>NC_000018.10:69537528-70787528 GCF_000001405.40 Homo sapiens | reverse complement strand
CATCATAGTTAGGAACATGAAAGATTTGGTCAGTACTGCTGCAGGCTCCCTGCTCCCTCCCTCCCCGCAGGGCTCTCCTATAGCCTATAATTCACTTCCAAGACATTGATGGCATTCTTACGATGGTTTTCTCAAAAATATTGTCATTAGAGTTTATTCACAAAGTCGGATTGGCAGAAACCATTCAAGAATGGGGACTTTGTCTCAAGCATCACAAGCACTATTAGAAAAGATCCGCAATGTCTAGGAAACAATTAAAGCCCCTGAAACAGACTGTGTAGCTATTCATTCTCATTAAGAGATGGGGAAATACAGGTTGAATTACCCTACAGAAAATTAGACAGGAAAGTGGAGACCATAATCATACCTTAAAAAACCGCATTAACTCCTCCCATTTTTCAGAGTACACTACTGAATGTCATTCCAGCTTCCAGAATAACGAACCCTCAAGAGCCAAAGCAGAAGATGACTGCAGGATTAGAAGCAGTATTTTCTTTTCAAATTTCCCTATATCCTTCAATAAAAGTCCAGCTCAGAAAATCGAGAAAAGAGGAGCAAGTGGTGGCCACCACCTCTGCCACATTTCTGGATTTTTTAAGGTGTCTGCACAGCAGAACCATCTCTTCTACTTTCTTATATGGAACAAATTTCGTGTCCAGAATATTGGTGATGGGAGTTGACCAGAAAACACAATTTTCTATTCAAAATCCTTGAAAAACTTAAACATAGTGCATCCACTTCATTGTTGATTAAAAGATAATAAAATTAACTGCAATATAATTTATTAGTCTTTTAAAGTTCAACAATTTATCTTGCATAATCCTTTGCCAGTGGAATGTGTTTGCAGCCCCCAATTTTAAGGTTGCTGACCACTCTTGAGAACTACATTTTAAAATCTTTTTTATTAAATTTTAAATATGTTAGTATTTGTATCTCATAATGACCTTATGATCAAAAGGACAGACAAGACATGGACTTTGAGAATGACTTCTTGTAATTTACTAACTTAGGGTTTATTTCATTTTCTTAGTATCTCATGCTATTGGTGACTCTGAGCTGTGGAATAAACACTGCCTTTCATTGAGAGTGACATCTCAGGTTTTAGCCATTCAAGCCATCATTGCTGCATTTATTCTATAGCCCTAGTTTATAATTTAGTTCCATTCAGGTTTTTATGTAGCAAACAATAAGGCAAAGAGTGTGTCACCAGAATGGTCTGCTGGCTCTTCAGAAAATAATGCAGCTAAATGTTTGGGCACATATGTCAATTGAGGAGGCTTACCTCTTCAAATGACACTCTCAAGTGAACGTTTTTGGCTTCTCTCCTTTTCTGAAATCTGTAATTTGTAAAGAATGGGTCACAGATTCCATTAGCATCCATCACCAATCGATCAATCAAAGGCAATCCGTTAGAAAGTCAATGAATATTTACAGTTTTTTAAAAAAGTCAGAAACAATAAATTACAAGCAGACTCAGTTAATACACAGAGTGAGAAAATTAACTCCTAAACTACAGACAGTCACTGAGTTCTCCATGCAAGCTCTCACAAGTCTGAAATCAAGGTCTTGGCTGAGCTGAGTTCTCAACCTGGATGCTTGACCAGGAAAAGATTCACTGCAAAGTTTCTCGCGTTTGTCGGCAGAATTTGTTTCCTTGCAGCTGCAGGACCGAAGTCTTCATTTTCTTGCTACTTGTTATCTGCAGACCACTCTCATATTCCCTTTTGATTAATTTAAAGGGGATGACAAAGGGGATTTTGCAGCTATAATCAAGATCCCCTGAGGGGATAACCTTTGTCATCTAACCTAAGATGTCACGGAGTGACATTCCTTCATATTCACAAGTTCTGCCTACACTCAAGACAGAGGGTGAGCGAGTATACAAAATATGTACACCTAGAGGTGGGAATCTTGGGGCCACCTTAGGATTCTGCCAAACACAAATTTATTATAGGATGTCAGCCTCTTTTTTTGTTGTTGTTGTTTTTCTACAACAAAGTCTTGTCTGTTCTTTGATGGAGTCCCCTCACCTGTGTCCATCATCCAGGCTGTCATCGATGGTCTCCAGGCTGGATCAGCTACATGGTTTCTCCTTTCATATGTGTGCATGAAGGCTGATGTCAGTAGGAGTCTCTCTGTATCTCCTGCTGATAGGATCCCCTCAAGACATCAAAAACGACCCTGGACAACATGTAGAAATAGAAGATAAGACTCTTTCTTTAGCTCTCACTCCACTTTATTTCTGGGGTCTTTTAGAAACACTATACTGGTTCAGTCTCAAGACTTTCCATGAGAATTAGTCCCTGAACTCTTTTTTAGTTGTTCCTGTGAAAACAGAAGCTTAGCCCAGTTGAAGAGATCCCAAAGAAGACAGACACTCTGCTGTCTCTCCCTCTTATTTTCCTTGCCTGCATTCCTAACACACCAAGGAAATGTTCTCTTCAAATGCCCTCCGGCATATGAATGAACGGAAAAGGACCCCCCAAGGAAAACGTATGCTCCAGAAACATCTCAGCTGCAGCCAAGATGCTATATGACACATGAGAGAAGCGGAAACTCATTAAGGGCGGAGGCTAAGTAATTTGCCCAAGATGACAAAGATAGTGGCTAAAGAGCTAAGTGTCCTGACTATAAAACCTGAGATATTTTCACTTGCTCTCATGTCAAATGTTTCCCAGACTTGACAAATTAAGAAAGGGATGTTAAAATTTGAGGTTATAAAATTAAGTATTTTGGAAAAATTAATTTTATTTGATTTATAGTCACCAGGAGTATTTGTTGGTTATATACTGACTCAGATTAACTTAAGCAGTAAAGGAGTTTATTGTAAAGGGTCACCTCCCAAAACTAATTGAAAACCTAGCAGAATAGGCTCAATAATAATTGAGGGAGAAGATGCTTAGCTACTTTTCCTGACAGAGGAATGGTCTGTTCAGCATCCGACTGCAGCTGCTCTGCCTGAACACTCACCTCCAAGCCACTGGACTTGCTTCTCCAACATACTTGTTTCTAATAACCCTAAAGGGACCTCTGCACTTTCAGAGCATCTCATTCACTGTCCATGGGCCATGTGCCGCCAGGGGCTGGAAAGAAAGATGGTCTCCACTTCTCCCTTCTAGACTGAGTGTCAAGCAGTCCAGTTGCAAATGTTCACTGCAATATTCATCACCATGGAACTACTAATCAACTTCCTTTGCCATATAAACCTTACTAGAATAGTATCCTGTCATCACAAAAAAACTCCCCTCAATTTCCTCTTGAGTTTTCAAATCTTATTCATCTTTCAAACTGCCTGTCCTTCCTTTCTCCCTTCTTTTGATCCCTCACTTGTCATACAAACCTTAAGGAAGATAAAATAGACAAAATTCAATCCAACATATATATATATATATCACTTACAAGGGAAGAAAATTATGGCATAATTTCATCCTCCAAGATGCTCGACTTCTAATTAGTGGTCTCTGCTTTCTTCCCTTTTCAGTTTTTCTCATTTCTGCGATTCCTCCCTTTCTTTCCTTTACCTGCTATTATTTTCCTTCATTTCTGACATTTACTTCTTCTGTAACCTCCAAAGTTTTCATTTACAAGTGATCTTTATCACATACAATGACCCTGGAAGGAATTCCTTCCTGTAAGAGGAAGGAATACATTCAACAGACAGACATGTGTATATATTCTGAAACTGCTCCACAAATCTTTCTCTACCACATATAATTTGGCTTAATCAACTGTCTTGAAGCACTTGATTATCTTCTGGGATCTGTAATCCTCTCATTTCTTAGAATTAAGTTAGTTTCTTCCCACTTTTTTTCACTCACTCCCTGTGAGGATAACCGGATCTTTGCAGCAATAATTCTAGAAGTTGTCCTGTAAAGAAAGATAGATAATATAATTAACTTTTAAAATCTCATCGGAAAGTGAAGGTCCTCCCCTTAAGAAAAGATTCAATAAAGGGAGAGCTGGTTCATGGCAGAACTAGAAGTGGGTCTCCTAATGCCTAATTCAGCCCTGTCCCCACCACTGTGGCAACGGAGTACAATAAACTTCTGACCCAAGGTGCTATTATTCAGGAATTAATTTGAGAGTGAAATAACTTCATTTCACTGAGGAACTGTAAGTAAAATTTCATTTAAATTGCATACATAGGTTCTATGAAAAGAAAACTATACTAAAATAGTTTATACTGTTTTATACCATTTATTCAGCTCCTACTGTAAAGATAAATTAACTTCCCTCAGGTGTTAATGATACTATCTGCCAGGTGATTAGCACACATTAACTCTTTTGTCTCCCATCAACTATAATATGGAGAAAGTGTTATTAGCCCATTTTTAGAAGAGAAAAATAATATTTAAAGAAGTTAGGTTACTTTTCCAAGGATACTCAACATATATGAGGCTTCAGTAGAATTCAGCTCAAGACCAATCTCCAAGTCTACACTCTTTTCAAGACACTGGAACAAAGGAGTGAAGGAAGAAAGTGAGAAAGAAGGAAAGAAGGAAGGAGGCAAGAAAGGAGGGGAGAGAGGGCAGGAGATGAAAGAAAGAGAAGAAAAAGAAAGAGACACAGAGAGGTTAGGAAGGCCAAAAGAAAAAAGGAAGAGAGGAAGAAAAAGAGGAAGGAAAAAAGAAAAAGAGAAGGGAAGGAAGGAAGGCAGAGAGGGAAAGAAAGACCTAAGAAGGGAGAGAAGGGAAAAGGAAGCGAAGGAAGGAGGGAGAAAGGGAAAGGAGAGAGAGGTGGCAAGGAAAAAGATTAACGTTAGCAGTCATAAACTGCTAGAAGACAGGATGTAGCAGGGCAGCTAGGAAACACTTGCTACTTTAGGGACAGCCATAATTATTTTAAAATACAGATGGTGCATAAATCTGAAGGGAAAAAAGAAGCTCCCATTCCCACTTTAATACTGGGAAATAAAAATATAAAAGATAGAAAATGTTAGAGATAATCAAGCTAAGTTCGCATCATCCTGCTTTCAAATGATATTGCCTAGGAAAAGAGGTCTTGACAGTGCATATGGATGGAGGGTGTATCAAAAGATATAATCAGGAAAAATACTAGCTATCTTCCTATTTTATGAGCAACACCTTCACTATCTTCAGAGTCTACCAAAAAGCAGACATTAGTGAAAATATTAAGCATAAAAGGCTTGAAGATGTTGCCATGGGAACAATAAAAGCAGTCTTGCCTGGGTTCTATGTCCAAGTCCACCTTATCCAGGCATTTCAAGATATTTCCTTAATTTGTCAAACACTAAAAGCAACAGGCATCACACGACTTAGTGCACGGAATAGCATACTATTTATAGGCAAATTTCTACTTCTCAAAATGAGCAGTATGACTAATTAACCTTTGTTTTATGTAACACATGAAATTGAAAACAGCCCTGAAATTGAGGCTGTCACTAATCAGCCTTAGAGAGCCCTGGCTCAAAACCAACCTGACCTCAGCTCGTGATTGTGCACCCTTTACCGCCATCTAGAGTCGAAAATCCCAAACAACAGGCAAAGCCACCCAGAGGATATGGAAATTAGCCTAAATTAGTAAGAGGTGCACAGTATCTCCTGCATTGTCCACGTTTTGTTTTTCGTTTTTTTGTTTTGCATTTTTATCGCCCAACTAAGGTAACAGCCTACTTATGGAAGCTGTCTTAAGTACTGTGACAAGCTCTGTGTGAATCACTTGACAACGATGGTTTTGAACTATAGCCCATACAATAATAGCCTCTAACTCAAGCACTTTGTGTCATAGCAATACACTAGTTACTAGGACATTCTAGAGACACAAATAAGATTATTTTTATGAGGAGAGAGGTATTATTGGAATTAAAAGGACAAGACTTATTCATTCTTTCTTCTTTTGTTCAAACGAAGTGCTACAAACTCCATAATTCTAAGCAATAGTGATTGATGTGCTGACAGAGCCACTAAAAGGATGCTTTTTTTTTTTTTTTTTTTTTTTTGAGACGGAATCTCACTCTGTCGCTAGGCTGGAGTGCAATGATGCGATCTCGGCTCACTGCAACCTCCACCTCCCGGGCTCAAGCGATTCTTATGTCTCAGCCTCCCGAGTAGTTGGGATTACAGGTGTCCACCACTATACCTGGCCTTTTTTTTTTTTTTTTTTTTTAGTAGAGACGGGGTTTCGCCATGTATGTTGGTCAGGCTGGTCTCGAACTCCTGACCTCACGTGATCCACCCGCTTCGGCCTCCCAAAGTGCTGGGATTACAGGCGTAAAAGGATGCTCTTTGATTCATTACAATAAACAACTTGCCTAATCTTGATTCCTGAATCAATTAATTCTTAAATTGCCCTACTATTGGGTAAAATGTTTAGCCTAGCAGGTGGAATATGTTACTAACATAAGGTCAAGATTGCTATCGAAAAGTGCAGCCCATCTGCATTTTTGAAAGAATCTTCAGGTTTAATTACATCAGTGATTTGATTTTAATCTATATAGAAAAGATGTCTTTTATTATATATGTAATGATAGCCAGTGAAAACTAACATAGAGTTGCTTGATGCTTATACCAGAGAAAGTCTGACTATGTAAAAAGGCAAATGATGTTACTACTTTACATAGACAACTTGGTATCTTCTAATTTGTGTTACTCAATTGGAGTTTTAATCCATGGGATTTTCGTATATTTTGTCTCATTTTGCAACACATAGAGCACTTAAGCAAATACTATTATCACTAAGCACCAAACAACAAGCAACGTATTTGAACAAATGTGTAAACACATACATAGCAATATGTTGTGAGGTTTCATTTTTTAATTAATTTATTTATTTATTTATTTTTGAGACGGACTCTCGCTCTGTCGCCCAGGCTGGAGTGCAGTGGCGCGATCTCGGCTAACTGCAAGCTCTGCCTCCTGGGTTCACGCCATTCTCCTGCCTCAGCCTCCCAAGTAGCTCGGACTACAGGCGCCCGCCACCACACCCAGCTAATTTTTTTTGTATTTTTAGTAGAGACGCGGTTTCACCGTGTTAGCCAGGATGGTCCTGACCTCGTGATCCGCCCGCCTCAGCCTCCCAAAATGTGAGGTTTTATTTTTAAAGAACGATATATCCCTAAATTGTCATTTATTATATTGTATTATTATAAGGCCTATTTAATTAAAAAAATACAGAACTAGTACAAAGATAATAAACCACCCACAGACCTTGTACCTAGAGGTAATCCCCACACAGAGAGAGCTCATCATTGAGTCATATTGCACATACATGGTTATAACCTACTTTGTTCTTCTAAAAATCTATTTTTTAATGTATGATTACCCTAAAATATGAGCAGTAATTAGAAAATAATAATAATCTTAAGGCCAACAAATTTAAAGCAAGGGATGATTAAAAAAACTAGAAAATGCTGATTGCCTTATTCATCATTTTATTCAATCTCTTAGTTACATTTATAAATCTTATTTAGTTAGCACAATAAGGTATAATTGGCATAAATAGAAGTGAATAAATTTATTTAAAACTTATTTGAAAGATATTTAGGACCTGTAAGTGACCAGTTGCATGTGCAGGTTAGAGACAGGACTTTGTTTTGTACAGAACTGAGTTCTAGCCTCCCCCCTAAAATGTCAGCTTCTTTCTCAAGTCTGTCTGTACATCAGAATCAACTGGAAAGCTTCTAAAATGTATTTTTTCTTGGGACCCATGACAAACCAATAAAATCAGAATATTTGGGGTCCTTGATAGTCTTTATGGAAGCTCCCAAGTTAAGATGTAATGAGGGTTAACATGCAGTAATGAACACATAGTGAGAATTGATAACCACTGGTCTAAATGGTGTTTAAACCATGAGACTAAATGAGAACATCAAGCGATTGAGATGGAGAACAGAACAGAAATAAAGGATGATCTCAGGATTATTTCACCTTTTAGGAAGGTTAGAGAGATAAGGAAACAATAAAGGATATTAAAGGATATTGAGAAGGAGCCACAAGGGGGTTTTAGGAAAACTGAGAGAGGATGGGGTCCTAGGAGTCATACAAACGTATTACCAGGAGGAAGGAATGACTGCTTGTGATGTTGTGATGTAAGAAATACATATTCGCAGTGGCTCACGCCTGTAGTCCCAGCACTTTGGGAGGCCGAGGCGGGCGGATCACGAGGTCAGGAGGTCGAGACCATCCTGGCTAACATGGTGAAACCCCGTCTCTACTAAAAATACAAAAAATTAGCCGGGCGTGGTGGCAGGCGCCTGTGGTCCCAGCTACTCGGGAGGCTGAGGCAGGAGAATGGCCTGAACCCGGGAGGCGGAGCTTGCAGTGAGCCGAGATTGGGCCACTGCACTCCAGCCTGGGTGATAGAGCGAGACTGCGTCTCAAAAAAAAAAGAAAGAAATACATATTTTGGTCTTCATCCCTAGCTCCTGGCCAGAGCTCTGGAACCTATGATGCTCCTATGGCATCTTCAGCATAATGTTTGGTTTTGTCCCCAGCTTCTGAAATATCTCCAGAGCAATAAAGGAGAAAGGAGTGTGTTTTGTGACTCATACCAAGCCCCTTTCAACCTCACGTTTATGTTAATGAGGTGACTTTTGGAAAGCCCCTAAGAGTGGGGAGCTGCTTGTCATAGAAAACCAACCATACGGATTATAGGGTTGGAATCTTCAGACCACCCCAACTCAGATCTCTGGGGAGGAGAAAGGGGTTGGAAACTGGCTTAACCAGTGAACAATAACTTAACCAACTATGCCCATGTAATGGAACCTCCATATAAAGTCTAAACAATGAAGTTCAGGGAGCTTCCACGTTGGTGAACACATTGAGGTGCTGAAAAGATGGTGCACCCAAAGAGGGCATAGAAGCTCCCCACCCTTCCACATACCTTACTCTAGGCACCTGATCCATTTGGCTCTTCCTGAGTAGCATCCTTATAATAAACTGTTAAATGTAAGTAATGTGCTTCCATGAGTTCTGTGGGTCATTCTAGAAAATTCTTGAACACAAGAAGGAGGTGGTAGGAACTTCCCAATTGATAGCAGGTTGGTTTGATGTGCAAGAGGACTGAGATTCTAACCTCTGGAGTTTTTGTTAGCTCTGAGTAGTTAGTGTCAGAACTGAGTTAAATTTTAGGACATCCAGTTGATGTTCGAAAAATCAGAGAATCGCTTGGTGTGCAAGAGACTCACCCATTTGGTGTCAGAAATGTGAGAATGTAGAGAGTAGAGAGAACAGAAATAGAGTTTTTCTCCTTATTACGCATGACAAAAGATAGGTCAGGAAATCCAGGGATTGAAAATTGACCATTAAATTTAGCAAAATAGAGGATGAAGGTAACCTCGACAAAAGCAGTTTTGCTAGACTGATGGAGACAAAATTTGATTGTAGCCTGTATAAGCAAAAATGGGAGGAAATGAATATTAAAAAGTCTTTCAAGGATTCTTGTTATAAATAGAGCAGAGAATAGGATGGCAATAAAAGGCAGATTTCATATCAAGGGAAAGATATTTTTAAGGGGTAAATGACCACAAGCCTGTATTCTTACAAGAATGATCCAGAAAAGAGAAAAATAATAATAATGCAGAAGACTAAGGAGAGAGTCGTTGAAACACTGTTCTTGAGTGGTGTATGTGGCCGAGGCTGGCTCAGCAATAGCACAACATAGGAGGAAGCGTGGCAATGTATATGGTGTGCATGCGTGGATGCTGGGGTAAAGAAATGGGAAAATGCCTTTTGACTGCTTCTATTTTCTCTGGAAAGAAAGAAACAAGGTCATCACCTTAGAGTAAGGATGAGTGCGGTGCAGATGCAGGTTTGAGCAGAGGGGAGTTATAAAAGAGGCCCTCAAGAGAGAAAGCAAGTAAACATTCTTGGTAAACGGACATTTCCTGCCAGTGCTGCTGTGACATTCTGTCCATTGTAGTTGCCCAATAAATATTTATTAGGCTAGGAAATGAATTTTTTTTCATGAAATGTTGCTCGAATGTAATCTAATTTTTTTTTTATCATCTAGGTTAAATCACTGTATCCACCAAAGTCATCAGAAAGGTTCTTAGACAGTATTTTCTTGCTGTCCTTGAATGGCAATTTACTATTATATTCCTTGGTTTTATGGAGGAGCAATAAAAGAAAGAGTCTTATGATGCCTGTCCCCTTTCTAATCAGAGGTTTTGTGTTTGTTTTTATTTTATGGAGTTTTTTCTTTTTCTTCTTTTTTTTTTTTTTTTGAGGTCATTGTCTTTAAATGGCTTAGTACCTCTTCTATGACGTCTCAAGTGAATTTTTTTTTTGTTTTGGAGATGCTAGAAAATTGACTCATACCTCATATTCAAACAAGCACAGTATGCCTTCTCAAATAATGAGAGCTGTGTAAATGAATGACTCTCTTTTTTTGTTACATCTATAATTTAACTCAAAGCCAAATCTGTGCCTCAACTATAACAAATATGAGAAGCACATTGTTTGCACAGTTCAGTTCCAATTTCCCTCCAACTCTACTTCCTATTTTAATTCACATTTTTCTGAATCCTAATTTTATTCAGATTTATATTTTACCACTTTTTCTAAACTATCGTGAATCTATTATGTAAAGTGATGTATAAAGATAAATAGGTACAGAAATTTAAAAGGTTGGAATTACAAATGTGATTTGCTTACAAAATTCTGATAAATTATTATACTGCATAGTTCTTGACCCATTTATATACTTTTAACTTATGATCACATTCTGATGCTCCTCTTAATCCTTGAGTTACACAAAACAATTAAGATCACCTAAGTTAAACCTGAGTTCAGACTTGAATTACCTTCTTATCCATCACTGTAGCTAGTGTGTGCTAAATTTCTCACTAAGATATTCATACCAAGTTCTTCACCCTGCATCTGGTGTTGTTTAATCCTCACAAGCTGAAGAGGTTAAAATGTCTGCTCTTAAACTACAAGTTGAATGTAGTTTTCCAAAATCATTTCATATTTCAATTTTTCTTTCTAATATGAAGTAATAAGCAGGCAGCTATCTCCTGCCAACATTGACCTATCAGTATAGATTTTCTTCTTTGTATTTCTTTCCTGATATTAACAGCTAGCTTTTCTCTGCACATATTTTAAATGCTTTTGTTTTTCTGATATTTGCTTCTATTTCTGGTATTTACATCAACATTATACAAATAGATTTACAAACATACTCCTCATACCCCAAGATTATTTGCCTATTGTTACAGAAATATCTTGAGGAAGAATGAGAGGGCTTAGAAAAGAAAATCTCCCCCAAGTGCACATAGATATATAAAAACCAACAGAAAGTGACTGTGTCCTTTCATTTTGCTGACATTTAAAGGACTGCATTTCTTTTGGTGACCCCCCTAAAGGCTTCCAACCCACAGTTTCATGGACCTTCATCAAAAGATGTTATCATGTTGTGTCGACCAACAAAAATAGCACTATCACATATAAAACCGGGCTGCGCAAAACTCAGTCAGCCTCAAAGGCACAATAAATCCAGAGCCATTTTAATATTGAAAGTTCCAAACAATATTTTCATTCTAGGCTTTAAGCACACATTTTTATAGGTACTAGTTTAACGCTTCTTTTTACAGCTCATGCCACACGGTGCTGTCTGTAAATTCCCACAGGGGCCACTGAGACGCTTATGTCAAACTGCACCATGGCTGTTAATTCTTAATGTCTGCAGTAAACATGCGGGCCTTAGGGTGAGTTCTAAGACTTGACCATGGAAAACGATGAAGGGAAGAAGGAGGAAATGAGGGCAGAATAGACCAAGAAAAAAAAAAAAGGCAAACACAAAAATTAGTATAAGAAACTTACACCTGGAAGGAAGTTAAACTCCTTAATTATACCGTTGAGTACACTGAGGTCCAGACTGTTTGCAAGACCGATCTAAAGTCACTGGGCTATTTTATGCCAAAGGCAGGGCTGTTTTGAAATTCCCATCACATTACATCACCCTGTCATAATAGAAAGAGTTAACTCACTGAAGGAATTAAAAATGAAAATGCAAGTGTTGCCATCATGATGATGATTGAAGTTTCATGGTGTAATTAACATTTTATCCAAAACGCTGTTGTTGAGTGAGAAGTCATTGTAACACTACATTAAAATGACTGGATTTTTAAATGAAGAGAAATTTTATTCCCAAGGAGAAAGGTCTCAATAATGGAGAGCAATTGAGACCTACCACAAATAGCTCTAGAAAAAGGAAGGATACAACATAAAACATTAAATATCAGCCAAGGAAATATCAAGATTATCAGAAATACAAAAGTTAAGAAAGCAATTTGTATTGTAAAATAATTTACAATAAAAGGCTATTAAAACTAAAATGATCTGTCGTGTTTAACAGCTTGATTCCAGCATTCTGAGCTTGTTAATTCTGATATTCATTTCTCTCCATACTATGAATAATAGTTTGGAGGTCAAATTTTCACCATCTCTAACAAAAATTGAAGAGAAAGCAAAGCCCTTTCTTGTTGTGACAAAATATTTCCCAAAATGAGAATCAAATCTCATATGCCCATATCACAATGGGATGACAAGTAATGTTTATGTAAATTTTCCAAAGGTTGAAGTATAAGAAATCTTTAGTCACAAGAGGCTTTCCCTGAGCTTATTCATTTTAGAGTTTGTATGAAAACAAAAGCTAAAAAGAAGTGAAAATGAAGTAATAAATGAAGAGTGTTGTATTGCGGAAGACATTATCACTATGAAAATGAAAATTTGTAATGAAATCCAATATTGCACTGAGTTTAATAAAGCCAGCAGTCACTTCAACTTAACAATAAAGTAATCTCATGGAATGATGAAATGGCAATATATAATACTTTTTAGCTACTTTTCATAGGCAATAAACAACTTGCAGGAAGTTATGGTATTTGCATTCCTTGATGTTTTTGGTAATAAAAGTGTTTAGCTTGTTTAGCACAGATGCCCCCTTCCAAATAACATGACGGACATTACATATGCATAGCTTCATTTATATAACATACAATTACCAAGTGCTTATTGAGTACATGCTGATAAAGAGAGAAGCATAAGTATGATTTGCAGATAAGCTGGATTTCCTATTTATTAGAATAATGACATCAAACAAGCTATATCATCATTGTACATGATATAAATTATCTCTTCTGGAAACTATATAATATAATCACATTTTATCAATATACAGATCCTCAGAGTAAACCAGGAAGATCAATCCTATATATTCTCTAAATACAAGGCTCACAATACAGTTACCTTATTTAACTACAGAGTCCTGAAGAATCCAGTGATAAACACATTCGTGCTCAATAAAAATTACAAACTAGCCCGTGAGTGCTCTGGCCTTTTTATTGTATTCTTTGTTCACCGGCAATCTCGTCCTCTCCCAGAGTTTGAACTGCAAACTATATACATATGATGCCCACATTTGCTCTAGACCTTACATGTGAGCTTCTCTGGGTTCTCATGGCTCAGACACATCTTGGAAATATCCACCTCCATACCCCACAGGCACCTCAAGCTTTAGGTGTTTGAAACAGAACTTTTATCATACACCTCCTGAATTCCTTTCTCCTCCTGCATGAACTCTTTCAGGCCACAGCCTCACCATCTCATCCGCCATTCCAGCTAGAAAGTTTGTTCTCAGTTCGACTCTGTTCTCTGCCTCAAGCCTCATGCCCAATCAACAGGCAAGACCTAAAAGTTTTCCCTCCCAAATGGTTTACAAAAGCATTCCTTCTGCTGCATCCCTATCCTGGTTCAGCCCAGGTCATTTCTCAACTGAGCTGCTGGAACGGCTGCCTCGCCAGTCTCTCTGCTTACCTTCAAAATAGCATCTGCAGAGGTTCCACCTGCTCTCTCTGCAGTTCTGGGTGTGTCTGCTGTGAATGCCAAGGAAGGCCACCTCTCACAAGTTGGCCTAAGCATGATCTGGCCCTGTCCTGTTTTGTAAACTTACCTCTTGTCACTCCCAATGACACTATCCTTCACAGTTTTTTTGTTGTTCCATTATTTGGGCTTTTTTAAAAATTTTGTTCATGTTCTTTTTATCCAGCTGCACCCTTCTTGACTAAGCAAACTGAGCTAAGGCTTTCAGACTTAGCTCTTACAAAAAGTCTTTTCTGAAACCACAGACTCACAGAGATGCCTGAGAAAACATAAAGGAACACATTATCATTTCAAACTCAAATGAATCAAGGATCTTGCCCATTAACAGATTTTACTAATCAAGTTAAAGATATAGGCAATCAAGAGGCTCAAATGGAAATAAATAGAGGCCTGGAGTTTTGAGAATGGTTCCCACATCTTCCTTTTTGACATCAGACAAGTGCTCTGCGGCCCACAGTAATAAAGTTATTTAAAGATTATTCCTCACGGTGAGGATGTTCCATTTATGAAACACGTCCATTTTATATCCCAGTTTATGTGACATACTGGCAATCCTTAAACAGAGATATCTTGTTAAGAAGATCCCATAGATAAGGATGTTCTAGCAAATATTATTAATCTATTTACTAGAAAGTCTGGTTAGCATACTGACAAAGTTACCCGGGTTGCCTGTCTGCTTTTAGTTCCCCCAGGTCTATACCCCAACACCATCCCCACGATAGGACATGAATAGTGTGAATAAATAGAGTAGGCCAGCTGATTTAACTCTTCCCTGTCCACTGTCCTATATTCCAATAGAAATACCTGAAATTTTGTCATAACTATTTTGATATGGCTATATCCACAGAGGTACTTACATTAGGAGAGTGGATGTTTTCAAACAATCTAAACAAAAAAACCTTAAACTTTTAATCTTTTAAAAAAATTCATTACCTCATAAATGTATACAGCAGACACTTACATTCCCTCCCACACTTCAGCCCAGTAAACCTTAATGATTGTATTTCTGGGTGGATAAGGCTTTGGGAATAGCTAGAAGTTGGATGGAAATGATTAGGGATGTCTGTTGAACCCTCTGGCAATTTTAAAGTCATCAAAATAAATACCAAAAGAGTAAGATCAATTTTTTATTTAAACACAGCATTTGCCTGTCACTACCTTTAACCTGCATTGAAATTTTCTAGTAATATGTGTATTCATAATTATGTTTCTGAATTTCAGGTATTTCAAAAAATCCTAAGCTTCTTCACCAATATGTGCCTCTAATTTTCTCTCCCAATTGAAATAGAACTCTCCTCTGATAGTACAGGTTCTCTGCTGCTCTCTGTAGTAAAGAATATTCATTTTTACACCTCGGAGCCCTCAAGTTCCAGAGGTGGTACTGGAGTCTCTCCTACTCCGTAGTGCAATTCACATCCATTTGTGAAAGAAACACTTGTTCTTTTAGGTCTCAAGCTTCCTTAACTATTAAAATCTACTGACTTCTAGACACTCCTTCTCTTTTCATTTATAACAGATTCCATTTCTTGGGTTATTTAAGGGTAAGTTGTTTAATTTTAAAACATTTGGGTACTGTCTATCTAGCATTTTGTTTTTATGTCTAGTTTATTTGAGCTATGGTCAATAGACATACTCTGCAAGCTTTTAATTGCTTGCAATCTGTTGACTTGCTTTGTAGCCCTAAACATGAGCAATTTAGTTAAATAATCTGTGAGTACTTAAAAGGAGTACATCACTGAATTGATGGGTGCAGTATTTTATACATATCAATCATGCTGTGGAACAAAGCGTTGAGCTCTTCTATGTCCTTACCAATATTGCATCTGTTTGTTGTATCACTTTCTGAGACAAGTGTAGATCTGTATATTTTTATTTGTATCAATTTTGGCTTTATGTGCTTTTCTTTATATATGTATATTATTTGAGCTATGCAATTAGGTTTTCATTTTAATTAAGAATTGTTAAGTCTCCCTAGTTGTTTGACCCTTTAATTATGATGAATTTTTTATCTCTAGTAATGCTTCTTTCCTTAAAATAGACTTAATCTAATATTGGCATATTCAAGGTAGATTTGTTTTATTAGGTTTTTCTGAACATGCTTTTCCATACTTTTATTTTTAACCTTCTGGTTTCTTATATTTAAGACATATCTCTAGGAAGCAGCATATATTATAATAGTAAGACTTTCTTTTTTATCCAGTGGCACTGTTTTTTAATGTGTTTAAGTATTTCATCAATAACAGGGTTTAAATCTACATTCTTATCATTTGTTTGCTATTTTTTTCTATTCCTCCGCTATTGAATAGCTGTACCATTTAGAATATACACCACCTTGGTCAATGCTCTAGGGAAAGAACGACATGGAGAATTGTAAACTGACTCAAATGATTTCCCCTGGAAGTGACATGTCACTGGGCAAAGACAGTCACATGGCCATGCCTAAATTAACAGGAAACAGACCAAGCAACCTTCTGTTTTCCCAAAAGGTAAGATGAACAAGGCACATCAGGAAACACTAGTAATATCTTGGACATTCTACTTACATTTTTAAAACTTCTATGTGTCAGAGAGCACCATAGAGGGTATTAAAAGTCAAGTGACAAGTGGGTGAAAGGTATTTCAAACATGTATTATAAAAAGTGATTACTATCCAGAATATATAAAGAAATCCTTCCTTTCATTTGTAACAGATTCAATTACATAAATATGAAAAATTTTAGACTTTCTTCTTGTGTCAGTTTTAGTAAGTTGCAGTTTTCTTGAAATTTCTTCATTTCATCTAAAATTAAAAATTTGTTATCATAGACTTCAGACATTTAAGTAGTCAAAACATTTATTCCATCACCATGCATTTGCTTAAAAGTAACTTAAGTACTCCAGCAAAATGAAAAGTAAATCAAATAATGTAACAGAATATGAATCAAGGAATTTAAAATCAAACCACAATAGAGCAATAATATATTGACATAGTATTGTGATACATTGTATTTCACCCTTTATAGGTGAAGATTTGGGAAAACATGCATTTTCATATAGTCTGTGAAAGAGTATAAAGTTCAAAGTGCCTATATCCTATTGTCTAGAAATTCTTCTCCTAAATATGAAAAAAATAAAGAGCACAAAAAGAAATGTACCATAAGGCAAATCTATGCATACTGAAATTAAACTCTCACTGAAATATATCAACAAGTTAAAAAAGAATTCCATATTGATATTTAGAGGGGTCTATTTATGTTAAAGTTATATACACAAATAAAATCAAACAAGCTGCTCTAGGTACCTATATGTATAATTTAAGAGTATAGATAATGGTCTCATAGGACCAACTAGAGAATATTACCAGAGTGGCAAATAAAGTTTGATCAAAGTTAAGAGAAACATTTACTGTATCAAAATTGTTTGTATGTTTTACTATGATAATTCAGTAGTTTTTGTATATGTAAAACAATACTATACTGAAGAATAATATATTAAGACACATTCTAAAGAACTAAATTGTTTCAGATTAATAGAATTATTTATACTCTATTTTCATATGATTTTTCACGTTTTATCAGAATAATGAATACACGAAATAATACATCTAGTGTTTGTTAGAGAAGGGCTCTTGATGAAAGCTGAAGTCCTTTTTCCCATCTTTTTCCAGACCTCACCATCCCAATGCCATTCATCAGAGACCAGTTCTTTGAACTCTTCATTTCAAATCTTCTCACGGTGAGCTACAAAACACTAAGAAATATATTTGTATCTTCATTTCTCAACTTTAACAGTATTTTTTACATCCTACTATAAAAGATTCATAATATTGATTCATACCATCTATTTTTGTAAAGTTGTATAATTACATAAACATTTTCTATTAATTGCCTGAGTAGCTTCAAATAATATATCTAAATATTTCCCATACCATCAATTATCAACAATATCAGTAACACTCACTTTATAAGGTGAGAAAATCAGCACATTTACCACCCTATCCACCCTCCATGCTTCTCCCCCAACACATGCTGTCTGCCCAACTGAACTTCAATACTTTCAAAGTTGAAAACATGCATAGTTTGTTCTGTAATAACAACCAAATCTTCTATGCATTTTATAGGTTGATCCTAAAAGTTGAAAGACCAATAGCCAGGATTTCATTATCAGGACTTCACAAATATTCACTTTTCTTTATTTTTTTCTTTTACTGTTTTTTTTTTTATTTAATTTAAAAGTTCCAGGATACATGTACAGGATGTGCAGGTTTGTTACATAGGTAAACGTGTGCCATGGTGGTTTGCTGTACCTATCAACCCATTGCCTGCATATAAAGCACAGCATTAATTAGCTCTTTTTCCTAATCCTCTCCCCCTACCATCCACCCTCCCCCAAAAGCCCCCAGTGTGTGTTGTTCCCCTCCCCGTGTCCATGTGTTCATTGTTCAGCTCCCACTTATAAGTGAGAACATGCAGTGTTTTGTTTTCTGTTCCTGAATTAGTTTGCTGAGAATAATGGCTTCCAGCTTCATCCATGCCCCCGCAAAGGACATAATCTCATTCGTTTTTATGGCTGCATAGTATTCCATGGTATATATGTACCACATTTTCTTTTTCCAATCTATCGTTGATGGGCATTTGCGTTGATTCCACGTCTTTGCTATTGTGAATAGTGCTGCAATAAACATGCATGTGCATGTATGTTTATAGCAGTATTATTTATATTCCTTTGGGTATATACCCAGTAATGGGATTGCTGGGTCAAATGGTATTTCCGGCTCTAAATCTTTGAGGAGTCACCACACTGTCTTCCACAATGGTTGAACTAATTTACATTACCACCAACAGTGTAAAAGTGTTCCTATTTCTCTGCAACCTCACCAGTATCTGTTGTTTCTTGACTTTTTAATTATCATCATTCTGACTGGTGTGAGATGGTATCTCATTGTGGTTTTGACTTGGATTTCTCTAATGATCAGTGATGATGAGTTTTTTTCATGTTTGTTGGCTGCATGTATGTCTTCTTTTAAAAATTGTCTGTTCGTGTCCTTTGCCCACTTTTTTTTTTTTTTTTTTTTTTTTTTGAGACAGAGTCTCGCTCTGTCACCCAGGCTGGAGTGCAGTGGCACAATCTCGGCTCACTGCAAGCTCCGCCTCCCGGGTTCACACCATTCTCCTGCCTCAGCCTCCCGAGTAGCTGGGACTACAGGCACCCGCAACCACGCCCAGCTAATTTTTTGTACTTTTAGTAGAGACGGGTTTCACCATGTTAGCCAGAATGGTCTCGATCTCCTGACCTTGTGATCGCTCACCTCGCCCTCCCAAAGTGCTGGGATTACAGGCGTGAGCCACCACGTCCGGCCTCTGCCCACTTTTTAAAGGGCTTGTTTTTTTTCTTGTAAATTTGCTTAAGTTCCTTGTAGATTCTGGATATAAGAACTTTGTCAGATGGATACATTGCAAAAATTTTCTCCCATTCTGTAGGTTGTCCGTTTATTTTGATGAGTTTCTTTTGCTGTGCATAAGCTCTTTAGTTTAATTAGATCCCATTTGTCAATTGTAGCTTTTGTTGCCGTTGCTTTAGGTGATTTCATCATAAAATCTTTGCCCATACCTATGTCCTGAATGGTATTGCATAGATTTTTTTCTAGAGTTTTTATAGTTTTAGATTTTACATTTAAGTCTTTAATCCACCTTGAGTTAATTTTTGTATAAGGTGAACAAAAGGGGTCCAGTTTCTATTTTCTGCATATGGCTAGTCAGTTCTCTCAGCACCATTTGTTAAGTAGGGATTCCTTTCCCCATTGGTTGTTTTTGTCAGGTTTGTCAAAGATCAGATGGTTGTAGATGTGTGGTTTTATCTCTGAGTTCTCCATTCTGTTCCATTGGTCTATGTGCCTGTTTTTATACCAACCAGTACCATGCTGTTTTGGTTACTATAGCCTTGTGGTATACTTTGAAGTCAGGTAGCCTGATCCCTCCAGATTTATTCTTTTTTGCTTAGGATTGTCCTGGCTATACGAGCTCTTTGTTAGTTTAATATGAAATTTAAAATAGTTTTCTTTTTTCTCATTCTGTGAAGAATGTGAATGGGGCATAGTAGCACATGCCTGTAGTCCCAGCACTTTGGGAGGCAGGGGTGGGTGGATCACTTGAGGTCAGGCATTTGAGACCAGCCTGGACAACATGGTAAAGCCCTGTCTCTACTAAAAATACAAAAATTGGCCACGTGTGGTGGTGCACGCCTGTAATCCCAGGCACTCAGGAGACTAAGGCATGAAAAGTACTCGAACCCAGGAGGCAGAGGTTGCAGTGAGCTGAGATTGTGCCACTGCACCCCAGCCTGGGCAAGAGAGTGAGATTCCATCTCAAAAAATAATAATAATAAAATAATTACATATATATATAAGACAGTGGTGGTTTAATGGAGATAGTATTGAATCTATAAATTGATTTGGGCAGTACGGCCATTTTCACGATATTAATTTTTCCTATCCATGAGGATGGAATGTTTTTTCATCTGCTTGTGCCCTCTCTGATTTCCTTGAACAGTGGTTTGTAGTTCTCCTTGAAGAGGTCCTTCACTTCCCCTGTTAGCTGTATTCCTAGGTATTTTATTCTCTTTGTGGCAGTTGTGAATGGGAGTTCATGATTTGGCTCTTTGCTTCTCTGTTGTTGGTATAAAGGAATGTTTGTGATTTCTGCACGTTGATTTTGTATCCTGAGATTTTGCTGAAGTTGCTTATCAGTTTAAGAAGCTTTTGGACTGAGACTTTGGGGTTTTCTAGATACAGGATCATGTCATCTGCAAACAAAGACAATTTGACTTCCTCTCTTCCTATTTGAATACCCTTCATTTCCTTCTCTTGCCTGATTGCCCTGGCCAGAACTTCCAATACTATGTTGAATAAGAGTGGTGAGAGAGGGCATACATGTCTTGTGCCAGTTTTCAAGACGAATGCTTCTAGCTTTTGCCCATTCAGTATGAATTCATTTGTCTCCATTCAGTATGATATTGGCTTTGGGTTTGTCATATATGGCTCTTATTATTTTGAGATCTGTTCCTTCAATACCTTGTTTATTGAGAGTTTTTAACATAAAGGATGTTGAATTTTATAGAAGGCCATTTCTGCATCTATTGAGATAATCGTGTGGTTTTTGTCTTTAGTTCTGTGTATGTGATGAATTATGTTTATTGATTTGTGTATGTTGAAACAGCCTTGCATCCCAGGGGTGAAACTGACTAGATTGTGCTGAATAAGCTTTTTGATGTGCCACTGGATTTTGTTTGCCGGTATTTTATTGAGGATTTTTGCATCGATGTTCTTCAGAGATACTGGCATGAAATTTTCTTTTTTTGTTGTTGTTGTTGTGTCTCTGCCAGGTTTTGGTATCAGGATGATGCTGGCCTCATAAAATGAGTTAGGGACAATGTACCAGGAACAATGCACCAGAATCTCCGGGACACAGCTAAAGCAGTGTTAAGAGGAAAATTTATCGCACTAAATGCCCACATCAAAAAGCTAGAAAGATCCCAAATTGACACCCTAATATCAGAACTAAAAGAATCAGAGAACCAAGAGCCAACAAGCCCCAGAGCTAGCAGGAGACAAGAAATAATCTAGCTCAGAGCAGAACTGAAGGAGGCAGAGACACGAAAAACCCTGCAAAAAATCAACGAATCCAGGAGCTGGCTTTTTGGAAAAAAAAAAAAACAATAAAATAAATAGAGCGCTAGCTAGACTAATAAAGAAGAAAAGAGAGAAGATTCAAATAAATACAATGAGAAATGATGAGGATACCACCACTGACCCCACAGAAATACAAACGACCATCAGAGAATACTATAAACACCTCTGCGTGAATAAACTGGAAAATCTAGAAGAAATGGATCAATTCCTGGACACATACACCCTCTCAAGACTGAACCAGGAAGAAGCTGAATCCCTGAATAGACCAATAACAAGTTCTGAAACTGAGGCAGTAACAAATAGCCTACCAACCAAAAAAAGCCCAGGACCAGATGTATTTATGGCTGAATTCTACCAGAAGTACAAAAAGGAGCTGGTACTATTTCTTCTGAAACTATTCCAAACAATTGAAAAGGAAAGACTCCTTCCCTAAATATTCACTTCCTAAGTCACTTAGTGTATGAGGTTTGAACTTCCCTTTCTACATTTCAATGACATGACCCTGGGACCCATGTAGCTCCTAGTACAAATGTAAAATGAACTATCGCTGTAGTATTCTCCATCAGTGATTACTTACTGTGACACATCTTAGTTTGCTTTGTATTTGGGCTATAGCTTTGGTTTTACCACTGTTTTTCCTGGATTTTGCTTTAATTTCTCTGTCCTCTCAGTTATATCACCTATTAAGTGGAGAATTCTCTCCTTCCTCCCTGGAGGTCTCTATCTTCATGCTCTCATCTGAACTCTGGTACTGCTATGAGCTACCATTCTGGAAACTCCCTCACTAGCTCATGTGGGTTAGAGCCATTGTTTCCTAGGTCCTGGAAGTCAGGCAAGACTTCTCATTTGCTATAATATTTAAGTAACTTTCTAAGAAAAGCCATGGGGAGAATAAATATTTTGAGTACTCAATGTCCAAAATTATGTTTTCTCTGACTTCACACTTCATTGACAGCTTAGCTCTGTTGGAATTCTGGGTTCCAAATGATTTCAGAATTTTGAAGGCATTCCTCTGTTATCTTCTAGCATTGAATTTTGATGATTAAAAATATCTGATATCAGCCTGATTCTCATTTCTTTGTAGATAATCTGATTGGCTTTTTCCTTTGCAATATGTTAGAAGGGTTTATTTTTACTCTTATTTTTATTATTTAGGGTCTTTCAGTATGAAGATTTGGGTCTTTCTCCAGCACTAAAAAATTATTATTATTTTTAGAATTTCTTTGAGAATGTCCTTTTTGTCCATGATCTTTTTGCTTTCACTCTGACCTTTTTGTGAGTCAGATGCTGCATCACCAAATCATCAATGTTTCTGGGGCAATTCTATCTAGAGGACCCTGGAGGCTGACTTGCTCTCTGCCTTGATAGCTTAGCAGAGAGCAGGGTCAGGATGTGAAAGTTAGCTCAACAGGAAAACAAACAGACCAACACCAGCCAGTGGGTACTGAGGACTCCCCATCCTCGACACCCCGCTTCTCAGCAAGACCACTTATGGGACCAGGGAGGTTCCACTGTTACAAAGTCACACAGATGTTCCTTTGAGACACACATAAATGCTGCCCATGAATGTTAGGGGGCAGCCTCTCTCACCTGCAGCACTGACCATCCTCATACTGGCCTGGGTGAGGGGCACTGAGAGGGTGAGGAATGCACACTCTCTACTACTTCTCTCGTGGTGAAACTCCCCCCACCCCACACAGCAATCCATTCTACATCAGCACTCAGAACAGTCTCATGTTTTCATTTTTTAATTTGTTGCTCCATGTTCTGGGGAGTTGTTCAAATTTATTTCTTGATTTCTATGAATTCTTTCTTTTTCTTGAATTATTCATTTTCCTGTGCCATTCTGTTCTTTTTACATTGATTGCAGTATCTTCTTAAATCTGAGAATATGTGAACAGTGGGATTTTCACGTGGGTCTGATGTATCTGAGCTCCATTTCGTTCTCTGTAGTATTTCTGTCTTCTCGCCATCAGCTCCATCGCTCATTTGTCTTCATTTCTCTCTTCCATGCTCTTGGTCCCCCTCATATCCCCAGTGACCCTTGAGAGCTGGCATGGATTTCCTCTGCTGATCAGTAAATAGGTCTGTTTCCACTTGAGCTTTTTCTCCTGAGAGAGGATTCTGCTGGGAGTGCTGTGTAAGAGCATAGACTGCTGGCTCTCAGGCGGCAGATATGACATACTTGTTCTTAAAAATAAGGAGATTAACGGCAACATAGGAAAACAGTCCTACAAATAGTACAATCAACATGCAAATTCACGGTATGATTGGCCAGCCAAGCACGGCCCAAAAGGCACCAATGTACAAAAGGACCACACCAAGGGGTAAGCAGGGCTGTACCCTGGGACCTTCTGCCAGCAAAGCTGCTCCCTCTGGGGGATGCTGTTCTGGGAGTGCTTTCTTCTCACAAAAGCAGCAGGCTGTGTACCTGTGAGTTGCATCCACCCAGCGGGAGAGCCTTTTCTAACTTATTCAAAGACCTCCCATCGATAGACTAGCTGTGGGCCTGAGGCTTGCTAGTGTCGGTGGAATACATGACAGAGATGATGGTTCAAGCCACAAATCCCAGATGTGGCTAAAAGATAAAGTGGTTCCCCAATAAGATTTTAAAAATTTATATCAAGTATTTCTCTTTATTTTGCTTATGAATAATATTCTTTTCTTTCCCATGTAAAATGAGACCTTAGAATTTAAAATGAGACTTTTAGCAAAACCTGAGGAATTGTAGCAGTTCTTTTCCTAGACCTCCTTGGTTTGTGAGAGTCCCAGGAATACTAAAATCTACTCTTTATTCTCTTCTTTAGTACTAAATGATGAGGCTTTTAGAGTGATTTTTTTTTAACCACAAAACTACATTTTAAATCTTTGTTTAAAAGAAAGGCCTTTTCAGCCAAAGCACACATTTTTGAAAGTTACACACTGAAATCTAAAAGGTAAATGAGAAGTTTAATTAGCCAATGTCTTTTCCTCTTCTTAACAATCTAAAAAACATATTTGCTGAGCATGCGTTAATAATCCACAAGTAATGAATTAATTCTCATGTCAGTGGGATATCCACAAAACCTCCTTTATATAACTCCAAAAATATTAATTTCCCGCCACAGGGCGAGGCAAAGGGAGCTCCCTCCTCTCCTGTGCAAGCGGCCTCCTCACTTGACCTTTGGGGCCCTCCATGAAACATGGCAGGGAGCTGCAGGGAGGAGATTGCGCTCAGCGTGGGTGGCTCATTTTACAGGAGCCTCTAAACCCGGAGGCTGGGGCCTTAGGGCATGTCGCCACAGCTTTCAAAGACCAATCTTTAGCTTGAAGAAAAAGATAAATTCATAACTTGCAAACTAAGAATATTGTGTATTAAGTTGGTGCAAAAGTAATTGCAGTTTTTGCCATTGAAAGTAATGGCAACCCAATGTTTACCTACCATCAACTACGTGTGCTTTCAGTTGAGTTAGTTAAACGCAATTATACAGGAATTAACTGTTTTTAGAAAAATAATGCAGTTTCTCTGAACTTATGTAGATACAACTTGAGATTTTCAAAAAAATCAGTCAGAAATCAGTAAGTTAAAAAAGATTGTGTATTTGTCGAATTGACTGTTTTCAAATCACTCACCCCCACACTTACAGATGACCTTTTTATATTTTCCCAATGTCTTGATGTACTTCTCCTCAACCCTAAATCTAAGACACATTTTTCAAAGCATATAGAACATCTTTATGTCAGAAACTTCACTTGATGTCCATATCGTTGGCACTGATAGAATGCCAACAGATCTCTAGATGTGCGTGTAAGCATGTGTGTGTGTGTGTGTGTGTGTGCATGCAGCCCAATACTATAAGAGAGTTTTCCTTAGGAAACATAAAGATGTTCTATATGCTTTGAAAAATGTGTCTCAGATTTAAGGTTGAGGAGAAGTACATCAAGACACTGGGAAAATGTAAAAAGGTCATATGTAAGTGTGGGGGTGAGTGAATTGAAAATAACAGTCATTTCAACAAAGAGAGTGAAGAAAAACAACAGGCAATGACTAGGCTTCTTAGAATACAAGGCAAAAAAATATAAAATGTTAAAAGCATTTAAAAATCAATGCAGAATAATAAACAACATGCAGGAATTAAGAAAAGGCAACCACTTTGACAAGCCTGTAAATACATAAAAACAAAAACAACAAAAGTAGTATTTATTTTTGTAAAAAATGAAGGTATCCACTTAAGTGTAATTTGATTTCCTATAAAGAAGCAAATGCTGGGTACAACAGTGGACTCATTTTCCTATTCATATGTGGCTCTTTTGAAAACATAAAAAACTAACCCTACGAGGAGGTCCTCATTTGTTTTGACCCATAGTTGATCAGCGTAAAAATCTTTCACTGTCTTCAGTATGCTTTGAAATTTCAAATAAAAATAATGTTGCTATTTAATCCATTTATAATGATAGTAACATAAGATAAAAAATTCTCATTTGGGCCTTTGGAGACACTGAGTTTTTCCTTCAAAGCACGTGCTACTAATCAGTTCCCCAGACCTTTTCGGAATCACCACCTCACATGACCATAAGGAATACAGTTCTCCTACGTGACAACTGGAAGCTTACTTTGTGGTTTTGTTTTCATGGCATAAACACAAATATCCCAAATCATCCAAATAAGATCTTTACTTGGTGCATAACTATAATTGTCCCTGCGAAGTCCCTTTTGCCATGTGACAGTATATTCACAGGTCTGGGTGTTAGGGTATGGAGGTTATTAGGAGGTCATTCTGCCTACCACAAATATAGTTATTGGGGCAAGATGATAAGTGATTTTTTAAGTGTATTAATTTTCTAGGGTTGCCACAATAAAGTGCAACAAACAGGGCAGCTTGAACAACAGAAATGTATTATTGCATAGTTCTGGAGGCCAGAAGTCTGAAATGGTGTTGGCAGGGTTGGTTCCTTCTGAGAGCTATGTGAGAAGAATCTACTCCAAGCCTCTCTCCTTGGCTTGTAGATTATCATCTTCATGCTCACATCCCATTCTCCCTGCATGTGTGCCTGGGGCCAAATAGTCCCCTTTTAGAAGGGTACCCTTATAAGGATTAAGGGTGGATTAAGGGCCCACCCCACTCCAATATGACTTCATCTTAACTAACTAATGTAACTAACTAATTATATTTGAAATTACCCTATTTCCAAAATAAGGTCATACTATGAGGTATGGGGTGGGGAGGGTTAAAAATTCAATGTATGAATTTTGAGGGGGACATTATCAATCTATAACAAACTGATAAGTGATATTTCTTTCAAATTTAAAACATTAGGCATAAAATAGTTTGATAATGTTATTCTTTTCTGACACATACTCTCGAGAATTCTGGGCCATGAGAAAGAACCATCAATAAAGAATAGAGGAATATGTATGTGGTGATGGATATATCCATATATGTGATGGATATATCCATATATATTATACATATATATATATATATATATATATATATATATCTGATCAGTTTCATGAAACCATTTAAGGGAGCTACCATTTCACTCCCTGAGAACAGTTGCTCTGGTGAAATTGAAAAGTCAAATTTCACAGTTAATGATTCCTTGATTATTAGAACTCTGGCCTCAAATTTTTCAAAAAAAAAAAAATCAATTTCCTTAATAGACACTTTAACATGATATGTATATTTCAAAATTAAATTATTCCTACACAAAGAAATGCATTGCATGTCCTTGCTTGGCTTTGGGGCTGGTAGAAGTCCTGGGTTTCATGGATATCAGACCGTTTATCTCGGGACGCATCCTCGGAGGTAGGTGTCCCAAGCACAACTCGACTGCAAGTCCCTCGGAGTTAGTGAATAACTGAATCAGCCTGATAACTGCCCAGAGAGTCACAGCTCCTTCAGCTTTAGGGTAAATCCTACACTTGAGAAGCCTTTGTATTTTTTGCAAAGCAAATGCAGAAGCGGGCTTCTAGAGATAAGAAATAGGGACCACCTTCCCTCCTGTGATGCACAGACATGGTAGCCCAACTTATATGAGATATACTATACAGTGAGCCTTGCACGAGGCAAGGCTACCACAAGTTTTTTAAAAAAACTGAATGAAGACTGAGCCTCAGCACTCAGTTACATAGCCCCAAAAACTTACAATAAAATGGCTATTTGGGTCATTCATTCATTTGACAAGCCTTTATTGAGCACTGAAGATGACAAGTACCACAACACGAGATGATGGAATGAATGGGTGAGGCACCCCGATCCTAGCCATGGTATTGCTCAGCCCTACAGGATTGAAAGGGAATCTGGCAAAGAAATCCCCCTGTTCTCTGAAGCTCCATTTTAAATTAAAAGGACCGACTCAGAAAAACAATCATCCTTCTGTGTCAACAGCCTGCCTCTTTTTATGTTTCCACCGAACAAACTGTCCAAGGGCAAAATCTGTAGCTGAGATAATAAGAATGAAGGACTCTGCAGCAGGTGTTAAATGAATGGAAGCATGACAGCGTTACCTATGGCTTCTGATTTTCCAGGGTGGGTTTTTCTAGCTGGTTAGGCATGAAAGAAAAGGCAAGGGATGGAACGACATGTTTTGCTGAGTTTAAAGCTGTCTCAGAATATATTTCTTCAAGATTTTCAACAGAGTTCAAAGCTTTCTGTTCCAAGGATTTTTTATATTGAGAAATTGGAACATTTTTATAGAAAATGAACCCCAGAAAGTGGGAAGATAGATGGATAGATGTTTTCCATAAAATATTTTATACATCAATACATTTCATCAGACACTGAATCCATTAAATCTTAACATGGCAGAAATATTGTGTGGCTTCTCTCCTGCTGCCCTAACTAATAACCACAAATGCAGTGACTTAACACAATATTTGGTTTTCCCTCTCAGTTTCTGTTAAGCAGAAAACATCAGGTACAGTGGAGCTCAGCTCAGTCCTCTGTCTGGAGTCTCCCAAGGCCAAAATCAAGGTGTTGGCAGGGCTGTGTTTCTCTCTGGAGGCGCATTGAGGTTGTTGGCCGAATTCAGCTTCTAGGAACTACAAGGCATGTTTAGCTGCTGGCGCCTCAGGGCGTCCTGCGTTCTCCATCAGATTGCCCGCTCCATTTTCAAACCAGCAGGAGGGACCACATCCTGCTCTACTTTAGGTATCTCTCTCATAACTCTTCTCTTTCCCTTGTGCCTCAGTTGCCTTCTGCCTTCAGGCCAACTTCTCTGTTTTTACAGGTTCATGTGATTACACTAGGCCCACTCAAATAATCCGAGATAGTGTCCCTATTGTAAAGTCTAAAAACTTAATTGCATCTGCAAGTCTTTTTTCCATGCAAGGTAACATTCACAGGTTCTGGACATTAAGTGGACATCTTTGGGAGGCTATTCTGCCTACTCTAAAGATAGTCATCAGAGCAAGTTGATAAGTAACTTCCTTTCAAACTTAAAAACTTAGGTATAAAAATATTTTCATAATGCAATATTGTTCAGATATATATTCTTAAGTATTCCGAGTCATGAGAAAAAAAACCCTAAGTAAAGCTAACAATGTTACTTTTGGATTGAATTTTTACTCACTGAACTCAAAAAATTACCCAATAACTATTTTATATCAGTTATTTCAGTCTAATGAAGAATGTAGACTATATCATTAGCCTTATTTCTGAAGCAGATAGTGGTTGAGTGACTGAAGAGCTATCACTTATCAATGGCCTCCATGTTTTGGCTATGTGATTAACGGGAAAGTGGGCTTGCATTATTTTTCTTGGTAATCCAGGATAGAAAACCTTCAATGTGGTGAAAATCGCTTCCATTAATTAAAGGTTATACACAGGAAAACAGTGGATGGTGGCAATGCTGAGAATAGGCTTCAGTCTACAGGGCTAGAGTTCAGAAAGAGGAGGGAAAGAAGATTCACTGTCCTGATATTTGCTTTCCTCTCCAGGTTTAGCATGTGATGATATCATGGAAGGTTCTATTTCTAGGCCTTTGAAACTCCAGGAACAATACAATCAAATAATATGTTACAATGTGTTACCACACTGTTAGTAAGAGTGGTATTGGCAATAAACTACTAGTACCCCATGGGTCATGTATATGTGTGTTTGTGGGTGTTGTCTGAGACCATAAACTTAGGCGTAAATATATTTGCATATTGTCAAGAAATTCATTAACCTTTTTTGTTTTCAAATAGAACTGCATGAGGTACTACTACATATTAGAAACCATGGGAACAAATATAAATTGGATCACTTGGATATTTGGGTTTCTAGTTTCCTGTCATATTGAAAAATAAGAAGCACCACAGGACTTCCAATAACCACCTCTCTCCACTTGATGCAGAAGGCATTTTGATCCATAATTAAATTTGTGCTCTTTCTTGCTAAGAGAATTGAAATATCCTACAGTGTTTTCTAAGAAGGTTTGACATTATCTTTCCAGTTAGAGTCATGTTATGACAGCTTACAATTTTCTTTCTAAAAGGGTATTAAAAACACATCACACACTAATCGAGGCCATGCATAATCAGGCAAAATTCAGATCCTCTTGGCCATTCTGTGGTATGGTAACTCTGGATGCATAAGTGAACTAAGTCAAATTACTTCCAAAATAATACAAGTAAGTCAGTATATTTTGTTCTACTATCTATATTTCTCATTATGAAAGTCACTTCTTCCTTGCTTCCCTCTCCTTTCTCTTCCTTCTTCGTCATGAACAAGATAGTGTAATCTCAGATCAATGAGATCTGATGGATATCTAATTATATATATTAACATATCTTTTAAAAAAGAATGTTTCAGAGAGGAATTAAATGTCCACTAAGTTTCACTAGCTGTAAATGAAACCCAGAGTCAAAGCACCCCTGCTGCAGAGACAAGCAGACATTTGTAGTTTATGTCATTGAAATCTTCCGGTTCCATTGATGAAATCATTCCTGACTACTGTTATGAATGAATTAATTCACATCATTTTGTTCATTTCATTCTTTAACCTTTCAACAATCACTTTACAAGAAGCTGCTACATGCAAGCATTGTGGGGATAAAATAGGAGCAAACCAGATTCAGTCCTCACCCTTGTGAAGTGTAGAGTTTATTACGGAGGAAAGACAGTCATCAAATAATCACACTGAAAGATCATTGCAAATTAGTATATGTGTTATAAGGAAAAGAGCATACAAAGGGGTTCAGGGTGGCTGTTCTAAGGATGAGAACTTTTAGATCTTCAGACTGAAGAATGAGGAGGAGTTAAAGACAATGGAGAGTGGAGGCAGGCGAGAGAGCACTCTAGGTTGACACTGAGGCAGGAAGGACACGTGTGTGAGAGGGTGAAGAAATAAAATGACATTATAATGCTTGAGAAAGAGTGAACCACTAAATCTCCATTAGTTTCAGGAACGGTTCATCAAAGATGGGTCTCAGAATAGGGGGGAATTATTCTTGTGATTTGGAAGCCTTTGGTTGAGCAATTTAGATTTATCAACATGGGTGAGCACTAAGTTCACGGGAGGATTGCCAAGAAAAGAGAGAAGGAATGGTCGTGGGGCTAAAGTCACACCAGTGTCAAAGCAGAAAACATTTAGGTATTCAAGGACACTCACAGTCTCACTTCTTGGCCCACAGAGATTCTGAGTCTCATCAGTTGACCATACGTTGTTGTTGTTGTTGTTATTGTTGTTGTTGTTGTTGTTGTTGTTTTCAGAACTCCTGATCTACACCACTCCAAGAACAGCCTCAGCCTGGCTGTTGATGACTGCCATCAAAGCGTCTTGTGATGGTTTTCTTTGTAGTTATATATATTTCAATCATTTGTCGAGTGAGTGGCTGCATAGCAGCATTTAAACCCCTGGAGAAAACAGAGCAAATGACTAGGGAGACAAGCATAAACATGAGAATAACCAGTAATGTCTGTTAACGAACACCCAGGCTGACCTGCGGTGCACAGAACAGATCTCCTCCCCATCCAAGTCTATGGAAGGGGAGGTTTGATATTAATAGGCTTGTGTAATACTGATTTACCCAAAATGGCATGATTAGAGGAAAAACCTTAAAGAATCTCATTTTTACAATCAAAATTCCTAAACCAACACAGAGAGAAAATGATAGTCATGAAAAGAAAAATGAAACAGGTAAAGACAGAGGTGGCAATTAATTGTTTCTGGTATTAATAGGCTTTGATCTGATGTTCTTGAGAAAGAGATCTACTTTATGATGGCATCAGCTTCTGGAGAATCCCAAGAGATTCCCAGTGCTAGATTTTACACGGGCATGGATATCTGGGAGATGGGTATATGCTGTCTTTTTAACTAAGAGATGTGAATCCAAGAGGTAGTTCCCAGGAGTTTCATTGCACAATTTGTGGTTCCAAATCCCGTCTAATAAAGTTCAAGAATAGTCTTACATTGCTCTCATTTTCAGTACAGTAGGTCTCCTGGCTGAAAGTCATGCAGTGCTTTCTGTGACTTATCTGTGGGAAAAGCCACAAGGTCTCATTGAAAATGAGTTGGCCTTAAAGTTCTACAGCATTTGGCTATATTGGCCTGTGAATGAGCAGAGTCAAAAATTGAGGGTGATATCCCCATATGGATGAGCATCCAGCGACTAGCTCATTTGGGGATAATCTGTGAGTTCCTGTTAAAAGGGGCCTAACAGCCAGAATGCTGAGAGTAAACCTTTCGCTGTAGCATCTGAAGTTGCTCAGAGAGTTTCACAAGTTTCCGTTTTAATGGGTCTTGATTTCTCTAAGGACTGGGGGTGGTAGGAACAGTGAGGCTTTGGTTGACAGGCAAAGCTTCATAGAATGCCTTAATTAATGGTCTTGTGACATGGGTACCCCAAAACAAGATAAATAGACGAATATTACTCAAGTGAGAAACACAGAGTCGGAAAGTTGCTTTGCTACTGTCAGAAGAGTTACTTTATGAAAAGGAAACAATCCCAGCCAACCAGAAAACACACACTATTCTATGATTAAGAACATATTCATGACCACACAAGGGAACAACTGAATGAAATCTATTTGCAGATATACTCAATAGCCTAAAAGTTTTCGCTCATGTCCTTGTCCCACATTTGGGACAAGGTTTGCACAGGATTTGGGGGTTTGATGGAAGATACACCAAAGACGTGCTCTTCAATCTTGTTGGGGTTTCCCCATCGATACTTCTTCAGGATATATTTTAAATTATCCTTTCCATGTACGGTTACAACCAGCTTTTTTTTTTTTTTGAGAGATTCTATTTCAGCATCTCAATGAAGACTAAATAGCTGTCTTGGCACCACCAGCTGCCTTCTGGGTGAAGCAAACAATCTTATTTTTCCAGTGTGTTATTTCAGAATCAGGTGTTTGATTCTGAAATTGACTCAAGGCCTAATGCCAATAGTCAGGAATTCATTTTAGCTTTGAATTTTGGACTTGCTTGGCAGCTTGGATGTGTTAACACAGATTGTTTAGTATATTAATCTGTTGCAACATGAACCTTTGCTTCCTAAAATTGCTTTTATGTTTTTGCTTTAATTGGAATATACCATCTGTAATTAAGAAGTGATGTTTCTTCCAAAGCATACCAAAATCTTGCACCACTACAAAAATGTTTCTATATAGGCATTTCTCTCTTATCTGTAGCTAACTGGCAGGACTTAGTAAGAGCTATAACTTTGGCAACTTGTGCAGATTTAGTATCTCGAAGAGAGTTGAATTTGAATAAATGTTAGTGTGTTCTGATTGCATACCCAGCTTAATAGTGTCCTTGCTCAGTTCTCAAACAGGTTTTATCCACAATACTTCACAATTTAGGTAGTCTAAAAGAGTTTCAAAGTGTCCAGGTCGTAGCAAGAAAAACTCCCAAATAAGTATATAGCAGTCATGTGGGAGAGGAAGAGGAATAGCAGATTTTAGGATTTTGCAACAATGGATAGAAATGTCTATAGGTAAAGGGATTTTTTACAGCTTTATTGAAGTATAATTGATATACAAAAAAACCCTGCTCATTTAGTGTACACAATTTGATAAGTTCAGACGTATGTATACATCTGTGATATCAACACTACAATCAAAGCAATAAACATATCCACCAAGAATAAAGGATTTCAAAGGAAGCCAGTCTAGTAACAGAAGAATTGAAGGAGTTTTCAGTCCAAAGGAAGGTCTCAATGATATGAGGAACCACAGGGTTAAGCAAAAATCTTAAGACTAAGTCATCAGTTGCCTCAGCTGAGCTTGCACTGCTGCCACTGTGTGCAAACAAGGAGGGCAGGCTTTTTGTCATGAAATCAATGTGAAGATATAATAAGCAGTGAGTCTCTGATGCCCATTTTCTTGTTAAGTTAGAATCCTCCAAACTTGTCTCAATGTACTAACAGAAAGAAAGATGTATGATCATTGGAGAGTTATTTAAGTGGTAAAATACATTCTCTAGTGAGTCTATAATGCAGGATTGTCAGTTTTCATTAGCTTACAGGAGGGGGCAGTTAGTCGAGAAAAGTTAGAAATCCATGTCTACAATATTGTATGGGAATAAGACATTTTCTAAGATGTCTTTCAGTAATTGGCCAGGAAAGTCGGGAATAACCTGCAGTCTTTGAGGGAAAAGACCCTTAATTTTTGTTTGATATCATGGCCAAGAAAATACACGTGGGGCTGACAAAATTGGAGTTTACCCCTAGAGACTTTGTGTGCCTGTACACTTACACTATTAGCAAGTGGAATAAATCAATTCTGCAGGACTCTCAATCTAGAGAGCAAACAAGATCATCTATATATTATATAAGAGTGGAGTCCTTGGGAAATAGAATGTCTCCAGTCATTCAGGTGTCATTGAGTATTTCCAAGAAGTAAGAGGGTGTTTCTGTAAATTCTTGGTCACAATTGTTCATGAGTATTGTTTCCAAGTGAGTGTAAATAGATACAGTGAGTCTGGAAGAAAAGAATTACTAAAGAATGCTAAGCATGGATCTACCACTGTAAAGTAAGCAGCAGTTCTAGAGATTGTAGATAGGACAGTATTTGAGTTTGAGATAATAGGAAAGCAGGAAAGTAAAATTGTGTTAATGGCCCTTAAATCTTGTACAAAGTGGCAGTCATACTAATTTGTGTTTGTAACAGACAGAACAAAAGGATCACAAGGGCTAGTATAGGGATAATAACTCTTTTCTGGAGGTATGTAGAGATAATGGACCACAGTCTTTCAACGGACTCCATTTTTCAGTGGGGATTGGGCAGTTTCAGGAAGAACATAGCTAGATTTATTCAAACATTTAAGGGTTTAGCCTCTTGTATATGCCCGATATTTGAACCATCTTTGGTCAAGAGGCTATTATGGACATACCCAAAGCCTGGGATGTCCATAAAGAAGGCATCAGGGAGTTGTAATCAAGCTGTGGCGTTATTAGGTTGTAAGCCAAACATACTTCCTTTCTGAGAATTTCAGCAATACTCTATCTGGACCACATTTAATAATAGCACCGGGGGAGGAGCCAAGATGGCCGAATAGGAACAGCTCCGGTCTACAGCTCCCAGCGTGAGCGACGCAGAAGACGGGTGATTTCTGCATTTCCATCTGAGGTACCGGGTTCATCTCACTAGGGAGTGCCAGACAGTGGGCGCAGGCCAGTGTGTGTGCGCACCGTGCGTGAGCCGAAGCAGGGCGAGGCATTGCCTCACCTGGGAAGCGCAAGGGGTCAGGGAGTTCCCTTTCCGAGTCAAAGAAAGGGGTGACGGACGCACCTGGAAAATCGGGTCACTCCCACCCGAATATTGTGCTTTTCAGACCAGCTTAAGAAACGGCGCACCACGAGACTATATCCCACACCTGGCTCAGAGGGTCCTACGCCCACGGAATCTCGCTGATTGCTAGCACAGCAGTCTGAGATCAAACTGCAAGGCGGCAACCAGGCTGGGGGAGGGGCGCCCGCCATTGCCCAGGCTTGCTTAGGTAAACAAAGCAGCCGGGAAGCTCGAACTGGGTGGAGCCCACCACAGCTCAAGGAGGCCTGCCTGCCTCTGTAGGCTCCACCTCTGGGGGCAGGGCACAGACAAACAAAAAGACAGCAGTAACCTCTGCAGACTTAAGTGTCCCTGTCTGACAGCTTTGAAGAGAGCAGTGGTTCTCCCAGCACGCAGCTGGAGATCTGAGAACGGGCAGACTGCCTCCTCAAGTGGGTCCCTGACCCCTGACCCCCGAGCAGCCTAACTGGGAGGCACCCCCCAGCAGGGGCACACTGACACCTCACACGGCAGGGTATTCCAACAGACCTGCGGCTGAGGGTCCTGTCTGTTAGAAGGAAAACTAACAACCAGAAAGGACATCTACACCGAAAACCCATCTGTACATCACCATCATCAAAGACCAAAAGTAGATAAAACCACAAAGATGGGGAAAAAACAGAACAGAAAAACTGGAAACTCTAAAACGCAGAGCGCCTCTCCTCCTCCAAAGGAACGCAGTTCCTCACCAGCAACAGAACAAAGCTGGATGGAGAATGATTTTGACGAGCTGAGAGAAGAAGGCTTCAGACGATCAAATTACTCTGAGCTACGGGAGGACATTCAAACCAAAGGCAAAGAAGTTGAAAACTTTGAAAAAAATTTAGAAGAATGTATAACTAGAATAACCAATACAGAGAAGTGCTTAAAGGAGCTGATGGAGCTGAAAACCAAGGCTCGAGAACTACGTGAAGAATGCAGAACCCTCAGGAGCCGATGCGATCAACTGGAAGAAAGGGTATCAGCAATGGAAGATGAAATGAATGAAATGAAGCGAGAAGGGAAGTTTAGAGAAAAAAGAATAAAAAGAAATGAGCAAAGCCTCCAAGAAATATGGGACTATGTGAAAAGACCAAATCTACGTCTGATTGGTGTACCTGAAAGTGATGTGGAGAATGGAACCAAGTTGGAAAACACTCTGCAGGATATTATTCAGGAGAACTTCCCCAATCTAGCAAGGCAGGCCAACGTTCAGATTCAGGAAATACAGAGAACGCCACAAAGATACTCCTCGAGAAGAGCAACTCCAAGACACATAATTGTCAGATTCACCAAAGTTGAAATGAAGGAAAAAATGTTAAGGGAAGCCAGAGAGAAAGGTCGGGTTACCCTCAAAGGAAAGCCCATCAGACTAACAGCGGATCTCTCGGCAGAAACCCTACAAGCCAGAAGAGAGTGGGGGCCAATATTCAACATTCTTAAAGAAAAGAATTTTCAACCCAGAATTTCATATCCAGCCAAACTAAGCTTCATAAGTGAAGGAGAAATAAAATACTTTATAGACAAGCAAATGCTGAGAGATTTTGTCACCACCAGGCCTGCCCTAAAAGAGCTCCTGAAGGAAGCGCTAAACATGGAAAGGAACAACCGGTACCAGCTGCTGCAAAATCATGCCAAAATGTAAAGACCATCGAGACTAGGAAGAAACTGCATCAACTAATGAGCAAAATCACCAGCTAACATCATAATGACAGGATCAAATTCACACATAACAATATTAACTTTAAATATAAATGGACTAAATTCTGCAATTAAAAGACACAGACTGGCAAGTTGGATAAAGAGTCAAGACCCATCAGTGTGCTGTATTCAGGAAACCCATCTCACGTGCAGAGATACACATAGGCTCAAAATAAAAGGATGGAGGAAGATCTACCAAGCCAATGGAAAACAAAAAAAGGCAGGGGTTGCAATCCTAGTCTCTGATAAAACAGACTTTAAACCAACAAAGATCAAAAGAGACAAAGAAGGCCATTACATAATGGTAAAGGGATCAATTCAACAAGAGGAGCTAACTATCCTAAATATTTATGCACCCAATACAGGAGCACCCAGATTCATAAAGCAAGTCCTCAGTGACCTACAAAGAGACTTAGACTCCCACACATTAATAATGGGAGACTTTAACACCCCACTGTCAACATTAGACAGATCAACGAGACAGAAAGTCAACAAGGATACCCAGGAATTGAACTCAGCTCTGCCCCAAGCAGACCTAATAGACATCTACAGAACTCTCCACCCCAAATCAACAGAATATACATTTTTTTCAGCACCACACCACACCTATTCCAAAATTGACCACATAGTTGGAAGTAAAGCTCTCCTCAGCAAATGTAAAAGAACAGAAATTATAACAAACTATCTCTCAGACCACAGTGCAATCAAACTAGAACTCAGGATTAAGAATCTCACTCAAAGCCGCTCAACTACATGGAAACTGAACAACCTGCTCCTGAATGACTACTGGGTACATAACGAAATGAAGGCAGAAATAAAGATGTTCTTTGAAACCAACGAGAACAAAGACACCACATACCAGAATCTCTGGGACGCATTCAAAGCAGTGTGTAGAGGGAAATTTATAGCACTAAATGCCTACAAGAGAAAGCAGGAAAGATCCAAAATTGACACCCTAACATCACAATTAAAAGAACTAGAAAAGCAAGAGCAAACACATTCAAAAGCTAGCAGAAGGCAAGAAATAACTAAAATCAGAGCAGAACTGAAGGAAATAGAGACACAAAAAACCCTTCAAAAAATCAATGAATCCAGGAGCTGGTTTTTTGAAAGGATCAACAAAATTGATAGACCGCTAGCAAGACTAATAAAGAAAAAAAGAGAGAAGAATCAAATAGACACAATAAAAAATGATAAAGGGGATATCACCACCGATCCCACAGAAATACAAACTACCATCAGAGAATACTACAAACACCTCTACGCAAATAAACTAGAAAATCTAGAAGAAATGGATACATTCCTCGACACATACACTCTCCCAAGACTAAACCAGGAAGAAGTTGAATCTCTGAATAGACCAATAACAGGCTCTGAAATTGTGGCAATAATCAATAGTTTACCAACCAAAAAGAGTCCAGGACCAGATGGATTCACAGCCGAATTCTACCAGAGGTACAAGGAGGAACTGGTACCATTCCTTCTGAAACTATTCCAATCAATAGAAAAAGAGGGAATCCTCCCTAACTCATTTTATGAGGCCAGCATCATTCTGATACCAAAGCCGGGCAGAGACACAACCAAAAAAGAGAATTTTAGACCAATATCCTTGATGAACATTGATGCAAAAATCCTCAATAAAATACTGGCAAACCGAATCCAGCAGCACATCAAAAAGCTTATCCACCATGATCAAGTGGGCTTCATCCCTGGGATGCAAGGCTGGTTCAATATACGCAAATCAATAAATGTAATCCAGCATATAAACAGAGCCAAAGACAAAAACCACATGATTATCTCAATAGATGCAGAAAAAGCCTTTGACAAAATTCAACAACCCTTCATGCTAAAAACTCTCAATAAATTAGGTATTGATGGGACTTATCTCAAAATAATAAGAGCTATCTATGACAAACCCACAGCCAATATCATACTGAATGGGCAAAAACTGGAAGCATTCCCTTTGAAAACTGGCACAAGACAGGGATGCCCTCTCTCACCGCTCCTATTCAACATAGTGTTGGAAGTTCTGGCCAGGGCAATCAGGCAGGAGAAGGAAATAAAGGGTATTCAATTAGGAAAAGAGGAAGTCAAATTGTCCCTGTTTGCAGACGACATGATTGTTTATCTAGAAAACCCCATCGTCTCAGCCCAAAATCTCCTTAAGCAGATAAGCAACTTCAGCAAAGTCTCAGGATACAAAATCAATGTACAAAAATCACAAGCATTCTTATACACCAACAACAGACAAACAGAGAGCCAAATCATGGGTGAACTCCCATTCACAATTGCTTCAAAGAGAATAAAATACCTAGGAATCCAACTTACAAGGGATGTGAAGGACCTCTTCAAGGAGAACTACAAACCACTGCTCAAGGAAATAAAAGAGGACACAAACAAATGGAAGAACATTCCATGCTCATGGGTAGGAAGAATCAATATCGTGAAAATGGCCATACTGCCCAAGGTAATTTACAGATTCAATGCCATCCCCATCAAGCTACCAATGACTTTCTTCACAGAATTGGAAAAAACTACTTTAAAGTTCATATGGAACCAAAAAAGAGCCCGCATCGCCAAGTCAATCCTAAGCCAAAAGAACAAAGCTGGAGGCATCACACTACCTGACTTCAAACTATACTACAAGGCTACAGTAACCAAAACAGCATGGTACTGGTACCAAAACAGAGATATAGATCAATGGAACAGAACAGAGCCCTCAGAAATAATGCCGCATATCTACAACTATCTGATCTTTGACAAACCTGAGAAAAACAAGCAATGGGGAAAGGATTCCCTATTTAATAAATGGTGCTGGGAAAACTGGCTAGCCATATGTAGAAAGCTGAAACTGGATCCCTTCCTTACACCTTATACAAAAATCAATTCAAGATGGATTAAAGATTTAAACGTTAGACCTAAAACCATAAAAACCCTAGAAGAAAACCTAGGCATTACCATTCAGGACATAGGCATGGGCAAGGACTTCATGTCCAAAACACCAAAAGCAATGGCAACCAAAGCCAAAATTGACAAATGGGATCTAATTAAACTAAAGAGCTTCTGCACAGCAAAAGAAACTACCATCAGAGTGAACAGGCAACCTACAACATGGGAGAAAATTTTCGCAACCTACTCATCTGACAAAGGGCTAATATCCAGAATCTACAATGAACTCAAACAAATTTACAAGAAAAAAACAAACAACCCCATCAAAAAGTGGGCGAAGGACATGAACAGACACTTCTCAAAAGAAGACATTTATGCAGCCAAAAAACACATGAAGAAATGCTCATCATCACTGGCCATCAGAGAAATGCAAATCAAAACCACTATGAGATATCATCTCACACCAGTTAGAATGGCAATCATTAAAAAGTCAGGAAACAACAGGTGCTGGAGAGGATGTGGAGAAATAGGAACACTTTTACACTGTTGGTGGGACTGTAAACTAGTTCAACCATTGTGGAAGTCAGTGTGGCGATTCCTCAGGGATCTAGAACTAGAAATACCATTTGACCCAGCCATCCCATTACTGGGTATATACCCAAAGGGCTATAAATCATGCTGCTATAAAGACACATGCACACGTATGTTTATTGCGGCACTATTCACAATAGCAAAGACTTGGAACCAACCCAAATGTCCAACAATGATAGACTGGATTAAGAAAATGTGGCACATATACACCATGGAATACTATGCAGCCATAAAAAATGATGAGTTCATATCCTTTGTAGGGACATGGATGAAATTGGAAACCATCATTCTCAGTAAACTATCGCAAGAACAAAAAACCAAACACCGCGTATTCTCACTCATAGGTGGGAATTGAACAATGAGATCACATGGACACAGGAAGGGGAATATCACACTCTGGGGACTGTGGTGGGGCCGGGGGAGGGGGGAGGGATAGCATTGGGAGATATACCTAATGCTAGATGACACATTAGTGGGTGCAGCGCACCAGCATGGCACATGTATACATATGTAACTAACCTGCACAATGTGCACATGTACCCTAAAACTTAGAGTATAATAAAAAAAAAAAAATAATAATAGCACCCCATTTACCATGTAAGGCTCATCACAACATATTTCCCATCTGGTTTCTCTAACTCCAGTGCCCTATTTCTCCCCACAGAAGATAATGACCCATCTCTATTTCCATCACTCCTGCCAGCCTTGGCCTGCCAAGGAGACCCACCACTGAACTTCTTAGTGATGCTGGTGACCCTATTGCCACCAAACCATTAATGCCTTTTATAAATGCTGCATCTAGGCTCTCTTGGGGTTTTCTGGTCTTACCTGATACAGAAACTAGAAGCATGGTGAGTACAAGTACCCATGAGAGGAGATAGGGGCATCTCCTGAGATAGATGGCTGTTGCGTTGCAGGGGAGAGGTCTCTAGCATTTTCTAATAGGTGTTAATAGAGAAGGATGGGCTGCTCTGTAAGCTCTGAGGTTATAATGTATACGATGCTAAAATCTTCAGAGGCATCCATCCAGGCATCCTTACTCCACATTTCAGGGTCTTACATTATCCCAACCATGGTCCCGACCTACACATTACAGGCCTATCTTGGCTAAGGTTTCAAATGTCTGAAGCTCTGTGAATTTAACTACAAAATTTTTAGTCTGTTATTCAACTGAGTCTGTCGTTCCACTACAGGAGAAACGGCTTCTTTGTAAGGCGCCACACAGGCTCTCCAGCCATAACATTTAGCCTTGACTTGCTTGTTTGTAGCCCCCAATTCTTTATTATCCTTCTGCAGGGCATATCAATACAAATTATCCTGAATGAGCTGTCTCTGCTGTCTTTGTAAGCATTGCTATCCTCCCCACCCATTTCTTTTAAAAGCTGGAGTGACTGCACCTGCAAGACACCACTGCAATTGGACTGCCATCAGGTGTCAGGTATTACCCAAGCCCCATCTGCCACTCAGGATATTGTATCCTTCTTCTGCTCAGGGGTGATTCAGCAGGTCCCAAATCTTCAAGTTTCTGCCAGGTTTCTGGATGAGTCTTGGTACCATTTGCATCAACTAGATCCTGACTCCAGAAAGCAGACACCAAGATGGTGTTAGATGGGCAAGAGGTTTTTTGACAAAGGGAGGAAGAGAAGGCAACAAGAGTCTTCAGACTTCAGTTGAAATCTGATACCTATAGAAGGAAATAGGGAAGAAAGGGACATCAAGTAGTAGAAGGGTTGGACTGCAGAGCAATTCAGGAGTTAATCCAGGTCAATAGAGAGTCCCCATACCATAGTCACTCTTAGGATGAGTCCTGTGTCTTCCCAGAATGAGCCTGTCACCCTAAGTTAATTATGCCCCTGCAGCAGAAGATCAAGGTAGCGTGTTTTCATGGCCACCGCAAGTGACTACTCTAGATAAGAGATCTGTTCTTCAGTGAGTCATCAAATACACTCTTAACAAATACAAAATACACAAAATTTAATTTAATTAGCTTATCCAAATTCAAATTAACCTGTACAAAACAGGAACATAAAATGATCTTTGAATATATTATGTGATGGTACATTTATATTTCATTATATTTATTACTCTTCTTTTAAAAAGCATCTTCCAGGTTTACTATCACCTTTGCATGCATGAATAGTTGAATAGATGGGATGTCAGAGGAGGCCTCCTCTGCATACTTTGCTCTGTGCTTCCTCTCTACAGATTTTAGTACCTCAGAAACCCAGTCATTCCAAAGCCTGCACTCAGAACTAATAAGCATTTTACAAATCCTGTGAGCTACAATACCATGAAGTTTCATTCATTCATTTATTCATTCTTCCAGGTTCTCATTTATTCAATGCCACTATCCATCTTCCATGTACTAGACACTGTTAAGCCCTGAGATCCCATAAAGCTGACAGCATGTAATTACTGAAAACACAGAATGAACAAAAACAAAACATCTTACTTCTCAGAGTCCTTGCCTCATCCACAGTTTACCACAGGTAGGACTAAGTTCTTTCTAAATTATGGAAGCTATCCCATACTAAGAAGCACATCAGACACCATCAGAAGGAAGCAATTTCCAACTGCTTTTCTCACAAAGAATGCACATGCATATTATGCCATCAAGCTCCAAACTATGCAAATAAAACCTATGTTTTCCTCAAGAAAGATTTTCTAAATAACTTACTGAGTCAACCTTGGAGGCAGTTGCAGCATATTACAAAACCAAGAAGAGAAAATTTCATATCAGAATAACCTCGGGGCAAGTAAAAAGGTAAAAAAATTTCCTGAAATTATTCTACTGATATTCAAAGAAACTGACAATTAAACCTTACCTCCAGTAGGGTCAAACTAAAAACCACAGAATATAGATACCATGTTAGTGTAACAGACCTGCAGGCTAACTGATGTTTTGACATTAATTGAAAAGAACATTGTATTTGCTAAGGTTCAAATTTTGGAGACTGTCAATGCACTAACTGAAAATTCATTTGAGAATTCCCTTCTGATGTCTGCTTAACCTGGGTTTCACACCCCCAGGAAAACTACAGTCTCTTTATCTATAGCTTATGCAGCAGGAGGCAAGACACTTAATAAACTGAACAAGACTTTAGAAAGGCAGAAGTCTTAAATTTGAATTCAACTCATGGCCTACTTGCTACAGACTTTCTTTTCCTGGGGAAATCTCAGGCTGTCACAAATGAGAAGCAAAGGTGGTAGCCTCCCCAATCACATACAATGTTTCCTATCTCTTCCAGGGCTGCAGCTGACTGATTTGTTTCTCCTAAGGCCAACCATGAGCAGAATCTCTCCATAAAAGCTGTGGATTGGAAGTAGTGACAGGTCAGAATTACGACGACAGTCACAGAGTACAGAGGAATACCAATTAGCAGAAGAACAAATTAATTTAAAATGAATCATTTCAAAGATTTTAAATTTTGTAGCAATTAGCTAAAATTTTTCAAGAGATGGATTTTTAAGTTTGTGGGACACTAAACAAATAAACAAGGTTTTTCTCTGAGTCATCATCACCCTTACAATCCCTCAAACTTGTTTATACAAATGAGTTGATTCAGATATTCATTCATTCATTCATACGTTGTACTCCTTGGTTGAAGAACACTGGGAACACTCATGAAAGATGTTATTTTTGAATGATTGCCAGTTCTAATGCTGAAAAGCCAACGGAATTTGTAGCTCTCCTTCTAATAAGAGTGTATAGGCAGATGCTGAAATAAGTCTTTGAAACAATGAGACCAAAACCAGTCTATTTTGCGTGCTACATCTCCACTGACAAAATAAAACTATGCTGTGATTTCAGGTCAGACATTCTGGCTTTATAAAATAACAATAGATTTGAAATGCTTATCAAGATTTTATTGCATCAGTGTTCTTAAAATTATCCATACAATTTGGTATCTGTAAACAGTATGTGAACATGAACATTTAATGCCCCAACTCTGCTATATTATGACTGTAAAACTATACTTCATTTTATACAGTCAAGGTCAAAAGAATAAATCAAGTTCGAATAAAATTTTTTCTGAAATCCATATGCACCAAGAAACTCTAAAAATTCCTGGGGTAAAAAGAACTCTTTCTAGCCTGGCTTTGTATTTCCTCTCTGTTCCTAACTGTTCAGAAACATACCCAAACGATTCAATATCATCACAGGCTACTCATTTCCACATTTCTACCTTTCAAATAGTTTATACCGTGAAATCACAAAGGCACTGATTGTCATTCTCAAAAGACAGAATCACTTTACTATCACATCAAAAGCATTTGAATAGTTCCTCTAGTTATGAAGAAGGTTAAATCTAAAATGTTGAAACTGTTGCATTATTATTGTGAAATGAAACAGCAATCACACCAGATAGTTAGATTGGCACAGATTTGTGCATGCCCAGAAAACTAAAGACTAATGCTTAGACTATACTCCATATCTCTTATACGTGATTTATGTTTATTTTCCATGTTCAGATCTCCATGTGTCCTAGCTTTCCATTAAAAAACAATAGGAGAGTCCTTCTGAAGCTAATTTAACACCTGTGAATTCCCATAGGCTATAACCAGAGAGAGTAATCTGATTAAGTGACTGCCTTAAATGTCAAAGGTATTAAGTTCAGCTTCTGCACTGGGACTCTATTTTCATATGTTCATTTTTAATTTTAGTGATTACATGCAATGGGACAGAATTACTGTGGCTAACAGATGTACATGTTAAAATTTCTTATAATGGAGGCATCAGCAGTTCCTCAACTTCGACATCAATGTGACTTTTTGAATTCCATACATTACCACACGTGTAGAATAACGAGCAATACCTGGGTTAAAGAACAAAAGATTTTGGGGCATGGTTGCTTGTGCCTGTAGTCCCAGGTACTTGGGAGGCTGAGGTGGGAAGAGTGCTTGAGTCCAGGAGTTCAAGATTGCGGTGCGCTATGTTTGTGCCTGTGAATTACCACTGCACTCCAGCCTGGATGACATAAGGAGACCCTGTTTCTAAAAAAAAGTAAATTAATTAATTAATTTTTAAAACCGAGTGAAAAAAAACTCTTAAAAAATATTTTGGATCACGAGACTTACTCACATGGGTCTTTGTGCCTGGATCATTTTAAACATATGGATTCTATATAAAATACAGCATATTTCCTTTTTTTTTATTATACTTTAAGTTCTAGGGTACATGTGCACAATGCGCAAGTTTGTTACATATGTATACATGCGCCATGTTGGTGTGCTGCTCCCATTAACTCGTCATTTACATTAGATATATCTCCTAATGCTATCCTCCTCATCCCCTCACCCCAACACAGGCCCCAGTGTGTGATGTACCCCTTCCAGTGTCCAAGTGTTCTCATTGTTCAATTCCCACCTATGAGTGAGAACATGCGGTGTTTGGTTTTTTGTCCTTGCGATAGTTTGCTTTCCCTTCATCCATGTCCCTACAAAGGACATGAACTCATCCTTTTTTATGGCTGCATAGTATTCCATGGTGTAGATGTGCCACGTTTGCTTAATCCAATCTATCACTGATGGACATTTGGGTTGCTTCCAAGTCTTTGCTATTGTGAATAGTGCCGCAATAAACATACGTGTGCATGTGTCTTTATAGCAGCATGATTTATAATCCTTTGGGTATATACCCAGTAATGGGATGGCTGGGTCAAATGGTATTTCTAGTTCTAGACCCTTGAGGAATCACCACACTGTCTTCCACGATGGCTGAACTAGTTTACACTCCCACCAACAGTGTAAAAATGTTCCTATTTCTCCACATCCTCTCCAGCACCTGTTGTTTCCTGACTTTTTAATGATCGCCATTCTAACTAGTGTGAGATGGTATTTCATTGTGGTTTTGATTTGCATTTCTCTGATGGCCAGTGATGGTGAGCATTTTTTCATGTGTCTGTTGTCTGCATAAATGTCTTCTTTTGAGAAGTGTCTGTTCATATCCTTCACCACTTTTTGATGGGGTTGTTTGTATTTTTTCTTGTAAATTTGTTTGAGTTCTTTATAGATTCTGGATATTAGCCCTTTGTCAGATGAGTAGATTGCAAAAATTTTCTCCTATTCTGTAGGTTGCCTGTTCACTCTGATGGTAGTTTCTTTTGCTGTGCAGAAGCTCTTTAGTTTAATTAGATCCCATTTGTCAATTCTGGCTTTTGTTGCCATTGCTTTTGGTGTTTCAGACATGAAGTCCTTGCCCATGCCTATGTTCTCAATGGTATTGCCTAGGTTTTCTTCTAGGGTTTTTATGGTTTTAGGTCTAACATTTAAGTCTTTAATCCATCTTGAATTAATTTTGGTATAAGGTGTAAGGAAGGGATCCAGTTTCAGCTTTCTACATATGACCAGCCAGTTTTCCCAGCACCATTTATTAAATAGGGAATCCTTTCCCCATTTCTGGTTTTTGTCAAGTTTCTCAAAGATCAGATGGGTGTAGATGTGTGGTATTATTTCTGTCAGCTCTGCTCTGTTCCATTGGTCTATATCTCTGTTTTGGTACCAATACCATGCTGTTTTGGTTACTGTAGCCTTGTGGTATAGTTTGAAGTCAGGTAGCATGATGCCTCCAGCTTTGTTCTTTTGGCTTAGGATTGATTTGGCAATGCGGGCTCATTTTGGTTCCATATGAACTTTAAAGTAGGTTTTTCCAATTCTGCGAAGAGAGTCATTGGTAGCTTGATGGGGATGGCATTGAATCTATAAATTACCTTGGGCAGTATGGCCATTTTCACAATATTGATTCTTCCTATCCATGAGCATGGAATGTTCTTCCATTTGTTTGTGTCCTCTTTTATTTTGTTGAGCAGTGGTTTGTAGTTCTCCTTGAAGAGGTCCTTCACATCCCTTGTAAGTTTGATTCCTAGGTATTTTATTCTCTTTGAAGCAATTGTGAATGGGAGTTCACTCATGATTTGGCTCTCTGTTTGTCTGTTATTGGTGTATAAGAATGCTTGTGATTTTTGTACATTGATTTTGTATCCTGAGACTTTGCTGAAGTTGCTTATCAGCTTAAGTAGATTTTGGGCTGAGATGATGGGGTTTTCTAAATATACAATCATGTCATCTGCAAACAGGGACAATTTGACTTCCTCTTTTCCTAATTGACTGCCCTTTATTTCTTTCTCCTGCCTGATTGCCCTGGCCAGAACTTCCAACACTATGCTGAATAGGAGTGGTGAGAGAGGGCATCCCTGTCTTGTGCCAGTTTTCAAAGGGAATGCTTCCAGTTTTTGCCCATTCAGTATGTTATTGGCTGTGGGTTTGTCATAAATAGCTCTTATTATTTTGAGATACATCCCATCAATACCTAATTTATTGAGAGTTTTTAACATGAAGGGCTGCTGAATTTTGTCAAAGGCCTTTTCTGTATCTACTGAGATAATCATGTGGTTTTTGTCTTTGGTTCTGTTTATATGCTGGATTACATTTATTGATTTGTGTATGTTGAACCAGCCTTGCATCCCAGGGATGAAGCCCAGTTGATCATGGTGGATAAGCTTTTTGATCTTCTGCTGGATTTGGTTTGCCAGTATTTTATTGAGGATTTTTGCATCGATGTTCATCAGGGATATTGGTCTAAAATTCTTTTTTTGTTGTGTCTCTGCCAGGCTTTGGTATCAGGATGATGCTGGCCTCATAAAATGAGTTAGGGAGGATTCCCTCTTCTTCTATTGATTGGAATAGTTTCAGAAGGAATGGTACCAGCTCCTCCTTGTACCTCTGGTAGAATTCAGCTGTGAAGCTGTCTGGTTCTGGACTTTTTTTTGGTTGGTAGGCTATTAATTATTGCCCCAACTTCAGAGCCTGTTATTGGTCTATTCAGGGATTCAACATCTTCCTGGTTTAGTCTTGGGAGGGTGTATGTCTCCAGGAATTTATCCATTTCTTCTAGATATTCTAGTTTATTTGTGTAGAGGTGTTTATAGTATTCTCTGATGGTAGTTTATATTTCTGTGGGATCGGTGGTAATATCCCCTTTATCATTTTTTATTGTGTCTATTTGATTCTTCTCTCTTTTCTTCTTTATTAGTCTTGCTAGTGGTCTATCAATTTTGTTGATGTTTTCAAAACACCAGCTCCTGGATTCATTTATTGTTTGAAGGGTATTTTGTCTCTATCTCCTTCAGTTCTGCTCTGATCTTAGTTATTTCTTGCCTTCTGCTAGCTTTTGAATGTGTTTGCTCTTGCTTCTCTAGTTCTTTGAATTGTGATGTTAGGGTGTCAATTTTAGATCTTTCCTGTTTTCTCTTATGGGCATTTAGTGCTATAAATTTCCCTCTACACACTGCTTTAAATGTGTCCCAGAGATTGTGGTATGTTGTGTCTTTGTTCTCATTCGTTTCAAAGAACATCTTTATTTCTGCCTTCATTTCGTTATCTACCCAGTAGTCATTCAGGAGCAGGTTGTTCAGTTTCCATGTAGTTGAGCGGTTTTGAGTGAGTTTCTTAATCCTGAGTTCCAGTTTGATTGCACTGTGGTCTGAGAGACAGTTTGTTATAATTTCTCTTCTTTTCAATTTGCTGAGGAATGCTTTACTTCCAACTATGTGGTCAATTGTGGAATAAGTGTAATATGGTGCTGAGAAAAATGTATATTCTGTTGATTTAGAGTGGAGAGTTCTGTAGATGTCTATCAGGTCTGCTTGGGGTGAGCTGAGTTCAATTCCTGGATATCCTTGTTAACTTTCTGTCTCTTTGATCTGTCTGATGTTGACAGTGGAGTGCTAAAGTCTCCCATTATTATTGTGTGGGAGTCTAAGTCTGTTTGTAGGACTCTAAGGAATTGCTTTATAAATCTGGGTGTGCCTGTATTGGGTGCATATATATTTAGGATAGTTAGCTCTTCCTGTTGAATTCATCCCTTTACCATTATGTAATGGTCTTCTTTGTCTCTTTTGATCTTTGTTGGTTTAAAGTCTGTTTTATCAGAGACTGGGATTGCAAACCCTGCCTTTTTTTGTTTTCCATTTGCCTACTAGATCTTCCTCCATCCCTTTATTTTGAGCCTATGTGTGTCTCTGCAAGTGAGATGGGTCTCCTGAATACAGCACACTGATGGGTCTTGACTCTTTATCCAATTTGCCAGTCTGTGTCTTTTAATTGGAGCATTTAGCCCATTTACATTTAAAGTTAATATTGTTATGTGTGAATTTGATCCTGTCATTATGATGTTAGCTAGTTATTTTGCTCGTTAGTTGATGCAGTTTCTTCCTAGCATCGAGGGTCTTTACAATTTGGCATGTTTTTGCAGTGGCTGGTATTGGTTGTTCCTTTCCATGTGTAGTGCTTCCTTCAGGAGCTCTTGTAGGGCAGGCCTGGTGGTGACAAAATCTTCAGCATTTGCTTGTCTGTAAAGGATTTTATTTCTCCTTGACTTTGAAGCTTAGTTTGGCTGGATATGAAACTCTGGGTTGAAAATTCTGTTTTTTAAGAATGTTGAATATTGGCCCCCACTCTCTTCAGGCTTGTAGAGTTTCTGCAGAGAGATCTGCTGTTAATCTGATGGGCTTCCCTTTGTGGGTAACCAGACCTTTCTCTCTGGCTGCCCTTAACATTTTTTCCTTCATTTCAACTTTGGTGAATCTGACAATTATGTGTCTTGGAGTTGCTCTTCTTGAGGAGTATCTTTGTGGCGTTCTCTGTATTTTCTGAATTTGAATGTTGCCCTGCCTTGCTAGGTTGGGGAAGTTCTCCTGGATAATATCCTGCAGAGTATTTTCTAACTTGGTTCCATTCTCCCCATCACTTTGAGGTACACCAATCAGACGTAGATTTGGTCTTTTCACATATTCCCATATTTCTTGGAGGCTTTGTTCATTTCTCTTTACTCTTTTTTCTCCAAACTTCTCTTCTCACTTCATTTCATTCATTTGATCTTCAATCACTGATACCCTTTCTTCCAGTTGATTGAATCAGCTACTGAAGCTTGTGCATTTGTCACGTAGTTCTCATGCCATGGTTTTCAGCTCCATCAGGTTATTTAAGGACTTCTCTACATTGGTTATTCTAGTTAGCCATTCGTCTAATCTTTTTTCAAGGTTTTTAGCTTCTTTGCAATGGGTTCAAATTTCCTTCTTTAGCTCGGAGAAGTTTGATTGTCTGAAGCCTTCTTCTCTCAACTCATCAAAGTCATTCTCCATCCAGCTAGGTTCCATTCCTGGCGAGGAGCTGTGTTCCTTTGGAGGGGGAGAGGTGCTCTGATTTTTAGAATTTTCAGCTTGTCTTCTCTGTTTTTTCCCCATCTATGTGGTTTTATCTACCTTTGGTCATTGATGATGGTGACGTACAGATGGGGTCTTAGTGTGGATGTCCTTTCTGTTTGTTAGTTTTACTTCTAACAGTCAGTACCCTCAGCTGCAGGTCTGTTGGAGTTTGCTGGAGGTCCACTCCAGACCCTGTTTGCCTGGGTATCAGCAGTGGAGGCTGCTGAACAGTGAATATTGCTGAACAGCAAATGTTGCTACCTGATTGTTCCTCTAGAAGCTTCATCTCAGAGTGGTACCCGGCCATGTGAGGTGTCAATCTGCCCCTACTGGAGGGTGCCTCCCAGTTAGGCTACTCGGTGGTCAGGGACCCACTTGAGGGGGCAGTCTGTCCGTTCTCAGATCTCAAACTCCATGCTGGGAGAACCACTGTTCACTTCAAAGCTGTCAGACAGGGACATTTAAGTTTGCAGAGGTTTCTGCTGCCTTTTGTTTGGCTATGCCCTGCCCCCAGAGGTGGAGTCTACAGAGGCAGGCAGGCCTCCTTGAGCTACAGTGGGCTCCACCGAGCTCAAGCTTCCTGGCCACTCTGTTTACCTACTCAAGCCTGAGCAATGGTGGGTGCCCCTCCCTCAGCCTCGCTGCTGCCTTGCAGTTTGATCTCAGACTGCTGTGCTAGCAATGAGCGAGGCTCTGTGGGCGCGGGACCCTCTGAGCCATGCGCGGGATATAATTTCCTGGTGTGCCGTTTGCTAAGACCATTGGAAAAGCACAGTATTAGGGTGGGAGTGACCTGATTTTCCAGGTACTTTCCGTCACACCTTCCCTTGGCTAGGAAAGGGAATTCCTGGGTGAGGCGATGCCTCACCCTGCTTTGGCTCACACTCGGTGGGCTGCACCCACTGTCCTGCACCCACTGTCCAACAAGCCCCAGTGAGATGAACCAGTACCTCAGTTGGAAATGCAGAAATCACCTGTCTTCTGCATCACTCATGCTGGGAGCTGTAGACTGGAGCTGTTCCTATTTGGCCATCTTGGAACTGCCCCCCATTTTTTTTTTTTTTTTTTGGATTCATCTTCTCACTAAGTAAGAGTCAGAGTGTTTTCCCTAAGCTTTTAACTAATTCCAACAACATGCTTCTAGAGTAAACTCCCAAGTATGGCAGGCCACTGTGAGTCTCTTTTTCTGGTTGTATGAATTACCTTATGGTTACCATGAAAGTATGTCAATTTTTCTCTAAGTCCTACAGCACTGAGCCAGGCTATCATGGCTACTACTGAGGAACTTTCTCTTAAAGAATTTATACAATTGCAATAAAATACTAATGTTTCCAAGAGTACAATACTTTCCAAGGGGCTGATAATTAGTTTAGGGTTTTCTTATAAACTGAAACTAAAAGCATACATTTCTGTCTGTCTGAAAAGAGGCTACAGCAATGTTTCTCTGCCTTTTAACCCACTCTGTCTTCTGCAAACAATCCATACCAGTTTTTGTGATTAATTACGATTTGGGAATAAACTAAAAGCTTTGTAATGTGAGAATGTGAATTTTTACCTTCCACACATCCCCTACCATGCTGGCCACTTTTCCCCTGTCTTTCTTTGTGATCCATTCTCCCAGAAAATGAAATCACAGGTGTTATAACAGGAGCGAATATATCCTACTGTCAAAACTAGAGAGAAATCTGCAAGCTGCATTCATCTAAGGAATGTATTATCCTTTACAGAATGTAAACTAACAATATAGGTCCCCAATATGATTAACATAATCACAAAATACTGACCCATGAGAATGTACTAAAGGACACTAGCAATAGGGTACAGCCATGATATTTTAAAGTAAGCACATTAAAGGATAATCTTCTAAGAAAATCCATTCTCTGTATCTTTGCAAGCCTTATTTCTTCCCTTCACCCAGTTCCTATTTAAATGTCACATCGTCAGAGTGCTTGACAAGAATATAGTATCAAACATAGCACCTCTGCCCTGGCCACGTCATTCACTATGCCCCAGTTTTTCTTCCTAGCATGGATTATTACCCAACTTTATATTACGTATTTATTTGTTTTCTGATTATTTCTTCTACTAGAAAGTAAACTCCCTGAAGACCTGCTCTGTTAAATTCATCCCTGTTTCCAAGTATTTGGAAAGTGGCATTCAATATGAGTCTGAAAAAGGAATAAATGAATGAATTCCAACTGAACCAACACCCACATGCGACTAGCACAATCACCAAATGGGGGGAAAAACGGACTGGGATGAAAAGTCTTAACCCAATATTTCTTCTAAAACCAACCAACAAACAAAAAAACAGATATTATCACTAGGATTAAGTCCTAAAACTTAGAGAGGCAAATAAAACTAAACTTTGAAACTTCTAAGACATATATAAATATGCTAATTTATATTTTCCTACAAGCATAGAAATCCATTGTTTCAAAACCACTAACATCATTTCATATAATTATTTCAGAAACTATGCTTAAGACATATGAATAAGCTGATTCCAATAATTTATCACTTGAAAATTTAGATTCTCTAGCTCAACATGTGCACCTGAGATGGTTCTGTCACATTGATTACTACAATGATTTTAGGCCTCCAGGAAGGAAAGCTGGGATTGAGAACTGCTTTGGTCAGGGAACAAGTTATAAGATTCCTAACTGATTCTCTATCCTCTGAGAGTAAACTTCATTCTCTAGAGCCAACTTTCTAAGGCTTTCTGGCTTAGAATTATGAGTTCTGGTGATTCTCGCCCTTGACTAATCAGAACTTCACCACCAGCAGGTATGTCCTCTGAATGTCCAGATTTCTCCTGAACCAGGGACAGAACAGCAGCTCTTACATGAATCTCTGGTGACCATACCATCATCCCCCACTATCTCATGGGACTGTTCTTATGTGAACATTTCCAGCCATTATTATTGGGTGGGAACACAATTGGAGCAAATAATGAAGAGAAGCTGTTGTCCCTTTTATTTACTATCTTGCATGAAAAGGTAGAATGCCCCAAACTTTATATTTGTCTTTTACACTTCAGTGTTACATAAAATTTCAGTAGCATTGAGCAAATAAAATCATTAGTAACAATTATAAGTTATTTTGTAGTTTCTGATTTGATGCATCCCAAAATAGCTATCTTTTCATGGTGTTATTAAAATATTTTAAAGGTTGCTTCCTAGGCAGCCCTTATAAAGGACTTTCTTTCTTCTCAACTTATGTCTTCACCAAACACTCAATTTAAGTATCATAGTGTCCTTGCACTAGCTTGCGGTTATTCTCATTCTAATTTTTCTTCGTCAGTTGGTTAGGTTAACCTTATTAAAAGTCTTATCTCATCTGGATTCCTCTTCCATCACTTGGGGAAGTGCTGTCTTCTTTAGTATTTCCACTTTTAGCACCTGATCTTATTACTTGATGTTAAACACAAGCCCACATGCCAGCACCTGGTAAGCTGTCACTTTGATGACTGTCTCTCTCACCACACCTCAAAGCAAAGTGGTCTTGGCCACCCACTTCAAATGGTCTCAGGCCTCATTTATGGACCTGACATAGCACATGTAAATTCATGGAGAGCCCACATTTCCCCTCAGGTCCTACACGTGGGCATTAATAGAATGGGCACTTGAACCCTTAACTGCTAAAACTTAAGTAAGAGCAATCCCCAATTTCCCAGAGCAAATTCTTGAGGAAATTAGCTGCTGAGTAATTTTTTATGAAGGAGAAGAGGGTAATGAGAAGCAAGTAATGTAGATAATGAAATTGGAGGCAGTTTCACCTTGGGATAACCTGTTTCCATTGTTTAATTAAAAATATACATTTTACAGGCTCTGTATAAATGATATGGCTTCATCGGCACAATAGACTCTTTCACGAAACTGCTCTAATTATACTGCGGAATTACCTGGGATCCTTACAGTCAAAATGAATGAATCCCAATCTTTTCAATATCATATAGGCAAAGATGGCTTCTTGCTTTAAAATATCCCTCCACGTTCTTTGTTATCTTGGCAGTGAAAGCCAGATGTGCCTGCTGTATAAACAGACATCCTTGTTTTCAGTGTCTTGTCTTATAGTACAGAAAAGCATTGTTCATAAAATAAAATATAACTCCCATTCACACAAAGAAGGGAAAGAAACAGTAAGCATGTAGCGAATGATTCCTGACAGACAAATAATTAACAGCCGACTGCCAACAAGGTACGATGATCTGGAGCAGTGTAATAATTATAAGTCATTCTGGTGAGAGGGCTCTTTTTATTTTTATTTTTTCTTTTTTGACCCCCGAGCAAGTACACAAAGGCATACGAGAGAAAAAAAAAAAAGCCTATTTAACACAATTATCCCCCACCTGCCCATCGTTGCACTTCCTGTTGTCACACCTTGTCGGTACTCAGAACAGCTTCATGTCAGCAGTGAGAGGTTTCTAAATAATACATTAAAACGGAGCTCATCATTTCCCTTCATCCTTATTTTTCTGTGTCACCGAGCTGGAATTCTATTCTCATGTTCATTTCAAATTTCCATCCTCATCCTGGGCTGCCAAGTTGGGCGGGGGTGGGAGGGCGAAATAAAGAGCCCTATGAAAGAGAGAGAATGTCATGTGGAAATAATTGTTTGGGATCAACAGGCAAACAAAAAACGAAGTGCAAATTGCAGGTGGAAAGAAAGATGCTCATTACCCCGTGACACAAAAATGTATGTCTTTCCTGTCCATACATGGCTGTGGTCCATGGGGACTTTGAGATCATCAGTTGAGTTTGACATTGTGTTCTGTCATAGCTGTAAAGAAACGACTGCAATATGGAAACTATATAGGGAATAGCACCTGATAGATGGAAATAAAAACTCCTGTGAAATAACTCTTGTAGAACCAAGCCCCATAGATTATGGCCTTGAGTGTAATTTGCATTTCAAACCCTATATTAGTATTTTCCAAAAGTTATTTTTAACTATGTCATAAAGTATTTACTTGACCAGAAAAAATCATTTGAGTATTCTCAGAACAAAAGTCTTGATAAATCTTTGAAATCACACTGTTCTTTTCATGTATGGTATTCTCTCAAGAATAGTGACACAATCAGGAAATTGAGAGTCTAATAAAATGCTCCCAATAATAATTTGTATTCCTTTTACTATATTGAATATTTTCAAGTGATTGTGTTCCTATCAGGAAATCTGGAGCATAATCAAAATAATGATTTATTTTCCAAAAAGTTTTTACCTTAACATTATTTAATGCCAAATCTGCTTCCTGCTAAGATTAAAAATATATTTATCAACATGAATTCTCACATAAACATAGGAAATAGAAAACAAGGGGGAAAAAAGCTTCTACTAGATGACAAGCCCAGGATTTTGTCATATCTAAATCAGAAGCACTGCCCTAGAAAATTCTTAGGGAAAAGGAAAAGACTTTTTCCAGCTCAAGTAGAAACGCATTTTAGTGCTTCTCCCCCGGTATCCCCTCAAGTGCTTAGTTTCTCTTATCCTTAGTGTCCCCAGAATAAAAACATACAGGTACTGTGTGAACAAAACCACCCTCACTTCTGTTCTCCCACAGCCATACAAAGAGCTTTTATGTCTCTGCTTTTCATAACTAAGAATCCAAGCAGGCAATCCAAATGTAAGTAACAGACAAGTCTATTTGAATTTACTATTTCAAGTTAAAATGATACTGGTAGATAATTACTATAATTACAAGATATTTTAATATTATTATTAGTATTGGACTATAAGCCCCGTAGAGGAGACGGGTCCCTGCACATCTTATAAAGGAAATGTGTGTATTATTTCAGCAATTTAATAAAATAAAATATTACATTTTACATGACAGATTCTAAAGTCTTTAAGAACCTTAAGGGTAAACACATATATTAAAGTCTCTGAGGGCATCATGAAAATTTCTAGAACCCTGAGGAAAACATGTCATCAGCATTTGCTGAATTGATGTATGTTTGATATTTAGTCATCAGGTGGGTTAAAGCTCAGCTCAAAACATGGTTTCAAAACATGGTTCAAAACATGCTTCCTGCCAGGCAAGGTGGCTCATGCCTGTAATTCTAGCATTTGGGAAGGTGAGGTGGGAGGATCTCTTGAGACCAGGAGTTTGAGACCAGCCTGGCAACATAGCAAGACTCCATCTCTACAAAAATTAAAAATTAGCTAGGTGTGGTGGCATGCGCCTGTAGTCTCAGCTACTCAGGAAGCTTAAGTGGGGGGATCATTTGAGCCCAAGAGGTCAAGATTGCAGTGAGTTATGAATATATCACCTCACTCCAGCCTGGGTGACAGAGTGAGACTGTTACTCAAACAAAACAAAACAAAACAAACAAAAAAAAACAAGGCTCCATCACTTACTCAGTGTGTGACCTGGGAAAACTACCTATATTAGTCCGTTCTCACACTGCTGATAAAGATATACCCGAGACTGGGCAATTTACAAAAGAAAGAGGTTTCACAGACTTACAGTTCCACATGGCTGGGGAGGCCTCACAATCAGGGTAGAAGGCAAGGAGGAGTAAGTCACGTCTTACAGGGATGGCAGCAGGCAAAAAGAGAGCTTGTGCAGGGGAACTCCCATTTCTGAAACCATCAGATCTTGTGAGACCCGCTCACCATCACAATAACAGTGCAGAAAAGACCCACCCCCATAATTCAATCACCCCCCACAGGGTCCCTCCCACAACAAGTGGAAATTCAAGATGAGATTTGGGTGGGGACACAGCCAAACCATATCACTACCTACCCCTTCCAGGCCTCGATTTTCACCATTATAAAATATATTAACAGACCAGTTGCATTTGCTTAGCTGGGGTGATAATCAAATGAGATCATCTGTAAAATGTACAGAGAGTGATGCCTAGTACACAGTAAGTGTTCAGTGAATATTTCCTCAAGAATAGTGACACTGTTTTTATTATTTTTATATTTATACTGGCTTTTATTCTAAATAGGATCTAATTTTTTAGATTTTATATACTGCATAAATTTACTTCAAGGTAATCTTGCTGTGACATTTTTCTTTAAAAATAAAAATTCCTTTGCCTTATCTTTTACAATAAAGACAAATACTGAAACATCAGAAAGAAAATGTGACAGAAATTTTTAATAGGCTTCAAATTACATAAATAATTACATAATATTTGAAGTAGTACTAGCTTAGCATAATTTTTCCCCTACTGAGAACATACTAAATTTTCTATAAGACACTGCATCATATCCTAGAAACATAATAAATATGGCAAACATATCTTATGCTTTCAACATCTATTGAGTGGATTGAAGCACAGTTTAGTATCTTGCCCAAGGTAAGCTAGTTAGATCTAAAGCCAGCTCTACAACCCAAGCAACCTGACCCTCAATACTCACTGTTAGTCATTATTCTTACTGGTTAAGTAGTATCTTGAGTATCACCATACTAAAAATGTGCTGTTGTAAACTAACTATAAATACATCCACCTGTTGCAATTATCTGCAAAGAAAACTAGAGATCCTGAAGACATTTGATATGATAAAACCTCATTTGCAGGAAAGTAAATGCAAGTTTTCTGATAAGAATTGCATTAAAATTCCAAAAAGATTTCAATTGTCTAATCTCTTTAGAATACTTTTAACACAAAAATAAATTTGCACACATGATAACATAAACATATTGTTATAGCTTAAAATGAAGGAACAACCTTGGGAAAGAAAATACTTGTTGATTTCAAAGACAAATATCAAGCTCCAAAACTGCTACCATCATAAGGAATACCAATAGCTAGGTAATCAAATATTCCTATTCCAATTCTTTAAAATAAAAAATGGAAATGCCAGAGCTTACAACGGCTGAGGTTGGAGAAAACTCTTTTTAGTAGTGGAAATGTAAAGTCAACATGTCAGTGGCTCCAATTGTGGAGGATTTTCATCCCAAAATTGGTTCTTTGTTAATCCAATGTAGACGTATCGACTCATTTCATTACCATATTAACATCAAAATGTTAAACTCAGCCAGAGGAGAAGATTAAAAATTGTAGATCTCCTAGAAATAGTAATTTAGGTCCCTCCACAAACACATGGCATTTCAGGTGAGCACAGAATTCCAGTGGTGTTGGAACAACTCTTCATGTGATATAAGTTATTATAAGGAGAGAATGGCAGAGAGTGGGAATAGGGGAATCTCCAGGATCCTGGATTTTGTTGCTTTTTCTTTTTCAATTGTCGTTTTTACTTCAGTGTAAACTCTGGTTTTCAATTCAGCATTATGAAATAAAAAGTAAAATAAAATGCTAGAGTTTGATTTAGTGCTTACTCTAGGAGGCAGACAGGCATACATTGTATAGCGTGCTCCTTTAGATATTCAACCATCAACATCTGCATGCATTAGAAAAATCTTTTTGTATCAAAATACCATGAAAAAATTAAGGGCTGTTATTAATCTCCATTCTACAGTTGGTGTTTTAATGGATTCATTATTACTTTTGGTATGTTAAGGCCAACAGATCAGGAAACAACTGTCATTGAAAAGGTAAATTATTCTACTTAGAGTTCCCAAAAGACGGAGTAAATATCATGCCACCCGCATGTGGGGACACACAGAGAATCAGCAGGGTCAGTCACAAAACAGAGGGAGGGGAAGACAACCTTTACTGTGGTTTCTGTAGGAAGGAACAGGTGATGCAGGGTAAGCAAGCTTAGCATTGACTGGTTTGAATAATTTCAGGGGCCTCTGAGGCATAGAGGCTGTCCCTAGCTGTCTGGTACCGGGCCTGGGGTGATTAGGGCAGGTAGATGGTGGCCCAGAGTCTGACAGCCCAATCGGAGAGGGGGTTGGGAAGTAGACTTAATCAGCTACCTAAGGAGAGGGACTGACTGGCCTCTAGCCAGGGCCTCAAAACCGAGTCAAGAAAGCATTTTAAAAACTGTATCACGTGGTTTAATGAATTCAGAAACAAGCCTTCTAGTTCACTGTAGTCCATGAGAACCCCAGAAGTTCTTCTTTTAAATGGAGGAAAAAAGAGATTTTTAGCAACAAGCTCACAGATTTCCTCTCTCAACTCACATCCAACTTAGGAAAGTAGCCTCTCCCCAAAAGCATTTATTCTAAGTTAGGAAGCTCATTGATTTTATTTTGGCTTTTGCTCAAGATTTAACTTGACACATATGATAAGCATGTATATTTAATCCAAACTTGTGCAATGAATATTTTTATAAGAAAATTTAGTCACCCTTTCATAGAATGAAGCTTTAAAATAGTTACTATATTTGTATTTCCTTCCGAGGTCAAATGCTGTGCAGAATGCCTTACATGCATTGAATCTAATCTATTATTATCTCCATTTTGCAGATGAGAAGACTAATAATGCTCAGAGATGTCAGATAACCACTCACTGTCCCTCAGTCATGGTGATTCAGAAGGGTGTTCAAAACTGGGTATATGTGGCTTCAACATACTCTTCTAACTATGCCAAATTGCCTCTCAGTTCCACGTAACTACCTCAGTATGCTTACTTCAATAAACAGCTACCTGAGTGTGTCTACACTGAAAAGTATTTTTTTCTGCTCTCACAATTGCAGCAATAGTCTCCCTTAGGATTTTTAAACAATCAGTATTATACAGATCACTCAGCTTAATCCTAAAGAAATTATAGAGATACTGTTTTCTCTCTCCATAATAATAACTCAGTTTAGTCCAATCCGTGTTTTCAAGTCTATGTCTAGAAGATCCATGTCAGGGGGCTCAAGACATGATCCAGACCCACAAGGAGACTACCCTGAATCAGTGGACAGCTAACTAATAGACCATTTGATCTCCCTTGCTCCCTAGGAGGCTGAGACCTGAAGTTAAACACCTGGCCCTTGGTGTCTGTAGCTAACGGGCAGTAGGCCTCTCTTGGTGCAGATTCATGTTCTTCCCACTAATGTGTTATGCTTTCAGAAAAATGAAATTTTCCCCAATAGTAGCAGTGCCAAATTATTTCCAAATTCAAATTTCAACTGAGTAAAACTGTAGAGTAAGAAATGTTATTTTAGAGTCAGATCTCTTTCTGGCATCTGAGTATTCAAATAAGATGTCCTCCACTGTTGAAAGGACCAAAAAAAGAAGCCTGCCCCACCCCATTCCTCCAAGTCATCCAAGGTCATGGCCAGTCCACTTCCCAGAGAACCGAGCTGCTCCATCATCACACGTCAGCATGGAGTGGAGCCAATGGAACAGCTGCATTCCTAATAGCCCAACCCACCTTTTGCCTTGAAGGTACCAAGAAATCAACCATAGCAAGTGTGAGCAGGATGGGGTGGTAGAGCAGACAATGAGGAGAAAGAGGGCAAAATGGAATCCTACATTATGTTTTACGTAATCCTCAAAAGAGAGGTGTAACATGGGATTGGTATGTGCTATCGTTTAAATGTATCCCCCAAAAAAACATGTTTGAAAAGCGTAATCCCCAGTGCAACAGTGTTGGGAGGTGGGGCCTGGTGAGAGGTGATTAGGCAGTGAAGGCTCCACTCTCATTAATGAATTAGTGTTATTATCATGGAAGTGGATTAATGATCACAGAAGTGGGGTCACTATAGAAGGGTGAGTTTGGTTCACTTTCTCTGTCTTGCCCTCTCTTTGCCCTTCCACCTTCTACCATGAGTTGAAGCAGCAAGAAGGCCTTTGCCAGACACTGGCCCCTCAATCTTGGGCTTCCCAGCTTCCATAACTGTGAGTCAATAAATTTCTGTTCCTTGGCCAGGCACGGTGGCTCACGTCTGTAATGCCAGCACTTTGAGAGGCTAAGGCGGGCAAATCAAGAGGTCAGAAGATTGAGACCATCCTGGCCAACATGGTGAAATCCCATCTCTACTAAAAATACAAAAATTAGCCAGGTGTGGTGGCGCACACCTGTAGTCCCACCTACTCAGGAGGCTGAGGCAGGAGAATCGCTTGAACCTGGGAGGCAGAGGCTGCAGTGAGCCGAGATCACACCACTGCACTCCAGCCTGGGTGACAGAGTGAGACTCTGTCTCAAAAATAAATAAAAATAAATAAATAAATAAATAGATAAATAAATGTCTGTTCCTTATAAATCACCAGTCTAATATTCTATTATAGCAGCCAAAAATGAACTAAGACAGTGTGAATGGTTATATGACAGGAATGCTAGGATCCACATGCCATTTACATGTTTATATTTGTAAATATAAATACACATAAACATTAACTCGAATTTCTTTTCCTCATAAATTTATCCATGCCTAGAGATGCATATTAAACTATCCATGCAGTTATTCTATCCCTATGTTTAGAGTCAATGATTAAAAATATTTAATTCATATGGATTATTATTTGATAAGATAACTGACAATTGCAATGAATGTGAAGAAAGACTAATGAGAAAATATAAACTGAGAACAAATAAATTGGGAAGGCATCTCAGTTATTAACAGAAATTGTTCTCTGCAAGTATAACATTTTATAGATTGGGGCCAACTGTCTAGTTGCTAAATACCTTACTTAGTGGGTAATTAAAAATCTAACTGTGTCTATTTGTCATAAAACATCTGGTCAGTCTGGTAAAAAGTCAGATCTTTTCCAAGTATAATATAGACACAGAAACCAAGGGTACTATTTATAGGAAACTATAAATTTTAACAGCAGTTAGTCTTTTATGAAAAGATGAAAGATGCAGTGTTGCAGGCATGAGTGAGACACAGTCTGACATTTATTTAGTAATATTATTAGACACTATGAAATCACAACATTGAAAAGTAGAGTTTTACTTAAGGAAAAGAAAAGCACTTGTTTTCTTCTTTTTTTTTTCTTTTTTTGGACCAACATGGGTATATTTTCTAATTTAAATCCTCATCTCTAATGAAAACATGTTTTGTTATGCTACTGTTTGACATCTTGACTGGTTTAGGCACAAGCCAGAAACTGCTCAGCACCCTTTACAACTAGTGTCTACCCAAGGGTTTATCTATGTCCATAAAAGGCTCCTTTCCCCCACCACCCCCATCCATGGCACTCTCACATGGTATTTCAGCAGTCTTCCTTAGAAAACAGCTTTCTCTGTAATTTGTACCTCCCCTAACCCCAGGCCCCAGCCCTTAGCATTTCACCAGCTCCTTTGACTCACGGTATAGGCCCAGGTGCCCTGGCCAACTCAAGGACAGAAGAAGGAGCTTCTCTTTGTTCTTCACGTGGAAATCTCAAATCAGAAAAACCCTCGTCTTCAACCTGACCCTGGAAACCAGTTTCACCCCAATATCCTCCCGTTGCTCTTTCAGGATTAGCATTCAACAGGAAATTGTAAGACAGGATTGTTCACTGGGGAGAAAAATTAAGATTTAAATTTCTATAGATAAATTATTCAGATGAAAGTTATTCCTACTTGGATTTTACAGTGAACTGGAATTTTTTTTATCATCCAGAGAAGTTTCCTTTGTGGAAAAAGGAGCCTGGAATAGTACTACCAAGGCTCTCCTTGAATTCCACTGGACTCCATATAAAGCCATTCATTTATTTCCTCACACTTTCATTCAACAATGACTTATTAAGCTCCTGTTATGGCCTAGGCTTTATGCTAAGCATTGAGGAGACAATGATAACCAAATAATTGCCACCTCTGCTGCTGTGGAGGTGACATTGTACTTATGCATCTAATAGTCTAAAACAAGGATTATGGATGGAAATTTCTTGGAAGGTTTCAAAGAAGGAAGCAACAATTTTGAGCATAAAAAGATTATTATTATTGTAGCTAGATTAGACTGTCAGTGGGACCTGGGAGGGTTTGAGAGTAGAATCAGAGAGGCCAAATAGGAAGTAGTTTCATTAAATAATGGTGACTTAAAAGAGTGTGGGGGTAGTGAGCAGTGGTGGAATTCAGAATTTATTATAAGGTGTAGCTACCAGTATTTGCTGACAAACTGAATGCAAAGTTGGAGAAAACAAGAAAAGTCAAAGATAAAGGATGACAGACAGAAGATGAAATATTCAAGAACATCTTTTCGATATTCATCAAATCAGAAGAAAGCCAGAATGCTTGCCCAAGAACTCAAGAGAAGGAATCTGAAGCATAGTTATCCAATTGCTGCCAGTAACTTGTGGAGAAATGTTGAGAGCACTGTTTCTGAGGAGGCCTGTCAGAAAATTTAATAAGGTTCTATGGTGGTAAATACATGTAGTCAAAATTTGTAGCTACCTATCAATGCTAAAGCTTTTTATTTTAAACTTCTGAGCTTACAGTTTAAATATGTCTTTAAAAAATTATAATTCTGACTTCCCAGAAAAACACAACATGTTGACTATACAGCAAAACACACAGGCTTTGGATCCATGGTAGCGTTCCACTGATAATGGTAAATAAACTTCAGATCTAATCCTGGATCTTCATCCATTTAAAAGGTCTACTCTTTTTATTTCATCTAGTTCCTGGTAAATTTTACCATAGATATTGAAAAGACTAACTTATGACTAAAAATATATAGTAAAATATATTAAAAGATAAACATATATTAAACAACCCTCTCCAAACCCCAATCCCAATGAAAGCAGCCTTCAGAACTATCTGTCTACCTTTCTACCTACTTACCTCACAAGGGGTGTCAAGGGAAGACACATATATGAGATGTATGGTTCTTGGTTTAAGATATCAGAGTAGTGCTCAATAAAACTAAATGCGTGCTGAGAGTAGGTGTGCCTGGGCTTCTCCTCTCAAATGGTGTTTACTGCCATCCTTTACCACCCAGCTGCTGCAGTGGGTCCCACTTTCTCAATATCCTGCTTTTGCTGAAGCCTGCCCTAGCTTTATTTAAGTACAGAACTAGTTAAACAGCATTTGGGCAGATATGGGCCTTGACCTCCTTTACAGGCACTACATGGGAACTAGATCCTCTGCAGCCACATAAACCTGGTTTCTCGGATGTGTTCAAAAAGAAACAGAACCTGGAGCTCTGTTGAACACTGTTCATATGTGACAGAATGACCTGAAACCAGTCGAGTCAGAATCATTGCACTACTCAGACAATGCTAAACGCATTTAATTAAAAGGAGTAAAATGATTTTTAGCAATGTTTTAACAACAGAAAATTTACCATGGACGGTCTTTTTATAGAACTGTAAAACATCTGAAAGTTCAATCAATCGTTTAGTTTCTTATGAATAATTTTTTTTAAACGCCACCAAGAACCAGGCCTCCTGAGCACTGGCCAGTAGCTTCTTTCTGGAAATACACAAACATGTACATATCTCTATACCAAAAACTGGTGTAAAAATTTCCACAACATAAAAGAGCTGCTTTGTGTATGTTTTCTGACCCCCAGAGAAATGCTAATAAATTCGCATTCAAAGGACATTATGTGTTCATTCTACTTCTATAAAGTCTCCTTCGGTGCAGTTTGCCCCAGGGGCAAATGTGCCAAACTATGAAAAAATATTTAAAATATCATCATTCTCATCTGCTACTTCACTTTAACTTTTATTGAAACATTCAGACGTTGTTAAAGGACAAGAAAGTTGTTTGGGGATGTTTCTGTTGTTGGGAACAACAGCTAGGTAAATGAGTGCTATTAGTGAAGGTAAAAAATCTTCCCAGGAACTTCATTCTCTAGACTTGCATGGCAATAGACTGCTATTTTAATGATTGCATACATTAAAAGTGCCGAGGCTTGATAGATAATTGATAAAACAGAATGGATTAGATTCAGAAACTGGTTAGGATTTAGCAGAGCACTAGCCTTGCCGCCAATAGGCTTTCTAACCTCATCCACATGACATTTTCAGAGGTGTATCATTTGCTGGATAGAATATAGTATCACTCACCCAGGCACGTTGGCTCATGCCTGTAATTCCAGCACTTTGGGAGCCCAAGGCAGGCAGTTCACTTGAGGTCAGGAGTTCGAGACCAGCCTGGCCAACATGGTGAAACCACACCTCTACAAAAATACAAAAATTAGCTGGGCATCATGGCAGGCACCTGTAATCCCAGCTACTCAGGAGGCTGAGGGAGGAACATTGCTTGAACCTGAGAGGCAGAGGTTGCAGTGAGCCGAGATTGTGCCACTGCACTCCAGCCTGGGTGACAGAGCGAGACCCTGCCTCAAAAAAAAAAAAAAAAAAAAAAAAAAAAAAATATATATATATATATATATATATAATAGATAGATAGATAGATATAGATATAGATAGTATCACTAACACACAAAGAACTTCCCAAACTTTCCATGGTCTCAAATGGAAGTGTGTTAAACAAGCAAGAGAAAAGACTGACCACTCTGCTTCAAAGACAGCTACAGGCCCTCATGTAGGAAAATCCATGTGGGGAACACTGACTGTCTTCACTACCTCCAAGGGCAAAAATAGCAGCAAAGCCCAGAAACACCACGAGGACTGAAGTTTGGATCATGATTAACAATATACACAAATCCTTACATAAAATCTAAATTTGTTATATTATACAGTACGTGTTAGTTAATGACCACTGAAAAATCATCAAATTAGTAAAAAAAAACAACTTTTCCTATCATATTATTCTTAATGTAATAGATCATTTATGATGCTTATAAACTTTGGTGTTGGCATTCAATACATTAAAGTGGGGATTATTTAAAACATCACAGAAAAACGTACTCTATATTTAATCTTTTACCCCAAAGCTAATTGTGTTTTTATAATACCTCTTGCTATTCTGATAGCTCCAAATTATGATAGTTATGTAAATATAATGTAAGAGAAAATATATAAGAAAAAAACTAATAGAATATAAGAGAAAAGAGTGTTGGGAGGGATATTTTTCTTTTTTTTTTTTTTTTTTTTTGAAATAAATCCTTTATTTTTAATAATTTCGTTCTCAATTTCAGACAATAGCTTAAAGAAACAAAAAGGCTCTCAGTAAGTTCAGCTCCACAACTACAGCAAACCTTTGGTTTAAAAAACTTATTTTGAGAATTACCAAGTTGAATATAAAAGCAGTTTATATTCAACTTGGGAGGGATATTTTTCAAATGACTTTATCGTTTCCGAAGTGCTTACTTTCGCTTGCTAAGGCTTCAAACAAAGCTATTTCTGAAAATGACCAAGCTCCAGCTGTGCCAACAGTTTCCAGCCTTAGTCAAATGCTGTTTGGTAGCAGCAGCTATGCTTAACAACTGAAGCTCTAGACTTGGCCCTACCTATCCCCTGCTGCATGGTGCATTTCCCCTGGGAGTGGTTTTTGCTATCATTTTTGTTCAATGATCTCATTCATGAGTCCTCAAAATGGAAATGTCTGAAACTCAACTACTTTTCTCTCGAAATATCCCATGACCCCATCCACAAATGTGCCGAACCTCACTTTGGCAACTTTCAAGTTCTCCATGTCAAAGACTGGGAGACATGGGGACCCCACCCCTGGCACTGCAGACCCCAGCCTATAGTATCAGAGCCCTTTGTTTCACCTATGGATAAGTTGCTCAAGCTCTTTACATCCATTGCCCATTCTCTCTTCTGTATCTTCAAACTTCTTTTTTTTTTTTTTTAATCATACTTTAAGTTCTAGGATACATGTGCACAACATGCAGGTTTGTTACATATGTATACATGTGGCATGTTAGTGTGCTGCACCCATTAACTTGTCATTTACATTAGGCATATCTCCTAATGCTATCCGTCTCCCCTCACCCTACCCAACAGGTCCTGGTGTGTGATGTTCCCCTTCCTGTGTCCAAGTGTTCTCATTATTCAATTCCTACCTATGAGTGAGAACATGCGGTGTTTGGTTTTTTTGTCCTTGAGATAGTTTGCAAAGAATGATGGCTTCCAGCTTCATCCATGTCCCTACAAAGGACATGAACTCATCCTTTTTTATGGCTGCATAGTATTCCATGGTGTAGATGTGCCACATTTGCTTAATCCAGTCTATCATTGATGGACATTTGGGTTGGTTGCAAGTCTTTGCTATTGTGAATAGTGCTGCAATGAACATACATGTGCATGTGTCTTTGTAGCAGCATAATTTATAATCCTTTGGGTATATACCCAATAATGGGATGGCTGGGTCAAATGGTATTTCTAGTTCTAGATCCTTGAGGAATCACCACACTGACTTCCACAATGGTTGAACTAGTTTACAGTCCCGCCAACAGTGTAAAAATGTTCCTATTTCTCCACATCCTCTCCAGCACCTGTTGTTTCCTGACTTTTTAATGATCGCCATTCTAACTGGTGTGAGATGGTATCTCATTGTGGTTTTGATTTGCATTTCTCTGATGGCCAGTGATGATGAGCATTTTTTCACGTGTCTGTTGGCTGCATAAATGTCTTCTTTTGAGAAGTGTCTGTTCATATCCTTCACCCACTTTTTGATGGGGTTGTTTTTTTCTTGTAAATTTGTTTCAGTTCTTTGTAGATTCTGGATATCAGCCCTTTGTCAGATGAGTAGATTGTAAAAATTTTCTCCCATTCTGTAGGTTGCCCATTCACTCAGATGGTAGTTTCTTTTGCTGTGCAGAAGCTCTTTAGTTTAATTAGATCCCATTTGTCAATTCTGGCTTCTCTTGCCATTGCTTTTGGTGTTTTAGACATGAAGTCATTGCCCATGCCTATGTCCTTAATAGTATTGCCTAGGTTTTCTTCTAGAGTTTTTATGGTTTTAGGTCTAACTTTAAGTCTTTAATCCATCTTGAATTAATTTTGGTATAAGGTGTAAGGAAGGGATCCAGTTTCAGCTTTCTACATACGGCCAGCCAGTTTTCCCAGCACCATTTATTAAATAGGGAATCCTTTCCCCATTTCTGGTTTTTGTCAGGTTTGTCAAAGATCAGATGGGTGTAGATGTGTGGTATTATTTCTGTGGGCTCTGCTCTGTTCCATTGGTCTATATCTCTGTTTTGGTACCAGTACCATGCTGTTTTGGTTACTATAGCCTTGTAGTATAGTTTGAAGTCAGGTAGCGTGATGCCTCCAGTTTTGTTCTTTTGGCTTAGAATTGTCTTGGCAATGCTGGCCCTTTTTTGTTTCCATATGAACTTTAAAGTAGTTTTTTCCAATTCTGTGAAGAAAGCCATTGGTAACTTGATGCGGATGGCATTGAATCTGTAAATTACCTTGGGCAGTATGGCCATTTTCACAATATTGATTCTTCCTATCCATGAGCATGAAATGTTCTTCTATTTGTTTATGTCCTCTTTTATTTCATTGAGCAGTGGTTTGTAGTCCTCCTTGAAGAGGTCCTTTACATCCCTTGTAAATTGGATGCCTAGGTATTTTATTCTCTTTGAAGCAATTGTGAATGGGAGTTCACTCATGATTTGGCTCTCTGTTTGTCTGTTATTGGCGTATAAGAATGCTTGTGATTTTTGCACATTGATTTTGTATCCTGGGACTTGGCTGAAGTTGCTTATCAGCTTAAGGAGATTTTGGGCTGAGATGATGGGGTTTTCTAAATATACAATCATGTCATCTGCAAACAGGGACAATTTGACCTCCTCTTTTCCTAACTGCATACCCTTTATTTCTTTCTTCTGTCTGATTGCCCTGGCCAGAACTTCCAACACTATGTTGAATAGGAGTGGTGAGAGAGGGCATCCCTGTCTTGTGCCAGTTTTCAAAGGGAATGCTTCCAGTTTTTGCCCATTCAGTATGATATTGGCTGTGGGATTGTCATAAATAGCTCTTATTATTTTGAGATATGTCCCATCAATACCTAATTTATTGTGAGTTTTTAGCATGAAAGGCTGTTGAATTTTGTCAAAGGCCTTTTCTGCATCTGTTGAGATAATCAAGTGGTTTTTGTCTTTGGTTCTTTTTATATGCTGGATTATGTTTATTGGTTTCTGTATGTTGAACCTGCCTTGCATCCCAGGGATGAAGCCCACTTGATCATCGTGGATAAGCTTTTTGATGTGCTGCTGGATTCAGTTTGCCAGTATTTTATTGAGGATTTTTGCATCGATGTTCATCAGGGACATTGGTCTAAAATTCTCTTTTTTTGTTGTGTCTCTGCCAGGCTTTGGTATCAGGATGATGCTGGCCTCATAAAATGAGTTAGGGAGGATTCCCTCTTCTTCTATTGATTGGAATAGTTTCAGAAGGAATGGTACCAGCTCCTCCTTGTACCTCTGGTAGAATTCGGCTGTGAATCTGTGTGGTCTGTCTGGATGTTTTTTGGTTGGTAGGCTATTAATTATTGCCTCAATTTCAGAGCCTGTTATTGGTCTATTCAGGGATTCAACTTCTTCCTGGTTTAGTTTTGGGAGGGTGTATGTGTCCAGGAATTTATCCATTTCTTCTAGATTTTCTAGTTTATTTGTGTAGAGGTGTTTATAGTATTCTATGATGGTAGTTTGTATTTCTGTGGGATCGGTGGTGATATCCCCTTTATCATTTTTTATTGTGTCTATTTGATTCTTCTCTCTTTTCTTCGTTATTAGTCTTGCTAGTGGTCTATCAGTTTTGTTGATCTTTTCAAAAAACAAGCTCCTGGATTCATTGAATTTTTTGAAGGGTTTTTTGTGTCTCTATCTCCTTCATTTCTGCGCTGACCTTAGTTATTTCTTGCCTTCTGCTAGCTTTTGAATGTGTTTGCTCTTGCTTCTCTAGTTCTTTTAATTGTGATGTTAGGGTGTCAATTTTAGATCTTTCCTGCTTTCTCTTGTGGGCACTTAGTGCTATAAATTTCCCTCTACACACTGCTTTAAATGTGTCCCAGAGATTCTGGTCTGTTGTGTCTTTGTTCTCATTCATTTCAAAGAACATCTTTATTTCTGCCTTCCTTTTGTTATCTACCCAATAGTCATTCAGGAGCAGGTTGTTCAGTTTCCATGTAGTTGAGTGGTTTTGAGTGAGTTTCTTAATCCTGAGTTCTAATTTGATTGCATTGTGGTCTGAGAGACAGTTTGTTATAATTTCTGTTCTTTTTCATTTGCTGAGGAGTGCTTTACTTCCAACTATGTGGTCAGTTTTGGAATAGGTGTAATGTGGTGCTGAGAAGAATGTATATTCTGTTGATTTAGGGTGGAGAGTTCTGTAGATGTCTATCAGGTCTGCTTGGTGCACAGCTGGGTTCAATTCCTGGATATCCTTATTAACTTTCTTTCTCGTTGATCTGTCTAATGTTGACAGTGGGATGTTAAAGTCTCCCATTATTTTTGTGTGGGAGTCTAAGTCTCTTTGTAGGTCTCTAAGGACTTGCTTTATGAATCTGGGTGCTCCTGTATTGGGTGCATATATATTTAGGATAGTTAGCTCTTCTTGTTGAATTGATCCCTTTACCATTATGTAATGGTCTTCTTTGTCTCTTTTGATCTTTGTTGGTTTAAAGTCTGTTTTATCAGAGACTAGGATTGCAAACCCTGCCTTTCTTTGTTTTCCATTTGCCTACTAGATCTTCCTCCATCCCTTTATTTTGAGCCTATGTGTGTCTCTGCAAGTGACATGGGTCTCCTGAATACAGCACACTGAAGGGTCTTGATTCTTTATCCAATTTGCCAGTTTGTGTCTTTTAATTGGAGCATTTAGCCCATTTACATTTAAGTTTAATATGGTTATGTGTGAATTTGATCCTGTCATTATGATGTTAGCTAGTTATTTTGCTCGTTAGTTGATGCAGTTTCTTCCTAGCATTGATGATCTTTACAATTTGGCATGTTTTTGCAGTGGCTGGTATTGGTTGTTCCTTTCCATGTTTAGTGCTTCCTTCAGGAGCTCTTTTAGGGCAGGCCTGGTGGTGACAAAAATCTCACAGCATTTGGTTTTCTGTAAAGGATTTTATTTCTCCTTCACTTATGAAGCTTAGTTTGGCTGGATATGAAACTCTGGGTTGAAAATTCTTTAAGAATGTCGGATATTGGCCCCCGCTCTCTTCTGGCTTGTAGAGTTTCTGCCAAGAGATCCACTGTCAGTCTGATGGGCTTCCCTTTGAGGGTAACCCGACCTTTCTCTCTGGCTGCCCTTAACATTTTTTCCTTCATTCCAACTTTGGTGAATCTGACAATTATGTATCTTGGAGTTGCTCTTCTCGAGGAGTATCTTTGTGGCGTTCTCTGTATTTCCTGAATTTGAATGTTGCCCTGCCTTGCTAGGTTGGGGATGTTCTCCCGGATAATATCCTGCAGAGTGTTTTCCAACTTGATTCCATTTTTCCAGTCACTTTCAGATACACCAATCAGATGTAGATTGGGTCTTTTCACATAGTCCCATATTTCTTGAAGGCTTTATTCGTTTCTTTCTACTCTTTTTTCTCCAAACTTCTCTTTTCACTTCATTTCATTCATTTGATCTTCAATCACTGATACCCTTTCTTCCAGTTGATTGAATCGGCTACTGAAGCTTGTGCATTCATCACGTAGTTCTCGTGCCATGGTTTTCAGCTCCATCAGGTCATTTAAGGACTTCTCTACACTGCTTATCTAGTTAGCCATTCGTCTAATCTTTTTTCAAGGTTTTTAGCTTCTTTGTGATGGCTTCGAGCTTCCTCCTTTAGCTCGGCGAAGTTTGATCGTCTGAAGCCTTCTTCTCTCAACTTGTCAAAGCCTTTCTCCAACCAGCTTTGTTCCGTTGCTGGTGAGGAGCTGTGTTCCTTTGGAGAGGGAGAGGTGCTCTGATTTTTAGAATTTTCAGCTTTTCTGCTCTGTTTTTTCCCCATCTTTGTGGTTTTATCTACCTTGGTCTTTGATGATGGTGATGTACAGATGGGGTTTTGGTGTGGATATCCTTTCTGTTTGTTAGTTTTCCTTCTAACAGTCAGGACCTTCAGCTGCAGGTCTGTTGACGTTTGCTGGAGGTCCACTCCAGACCCTGTTTGCCTGGGTATGAGCAGCGAAGGCTGCGGGACAGCGAATATTGCTGAACAAATGTTGCTGCCTGATCATTCCTCTGGAAGCTTCATCTCAGAGCAGTACCCGGCTGTGTGAGGTGTTGGTCTGCCCCTACTGGGGGGTGCCTCCCAGTTAGGCTACTCGGGGGTCAGGGACCCACTTGAGGTGGCAGTCTGTCCATTCTCATCTCTGAATCTCCATGCTGGGAGAACCACTACTGTCTTCACAGCTGTCAGACAGGGACATTTAAGTCTGCAGAGGTTTCTGCTGCCTTTTGTTTGGCTATGCCCTGCCCCCAGAGATGGAGTGTACAGAGGCAGGCAGGCATCCTTGAGCTGTAGTGGGCTCCACCCAGTTCGAGCTTCCCAGCCACTTTGTTTACCTACTCAAGGCTCAGCAATGGTGGGCGCCCCTCCGCCAGCCTTGCTGCCACCTTGCAGTTCAATCTCAGACTGCTGTGCTAGCAATGAGCGAGGCTCCGTGGGTGTGTGACCCTCCGAGCCAGGCATGGGAAATAATCTCCTGGTGTGCCATTTGCTAAGACCATTGGAAAAGCGCAGTATTAGGGTGGGAGTGACCTGATTTTCCAGATGCCATCTATCTGGAATAGATGCTTCGCTTGGCTAGGAAGGGGAATTCCCTGACCTCTTGTGCTTCCCAGCTGAGGCTACGCCTCACCCTGCTTTGGCTCACGCTCGGTGGGCTGCACCCACTGTCCGACAAGCCCCAGTGAGATGAACCTAGTACCTCAGTTGGAAATGCAGAAATCACCTGTCTTCTGCGTCGCTCATGCTAGGAGCTGTAGACTGGAGCTGTTCCTATTTGGCCATCTTGGAACCGCCTCAAAAAGCCAAGTCCCAAACTTCTTTTCATTAATCCAATACTTCCAGTTTCTGTGCTGACACTCCCTAATTCTTAACACCTCACTGAACTCTGACGTCTATTCCCATCCATCTACTGAAATTTCTTTTCCTGAAGTCATCAGTAACAGCTAATGTGATGTCCAAATGATCCCTTTTGGTCCTTACTTTTGCTAACATTTTAGAGGCACCTTGCTTCTTCTAACACTATGCCTTTTGCTTTGTGGACAACATTTCTTGGTCTTCTCCTTCCTCCTGATCCACCCCTCCCTCCATCTCCTTTACAGGTTCTTTTCATCTACCAATCACTTAAACATTGTTTAGGATTCTCGTCTACCCTGTTTATGGGGCACAATCAACTACAGTGATCACATTTATTATTAAGGCTTGAATTATCTTCTATCTGTGATATTTCCCAAATATATGTGTAATAGACTGTGCACACAAACACACCAGTCCAGATGTGTCTTTTGAGTTTCAGACATGAAGACATAACTAGATACTGAAAAGTCACACTTGGAGGTAGTATCTATTCAAGATAAAACCAATCATTTCTCCCTTCAAACTTTCTCATTCCCTTGAGTGCCTTTGTTTTAGCAAAAAAATCCCATTTATCCACTTCTTGAACCAGATACGTGGAGGTCACATCAGCTCCCACCCTCTTAGACATGCAGTGGGTCTGCCTTCTAAGTAGCCCTTGGATTTGCACAGTTCTCTCCATTCAGACTGTTTATCCCTAGTGCATGCACACGCCATCTCTCTCATATACTGCAAAAACTACCATGTCTCCCAACCTCCCTTCCTCCTTGCTGTTAATCCGCTGTCTACCCTATGACATCATGCCACTCCCTGCTTGAGATTCTTCAACAATTTTTTCATTGCTACTAAGATAAAATCCAACTTAAGGCCTTGAGTTTACTATATGGTCTCTACCTATAGATTCATCTCCAGATTGATTTCTGGATATGTTGACACATATTTTACTCTCAAAATGTACTGAAATTCTTTCACTCCCTCCCATCTCCCTCAGCTGTTCATGTTCTTGGCCAACAATTTTCTTTCTGCCAAGAATCCTCCTCTTCACTTCACCTTCTTCTGGCTAATTCAACTGTTCCTCCAAGTCTCAATTGAAGCATAAGTTTCTCAGGAAGAACTTCTCTAGCCCACTGAAGAGCATAAATTCCTTAGTACATGCCTGAACACCACCCTGCATTCCCCCATTATAACACATTTCCCAGTTTATTATTGTTACTTATTTACCATCTGTTTCCTCACTATATATAAATTCCATGAAAAATGATGATAGTTATCTTCCCACTGAAGTTTACCCAAGACCCACCTTCACACTTAATACAAGGTAGGCATTCAAAAAATAATGAACAAATAATAAACGTGGCAAATTGTACATCCTAAGGCTTTCTTGCCTTTTAATAAATAAACATAGAAAAGACTTATATAATCAACAGATTATACTGAGGGAATGTGTAAGCATAAATCCTATGGCCTTGTACTCTAGGAAGTGGATGGTTGTGGAGGGCTACTGAGATACAGATCCCCTATCTGTGTTCTCACAATGAGAGTTGGATGTTTATTTGTTCTTCTTGTCTCTGCTTTCTCGCATTGATCAGTGCAATATTTAGCTGACCCACATTAATCATTTTTAAAGTCTTTGGACATCAAAGACCTGGGCTTATGTACAAACACTTTTGCCTAAATTGGTTCCAGATGATCATGCTAAAAAACAACCTATTTTAAGAAGAATCAACTATGAGTAATGTGAGAATTAAAGTGAGGAAATGAAGACTTAAGCTAAACAGAGAGGAGGGGATTTACAAGGAAATCAAGGTAAGATGCATTAGTCTGCTACAAGAGTTTTGTTTTTCTTCCTAATAAATATAACGGCAGCCTAATAACAAGCATTTAAATGGTTCTAAGTACATCACTGAGGACACCAGTGCTATTCATCGCATTTATTTAACCACTGTCTGATCAGTTTCCGAAATAGGGAAGCTCTAATGGATTTAAATACGTGTACTTGAAAATCAGTTTTATGATTTCTTATCCTACTTTATTTCCCTTGACATTAAACTCTTGTTCTCCACACTAAAGAAAGTTCAATGAGCTAAGTAGTTATTGAATTGCTTATTTCCTCTGGATTTATCTGTGGGTTTTTTTTGTTTGTTTCCTTCATAGTGTGTCACTTGCCCCTTTAAGTATGTCTAGCTCTTTGATATTTCCCACCCCTAATACTTTTTGACCTCATGACTTAAACAATTGATGATGCTTACCGAGAATCAATGTCTGTGAATGCCATCCTGCCCCTTACCTCCCATTAAAACCTCAAGTTGTACACTGTTGTGCCTTCCTATAACCTGACCTGTAAGCATTTAGACACCATTGTAATTAAGTAATTGCTCTTGGAATGTTATTTTTTCCCATCAGACTAAAAGCACTATGAGTAAAAGGAAAATTATAAATGCTGGTCAAGCAATCTTAGTTCTTCCAAAGAATACATGTGCATAATTTCATAAAAATAATTAGGCAAACACCGCATGTTTTCACTCATAAGTGGGAGTTGAACAATGAGAATACATAGACACAGGGAGGGGAACATCACACAGTGGGGCCTGTCAGGTGGTCGGGGGGCTAGGGGAGGGACAGCATTAGGAGAAATACCTAATGTAGATGAGGGGTTGATGGGGGCAGCAAACCACCATGGCACAGTGTATACCTACGTAACAAACCTGCACGTTCTGCACATGTACCCCAGAACTTAAAGTATAATAAAAAATGAAATAAAATAAATAATTAGGCAAATCCTTGGCCATGTTGAGAGACAGATCAAATTGATTGCTTCTGCCTTTTAACTTTTACTGACAAAACAGAAGACGATCCTCAAGATTTAGAATTAGATTTGACTAATTAAAAGACAAAAGTCTTATCTCCATGGGTAAAGTAGCCATTTCTGTTTTCTTCCTAACATTCTTGATCTTGTAATTCATGTAAAATTATTTCAGGAGCCTCTTATTTGCACTTCCAGAAAGAGTTCATTTTGGCCTCAAACTATTATATGTTTGCAAGATTAATTTTCTTAGTATAACACTTTATTGTGTCAGAGCATTGTTCATTTTTTCAAATATGTATATATTGCCAACATTATAAAATTAAAATATTTTTCCAGATATGGAAGGTCTTTCACAATCTAACTCAATCCTATTATCCACCCTTGCTTTGAACCATTCTGAAGATCTTGCTACTCTAATCAAATTTATTTTCTTCCTGCCCCTTCGCACCTATTTGCACAAATTCTTCTTGGATTTTTATCTTATTTTGTCACATATATTGAATATCAACTTGTACTTCAATTAAATTCAAGCCCTACCCCATCCTTCAGGAGTGCCCAGTTAAAATCCATATATCCTAAAAAGGATATTTTAGAATATTCAGCCTAAAATAAACTCTTCATCTTTTCAGTTTTAAAAAACTTTTGTGGCTTAAACATAGAAGTTTATTTCTTGCTCAGAGAACAGTATTGAGCCAGTTTACTGGTCATCAAGGTCAGCAAATCCAAGTGACCTAGGAGACAAAGAGTCAGCGCTCTTCAGTGAGTGGCCTTTAAGGTGGCCTTGGCGGTGGTCTGCATTCCAGCTCACCAGAAGGGGACAGAGGATGGAGAGGCACTAATAAGAGAGCTAGCCAGAATTTGAGATGGAGAATATCACATTTACTCACAATTCCATTGGTGAGAACTCAGTCACATGCCATTTCTAACTTCATGGGAAATTGAAAATGTCATCTAGTCATGTGGCCAGAAAGAAGAGGACATGGACATTTCCAGGCAGCTGCCACAGGTAGAGTGCAAGGTGTTTATTCATATACTTGGGACATTTCTCCTTTAATTGCTATTTGTATCATTTTTACTACTTACCATTTTACACATGTATTTCTTACTTGCTTCAACCCACAGTTCTTTACAAATATCAGAGATCTTCAACAAGATTTTCCTAGATCCTGGCTTGTAGTCAGTTCCTTACTAAATTCACTCACAGGGACTTCTAAGTGAAGATATTTTGAGATATGGTAAAGAGCGAGAACCATACATTTTAGGCACCAGATGTAAGGGGACAGAGTTGCCATGATGTTGTAAAAAGTTGAAGAGAGAGAATTGTGTTCTCAGCCAAACAGAGGGCTTATCAACTCCAGCAAGGAGGTGGGGTCTAAGAGAGGAGGTAGGCAGAGCTACACTGTTATTCTTTTGAAGCATTCAAGCTGTCTCATTTATCGAGAAAAATAACATTATTACCTCTAAGAAACATCCTGTTTTAAGAAAAATGGTGTATTCTCAGAGACCAGTGCACATCATCAGCTTGAACAGGTGCATGAATTGAGACCACTTGATAGAGGAAGTAGTTGAGACTGGTAGGAATGTAATTGACGGTGATCGGTTATTTATTTTGAGCTGAGGTTTGTTCTGATTAGGGATGCCTGACCATGTAGAGCCAGACTGAGAATCAAGAAAGAACCACTAGAGTTAAACAGGAAACTGAGGATGCACCCAGCAGGAAGCATTAAGAAATGATCTAAAAGGCAAGGTGGGCCTAAATGAAATCTGATGGGTGATAATCTGTGGTAATCCAAGTATACATTACAGTTGATTTCAGGAGAAATCGGGAAATAATTAGTAAAATCTTAAAAATGGATGTGTGTTCAGAGCTAAGATGGCCTTTGATATGGTTTGGCTCTGTGTCCCCACCCAAATCTCATGTTGAACTGTAATCCCCACGTGTCAGGGGAGGGACCTGGTGGGAGGTGATGATTGGATCATGAGGGCTGTTTCCTCCATGCTGTTCTCATGATGGTGAGTGAGTTCTCCTGAGATCTGATGGTTTAAAAGTGTGTGGCAGTTCCCTATTCGTTCTCCCTCTCTCTCTCTCTCTCTCTCTCTACCCTGCTCTGCCACAGTAAGATGTGCTTACTTCCCCTTCGCCTTCTGCTATGATTTTAAGTTTCCTAAGGCCTCCCAGTCATGCTTTCTGTTAAGCCTACACACTGTGAGTCAATTAAACCTCTTTTCTTTATAAACAACCTAGTCTCAGGTAGTTCTTTATAGCAGTGTGAAAACGGACTAATATACCCTTCAAAAATGTTGGAAAAGACAGTGCCAAGAGCTGGTTGGGTGGTAGGTATAAGTTCCAAGATAGCAAAAGGGGAAACTGTTGCAGATAGCAAACTAATGGAAATAACTCTCCCCTCCATATACAACCAATTTTGTATTGTTGATTCCATCTCTAGAACTGGCCTATCACCATGGCACAAGTCCAGTCTACACCACTATCTGCTTTCACCTGGAATATTAAATATTCTTCTTATTGGTCTTTCCATATTTACTCTCAATTCCCTCCAATTGACTTTCCACACTGCAACTAGAATGATCTTTAAAATTGCTGTATTTTTATGGATTACTCATACAATAGATGCTAATAAAGAACTTGGGGCCGAGCATGGTGGCTCATGCCTGTAATCCCAGCACTTTGAGAGGCCAATGCTGGAGGATCACTAGGTCAGGAGTTCAAGACCAGCCTGGCCAACATGGTGAAACCGTCACTATTTAAAAAAAAAATATATATATATATATGTATATATATACATATATATATACATATATACATATACATATATATACATATATATATACACACACACACACACACACACACACACACATATATATATATACAAAATTAGCTGGGTGTGGTGGCAAGTGCCTATAACCCCAGCTACTCAGGAAGCTGAGGCAGGAGAATTGTTTGAACCTGGGAGGCGGAGGCTGCAGTGAGCTGAGATCATGCCATTGCCCTCCAGCCTGGACGACAGGGCGAGATTCTGTCAAAAAAAAAAAAAAAAAAAACGTGGATGTAGGTAATCTGCTTGGGAAGGGATCACAGGATGCACAGGTGAGGGGGTGTGGGAAATGAATCAGGAAGTGGCAACAGGCCCAGAATGGGATACTACAATGAGCAATGGAGCTCAGTTCCAGTGGGCACTGTCTGAGAAACCATGCAGAACACATATTAGAATGGTCTTGGCCAGGCACAGTGGCTCAAGCCTGTAATCCCAGCACTTTGGGAGGCCGAGGTGGATCACCTGAGGTCAGGAGTTCGAGACCAGCCTGACCAACATGGTGAAACCCCATCTCTACTAAAAATAAAAATCAGCAAGGTGTGGTGGCACTCGCCTGTAATCCCAGCTACTTGGGAGGCTGAGGCAAGAGAATCATTTGAACCCAGGAGGCGGAGGTTGCAGTGAGCCGAGATTGCACCATTGCACCCCAGCCTGGTCAACAAGAGCAAAACTCTGTCTCAAAAAAATATATATATATAGAATGGTCTCACTGAGGAATGGGAGCACCATTATTTGTGGAGTTTCACTCTAGTGGACATTTAACCTTTAACAAGGGCAAGGAAGCCACTTGTGCCTATCCAGAGAGCTCATAAGACTTTGGGGCCTTAATATTACCGTGCATCCCCCCTCAAAAGTTCCCATTCTAGGTCTCAGAATCTTAAGAACCAAATATTATTAAGGAGAGATTCCGTTACAAAACTGAGCTCCCTAATATCTTAAAGTAATAGATTATAATAAAGTATTAGGACTCTGAGAATAATGAAGTATTAGGACCCTGATTTTTGCATAAGAGACCTACCAGATTGTGCATTCCATCTTCTTTTACATTTTCGTCTCCTGTTATATTTTTTTAATATAGTCTGTCCTGTGGCTACAGAACATTTTCCAGTTCTTAAAGTGTGCCCTGGATGATAGTTATGGATCTGAGCCTGTTATTTTCTTTCATCAAGGATTCTAGAGATGTGAACACATGCCAGACAACTCCACAACCCATATAATTAGCATTGCTCCCATATGTGTTCAAGTATAAAAGTTGTTGCATAAGTTAATGGTTCAGCTTCAATCTTTACCTCAACCCAATTCACCACAGGGGAGACTGAGTAAATATGATGCTCCAAGCTCCAGGGATTATCACTACCCCCACTCGCCATCACTAGCAATAGTTTTTGTTGCTATATGACCAGTGAGTCCTCCAATTGGAACCCCATTCTTAGAATCTGCTTTTTAATATAACTTCTGGTATTATCCCTCTTAGTTTGAGTTCCTTAAATAGAAAATCCTGAGATAAGGACTTCCGTGCAGGTAGTTTATTTAGGATATTATCCAAGAAGCACAAGTGAAACAGTAGAGGAAGTAGGCCAGAGAAATGGAGAAGCTAATAAACAGGTGACTCTGATCACAACAGAGGCTTAATCCCCCTAGGGCATTCTGAAGGACCATGTCAAAATTTCTCAGAATTTTCCCACTGAAGGAAGAAAAATTCTGCTAACTCATTTTTTGCTGAAAACCGATGGTCATGACTTCAAATGCCTAATACTTGCTATAGCTCGCGTGACAGCTGAGCAAGATGTGCTGGCACCAAAAGAAAACTCTCAGGTAGGAAGGCTGAGGGATGAGGGTGCTTGAAATTGGAAGTGGCCAGTGAGTCTGGAAATAGTCCATCTCAGCTGCATGTGAGCTTAGAGCTGGACAAAGAGACAGCATCTGCCTCACTGACCATGCCTCTTCTCACCTTAAAATTATTCAAAGATTTCTTATTGCCAAGCCCTAAACCGTTTCTACAAGCAGTAACTCCCCCTATCCCTGAGCCCCCTAGGTCTCTGCCCTTCAGTCATGCTGGTCTATTTTCTGTTCGTCAAACATACCCAGGCAATATCAGTGCCTGTCCATGCATTACTCTGGCTAAAACACACTAGCCCTTATCTTTACTTTGGCTGTATCCAACACATACATCAGGTTTCTGGAATATCATTTCTCCAGAGATTGCTGTCCTGAAACGTCAGGTAAGGCAAGCTCCTACTGTGTTGCACTCCCACAACATCCTGCAGGTCCACATTTTTAACACTCTTTATCCTTACTGTTCCACAGTCAATGTCTGATCTGATCTTGCCCACTCGATTGTAAACTCCATGAGAAAAGTTTTATTTGTCTTGCTTCTCTAACATCTAGCCAAAGTATCACCCAGTAACCTCTTAACTAATATGTACTGATGGATGGATGGATGGATGGAAGGAAGGAAGGAAAGAAGGAAGGAAGGAAGGAAGGAAGGAAGGAAGGAAGGAAGGAAGGAAGGAAGGAAGGAAGGACTTAGAGCTAAAGTATAAGATTAGAGAACAATTGGCAGAGCTATTTTGATCTGAAATATTGAGCTAGTGGTCAGGGATTGATTTTAAAACCAGAGGTCAGACTCAGACAATAGGAAACAGAAAGAGGTCCAGATATGAAAATAGAAGACAGCCAGACTTGGGGCAGGCAGCATGCATTCCAGCAACCACCAGCCAATAGGTGCAACTGCTCATTACAATTTCTCTGCAGGGAAGACAATAATAACATGTCATTAACACACGCAAGCACATTTTACCTTCCCATTTGCTACAACATTAATTCAACAGATGCTCTTGGAGGGCCTGTCTGAAAGAGTCAAAGTTATTTGAGGAAACTTGTTAAGTTTACAGTTCTCAAAGAGTTCACAGTTTCATAACACAGAACGCAATCATTTTATTACATAATTTGGATATGAAGAGAATAAGCAGTATTAGGACATAACAGTCTTTGTAATAATTCAACATAATTATAGTATTTGTTATTTTTACCTATCTCTTTTTTGTAATAGAATTATGAAAAATACATTAAAGAATTATTACTAGACTAAGATTTATATTTGAATTTGTCATAGCATTTACAAACTGCAAATTTAAAGGTTTATGTAATTTTGACTAACAAGATAAACAAAACAGTCTCTAATTCTTTTTAAAATAATATAGAAGGAAGTACAAATGAAATCCTTAGTACAATAGTTGCTTCTGCAACTTTGCGCTTTATCAAGCATTCAGTGCGCTAGGTGAGTAACACCTATTTTGGTTGCCTTCCCCTTTTCAGGCTACCCTTTTAGTAGCAAATTCTTATGGCTTGAGTATTTATAAAGCCAGGAACATGATTATTTAGAAGAACCAAGATTGATGGAACTGCAGAAAGGTTACAATTTGTTTAATAGATATTCAATTAAGTAAGCAAATGCATAGAAAAGAACCCAATATAAAAAACTGTGCAGCAGGATTAACTTTCCATCCTTCCTCACACGTGTACTGGTGAACACTCAGCTGAGACTGGTTACTGCAGAGACTGTCATGGCTCCTGTCTAGATCCATTTTTGTTGCCTTCCTGACCCTGAGGCTCCAACCCAAGGTGTACACAGGTGCAACTCTGTACCAAAGCTGATATGATCATTATTGACCATTCTGATAGATTGTTGCTGCCACCAGTTGCATATACGTTGTGCTGTTATTTCTACTTCTGTCTAGTTATTACAACAAATCAGGATGTATTAATGTAAAGAAGATGTAGGAAAGAGTATATACTTTGGCAACACAGAGATCAGGACCCAGATCCCTGACCAGATACACATCTGCTCAGTTATCTTTCTGATTGATTTGAACTTTAGTTCCTCACCTGAAAAGTGGGGAGGAACATAGAAGAAACACCCTTACTTCAACACAATGGGCCTTCACGCATGTCCTGAACCTTCACTATACTTTCATGCAGGAAATATAAAACATACTTCTCCTTATGAATGCTCACATCTGCTGTGAATTAGTTCTGATTTGTGTCTGTGGTGTAGAAAAACTGATTCTCACAGGAATAAAAAATATATTTCAGAAAACCCAATCTTATTTTTTTATAGATAGAAAGAAAACATATAAGTAATACGGGAAGAAATTGAAACAGAGCAGAGTATCTATTGATTCTTTCCTGGGGGGAAATATATCTACAAAGATAATTGGGCCAAATAGTATAGAAAGGATTTAGGAGCATCAGTCAGGACAGAATCTCAACAACTTTCATTACACACTTCTCTTTTTCCAATTCTGTGTGTGTCTCAGTCTGCTTAGGCTGCTATGATGAACTACTATCAACTGAGTGGCTTATAAATAATAGAAATATATTTCTCACAGCTCTAAAGGGTGGGAAGTCCAAGATCAAGGTAAATTCAGTGTCTGGAGAGGACAGGGCAGCTTTCTGAGGCCTCCTTTACAAGGAAACTAATCCCATTCATGTGGGTTCCAGCTTCATAATCTAATTACTTCCCAAAGGCTCCATCTCTTAATATCATCACATTTGTAATTAGATTTCAACATATGAATGGGAGTACAGGGGCACAACATTCAGATCATAGCAGTGTATTTCAGAACACATATATTAGTGAATAATTAAAATGAATCACAGCTGAGGTCTTGCCAATATGAGATCAACTACACTCCTCCCCTTTGCCAGAGCACATCTTACGGTGCAGTGTGCAGGGCAATTTTCAGCTGTCCTCAACTTGGGTACTGGAAACTGAGTCTAATGCAACTATACCACTACCTAGTTCTGGGCCTTTGGAGAGGTGGTTGTAGTGGGTTGAAATGGTGGACCTCAAAAGATCTGTGTACACAGCACCTCAGATTGTGACGTTATTTGGGAAAAGGTTGTTTTTTGGAAATGTGACTCAGTTAAGAATCATTCTCAGCAAACTATCGCAAGGACAAAAAACCAAACATCACATGTTCTCACTCATAGGTGGGAATTGAACAATGAGAACACTTGGACACAGGAAGGGGGACATCACACCCTGGGGCCTGTTGTGAGGTGGGGGGAGGGGGGAGGGATAGCATTAGGAGATATACCTAATGATGAGTTAATGGGTGCAGCACACCAACATGGCACATGTATACATTTGTAACAAACTTGCACATTGTGCACGTGTACCCTAGAACTTAAAGTGTAATAATAAAAAAATTAATTAATTAAAAAATAAAGAATCTCATAATGAGATCTTCCTGAATTTAGGGTGGGTTCTAAATTCAATGACATGTGTCCTTATAAAAGATAGAGGAGGAGACATCTTAGAGAAACACTGGGAAGAAGGCCATGGAAAGACAGAGGCAGAGATTGATGTGGTACAGCCCTAAGCCAAGCAAAAACCAGAGCCATGAAAAGCTGGAAGAGGCAAGGAAGAACTCTTTCCTGCAGCCTTCATCTTGATCTCTTGACAACATCTTGATCTTGGAATTCTGGCCTAGAGAACTATGAGAGAATAAATTTCTGTGGTTTTAAGTCATCATGTATGGGGGTAATTGCTTATGGCAGCCCTAGGAAGCCAATACAGTGGGACTCAGTTTCCTCACATATGAAATAATAGTGTTGGAGTACATGATCTCTAAAGGGTCTTCTAACTTGGATTCATTGACTATGATTAGCTGGCACATAGGGAGGCTGAAAAAAAAATCCTGAGGTTAGAGGGAGGTTATTAAGGAATGTGAGAGATTCTCATTCCTTTGCCAACCTCCATATCCATATAATCTCACCACTCTGAGTGTATGCAAAGTCCAACTCAGAAATAAAACAAGCTTAAAGGCAGAAAAAATATCAGTCTTGTCATGATGCAGGATGCACATCTATAAATATCACAAGGCATTTCCTAGCTCAGAAAATGTATTCCAAGGCCTGCCGCCCAACACTTTATAGTTGTAGTGAAAATGAGTTTAATCTGGTATTTTCCCTTTAGTTAAGTGATCACTTAAAATTCATTTAATCATTCAGATAGCATTTATGCAACATTTATTCTGGCAGCATATTGTAGGATGTGCTGGAGATACAGAAATAATCAATGACAGCTATGCCCTCCAAAAGCATAGAGTTTAGAGGGGGCAACAGGCAAGTAAACCAAACGTTTTCTTTGTAATAAGTGTGATAACTTCTATTTTAGAGGTATTCTCAGAAAGATATGCAACATAAGGGATGAGCATTTAATTCAACACACAGGAATCAGGAACAGCTTCTTGGATGAGGGTATATATGAAGTATCCTAAAAGATAAGTAGATGTAACCAGAAAAATAGATTACAGTGAAGTGCAATTACATGGAATGATACTGAGACCCGGACGTTGGTGAGCTAAGCCGGGGCATACTGTGCATGCGGTGGTGTGGTGGGAAGTAGAGATAGGCAAAGATTATCACATAATAATCAGATGTGTCTCAACTGAGTTAAGGCAATGGGATAGGCAGGAAGAAGAAAGCTGACAGAACCTGGTGACTGAGTCTCGTTGGAAATAAAGAAAACAGAAGAATAGCTGTTGCTGACATGGCAACTAGTAGGACTAGTAGGATATGGTGACTAGTAGCATCATTCCCCACAAGGCTGGAACAGATTGGGCAGAGGATATGGGATGTGGGGAGTTCAGGCTACAGGTACTTGCAGGGTACCTTCATTCAGTTGTCAGTAGTGAGATAAATCAAGAGTAATAAATTTGAATTAAATATTGACTGTTCCATCATCAGTGGGTGAGATTTCTCAGGCAGAGTATATAAAGAACCAACACAGTAATTCTAGGGAACATTAGCACTTGAGGAGCAAGCTGCGGGAGGAAAGTCCATGAGCGAAAGAGAAGATGCTGATATACATGAAGGAGCAACACCAGAAGTGTGTTGACTTGTAAGTCAATAGAGGAGGCAATTCACAAGAAAGAAGATTCCAGCAGCATCAGATACTCTGAAAGATAAAATAAGAAAGAAGGAAAGGCGTCCATTAGATATGGCAATTTAAAGACTGGCAAACATAGAATGAATAGTTTTAGTAGACACGTGGCAAAAAAAGAAATATCCAGATTACATAGTGATTCAGTGAAAAAATAGCCCAGGAAGCATGGCACATGCTTGGCAGAGTGTGGCTCTGAAGAGAAAGAAGCATAGTGGAATTTGCAGACAGAGGATGTCAAGAGTCAGGAAGAAGAAAATGAGAGCAGAGACAATATTCTTGAGTATGAAAGAGCAGTTGATATTAAGAACACAGGTTAAGGCTAGGTGTGGTGGCTCACACCTGTAATTCAAGCACTTTGGGAGGCTGAGGTGGGTGGATCACCTGAGGTCAGGAGTTTGAGACCAGCCTGGCCAACATGGAAAAACCCCGTCTCTACTAAAAATACAAAAATTAGTCAGGCGTGGTGGCACACACCTATAATCCCAGCTACTCAGGAGGCTGAGACAGGAAAATCGCTTAAACCCAGGAGGCAGAGGTTGCAGTGAGCCGAGATTCTGCCACTGCACTCCAGCCTGAGTGACAGAGTGAGACTCCATATCAAAACAAACAAACAAAGAAACAAACAAAAAAACAACAGAATTCAGGTTAAGATCTGGGCCGGGAAAGGGGCACCTTCCAATAAAACAGAGAATGAGGGAACAGTTGCCAGAGATTAAGTTTTATTTCTAACCATTGTAATAATGCATACTGTGAGGAGGAAGCTCTTGCTGTGCCTTGGTTTCCTTCTTTGAGAAAAGGAATAATAATAGTATCTATCTCACAGTTTTTAGTGAAAATTAAGTTAGAGAATACAAATAGACATTTCTAAAAGAAGTCATACAAATGGCCAACAGACATATTAAAAAATGCTCAACATCACTAGTCATCAGGGAAATGCAAATCAAACCCAGAATAAGACATCATCTTACCCCAGTTAGAAAGGCTATTATCAAAAAGACAAAAAGTAACAGATGCTGGCAAGGATGCAAAGAAGAGAATGTAAATTAGTAAACCCATTTTGGAACACAGTATGTGAGTTCCTCAGGAAACTAAAAGTGGAACTATCATATGATCCAGCAATCCCACTACTGGGTATTTTGCCAACAGAAAGTAAATTAGTGAAGGGATACCTGCACCCCCACATTTATGGCAGCACTACTCACAATAGCCAAGATATGGAGTAAACCTAAGTGTCCATCAGCAGATGAATGGATAAAGAAAATTTGGCACATATACACAATGGAGTACTATTCAGCCATAAAAAAAGGAAATCCTGTCATTTGCATCAACATGGATGTAACTGGAGTTCATTATGTTAAATGAAATAAGCCAGGCTCAGAAAGATAAAGACAAATATCACATATTCTCACACATATGTGGGAGCTAAAAATGTAGAACTCATGGAGGTAGTGGGTAGAATGATGCTTACCAGAGGGTGGGAAGGGAAATGGAAGGGGAGATGGAGAGAAGCTGGTTAACAGGTACAAAGATACAGACAGATTAAAAAAATAAGTTCCAGTATTATGCAGAACAACAGGGTGAATATGGTTAACAGTAATGTTTTGTTTTTTTCAAAGTAGCTAGAAGAAAAGATTTGGGATGTTCCCAACACAAAGAAATGATAAATGTTTGAGGTGATGCATATCCCAATTACCCTAATTTGATCATTACACATTGTAAGCTTGTATCAAAATATCACATATACACCATAAACATGTACACATATTATGTACTAACGATTTTTTATAATGACAGGTTACATGGAATATAGTACAATTGTGCTTAGCACATATTAAGTTTTCACATTTTTACTATTATTATTATTGCTATTATTATTTTCTTAATAGCAGGAGAAAGAGCATGAGTAGTAGTTTTTTTCTTGGAGTGTGTTTTTTGAGGAGGATGCGGCAGCCAGACCGAATGATGAATCTTCAGTGGCAACTAGGAAAATAAGAAAGTCATCTGTCCTCAAAAAACACTAAAGAATCAACTGGAAACCTGTCATCTCAGTAGGTGACCGGAGGTCATACATTTGTGATTTTCTAAATTGGAGAAAAGTAAGGTATGGAGGAAACAGGTTGGGATGATCTAGAGCTGGAACGAGGCAGTGTGAACACAGAAGAAGGAACAAAAGCAAACAAACTCAGAGGCTGGCAAAAGAGTTTTTAGTTCATGAACCATGAATCACCCAGATGGTGGAGGAGTAAATTAGGCTCCAGGTAGGTCTGGGATAAATTTGAGTTTTTAAAGGATTTTAAATGTATATCTTTCAGAAAAACAGATAAAGTATTAAACAAAGGTATCTTGAAACCTTAGATTTTAAGATTAGATAAAAACTGCAGAGGTGTAGTTATGAATTTGTTGTTGAGGCAAAGAGAAAACAAAGCACACTGAAGCTAAAAGTAGGGGCTGTGAGGCTAAGTTTCCTATGGATCAGGTGTTCTCCATGCTAGATGCACATTTGAAACCAACATCCATTTTCCACTTTCAGAATATCTGCTTTAATTGTTCTGGGGATGGGATCCAGCTACCGCTGTATTTGGAACTTTCCCTGGGTTGATTCTTATTTGCTGTTAGGGTTGCAAAGCATTGTAATAAATACAGCCTTGAAAAGCAAAATTAATTCTGGCTAAATCATTATGCCAATTGTGATGGTGATGATTATGATAGTCATAATAACAGCATAATTATAGTAGTACTAGAGCAGCAGTAGTAGTAGCTGACACTGAACTTATACTGATATCCCAGGGACTCTAAACATTTTAAAATCCATTTTGATGTAATCCCTATTTTGCAGGTTAGAAAATTGAGCCACAAAGACAATCATTAACTTTCCCAAGGTCACAGAGCTAGTTAGTGGAGAGCGTGAACTCGGGCATTGTACTTAAGAACTGTCATTCTTAACCATTATGCCACACTTTGACAACTTAACACTCAGAATTGCCACTCCTTAAAGACATCTTCAAGGTTAATGTGCAAGTTGGCATTAAAAAAACAGATTAGTTTTCTCAGGAAGCTAAAATGAGCTAAAGTGAGACATACGTATAAATATACAGACATGTGCCGCATAACGACGTTTTACTTAATGATGGGCTGCATATAGAACAGTACCCCATAAGATTATCATGGAGCTGAAAAATTCCTTTTCTAGGTTTAGATATGCTCAGATACACAAATATTTACTATTGTGTTACAATTGCCTACAGTATCCAGTACAGTAACATACTGTACAGGTTTGTAGCCTAGGAGCAGTAGGCTATATCATAAAGCCTAGATGTGTAATAAGCTATACCATCTAGGTTTGTGTAAGTGCTCTCTATGAAACATTTCTCAGAACTCATCCCGGTCATTAGGCAATACATGATTGTATAATACCAAGGCTGATCTACTAGTGTCTACTAGAAATAAAAATGAAGATTTTAGTCTGTCTGATCTCAACCTATTCAATTAGTTGTTTTCTTTGAAAGAACACAGTTCACCACACATAAAATTAAATAGGTGAAAAAAATAACCTTGTCAAATTATCATATAAAGTTTGCACCAAGAGCTAAGATGTGACATCAAGATTAAAAGGTACACACATCCCGAAGCCAACAGAATCTTCAGGGTTTCTGTGGATAATTTTTTAAATTGATTCTTCCATTTATGACTAAGGCCTCAAAAACAATTGCAGCAAAAACAAAAATTGACAAGTGGGAACTAATAAAACTAAAGAGCTTCGGTCAGGCACTGTGGTTCACGCCTGTAATCCCAGCACTTTGGGAGGCCGAGGTGGGCAGATCACAAGGTCAGAAGTTCAAGACCAACCTGGCCAACATGGTGAAACCCTGTCTCTATTAAAAATACAAAAATTAGCTGGGCCTGGTGGCGGGCATCTGTAGTCCCAACTATTCAGGAGGCTGAGGCAGAAGAACCGCTTGAACCCGGTAGGTGAAAGCTGCAGTGAGCCAAGACTGTGCCACTGCACTCCGGCCTGGTGATAGAGTAAAACTCAGTCTAAAAACAACAACAACAAAAACAAAACAAAACAAAAAACTAATGAGCTTCTGCACAGCAAAAGAAGCTATCAATAAAGTAAACAACCTACAGAATGAAAAAAATATTCACAAACTATTCACAAACTATGCATCTCACAAAGATCAAATATCCAGAATCTATAATAAACAAATAATTTGACAAGCAATAAACCAATAACCCCATTAAAATATGAGCAAAAGACATGAACAGACACTTCTCAAAAGAAGTCATACAAGCAGCCAACAAACATATGAAAAAATGCTCCACATCACTAATTATCAGAGAACTGCAAATCAAACCACAATGAGATACCATCTCTCACCAGTCAGAATGGCTATTATTAAAAATTCAGGCTGGGCGTGGTGGCTCACGCCTGTAATCCCAGCACTTTGGGAGGCCGAGGCAGGTGGATCACAATGTCAGGAGTTCGAGACCAGCCTGGCCAATATGGTGAAACCCCATCTCTACTAAAAACACAAAAATTAGCTGGGTGTTGTCGCAGGTGCCTGTAATCCCAGCTACTCAGGAGTCTGAGGCAGAAGAATCACTTGAACCTGAGAGGCAGAGGTTGCAGTGAGCCGAGATCATATTACTGCACTCCAGCCTAAGTGACAGAGCAAGACTCCGTCTCAAAAAAAAAAAAAAAAAATCAAACAATAGATGCTGTCCAGGCTGTTGAGAAAAGGGAATGCTTACACACTATTGGTGGGAATGTAAATTAGTTTAGCCACTGTGGAAAGTGGTTTGGAAATTTCTCAAAGAACTTCAAACAGAACTACTTTTGACCCAGCAATTCTATTACTAGGTATACATCAAAAAGAAAACAAATCATTCTACCAAAAAGACACATGCACTTGCATGTTCTTTGCGGCACTATTCACAATAGAAAAGACATGAATCAACCTAGGTGCCTGTATTAGTCCATTCTCACACTGCTATAAGGACATACTTGAGACTGTGTAATTTATAAAGGAAAGAGGTTTAACTGACTCACAGTTCCAAATGGCTGGAGAGGCCTCAGAAAACTTAATATCATGGCAGAAGGGGAAGCAAACACGTCCTTCTTCACATGGCGGAAGGAAGGAGAATGAGAGCTGAGCGAAGGGGAAAGCCCTTAATAAAACCACCAGATCTTGTGAGAACTTGCTCACTATCATAAGAATAGCATGGGGGAAACTAGCCAATGATTCAAGTACATCCCACCAGGTCCCTCCCACAACATGTGAGGATTATGGGAACTACAATTCAAGACGAGATTTGGGTGAGGACACAGCCAAACCTTATCAGTGCCCACCAATGGTGGACTGGATAAAACAAATGTGGTACATATACACCATGGAATACTATGAAGCCATAAAAAATAATGGAATCATGTTCTTTGCAGTACCATGGATGCATCTGGAGGCCATCACTCCAAGCAAACTAATGCAGAAACAGAAAACCAAATACCACATGTTCTCACATATAAGGGGTAGCTAAACGTTTAGTACCCATGGACAAAAACATGGGAATAATAGATACTGCAGACTACAGATGGGGAGGGAGTAAGGAAGGCATGGGTTGAAAAACTCAGGTACTATGCTGAGTACCTGGGAGATGGGGTGATTTGTACCTCAAACCTCAGCATCATGCAATATACCCAGGTAACACACCTGCATGTGTGCCCCCTGAATCTAAAATAAAAGTTGAAAAAAAAGTGATTTTTTCAAAGCAGACCTCCCCAGAAAGGACTGTGATTGAAGAGCCACAGAAATGCCTTTCTGCCTTATGTGTACAACACAAAGTGATTGGCACCTCAAGAAAAGCTCTCTCCATTTTATACCTGGGAGAGAAGAGGAGTCAGAATAAAATTAATTCAGAGAATTTCAGCTGCAGTCTGCTTCCTAAAAATAATAAGCACCTAAAGAACACCTGGAACCAAAGATATCCCCATCCACCAACACATTAAGCTCTTTTTGTGAGTGTGCAATTTACTTTATTATTAAATGTGAGGATTCATTAATGAAACTACAGAACTTATACTTAAATTACATTGAGTTTATATACATATATTTAGACATACCTGTATATGTATATATAGTATGTAATAAATAATAGATATGATTAATGTGTAATTATGTAATAATTTATATATTATAGGTTTATATATTTTCACACTGTATCTAATACATACTATATAGCATATACTATATATAGTCTCAGTGAGTGAATGGTAAAGATGTGCTAAATATACAGTGGTTAAACTCATGTAGTTAGCATAATTTCAGTGAGATTTTAACACTGTTATTATACGGTAGGAGTCAAGCCTTGGACCTACAATGCCAAGGAGCAAGATTTTTTAAATGAAAACTTCGAGACCAGATCCACATTTAAAAATTGAGGAGTATCCAAATAGATGAATATGCATAAGAAATAACAGCATATATGGTAATGAATATACATCTACTTTTCTTGGTAGTTCTCATCCTTTAGCTTCTGTTTCCATCATTATATTTACCTCATTCATACTCCAAACATATTTCCTTTCATAGCTTTGGCTTATCTTTATCCTCAAAGAAATACATAATTGTTCATGACACATCAAAATCAGGAAAGTATACAGACTGAATTAAAGGAGACGGACTTTTATTAAGCATGAAGTCCTGCATCTAAGAATAGGAAGACAACCATGTATCTATTCTTAGTTGTCACAATAAAATATCTCATTGTCTAAACTAGGCAATTTGATAAAGTATATCTGAATTCACTAGAGGTTGTAAAAAAGAAATGATAATTCTCATGTTTCATGGCTAGGTTAGACCTTAAAAGTCAACTTGGTATTGTATCATTCAACTACAGTGCTTTCTTTAGGTTGAAACAACCCTTTATTATCCAAAATAAAGCACTATTCAGAATGCTCACAATTTGTCTTGGTAATGAAGCTAACTGTGTCATCAATTACAATCACATGGAATATGGTGATTTTAAGAAGTCTGATCAACAATTCAGTCCTTCACATCAAAATGAGACTAATTATGGAACACATAAATAAAATTTGTTTTCTCTTTTTGACGTCCAACCAGCTACTGATTAAACCATGATGCTGGCTGATTAAATATGTATATGAAAGTGTGTGGGCTTTTTTTTTAAATTTCAAAATAGTTACTAGTTTTCTAGGTAAATATTTGTGCTGAATTGAAACCCCTATTTAATAATCTATTATTCATTGCTAAATTTACTTAAACTTAGAAACCTGTGTTTACATTTTCTTATAAACTTCCAAGGAGCCATCTCTCACCTAATTCTAGTATGTTTAAATGCAAACTTATAAATAATTATAACCTTATAAATATAATAAAATGGTAATGCTAACCAAAATTTTTATAGGCCTGAAGATTGGCATAATTGATGCTCTCTTTATAGTCTGTTTCTGCACAGCAGTCATCCACAATCTCATATGCAGACCCATTTATTAATTTATTCGATGAAGATTTATTCTATTAATTATGTTTTAGGCACACTGCTGAGCATTAAGAAAACAACATTCAACAACTTACACGTGTTCCATATCCTCCTGGAGCTTAAATTCACAAACCTGCTGGTGTTAGAAGAATTTTCTCAGCAGTAGGACTAATTTGCTGAATTCACCAATTTACTGATTTGCCAAGAATAGAGAAGTGCATTTCGCATTTAGTAAACTGAATATTCTTATTAAAGCTGTTAAAACATTGTTTTTAAGTTAGTAACAATCTTGTTAAAGCTATTATAAATAACTTTTTGTTAAGTCAGTAAATTTTGTAAATGTGGTGATTGGGCCATTTGACAAGTTCATCATTCAGTGAATCATTTTTAGAACATTAAGTGTTGCTGAATTCACCTAGAGATGCTTCTTCCTACCCATGTCGATGTTCAAATCCCAGGACTAGCTTGTAAGTGCATCTCACCCAACCTCACCACAAAATTGTGAGCCTATTGCAGAAGGAATTTACATCCGCTTTGTGGATGATGATCCAGAGTCTCAAATATCTGACAAAAGTATAAGTTTATACAAATAAAGTTAGTATCATGCATGGCTGTGCACTTAGTTCTTTCAACTCAGCATGCAGTTCTTTTAACAAGACTCTCTGCCATGCATTTTTTTCTTTGTGTTCAACTGATATCACGTGGATTAATCATGCTGCTAGTCTCTAAGAGATAACAGGAAGCAGTCGCCCCCCAGGAAGACTCTACGTGCATGTAGAGTCCATATGGTTGGAAATTTCAGAGCTGAAACCTGACACCATTTTGTGCTTAGGCTACCTTTGGATTCACAAAACTGGGAACAGACTGAAGAAGGGCAGTGGAGGCTTTGCAACCGTGACACATTCTGGCAAGTCGGGTGTAAAGTTTACACAGCAGCAATGCTCATTGACTTTATACAAAATTGTGAGGATGGAGCTGCTGTCAGACAACCCACTTGGCTTAGAGTTTTCATTTATCTAACAAATATGTTAGTTACATAAAGTTTAATTATTAATTTTTAACAGGGCACAGCCACTGCCTTTAAAATTTTAAATATCTGGGGGAAAAAGTGTTATATGACCCTAGGCTGATTTTAAACTTTTGTGCCTCAGTTTCCTCAACTACTGGAAATTGGAAATTACAGTAATAACTATCCCATCCCGTAGTGATGAAAATGAAATGAGATAATACAGATTAAATGCCTAGAACCTCCTTCTCAGAGCTGATGTCTGGATTATATGTAGAATGAGAAAAACGGTGAACAGATATTGAGAATGGCATATGCCCAAGTATATCCCCGGTATATAAAGAGAGGCACATCCAGAGAGCTGCCAAAAGTTTGAGATATCTGGGTCAGGTCCTTATAGAGCAGTGAGTGGAGAGTTAAGCAAGAATCAGATCACACAGGCCTTCCAGAAAAACTGAGGACTCCCAATTTTATCCTCTAGGCTTTGAAGAGATACTTGAGAGATTTTTAAGTAGGGAAGTGCTGTAATGAGAAGTACATTTTAGATGGATCCTTCTAGTAATGGTGTGGATGGTTTGGTATAAGTATAGATAGAGACAGAGAGAAAGAGAGAGCTAAAGACAGAGACAGAGAGATAGAGATACAGATATAGATAGAGACAGAGATATGGCATTTCATCAATGAAAGAAGTTTCTTCCTTGTACCAGGCTCAATTCTAGGCACTTCACACATATTATTTCAGAAATTCACAAGACAGCCTCCTGGCCCTCAAGGAGTTCATCTTCAGGAATGAGGGAGGTTTTTGTCACGAGACATTTCAGAGGAATGATATTGAAACTGAGCCTTGGGAGGCGCTGGAGAGGAGCAAGGGTTGCAAATGCAGGAGCAGCGTGGGCAGACCCAGGGTTGAACAGCACATTCTGCAGCATGCACCATGCAAAGGGGCTGGCAGTTTTGCTACATTGATAAAAATGCACCTTTATTACTTGGCAGGCCCTACATCCACTACATATTATAATGTCCACAGCCAATATTCGGGGAAGCTAGGAAGGAAATGTTATAAAGGAGGAAACTACAGTCAATGGGAGGCATTACACAAACTTAAGGCAAAGAATCACACATTCTGATTTTCTTTTTGGATTAAAAAAAAATCCAGCAAAAGTAATCTGAGTGTATGTCACTCACTTTTCTTTAAAAAGAAAAGGGTACAGATTGTAGGAATATGACCTCGAAGTCAAGGAGACCAAACTCAAAATAATTGTACTGGTTCAATGCCAAATGACAGAGGGTTGGATTAAGCCAACTAAGATAGAAAGGCCCATAGGATGCCTAGAATGAGGCAGGGAGGAGTCAAGAGAGAGAACAAGCTAGCATGACTTCCAGACAACTGTTTGTAGGCTGGGTAAAGAGGTAAATAGGGAGCAAAGAAGAAAAAGCAGGTTTGGTGGAGGTCATGGTAGAGATGATTTCAGCTTTGAATATTTTGAGAATGAGACCTATCTGGTTATCCTCATGGAACCATCTGGAGACATGGGTCCCAAGCACATGGGTCATCATCGTACATCTGGCAGTTGAAGCTGCAATGAGATTCCATGTAGAGCAGCCCAATGCAAAGTAAGTGATGGGGAAGCTGTGAACTGGTACCTGAACAGATGTGCCACGTTTCCTCTTGGAACACACCTGCAATGATGGAGCCTGGCAGGCTGCACAGACTCCAGGAGGCAAAGACATGAAACTGGCAAGAAAACAAAGCTCTTCAAGGGATTATGATAGGCAGCTCCACACAGCCCCTGATACCATGAACCAACATAATGTACTGTGATTTCCCTGAGCCTCAAATCTAAGGGAGGATGTTACTCCATTAAAAGTAGGCTTGGAAAGGCTGCTTTGCCACAACCATGAAGTCTTTGGGAGAGCACACAAATTGCCAGCAGCAGCTAGAGGTGGTGGCTAAAGTCAACCATATGAAGGTTGTTGTCTAGTTGGTCTTTCTACAACCATGCTTCATAATCAGCATCAACAAAGACAGTTTTAACCAAGATCACCAGCTTTACAGAAAATTTTCCAGTATTGTTCTGTCTTCTCTGAATTATCAAAATAATATACTTTACTAAGAAACAGGCTAATAATACATCATTTTCCCTTGCTGTGAAAATATAGCATCTGTGTCCTGAAAATCCTACATTACAAAATCATTAAATAAAAAGTATTCTAAACCCATCATAATAAAGTCTGTTAAATTAAGACAAACTATATTCAGATGAGAACAGCAGTTGATGACCAGTTTTATTTAAGAAGTTAACATTTTTTTCTTTTGAGTTTAAAACACTTGGAAAACAAAACCAGCATGCTGTCCATAACAAAATAGGATCCTCCTGCTGCAGAGTGTATTAAGAACTTCTGAGAATAGATTATTACTATGTTTTGGATCCTTAATTCAAAGCACGTCTAAATGCTTTGAGACTTACAGGCAGATTTTTCATTATTATGTAGAGGACTGTATAAAAAAAAGATTAAAAATGTGAAATAAACAAAACTACCTCTGTGAGTGAAGGGCAATGTACAACCACCAGCCTTAGGAAGAGAACTACTGAAAACACAGAGAATGACAGATCAGTGGCCTAAAGTCAGTAGAAAAGGAAATGATTTTAATTCCCACTGCCATGGCAACTCCAGATTCCCCTTTAGTTACCAGTGGTTAAGGCCATTCAAAATTTAGGTTAATTTTTAAAACAAACAAATATTGATAAACTTAACTACCTTTTCCATGTGTTTCCTTAGTATTTTTGTAAATATCATTATTGTATTCTATTGAAAACTTAGAAGAGACATTTTTAATAACATTAATCTATGTCCTGCTAACTATTGCTTTCTATTTGTAAAGTTACTTTCTTATTTACCATATGTTTCTCTACCCAAGCTCTCCATTCCTAAACACATACCCACACAAATATACAAACATATTCACAAACACACATACTATTGTATGATTTGGTAACAACAGGTTCTGGATGAATCTTTCCAATCTGTTAAAAGTATAACTTCAGTCCCACTAAGGGTAGTATTGACTCTGGTCCATGTGTTTTGCTCTCTGTAATTCAGTAACATTAGAAAGACATCTTTAAATTATATAAATATTTTTTGGTGTAGAAAACCACACGAAATACAGCAAAAAAGCTCGATGCTCTTTTGGTCACGTGACTTCATCTCTTCTCCCAGATGGTATGGTAAGCATAGAAATATTAACACTTAAAATTTTAGGGGCCAGGCGCAGTGGCTCACACCTGTAATCCCAATACTTTGGGAGGCCGAGGCAGGTGGATCATGAGGTCAGGAGTTCAAGACCAGCCTGGCCAAAATGGTGAAACCCCATCTCTACTAAAAATACAAAAATTAGCCAGGTGTGGTGGTGGGCACCTGTAATCCCAGCTACTTGGGAGGCTGAGGCAGGAGAATCGCTTGGACCCGGGAGGTGTAGGTTGCAGTGAGCCAAGATTGCGCCACTGCACTCCAGCCTGGGTGACAGAGCAAGACTTCGTCTCAAAAAAAAAAAATTAAAATTTTAAGGTGATAATAGGCCACATCTACAGGTCCAGCACTTACCCAAGATGTGGCTGAGTCCCCAAAATTCCTTTCTTTTTTTTTTTTTTGCTCTGTTATGCAGCTCTCCAAAACAGTAAGTGTTATTCTAGAAGCTGACACTTCTAGACACTTCTAGAAATCAACAATCGATTATTTTAACTAAAAGGTGGCTAGGATTTCTTCAGACTTTTATGATATTTGGGTTATGTGTTTGGTATACACTGAATTATTTTAGAATAAAAGTGTTTTAAGTCCACTACTTAGTGCTAGATGATAGATCAATATGAGAAAAATCTAAATATTTTCTTTGACTATATAAATACCAATCTCAATGCACATATAATCCTCTAATTCTAGTTGGTCGGTCTTAGAGGGGCTTTTGAATAAAAAGCATAGTTAGTTACTTATTATCATTAGTATGACTTCTTAAAGGAGTTATTGACATCACAATCCAGTTGTATTATAACTGCTCCTCAATCCAACACACTAACAGATGCAAGTACACAATGTATATGTTAAGAAACAACAGAATATCATTCCATGGCAAAACAAGCTGGGAAGTAATCTTTAAATACACACACACACACACACACACACACACACACACACACACAAATAGTGTTAAGGTTTTTAAATGTTTAAAAAATTCTACAACGATAAATGTAAAAGAAAGTATTTAATAGCTCTTATGAAACTGCAAAGTTCAACCAAAACATTCACTTGTCTGTGTATGTGTGTGTGCATGTGTAAACACATAACACATATATACACATATATACTTGTTATATATACACACATACACATATCTATATCTGTATATATATATACACACACACATATATACACACACATATATATACTCAAGTATATATAACTATATAAGACATTCAAGATTTAGTCATAGTTATTTGGCATTTTGTAGACAAAACAAAAAGAAAGAAGTAGGTTTGAGACCTGGTACGGTGAGAACTCTGTCACTCTTTATTGTTCTTCCTTCTTGTCTTAGTTAGCTCAGGCTGCTATAATAAATTATCCTAGACTGGGTGGCTTAAACAACAGACATTTTTTTTTTCCTCACTGTTCTGAAGGCTGGAAGCCTAAGATTAAGATGCTGGCAGATTACACTCCTGATAAAGGCCCTTCTCCTGAATCATAGAATGCTGCTTCTTACTGTGTCCTCACATGGCAGAGAAACAGGGAAAGAGAATGAGAGAGAGAGAGACAGAGAGAGAGAGAGAGAGAGAAAGAGAAAGAGAGAGAGAGAGAGAGACAGAGAGTATGTGTTCTTGTTCTTCTTATAAAGCCACCAAACTCATGATCTCATCTAACTCAAATTACCTCCCAATTCTCCCCACCTTCACATGCCAACACATTGAGGGTTAGGGCTTTTCTGGGGGTGGGAAAGAGACACAATTCAGCCCAGGCACTTCTTATTTCTTCTTTGCCCATTACTTCTTTTATCTTTAAAAAATATTTCACAACAGATGTGAAAATCTTGTTTGACTAGAGGTGCAAACGTGTGTGTCCGATGATGCCCAATTTAAGTATATTTAGACAGAAAGATATAAGATTCTGTGAGTGAAAAATGCCATGCATTAATAGTGATTGTCTAGGGAAAGTGTTTCTCATTTTCAGTGAAAGTTGGTTTTGCAATACAAATAGTGTTGTGTGTCCCATTATATGTTATACATTAAATTAGTAGAAATACATGCACGAAATGTATTAAAAACATGCACAAAATGCACATGAATGGTAGCAGTTATGAGCACACTCCAAAGCCAAACAGTCTGGGTTTGAACACTCATTCTGCTACATACTAGCTGGATGACTTTGGCCAAGTAAATTGATTTGTCTGTGCCTCAGTTTCCTTACCTATAAAATAAGAACAACAGTATCCACCCCCTCAGTTTCCTCACCTATAAAATAAGAACAACAGTATCCACCCCATTTGATGGTTGTAAAGATTAAACGTATCAAATTACATATATAAACATGTATAGACACATAGATGCAGAACAATGTCTAGCTTTCAGAAAGTACTGTATGTTTATTCCCGATAAAGTACTAAACATGAAGATGAAACACAACACATGCTTTCAGAGGAGTTCCGATTACAAATAAGACTGAAAAGAAATATAGAACTTACCACCAAGTCACGGAACAATAACCCCAGAAACACAGAGTTTCTAAACTGGTAGTCTCATGTCATTTTATACCGAGGTTAAACTTTTATGATGACAACCAGAGCATCCCTCAAATCAAACGGGGGATGTATGAGGACTCTTTTGGTTCATTACTGAATCCTAGAATTCAACCAATACCTGTTGAACATAGTTATAAAGAAATAATAAGTTCCAAAGGGGATAATGCATGCATGAGAAATATTCAACATAAATGGTGACAACAAATTAGGCCAGTCAGAGTTTGAAGGAAGCACAGCAGATATCTGATCAAAAATAAAAAGGGGAATGTAATCTTCTCATTTGTGAAATCTGGATTCTTAGCATTAAAGAGTATAACTCAAAACCAAAACCAAACCCTGGCTAAGTGTATCAAAGAACATGATACTTAAGTGCCTTGAATTCACCTACATAGAACTATCGAGAAGCCAGGTGTCAAAGATATTGTGAGAAGTCCAGGAATAGGTAATAATTAACCACAGGCTCCAGCAATGCAGGCAAGAGAGCTGTTACATATATGCCTGCTGCTTGTTTGGCTATTAAAGTCATTTCTTTTAGAAACACCATATGATTCATCTCTGAATAAAATAAAGTCTTCCAAAATTAGGGGAATCCCAGCTTGAAAAGGTATCAGACAAAAAATCTGACCTGTGTTGGAAGCACTATAGCAAGAGGACTTCGCTCTATAAAGAACCAGCTCTGCCAAAAAAGAGCCCGCATCGCCAAGTCAATCCTAAGCCAAAAGAACAAAGCTGGAGGCATCACACTACCTGACTTCAAACTATACTACAAGGCTACAGTAACCAAAACAGCCTGGTACTGGTACCAAAACAGAGATATAGATCAATGGAACAGAACAGAGCCCTCAGAAATAATGCCGCATATCTACAACTATCTGATCTTTGACAAACCTGAGAAAAACAAGCAATGGGGAAAGGATTCCCTATTTAATAAATGGTGCTGGGAAAACTGGCTAGCCATATGTAGAAAGCTGAAACTGGATCCCTTCCTTACACCTTATACAAAAATCAATTCAAGATGGATTAAAGATTTAAACGTTAGACCTAAAACCATAAAAACCCTAGAAGAAAACCTAGGCATTACCATTCAGGACATAGGCGTGGGCAAGGACTTCATGTCCAAAACACCAAAAGCAATGGCAACAAAAGCCAAAATTGACAAATGGGATCTAATTAAACTAAAGAGCTTCTGCACAGCAAAAGAAACTACCATCAGAGTGAACAGGCAACCTACAACATGGGAGAAAATTTTCGCAACCTACTCATCGGACAAAGGGCTAATATCCAGAATCTACAATGAACTCAAACAAATTTACAAGAAAAAAACAAACAACCCCATCAAAAAGTGGGCGAAGGACATGAACAGACACTTCTCAAAAGAAGACATTTATGCAGCCAAAAAACACATGAAGAAATGCTCATCATCACTGGCCATCAGAGAAATGCAAATCAAAACCACTATGAGATATCATCTCACACCAGTTAGAATGGCAATCATTAAAAAGTCAGGCAACAACAGGTGCTGGAGAGGATGTGGAGAAATAGGAACACTTTTACACTGTTGGTGGGACTGTAAACTAGTTCAACCATTGTGGAAGTCAGTGTGGCGATTCCTCAGGGATCTAGAACTAGAAATACCATTTGACCCAGCCATCCCATTACTGGGTATATACCCAAAGGACTATAAATCATGCTGCTATAAAGACACATGCACACGTATGTTTATTGCGGCACTATTCACAATAGCAAAGACTTGGAACCAACCCAAATGTCCAACAATGATAGACTGGATTAAGAAAATGTGGCACATATACACCATGGAATACTATGCAGCCATAAAAAATGATGAGTTCATGTCCTTTGTAGGGACATGGATGAAATTGGAAACCATCATTCTCAGTAAACTATTGCAAGAACAAAAAACCAAACACCGCATATTCTCACTCATAGGTGGGAATTGAACAATGAGATCACATGGACACAGGAAGGGGAATATCACACTCTGGGGACTGTGGTGGGGTCGGGGGAGGGGGGAGGGATAGCATTGGGAGATATACCTAATGCTAGATGACACGTTAGTGGGTGCAGCGCACCAACATGGCACATGTATACATATGTAACTAACCTGCACAATGTGCACATGTACCCTAAAACTTAGAGTATAATAAAAAAAAAAAAAGAAAAAAAAAAAAGAAAATTAAAAAGTAAAAAAAAAAAAAAAAAAAAAAAAAAAAAAGAACCAGCTCTGCCTTTCACTATTGCAAATCACTATCTATGACTAGCAGCCATATGTCTGGCCTGTTTCGGGTTTTGTCACAGCGTGACTTTAATGCATAAATAGCTACAGTTCCAAAATCTACAGGTGCTTGGCCATACTATTCCAAGTCTCCAGTAGCCTTTTAAAATTCTATTCCCAGAGTAGTTAAATGATGGAAAGTTTAGTCAACATTTATGCAGATATACTTTTGGCTCTTTCAAAGTCTTCTGAATATTCATCTTCTCTAAATGTTAACACTACAAAGTTTTCCAATTTTAATGTATTTTTTAATTTTTCAAATAACATAATGACTGACTGAAAAAATTCTGTTTATTATCTCAAGAAAACTGCTAAAAAGAAATGGAAGTTCAAGTGAGCAGGTTTACTAAGGAATGAATAGGAATTGAGAAATAGAGATAGTGACAGCTGATTTAATATATCAGTTGCATTTAGAATCACTGGGTATATTAATAAAAGGAAGATTACTAATACTTATATAATTTCTACTGAATCTCAATTTCTAATCATAGAGCTAAACAAAATATGTTTTGAAGAGTCTTCACATACGGCCCCAATGTTCCTGAAACACCAGTATAGACAACGCTGGCAGATGTGCTAAGGAAGGAAAGATCTAAGCAGGTTTAAAAAGAAAAACTGGAAACAGCAAGATGACAGTGAAATAATGAAAAAAGAAATAATGGGCTAATCAATGCAAACAAGGTCTCTCTGGGGACAGGATGAGAAAGGCAGAGAGAGGTACTAGGTTTACAGAGAAGAAAGAACCAACTTCCACATTGAAGCAGAAGACACAAAGGAAAGAAAGAGCAGAGACGCAATTCAGTCCATATGTTACGTGGCATAAAGTTGACATTTCCAGACTCTTCTCAAGCCCAAGCCATCTCCTGAGAATGAGGGAAGAGGCAGGAAGTACAGAGGTTCAGTGCAAGTCCAGAAAGCTTGAAGCTGCTGATTGCTTTCTAATTAAGATACTATATATGTTCTTTGTTTTAGAGAGGTAAAGGGATACTCACTAGCAATCTCTCATTAGTATTTCTTAGGTGCTTTAAACTGCTGTAACTACCACCAATTCAAATATAACTTCTAGGATTGATGAATTGGTCTGGGCAATTAGAATAGCAGAAAAAGCATATTGAAAGGAATTTATCAATTTCTACCAAGGCAGGTTTTTTTTTTTTTTTTGCGACAGCCTTTGTTAATTTCAGATATCATATCATCCATGATTACCATCATCTATAATAAATCATGTGATTTCTGCATCACAGCTTATTTTTAAAACAAGAAAAGGAAGGTAAAAAATTATTGTCTCTTCATAGTCAATGTAATCTTGTTGAATCAACCCAATTTTTTTTCCTAGGTGAATTTTGGTAGAAAGAAGATGAATTTGGGACAAATGAAGAAGAATGTCAAAGAGAGGGAGGAAGGGAGAGACTCATTATCCCCCAGTGTTTATATAGTGTATTTATTGTTCCTTTCTGTTTTCTGAAAAACGCAGATGCATTTAAATTGATTAGTAAGTCAGACATCTCTATAAACAACAGGAAATTGTATGCTCAAGTCTAACTACCACCAAAATCAGAAGAACTTCTTCAGACGCCAGGAAAACACTGATCTGCATTCTGTAACTACAGATTTGATTTGTCCTCTCTACAGTTTCATATGATGCAATTATACAGGATGTACTCTTTCATGTCTAGCTACTTCAGCGTAGGTTTTGCGATTCTCCCATATCGTTATCTGTACTTTGCTCTTTTTATTGTTGAGTAGTGTTCCATTGTATGGATGTGCCACAATTTGTTTATCCATTTGGCATTTCATGAATATTTAGGTGTTTAAAGTTCCAAACAACAAGAAATGGGAGTTCCATTTCCTTCATAGCCTCACCTCCAATTTGGATTGTCAGTTTAAGAATTTTAGCTATTTAAGTGAGTGAATAGCGGCAAACTGTGTTTTTTTGTAAAATTTTCATTTCCCTAATGACCAGATGATAGTAAAATGTACTTACTAGCCACTTATGTGTCTTATTTAATGAACTATTGAAATCTTTTGCTCATTTTCAATTATGCTGTTTGTCATATTATTGAATTGTATATGTGGACATGGACAAAGATATATATAGATAAAGATATATAAATGATGTATATACAGTATAGCTATATTTTAGAACCAAGTCCTTTATCAAGTAAGTGTATTCCAAATATGTTCTTACAGTCTGTAACTTGTTTTTCCATTGCCTTAATGATGTCTTCCAAAGAGCATTTTTTCACTGTGAGAAAGACCAATAGTGTTAGTTTACTTTTGCTGCGGTAACAAATGACCAGAAACATAGTGGCTTACAACAGCATAAATGTGTCATGTGACAGTTCTATAGGTTAGACATTTGGCATGGCCTCAGTGTTCTAAAATCAAGGTGTTGGCAGGGCTGTGTTTCTTTCTGAAGGCTCTAGGGACTCTTTCTGCTTCCAGAAGTGGCCAGCATTCCTTGGTTCATGGTCCTCTTCCTCTATCTTCAAAGCCAGCAACTTGATATCTTGCTGACTGTTCTTTTTCAGTCACATGTCCTCCTGCTTTTAAGGATTTCTATGATTACATTAAGCCCATCTGGATAATCAAAAATAATGTCTCCCATCTCAAAATTCTTAATGTAATCACATCTACAAAAGTTCCTTTTGCCATGTATGGTAACATATTTAGAAGTTCTGGGGATAAAAATGTGTACAACTTGTGGAGGGGAGGAAATTATTTTGTCCAGCATACCAGTGTGCATTCTAAGAAACCTTTACCTAAACCAAGTTTGCAAATATATTTTTTCTAGTAGGTGGTTTGTAGTTTTAGCTCTTATATTTTGATCTATCATGTATTTGAATTCAAATCTTGCCTGTGGTGTGAGGTAAGGGTTGATGTTTTATTTGTCCCATTATAATTAGTTGTTACACCATTGTAAAAATGACTATTTCCTATTTGAATTACCTTGGAACTTTGTCAAAAATCAACTCTGACTACATGTGTCTGGATATATTTCTGGATTTTATATTCTGTTCTATTGATTTGTATGTCTAATCTTACATTGATAATTCTCTTTTGATTATTGTAGCTTTTTAGCAAATCTTGAAATCTCTGGAGCTTTCTCTGGAAGCACAGCATGAATATAATAATATTCTTTTATAATTTAAAAATGAATAACAGAATTGACCTGGTAATAATAATGAATTGCTGCTTGGCACTTTGTCTCGACAGAACTATCAATATCTATGCTGTCAAAATCTCTCCATTTTGACTAAAAGGATTTTAGTTCAACATTTCAAAAATGTACAAAAATGTGCCCACTATGGTCCTGGATGTGGTAGAGTAGAAAAATAAGGCACGTGTGCAGTGTGGTGAAAAGAGAGACACACGGGGTAGCACAGTGCGATTGTCTTTGCAGGGTACTTAGGCACCAAGCCCAGCTCACTCACAGGAGCAGGAGTCCCTGTCCACCTGCGGAGCCAGTGGTAGCTCCACAGAGGATGAGGCCAAAAGCTGTGGGACTTTAAAGACAAGTACGACTTCCCAGCAGAGAATCATGATGAAAAGAAACAGTTGAGACGTGACTTCCAGCACTTACTTTTAGGACTCAGATAAAGTTCTTCATATTCATCCTTACTAAATTTAGAATCATTTGTTTTGGATGAATCCCCAGGCTATCGAGTGTTTTTAAAAGAATTCTTGGCCGAGCGCGGTGGCTCACGCCTGTAATCCCAGCACTTTGGGAGGCCGAGGCAGGTGGATCACCTGAAGTCAGGAGTTTGAGGGCAGCCTGGCCAACAGGGTGAAAACCCATCTCTACTAAAAATACAAAAATTCACTGGGTGTGGTGGCGGGCGCCTGTAATCCCAGCTATTCGGGAGGCTGAGGCAGGAGAATCACTTGAACTCGGGAGGCAGAGGTTGCAGTAAGCTGAGATCATGCCACTGCACTCCAGCCTGGGAGCCTGGGACAGGGCAAGACTCCATCTCAAAAAAAAAAAAAAAAAAAAAAAAAAAAAGAATTCTTAGTATATTACCCAAGCACATTGGTGTGAGGTCATTTGTGAAGGTGAGATGCACTTGTTATATTAGATTGGACAAGCCAACGGCTAACAGGAGACCTGCCTTTGTTAAAATATGACCTCAGGAACCAAGAGGTGTTGGTTGGGTGCTGACTAGATACTGGTAACTGCTCAGGGCGTCATCGAGAAAACAAATACAAGTTTCCAGTTGCTGAGATTGCTAATTACTACCTTCTACAAATAGTTGATAGAGGGAAGAATATGGCAAATAAAATATGACTGCCACATAATAAGAGGGTGAAAGACTTTGCTATTATGACCTTGTTGCATGCTGTATTCATTTCCTAGAGCTGCCGTATCAAAATACCAAAAATTGAGCAGCTTAAATCAACATACATTTATTTTCTTATTAGTGCCGGTGGTTAGAAGTCCAAAATGAAGGTGCTGGCAGGGTCATGCTCTCTCCGACAGTTTTAGAGAAGCATCTTTCCTTGCCTCGTCTAGCTTCCAGTGTTTGCAGGCAATCCTTGACATTCCTCGGCATGTAGATGCTTCAGTGCAGTCACTTGGCTGACTTCTTCCTATACCTGTACATCGTTTCCCTTCTGTGCACGTCTGTATGTGCCCCCAATTTCCCCTTTCATAAGGACCATCAGTTATATTGGATTACGGCCCACCCTAACTACTTCCTTTTAACTTAATTACCTGTGTAAAGACTCTGTTTCCAAATAAGGTCACATTCTGAGGTACTGGAGGCTATGACATCAACAGATCTTTTCTGAGGCAGACACAATTCAGTCCATAACACATGCCTTACTAAAATATAAACAGAGACACTGTTTACAACCCTTCATTGATCTATATAATAAATAAGCTTAATTTGGAGAGACTACTATTGGGTAACTCCAACACACTTCAGAGTGGTCATATTTTTTTCAATAATTACACAGAAATCCTATGTTTAATAATCTGCTTAAGATCATATTTACAATCCTATATTTGATTATTCATATCCTATTTGCTGATGTAAAAACATCCCACAGTTTCCAAAGATAATCGAGTGCCTGTCAATTCCTCATTGCCACTTCCTGATAGCTAATAATTTTTCTAAATTATACCTTCTGTACATCACGACACCTGGTTTTACCTAGTAGTTTTAACCTTTCTCATTTCTGTTCAAATTACCATTTCTAGGTCTCTTGATAAGGATTAGGACTCTTCATTTCTAAAGCCAGTGTTTGGAATTTTCATAGTGGGGATGTTTTTAAAAATCCGTGGTAAAATAGAATAAATAATATTTTTAAACAAAGTAAAATAGGCTTATTTACTTTCAAACACTTCAGCCTTTTGTATACAGGCATATATTGAAAATCATGAAGAAAAGGATGTAATAGGCAATGCTGAACATATTTATTTGCCCATGGAATACTTTTATCATATCACACATAAGAAACACACTTAAGAAATCACAGACCTACAATAAATAAATTATAAAATCTTATTCTTTAAAATCATCTGTGTGTTCAGGTATTCACTTTTCTTGTTGTCCTTTCTGCTTGGTTTCATGACCTTCAACCCAGAAGAAGAAATTAAAATATTTTCTTTATTTTCTGTTAATACCATCTTCTACTTAGTAAAAAAAATCACCAAAGTTTTCTGTTTCTTTCTTCCAGTTAATCAATTAAATGTTGGTATACTTAAGTAGACATGTATCTATCTACCTAAGTCACTTCCTTTGGGAAACAATCCTTTCTCTCACTCTTCAAAAATACTGCTCGGCCGATTAGGTTTGGTCAGGGCTAACCCTACACAAGAGAGAGCAAAATAAATGTACTCCACCTCCTTAAGTCAGAATTTCACACATGAAAGTGGGAGAAGGAGAAGAAAAAGAAAGAAAAGGAAAGAAGAAAGAAGAAAGGAAAGGAAAGGAAAGAGGAAAAGAGAGGAAAGGAAAGGAGAAAGGGAAGGAAAGGAAAAAGGGGAGGGGAGGGCAAGGAGAGGGGAGGGGAGGGGAGGCAAAGGGGAAAGAGAAGAGGAAGGGGAAGGGACTCTTGGTTTGCCTGAAACTTCAAACTGTAAAAATCATATCAGTGTTTCATTTCCAGAACCATTATGCTCATATCCCTTTTGCTTAGGGAAGTTTGAATTAACTTTCTGTCTCAGACCACTGAGAAAGTAATAATAAATGCTTTTTCGTTGTTAACAAGTCATCAATGACTCTTATAGTTCACACGTAGGCAAATGATACCCAATATAATTGAATGTTTCTCCATGTAGAAGCAACCCCAATTTCGCACAGAAATGAATGATAATTAACTTTCTTCTCTAGTCCCATTTGTTTCCTTTAGGAGCAGTACTTGCCATTCCAGCAAGTTTCTTTCTTCAGAGAGTGGGTTGCCTAAGAGAAGAGAAGATGCATTGTCTTTTTTGCATTTTTCACAAATCTCAGCCAAGTGTTCAATAAATTTTTTAATTAAATTACTTCTTTGATATCTTAGATAATGTATCATAGAGTTTATTGATTATAATTAATTGCTCCATCTCCAATTAAAATTTGTTCACTGTAACTCAAATAGCATACCCATCTTAAGATGTTTTATATAAATTGTATTCCAAAGTGAATATCATGTTAAAGGATTTTCTCTGCCCTTGCTTCTAGCAGCCTGCTTTCCCTTAATGTGAAATATTAGCCTCTGAAGACTACTTTCCTTTGAGCAGATTATCAAGATTAACCATCATTCTGCACTTTATATTCTACAAGGAAGGCTTTTTGCTCAATTTCTTCAAGAAAACATATGCACTCACTACTCTTTCTGATTTGTTGGGTTAGCTTATGTTATTTTGTTATTGGTGTTGCTGTTGTTGTTTTTGTTGTTACATTGTTCAATTTTTGGAGTTAAGCTTTCTGGATAACATTGAGAACATCCCCATAAAGCTTTGATTTTTTTTCTTGAAATACTAGTGAACAGTATTCCTACAGAAACTATAGGATTGATCAATGGTGAAATTTTTTTTAAAAAAGAAACTCTAGGACCAAGATGACCCTTTGGTGCCTATATATTTCCACTGTATTATAATATAAAGATCTTATTTCACCCTAAGATTCAATTAACATAAGCTTTAACAAACATTATTATTTAATGTTAAGCTATTAACATTACCATTATTTGATGTTCTATTATATTTAACATTATTTAATGTTCTATTATTCAACATTAAACTTAATAACAGAAACAGATGTTGTATTATTACAGGAAAAATGAGAAAATTATTGACGATAAATATTGGTCTCAACAATCAATAGAATTTATATACCCTCTTTTTTCTTTGCATTCTGACACAATCCACTGGGTACATGGTTATTAATGAGTTCCTTTTGAAATTATAAGATATTCTACCTATAACAGTAGTTTATCCTTGGTTACAGAGTAGGTCATTAGTTGTTAAGAACCATAACTTCAGATAAGGTTTTACAGTTAAATTTCCTTTAATCACTAACAAATAGCTTCTATTAAAGCCAAACTCTCTGCTGAAATTATCTTACCCAACTGCCCAGGGATTCCCAGGAGCTATGAATTTAGGTCTTTTTCTCATTTATTGAGCAGATCATCATATGGTAAGTAATCCTCAGCTTTGGAATCCAGAGGTTATAACAGACACCTATAAATTCTATGTAAAGTGTTATCTCTTTTTTTTTTCTTCCAGAAATACTTACTGTGCCTCAATGGGAAAATAGAAGAAACACAGTTGTGTGGTAACAATATAATTGTAGCCCAATTCGTTCTGCTCATTTCAATATTGCCTTTATTATTAATGCCCTCTCATTACTTTTCACTTAACAAATGATAAGACTAAAGAAAAGAAATTACTATAGGATATGATCGGGATTTTTTTCATGTACTCATACAAAGGTGATATCAAAAAAGGAGCACTTGTTCAAAAGATGTTAGGGTAGACTTTAGGGAGAGAAAGTGAAATAATTATCAGCGGCTGAGAAAAAAGAAAGATAAGAATTGTTTAATGTTCATAGGATATCCCAAATAGCAATGAAAAATCAGGATGTAAAAACTGGTTTTGCATAGTAAATGTGTTTTATGAAACAGAAGTATTGCTTTGAAATGAAGGTGCAAGGTACATCAGTTCTAAGTGCCTTATCCATCACATACAAAGCTTCCACAGTCAGGCAGCATTAATTCTATGGTTTTGTATTGCAAGTCAGGCCACAGGATACATATTATTTTAAAAGGAAATATTGGAAATGGTTGGAGGTGCTTGTAAACATATAATAGAGATGGAATAATGATGCATAGCACATTTACTGTACACACAGAATTTAGATAAGTGGAAGGAGAAGTCTTGTTCATCTTAAAGGCTCAGCTCACCATTCCTTAGGTAAGGTTTATGCCCTGGTTCAACACATTTACATTATGTAGGAGGAGAGGAAGGTACACCAAACAATTAATATAAAACCTTGAAGAACATGAGCATCCTGTTAATGGCCTATGAACAAGAAAGCCTTCTCTCACCATGGTAACCAGGAAGAGCTGTCAGAGTTTTCACAGTTGAGGCTTCCATTGTTGCTCAAGGGAATCCTGTGGATGCCTTAATTTCCTCTGCTTCTAGACATGTTTTCTAAAGGTTAAGACACTTTTTTGAGGGTCATGTTTAAGGTTCTTTTTCAGAATTAAAAATAAAATCAAATAAAGTGGGCCTAATTGAACACTCTGTGCAATGTATTAGAACTTGCTAAACAAGGTGACTTCTGCAATCTAAAGCTCTGGTGCAAGGTATGAAAAACTGGCATGGTGCCCTAGAAGGCAAGAACAGGTATGAATATGTGAGTGCACAGGGACTCCAGGAAGCCCATAGTTGAATTTGTTATACACATGTCATTTTCATTTTCTGGGAGAAAAGATGGCTAAGAATTGAAAGTGCTATATGATTCTAATGGAGGGGCCGTCTCAAAAAAGAGTGTGCAAATGTTCAATTTCAGTCCAAATGGACAATGGAGAATCATGGACTGTCCATTAAAGAAAGGTTGGGTCATGGATATGCATGGCATATATATGGTCAGGAGATGACAATGATCACTTCTCACATGATCCACTTATGAAGAAACTTTCTCAGAACGAGCTGCTCTTGTTTACACCTGCTGGACTTGCTGTCTACGCTCAATCTCAACTCACCAACTCCTTGCATTTATCTTCTCGGTATTAACCCTTAAGTCTTATATGTGATATCCATGTTCTCTGCTTGGGAAATTAATATTTTCAAGTATCTATCATGGTGACAACTGGGGCCAGTGGTCTTATATCTAAAGGGTCTGTTATTTTATGGTCAATGTTATATGTCAATCGGACTGGGCTAAGGAATGCCCTGAGAGCTGGTAAAACATGAATTCTGGGTGTGTCCATGAAGGTGTTTCTGGGAGAGATTAGCATTTGAATCAGTAGACTAGTAAAGGACTGAATGACACCTACCTACTGGGTACCAAGATGGTGGGCAGCATTCGATCCATGGAAGGCCAGCATAGAAAAATAAGGCAGAAGAAGTGTGAATTCACTCTCTCCTTATGCTGGAACATCTATCCTCCTGCCCTTGAACCTCCAAGCTCTTGGTTTCAGGCCTTCAGACTTCAGGCCTTGAAATTACACCAACAACCTCACACCCTTCCCCCATCCCTTTACACACCAACCTCCCTCCCACCCCCATTCTCAGGTTTTGGTCTCTGTCTGGGAGTGACACCATCAGCTCCCTTCCTTCTCAGCTCTTGGGACTCGGACTGAATTACGCCACAGAATTCCTAGTTCTCATGCAGATGTCATGTTGTGAGAATTCTTGGCATCCATAATTCCATGAGCCAAGTCCCATAATTAATTTCCTCTTATAGATCTGTATATCCTATTGGTTCTGTTTCTTTGCAGAACCGTAATGCAAAGCCCCAGGAAATATGCTCCAGAATCAAACAATGACAGATGGTTGCAGAGCCTCAAGGAAGAAGACATGCCAGCCATGCCCAGTTATCTCAGACTCCTCTCTTCAATAATCTTATAATAACTATATTTATAAGCTCAAGATTTGAACATATAGACATGCTGTGTCTCAATTCCCATAGGACACGTGAAAAAGATTTTTTGTAATATACTGATTGAGCATCCCTAATCTGAAAATCTGAAATCCAAAATGCTTCAATCTTCAAAGCCTTAGAAATCTGACATGATACCACAAGCAGAAAATTCCACATGTAAGTACTTAACACAATTTTTTATGCACAAAATTAATAAAACTATTGTATAAAATTACCTTTAGACTATGTTTATAAGGTATATATGAAACATAAATGAGTTTTATGCTTAGCCATGGGTACCATCCCTAAGATACCTCATTATATATATGCAAATATTCCAGAATCTGAAATCCAAAACACTTCTGGTCCCAAGCATTTCACATAAGGGATACTCAACCTGTATTGATAAATATATACTAGAGTCAATAGAGTTACATATACACATAGCAGGGTGTACAGCCTGCCATAAAAATCTTAATCAGTGGGTTGATATAGAAATGTTTTAAAAGAGAAAGAAAAAAATGTTTTAGAAATATTTCAGAGTTTCACTCTTGGCTTATTCCATTTAACACAGAGATATAAAAGATTTTTATCTAGAATTTGGATGTCAGATTTCAGAATAATAGGAAATTGATCAGATGTTGTAATTATCATTCAATATTATCCTTTTAAGGAGGAATAACAGCTTGAAATATGGAATATTAAGCTACCAAAATAGACATTTGACATTAGTCCATATGGAAAAGGGTCAATATAAATCAACATAGGAATACAATATATAAACAGTAAATGTGAAATAAGGCTCGAATGACAGAAACAAAGCCATAGAATCAAGAAATATTATTCACTCACTAGAATTCAAACGGCCGTTTAAGTACCTATGCACCGTGAACATGATCAAGATTTAACATGTGAATGAGGCCTAGACATCAGGAAACTTTCAGCATGACAAGTCTGGTGGGAGAGACAGACTTGTAAACACAAATGTCAAGACGTGTGATATGCAGAGCTGACATTCAACAGTGCTGCCCAGCAACATACAGGCTTGCATTAGCTCAGACTAGCAATAGACACCATGTAACGCTGATTAAAACATATTTTTAATATCAACTGAACTGGGTGATACAGGTTCCATAATACTGTTGTGCTTAAAGATAGGCAGAATTTCTAACAAGAAAGGAACCAGGAAATGACGCTGAAGACTGAAGGAGCATCATGGAGCCTAGAAACATAAAACTTTTGGTAGTTTTCACCAGTCAAGTTCGGTGAAAGAGCTTTGGTGGGAGACAGGCCTGGAAGAGTAGAAAGTGAGCCCAGGGATGGATTTGGGAGCCACTCACGTGGATGTGATAGTTACAGTAACAAAAGTGAATACAATCTTCAAGGAAGAGAATGCAAATGAAAAAACAGTAGAAGGCCCTATTAAGTGAAAATTGGATTTATATTTCAAGAGAAGTTAAAAAAAAATCATGAAGCTCGGTAATGTAGAAAAGCTAGGCTTTCATAGAAAACTGAGGGTAAAAAGCTCAGAGAGTACAGTTCTGCCCTGTCCTCTACATCTGGGTCCTGGAACACAACCATGTACAGAGGACATCATTGGATCAAGTAGAACAGAGCATAAGTAATCAGAGGATTTTCTTTGTCCTGTTAAAATCTCCAATGCTGTTCACGGTAGAATATATGACCCCATATATTCCACTGAGAAACTTCAAGATTCAGTTTGCTGTCAATGTGTCTCCAGCTAAATTAGGCTAATAAGTTAGCCTAATTTATTCTTTCTGAGGGCTTTTGTGCTTAGTAAAGACAACCTGAAAGCATAGATTTTCACTCTTTGGTGTCAGCAATCTTCTTATCCCAACATCATCCTTGGTAATCTTGATAATGTTGGAGGAGAAAGAAAATGAAGAAAAATCTGTGATAAGATTTATCTCAGAAGCACCCTAAATGATAAATTATGATTTTCATGGGCATTCACAACAGTCTCTGATAGGAGCTTCATGCTTGGAAAATGAAAGGGTTCGTTTCTGATACATCTCCCTGGGCCATCTTGCAGCATTCCTTGATCTTCCCTTCAATATGTTACCAGTCACGCAGTAGCACTCTGTCACCTAATTTAATGGTGCACCTGAGAGAAACTGCGTCTGCCTTCCACAGACAGAACATTAGCAATAACAGGAAACCACAAGTCTGTTAGGAGGTCACAGTTGGCAATTTTATTGTTATTATTGAGGATGGTGATCAGAGGCTCGGGAGTGAACATCACCCTTGACAGAGATTGTTCTGGAACAACCACAATTTCATTTTATGGCTCCTTTTTCAAAAGTGCATATATTTATGAAATCGCTCTTATGAAGTTCAGCACAATCTTGATGGAACACTTCTGCATTGTTGTGTGATACGGTACAGTGGCAGAGGCTGAAAATATCTTTAAATCAAAAATAGTGATACCAGTTGCAATTTTTTAGTTAAAAAAGGAAGAAATGCTTCCCAACAATAATCCCTTATGCCAAACCAACTGTTAGAGCAGAGATTACTATCCTTACCACAGTTACCATATGCTTAGAGAATCTGCTCCAAGCACAAGTAACAGCTGTCACTCCCATATGCGGGGTTAGTGAGAGCCCAGCGGTGCTGTGCTGCTATTTCCATTGCACGTCTGGGTGTGCATGCTCATGCCTGATTCAGGTTCACATAAACTGAAGGTGTGTGCCTCACAGGTGCTGCACTTTGCTGGTGGCATATACTACGAGGCCCAGTCATGTCTGTGTGACAGCCCACAGGTTGAAAATGCAGGCTGTGGCATTTGCAGAGAGCTTATTTTAAATGGATTTGTCCTCTTCTAAAGGTATTGCTCCAGCATTACGTAAAGTCAAAAAGTCCTTCGACTCATGGGCTCAGAACCCCGGGGCTACAGAGACTCATGAAACTTTCATCAAAAACAATTCTCAGTTCTCAATTTATTAAAGAGATCACCTGTGTATAGGTTTTGACAGTTATTTATGGAATTCATGGTGGTTAAGTCTAAAGTTCTATATCTCGTTTCCAGTGGTTCTTTAAGATACCTCTCGACTAGACATTTTTATGGCATATATTGTTGGTAGTGAACAAAGAAGTGTAAAATTATATTACATTAGAGGTATAATCTGACCCAACATCCAACTTGGTTACTTCAAAGATGAAGAAACCAAGTTAATATTTTATTATTTTTGTTTATATCTTTATTAGGCCATTAGATTTTTGTTCTTCAAAACCTCACTGCCTTTTTGTGACTCCCTGTTTCCCTGGAAAATTCAAGGTTTATGTAAGGTTTGTAAAAATAAGTCAGCTTCATTCTCATGGATGTTCTTATTATGATGATCTTTTTGTATCTATTCTATCATCTGAGAAAAGGCACAAATGAAATGTTAGCTCTCCTTTCTCTCATGCATCAAGTCATTTTAAATTGGAGAAACTGTGCAACAGGGAGTATCACAGTATAAAATTTACATACATGTTTTTCCACTTTATATTACCTGCTAGGAGGACCTATAAAAGAGGAGGATTCATGGACAAATTTTAGAAGCATAGAGTCTACCAGATCACTATTTTAAATTAAGGATTTTTTTAATCTCCAATTTACATACAAGTTTAGAGCTAAGCAATGAATACTAAAGGCATTGACCTCACTGGAAATGGACTTCTTAGATGGAAATGTTATAAAATACTCTAGGAATTGCACTATCAGCTTAGTACAAGGTCTGCATTAAAAACCTAAGTAGTTAGAAGCCAGGGGCCATGACCAGAATCTAATCCCAGAACAGTCAAATGAATAGAGTTGGGTCATTTAACTTTGAGAACTACGCTGTCCACTTTAAAACAAATAGAATGATACCAGGTGACTGAAAAGGGTATCTGGGGGGTGCACAATCATCGATGTAGCTGAAGCCTCAGCAGGGACAGAGAGTCCACATGACTAAGCTGAGTTCAAAGATGGATTCTAAACACTCTTCCTGATTCAGCTGAACAGCCCTGGGTGTGGGCATTGTTTAACTGGAAATTGAGTTGAAAGCACATACGACCTTAAATTCATGGTGCCCTTTAAGGATTCTCCTGTAATCCAAATTCTGTGATTCTAGAATACTCATTGAGAAAGATGATGTTCACCTACTGCAAGGAGTAGAGATCGCACTCCAAGGCTATGCTGAAGGTGCTTTTCCATTACATAAAAGTTCCCTCAATAGAATGAGCTCTTAGTGTGATAGCTGAATTTAGTGGTAGCCTTGATCTTATTTGTTTTTTATTTTTATGAACAACGCTGTGAACTCCACAATGCAAGTTGTGTAGAGATAGGCCAAACTGTCCTTAGCTCTGGTTTCAATGAAGTTTATTATTTTCATACTATTTCTTTTCAGAGCAATTAAGAGAGCAAAAAAATACAGACAACAAAGCCCCCACATCTTGGCATTTTTAAAGAATAGTTAACAGAGACAAAGATGGAGAAATAGGAGGTCCCCAGCCATCATCCCCCTACAGAAGCAACAATTTTCCAGCCACCCGTGGACAAAAGTGCCTTTGTGGGAGCCTTGGGATCCAGGTAGGAGGTTGTGAAACCCTGATGGAGCCCAAGAATAAGAAAGCCCACTTTGAAAGGGCAGGCCCATGCCCTGGTGATAGGCCTGCTGACAGTAGTCCTGGCTATAGATTCAAAAGCAGCCCATGCCCCTGGGGACTTGGCTTCAGCCCCATTTGGGGTTCAGCCACTACACAAAACCAGGCATGCTGGCTGTGGCAGGGTAGGCAACTCCAGGTGCCAGCATGGGTGCTGGATCCCTACAAGGCTGCAGCTGGTCCAGGTGTACCACAAGCAGCTTCCACAGGTGGCACTGGGGAACTGAGTGGCACATGGAAGCTTGGAGATGCCAGGAATGCAGGCTCTGAGAGTTCCCAGGTCTGGGCTCCCCAGAGGGCCACAGCTCTTCTCTCTTCTCTCCTTCTTGTCATCCACAACATGATGAGCAAGGGGCATGTTTCAGTTTGTGTTACAACTCTTTTAGACCTGCCATGTGGTGGCTCCCAAGTTCTTGTCCTGTGTCCAGGAAGAATTAGGTGTGCAGACAAGTGGAGGGTGAGCATGGTGAAGAGGAGCTTTATTGAGTGACAGAACAGCTCAGAGGAGAACTGAATTGGGTAGCTCCTCTCTGTAGGCAGGGTGTCTCGATAAGTGTTCAGCTGTCAGCAGAAAGGAGACCATGGAGTGGGTAGCTCCTCTCCACATCCAGTCATCCAATAATCTCCACAAGTCAGGCTGAGTCCAGGGTGTTTATGGGCCTCAGAGCAGGGAAGTGCACACCGATTGGTCCATGGGTTGCCATGGATGGGCCTAGAAAAAGCACCACAAGTTCCCACTCTGGTCTGTGGGACTGGCAGCCCGGGCCCCAGGCTTTAGGCCCTATCCAGCTTGAAGGTGAGGCTTCACTAAGGACTTGCCCTTTCTACTCAGGCACCTGTCTGCCTCCTGCCCCCATTCATGGAGATCAGGCTGTTCATGAAAAGGGGTCCCTGCAGGCCAGCACTGAACTGCCCTCAGTCCCTGCTTAGCCTTCCTCCTGTGCTCCTTGGTGCCCAAAGTCTGGAGGGGGCTGAGACAGCAGGGGGCTGGTGTATCAGCACTGCCATGAGTGTGTGCACACCCAGCTAAGTTGCAACAGCACCTGGGCTCAGCCCCAACCTTGCTCTGAGATTGGAGAAGGAGTCAGGAGCCAGGAGAGGCCAAGCAGCAGGAGCAGACACCTCTGAGCCTGCAGGGGCAGCGAGGGCCTTTCCAGGACCCTGAGAGTGCAAAGATGCCTGGGTCCACAGCTGAGGCTGCACCTGGGAGGGCGGGACTCCTGCCTGCTCCCAGCCCCCAAGTACACAGGGAGGTCCAAGCCACAGCTGCAACTTGGGCAGCTGCAGATGCACCCAGGAGAGTGGGGCTCCTGCCTGCTCCATGGAGCACACAGCCCCACCATACCTCCCCTACTGCAGTTGGTGTCATGGCAGCAGCTGCTCCCAATGGGCCACCACTGCCACTAACAACGCAACCAAAGGAAACTGGTAAAGCTCCAGTAACTAACCCTAAGAAAATGAAGACCTACAAACTGAGACAAATCAAAATAACCAGCTTAAAAAAGCTCAATGAACTACAAGATCACAACTAAATAAAGTAAGCAAAGCAATACAAGAACAAAATGTTAACAAATATTATAGCAGCATGATTTCTAGTCCTTTGGGTATATACCCAGTAATGGGATGGCTGGGTCAAATGGTATTTCTAGTTCTAGATCCCTGAGGAATCGCCACACTGTCTTCCACAATGGTTGAACTAGTTTACAGTCCCACCAACAGTGTAAAAGTGTTCCTATTTCTCCACATCCTCTCCAGCACCTGTTGTTTCCTGACTTTTTAATGATTGCCATTCTAACTGATGTGAGATGGTATCTCATTGTGGTTTTGATTTGCATTTCTCTGATGGCCAGTGATGGTGAGCACTTTTTCATGTGTTTTTTGGCTGCATAAATGTCTTCTTTTGAGAAGTGTCTGTTCATGTCCTTTGCCCACTTTTTGATGGGGTTGTTTGTTTTTTTCTTGTAAATTTGTTTGAGTTCATTGTAGATCCTGGATATTAGCCCTTCGTCAGATAAGTAGGTTGTGAAAATTTTCTCCCATGTTGTAGGTTGCCTGTTCACTCTGATGGTAGTTTCTTTATTGCAGCACTGTTCACAATAGCAAAGACTTGGAACCAACCCAAATGTCCAACGCTGATAGACTGTATTAAGAAAATTGGCACATATACACCATGGAATACTATGCAGCCATAAAAAATGATGAGTTCATGTCCTTTGTAGGGACATGGATGAAATTGGAAATCATCATTCTCAGTAAACTACCGCAAGGACAAAAAACCAAACACCGCATGTTCTCACTCATAGGTGGGAACTGAACAATGAGAACACATGGACACAGGAAGGGGAACATCACACTGTGGGGACTGTTGTGGGGTGGGGGGAGGGGGGAGGGATAGTATTAGGAGCTATACCTAATGCTAAATGGCGAGTTAATGGGTGCAGCACACCAGCATGACACATGTATACATATGTAACTAACCTGCACATTGTGCACATGTACCCTAAAACTTAAAGTATAATAATAATAAAATAAAAAATATATATTAACAAAATATTTCTTAATAAAGAAATAGAAACCACAAACTAAAACTGAGCAGATATCCTGGAACTGAAAAAATCAATGGAAAAATACTGAAAGCTTCTCCTCTAAGATTTGGTGTGAAACAAGGATGTCCCCTTTTGCCACTTCTATTAACGAGAGCAAATAAACAAGAAAATAATTTAAAAGTATTTAGTATTAGTAATTTAAAGTTATTTACTATTATTAGTAGTCCCAGCTACTCAGGAGGCTGAGGTGAAAGGATCACTTGAGCCCAGGAGTTTGAGTCTGAAATGAGCTATAATTGTGCCACTGCATTTCAGCCTGGGCAACAGAGCAAGACCTCGTCTTTTAACAATAAGGAGGAAGGGAAGGGAAGGGAAGGGGAGGGAAGGGGAGGGGAGGGGAGGGAAGGGGAGGGGAGGGGAGGGGAGGGGAGGGGAGGGGAGGGGGAGGGGAGGGGGAAGGGAGGGGAAGGGGAAGGGAGGGGAAAGGGAAGGGAGGGGAGGGAAGGGGAGGGGAAAGGGAAAGGAGGGGAGGGAAGGGGAGGGGAAAGAAGGGGAGGGGAAAGGGAAAGGAGGGGAGGGAAGGGGAGGGGAAGGAAGGGGAGGGGAAGGGAAGGGAGGGAAGGAGGGAGGGAGATTTTAACAGGCAACTAATTGGAAAGAAAAAGTAAAATTATCTCTACAGATGAGATGATATGATCATGTATAGAGAAAATTCTGAAGTCTGTAAAGACAACAAAAAATTATTGTCTTAATAAATTCAGTAAAGTTGCAGAATACAAAATCAACATACAAAAAATCAGTGGAACCTTTATGAACAGATAAAAAATTATCTCATAAGAAAAATTTTAAAATAACTCCATCTACAATAGCAATAAAATACTTAGGAATAAATTTAACCATGCAGTTAAAAGACTTGTACACTGGAAAACAGAAAATATTGATGAAGAAAATTACAGAAGAGACAATGAAATGGAAAGGTATCCCATGTTCGTGGACTGAAAGAATTAATATTATTAAAATTAATATTATTAATATTATTAAAAAGTCCATACTAACCAAAGAACTCTACAGATTTAATGAAATCCCTAGCAAAATTCCAACTGAATTTTCCTCAGAAATAAAAAAATCTATTCAAAGGTGTATGTAGAACCACAAAAGACACCCGAATAGTCGAAGAAATTCTGATAAAGAAGGACAAGGCTGAAGACATCATACTACCTCACTTCAAAATATATTACAAAGCTATAATAATCAAGACAGTATGGTATTGGCATAAAAGCAGACACATAAACAAATGGAACATAATAGAGAGCCCATAAATAAATCCATGCATTTACAACTAACTGATTTTTCAAAAGGGTGCCAAGAACACACAACGGGGAAGAACAGTCTTTTCAATAAACGGTTCCAGGAAAACTGAATATTCACACACGGAACAATGAAATTGGACCCTTTTCTCATACCATATACAAAATTGTACTGAAAATGAACTAAAGACTTAAACACAAGACCTAAAACTGTAAAACTACTAGAAGAAAACAAAGGGAAAAATCTCGATGACCATATTTTTTAAGATATGATTAAAAGCACAGGCCACAAAAGCAAAAATAAACAAGAGTGATTGCATCAAACTAAAATTCTTCTGCAAAGCAAATGAAAAGTCAATGGAGTAAAAAGGCAACCTACAGAATAAGAATATATCCTAATTATTGTGTGTCTATGTATATAATGTATATATAATAATGTATATATGTATATACACATACACATATGTATATACACATACATATACATATGTATTATATATCTGTATATCTGATAAGAGGCAAATATCCAAAATATATAAGAAACTTAAACAACTCTATATAGCAAAAAAATAACCTGACTTAAAAATGGGCAAAAGGCCTGAATGCATATTTCTCAAAAGAAGACATAAAACAAACTAACGTATGTATGAAAAGGTGCTGAACATCACTAAATGTCAGAAAAATACAAATCAAAACCACAATAAGATATTACATCACACTATTAGAATGGCTATTATCAAAAACACAAGACGTACCAAGTGTTGTGAAGATGTGGAGAAATGGGGAACCCTTATATACTACTGGTGGGGATGTAAATTGACACAGCCATTAAAGAAAAAAAATAGTAATTCTTCAAAAAATAAAAAAGTAGAACTGCCATTTGACCCACCAATCCCACTTCTGAGTATATATCGAAAGGAAATAAAATCAGTTTATTGGAGAAACAGCTGCACTTTCATGTTCTTTGAAGCATTATTTACAATAGCCAAGATACAGAACCAACCTGTTTTCATCAAAGATGAATGGATAAAGATAATGTGGGAGATATATATGTTTATAAAATAAGATGATATTATTCAGCCTTTATAAAAAGAAATTCCTGCCATTTGCAACAACATGGATGAACCTGGAGAACATTATGCTAAGTGAAGTAAGCCAGACATAGAAAGACAAATAATACACGACCTCACTTATATCTGGACTCTAACATAGTCAAACTCAAACGGAGAGTAAAATGGTGGTTGTCAGAGTTGGGGAAGGAGGAGTAGGGGAAAATGGGGAGATGTTGGTCTAAAGGTATAAAATTTCAGCTATTCAAGATAACTAAGCTCTGAGATCTAATGGACAACATGGTGAACATAGTTAATGCTACTGTATTGTACACTTGAAATTTGATAAGAGGGTAAATCTCAGGTGTTCTCACCAAAAAAAAGCAGGTAGCTATGTGAGGCGATAGATATATTAATTAGCTTGACTGTGGTAATCATTTCAAAATGAAGATGTATATTAAAACATAAAATTGTATACCTTAAATATGTACAATTTGTGTCAGTTATATCTCAATAGAGCTACAAATAGTAGTTAATAGAACGGTGATGCTTGACTGCATTCCAACTTGGAGGTAAAAAGCTTAGTATGTGTCAAAATTCTGTCAATGAATTTATTCACTGTCTCAGATCTGTAGTAGATGGGTAATTGCAGAACTGAAGAAGTGCAAATGAATGCCAGGCCCTATGCCAAGTATTTTATCAACATAATTTTACTTAACTCTTAAAACACATCTTTAAGCAAAGCTGTAAAAGAGCAACAATTTTTTCCCATCACAAACATGGTAAAAGGCAGCGTTTAAAATTCTAACTCACATTTGTCTCACTTAAAACTCTATCATCTTCTGAATATACGACTATTTTGAAATATATATTCTTACATATTATAAAACATTGAAATATAGAGAGGTGACAAATTTAGATATCTGCTCACTATACTGTGACCACTCAACTCCATTAAGAAGGGAAGATCACACAAATCTGTCATCTGTACCGAAAAGGATGAAAATCTTCCTTTGTTAAACTGGAAGTGTTGGTACTTTGGCTACAATTAAATCCACAGAACCACCCTGTTCAAATAGCAGTCAACTCTTCTATGAGTTGTCAAATATTCCCATGCATCAAGTAAGGCCCATTCTTCACATTAAACAAAATGCTGAACTAAGTAGATTAGCAGGAGTTTTATTGTTTTCACTTATTCTTTATTTATTTTGTCTCATTACATGTGAAAAAATTATCTGCTGCAGTTTAGAAAAAAACTTTTGAAGTCAAATAACACACTATCTCAAGTGAGCCAAGAAGGTTAACGATCTATACTTTCAAAGCACTAGCTCAGTTAAAGTTTAAAATAATCCTTTGAAGACAGCAGAACTAGTTATCATTTTACCATTTTGCAGATGAGGAAACTGAGGCCTAAAAATTTTAGTTGCTTGCCCAAAGTCAGAAGGCGAGTGAGTGTAGCCAATGTTGCTTTGAGGGAGGAGAACGTCTCCTTGCTTTGACAATCTGTGAGTCAGGATCAGTTTGACTCTGCTATAATTAAAATCAGTCCAGTGAAAATTTGTGTTAGATGGGTTAATAGTGATAATTATTTAATATATCACACTGATAGCTAGTCAATTCCCTAAACATTAGTTGGTGTATTGTCAGGTGCTATATGCTAACTTTCATCTTACCATTTAAAAAAATTCTAAAAACACCTAACAGATTCATCAAGAAACCAAATGTAGATGGTTTCAGTGTAACTACTCTCAGTTGATTCTTAAGTTTTAAAACAATTGTAGATAGAGGTAAATTTGGGGTTAAACAATAAACTCTGTTGCTCAGATTTCATTAATTTGGTGCATTTTTCTTTCAAGATTAAATTTAACTCATATGGCTAATTATCAAAAAAGAATAATAAAATAAAGTATATTTGTTTATAAGTATAGGTTATTGCAAGTCTCACTTGGCTATAAAAATTACTATTTTCCAAAAATTAAGCTTGTAACTGCTCTCAGTTAATTCTTAATTTCTTCTATCCAAGAAGAAAATTGAAATGATTGAATCAGATACATCACCATCTATCTTGGCAGCACATACAAAAATTATCAGACCACATCCGTTATTCTACCAGTTCTGGTTTTGTGTTGTTTTTGCTTTCTGATAACTGACTCCTTACTTATGAAATGTTAGAGAAAGTTCTCATTAAACTTCAAAAGAAACTTTTCAGAAATAAATAAATCTGTCCAATACACTGGGATCTTGGGAAACAGATTCCTTTACAGGCATAGGCTGTTACACTGTGCACTAAATTTGAGAATTCGGAACAGCTATCAGAATGCATTTTGTGTAGCTATGATGCCTGTGGAGTCTAGACAGAGAGAGGCCGAGCCATTCCTTCAATTGCTCCCACTTTCTCTCGGACTGATCAGGGTTCATGCAGGAAGGACACAGCATAGTCACAGGTAACTCAGAAGAGTTTTATAAAAGGAGAATTTACAACGCAGAGAGAACTAACAAACATTGGTGAAGCAAGAGTGGAAAGTCTACCATCAGGAAGACGCCTGATAGGTAAAGGAGGGAACATCATCGCTGGATCCCTGAGGGAGAGCTGTGGTCAGGAGCCCAGGTACTGGTCTCCATACTGCGTGGCATAAGAGATCTGACTTGCTTGCTCCCAACTCCTGCTGACACCTCTCACTGGCCATGCCCTATCAGAAGCCAGAGGGTAGCAGCATCCCTTGCAGCCAATAAGGGTTAGACTCCTGGGGGACAGTGCAAGGCAGAGAAGGGCAGAGGGTAAGTAGGTGTAGAGAGGCCACTGGAAAATATCCAGGACCACCCCCCACCAAGAGCACCCAGCAGTCAGAAAGGTCCCCAGACAGGTTTGGGAAAGGTGTGAGGAGAAGGGCAAAAACACAGCCAGTAATGACCACGTGAACATAGTGGGAAGACCAGGTTATAATTTCCTAGCTTTGCATTAAGATCATGAGTTATAGAATTCATAGAAATCATCATTCTTATTTTACAGATGAGATAACTGAGGTGCAGAAAAGTTAAATAAATTGTCAAAATTCATACAACCAGTAAGTGGCAAAATTGAGATTTAAATTAATGCTTTCTGATATCAAATCATATGCTTTTCAAGTAGAGAATCCACACCCCTAGCAATATGTGAGGAGCCATTTGATTTCCCACTGGTCTGAGAGGTAGCCCTAGTAAGAAAAATCAGATGTTGTTCAACCCTGCTTGCATTTAGATTAGAAGTAACTGGAGGTCCTTGAGACTTGAGTAACCAAGAAATGCATTAAATAACATGAAGAACAAGACTAGTCATGGAAAGTTTGCTTTTTCTTTGCCTTTCTTTGAAAGAAAATTTGCCACCAAGGCATTTTTTTTCTCTTTGCCAGAGGCATTTCTAGCACTTGAGAGAACAGACTGTCATTTATACAATCCTGAAGTGGTTAATATTTATGATCAGTTGCCTGCTACCCTCTTCCCCAGGACAACTTGAGCTAATTTTTAGACTATAATTCACAATATGCTTTCTAAAAATAAGAAAAATAGTATGTGTCACCAATCTGTTTTTTATTTGGCCTCAATAAACTCCTCTCCACTAATATCTCTCAATTGTCCAACTATTCTTCAAAGAAAAGACCATTTCTTTTATCTTTCTAATCTTAAGGAAAACATTCATATTAACTGGATTTATCATTTTGTGATCAGACCATATAATCTGAATTAGGAAACTATTTTGGCAAAAAATGATAATAATTGTTTTTTGTTGTAATTTTGATGGAAATATCGCTGTGGAAATTCCTTTCTATCTAACATATGAGGAAGATCACCTACCGAGACTCCAGTACTTATATGTCATTTGCCTGAGAGTGCACACATTAAATACTTCATTGGTCACATTAAATATCTCAATCTTAAATTTTGGGTTGATTCTATTAAGTCTTTCTATAGTCATGAAGGAGCAACATGGATATATAATACTACTTATCTCTACGATAGACTTATGTTAAAATACTGACTCTGCAATGGTCATTGGCTAGGTACTGTTGGGAGGTGAGGACAGAGAAGACATAAGGAATAAAACAAATGCACGTACATGAACTCACACACATATGAATTCACATATGTGAACACATATAGAACACACAGGCGAACACACATGCATATGAACACTTATGGACCACGCACAAATCATCTTGGAACTAAAGTTCTTCACCATCTGATGGGGTGAGTGAATCTCTCTTACAGGCTAACAGACAAGTCACATACACGATCATTAATTTGTAGAACAACACATGCACTATTATGTTATTTCTGTAACTCACACAAAAGATAACACTGTCCATTTTATGTGGGGCCATGTATATGCATATAGAAATAAAAGTGGCTGGTGGGATATTCCCACACTGAGAACAGTGGTTAATCCAAAGAGTGGTTAATCTAAAAGATAACACTGTCCATTTTATATGGGGCCAGGAAATGTGTACAGAAATAAAAGTGGCCTGGTGGGATATTCCCACACTGAGAACAGGGGTTAATCCAAAGAGCGTGGAATGGAAGAATGGAGAGTAGTGATGAGAGATTTGACCCTTATTCATGCTACTTCACCTTTTATAAGAAGAATATATTTTCTTAATTGTGGTGTATTTTAAAAAACCTTTACAATAAGCCAAGTATTCTAATAGTGGTGTATACACAGTAATGTTAGCACAGATGAAGGAAAGATTAAATGTTTATGCATCCTTGGAAGCCATCTTAGAGGAGGTGCTATTTGAATTCAGTCTTAAAGATAAAAAAGAATGTTCTTATAAGAAATATGAGGGTGGGAGCATATCCAAAGAAACACAATAACGTATTGAAAGACAAAGAAATGGGACAAAACATGGTGTATTCACATTTTGGTGTGGCTCACAAGGAGAATGTGTATGCAGGGGAAATGAACTGGTGAAGAAGAGTTACTGTATTTGAAAGAGGCTTGCCTGTCAGATGAGACTTTAGAATCACTTTTAACCCATGACCCCTTAGATAAACAGAAATATCTCCTGCCTTCTTTTAATGTTAATTGAAACTGCACAAATAATGTGAATATTGCAAACTAAAAATGAAACAAAGGAATAGTAGCTTTAGAATCACACACACACACACACAATCATATTATCTGCTTTTGCTGGCTACACATTTTCTATTCTATGCATCATAAAAGAAAGAGAGAACAGAGAGCTGACATGCAATATTGAACCATTCCTACTGCTTTACTTCCATAGGGACAATGAACACAGAGTAACTTCCCAATTACATACAAATTAAAATAACAAGACAATACCCAAAGCCCACCAGAGCACACCGTTTACCTCATAATCAAATCCTAAAAATGATTTTCTAGAAGTTAACTGTATCAAATGAATGAAGCATTAATTTTTAAAAATTAAACTTCTCTGGGATAGCGACAAAAACTGGGCATCTCTGAGGAGAGTTTTGCACAAGCTTCCTTCTCGGCCAGAGCACGCGAGGTCATGGATTCATTCCCTGGATTTCACTTTCCCCACCTGAGCTGTGCTTTTGTCCCTTTGAACCACTGTCAAGCCGGGTGCTCTTTGAGATCTTCACTGAAGGATGAGACATTTGGTGTTGTGATTTTGTTAGCTGGGGCTGGAGCTTATATATGGATGCTGTAGGGCTTTTTTCCCATCAGTTTCAGTTTCAGCATATTTGAAGCTCGAATATACTTGCCAATTTTGCTAAGTTCTTTTGAAAATTATCATTTTTGGAGGTTTGAAGCATTTGGTAATTTTCCCTGGTGTTCTGAAACCAGAGCAACTTTAGGTCGCAAATCGGGGCAAGCATATTTCTATTTGACAAGGTTGCAGCGTGTTTTCCATGAGCTAATTTCAATAATGTATAAGCAGTCTATTCCAGGTCCCCTGAGTCAAGCTTTGTGGTTCACCAAATTAAATATATATGTGTGTGTGTGTGCATGTCTCTGTGTGTGTGTGTGTATAATTTATACATATATGTATATGTGTGTATATATATATAAAAAACATTAGATCTTTACGAAAGAAAAAGAAGTAGTGCATAGAATGGATGAGCCTGAAGCATGGATCCTGGAATAGTTCTGCCACCTAGTTCCCTCACAGTCTAATCCACACTCTGTCCTCACGAGCCTGGGTGAACATTTCTTCTGGAGGAATCCGTGTTAATAGCTCCTCCTAGAACAGGGCTCAGCTGTGCGGATGTCGTCTTATCAACCACAAGCAAACATGGGGGTAGGGAGCTGTGCGTCAGTGAATCTTGCTCGTGGGAAAATTGTTCTATCAGTCACAGTAGTATGTAGCAGGGCTACATTTTTTTAAAATAGTGCCTGCCCTTCTTGACTGTCTAAAAAAGCAGAACGAAATTCTCACTGAACCAGTAAACCAGCCAAGGAAAAGTGTGTCAATCACATTGATGATTTATTTCTAAGACTCTTGCTGAGTACAAACATTCTAAGTACCATTGGTTAAACTATTATCTTACTTAGAGGGAATAGCTACATAAATCAGAATATTCTTCTCAAGGACTTGCCTTTTGATTTATAATACTTTGGGACAAAATATATTCATCATCTCCATTCTAAAATGAGTAAGTTATTGGTTTCATATTTTTCCCTGCCTAGAATATGGAAAGCATCTTCAGAAGAAATTCCCAAACACAGTGCAAAAAGAGCTTCACTTTAAAAATGTTCAGGTCCAGTGGGACGATATGGGACGATATTCATAATCTGAAGTTTTAAAATTCTGATAGACATTCAAATGGCATCATTGTGGAAAATAAGCAAATTCTATTTGTCATTCAGGATCCTCACATTGCAATTTGAACAATCTACTAATCAACAGTTTTTAATTAACTGCATTACTCACAATGGACTCTCACCCTGGATCACTAAACAGGGTTTTCAAAGCTAAAATTTGGTAACAAATGATCTAATACATTCCTGAAAGAACTTGTTTCCTTCGACTTTCCACCAGAAATCCCTATTACAAAGCTAGCATAGCTGGCATTTTACCAGCTCATGCTCCAATCAGCTTTTTTCTAAATTAATTCATTACATCAAAGAATTTTATTCAGCTGCAAAGCTATCATCAGCTTTATTGTAATCTTCAAGACTTGAGAAAAAATCAGACATTTTTCTACAGATTTTTTTAACCACATATGCTATACATACACTAGTAGTTGGGAAAAAACTGCTTTGCTATAAAATTCATCACAATAAGTAACATAAGAGTAATAATGTCATTCCTGGCATATCCTACATTTTGATATGCTAAATTATTAATTCAGTGGTGGACATTGTGATGATTGATTTTATGTGTCAACTTGGCTCAGCCTTGGTACCCAAACAGTTGGTCAAAAATTATCCAAGGCCAAGCATGGCAGCTCACACCTGGAATCCCTGCACTTTGGGAGGCTGAGGTGGGAGGATTGCTTGAGTACAGGATTCAAGACCGGCCTATGCAACATGGCAAGACCCAATCTCTACAAAAAAAAAAATTTAAAATTAGCTGGGCATAGTGGTCCATGCCTGTGATCCCAGCTACTCAAGAGGCTGAGGCAGGAGGATTGCCTGAACCCAGGAGTTTGAGACATTTAACCACTAGAAATAGAACCAATAGCGTGTGTGTGTGTGTGTGTGTGTGTGTGTGTGTGTTTGTGTGTGTGTGTGTGTGTATGTGTGTCTATGTGTGCATGTGTGTCTGTGTTTGTCGGTGTGCATGTGTATGTCTATATATAAATTTTGATCTTTTTCAAGAAATTGGCTTGCAATTTTGGAGGCTGGCAAGTCTGAAATATGCAGAGTAGGCTGGCAGCTGGAAGCCCAGGAAGAGTTGATAGCACAGTTCGAGCCTGAAGGCCATCTGCTGTCAGAATTCCCTCTTTTCTTTGAGGGAGGTTAGTCTTTGTTCTATTCAGGCCTTTAACTGATTATATGAGGCCTATCTACTTATAAAGAGTAATCTGCTTTACTCAAAGTCTACTGGTTAACTGTTAGCTTCATCTAAAACATACCTTACAAAAATATCTAGGATTTTTTTTTCTTTGAGACAGGGTCTCTGTTGCCCAGGCTGAAGTGCAGTAGTGTGATCGCGGCTCACTGCAGTCTAAAACTCCCTGACTAACACAACTATATATCCAGATAAATTCATATTCTGGAATTTCTTCTCAATTTTCACTGCAGGTAAAATTTGGAAGCCATTATAATAAATATTTTTATGAGGTTTCCTCAGAAATGTGGCATTTAAAAATTATTTGTAATTGGAAGTGTAAGTTCTCAAATTATACCTTTAAATGGGGTTTGCACAAGTATGACTTCAATAGTGTTCAAGTAGTCAAGAGGGTGATGCAATATTATTGTGTAGAATTTTTAGACTAAAATATTCCCAAAACCACAATCCTTTTCTTTTCAATACATGTGAATCAATACTGGATATAAGCTTTGAAAGTTTTTGAACTGTATATTTCCATTATCAGCCACCTAAAAGAACAAGAGGAAAATAGGAATAATGACCCGTCACTCTTACAGAAGAGAAATCATGCTAGCTGTTGCCAGTGATAGGTAGAAGTCTTCCAAACATGCACTCTTTTCTGATCCATGGAAAAGAAACTTTGTATTTACTTTTCGTATATACCTAAAACCACAGTCTATTAATAACCAGCAATTGGTAATGCCCAAAATTAAATATAAATTATTTTATGTTGACAATCTTCTGGTATTTAGCTAGCAAAGCCAAGGATGAAAACTAACTCCTGGGGAAGATGGAATAAAATACAATACGCTTCTCAGGGTTCAGAGATGCTTTACATGTACCCAGTTAGAATAGAAATAGTAAATTTCAATAGAAATAATTTTTTAAAAACTGGATTAATGGTGGTTATGTGCATAGGAATATTTATAATTTGCTAAAAAGAAGCCATTTGATTGGCAGTCACAGAGTTGATTCAATGGTTCAAAGCCATCAAACCTAGGCTCCTTCAACCTTCTGTTTTAGGGTGTTGGCTTTGTCCTCAGGCTTGAATCCTCACTGTCACAAGATAGCTGCCATACCTCCAGCCATCATTCCCAACACAGGAAGCAAAGGAGCAGTCAAAAGAATAGATTTTCTCATTACAGAATTACAATATTTCTCTCAAGAAGAAATATTTTTCTAGAGAAGCCCAGAGGACTTCATAGATCACTGCCCAGAACTGGGTCATATGGCCCCCTAGGACAATCACTGTCAAAGGGAACTAGAATTACTAGCATTCTCTGAGACTCACCATGATTTATCTACCAAATTCAAGCACTTTGCCACATGAACAACACTGGAATTTTGTTAGCAAGAAAGAATTGTAGCATAGGCCGGGTGCAGCAGCTCATGACTATAATCCCAGCACTTTGGGAGGCCGAGGCAGGTGGATCATGAGGTCGGGAGATCAAGACCATCCCGGCTAACATGGTGAAACCCCGCCTCCACTAAAAATACAAAAAAAAAAAAAAAATTAGCCGGGCATGGTGGTGGGCGCCTGTAATCCCAGCTACTTGGGAGGCTGAGGCAGGAGAATGGTGAACCCGGGAGGCGGAGCTTGCAGTGAGCCGAGATCGTGCCACTGCACTCCAGCCTGGGCAACAGAGCAAGACTCCACCTCAAAAAAAAAAAAAATTGTAGCATAAACATTGGGTGGGCAGCCAACTGGCCCACAGTAACTGCCTGCCTTAAATCAGTCAACTTGTAGATGCATAAGATCTTTATCCATAATTAACAAACATGACACAGTCTTTGTAATAGTAGGGTTTACATCAAATATTTTCTCATTCTACACTGAGCATATTTCCACTTGCCATGAAAATGTTGCCAAGCATTACTTCTTTTGTTTTTATTTAGCATTTAGTGTTTTATTTAATTTGTATAATGAAATTGTGTAAGATTTTACTTGTATAAAATATAAATTAATCCAATTGAGTAAAATTTCTCAAACCACTCTATACCTTTATTCAGACATGCATTTTCCTTGCCAGCTAAAGAATCATTAGCTCAGAATGCACCCTAATATGATGCCATCTGAGAGTTTTGAGTGGGAAATGGCAAAAGGTGAGCTACAGACATGGAGGAAGAACCAGAGTTAGAAAGATAACTCCACCAAGGGACAGATAATGCAGGCCAAGGCAGCTGCAATAAAAATAGGGGGAAGGCCAGGTGTGGTGGCTCACGCCTGTAATCCCATCACGTTGGGAGGCCGAGGCAGGCAGATCACCTGAGGTCAAAAGGTCAAGACCATCCTGGCCAACATAGTGAAACCCCGACTCTACTAAAAATACAGAAACCAGCCGGGCATGGTGGCACGTGCCTGTAGTCCCACCTACTCATGAGGCTGAGGCAGGAGAATCGCTTGAACCCGGGAGACGGAGGTTGGAGTGAGCTGAGATCGTGCTATTGCACTTCAGCCTCGGCAACAGAGTGATACTCCACCAAAAAATAAAAATAAAAAGTAAAAAATAATAGGGGGAGAAAGCCCAGAAAGATATTCAGAAGCTCAAGCGACATAAATTTTTGACCAGATAGGAAGCAATTACTGCACTATACAAAACCTGGGCTTTGGGTGAGGTACACCTGAGTCTGAGTCGTGATCTTTCTGCTCACTAACTGAGGTTTTGAACAAGTGATTTTTCTTTCCTAAACCTGAGTTTCATCCAATATGAAATAGGAATAAATGAGAATGCTCAGTAGTTGTAAATACTAAATGACACAATATATAACATGTCTGTCCCCTGTTGAGTATTGAATAAATAAAATAGAAGCTGAATATGATGATCATGATGCTTGTTTCTAGGATAGAAGACAAGTAGATGATATTCAATGAGGATATGAAATATAGTGGAAGATGAGGCTGAGAAGGAACTGTATCAAGTTCAGTTTTAGCCTGCATTGTATTTTATTTGTGTTTATTAAATCCTCATAAAATGTAGAACACAATCTTGGACACAGAGGATTCTCTGTCCAGTGCACCTCCCTGACTCTCAGAACCGCCACCCCTCCCAGCCGACATGGGTCACTTTCAAGTTCACCCAAGTTACAACAAGAGTACTTGGGCACCCTAAACCTCAGCTTCTTCATCTGAAATGGAGAAAATATTACCCAACTGACAATATAAATAGTAAATGTATATAAAACACATAACTACCAGCTGCATAGACAATCAATTAAAAAAAATTCTTCCCTTTCTTTCATCTGAAATTCATACCCCAACATTTCCAGTAGATTTTGAAGGAGTTCCAGTTGACCCAATTTACAGACCAGTAAGAGTTCTAATTCCAGAAATTTAAGAATTCTAATTCCAGCTATTTACACGGGGCCTATGCAAACCAAGGTCCATATGGATTGTAATACAACTAATGCCACCTTGTTAACACAATTAATGCTTTTTCTACTACTTATTAAAACTGATATCATGGCTTTTAGCTATCCCTTACATTACATAATTTGTGGATCAGTTTTCTCACCAGGCTTGCAAAAGCAGTTTACTGTGATCAAGTTCACTCACTGTAAATATCCACCAAATTTGCTAGAAGAGGAAGTCTGCAATAACTTATCTTGCTGATAAACCAATGGGCAGGTCTCATATCTTCTTATCCATGTTTTTCCCTACCTAGTGCCTCACTTATAATAAACATTCAACAAATGCTTTGCAAATAAATGAGGCAGATAACTTTTAGAAGAAACTTCACCCCCAAAAAATTCAATTCATATGTGGAGCAATATTTCAAAGACCTAAATGCAATCTAAGATAAAGGGAATGAATACTACTATATCATTTCCAGCAAAATGATTCACTATTATAAGACTATCCAAATGTAATTAACTAATTTAAAAAATACATGCATCTTTCAAATTTTCCATTTTTTTCACCAGTAATACAAGATGGTAAATCATAACCATTGATCATTCCCAGGTAACATTTTGACTTGCTAAAACAGCAGTCCTTCATATTTTCAAAGGATAAAAATCCATTGGTGAAAGGAAATTCTTCTATACCACAAAATGTTGAAGAAAAGAATATTGAGGCTGTAAAAAAATTATATAGAATATTTCCATATCCCTTTATTCAAAATTGATATAATTAATGTTAACGGTAATAGCTAAATAAAGAAAAACAATTTTAAAAATGCTGTGGATATTCTGGGTATAGGAGTGGCATTAAAATAGTTGCAAATAATAATGAAGCATAAATCATAATAAATATTGATAATTAACATGCAAAAAAGAATATATCACTGTCTGTCCACATGAGCCTTCATTGCTGAAAGCACTGAAAGCAAGAGCCAAAGCTACCTATTGAAGAGGCTAAAAAACAATTGTCAAGTCAGGAATAACCTCCCATGTCCTACTGATGTTTAAGATTCTAAATACTAAGTAATATATTAATAATGTACTGTCTTGGTTCATCTAGTTTAGCAAATTTACTCTCTAGAATATGAAATTCTATTGATTATATCAGCATCAAAAATATATAAAAGTGATTGAGAATGAGGCTTTAAGATAACCTCCTAATAATATGTATCTGATTAGGATATGCCACATCCCACTTTCCAACCCACATATCTATAAAGACAAAATCTGAATCACATGGAAAAGCAAGCTATTAGTAAACAATTTGCAGGAGTCTGAGAAAATTTATAACTATAGAGTAGATAACACTTCAGTTTTAAACATAATCAGTGACTTATACTCAACTTGTTCTCAGAAATGTCATCTTACAAGTTGGTATAATAACCCAGTTCAGAAATATGGAATATACAAGTTACAGGAAAGTGGTTAGGCATATTCAAATTTTTGCACCCAACCATGCTCTACCCTCTTAGCCACACTATGGGTATTATTTTCTGAGGCAGTCAAAATTGACTGCCACTCATTTTTCAAAATCTGTTCTATGACTGCAAGCTCTCAAAGACAGCAATGCAGAAAGGATAGGAGATTGAGTCCTGCATATGGACTCTTCCATAAATCAATGTGATGAAGGACAATATAATCTCTTATCTTGCTGAAAATTAGTGAGCAAGACCCATGTCATATTCATATTGTGCCCTACTTAGTGTCTCACTCATAATAAACACAACAAATACTTTACAAATGAAGAAGATGACTTCTATAAATCAGTGTGATCAAGGGCAGAGACACTAGCCCTGGTGATTGGAATTTCCCTGGAAGAACTACAACATGACTCCAATTATTTGAAAAATGAAATAGCTCACTAATATACAGGGAAGACTGAATATTAGAAGGCCCACATTAGACACATGCATTCTAGACCTAATTTGGGCCAGACATGTGCTCATTAGTGTATAATTCAACTTCAGATCTGGGGAAGGGGGTTGCAAGGTGGGGAAGGGCAGGGAATTCTTTTAGTCACATGTCCAATCCATACAGTACTCTCAGTCATTTGAAAACATAAAATCCAGGAAGGCAAGGCCAGCTTGCCTCTCCTTACCATCTGTTCACTCTCTCAGCTTCAGGGAACTTCAGGGAGCAGTTATACCGGGTACATCACAAATGTTTGACCTCAGCCACAAATGTTTGACCTCTGTGAATGCCACCAGCATCCAATAAATAGCTCAATATAGAGACCTAGGAATTATCTAAGACTCCTCCACTGCCCCAGGTTACATATCCAACCTTTATCGATCTTATCCATTTTACTTCCCAAATATCTCTCATTTTTCTCCATTTCCATTATTCCCACAGTAGTCCAAGCTAATGTCATCTTTCTCCAGTAATATGCCATCACTTGCTAACTGATCAAGCAATATCCACACTGCAAACCTCCTTCAGACGATCTATTCTGCCCTGCATAACCAGAGTGTCCCTTTCAAAATTCAAATCCAGTGTCACTACCCAAATCCCATCTCGAATTGTAACCCCCATGGTTTGGCTCTGTGTCCCCACCCAAATCCCATCTCGAATTGTAACCCCCATGTGTTGAGGAAGGGACCTGTAATCCCCAAATCTCAAGGGAAGGAGGTGACTGGATCATGTAAACAGTTTCCCCCATGCTGTTCTCATGACAGTGAGTGAGTTCTCATGAGATCTGATGGTTTATAAGTGTTTGACTGTTCCTCCTTCATAGGCTCTCTCTCGCCTGCCACCACGTAAGACATCCCTCCTTCCCCTTCTGACATGATTGTAAGTTTCCTGAGGCCTCACCAGCCATGCGGAACTGTGAGTCACCTAAATCTCTTTTCTGTATAAATGACCCAGTCTCAGGCAGTTCTTTACAGCAGTGTGAAAATGGACTAATATGCTACCCCATCTCCATCCCACTGCCATCCTCCCTAAAGCCCTACAGTAGATTGCTGTTACTCTTAGAATCAAGACCAGACTGCTTCCGGGGTCTATACCACCTTCTGTGGTTTTGTCCCCAGCTAGTTTACATCACATGCCCCTCCTCTTCCTTTCTCCATCACATTTCACATTTGCCATTTACTTTTTTTTTTTTTTCATTTCAACCTTCCTTTGCTTTTACCCTATCATGCTCCCTCACCCCACAAAGCTTTTGTACATTCTGCATCTCCTTCCTGGAACATTCTACCTCCCTCTGCATCTAGGTCTCTGCCTGAGCTCAGGTTCCCTAAAAAGCCTGGTCTGAGGCAATGACTAAAAAGGCTCCTATTTTGTTTAAGGACGTGCAAACTCATGGCAAGAAGGTGAGGAAAACAGCTACGGAGGGAAGGATGAGAAGCAATGCAAAGTGACATATACCATCCTGGCCACAGCTTCCCAAGTTGGGTCCTTTGCTGGGTGCACTCATGTGGCCATGAGGGACATCTCAGAGAGACTGCAGAGGTAAGCAAGATCTCTTTCCTGAAACAGTTTGTTCATCAGAAAAAGGGAGAAGAGGAAATGAATCTTCCTAGCTCTTTCAAGGTCTTTTTTCCTTATTACTCAATTCCCTGAACAGGGGGTTAATTCACTCAGTTTCAGATTGTGACTTCCAGCCTCATTATTTGGGAAGCCAGGCTGCAAACCATAGTACATTATTTTATCCAAACCTTGAAGTAATGGGGAAAACATTAAAAAAAAAAAAAAAAAAAAAAAAAAAAACAGAGACTCGGGTGCACAGCTGGTTAGATTGGCTGTAGGTGGCAGCCAAGGGGAGAGCCTGGCCTTCTGAGGTGCAGACTGGTCACGTTTAGGCAGGAGCATGGGTCAGCCAAGGCTGTGGCCTAATTAGAGGATACAGTGGAGCATTAAGTCAATGGCGATGCACTCTTAGAATGTGGCTACGCCCCTTGTAACCACTATGGTATTTACAACCATTCTAAGGACACAGAAAACTTGTTCATAGTATTAAGAAAAAATGGTATATAAAACTGTGTATAAAGTATGTTTCAATTATAATCTTTAATTCTGTTAGAATTCTTTTTTCCCAAGAGTATGCATTAACTTTACAGTTTTCTTAAAAAAAAAAATGGAAGAAAACAGTTTCCAAGAAGAAGGGTCAACAGATTCCACAGTATTGACTCAGGAAAGTGCAAGCATTGCAGGGACCAGGAACATCCAGGCTGGCAAGAAGCCAAAACAGGAGGGAGCGGGGAGGGGCGCAGCCCCGAAGCAATGTTAGGAGGCTCTGACCACTTTCCGAAGAACGTTGTATCTCCAAGGCCTTCGCTTCTCTATCTGTAAATTTCAAACAAGATCCCGGTGTGTGATGTTCCCCTTCCTGTGTCCATGTGTTCTCATTGTTCAATTCCCACCTAAGAGTGAGAACATGCCGTGTTTGGTTTTGTGTCCTTGCGATAGTTTGCTGAGAATGATGGTTTCCAGCTTCATCCATGTCCCTAAAAAGGACATGAACTCATCATTTTTTATGGCTGCATAGTATTCCATGGTGTATATGTGCCACATTTTCTTAATCCAGTCTATCATTGTTGGACATTTGGGTTGGTTCCAAGTCTTTGCTATTGTGAATAGTGCCGCAATGTTGTGGGGTGGGGGGAGGGGGGAGGGATAGCATTAGGAGATATACCTAATGTTAAATGATGAGTTAATGGGTGCAGCACACCCACATGGCACATGAATACATATGTAACAAACCTGCACGTTGTGCACATGTACCCTAAAACTTAAAGTATAATTTAAAAAAAGTTCAAACAAGATCTTCATTTGGGTATAATGAAGAGAAAGTGAGGACATGCATCTGAAAGCTGACTCAGAAACTCTGACGCTCTTCCTACATTTCCTAACTGCTGCCAATGGAGAAATGTCCTATGTCACTTTTCCTCACAGAGACTATGGCCTTTTACGAATTTATCTTTTTTTCTGAAACTTCTCTCTAACTTTATTTGACATTGCAGTACTAAATAATAGATGTGAAGCTTTTCACATCTGTACTGGAAAAAAATATGTTACAAAATAAAGTTGTATAATGCCTCCAGCTATCATTATAACTGAACAGCAGAGAATATTTCAAAATATTTTGAAAAAAGATTGTTATGAAAAATTTGCACTTCAGGCCGGGTGCAGTGGCTCACACCTGTAATCCCAGTACTTTGGGAGGCCAAGGCGGGCAGATCATGAGGTCAGGAGATCGAGACCATCCTGGCTAACACAGTGAAATCCCGTCTCTACTAAAAACAATACAAAAAATTAGCTGGGCGTGGTGGCGGGCGCCTGTAGTCCCAGCTACTCAGGAGGCTGAGGCAGGAGAATGGCGTGAACCCGCGAGGAGCTTGCAGTGAGCCAAGATCTCGCCACTGCACTCCAGCCTGGGCGACAGAGCGAGACTCTGTCTCAAAAACAAATAAATTAAAAAAAAAAGAAAAAGAAAAATTCGCACTTCACCAAGTGGTTTTCTTTTACTGTTGGGATGTTTCTGCACTTTCCAAATTTTCTACAACCAGCATAAATTTCTCATATTTCAAGAAGTATCCATTCTTCTAATATCCATAACGAAATGATCTATCAATTTAAGATATATTTTTAAATGATGATGGGCAATACTAATAGCATGAGGTGGTTCGGGCATTCTCATAATTATTAGAAAAAAGTATCCAGTCTATTTGGGAAACAATTACGTCAACTTGGGAAACAACTGGAAAAGTGCATATCACTTTTAAATGATTACATTCATTGCTGCAGGAAATTTTTTTATTTTTTGAAACTGACTCTCACTCTGTCGCCCAGGCTGGGGTGCAGTGGCACAATCTCAGCTCACTGCAACCTCCACATCCTGGGTTCAAGCCATTCTCACGCCTCAGCCTCCCAAGTAGCTGGGACTACAGGCATGTGCCACCACATCCAGCTGATTTTTGTATTTTTTAGTAGAGACAGGGTTTTCCCGTGTTAGCCAGGGCTGGTCTCGAACTCCTGGCCTCAAGTAATCTGCCCACCTTGGCCTCCAAAAGTGCTGGGATTACAGGCGTGATGCCTGTATCCCAGGCTGGCCTGGTGCAGTAATATACCCCCAAAATTCTCCCCCAGACTAATTTTAAATGTTGGTAAAATTTCATGCACAGAGAAATGTGGATTACCATACCTTACATGATCTTGAAAAATAAAAAATACATAAAATGTCCCCAAATTGTATAATATAAATGATTACATGAATATATCCTTATTGTGACCATCATAAAGCCATTAGAAATTAAATTTATAGAAAAACTTTAACTTTTAATCATGAAAACGTTTAAATATATGCAAAATACAGAGAACAGTATAATAAATTCCATCATTTCCATCACCCAGATTCAACAATTATCAGCACAGTACCAAACTTACTTCATTCATACTCCTACTTACTTTGCCCCTCTCGAGTACATATTTTGAAGCAAAATCCTGACATATTATTACATCTATAAATTCCTCAGTATGTGTGCTTCCAAGATAAAAACTTTCAGAATATGACATTATTACACACAAACATTAATAATTCTTAACATAAAATATCTAGTCAACATTACAAATAATTTGTATTTTTCTCTATGACAGAGGAATTTTAATTCTTCTAACGACATGGGAAATGCATAGAAGGGGAACTGCAGGTGCAAATCTGTATATACAACATTATTCAAACACGCACAAACAAGTGTGGAAAGAGATTATACACGGGCCTTCTACAATTGAATATCTGTCCCTTCAGCTGTCCACGAGCCCCCTTGTCTTCTCACATTTCTGATCTGTCACATGTCCTACCAGGAGTCCTACCCCTGTGAGTTTATATGTTAGTAGGTGAACATGAGTGGGCACTCAGGGTGAACAAAGCCCATCTTCCAGCATGTGCCTTCCAGATGAGTTTTGCTGTTCTCAAAATCATTGTACATGTACTTTATGGAAAGATACATATGTAGATTTGGGGATTTCCAAAATCTTTGTAAAATTTCCTTCTCAAATGTCATAGACCTAGTGCAGCAAAATGTTTAATAAAGTTAACCTTCTGTTAAAGAGATAATGCTTTCCAATTTACATACTGAATGCTTATTTTTTCTTCTATTTAAAAAATCAGAGCCAACATATTATTGCCACACTAAATTGTGAATCAAATTAGCCAATGCTTGCCAGTCACCTACTATCATACCTGCAGCACAGAGAACATACTAGAAATGGAGGTAATTATGGGGCCATGTTTTATGTTTATCCCTGAAGATTAAAAAAAGAATATATGGCACTAGCTTTCCATCTAAGAGAAACAGATTGAGTAAATTTTATTTATCTTCCCTACTTTACCACATATCTGAGCATTACTTTTTACACATATCAAACTATATGATCTAATGATAAGCCACATATAACCTGTTTTTTTAACAAAGTCTTTGTACTCCTTGCCTGTATTGTTTTGAGCTTAACCCTTTTAAATTCTCCATGTTTCTCAACTACTACAGGGTATTATTTCACCATTCCATATAACATCCAAGAAGGAAATCTCTCATATTATACGTATTTTCAAAATTGAATTAAAGGCAAGTATAAGTAAAGAAAATTAGTAATGAGTGACTAGAAACCTTTTTAAGCCGTAATCCAGGTTTCTACAACATGAACCTAAATGATAGATGTGTTGTCTGCAATAATTATTTTAGACGAGGATATTCTAAAGACCTATATTTACATATATCTAGCTATAATATGCACTATTAGTGAATGTAACATGAAAGACAACTTAGATTTTGAGTTTGAATTTTTAAAAAATCTACTATTATAACAGAAGGAAGAAATCAAAGGTCGTGTCCCAGCCTTTGCTCTCCCCGTAAGAGAGAGCACTTCCCATGAGCCAGACTTCCCTTCAGCGCCTTATGACTCAATAGTGACTGTGAAGGACATCGTCATCTATTCAATATACTATATTTGGATCATGAAGCAAGTAGTGTACGCTGTCAAATATAATTCAGAAAATGCTAGTGGTTTGTAAATATTACTTTTTAAAATAGTAGAAAATAAGTATATTCTTAACAGTGCTTGTCAAGAGGAAAAAGAAATTACCAGCCTGCTGTCTTTAGAAAGCATATGTGTCATAAATAGTTTAATAAAAGACAGCTGTAAAGAGGGAGGTTTCACAATGATTGTCAATAGGCGATGTGCTTATATGCACAAATGTGGTGTGTGTGTGTATACGTGTGCAAGCATGCGTGTGTGTTGTAGCAGGAGAGGAAAAGGGGTATTTAGCAGAATCATCTGGAGCCATTTCAAAATATACCTTCCTTCTTTCAATTAGGACTTCACCTAACAAAGGTTTATCAAGTATCCATCAGGTACAGACAGCTTTTAGTATGTGCAACACCCCTATCCTTTAATACCACCCCTTCAACAAGACACATATTCATGGATGTGTTGGCTCTGTCTCTGGAGGTGAGAGATAGTGTATGCTGTGCTTCATCTGTTTACCTCTGCAAAAGTCTTCCTTATCTTTAATTAAAGACTCTTCCATACAATATCCAAGGAGGCAATCTATTATCACATCTATTTTCGAGCTAGAAAACAAAAAAGACACCAAAAATTTGAGAAATTTCTCCAAGATTACACAGCTAGCCATTAGTAAAGGTAAGATTTGGGCTCCAAAGAGCAGATGAGAATGCATGCCATGGACAGGCAGATGAACCTGGGGGAGAGAGAAAAAGGAAGCCATTAGGACTGAGCCAAGCATGGCCAGTTCCTCCTTCTCACCAGTCAGGGAAGGGACATGCCTCCTTCTCCTGGAGTAATGTCCAGGATGAGGGGCAGAGGAAAGCGGAAGTCCCAAATACAAGTCCCTCCATAGGAAACATGAGCCCATCTTTTAAGATTCTCCCTAAGAGCAATTACTTGTTCTAGGGGAAACAAGTGCCTGGATGAGGACTAGAGCAGTGTGAGAAGCAAGGTTCAGTTTGTGGATTCTTCTTGAAAGATGGAATGCATATTTTCTCTAGCCTCCCTGTTTAATCATGCCTTATTATGCCAAGTTTACATGATACTTAAGATAGAGAAAACTTTAGAAACCCAAATGAACACACTTAGCACAGCCTATCTAAGGAAGAAAATTCAGTGTGTCCACATGGCTGAGCTCCCAACTCCTACCTATTGATTGTATACAGTGTACATATAATCTCTCCATTTCTCTCCTCATGCCAGTGCATAGCAAAACACTCTGGCTCTCTCCCATGGGACTCTCACAGCCATGTCAAGTTCATCCTCCTTCTCTCAAGACTGCTTTTAAAATCCCAGTGTGTGTGTGTTTGTGTGCATGTGTATATTCTACTCTGCACGTATCATTACTTCCTTCTTGTTTTCTTATTCCTAATTTCCTCTTTAATTATTTTTTTCTTTTTCTTTTTCTTTTTTTTTTTTTTTTCGAGAGGCAGTCTCACTGTGTCACCCAGGCTGGAGTGCAGTGGTGCAATCTCAGCTCACTGCAACCTCCACCTCCTGGGTTCAAGTGATTCTTCTGCCTCGGTCTCCCAAGTATCTGGGATTACAGATGCACCCCACCACACCTGGCTAATTTTTTATCTTTAGTAGAGATGGGGTTTCGCCATGTTGGCCAGGCTGATCTCCAACTCCTGACCTCAAGCGATTCACCTGCCTCAGCCTCCCAAAGTGCTGGGATTACAGGTGTGAGCCACCATGCCCGGCCTCCTCTTTAATTATTATCAGCATTTCCTACACCAAATTTCACACTACATATCTGTTTTCTTCTCCTCAAAAAACGTTCAAATAGGCCTATTCAGAGATTCAAAGAAAATTGAAATCTTCCACAATGGTTAATAAAACGGTTGTTATGACATATAAAAAGTGTGGAGATTATCCATTGATTTTGCATAATATTCATGGCAGTTAGCTCAAGAATTCTGGAATTGGCTTCTCAATTGCTTTCAGGCTAATATTGAAGTCTAAAAAGAAGAAAAAAATAAAACCTTAATAAATTAGAAAATTAATAGATTAATAAAATAATAAATTAAAATTAAAATTTTATTTAAAAAATAATAAAATAAAATTTAAAAATTAAAACCGTAATAAAAAGTTGTCCTCCAACTAAGAAAAAGCTCCAGGAGTCCCAATGACCCCAAACACTCACTCCCATTAAGGTAATCTCCATAAAATGCACTGAATGAGTGCACAATTACAAAATAAGGGAGATTGTATGCAAATTTTTGTAGGCTTTTTTCCCCCATATTCCAGAGCTAAATTGAGCCTCTGTCTAAACCCTCTTGTTTTTCTCCTCCCCTGAGACAACGTACAACATCACAGCATGAATTCAGCAGGGTGCAGGACATCACATACAGAGATCATTGCTTCTGAAGGGTTTTCACGTGCACAAAGACAGGCTACAGGTGGTGCAGTAAAATTCAGAAATGCACCGGAGTATCATGCATCCTGATTCAACCATCCTATCTGTATATATAAAAAAACGGGATCCTCGCAAAGCATACATTGATTCATTTCTATGCTGATTCTTATTTTATCAATGGCCTGTGGGCATATGCAAATATTTTTAGCTAGGTCAGTATCACATGCATACACACCACACATGGCAGACAAAAAATTGCCACCTACCAGCCTTCTTTAAATAAACAAATTCAAACAAGTCAAAACCAAAGACGGTCAAGGAAAATAAACGTGTTGTTATAATTAGGTAATGCTTTCATAATTCCATTTGGATATTTTCCACAAACTGCAAGTAGGTTAAATCCCCAAGTAAAATCTACATTCCTCCCAAATGTATGATTCACAGGTGTAGCTGCAGCCTAAGGGAGAGGGCATCTTGCTGATGCAGCCAGTCCCCAGGAGGTCTGCATTCCACCCTGTGCCAGGTCTCCCTCCATAGCATTCCAAGAAATACCCAGCCCACCTCAGAAAGAATCACATAGCATCCTTTCTGAGAAAATAATAAGCCAAACAATTAAATTAGTTGACAGCAAATTTCTCTTCATTTCATTGCAATCTGAATGTGAATTTTCAAGTTGTCTAATAGATTAAAGCGCTCATGTTTGCATCCCTATGTTATCTCCATTGATTTTACTCTTGTCATTAGTATAATGCTTGCAGGACTGAGCCAAAACATCTGGAAAAAAGCAGAAGATTAAGTATGGATCTCCTCTAAACTTTTGTTTACATCTCACAATTTTTTTTAAAAAAAGCACATTCATCAACACAAAATTTTGTAACTAAATATTACACAATAAATTAAATAGCAAACTTGGACTACTTTCAATTAGAACTATATTAATGCAACTCAGTTCACAGTCCCCATTTTACTTTGTCAGATCAGAAAAACTCATCAAAATGGAGACCTGCAAATAAGAGGAGGAAGAGGGAGGAGAGAGAGCACAGAAATCTTCCAAGTGGCTTCAGTGACAGAAGGGGAGGAGTCACCACCTGCCATTTGCATGGAAGTGTTTTTGTTCCTCTGGTTTATTGCTCCTATTTATGCATGCGTGTGCAGGTATGTATTAGCTATACCAGAATTTAATTTTCTGTATATAATCAACACATCCCACAAAAGGTTTGAAATAGGTGCCATTCACATTAAAGAATGTACATAAGTCACTCCTAAAAGCTGAGAACTTTCTAAACACACAAAAAACGGTACCTAGTTGCAGAAGTTGCCCAGAATGTGGTCACCAATGATTGGACAGTCAGAATCAAAGTAACTCAGGAAAGAGGGTTTATTTCTAGCCACAGAGGTCCAGAAGGCATAACAGAGAAAAGGGGACTGAGAGGACCCTGACGTGATGTTAAGATAGGTGAAGAAATGTGTAGAAAGAAGACAAATGACAACTAGTTGAAACACAGGAAAAAAAAAAGTACGTGATTCAAACATTTCAATGTGGTCACCATTATCTTCACTACTTCTACTAGTATTTATATTATTTATGTACATTAAGGACCTGTATTGGAACACATTCAAGGCAAAAACTTAAAGCAACAAATGAAAACATTAGTGTGATTGGAGCAAATGTTTTGTGAAAGGAGTACTAATCAAAAATAAGGCTAAAAATAAAAACTGGACCCAAACTTTGGAGACTTGGAAATCCAAAATAATAATGTGTTTAGATTTTAACCTATAGGTAACAGGAGTCATTAAAGGGTTTTATGCTGTAACCTATGTAAAAGAGATGTTTCTGAAGTATTCAATTGGTAGTGATGTTAGGAGGAATAAAACTGGGAAAAGGAGACAACTTCAACCAAATAAATGAGGTGTGTTCATTCCAATGCAAGACAAATAAAATTTTTATGAAATTCTCTACTTCGGTTTTGAAAAAGACAAATGGATGTTGACAAATCAAGGCATAAAACAAAGTTGGAGGCATCAGGGTCAGAAATATGTCTGTGGTATTTCTTTTAGTCAAACAGTTCAGAGGCAGGGCCCTGTTCAATAATTAAACATTTGTTCTCAATGCACTCTATTGTGCCACTCCAGAATATCCAGGAAGCAAAAAAAGATGATTGTAGGTCACTCAATTTCAATTGGAAGGAATTTTGACCAATGAAGTAAGCACACAAGTAATTTCTCCCAAAATATTGCAGAGTAGCTGGAGTCAGTGCTGTGAGTGCAGCCGAGAGCAGTGAGGGGCACAGTCTGTGGTGGCAGGCGCTTTGTCCTACGTGCTGCTGCACATCAGGATTCCAAATCACACACTTGGGAGGGAGCTGACACCTTATCCTGAGACGACAACACCAGCATGTCCAAGGTTTCTCTTGCATGGCTGTGACCCAGACGGGACAACTGGTCAGGCACAAAGCTGAGATTTCTGCTAGGGTCAGTCAGACCAGGAAACACTGTTTTATTCCATGCTGCTCAGGGCCTCAAAGAGCCTCATGCTTACCCAGCTCTACCTAACACCTCCCATTCTCCAAAATGATCTGGCAACACTCCCACTAATATCCCTGCCATGGCATCATCCCCACTTCCATCTGACTATATCCCTTCAGGTATTAGAAGGGAAACAACCTATTTATTTTTAATTAATTATGAAAAATAATTAGTTATTTATACCATCATCTCATTACATGAAGGACTTGAGCCAGATTTCAGAGATATGTATAAGAAAATGAGATAATAAATAAGTCAGAAATTTGAAGAAAAAAGATGAAGGAAGGAAAATAAGATGATAGAAATAAAAGTCATAAAAAGATGATATTATAAAGTATATATTGAAAATCCACTGAGTAGGGCTCATTGGAAGAGACTAGATATTAAAGCTTTAGAAACAAGTAAATATGAGATTGGTTGATAAGTCTATGGACCTGTATTCACTGCAGGTCATTGGAAGAACTGAACTGAAAGTAAAACATAAGTCAGTAAAATGCCCAGAATAGAAAGAGATACATAGTTAAGATAAATGAGAAAAACTAAGCAAAGCCTGCTATCGTGATTGTTGAGAAAGAGGAATCATGATGCCCTGCATTCTCGTGGGGACAGGGACCCAGCAGAAACAGCTCTGCCACAATTCACAAAGCAGGTGGGATGGTGTGGAATTTGAAATTTTACCAAGATGTCTATGGCTACCTTGTCCAGGTCACAGGCTGGGGAATTTAAGTCTAAAATTTTGCCAATTTCTCTCTGAGCCTCTTGGCAACCAAAACAAAGTAAAGAGGAAAATCATGAAACTGTAGCAGCATTTCACAAACTGGTATCTGCTTAATGCTGTTCTGTCAGATCATAATTGAAATGCCCACATACCACACACATGATGTAAGAAATATTGGCAAATTCAGGATTTAAATAAAGTTAATGTTTGTTTCTTCTTAACTGTTCAATCACACACAGCCGTTAATATGATGATTACCATATAAAGGGGCCAGAAACTTTTTCCATGTGCCACTTACCAGTCTGCTTAGAAAAAGACTGCAGAACACAGTCTGGGGAGTAATGACTTAAAAAAATTAATGGTGGAAAACCCTCAAAAAACTGTGTATAGAAGAAATATACCTCAACAAAATAAAAGTTACATATGACAGATCCACAGCTAGTATCATACTGGATGGGGGAAAACTGAAAACTTTTTCTCTAGTATCTGGAACATGACAAGGATGCCCACTTTCACCACTGTTATTCAACATAATACTAGAAATCCTAGCTAGAGTAATCAGACAAGAGAAAGAAATAAAGTGCATCCAAACCAGAAAGGAAGAAGTCAAATTATCCTTACTTACAGATGATACAACCTTGTATTTGGAAAAACCCAAAGACTCCACCAAAAACTATTAGAATTTATTCACAAATTCAGTAAAGTTGCAGTATACAAAGTCAACATACAAAAATCAGTAACACTTCTCTGTGCCAACAGTGAACAATATGAAAAAGAAATCAAGAAAGTAATCCCATTTATGACAGCTACAAATAAAATAAAATACCTAGGCATAAATTTAACCAAATAGGTGAAAGATCTCTGCAATGAAAACTATAAAACATTAATGCAAGAGATTGAAAAGGACACACAAATATATAGAAAGATATTCCATGTTTATGGATTGGAAGAATCAATATTGTTAAAATATCCATATTATCCCTACCCCAAAAATCTACAGAGTAAATGCAATTCCTATCAAAATACCAATGATATTCTTCACAGAAATAGGAAAACTATCTTAAAATTTATATGGAACCCCAGAAGACCCAGAATAGCCAAAGCCAACCTGAGCAAAAAGAACATCACTGGAGAAATCACATTACCTGACTTCAAATTATACTACAGAGTTATGATAACCAAAATAGCATGGTACTGGTATAAAAACAGACACATATATCAATGGAACAAAATAGAGATCCTAGCAGGAAATCCATACCTTTACAATGAACTCATTTTTGACAACGGTGCCAAGAATATACATTGGGGAAAGAGTCTCTCCAATAAATAGTGCTAGGAAAATTGGATATTCATATGCAGAAGAATGAAACTAGATCCCTATCTCTATCCACATACAAAAATCAAATCAAAATCCATTAAATACTTAAATCTAAGACCTCAAACTATGAAACTACTACAAGAAAACATTGGGGAAACTCTCCAGGATTGGTCTGGACAAAGATTTCTTGAGTAATACCCCACAAGCATAAGCAACCAAAGCAAAAATGAACAAATAGGATCACATCAAGTTAAAAAGCTTCTACAGTAGCAAATGAAATAATCAACAAAGTGAAGAGACAACCCGAAGTATAGGAGAAAAATATTTGCAAACTATTCATCTGACAAGGAATTAATAACCAGAATATATGAGGAGCTCAAATAACCCAACAGGAAAAAATTCAATAATCCAATTTAAAAATGGACCAAATATCTGAATACACATTTCTCAAAAGACATACAAATGGAAAACAGGTATATGAAAAGGCACTCAACATCATTGATCACCAGAGAAATGCAAATCAAAACTACAATGGGGTATCATCTCAACCCAGTTAAAATGGCTTTTATTCAAAACACAGTAAATAACCAATGCTGGCGAGGATGTAGAGAAAAGGGAACCCTTGTAGACTGCTGATGGTAATATAAATTAGTACAAGTACCTCAAAAAACTAATAATAGAACTACTATATGGGCCAGCAATTTCACTGCTAGGTGCATACCCAAAAGAAAGGAAATCAGCATATCTAAAAGATATCTGCCCTCCCATGTTTACTGCGGCACTATTCCCAATAGCCAACATTTGGAATCAACCTAAGTATCCATCAGTGAATGAATGGATCAAGAAAATGTGGTACATATACACAATGGAGTACGATTCAGCCATTAAAAAAAAATGAGATCCTGTCATTTGCAACCACATAGATGGAACTGGAGGTCATTATGTTAAATGAAATATGTTGGGCACAGGAAGACAAACTGCATGTTCTCACTCATTTGTGGGAGCTAAAAATTAAAACAATTGAACTCGTGGAGATAGAAAGTAGAATAATGGTTAACAGAGGCTGGGAAGGGTGATGGGGATGGGAGCAGGAAAGTGGGGATGGTTAATGGGTACAAAAGTATGATAGAATGATTAAAATCTAGTATTAGATAGCACAACAGGGTCTATAGTCAATAATAATTTTTTGTACATTTTTAAATAAATGTGCATAATTGGGATGTTTGTAACACAAAGACATGATACATGCTTTCGGTGATATATACCCCATTTGCCTTGATATGAATATTATATGTTGGATACCTGTATTAAAATATCTCATGTAGGCCAAGCATGGTGACTAACTTCTGTAATCCTAGCACTTTGGGAGGCCGAGGCAGGAGGATCACTTGAGGCTAGGAGTTTGAGACCAGTCTGGGCAACATGGCAAGACCCCCATCTCTATAATTTTTTTTTAATTTACCAGGCATAGTGTCTGTAGTCCCAGCTACTTGAGAGGCTGGGGCAGAAGGATTCCTTGAGCCTGACAGGTCACTATCCTGCTGTGAGCCAGGATAGCACCACTGCACTTCAGCTGGGTGACAGAGTGAGACCTTGTCAATAAATATATATAATGTTTATATATATTATATATAATGTATCCCATAAATATGTACACCTACTATGTACCCATAAAAATTAAAAATTAAAATTAAAAAAGATGAACGGCCAAAAGAAAAAAAATGTTCAGGAAAAATTTAGTTTTCCTTAGGAATCAAGAATTAGGAAACACAGCATTCTTTCATAAAAAGAATTGCACAACACATTTTCCATAGGGAATATGTTCCAAGTCCCTCAGTGAATGACTAAAACTTTGGATAACACTGAACTCTTTACACACCATTTTTTTTCAATACAATAAAGAAGACAGCTACTAAGTGACTAACAGGGGGAGGTAATATCTACATTGAGGATACACTGAACAAAAGGATGACTCATGTCCCAGGTGGGATGGAGCAGGACAGCATATTTCACCACACTACCCAAAATCAACAGGGAATTTAAAAATGTATGAATTGTTTATTTCTGGAATTTTCTACTTAATATTGTTGGACATCAGTTGGCCTCGGGAAGCTGAAACCACAAAATGTGAAAGTGCAGATGAGAAGGGAGGACTACATTTATGCTGGGAATCCCCATGAAGGTCTCACTGTGTGTATGGAACACAAAATCCACAACCTCGGCCCTACAAAAAAATGTCCTAATAGCATTTCTCTGACAACATCCCTTGACATGGTCACATGCATAACACTGAAGAAAATATGTACATGTAGTTAAAAAAAAAAAACAGGATGGGTGCAGTGGCTCATGCCTGTAATCTCAGCACACTGGGGAGGCTGAGGAGGGTGGATCACCAGAGGTCAGGAGTTCGAGACCAGCTTGGCCAACATGGTGAAATCCCATCTCTACTAAAAATACAAAAATTAGCTGGGCATGGTGGTGGGCACCTGTAATCCCAGCTACTGGGGAGGCCGAGGCATGAGAATTGCTTGAACTCGGGAGGCAGAAGTTTCAGTGAGCCAAGATGGTGCTACCACACTCCAGCTGGGGGGCAGAGCGAGACTCTTGTCTCCAAAAAACAAACAAACAAACAAACAAACAGGCCAAAACTATTGTCTGATTCTCTAAATATGTGGTTTTCTAGTGGTCTAACTTGATTCCAGAGTTCTAAAATTTAGAAAAATAAGAATAGATTGTCACATGCACTTCAAGTAATCTTGAAGAGATGTTCTAACCTGATATCTAAGCTAAGATATCCTACAGCTAAGAGTTAAAGCTCTTTGGAAAGCATTTGCAGATAATCTACAGCACTAATTAAAGACAGATTGATTTATTTTGTGCACAAACAAAAAGACTAGGATTTTAATCCCTTAATAAAAGTTTTGGATTTATGCTTTAATAGAAAGCTCTGAAACTTGTCCATCAGGTAGGTAAAGGAAAGGTTGGCAGAAAAGGTCAAGTATCTCAACAGCAATATCAGATCCACTGAAACCAAAGGTCTCAAAGTTTTGCATTATAGAGCTTATAAATAAGTATTTTATACTAGAGAATTTTTAAAGCAGGTGTTATAAAATGCCCATTTAAACCATTTAAAACTTCTTTCCAGATTGCAGTCAAAGGACATCTAATTTTAGTGAAGGTAACTTCTTGGTGTACCTCCAAGATAAATTGAATACAAAATGTAATCCCAAGTAACTAAATGAGTTAACCTGCTACATAGGATTTTAGTGATAAGCCAATTATATTTAGAGACTGCCTGCCAAAAAATAATGACTAGGTTTTCAGAAAAATTGATCTTGAGCCGTTCTTACTGATGCAACTTTGAGAGCAGGGCCACATGCCTACTGAGGAATGGCCAGTTTCTGAGAGTCACACCTTGTTGTCAGCACCAGAAGAGTCTCCCTTTTCAGTCTCATGTCAATAAAGCATCCAGCATTCAGAACAGTGTCATGGCATTGAGAAATAAGATAAAAATAGAACCCTAATATGGTTCTATTTGCCCCTTTTAAAATTGTTCTTATCAAAGAGAGTGTTCTTACTCAGCTAGACATGTGTGGGGGCTTCTATCTGAGCCTAAAGAGCTGACCAGGGCCCAGAGTGGCAGCTGTTATGAGCTCTTAACCCAAGTTCATTCTTCCCTGGTGCGGAGTCAAAGACTTACCTACCATCTGCAAGGAACAGACCTATCTGTCTTACATTATCCTCATACTTTGTGCATTGTCTAGTGTTAATATTGCTGTCCCTACTTAACAGGAAGCCCATGCTAAGCTGGAGCCAATGGCTAGAATCAGTCCACATGAGCTTCCTGCCTACCTTGGCAGAGATGATCGTGAAACTATGCCCCTGCCTCCCAGCATCACATGAGATGCTTCTTCTGACAGAGCATAACCAATTTCCCCATTCTGCTGCAACTGTCAGTCTTTAGGCCTCATTCTGTGATTCAGGGCCCCTGCTATTATTATACCAGGAATCAAAGAGTGACAAGAAAAATAATCAAAAATATATTTTGTCTTTTAACAAAATAAGAATAAAATTATGTAGCAAAAGACAACACACGATGATGTTAGCACTCAGAAATGGGTTTTTTGCAAGTTGATATGCCGAAATATGTCCTGAGGCTTGTCTTGGATAAGATCTACATACTGGTCTCTGGCCAAGTTGCTGTGAATCATTGCAGGAGACATTGAAATCTAGGTTCTAATCTTCTTATACTCCTCTGTAAAAGCAGCCTATCACACAGTGCTCTTGAGTTCTTTGAGCTTCTGAAACAAGTGAAAAGGAGACACTGTTGTACTGATACTCTCTAGGGAGTGAATTGCCACCCCCAACATGCTATCTTCCTTCTTATTCATCAATGCCTTCTGTACAAAATAAGCCAATGATAAACCCACATATGTTGAGCTCCTGTCAAATTCAAAGTGCTCTGCCAAGGAGGAAGGATAAGCCATTCGTCCCACACTCAGGAAGCTAAAAGGCAAAGTTGGGGTAATACATTTTATATATATATATATATATATATATATATACACACACACACATATATATACACACACATATTATGTATATTATATATAATTATGTATTATATATTTAAAATATATTATAAACATATTTTATAATATATGAAAAATATTTTTAATAAATATAATTATATATTTTATAATGTATATATATTATATATTATGTACTATATGTATTATTACCCCATATATATGATATATAAACATATAGGTTTTGGATTCAGCCTTGGGCTTAAATCTAGGCTTCATCACTTGCTGCCTTGGTCACTTTGCTTAACCTTAAAGTATGGAAGGTGATCAGCAGAGTGTTTGGCCCAAAGTAATTCCTTAAGAAACTGTAATTATTATCTATAATATATCCAGAAAGTGAGGGGACTTTGAGGATCATTGTTGGCCTAATATACATCAGTAACTATTGTAGACACATATTTTATACATTGACTCCTTGGTAAGTCTACTTAGGCTGTACGGAGGTGTGTGTGTGTGTGTGTGTGTGTGTAGTCATCCCTTGGAATGTGGCAAAATTCCTATAACTTGTAAATATTATAGCAGGACTGGGTTCAAACCCTGACTCTATCTGGCTCAAAGCCAGATACCACCACAGAACACTGGTGCTACAGTCCGAAGCTACCCCGTCCAATATGGGAGCCACTAGCCAATATGGCTATTTAATTTAAATTCAAATTAGTTAAATTAAAAATCAAGTTCCTCAGTTGCACTGGCCACACTTCCAAGGCTCAAAAGCCACACGTGGCTTATGGCCACAGTGTTGGATAATAGAGACAGTAGAACATTGCTATCAGCACCGAAAATTCTACTGGGAAGCACCAATCTAGATAAAAAGATGAACACAATAAACATTTTTCACTGGCCAGAAAAATGATGGTATCTGTTAAGTTAAAGCAATGATAGAATGAAGGAAGTGATCATTCTGTATCCCTGAGTGGGCTGTGATAGTCATAGTTAAATAAAACTCTCACCTTCACCTTTAGGTCTCTATTATGCAGGAGTTAGGAAGCAACTAAGCTCCTAGAAGTTGCTATTATCTGTCTGGTTAATATGCTTTCATCAAGCTCAGAGAAGCGTTCTGTTAATGTAAGTTTGTCTCCGTTTCTTCAGTAAACTGTTACCAGTGAAATAAAATTGTGTGGAACAGTCAAACGAGGTGTTAGGAATGTCCCTGTGCACACATGTGAGTATCAACTCCTTTGCAAGTTTGTTCAAGCTGTTAGCTCTTTTCTTTGGTGCTCAGTTAGATACTTGTTTGTGCTTTTTCTACTTAAAACAATAGTAGAAATGACCAAGTGTTTGAATTAGCCTCCTTTTCAAGAGTTCAGTTTAGCCAGGTTTTTAAAAAATTACTTATAGAATAGAACGTTCATTTCACTTTTATTCACTTGCTTAATCAATAAATATTTGGAAAAAAAGAAATATTTGCTTATCACCTGCTCTGTATCTATCTGCTGCTGGGCTGGATGCTATAAGGATGCAAAAATTAACCAAAATAAACTGGGCCCCTAATGCCACGGCGTTTAGAGTTTTTGGTCTTCTCTCACCATAAAATATTTAGATTTTACTACAAAAGATAAAAAAAATGTATAGGAAATAATTTGACTTACATAACTTAGCAAATAATGACACATCCCAAGTATGACAAATTAATCACCACTGGAATATAAATTCTTGTTCACCATTCTCTTTACTCTTCCTTACTATGCCTCTGTCTTATACTACAGGCCCTGTAAATATTACACTTATTCTCAGAGAAAATTCGGGTATAAAGTTATTAATTTTTTTTTCACAGATGGAAAGAAAGAAGTACAAAAAAAAAACCCCACAATTATTGTTTCAAGTTTATACACTATGTAGAGATCCTAGAAATAGAAATCCTGCCTGGCAAAGAAAACCAGAACTAGACAGAGGTTAAGGTTAAAATTGTGAACACAGATTCTATTCAGGAACAATTGCAAAGGAGAAAGAAAACCAGGTTCAATTCAAATATAGCATGGACAAGTGGAGATTTATAGCCAAGGAGGAGGGTGAGGTCAGTGGATGGAAAATTACTGAGAGGAAACATCAGATGTAATGGGAATTCTGGCTAAACTGACTTCATAGGATTCTTGGTGAAGGTGGGCCAGGATGATCACATACCACAGGTTATGGGGATGAAGAATTTGATTGTAAAACCACATTCAGATATTTGAAAGTCTGCTTTCTATGTCACTACATTTAAATTATAAATGCAAGTGAGTTGTTACCAACGCAGCATCCTAAAGCTGAGTTAAGTAGCCACGAAGATTCTATGAGTAAAAAGCCTTTCATTTTATCAAATTTGGCCAAGAAGGATTCTTTAAACTGTGAGCCTACAAAAGCCGATGTGATTGAACATTGTTTCATGGTCTATGCAGTCAATTTGTGTTTTCCTTATGGCCTGAAGACAAGTGGCCATGAGCAGTGAACATTTTTGACTGGAGTCTAAGAACCCGTATTGTTTCTAAATGCAATCTAATGGAAAATTCCACTGGGAAAGAAAATCACAAGTCAACCTAAACCAGTAAGATAATATTAAAAGAACAGAGAATGGACAACAACAATAACTTCATTTTTATGTAACACTTATCTCTATCATGAAAAAGCAAATTGTCTTAGTATTGTCTGAAAAACTTGGAAGACTAAGAACATGCTAAGCAAGAATTAGTCCTGTTAAGAACATTCAGAACAGAAGCTGCCAATCTTAATAGCAACTGTTCTTTTCAAAAACTGTATATTCAACTTTCTGTGTATTTTGACTTTGGTTAGAAGAGGTAAGAAAATAAGAAGATGACTACCTATTTAAATATGAAATAAAATAATGCAACAATTGTGCATTTCTTTCTTTCCCAGGACCTCACACAATCACTTCAAATGCTGCCATCAAAAAGGAGAACATTTTGGTATAGGAAGCAGATCGATTTGTAAAGATCAGGATGTGGTTTGCAAGAGATATAGGTTCTACATTCATTTTTCTATGTGAAAAATACAACAGTTATGTTGCATTGACTATAGAAGGCAAGACAACTAAAAGAGACCCACCAGATTTCTCTTCATGGGTCTAATTTTACCCTCAATTTTTCCTTTTCTAAATATGAAACTTAAATTTTTGTCTTCTTCCTTTAAACACTCTTGGTCATACATCAGCGGTTTCCAAGTCAATACTTTGCCTCCTTAATTTCAAATTCATCAAGCTTTAAATTGATTTTGAAAACTTTTTTCCATTAAATAAATGTTTTAAACTCTTTCTGGCCAATTAACTTTGTTTGCTCCCAAATAGTACTTACTAGGGTAGCCCTTCTTATTCATCTAATCATCCTGTCATCATAAAATTCTAGTATTATTTTCTAACAGTTGAGTACAATGCATTTTCCTTCCCCCAAAGAATTCACAATTGACCTTAAGAGGCAAATGATACACACATATTATGGTAAATAAAAATACAAATCAGTAAATTACACATTCACCAAAGACTTTTTAAGAATGGTGTTTACTGGACAGCCAAAGTAATCAAAAAAGTCTATTTTTAGAAAAAGTGCACTTAATTGGGTTCTAAACAAAGGAAAGACTAGAGAGGGAAGACATTCTATACAAAATAAAAAGAGAAATGATAACTGTTAGGAACAAAAGCAGAAATGACATGCACATCTTATATTTCAGAAGGCAGTGACAAGCCAATTTGGCTATAGGGAAAGGTTTTCAAAACTTTCTTAATCACTGAGTTTTACTGACCTTCTTTCTAGAATGTTCAGGACTGGCAATAACTTCCCCTCAGTGATGTAAGTACATTCATGTAAAAAAAAAGTATTAGACCCAGAGAAAATGTTTATTGTTTCTAAACAATATTTCTGTATTTCAGGATCTTCAAAATCCAGGTAAGAAACACAGTGAAGAACTCATCTACTGCAAGCTTGGCCCCATCCATCAGTACCAGTGAAGAGAGACAAATCAGGATAGAAAGACATCACTACCATCTCTATGGTCAGTGATATTATGGACTAATGAATAAAAATAACTGCTTTACACAGGATTCTACAATGTTCTACAGTGATTTCACATACTCCTTTCATTCTTGCAATGACCCAAATTTAAGTGTTGTGTTTAAACCGAAGTTAGGCACACGTTAATATCTCTACTTTACTAATGAAAAAAACCCGAGGTTAAGTAATTTATCCTTGCTCGTCTTCCTGTCAATGACAGAGGCATACTTTTTATTTTTATTTTATTTTTTATTTTTTTTATTATACTTTAAGTTCTAGGGTACATGTGCATGACGTGCAGGTTTGTTGCATATATGTATACATGTTGCTGTGCTGCACCCATTAACTCATCATTTAACATTAGGTATATCTCCTAATGCTATCTCTCCCCATTCCCCCCACCCCACAACAGGCCCCAGTGTGTGAAGTTCCCCTTACTGTATCCAAGTGTTCTCATTGTTCAATTCCCACCTATGAGTGAGAACATGCGGTGTTTGGTGTTTTGTCCTTGCGATAGTTTGCTCAGAATAATGGTTGCCAGCTTCATCCATGTCCCTACAAAGGACATGAACTCATCCTTTTTTATGGCTGCATAGTATTCCATGGTGTAGATGTGCCACATTTGCTTGATCCAGTCTATCACTGACGGACATTTGGGTTGCTTCCAAGTCTTTGCTATCGTGAATAATGCCGCAATAAACATACGTGTGCATGTGTCTTTATAGCAGCATGATTCATAATCCTTTGGGTAGATACCCAGTAATGGGATGGCTGGGTCAAGTGATATTTCTAGTTCTAGATCCTTGAGGAATCACCACACTGTCTTCCACAATGGCTGAACTAGTTTACAGTCCCACCAACAGTGTTAAAGTGTTCCTATTTCTCCACATCCTCTCCAGCACCTGTTGTTTCCTGACTTTTTAATGATCGCCATTCTAACTGGTGTAAGATGATGTCTCACTGTGGTTTTGATTTGCATTTCTCTGATGGCCAGTGATGATGAGCATTTTTTCATGTGTCTGTTGGCTGCATAAATGTCTTCTTTTGAGAAGTGTCTGTTCATATCCTTCGCCCACTTTTTGATGGGGTTGTTTGTTTTTTTCTTGTAAATTTGTTTGAGTTCTGTGTAGATTCTGGATATTAGCCCTTTGTCAGATGAGTAGATTGCAAAAATTTTCTCCCATTCTGTAGGTTGCCTGTTCACTCTGATGGTAGTTTCTTTTGCTGTGCAGAAGCCCTTTAGTTTAATTAGATCCCATTTGTCAATTTTGGCTTTTGTTGCCATTGCTTTTGGTGTTTTAGACATGAAGTCCTTGCCCGTGCCTATATCCTGAATGGTATTGCCTAGGTTTTCTTCTAGGGTTTTTATGGTTTTAGGTCTAACATGTAAGTCTTTAATCCATTTTGAGTTAATTTTTGTATAAGGTATAAGGAAGGGATCCAGTTTCAGCTTTCTACATATGGCTAGCAAGTTTTCCCAGCACCATTTATTAAATAGGGGATTCTTTCTCCATTTCTTGTTTTTGTCAGGTTTGTCAAAGATCAGATGGGTGTAGATGTGTGGTATTATTTCTGAGGGCTCTGTTCTGTTCCATTGGTCTACATCTCTGTTTTGGTACCAGTACTATGTGTTTTGGTTACTGTAGCCTTGTAGTATAGTTTGAAGTCAGGTAGCGTGATGCCTCCAGCTTTGTTCTTTTGGCTTAGGATTGTCTTGGCAATGCGGGCTCTTTTTCGGTTCCATATGAACTTTAAAGTAGTTTTTTCCAATTCTGTGAACAAAGTCATTGGTGTCCTGATGGGGATGGCGTTGAATCTATAAATTACCTCGGGCAGTATGGCCATTTTCACGATATTGATTCTTCCTATCCATGAGCATGGAATGTTCTTCCATTTGTTTGTGTCCTCTTTTATTTCGTTGAGCAGTGGTTTGTAGTTCTCCTTGAAGAGGTCCTTCACATCCCTTGTAAGTTGGATTCCTAGGTATTTTATTCTCTTTGAAGCAATTGTGAATGGGAGTTCACTCATGATTTGGCTCTCTGTTTGTCTGTTATTGGTGTATAAGAATGCTTGTGATTTTTGCACATTGATTTTTTATCCTGAGACTTTGCTGAAGTTGCCCACTGAGCTACACCTACAAAGTGCATGCTGAAAACAATGCAATGAAAATCAGGGTGTTTCCCCCTGGAAAAATCTATACAATTTAAGAGTGAGAAAGAGAGAGGGAGTGGTAGACTCCTAATTAAATTAAAGTTTGAAAGGTTTCTTAACTTTCTTAAAGACTAATAGCATAGCAGAGACTGATTTTCAAAGGGGATCATTAATTTTCCTTAATTTTAAACTAAATCTCAAAGTATATTTTATTCATATTCAGAAAAGGATAAATGGAAGATCAAAAAGCAATAATGCAGACCTCACCAGTGCCCAGCCCCTGAGGGAACCATTGCACTGCATTTTTTATGTCAGCCGACCTTTCCTTTTTAGTATTCATGAAAACTTAGCAAATAATCAATTGAATTGATTTCAGGGACATATATCCATTGCTTCCTGCCTGAAACGTGAAGCTCAAGCATGGTTATCTGACACAGGAGTGCCCTTTCATTCTGTCTTCTGTAGGAACAACTGTACAGAACAAGTAAATGAGCGACCCAATGAAATCTCCCATCCCACAGTCTGCTCTTGCCTTACTATTCAATTCATCTCTCTTCATCCGCACAGGGCTCTTGTTCTCCTTCAAAGCAAGCTCCGGGGCTGTGGAGGAAAATTCAGGTGCAATGAACAGAAACCACTTCACTTGTTAGCCAAGAGGATATTTAAGGTGCTGAGCAATGAAAAGTTAATACGATGTACTATTCAGTCTCCATAAATCACCTCTAAGTTTAACATCTTAAAGGTCATATCAGACACCATGACCTGTGTTTATGCTGTGTTTACCCGTATATCATTCATGAGTTTCATGATGACTTGCTGAGAAAAACAATACATTACAGTGCAAGATTGAATCGCAGCTATTTATTTTCACTTTATAAGACAGATGGCTAAGAGATAACTTGTTCAAAGGAAGGCAAAAGACAATCAAATGTCATGGGCTCAAGATAAGCCAGCTGGCTTATCAACCACACCAGGCAGGCTACCAATTTATAATTCAACTGTTGGGATGTTTATCATTGAAATGTTCAACTTCCTGGAGCAAACATTGACTATTTTGCCAGTAATAGGAGCCAAAATGCTATTATATTCAACTTAGCGGTCACAAAAAGATAAAAGGCTAAACAACTCATCTTACACAAACCCACATTTGTCCACAAGGGGCTTCATAATGAGGTAGCCACTTGCAAGTAAAAGTGATGTGCTCTGATTTGGAATACTAAGACTTAGTTTATTCCCACAGCCAAGAGGCCTGGATTTTCTTTAACTAAAATCATTATTTTAGCTTAAGGTGTCATTCTCTACAATGCGTTTTCTAAAATGTGTGACTTAGTATTATTCATGCTGAACCAATTTAAAAGGTATTGACTTGCTATCACTCAGCAAAGCAGGAACTGGACAGGTGTTGTTAGAAGGCAGCTTGTTTATAAATTTTCAGAGTTCAGAATGCTAAAGGGGAGAGCACTGGGTGACAATTGTTACTACTGGGTCCTTGTGCAGTCAAAGGGGATCAGGAGAATATATAGTTCTTCTTGGAGCAAGGAGACACTGTAAGTAAACGATTTTTAAAAATTAGAGAGCTGAGCACAGTGGCTCACACCTGTAATCCTGGCAACTCAGGGGGCTGAATCCGGAGGATCACTTGAGGCCAGGAGGTCAACACTAACCTGAACGACATAGAGAGACCCCATCTCTATTTAAAAAATTTTAAAATTAACCAGGCATGGTAGTACACGCCTGTAGTCTCAGGTACTTGTGAGGCTGAGGTGGGAGAATTGCTTGAGCCCAAGGAAAAAGTTAGAAAGGTTCTCACTTTTGGCCTACTTTTGATTTGTGTCCCAATCTGTAATAATTATAAAATTCAAATTTCCACCGAATTGATGAACTGCAAGATTAAAAGAGAACCACTACACACAGTGAAAAGACTAACCCCAGGTGGGAAACAAGAAGACCAAAGGAAAACAGCATGTCAAACGGTTTAGAAACCAAGTTCAGGAAATTCAATATTCACTGTTAATTTTCCCATGAGTCCATATATTGTTTTCTTTTTTGTCTCTAGCCAGCTGTGCTTTTTAATAGGATAATTATTTGCTATTCAGATGTATTCCAATTATTTATTTAAAAAGAAAAGTTCTATAGGATTATCAAGTCTGTCCCTTCAAGAAAATTTTTCTCCACTTTTTATTGCCTGGTGTAGCATCCACAATGTGATTTTGATAAATTCTTCATTGTCATTAACAATAATCATGTTAACAAGGAAAGATGTAGATTGTTTGTAACTTTAGTTCAAGGAGAGATAATGAGAGCTAAATAAACTTGATACGAATTGGAAATTGGACGAAATGGATAAGGCCACAGGGTAAGCAGTTTCCAGAGTCGTGGCCATAGAATGAATGACTCAGACCTGAGTGCTCAGTCACAACAAGGTGCAGCACAGCCTGCCTCCTCTGAAGATGAGTTTATTAACTTCCAACAAGGCCTCCAGCTGCTCATTAGCTGTGAATACTCTGGAGAGGAACACAAGGAGCTGCTTCTTTTATTATTCCCTTAAAGAAGCTAAAATATGGTTTTCAATGTGATGCAGACTGGAAACATTGATTTATTCAAATGATCTTGTTAATGTAAGCTACTTGTGCTTTTGGTACAAAGTACTTTGAGCTTTGTGTGTGTGTTTTAATGGCAAAATTCTCCATTGGTGTGCTTGGGCCTCTTCTACCTGCAAGCATAATCAATGAGGAAAGGTACTGGGAGACTTTTCTGTATACAAAATTGAACTAGTGCCGCCATATTTATTTCTCATCAATCTTTTTTAATGGGATTATCGACATGTGTGTAAAAGTGACTTTCCTAGCTTGATTCATTTTTGCCTCTTCTTTACATGAGAAAACCATCAAACCCCTGATGAAAACAGTGCAATGATACTACACTGATTATAACAAGCTTACTTACTTCATTATTCATTGCGTTCTCTAGATGAATCATATGCTTTCCATATACGGAAAAGACAGGTTAAATCATAAGTGCCCCTTAGTGCTTACCTGGAGAGAAGCAGAAAGCAACTTTCCCACCACAATGCCCTGGGAAATAAGGGAATGTCCAACTTTTCACCAAATCAAATGGTGTTTTTTTCGATCCTCATCCTTCTTAATATTTTTGGCACATCAAACTGTTTACTCCCCTCTCCTTGCCAAAGAGCTTCCCTTAGCTGATATGTAACACACCAACTTAGTCTTCCTGCCTCAAAAACAAAATTCTTTCTCCACATTTACACACTGACCTTATACCATGTCCCAGTCTCTGAGCATGTTCCCCCCAATCCAATCATCAATCTAACACTCTCCTCTGACACTTTAAGAAAATCCATCCTTGATTTAGTCTCAGTCATCACCTCTGTGTATTTGAAAATCAAATCCTTCTTGACAACTCATCCTTCATCCAATTCTAGGACTGTATCCTTATCATTCTACCACATAGATTTTCTAGAAAAGAGGAATGAGGTTGTCATTCTTAACAGAACAACATATCCAAATGACTAGCTTCCCAAATGTGTTGTTTTTCTATGGCCCTCCAGGAAAAAAGTACAACCAGAAAATTAGTCAAAATAGAAGCAACAAAATATCAATTCACAAGGGATTAGACTATATTTTTCTCAGCATTCACTGTATTTGTTTCTAAATCAAAATCACTAGGGTTCATAGGTGGCAGAGATATTCCAGTTTCTATGAAATTTTGCATGTGAACTATATGCCCTGACATTCCATATCTCCTCTTCCTGACCTTGAAATCAAGAATTCAGTCTCAAAATATGGTCTTTTACAAAGAACACTGAGCACAGAGGTTGCCTTAACAAGAAAGCATTCTAATTCTATCATAAATTAAAGGCAGCACTTCAGAGAATAGAGCATAAACTGCTGCCACTCTATTCCTGAGAGAGATCAAATGATCCTTTCTATAAAACCTGTCTTTCTATTACCAGGAACTAGGAGTTCAACAAATAACCAATGAGGAATGTAAAAGTTTCATGTGTGGATGTCCTGAAACGGATCCTGGGTGGGTCTGAACGTATGTTTGTCTTCACAGAGTCTTCTTATTTCTCCAGTCTTAACTTGAGAAAGTCTCCCAATAGGCACTTTTGTCATAAATATTCCCGTCTAATTTACATTCAAATCAGTAACCATTTACTGAGTAGGTGCTAGAGACCTGAAAATAAATATACCAGAACCTCTGCAGGCCGTGATTCTAAAGGAAGCGTGCCAAGCCCAGCTCCACCATTCAGCAGCTATGTCACCTTGGGCAAGTAATTCACCTCTCTGCCCATATTTCCTCTTCCGTTACATGTGGAGAATAATAGTACCTATGCCACAGGCGAGACTGCTCTGATGATTAAATGAAACAACTCATATAATGAGAGTAATAATATTATCTTCCTCTTGAGGCTTTGAGGGAATTAAATAGCTGGAAACATGTAAAACAGAGAGAGCAGTTTCGGACACACCGTGCACATAACACTTACACCCAGTAAATGGCAGCCCTCATTGTCATTGTTATTGCCTGGTATCATATAGTTAGTTAAGGAGTTTCAACAAGATTCAGTGCCAGGAACACAGAGCGAGTCATTCTGAGAAGTGCTGTGGCACTGATCACCAGTGCCCAAACTCTCCCAATAGGAGTTTCAGGGAAATGACAAAGAGGAACTAGCCCTTGAATGGACCCTGATCCAATGAGCCCAATGTCCCAGGCAAACAGTAGAGAGGCAGTAGAGGGCAGAGGCATCCCAGACAAGGAGGCAAGGAAGAGTATGCAGCACTTGCAGGGAGGAAGGGCTCGTTCATACTGTTAGAGGGCAGGGAATGCAGACAGCTTAGAAATCCCCGTAGGGACAGACCTGCACCCCAGTATCAGCCACACCAAGGAGTGGGCCTTTTTTCTGGAGGTAACAGGACACAAGTGAGTAATACGACCAAGTCATTTTTCCCCCATCTGGAGCACTGGAGGTGTCACAGCTGAAGGTGAAGAGATTAGTGAGGAAGCTGGGCAGTAGCCATGGCAGAGCATGAAGACAGCCTGACCTGGGCAGTGACTCAGCAGAGGAAGGCACAAAGATGCAGAGACCATCAGCAGAACAGATGGACACTGGCATGATGGGCCTGAGTCAGAAGACGAAGTGTAAATACCCGATGCTCTCATTCTGTGATCTGGGACATGAACGTAGTCTCTTTAACAGCTCCCATCTTGTAAAAGGGAGTGCTGATGTGTACACCACGAGATTGTCGTAAGCCATAAAACACATGATGTGAGTGGCAATGATCTGCAATCTGCAAAGGTCTGTATGGATGTGCAATGTACGTTACCTCCAAAGTACATGATTTCCCTGGAATGATTTGGGATGACTGCCTCACGCATCAGGGCTCCACACTGCTCCAGTGATAGATGACTTTCTCACTTCTAAAGCTATGAATTATTTTTGTCAGGGGGACCTCTTTCTTGGAAGGATCTTCTCATTTTTTTTACAAAAGAAAAAATATATATCTTTGGTCTTTAGAACTGTCCACGCTGGCTTGCTAGGTCCCTTCTGTGTCTGATGTCATTATGCCTATGTGTGCATAAAGGCATGCTATTCCTCCTGCAGGCTTCCTTGTGATCTTGATCATTATCCAGCTTCTAATAAAACCAGTCAGCACAGGAAGACCAGGGAGGACTGAATGGGTTCTTAATGCTATATAAGGTCTGAGTGTAGACAACTCTTCTACATTTTCCGGACAGCTAACATGTAACACTCAAAAGAGAATAAAAACTACTTAGGAATATTTCCTGTTCCTTCAGTCATTGTGGCCATGGCAATGCACGTTCAAATGATTTAAAATGTGACCATTTGGAAAATGATCTCTCACAGCTTGTTGTAGTTGTACATATATATTTCTGTCATATATATCTATATATTATATAGATATATTTGATATGGGTATACAGAGATATCATATATTTGATATATGTATATCTTTAAATTATTGTTCCTCTGTATTCTTTATGTCATTATAATTCCATCAAAAATGCTCCAAGAAATTATTCTGGGGTTAAAACACAAATAATGGACATTTTCAGGTATGACAGCAAATAGAGATATGCTCATACCTTTTGTTTGTTCACTTGTCAATATAAATCTGTCTGTACCAGTTTTTACTGGTCTCTTAGCTCACTTCTACATATCAGTTCTCTGCTTAGTAAGGCTGAAGCCAGAAAGCCATAAGTATTTCTCCGGTGTCCTCGTGATGTGGCCTCCTGTTGGATAGGAGGCAGCAGCAGGAAAACAGAAGGCTAGCAAATGAGAAATATCTTTGTCCTTTCTCCCTCCCTCCCTCTTTACTTCTCTCTGCCTGCCTGTGCCTCGGGCGGGGTCTCTGGAAGTTGCTGTGTTGCTGGCACTCCTCTGAGGCCCCTCCTCCACGGTGCCAGCACTGGCTAAGGTGTCCTTGTGGTCAGGTGCCCCTTCCTACAAGTTTCAGCACCCATTCAGGACCCCCTGCAGCATGCAGCATGTGTGTGTTCGACTCTGATAACAACAGCTCCTCCCTTTTCCTCCCTGAGATCTGTGGGCAATAACAGCTTCCTGCTGTTACCAAGCTCTTGCTGCCCACTTTCTGTTTTTTCATCTCCTCCAATATTTTTTAAGCTATTCTCTTGATTAAGCAACCTCCTTGCAGAATATCTAGGTTTTTATTTCCTTTAAAAGACCCTGACTTATATAGCAGTCAGTACCGGTAGTGATCCCAGGAAACAATCACTCAAAACTGAATTCCAGTATTGATCTGTTGACCTGTTCAAGCTTGCATAGAATGACCTCCTTATTTGCAGCAGAAAATAGGTATCTAGTAAACTGAGACTTGAAGTGGCATTATAATGACTTAATCACCTCTTGTAGCTTGAGGTCAAAATTCTGCTAAAGACAAGGCTTTGGGAAAGCAAGTGGCCACTTCATTTAACTGTAACTTTTAGTACTGATGATTCAAAGGGCTACAGTGTGGGGCAGTTACTTCTAAATGCACTCAAGATACAGGGAAAGAAAAGGATACACTCAGAGGTTAAACTCTCAGTTCAAGGTATGGTCAGAAAATCAAAGAATGTCTACAGTAGTGAAGATGTAAGGGTTTTCATTTGTTTGTTTGTTTAAGGTAGCTCTAAAACAAACAAATAAAAACCTCACATCTTATAGTCAGAATGCATTTAGGGCTGAGGATTATGCTAAAAACTAAATAGTACATTGTAATACAGATTTGAGAGGTGGGCACGTAGTAGGCCATAGAGCCAGAAGGGCAATGTGAATGTTTCAGCCGTAGGGGCCAAGGGAAAACCTCCCCTTCACCTAACAGGGTGTAGAAGCTTATATACCATCTTGAAATTACAGAGTGAATGGGGGCTTTGATCATGGCAAAACAAGTTATGGGAGAAAGAGAAGAGGAAGTCTGGCTAGCAAGGTGGCCTTGTTACATAACTGAAACCTCACAGGTAGCAGCCCTCAGAGACAAAGGATGGTAAATATTTCTTTCTGACCTTTAAGAGTATCAGACTCAGTTAATCTTTCCTAGATCTGGACAAGGGGAGACCTGGCTGCATCAATGCAGAGTCTCTGCAGATGCCACTCTCCCCACAAAAGACAGCTTTGCAGAGCCACTTCTGTTTGCTGGCTCAATGAATAACCATCTCAAAGGGTGTCAAAGAAGTACATTTGGTGGTAACATATTTGATTTCTTTCACAACTCACAGGGATCATTGGTGGTACCCAATAGACTCAGGAAAGAGAGAGATGAGCTGCCTACTGGATTGTTACCTGGCCTGTGTAATTGGATAGTCTCCAGTCTGGTGAGCAGAAACTAACTCGAGTGAGGACAACAGAGGGTCACAGTCTTTTACCCAGTATCAGAACAAGACCATCTCACAGAGGCAGAGTCCTTTTATTGGAGGGGAAGCTGACTTCTTTTGAGTTTGAATCCTGCTACATTGTCACTGGTGTCCATTATCAATCCTTTGTCTAAGCTTCCTCAAAAGGACCTGTGTCATATTCTTGAGCAGCTATACACTGGGTAGACAGAATGGCCCAGATTTTAGAATTTACTAAACACTTGCTCTGCACTGACACTAATCTCTAGGGAAAGTCATGGTGGTTTATTGTCAGAGGGGAAACTTACACAGTTTAGATAATAATGGAGTTTTAGCCCAAGTCTTTCTCATAATAGGTCCACAGACCCACCCTGCTGGAATGTGTACAGTTGCTGAAGGTATAATGGGTTATACACACTTAGCAGCAGCTGGAATCCTCACCTTGGTTGCATGACCTAAGCTAAGAAGGACCAAGTGGATGGCCCTGAGATATCACCACATTGCTACCAAATAGTAAAACCAAAGCAATATTATGCCCTTGGGGAAACTTATGAATTTAGTCGCACCATAAAAATACCATAAAAGACTTGAAAGAGGCAGTACGGATCATTAATTTTACATCTCCATTTAATCCACTCCTTTGGTCCAGACAGAAGTTAGATCATCTGTATAAAGAATAGACCAGGCGCAGTGGCTCATACCTGTAATCCCAGCACTTTGGGAGGCTGAGGCAGGCAGATCACAAGGTCAGGAGTTCGAGACCAGCCTGACCAACATGGTGAAACCTCATCTGTACTAAACATACAAAAAAAAAAAATTAGCTGGGCATGGTGGTGCATGCCTGTAATCCAAACTACTCAGGAGGCTGAAGCAGGAGCATCACTTGAACCTGGGAGGCAGAAATTGCAGTGAGCCGAGAGCACGCCATTGCACTCCAGCCTGGGCAACAGAGTGAGACTCCATCTCAAAAATAAATAAATAAATACAAAGATCTTTTTATCTTTGCATCTTGCTAGGAAGACGATTTTTTTATTGGCGTAAGATGGAAATTTGCTTATGAATAAAAGGCTGTGTACGGATTCCTAGTGCCAAAAAGGTAGGTTGTTTCAATATGTACCTGTTGGCTTTCAAACCCATATGCCCTCTTATATAATTGGCTCTACGACACTAGCACTAGAAGTCTGAAAACTACGTTTCCCAGAGACTCCCTTGCCTGTTGGCTTGCTGTGAATTTTGTCATTTCTGGGAACTAGTAGAATACCCAAAGACTGAAGGGAAGAAGGAAGAAGCCTCTGTTTATGCTCATTCTCCCCACCTCCCTCCTTCCAACAGTGTCGCTGAAGTGTTTGCATCTCTCTGCAATCCTAGTGTGTGCAGCAGTCTCTCCACAGTTATCACCGGCCACACAGCCCCTTTACCATGAATCCAGCATTGGCCCAGGACACCCCCACCTTATAGGTTCTCACACTAGCCAGTCAGTCTCAGTGTCTCACGTGGCACAGGCAATACAACAAGCATGCTTCTGAATTCTGGTAAAACCACTTTCTTCCCTTTTGCCCTCTGAACTGATATTTATTTCTGGGTTACATTGAGTGCCCTGTTTTAATCTTTGGTTTATCCAACACTTTTGGGACTTCCCCATCTTAAGTCTCCTGCGTTTGAAGTGCATAACATGATGTTCATTTTTCTGACTGGACTCTGGCAGAAAAATCCATTTAAAAAATGTCTTCATGGAAATTACGCATACACATCCTTCCCCAATCCATCTCTGCTTTCCCTGAACTTCCTGCTGCCCTATGCTAGGCTGCTTAATGAACTCTTGGAGTATCTTTCTCCTCAACACCATAGTTGTACTGTATGTCAATTGGGCATTATATGATCAGAGAAACACGCTGGACTTAGGCCACACTGTCTTTATGATATAGGACATCCTCTATGTATCTTTCACTACCAAGGAGCTCCTTTCTCAGTCATTGCAGTTAATATGACCTCCTTGAGGACAAGGGCTTCGTTTGCATGTTTGTCTGTGTTTCCTCACCACAATTTTTTTTTTTTTTTGAGACGGAGTCTCGCTCTGTCCCCAGGCTGGAGTGCAGTGGTGCAATCTCGGCTCACTGCAAGCTCCACCTCCCGGGTTCACGCCATTCTCCTGCCTCAGCCTCCCGAGTAGCTGGAACTACAGGCGCCCGCCACCATGCCCAGCTAATTTTTTTTTGTATTTTTAGTAGAGACGGAGTTTCACCGTGTTTGCCAGGATGGTCTCGATCTCCTGACCTCGTGATCCACCCGCCTCGGCCTCCCAAAGTGCTGGGATTACAGGCATGAGTCACTGCACCCCGCTCTTCACCACATTTTTTAATGTTCAGTTAATAGTATTGAGTAAATTGATGGATAAAGTTTCTGTATATAAATGCAGTGTTGCCAAATTCAGAAAATCTTCATGTTAAACAACTCAATTTTTTATCTGTTAATAGCACCAACAAGGATTAGTGTTGGAGCCTTTCTCTTCAGACCAATACTATGTGTCCAGGTCGCCAGAAGAGTGTTCTGGGGAAAGCTGCCCCCACACAAGGCTGCAAGCACCAAGTCAGAGCCTGGACTTCCTGTGACTTGAACACACAGTATTTCTGCTATCATTGTACACACTACTCATAATTTTGATACATGTATTTAATATGTCAATTAGTGTTCTCATGTTTTACTGCAAAGACCAGGTTTACATAATCAGAAAGCACAAAAAGGCAGGATCATGTTAGTGGTGTCTAAAAGATTTTATGAAACTTCCCTCTGCAGCACAATTGGTATTTCACTTTAAGAAGCTAATAAATATTTTAGAATGGCATTTCATTTGTTTTACAATGACATTTGGTATTACAATGAAGGAGCTGGAAAAAGAATATAAAAAGGTTCCCTCCACTACTCACTGGATTCCTTATATTTAGAGACCAAACTGATTTATAGCGTACATGAGTCACCGTAAATCATTAGCAATGGCAGTAGGACCTTAACCAGTGGTAGAGGTGAAGTCCCTTGAATCCTAAATACACAAATCTACAGTTGACACTAAACAGCTTTCAAATTTATTTATTTAGCATATTGTATTGAATCATATCTCAACACTATTCATTATCATTCCAGTGGGAGAAATGCCACTTCACATATGCATAAGAAATTGATGATATAGAAAAATTATTTTTAGTGAAATCATATTTTTAAGAGTCACTTGCCCTAAGTCCTTGAATGCACAGGATATGCAACCTGAGGTCATTTTCAGTACAACACAAGCCTCACAGAGCCCAAGCAAGGGAAAAGGGAGATCAGCAGAATTCCAAAGCAGAAGCTGTACAGAATCTCTGAGGCAGTGGTTCTCAGCTCTGCCTGTTCATTAGTATCACCTGGGTGGATGTGCTGCCTTACATCTGTCATTTAAGTCATTAATATGTATCAGGAGTAAAGTCAGAGCAGTACAAGGGTCAAGGGTGAGTGCAGGGCTAAGGAAAGCAGGTGAGGTTAGTCACTTCTCTCTCCTCCTCTTCTCCCACTAAACCTTCAGGGCTAGAGAATCACAATCTAAGGATTGACTGGCTTTGTTTGTTGTGCTTGGGGTCTCCACCCTGAAGTTCATTAACCCCCTGCCCCCAAAGCTCTTTGGCGCTGACATAAACAGGGGCTTGGTCACAAAACAAAGTAACATGACAAGAGCACAACCACCACAAAAGAAAAGCATCATACTGAAAATGCACATTGCAACAGGCAACAATATTACAACAGGTAAACTGTGAACTTTAAATTAACATAATATACAAATTAGACGGATGTGAAAGGATATTATTAATATGAAGGGATAAAAATGACGGAAGAGAACCAAGCAGAAATATTATGTATGAGAAATGTAATGACTGAAGTAAGAGACACAAAAGATCAATGTCTTGTGGCTCCACACAAGACTTGTTTTGGCTAGTATGATGTCTTCAGACACAATACAGGGCTCAAAATATGCTTGTATGGTGGAGCTTATGCTCTTGCTCTTTTACTATCAACATGAGAAGAATATGTCCTCGGGTAGGCCACTAGCCCCAGGAAGAAAATGAGAGGCACCTGGAACAGTGCCACCCAGCTGACCCAGAAACATGACTGAAAAATAAATGCTTATTGTTGTATGACACTGACAGTGATTTTATATACATACCATTATTAAGGTAATATGTGATTATATAAGTAGCAAAATGATACAGCTGAAGAATGAGTTAATAAACTGGAAAACCAGATTTAGGAAATCTTGCAAAAGGAAGAAGTAAAGTATAAAAAGTTCAAAGAAAATAAAAAAGACATGAAAGTTCAAATAAAAAAGAAATGAAAAGTAAAAATAATATCTAAATTATAGGAATCCAAGAAAGAGACAAAAGTATACATGAAGGTGAGAAGAAACTTGAAGAAATATTGAAGATAAATTCCCCAATTGGGGGAAGGGGGACAATAAAAGACCTCAGATTGAAAGGGCACCGAGAATGCTAAGGAGAAGGGATTTTTTTTTAAGTTGAAACTATAGACATTATAAAAGAAAAACAAACTCTAAAATCCACAGAAAAGAACATCTCACATATAAAAGAATAAGAATGAGATTGATTTCAAATTTTTCCACAGCAATACTATATGCAGTAGGTAACAAAAAAAGCATTTGATATAATTCAACACCTATTCATGATAAAAAGCACTTAATAAGTCGGGTACATGAAGTAAATTCATTAACCTGACAAAGATTACCTATTAAAAAAATTTGGACTGAAAGAGAAAATGTTTAAGGCATTTATTTTAAAATCAGGTACAAATCAAGGATACCCACTGTCCTCACTTCTATTCAACTTTGTATTGGTGATAACACCCAGAACAAAGGGACCAGAAAATAAGAGACTAGAGCTTTGGGAGGGCAAAATAAAACTCATTATTTGTTGACAATATGATCTTTATATGAAAAACCCAAAGGAAAGGCAAGAGAAATTATTAGAAAAAAATATATTGTTAGAAACAATTTAAGAATTTAGCAATATGGTTTGGTATAAGATGAACACGCAGACATCAGATGCATTTCCAGGTACCAACAGAAAACAACTGGTATACATGGAATACTATGTAGTCATAAAAAAGAATGAGAGCATGTCCTTTGCAGGGACATGGATGGAGCTGGAGGCCATTATCCTTAGCAAACTAACAGAGGAACAGAAACCCAAATACTGCAAATTCTCATGTCTAAGTGGGAGCTAAATGATGAGAACAGATGGACACATGGAGGGGAACAACACACACTGGGGCCTTTCAGAGGATGGAAGGTGGGAGGAGGGAGAGGATCAGGAGAAACAGCTAATGGGTAATAGGCTCAATACCTTAATACTGAAATAATCTGTACAACAAACCCCCACGACACAAGTTAACCTATGTAACAAACCTGCACGTGTACTCCTGAATTTAAAATAGAAATTTTTAAAAAAACAAAACAACTGATATAATGCAATTAAATAGAGTATTCCATATACAGTAGTATCAGAGAATATAAGAATGAATCTAACAAAAAATATGCAAGTAGCCTACATGGCAAAATAATATAATTTTATGAATGAGATATTTTTAAAAGCCTTAATAGAGAGATATAAACCACTAGAATTATAGCATAAAATGTTGATTCTCATCAAATTATTTATTACAGTCAAAGCAAATTTAATCAAAATTCTAGATATTGATTTTATCCTAATATATAAACAGACAAACACATACACATACACAGTCATGTGCCTAACAATGATGTTTAGGTCAGTTTTGTACTGCATTTACAATAGGGTCCCATGAGATAATAATAGAGCTGAAAAATTCCTATCACTTAGTGATTGTGTAGCCATTATAACATTGTAGAACAACTATTCTTTTTAAAATAAATTTAATGTAGTCTAACTGTACAGTGTTTATAAAGCCTATAGAAGTGTGCAGTAATGTTCTAGGCCTTTGGATTCTCTCACTACACACTCACTGACACCCAGAGCAATTTCCAGTCCTGCATTTGTCGTAAATGCCCTATACAGGTATACCATTTTTTAATCTTTTATACCATATTTTTAATTGTACCTTTTCTGTTTAGATACACAAATACTATATTAGTCCATTCTCACACTGCTATAAAGAACTACCTGAGACTGGGTAACTTATAAAGAAAAAAGATTTCATTTACTCACAGTTCCACATGGCTGGAAAGCCATCAGGAAACTTACCATCATGGTGGAAGACGAAGGGGAAGTAAGGTGTGTCTCACATAGCAATAGGAGAGAAAGAGAGGAAGTGGGGAAGTATCATACTTTTAAACCATCAGATCCCATGAGAACTCATTCGCTGTCATGAGAATAGCATGGGGAAAGTCCTCCCCCATGATCCTATCACGTCCCACCAGGTCTCTCCCTTGACACCTGGGGATTACAATTCCAGATGAGATTTGTGTGGAGACACAGAGCCAAACCATGTCAAATACATAACACTGTGACACAATTGCCTACCAGTACTCAGTACAGTAACATGCTGTACAGGTGTATAGCCTGGAAGCAATAAGTGAAACCATATAGCCTAGGTTTGTAGCAGGCTATGCCATCTAGGTTTGTGTTAAGGGCACTCTAGGATGTTCACCCAACAATGAAATCACCTAAGGACACACTGCTCAGAATATATCTCTGTCATTAAGCAGCATATGACTGTGTATGTATGTGTGTGTATGTGTGTGTATATAGTATATGTGTGATTATACACACACACACACATATATATACACACACACACACACACATACATACATAGAAACTGTCAAGGGCCAACTATAAAAAGTATACTTTTGAAAAACAAATTCAGGGAGTAGTTTATGTCCTACAAGTTATCAAGACTTCTTATGAAACTAATAAATAAGGCCATGTAGTAGTAATGCAGTGATGCACAAATGTATCAATGAAAAGGGGGGAAAACTCAAACAGTTCCACAGAAATGGGATTTTGGAACATGACACAAGTGGTATGTCTGAATGAAAGAATGGCCCTACTCAATCAATGGAGCTGGATAAAAGGGTGATTCACAAGTTAAAGATCAAATACAATTCTTACTTTAAATCATATTAAGAACTAGAAAATATTTATAATTTCATAGGAAAATATTTCTTAAGACATATAATTGATGAAAAATATTAATACATTTGCTTGTATTAAAGTTGGCAATTTTGTTTAACCAAAGACACTTTTAAAGGTAAAAGTGTGGCAAACTGGGATATTATATTCATAAAATGAACAATAATTACATATGAATAAATAATTCATATCATAATTACACTTATGAATAAATCAGAAGATTTCAAATAACCCAAAAGAAACAAATAATAAACAAAATACTTGAACTAAGATTTCACAGAAAAGGAAACACCCATGGCCACTAAGCATAGGAAGGGATGTTCATCATTGGAAATCCAAGAAAAACAAATGAAGATCAGAATGAAAATAGTGTACAATTGGGGAAAATTTAAGAAAACTTACAATATCAAATATTTGAGGGGATATAATCCCACAGAATTTGAGACGGAGTCTTGCTCTGTAGCCAGGCAGGAGCGCAGTGGCGCGATCTCGGCTCACTGCAACCTCTGCCTCCTTGGTTCAAGCAATTCTCCTGCCTCAGCCTCCTGAGCAGCTGGGAATACAGGCGTGTGCCACCACGCCCAGCTAATTTTTGGATTTTTAGTAGAGACAGGTTTCGCCATGTTGGCCAGGATGGTCTCAATCTCTTGACCTTGTGATCTTCTCACCTTGGCCTCCCAAAATGCTCTGATTACAGGCGTGAGCCACCGCGCCTGGCCAGGATTTCTTATGTATTGCTCCTGGCAACACAAATTGGCAGTCACTTTAGAAAACACTTTGACATTACCTACTCTTTAGTGACCCAGCTATTCACTCCTACCTTTATACCTGAGAAAGTCTTTTACATGGAAAACAGGAGACAGGTACAAAGTTGGTCACAGTAAGATGATGCCCAACAGCAAAAGTCAAAAGCAACCCAAATATTCATCAGCTGGGAAAGTAGATGAATAAGTTGTGGAATATTATAGAGTAGCGCAAATGATCAGGCCAAAACATGAAACAATATGGTTGAAACTTAGCAATAAACTGTAACATTATTTTCCAAAAATTACATACAACACTCAAACTCTTTTAATTAGGATAAAAATAACTAAAATTTAGAAACATAATTTTTAGGAAAACATTTAGCTGCAATAAAAATGTCAAAAAGAGAAGAAAAAATGATAAATGTAGGATTCAGAATGATGGTTTCTTTCGGCAAAGGTAGGAAGAAGGGATGGAAGACTATATTATCATGTATAAGAATCTAAAATTTTGAGAGATAAGATTGAAATTTTGTTTTACAATTTTTAAAATAACCAGGCCGGGAGCAGTAGCTTATGCCTATAATCCCAGCACTTTGGGAGGCCGAGGCAGGCAGATCACCTGAGGTCAGGAGTTCGAGACCACCCTGATTAACATGGAGAAACTCCATCTCTACTAAAAGTACAAAATTAGCCAGGCATGGTGGCACATGCCTGTAATCTCAGCTACTCGGGAGGCTGAGGCAGGAGAATCGCTTGAACCCGGGAGGTGGAGGTTGTGGTGAACCGAGATCACACCATTGCACTCCAGCCTGCGCAACAAGAGTGAAACTGTCTCAATAAAATAAAATACCAGGTATACAAATAAAAGAAAGCCACCTATGGATCAATGATGAAATGGTGTCATAAGTCATGGATTGTGGTTAATTCGTTTCTAATCTCAAATTAGTAGGGCAACATAATTATTTTAAAAAGTCCACTTTGGGAGGCCAAGGCAGGTGGATCACCAGGTCAGGGATCAAGACCATCCTGGCTAACATGGTGAAACTCTGTCTCAACTAAAAATACAAAAAGTTAGCCAGGCGTGGTGGTGGGCACCTGTAGTCCCAGTTACTCGGGAGGCTGAGGCAGGAGAATGGCGTGAACTCAGGAGGCGGAACTTGCAGTGAGCTGAGATCACGCCACTGCATTCCAGCCTGGGCGGCAGAGTGAGACTCTGTCTCAAAAAAAAGAAAAAAGAAAAAGAAAAAGAAAAAAGTCAGAAAGCATGAAGAGAAAGAGAAAAGAGAGATCAATATGGACCACAGTTGTGAGGAGGGGTTTGTCAGAGGAGGTGGAACTCCAGGAGAGGAATGAAGAGGATCTCCCAGCCCAAGTGATCACAGGAGCAAAGAACAGCAACAGTAGAAGGACATGAGGTTTTGGAGAGACATCATGAACAGACACTAAAGTTAAGATACCACAATAGTGGAAGTGAGAACGTGAAGACAACATACAGGGGGATCTTGAAGTCTTAGCAGAATTGAAGCCTATTTAATGGGAGTTTCTGAAGACTCTTGGGGAAAGGGCAATCGTGGTGAAAACACCATTTAGATTACTACAATGGCATCGAAAAGGGTGGAAAAAATGATGTGTGCACTTACAGGAAGGACTGGAATTTAAGAAGTCTTTGGAGTCATCCAGGTAGGAGATGGCACAGACCGGATTAGGTTCTCCATAGTAACAAGAGGAAAGACAATGTTGGATTTGGAACACACTTTTAAGAATGAATGTGTGAGATTGCTACAGATTGCTACTGATTGTAAGGTTGAAACATTGTGAGCATAGAAGAATAGCAATAGCATTAACAGCAGTGGGCAAATTGAAAACAGGAATCCACATCATAGGGAATGAGAGAAATAATTCGTTCACTTGCAAAGAAACTGATCTTCAGAAAACTAGGATATTTTATTCCACTAAATCCATAACACAGGGTTATCAGGTGAGATAAGTTTTACATTTCAACCAGTTGCCAATGTCCCTGATTCTGCCTGAAACCAATCAAAAAAATCTATTGAGAGATAGATGGGATGACCAGTATCAATTTAGCCTACTGGAGGGTCAATTGTAGAGCATTCTTAACCCAAGCCCACATCTTAGGTGGGAGTTTTTAAGATCAGCTAAAAACATGAAATCAAATCTATCAGTTGGATGAATGCACACACATCAAACTGTACAACACATAAGATGAAATAAACATAAGTCTTCTCTTTATTTTTCATTCATGTACAGCAACTATTAGAGTGCATTATTCATTTCAGACACCCAAGGTCACTGTTAATTCTGTTTCACAACAAGGTTCTTCTCTTAGGAAGTTTTCTATCCACTATAATTCTTGTGGGAAAAAAATGTCCCTTAAAAATTTCAAATGAACATCCAAATGCCCCATGATTTTTATCTTGTTCTTATTTGTATAGTTAAAATTTTTGAATGATATTTGAAGAAAGTTTTCCTAACTTCTCCATTTAGTAAATTAGTTACAATAAACACCATGTCCTTTTTACCTAAACGGATTGAAAGTTTCTCAGAACACAAGGATATTAACAGAAAATCACCAAGAAAAATACAGACATGTAGTAATGTTCATATCATGCTGCAATAATATTTCTAAAATTTGATGTAGTTATACACAACTGTATTATCTAATATACCTTCTCATTCCCACTTCAAGAACACCCTGAAATCATATCTAATAATAACCTTTAAATAGAACAATGAGCTCATTTGAAAAGTATAGATGCTCTTTGTGTTTGAGGAAAGAGCCCAGTAAGATCTCTGCTGGTCCTTCATTAACACTCAGGTGATTTTACATAAACGTCAATCAAAGCTCTTTCCTTTTCCATCAGATATTGCCATGTCGGCCTAAGCAAGAAAAGGAAGGTCGAGATTTTCAGTGACCTTCTCCGCAGCTGGGCTAGCTTTCATCAGATAGCTCATTAGTGCAAACAGGCTGATTGACAAGGTTACCCCAAACGGAGAAGCAGGAGCCAAACAGATCATTTGCATATTATATTAATGACATTCAGAGTACCATTTGGTGTTCCTAGGGGAATTGAAAGAGAACAAACTGTAATTTTCACAATCATTAATTGTTTAAAGGAAACTGCAGATTCTTAAAACATGTAGGATGTTTATGGGATTTCAATGTAATGTAGACCAGGAGGAAAGCTATATAATTGTAGAACAGAAAGCCTGCGATTTAATTATTTGACTTGAGGTTAATTCTGCACAGTACCAAGCACATTCTACTCGAGGGATGACACTGTTTATTAAGGCATATTGGAGAGCCTCTTGTCCTAATGAGGGATAGGAGTTGAGAGCACAGATGTGGATGCATGCCAATAAATAATGACAATTGTTTGTACATTTTATCCCTCAGTGGATCAATGTGAGTGCAAGCAAGAGTGTTAGAATTGAACCTGCCACGTTCCTTGCCTCCAAATTCCTGCAGCTCCCATAGCTAGATCTGCTTAACCTCAGCCTTCAGCCTTGCTCCTACTGTGGATTCTGGGACTAACTTGGGCCCTAATAGGCGAAATACATGAGTCATCATAGTGCCTTGTCACTTAATATTTAGTCATATTAGTCCTGCCTCCATTTCCCCACTGAATCCAGGAACCAGGTTGTATTACTTTTCTAGCACTGTCATAAGAACATACTAGAAACTGGGTGGCTTAAAACAACAGAAATTTATTCTCTGTGTCATCACGTGGCCTTCTCATAAGGACTTCGGTCACTGGATTTAGGACCCATATAACTCAAATATTATATGACAGCATCTTAGCTGTCGTATTATAGGAATAATATGGGCCACAAGGGCCAGAAGTGCAACTCTTCCATGTATATAAATGCTGGAGAGCCTAAAAATATTTACTGACCTGAATGAATAGCCAGGCACACCCAGAATTATGGACATTAATAGATCAGTGAAGCCCACTCAATCAGTGAGATCAGTGGAAAAATAGATATTAAAATCAAGGTGTTAGCAGGGCTGCTTTCATTTCTGAAGGCTCTCAGGCAAGAATCCACTTCCAAGCTCATTCGGATTGTTGGCAGAATTCAGTTTCTTGTAGTTGTAGGACTGAGGTCCCCATTTTTCTTGCTGGCTGTCAGGTAGTGGGGTGTTCTCTGCTCCTAGAGTGAGCGGGTCCAGTTCTTCTCATGCTTCAGTCTGTCTTCTCCCACTACCCCATCTTTCTGACTCCAGCCAGAGAAAATCTACAACTTTTAAGGGCTCACGTGCTTAGATTGTGTTCACCAAGATAATTCAGGATAATCTCCCTGTTTTAAGGTCTGTGACCTTAATTATTCCGCAAAGTCCCTAGGGCAGGGAGGTAACATATTCACAGGTTTCAGGAATTAGGGCCTGGACATCTTTGGGGGCTATGCTATCTAACACTCTCGTTAGTATTGTATCTCTACTTTCTGTTAATGTCTTTTCTTAGGTTTCTTATTTTTTCCACTTTCTTTCCGTTACAGACACAAATTTTAAATGTTTCAGTATGTACTTGGAAACAATACTTACAACAAAACAATATATACTGCATACTTATATACTCTAATGAATGTCTCCTCACATTTTTACATCATGGTATATAAAGAAAAAATGAAATTTTGGGGGGTACACTGCAGTAAACTAAAGGCATTCAAGGGCATCTAAATGGAGCTTGGTAGAAAAAAGTTTGACTATCTTAATATTATATAGTTATTATAGAAAAAGTAAGTATTAGGGAAGATATTAATTACAGACTATGTATAGAATTTCCAAATATTTTTCAAATATATAAATGAGAATCTTGAGACCATTTTGTGTGTATATTTTGCTTTAATAGCAGGTTTAATGTTTGAAATATGTATACACAATTCCTAAACAACACCTTTTAAATAACGATCTCTTCCAATTTTCGATAGTCACCTTTGACAAGAAACTTTGTTCACACAAGTGGGTAGTAAAACTTTATTTTTCTAAAACTTGAAAAACATGCAATGGTTAAAATTACATTTAAAGAATTTAGTAGCACTTCCATTTCTTTCATTGACAAATGTCATATTGAAATTTCTTGAACTATGAAAGCATTCTGAATCTAATTGAATTTTTTCATGTCAAGTATTTAAAAATAATGATAAAGCTCTCATTTTCAAGATCCACATGCATTATCAGAGGATTTGGTGGCTAACTCAGATACCACTAATAAAGCCACAAATAAGGGAGAATCTAACATATGTAAAAAGGAGATTTAGAGCTGCCCCAGAACATGTAACCACTAAAAATCCCCTCCCATTTCACCCTGCACATCCTTAGTACACCCAACCATGGAATCAGCTGCACCAAGGGCTACGTGCCATGCTATTCAGGACCCTAAATGCCAACTCCTGCAGCAGCTCCGGGGTGCCTTGTCGATGATGGAAGGCAGTGCGCTCTACCGTTGATGCAACTCAATGTGCAGTTGGTTGGGTTTTTCCAAGATGTATTCAACCTGATGAGACTCCCCAGGTTCATCATCTATGGAGACCACAGAGACCCCAGGTATAACCTGCTTACTACACCACACTCTTCGAAGGAGCCCAGCAAGAGGTTTCTTGTGATGAGACACCATTCTTTCCTTATGGACTTCAGAATTTTCTTCACTGAGAGTACTTGATTAGTAACCACTGTGAAATTTTTCTGGAAAATGTCTCTATTTGCCCTCATTTTGAATCATAGTTGCTCTGGAAATATATATATATATATATATACACACACACACACACACACACACACACACATATACACTCACATATATATACACACATATATACATATATATACACACACACATATATATATACATATATAGAGATTTTTTTTTTTTTGAGATGGAGTCTCATTCTGTCGCCCAGGCTGGAGTGCAGTGGCGTGATCTCTGCTCACTGCAAGCTCCGCCTCCCGGGTTCACGCCATTCTCCTGCCTCAGCCTCCCGAGTAGCTGGGACTACAGGCACCCGCCACCACACCCGGCTAATTTTCTGTATTTTTAGTAGAGATGGGGTTTCACTGTTAGCCAGGATGGTCTAGATCTCCTGACCTCGTGATCCGCTCTCGATCTCCTGACCTTATGATCCGCCCGCCTCAGCCTCTCAAAGTGCTGGGATTACAGGCGTGAGCCACCGCGCCCGGCCGCTCTGGAAATATATTCTAGGTTGACTGCTATTTCCCCTGCGGTCTAATCACTTTCCTTTATAGGTCATTTGTCTCCTCTCTCTGGCTTCTTTTAAGATTTTTCTCTTTGTCTTTAATATCCTGCAGTATTACTTTGATTCACCTAGCACGAATTAACTTTTAATATATGCTGCTCTGATTCAGGATGCAGCTGGTTAATTTTTTTATTGAGGTGTAATTTTCATACAGTGAAATGCACAGATCTGAAGGATAGTTTGATGAGTTGTGGCATGTGGAAAATCCACCCTCTAATCATTATCGAACAATTTATCATCAGAGAATGTTCCTCTTTGCTCCCCTCAAGTCAAACTGACACGTTAGAGTCAGCCACCATTGTGACGTCAATTGTCATAGATTAGTGATGCCTGTCCTATAATTTTTTATAAAAGGAATCATATAATTTGTGCACTTCTGTGCCTCGCTTAATTTGTCCAAAACACTTTTCGAGAGATTGATCCATGTTTTATGTTTATCAGTAATTCATTGCTTTTTATTGCTGCATATTCATTCATGAATATATGCCAGAATATTTTGTCCATGTTGATGGACATTTGGGTTGCTTTCATTTTTTGGCTATTATGAATACAACTACTCTGAACATTTTATTCGGTATTTTTTGTAGATAATATGTTTTAATTTTCCTTACATGTATACATAGGAGTAGAATTGCTAGATTGTAGGGTAGAGAAGTGTCCAATTTTATAAGAAACTGTCAAACATCAAAAAAGTACCATTTTACACAATTATCTGCAAATTATGAGAGAGATAATTGTTTTGCATTCTTGTCAATATTTGGTCTTGTCAGTCTTAAAAATTTTAGCCATTTCTGGTGAGATTTTAAAGATATCTCCTCATTCAGATTTGCATTTCAATGATGACTAATGATACTCATCATCTTTTAATGTATTTACTGGCCTTTCATAAAACTTTCTCTGTAAACTATTCAAGTTTTTTGATAAGTTTTAATTAGGCTCCTATTTTTTGTCTATAGAGGTTCTTTGTCCATTCTGGACATGATTCCTTGATCAGATATACACATTATAAATATTTTCTCCTAGTGTGTAACTTGCATGTCCACTTTTTAATTATAATTTTTAATGAGAAGACATTTTTAATTTTGATGAAGTCAAATATACCAATTGTTAAATATATTTTCTTTTCCTTTTTTCACACCCGAAAGATATAACTACATGATCTAAGTCTTCCCCTACAAGATTTGAGATTCACATTTTAAATTTGGTCTAAAATTAATCTGAAATAATTTTAGTGTATATTGTAAAAGTCATCTCTTTCCCATACAGTTTTCTAGTTATTTTAGGAATATTATTGAAAATATTCTTATCTCCACTGGATTCCTTTGGCAACTTTGCAAAAAGTAATTGGTCATACTAGTGAGAGTCTGTTTTTGGATTCTATTCTGTTCTATTGATCTATTTGACTAGCCTCACTGTCTTGAAATTAAGTTCTGTAATTCTTCTTTGTTCTTTTTCAAGATCATTTTGTCTCTGCTAGCTCTTTTGCATTTTCATATTATCTTAGAATCAGCTTAACAATTTCTCCTTCAAAAACAAAAGCCTGCTAAATATTTGAATGGAATCACATTATATCTGTAGACTAATTTAAGCAGAATTTACATCTTAACATTATACGAAGGATTCTGACTCATAAACATGTAACATGTTGTATATCTATATTTATTTAGATTTTAATTTTTTATTGTAATATGTTATGGTTTTTATTGAGACCAACCTAGGCAAGATAGCTAGACCCCATCTCTACAAAAAAAAAAAAAAAAAAAAAAAAAAAGCTGGGCATGGTGGCATGCACCTATAGTTCTAGCTACTCAGGGTGCTGAGGTGGTAGGATTGCTTGAGCACAGGGATTCAAGGCTGCAGAGAGCTATGATTAAGCCACTGCACTCCAGCCTGGACAACAGAGAGAGATGCAATCTCAAAAAAAGAAGAATATGATTCCGTATGTCCCACAATTTCAATTCAAAAGCTCAGTAATGAGTAAAATGTTCTAGTGTCTTTCTGAGTGTAATGGGTGTTAACTACTGATATGGTTTGGCTGTGTCCCCACCCAAATCTCATCTTGAATTGTAGCTCCCATGATTCCCATGTGCTGTGAGAGGGACCCAGTAGGTGGTAATTGAATCGTGGGGGCAGGTCTTTCCCATGCTGTTCTCATGATAGCGAATAAGTCTCACGAGATCTGATGATTTTATAAAGGGAGTTCCCCCTACACATGCTCTCTTTGCCTGCTACTATGTAAGATGTGACTTTGCTCCTCCTTCATCTCCACCATGATTATGAGGCCTCCCCAGCCACGTGGAACTGTGAGTCCATTAAACCTCTCTCTTTTATAAATTGCCCTGTCTTGGGTATATCTTTATTAGCAGTATGAGAATGGACTAACACAACTACATCAGGATTAGAAGATAAGAAAACTCTATTTTGTGTCCTTTCCCCAAAGGTCAAAATCACTTAAAAGCCACATTCCACTAATGCAGCGGGTATTTTTCCATTTTACATTAATTAAAATTCATTACTTTAGGAGTCAGCTGAACAGTAAGATTCACTAAGCACTCAGTGCAAAGGGACCTGAGGTCCTGAAGGGCTATAGCTCACGCCCCTCAGGACCTTGTATCATAAACAGGAAGTCAGGGTTGACACACAGAAAACACAAATAGCATGAACCAGCACAAAAGGAACATTGTAAATTCGATTTGAAATAATGAGGGACTATGAGGTTTCTCTTCTCTCAGAACATAAGAGAAATAATACTGAGAAACATGTGCCTGTTTTATATTTAAAATAATTAAGGTAGGTAAGATTAAAAATTACGGAGATGCCTTTTAGTGCTAACCGTTTATGATTATGAAAAATTATCCAAAACAAATTCAAGATTAAATGTTTAGAGATAGAGAAAAAAAGGAAATGGAGAGAAGAGATCTATACCAGCGAGGTCAGAACTTAGGCTCCTGTGACTCTGGTTCATGACTCCCCCAATCCCTCTCTCCTCAATCTTTACAGTGGATATTTGAGAAAACTTTTAGGAGTCTCTATCAGTGATTTCCTGTAAATCCATTGCTTACTGTATTGAAACAAAAACCATATTTAACTCCACAGCTAAAGAAGACACAATGAAACAATATTAAAAGAAAAGTAAATGAATCTCATGTCTCTCTGGTTGAGTGTTTTCCCCGACCCTGTGGGGCTGCTGGCTATTCATACATTCATTTGTTCCCCACGTTTAGCCAGAATTTGGAGGATGCATGGAAATAAACAAGTGCAAAGAGCAATCAGAAGACTTCTAAGTTCTCTGAGCACTCATTATTCTGTCTCCCCAGACCCAGGGTAGAACTATTTTAGATGCACAGTTGGAGACAAAAGCATGAATTAAAATCTTTTTTTTGTCTCTGGATGAGGAAAATTGTAGATATTAACATGTTTTGTTGAGATTGGAAGTATCTCATGATCTATCATTAAAGAATATAAAAGTCAAAATGTTTAACTTCTTTCTGCCAAAGCATCCCATATGTAAATACTCATTTAAAAAGAGAATTTTACTCAAAATCCAAATGACTTTTTTACAGAAATAGAAAAATCTACCTTTAATATGGACTCTCAAGGCGTATGGAATAGTCAAACCAACACTGAAAAAGATCAGCCAGGCGTGGCCTGTAATCCCAGTACTTTGGGAGCCTGAGGTGAGAGAATTGCTTGAACCCAGGAGTTCAAGAGCAGCCTAGGCAACATAAGGAGACCCCATCTGTACAAAAAATTTAAAAATAGCTCAGCGTGATAGCACACACTTGTAGTCCTAGCTACTTGGGAGGCTGAGGCAAGAGGATCACTTGAGCCCAGGAGGTCAAGGCTACAGTTAGCTGTGATTGCACCATTGCACTCCAGCCTGAGCAACAGAATAAGACCCTGTCTCAATAAAAAAAGAGAAAGAAAAGAAAAAAAAAATAGCAAAGTTTGAGGTCCCATATGTCATGATTTCAAAACTTACTACAAAAATACTATAATCACAACAGTGCAGTACTGGCACATGGAGGACAAATAGACCAGTGGAATAGCATACAGTGCACAGAAATAAATCCTCATATCTACGGTCAAAGGATTTTTAACAAGGGTGCCAAGACCATTCAATGGAAAGAGGACATTCTTTTCTATAAATAGTGTTGAAAAAACTGTATATCCACATGCAAAAGAATGAAGCTGTACTCTTAATGTATACCGTATACTAAAATTAACTCAAAAATCGATCAAAGACCTGAATGTAAGAGCTAAAACTATAAAACTCTTAAAAGAAAACATAGAGGAAAAGCTTCATTACATTGGGTTTGGCAAGTCTTTCTTGGGTATAACACCAAAAGCAAAGACAACAAAAGAAAAAAACAAATAAATTGAAGTTTATCAAAATTAAAAACTTTTTATGTACCAAAGGACATTATCAAAAGAATGAAAAGAAGACCCAAGGAACAGGATAAAATATTTGCAAATTATATATCTAATATAAGATTAATATCCAGAACATACATAAAGAACTCCTAGTAGCCCTGTACAGTGGCTCGAGGCTGTTAATTCCAACTACTCTGGAGGTTAAGACTGGAAGGTCACTTGAGCCTTGGAGTCTAATGCTGCAGTGAGCTATGATAGCACCACTGCACTCCAGCCTGGTTGACAAAGTGATACCTTACCTCTAAAAAAGAAAAAAGAAAGAACTCTGACAGTTCAACAACAACAACAACAACAAACTGCTTTAAAAAAATAGGCAAAGAACATGAATAGACATTTCTCCAAAGAAGATATACAAATGGCTGATAAGCATGTGAAAAGACAACATCGCTAATCACTAGAGAAGTACAAATAAAACCACAATGAAATACCACATCACACCCATTAGGATGGCTGTTATCAAAAAATAAAATAAAATAGCAAGTATTAGCAAAGATGTGGAGAAATTTAAACCCTTGTGTATTTGCTAGTGGGATAAAATGGTGCAACCACTGTGGAAAATAGCATAGCAGAACCTCAAGAAATTAAATATGGAATTGCCATATGATATGACAATTATACTTCTGGGTAAATATCCACAAGAATCGAAAGCAAGGACTCAGATATTTATACAGCTAGTTCACAGCAGCATTCACAATAGCCAAAAGATGGAAGCAAATCAGGTGTCTGCTGGGACACAGGGAGGGGAACGTCACACACTGGGGCCTGTCGGGGATGGGAGGCAAGGGGAGGGAGAGCATTAGGACAAATACCTAATGCATGTACGGCCTAAAACCTAGATGATGGGTTAATAGGTGCAGCAAACCACCATGGCACATGCATACCTATGTAACAAACCTGCATATTCTGCACATGTATCCCAGAACTTAAAATAAAATTTAAAAAAAGAGAAAAAAAATGTAGCATATCCATACAGCGAAATATTACTCAGTTTTTAAAAGAAAGGAAATTCTGATATGTGCTACAACATGAAATAACTTAGAAGACATTATGCTAAGTGAAATAAGCCAATCACAAAAGGGTAAACATTCTAGGATTCTTCTTAAATGTGTTAGCCCTCTAGAGTAGCTAAATTCATGGGGATAGAAAGTAGACTGGTAGTTAGTTACCAGGGGCTGGGGGAGAAGGGAATGGGGAGTTATTGTTTAATGGGTACAGAGTTTCTGTTTGGAAAGATAAGTTCTGGAGATGGATAGTGATAATGGCTGCACAACAATGTGAATGTATTTATTGCCACTAGACTATACACTTAAAAATGGTTAAACTGGTAAGTTTTATATACATGTTAGTGTAATAAATATATATCATAAAAATAAAAGATTTTTGCTGGGATATACTAACTTCCTAAAGGCCAAGTATAAAATGTTAAGATTTATGGGTATATGAAACTTGGGTATTCAAACATTCAATTATCATAATTTGAGATATTTATCTTCAAGTTTGACAGAATAGAGCTACGTGACATTGCACAGACTCTCACATTTGCATTTTCCTGAATACCATTAAATTATTTTATTGAAGAACTTTTTTCTTATCTGTCTCTAAATTGCATTCTACTAATTTTGTTTTCCATATGATTGTCCATCATTTTTCAGATAAAAAGCTGTATAAATGACAAACATTTTTGAAAAGTTATAATTAAGTTACTTTTGTCCCCATATTGTAACAGTTATAGCATTATTGTCAATATTCTGATATAAAGACTTATTTTCAAAAAGACGTTAGAAAGCTACCTGTCATTTTTTCACTGTGCCTACATACAGGGTAGACTATAACCTATTCAGCCAAAAACACTTTCTAAGCAGAAAATCTGATCATACTTTGTGACAAAAGAACTGGGTGTATGAAAAACTTATGACATTTTTCACAATTGCAGGATCTTCAGCTGCAGATATTTTCTCAAAATGTCAGTAATAATAAAAATCTGCATTTGTCAAGCAGTTACTACTTTTCAAGGGACAATGCATGCTTATGAAATTTCAAAAGTTCTATTAAATTAGCATCTCCAAAAATCTTGAAATTCCCATTTCTGTGCTCATATATTTGAAACTAATATACCTAAATTCTTCTTGTTATAGTGTGTATTAGTCCATTTTCATGCTGCTGATAAAGACATAACCAAGATTGGGAAAAAAAAGAGGTTTAATTAGACTTACAGTTCCACATGGCTGAGGAGACTTCAGAATCATGGCAGGAGGCAAAAGGTGCTTCTTACATGGCACTGGCAAGAGAAAATGAGGATGATGCAGAAGTGGAAACCCCTGATAAAACCATCAGATCTCATGAGACTTATTCACTACCATGAGAACAGTAAGGAGGAAACCACCCCCGTGATTCAAATAATCTCCCACCGGGTTCCTCCTACAACATGAGGCAACTATGGGAGTACAATTCAAGATGAGATTTCGGTGGGGACACAGAGCTAAGCCATATCCTTCCTTCCACCCCTGTCCCCTCCAAATCTCATGTCTCATATTTCAAAAGCAATCAAGTCTTCCTCACAGTCCTCCAAAGCCTTAATTCATTTCAGTATTAAACCAAAAGTCCACAGTCCAGAGCCTCATCTGAGACAAGGCAAGTTCCTTCTGCCTATAAGCCTGTAAAATCAAAAGCAGGCTAGTTACTTCCTAGGTACTATAGGGGTACAGGTATTGGGTAAATACAGCCACTCCAAATGTGAGAAATTGGGCAAAACAAAGGGGTTACAGGGCCCATGCAAGTCCAAAATCTAGCAGGGCAGTCAAATTTTAAAGCTCCAAAATGATCTCCTTTGACTCCATGTCTCACATCCAGGTGACACTGACTCAAGAGGTAGGTTCCCATAGTCTTGGGCAGCTCTGCCACTGTGGCTTTGCAGGATACAGCGCCCCCTGCTGGCTGCTTTCATGGGCTGGTGTTGAGTGTCTGTGGCTTTTCCAGGCACACGGTGCAAGCTGTCAGTGGATCTACCATTCTGGGCTCTGGAGGACGATGGCCTCTTCTTACAGCTCCACTAGGCAGCACCCCACTAGGGACTCTGGGTGGGGGCTCTGACCACACATTTCCCTTCCACACTGCCCTAGCAGAGGTTCTCCATGAGGGCCCTGCCTCTGCAGCAAACTTTTGCCTGGGCATCCAAACATTTCCATTCATCTTCTGAAATCTGGGTGGAGGTTCCCAAACCTCAGTTCTTGACTTCTGCACACCTGCAGGCTCAACATCATGTGGAAACTGCCAAGGTTTGGGGCTTGCAACCTCTAAAACCATGGGCTGACCTGTACCTTGGCCCCTTTTAGCAACAGCTGGAGCAGCTGGGACTAAGTGCACCAAGTCCCTAGGCTAAACACAGCATGGGGAACCTGGGCCTGGCCTATGAAACCATTTTTTTTCTCCCAGGCTTCTGGGTCTGTGATGGGAGGGGCTGCCATGAAGACCTATGACATGCCCTGGAGACATTTTTCCCATTAATATTTGGAAAATAAATATTTTCCAAATTAATCCAAAGGGATTATTTGGCTCCTTGTTACTTATGCAAATTTCTGCAGCCAGTTTGAATTTCTCCTCAAAAAAAATGGGTTTTTCTTTTCTACTACATCGTCAGGCTGCAAATTTTCCAAACTTTTATGTTCTGTTTCCCTTTTAAAACAGAATGCTGTAACAGCACCCAAGTCACCTCTTGAATGCTTTGCTGCTTAGAAATTTCCTCCACCTGGCTGAGCGGTGGCTCACACCTGTAATCCCAGCACTTTGGGAGGCTGAGTTGTGTGGATCACCTGAGGTTAGGAGTTTGAGACCAGCCTGACCAACATGGTGAAACCCCGTCTCTACTAAAAATACAAAAATTAGCGGGCATGGTAGCAGGTGCCTGTAGTCCCAGCTACTTGAGAGGCTGAGGCAGGAGAATCACTTGAACCCAGGAGGTGGAGGTTGCAGTGAGCCAAGATTGCGCCACTGCACTCCAGCCTGTCGACCAAGCAAGACTTCGTCTCAAAAAAGAAAAAGAAAAAGAAATTTCTTCTGCCAGATTCCCTAAATCATTTCTCTCAAGTTCAAAGTTCCACAAATCTCTAAGGCAGAGACAAAATGCCACCAGTCTCTTTGCTAAAACATAAAGGAGTCACCTTTGCTCCAGTTCCCAACAAGTTTCTCATCTCCATCTGAGACCATCTCAGCCTAGACCTTATTGTTCATATCACTATCAGCATTTTTGTCAAAGCCATTCAACAAATCTGTAGGAGTTTCCAAACTTTCCCACATTTTTCCTATCTTCTTCTGAGCCCTTTAAACTGTTCCAACCTCTGCCTGCTACCCAGTTCCAAAGTTGCTTCCACATTTTTGGATATTTTTTCAGCAATGCCCCACTCTACTGGTACCAATTTACTGTAGTAGTCCGTGTTCATGCTGCTGATAAAGACATACCCAAGACCGGGAAGAAAAAGAGGTTTAATTGGACTTACAGTTTCACATGGCTGGGGAGGCCTCAGAATCACACCTGGAGGCAAAAGGCACTTCTTGCATGGTGGTGGCAAGAGAAAATGAGGACAATGCAGAAGCAGAAATCCCTGATAAAACCATCAGATCTCATGAGACTCATTCACTGTAATGAGAACAGTATGGGGGAAACTGCCCCCATGATTCAAATTAGCTCCCACCGCGTTCCTCCCACAACACGTGGGAATTATGGGAGTACCTTTCAAGATGAGATTTGGGTGGAGAAACAGAGCCAAACCATATCACAGCATTAATAACTTCCCTGGATGAACATTTAAACTGTATACATATTTCATATGTTGATACTCCTTTGGTAATTCTAAAATATTTTAAAATTGATGATTTTAATAATTTTACTCAGCAAATATGATTAAATGTTTATTATGATCAAGATGCTATGTTAAATGCAAATTGTAAAAAGAAGAATCACAAAATTGATTGTGTATTCATTAGAGGTGCTTTTCTTTTACAAATCCATTAAATTAAAGGGAAACTAATATAATTAAGCAATTCTTGCTGTACGGAAAGTGAAATATAACAGTAATTGAGAGATCTTGTCAGTTTCAGCATTATACACCATTAAAACTGTTTTAGCAAAAAAGGTAAATTAATTGTTTTCTGTTTCGCCCTCTTTTATTTTCACTGACCACTCACTCTCTGATGAGTATGCTGAAGAACTGAAAAATAACCCAAAGATTAGCAGCCAGGAGCTTAAAAAACAAAACAAAACAAAATAACAAATCTCAACAAGGAATTTTAAGGTATAACGAAGAATATCTGTAAACCTGTTCATTGAGACACTTTTATAAGCATCAAGTTACACTACAAATGTTTTTATTAATACCATAGAAGCTTTAGAAAAGCAAATGTTTCTGACAGAGCAATACTTTAAGTTGAAAGCACAAGCTCGCCTTTATAAACTGAAATGTTTCTTTCACGCTGCTACAAATGCACAAAATTTGGTTAGCAGTTTCTGAAAAACATCATTAACTCTTTAGCACGTATTCCTTTTCCACTAGTTTAACTCCTCCCACAAAGGATCTAAATAGCAGTAGTCATCTTTGAAGCACACAATCCCCTTTGACTCCAAAAGCAACATGAGGCAATGTGGTTGCCATTATTGTACATGTCAAACAGTGTTGGAATATAAGCTTTAAGAAAAACAAGAAATTCTAGCCCTGAAGTTCGACTTTTCACTCACCTTAAACATCCTTAATGTTTACAAATCTGATAGAGCCAAACGCAAGTCAATGAACTTTTCCTTTGCTTACAAATACTATGCTTCACTCATAAATGAGTTTAGTGCATGTTCATTGATTTATAATATCCTCTTTGCCTCTACACCAGAATCATCTCATATATTTGAATCCACTAATGCATTATAAATCCCTATAGAGTAGGTAGAAACTAAATAATTGTTTAAACAACAGTAATCAGAATTTACAACTATTTTGGCAAGGGGCAAAGGGTTTGAGAATACAATAAAATGTGTTCCCGAGGAGAAAATTAGTAAATTGCTTTTCTGTCAAATACTACGTCTTTGATCTAATGTTCAGGTTCAGTTATATTAAATAAGATGATCTCATAAAGATAATGGAAAGATCATCTTTGTAGGTATTCTCCGTATTAACATCATTTTCTGTTTTTATGAGTTCTTTGTGTCTTCATATTAAACGATTTTAGACAGGCAATTTTGCCTTTTGCTAACTAACAAATTACCCCATCACTTTTTGGCTTAAACCCATCCATTCATTTTATTTTATCTGACCTTGTGGGTGAGGAACTAGAGCCAGGCTAGGTTCTTATGCTCCATAGGGCACTGACAGCTGAGGTCCCTTTGTGGTACTCAGTTGGCACAGAGGCTAGTCCCGAGCATCCCAGGAACCTTCACTCACATGTGTGGACCTTGGACAGGATAGTTAGGAGTCTGAGATCAACTGGGATGGTCAATCAAAGGACCTACAGGTGGTCTCTCCAGCATGGCAGTGTCAGAATATTTGTCCTTATATGGCTCAGGATTCCAAAAAACTGTCCCAAAAAATAGCAGGTAGAAGAATTATCTTGGTTTTATTAGTACTGTAGGAGCTTAATACTCCAGGATTAATACTATACTTACTACTGTCAGTGAGTTTCTAATACAAAAACAAAAATTTAGTATGCATTTGCTAACTTACAGAATGTGTATTTTTAATAATAAAATGGGCATATTTGTTGCCATGCCTTGATACTCTCATGATTAGTGTATCAATAATATCAAACATAGAAATCATTTTACTAATAAAGAAATATGAATGTGTTTTCAGGTTCAATAAATTATCATCCATCAGTCAGGTGGCACTCTCCCATTTAATGAACTGAAAGCTGAGGCCTATTAAAATTAAGTAATTTGCTCCAGGTCACCCAGCTGTTAGATGTCAGGGCTAGGACAAGCCTCCCTGTGACTGAGTGCATACATTGCATCTGTGCAACTGAATTACATCAATAATTTAATACAGAATCCTACAGTGACATTCAGTGCCATTTATCCTCATTCTCTGCAAAACTTCGACATTCAATATTTAGAAGTTCTTATGATCATGTATGCACAGTGCCTCTTAAAAGTCTAAAGCATTTATATTCAAAACCTCACCCCTGAGCCCTAAGGATATAATAATTTATATTTATGCCCTATACAACTTGGAGATAATTACATAGCAGTTGGTCTATTTTTTTCTAACTACCATGCTAATATTCAGTAACTGCACTTTTGACAATCCACTGGTATCTAATTAGGAAAAAAAATCTTAGTAGATGCAAACATCATGCCCATTTGACAGACTGGAGTTAGGCTATTTAAGAAGAGGGAAGAATTGGCCAGGCGCCGTGGCTCAAGCCTGTAATCCCAGGACTTTGGGAGGCCGAGGCGGGCGGATCATGAGGTCAGGAGATCGAGACCATCCTGGCTAACACGGTGAAACCCCGTCTCTACTAAAAATACAAAAAATAAGCCGAGCATGGTAGTGGGCGCCTGTAGTCCCAGGTACTCAGGAGGCTGAGGTAGGAGAATGGTGTGAACCCAGGAGGTGGAACTTGCAGTAAGCCGAGATCATGCCACTGCACTCCAGCCTGGGTGACAGAGCAAGACTCTGTCTCTAAAAAAAAAAAAAGAAGAAGAAGAGGGAAGAATTAATGAACACTCAGGTAACTGTCTTGGTGTTGGTTTTAATATGCCAGCCAAGCACAATAATCTAATTTTCAAATCTACAAAATGTTTTATTATTTAATGAGAATCACATATTTGTTAAATGTTAAAATAATGACCTTTAAAAGGCATATTTCCAATATCACCAGTATGCACAACTTTTTTAACATCATTGGTACATGAGGTTACTATAAGACTCAAAGGATGTAAATTATAAATTATACATATCCATGGACTATATCTAATAAAGAAAAGCAAATAGATATAAAATGTATAAATTGCATAAAAGTTGCAGTAATACATGTATTTAAATAAATGGAAATAAGCAATCTGTTGGAATAAGCTTATGATGGGCATGAATCAAAGAATTTCTAAAGTTGGTCCTTGAATTGACCAATAAGAAATAGGCAATAAATTTGCTTGCTACTTCTTTACTTAATAAATAAAACCTCCCAAAGTTCATAAGCTATTTTGAAAACTAACAAGACCATATTTCTCTTTTAAGAAGGTTTTTGGTGACAAAATTTCAGCAAACATTTTTGTTTCTAAACTATTTACTATAGAAAAATGTAAAACAAATACAAATATAAAGAGGATGGTATTATATACCCCTTTTTACTCATCACCCACCTTCAACATTTTATCAAACAATTATTTCAACATTTTCATCACCCAGCTTCAACATTTTTCATGGCCAATATTCTATCCATACTCTCAACAACTCCTCCACTTCACTGTTTTAACACAAATCTCAGATATCATATTTCACCTATAAATGGGATAAGCATTTAAAATTTTAAGTTGTGCTAGGTTAGAATATTTTACAAATTTAATAAACGCTGAATTGAAATTTTAATCATTTTTGAAAACTTAATAAGAAATGAGTATTTTGAGCAAATTTGAAATATAAATAATTATCATACTAGGGCAATTGCTATTTTCAAGAAGTTAGGGAGTATCACCTGGTAACAAACAAATAATGCTTAAGACAAAACCATTGTTATTAATTCACTTGTGACTCAATATTGATGTAGCTTAAGCTGCTAGGTATATTTTTTATTGTTTACACCACACTTGATTTCAAAATACTGAAACAGTCTTGTATATATTTAAAGTAGTGTGATTTAATTTTTTAAATGTAAACACTAATTCAAACTAGTCCCTATCCAGTAGTCAAAAACACTTATTTTATACTAATTACAAGCTAAATCCTTAACTGACAAAATATAGAAATGTATTGTAAGTCTTTTTTATAAGTAAGTTCATTCTTCCAACAATTATTTATCTGGCACTTATTATATGGCAAGCTGTTCCATATATTAAAGATAAAATAAAAACAATAGTTCTCATCCTCATAAAGATTATGGTCTAATAGGAAAACAGAAAATTGAGAAATAGAATTATAAAAAAAGAACATGATGCAGCAATAAATGCTATGAAGAAAAAGCCAGGTAAGGTGATAGTCGGTGACTTGGGGGAGAAGCAATTTCATTCCTAAAGAAAATCCCTATGTGTCGTCACTTGAATGAAGTAAGCAGTAAGTCCGACAATGATGTATTAGCCCATTCTCACACTGCCATAAACAACTACCTGAGACTGGGTAATATATGAAGAAAAGAGGTTTAATTGACTCACAGTTCCATAGGCTATACAAGAGGAAGCATGGCTGGGAGGCTTCAGGAAATATACAATCATGGTGGAAGGGCAAATGGGAAGCAAGCATATCTTCATATGGCAGCAGGAGAGAAAGAAAAAGAGTAAAGGGGAAAGTGCTACACACTTTTAAACAACCAGATCTCATGAGAACTATCACAAGAACAGCAAGGGGGAAATCTGCCCCCATGATCCAATCACCTCCCACCAGACCCCTCCCCCAAAGTTGGGAATTATAATTCAACATGAGATTTGGGTGGGGACACAGAGCCAAACCATATTAAATGGTATGGAAGAATAGCAAGGGAAACAGCTCTGATGGGGAAATACGAGTAATGTCTTAAAGGACCTGAAAAAGGAAGCTCACAAGGAAAAAGAAAGTTATAAAGCTGTAAGAAATAAGCTCTACCAGATAGTCAGGACCTGTAATCATGTAAGATCTGACAGGCTGAGGTAAGAACTATGGGTTTTATAATACACTGTTGAAAAATTTTGAGCAAGGAAGGGAAATAATCTAATTTTTAGGTTTTAAAGAGCACTCTGGCTTTTGTAGGACAATTAACTGTAGAGCCACCAATATTGAAGAAAGAAGATAAGTTAAAATGTAATTCAGCGGGCATGACTTCATCAATATGGTAGAATATAGGAATATTTTATATATATATATAGAATATATGGAGGAAAAACTCTTCCTCCACCCACAAATGCATATAGCTACACAAGGATCAGCTCCCTCTGTGAAAACTCCAGAAACTACTTGAGAGCCTCCTGTACACTGGGTGAATGAGAAAACTCCCACTTTGAAATGAGTAGGAAAGGCTGAGACATATAAAGCCCATCCCTGCCACAACGCCACACAACCAGCAGGGAATTCTCATCTCCCAGTTTCTTCCTTAGAAGCAAAAAATTTGAACCACACATCTAGTGCCCCACCTTTTACAGTTGCTACCCAAGGGACTAACTCCCAATCTGCCCATCTCTGGAAGCTGATGGGACCTGGCATTCACTAGTCCTCCAGGACCACAGAGAACAAAAAGGCAGTTTTAAACAGCCATGTGAGCACTTCTTATGCCTCTTCCCCCTAACTGAGTGCAGTGCTGGAAGCTAACAGGGCATGCAATCACTAGTTCTCTTAAAGGTTGTACAGTCATATCGGAAAATCCAATGAATTCTCCACTGAGCCCACTCCAATGATAAAACCAGTCCTCCGGCTTCTCCCCAGATGTTGGACTTCTCTTCTAGCCCCCTCACAACTTTTCTGGTTGCTACCTGAGGGACTAGCCTCTAACCCATGTGTATTTGAGAGCTAAGGAAGTCCAGCATTCACTAGCTCCCTGGGGATGACAGACAGCAAAGCAACAGTTTGAAAGTGCATGCAATCTGAACAAGCTAACAGGCGCTTGTCACTGTGCCCCCCAACTCCCCAGCTTAGTGCAGAGTGAGCAGACAATAAATCCCACCTCCTAGCTTACCCTGACAAGAAAAAGTACTGGACCACATATCTACCACCTTAATTTTGCTGGCTGCTAGTCAAGGAACGGGCTCCTATCTCACCTGTCTCCAAGCATTGATGGTACTTGGGAATACTATCATGGCTGCCACTAAAAACAAAGATGGAAATTTTTAATGAGGGCAAACACTTGAGAGACACCCAGAATCTCTGGAAAGGCTGACAGGTGAAGATCATCTTTGATATGAAGTCAGTCTGTGAGAGAAGTGACTATTTTAACTAATAAAAACCAACACAGAGGGTCATGAAAAGTGAAAAAATATTGGTAAATATATGTTAATTAAAAGAACTACATAACTCTACAGAAGCCAACCCAAATGAACTGGAGATATGTGATCCTACTGATCATTATAAATAATCATTACATATTTCCTAACCAAGGTGAAGAGAGCAATATCTGAATGAAGCAATCATTTTAACAAAGGGATAGACAATTTTAAAAAAATACCAAACAGAAAACATATAACTGAAGGATACAAAAACTGTAAAAAATTCAACTGGAGAGGTTCAACAGATGACTAGATAGGCAGAAGAAAGAAACAGTAAATTTAAAGACACATCATTGGAAGTAATCCAGTCAGAGAGGCAAAAAGAAAAAACAAAGTTTAAAAGAACAAAAACACACTAAAGAAATTATGGGGCACCAGCAAACAAATGAACATACACATTATGAGACCTCTAGAAAAAGAAGAGAGAGACAAATGAGTAAAAAAATTTCAAAGAAATAATGGTTGAAAATTTCCCAAACATGGGAATAGAGATTAACATCTTGATCCTAAAAGTCCAAAGGACACTAAATGAGATGAATACAAAGTTACCCAGACCGTGATACATTATAACAAGTTAAAAGTTAAGGAAAAGGAGAGAATTTTAAAACAGCAAGAAAGAAACAACTTGCTACCAACAATGGAACCTCCATGAGATTATCAGATTTTTCATCAGAAACTCTGCAGGTCAGAAGGGAATGGGATGATATACTCAGAGTACTAAAATAAAAAGACTGCCTACCAAGAATACTATACCTCATAAACATTTCCATCACAAATTGAGAGATTTTCTCAGATTTTCTCAGACAAACAATGTCTCAGGATGCTAATCATCTCCACTATCTCTCCTGTACAAGAAATACTAAAGGAAATTCATCAACTTGAAATGAAAGGATGCTAAAAAGCAACACAAGAGCATAAAAATATAAAGCTCATTGGAAGGGTAAACATATAGAAAAAAATAGAATACTGTATTACTATAATGTTAGCACGATGAATCATGTTTAATTCAAGTACAAAAGTTAAAACACAAGTGTTAAAAATAACTATGACTAATTCTTGTTAATGAACATACAGAAGTAAATTTAAACATCAATAGCATAAAATATGGGAAGAGGAGAGGTAAATATGCACAGTTTTGTACGCAACTAAAATTGTTATCAGCTTAAAATAGACTATTATAACTAAAATAGCTATGAAGTGTTTTATGTAAGCTCAATGAAAGAAATTTTCACAAAGAAAATACCACCAAAAAAAGAGGGAGAGACTGAGAGAGGGAGAAAGGAAACAAAACCTATCAATACAAAAATATAACAAAATGCAAAGGAAGACAAGGGAGAAAAAAGAGACAAAAGAACTATGAGAAAAACAGAAAACACTTAACAAAATGGCAATAGTAACTTCTTCCCTATTAATAATTACTTTAACTGTAAATAGGTCAAGCTCACCAATCAAAAAATACAGAGTAACTTAAGAGATTTCAAAATCACAATCCAACTATGTACTGATTACAGGAAACCCAAGGACATACATAGGCTGAATGTGAAGAAATTGAAAAAGATGTTTCATGCAAATGGCAGCTAAAAGAATGTGGAAATAGCTATATTTGTATCATATAAAGTATAATTTAAGTCAAAAACTCTCTCTAGGACAAAAAGTTTAAGTATCTAATGTCAAAGGGGTTAACTCAAGCAGAAAATATAACAATTGCAAGTATGTATTCAGTAAACATCAAAGCACCAACAATATAAAGCAAATACTGAATGCTGAAAAAAGAAAAAATGACAGAAATACAATAGTAGGAGATTTCAATATCCTGCTTTCAACACTGAATAGAATATCCAGAGAGAAAATCAATCAAGAAACAGTGGACTTGAACAATATTACAGACCAAATAGACCTAACAGACATATGCAAAATTTCCTGCCCAAAAGCAGATAAACACAGATTCTTCTCAAGCACACACATAATATTCTCCAGGACACATCACATATTAGATCACAATTCAAGTCTTACCAAGGAAGTTGATAGGAAGATTGATATCTTGTGAAGTATCTTTTTCTATGAAAATATAATGAAATTATTAGTCAATAGCAGCAAGAAAATTAGAAAATTTACAAATACCTAGAAACTAAAAAACTCTTGAACAATCATCAGGTCAAAGAGAAGACTAAAGAGAATTATTTCAATATTTTAGGATAACCAAACATGAAAACACAGCATATTCAAACTTAGACAATGTAGACAAGAAAAAAAGGCTTCCAAATCAGAAAGTAAGAAGCAAAATTGTCCCTGTTTGCAGACGACATGAATACAAAATTTTACACCACCAAAAAACAAAAACGGTTATAACTGATAAACAAATTCAGTAAAGTTGCAGGACACAAAATCAACATATAGAAATTGGTTAAATTTCTATACACTAATATTGAACTATCAAAGAAAGAAGAAGAAAACAATCTCTTTTACAATATCATTAAAAAGAATAAAATACTTTGGAATAAATTAAAGTAAGGTGGTGAAAGATCTGTACACTAAAACCTACAAAATATTGATTAAAAAAATTTAAGACAAAAATGAAGGGAAAAACATCTCATGTTCATGGATTGTAAGAATATTGTTGAAAATCTCCATACTACCCAAAGCAATCTACAGATTCAATGCAAATCCCTATAGCATTTTCTTTTTTTTTTTTTTTTTTTTTTTTTGAGACAGAGTTTTGCTCTTGTCCCCCAGGCTGCCAGGCTGGAGAGCAGTGGCATGATCTCAGCTCACTACAACCTCCACCTCCCGGGTTCAAGAAATCCTCCTGCCTCAACCGCCCGAGTAGCTAGGATTACAGGCGCCTACCACCATGTCCAGCTAATTTTTGTATTTTTCATAGAGACGGGGTTTCACCATGTTGGCCAGGCTGGTCTCGAACTCCTGACCTCAGGTGATCTGCCTGCCTCGGCCTCTCAAAGTGCTGGGATTATAGGTGTGAGCCACCATGCCTGGACCCTATCATAATTTTTATAGAAATAGAAGAAAAATCCTAAAATTTATATGGAACCACAAAAGACTACAAATATCTAAAGCAATCTCGAACAAGAAGAAAGCTGAAATCATCACACTTCCTAATTTTAAATTATATTACAATGCTATAGGAATCAAAACAGTAAGGTACTGGCCCCAATAACAGACGAACAGACCAACAGAGCAGAATAGACAGCCCATAAGTAAGCCCAAGCATATTTGATAAACCAATCTTTGACAAAGGCACCATAAATAATGAAAAAAGGATAGTCTATTCAATAAATAGTGCTGGGGAAGTTGGATATCCACAGGCAAGAAAGAGAGAAAGAGAGGAAGAGAGAGAGAGAGAGAGAGAGAAAGAGAGACAGAGAGGGAGAGAGGAAGGAAGGAAGGAAGGAAGGAAGGAAGGAAGGAAGGAAGGAAGGAAGGAAGGAAGGAAGGAAGGAAGGAAATTTGGTCCTTAATTCATACCATATGTAAAAATATAAAATGAATTAAATACTTTAATGTAAGACTTGAAACTGTAAAACTCCTAGAAGAAAGTATAGGTGAAAAGCTCCATGACAATGATTTTGGCAATAATTTTTTGGAAATGACACCAAAAGCATGGGCAACATCAAAAATAAAGAAGTGGTATAAATTTCATGTGATTATAGCATATGATCCTTTTAATATACTATTCAATTCAGCTTGCTTATGCTCTGTTGAGTGCTTTTGCATCTATATTCATCAGGAATATTGGCCTGTAGTTTTTGTTTCTGTTTTTATTTTTGTTTTTCTTGTAGTGTCCTTCTCTGCCTTTGGTACCAGAATAATGCTGACCTCATAAAATGAGTTTGAAAGTGTTCTCTCCTCCTTAATTTTTTAGAAGAGTTTGGAAATGACTGGTATTAATTCATCTTTAAATGTTTGGTAGACTTCACCAGCAAAGGCATCAGGTCAGGGATTTTTCTCTATTTCTTTAATTTCAGCCTACATGTGCCTTGGAGTTGATGTGAGTCTCTTGTTTCTTTTACTCATTTGGCCACTCTACACCTTTTGAATGGAGTATTTAATCCATTTGTATCTAAAGTAATTATTGATAGGTAAGGACTTACTATTCCCATTTTGTTCATTGTTTTCTGACTGCTTTGTAAATTCTCTGTTCTTTTTTATTCTTTTTGCTGCCTTCTTTTGTGATTTAATGATTTTTTAGTGGCATGCTATGGTATCTTTATCTTTCCTATATATTCTAGAGGTTTTTGCTTTGTGGTTTCTATGAGGTTATATGAAACATCTTAGAGGTATAAAGGTCTATTTCAAGGTTATAACAACCCAATTTCAATTACATACAAAACCTTTATACTTTTAGTCCCCCCTCCACATTTTGTTTTTGATGTCAGAGTATACATCTTTCTAAATTCTGTATCAATTCATAAATTATAAGTGATTTACATATCACCATTACAGCATTAGAGTATTTTGAAGTTGACTGTGTGCTTATCTTTACCACTGAGTTTTATACTTTCACGTTTTCATGTTATAAGTTAGTGTCCTTTCATTTCAATGTGGAGAACCCCCTTTAGCATTTCTTGCAAGGCAGTTCTAGTGGTGAGCTCTCTCAGCCTTTTTGTTTTTCTGAGAAAGTCCTGATTACTCCTTTCTTTCTGAAGGACAGCTTTGCCAGGTATTCCTGGGTGGCAGTTTTTTGCTTTCAGCACTTTGAATATATCATTTTATTTTCTCCTGGCCTGCAAAGTTTCCACTGAGAAATTCACGGAGAGCGTCATGAAGGTTCCCTTGTATGTGTCAAGCCTCTTTTCTCTTGCTGCTTTCAAAATTCTTTGCCTCTGATTTTTGACAGTTTGATATAATGTGTGTCAGCAATATCTCCTTTGGGTTTAATTTGTTCGGGGGATTTTGAGCTTCATGTACTTGAGAGCCATATATTTTCTCAGATTTGGGAAGTTTTCAGCCATTTATTTTTTAAAAATAAGCTTTCTGCCCCTTTCACTTTCTCTCTTCTCTGGCATGTCCACAATGTGATTGTTAGTTCTTTTGATGGAGTTCCATAAATTCCATAAGCTTCCTCCATTCTTTTTCATTCTTTTTCTTTTTTCTACATTGACTGGATAATTTCTAAGTTCTGGGGTACATGCACAGGATGTGCAGGTTTGCTACCTAGGTAAACGTGTGTCATGGTGGTTTGCTGTACCTATCAACCCATCACCTAGGTTTTAAACGCAGCATGCATTAGTTCTTTTCCCTAATGCTCTCCCCCATCACCCTCCTCTGACAGGCTCTAGTGTGTGTTGTTCCTCCATTCCCTGTGCCCACGTGTTCTCATTGTTCAGTTCCCACTTATGAGTGAGAACATGTGGTGTTTGGTTTTCTGTTCCTGCATTAGTTTGCTGAGGATAATGGCTTTCAGCTTCATCCATGTTCTCTGACTGGATAATTTCAAATGACCTGTCTTCAAGTTCACAGACTTTTTCTTCTGCTCAATCAAGTCCACTGTTGATTCTCTCTACTGCTTTTTTCATTTTCATTGTATCCTTCAGCTGCAGAATTTCTATATGATTCTTTTTTACGATTTCTGTCTCTATATAGAACTTCTCATTTTGTTCATGTACTGTTTATTCTGACTTTATTCATTTGTCTGTTTTCTCTTGTAACTTGCTGAGCTTCCTTAAAATGATCATTTTGAATTCTCAGGCGATTCATAAATCTGCATATCCTTGGATTTGTATACTAGATCATTATTGTATTCTTTGGTGGTGTCATGTTTCTTTGATTTTTCATGTTCTTTAAAGTCTTGTGTTGCTCTCTTTGCATCTGAAGAGGCAGTCACTTTCTCTAGTGTTTACTGACTGGTTTTGGAAAGTGAATACTTTCACCAGTCAGCTCAGTTAGGAATTCTTAAACTGTCTTAAACCTTTTCTATGAATGTACACAATCCACACCTCTTGTTCCCTCTTGAGGAGAAATCTTGTCTTCTCCAAACCCCACAAAACCAGGTCAGATGATGAGAGCCCCCTGTTTTCCCTAAGGTTGTGTTCTATAATGCTCAAGTTTGTGTGCCTTCTCCCTGTCCTACAGAGTTGAGGAAGCTATCTTTGTGAGACACTTGAACTCTCAGTCCTCAAAGGTGCACTCAGTGACTGGTGGGGGCAGAGTGAGTTGTCCAAAGAATTTGGGTTGCCCATGGTCCAGTTGGGGTTTTCTGCAGGCAAGGGTGTCCCAAGCAGCTCATCAACTGACCTCCTGATGGAGTCTGTAGAGGGGTTAGCAGGGTTCACATCCTATCTTTTCTGTACCCATTCTCTCTCAAACCACTCAGCCATGCTAATCATCTCAGTAATCTGAATGAGGTGAGAAAGAAGTGGGCAAGTAGGCCTGTTGGGCAGAATCTCACATAGCTCAGAGAGCTGGGTGCTCGCTCACTGCAGTCTCACTGTTCTCCATGGGAAAAACTGTGGGCCTTACTTGTCACTGAGCTATGCCACCTTAGGGGAGAGGTGACGTGGTTAAAGTGAAATTGTTCTTTCTACCCTTTTGGTTCAACAGTGTGCTGAAACTTTTCCACTGGTCTCCTGAACTCCCACAAAGTACTCTCATCTATGGGTAGTTATCAAAATCAATGCTTCTGCAGGGAATGTTGGTAGTAATCTCCTATTCTGCCATATTGTTGACATCCATGAATATATGAGCATACATACAGAAGCAGTTACACTCATTTTGTTAGTCTTTTTTTGCCTTGTTATAAAGAAATACCCAAGACTGGGTAATTTATAAAGAAAAGAGGTTTAGTTGGCTCATATTTCTGTGGGCTGTACAGGAAGCATAGTGCTGGGCATCTGCTCAGCTTCTGGTGAGGCTTCAGGAAGCTTACAATCATAGCAGAAGGCAAAGGGGAAACCAACATCTCACATGGCAAGAGTGGGAGCGAGAGAGAGAGGGGAAAGATGCTACACTCTTAAACAGCCAGATCTCATGAGAACTCACTATCAAAAGGACAGCACCAAGAGGATGGCACCAAACCATTCATGAGAAATACGTCCCCATGATTAAATCACCTCCCACCAGGCCCCACCTCTACATGAGATTTAGAGGGGACAACATGCAAACTATATCACTCATGGATTTAGATAAAGAAATAGGCTACATGCATGTTTGGCTGGTCTGTCTATTGCCATGATTCTGAATTAACAAATCATAAGCACTAAAAGTAATTCTCTTTTCCTGAGCAGCCACTTCTCTTCCTGGTCTGAGTACCATGCTTCAGGTTTGGGGCATAGGACTTACCCAGTGATACTTAAAAAAAAAAAAAAAAAAAAAAAAAAAAAAGTGGCTCTCAAAGTCAAGTCCCCAGGCAAAATCACATGGGTACTTCTTAGAAAAAATAATTTCTCAGACTGTACCCTAGACTAACTGAAGCAGAAACTCTGGGGTTGGGGTCCGGTAGTCCATATATTAACCAGCCCTCCAAGTATTCTAATGCATGCTGAAGTTTTAAATTCAGTATTCTAAAGTATGAGGGAAAAGTTGTACCAGAACTTTCTAAAACTATCCCTAACCCCGTGGCTTCTGAGAAACCACACCCCCCAAATTCACAGTCTTGCTATCAGTAGCAGGCCATGTGTAAGTACTTGTCAGCACCAATCCACCTCCCCTTGTGACAAGCTTCAAAGGCAATAGTAAAGCTTCAATAAAAAGTTATCCTTTCTAGTCTATACCCTTTGCAGTGACCATATTCATGCTGGTAAACACTGTTTTTACACTAAAAAGCAAAGTTTCTCATTTTTATGAAAACCCAATTATACTTCAGCAAAGAGCTATTTAAAAATGGTTTATTTTTTCAAATGTGTTAGCAAGCCAATTCCTGTTATTAATATACTTCATGTGCCATAAACATAAAATACATGTGTGTTTCTGAAGATGCATATTATAATTATCTATGTATAAACTATCACTATGAGAGTAGGTCATTTTTTTTCTGGCCACTGCTATTGGAAAAGGAAACATCGATATTGGCTCTATGGGGAAGACATGGGGAAGTAATGAGTCTCTTTCTATGACTTGGGGCAGGAAGTTTGCATCTTGTTTTTCTAGGACTCCAGAAAATAAATTATTCTGGAGACTTCAAAGTCTGTATGAATAGGTGAGTGTAGTATATATCTGAAAGATAAGCTTATCCTATCAAGATGGTAATTAATTTTTATTCTGGCTATCATCTGGATTGATCAAATTTTGAATGTAAAGAATTGCCTTTTTCTCATTTTAAATGTTAAAACTCATCGCAGTGGGAAGTATTATAAACTCCGTTTAATGTGCTTCCTTTACAACTTAAGCATCATTTTTGTCACATTAAAATTCATTTCTTTTTACTAAGATAAAATTAAAAAGAACTCCAGCCGAATATAATTAAAAACTTGGACTACATATCTTCCAGGAACCAGGTGATTTCTGCCCTGTGGGGAGTCCTATATTCTTACCTACTGTGGATAAGTTCGTAAGTGCAGTTGAAAGGATCCATGTTGATTATTACATTCTAAATTAGCCAATATTAGCACTGTGCCAAATAATTCACATAGCATGGTTTCCATGTTAGACAATCAATTACAGTTCAGATGAATCCATGCGAAAATCTATAGTTTTTACTTAGGATCACAGTTTTTGTAATTTAACATATTATTACAACAGAGCCTTCAAAAGGTCAGGTAGAACAACGGAGAGCAATTTCCAGTTTGTAAATGTTCCTTTATTGTCGCAAGAGGGTGACTATATCCATGTGCTTGATAGAATCAAAATTCTAATTTATTTTGACATTCACCTAACAGCACACTTAAAGTAGAGAGCAGTTTTATCCAAAAACCCATTGAAAATTAATACAATTTTAGCATGAAGATCTGTGCCTCTTTTTGAATTTTCTGTGTTAACCACCTCATTGGGAGATTGCAGAGCTACAGAAAAAACACCACAGAGAGACCACACCAGGTAATTGAGTACCTGCCTGGTGGCCTAGTAGAGAGAGTTTTGTATTTTTTCAAATTTGAGAACTTAGTAGTTTCTTGCTGCCCCCAGGAGTTCTACCTATTGCAATGGCAAAATGAGCTCATTCCAGAAAATTCTGTAGTTTTTCTTCTCCATACCAATGCATTAGATCTGAAGAAACACCTATTATTTTTCATTTATTTTCTATTTATTTTATTTTATTTTATTTTGAGACAGTGTCTTGCTCTGTCGCCAGGCTGAAGTGCAGTGGCATGATCTCGGCTCACTGCAACCTCTGCCTCCCTGGTTCAAGTGATTCTACTGCCTCAGCCTCCCGAGTAGCTGGGATTACAGGCAAGCGCCACCATGCCAAGCTAATTTTCATTTTTTTAGTAGAGACAGGGTTTCACCATGTTGGCCAGGATGGTCTAGATCTCTTGACCTCATGATCTGCCCACACTGGTCTCCCAAAGTGCTAGGATTACAGGCGTGAGCCACCGTGCCCAGCCTGTTTTTCTTTCAATATGTACAGTATATTTTAGGGTACCAAACTAAAAGGTTAAATTTAGTTCCTAAATTTCCCAATTCAGTAAAAAAGAAAAGCAAACATTTTTTTCAAGCATATTGAATCTTGTTATACATTGTCATGTAATAGTAACATTGACAAGTTTTCTCCAAGATTTCAAAATTCACAATCATCAAAATCATATTATTGAGTAATCTGAAAAGATACGCCCACTGAAACTATATATCCACAACAAAGATGACACAAAACAATAAAAGTGACTAAGAAAATTAATTGGACTGTGCAAGCTGATTCTTGTTATTTAGGGCAGGGTGTTCTAAATATCAACTTAAATGTACATTGAAATTACATAGACACAGATGTCCTGTTCTCACAATTTAATATTTAATCATCAAAGCCTCTCCTTGGAATTAAGGCATCATCTGAGAAAGCTCCTGTTAAATACCTACTTCCCTGGGGTTAAGAGAATAAGTATTATTTCCTAACACATTAGCTGGTGTTTTCTTTTGTAATGGCTGAGAACCAGATTCATAAATAAAAAGACAAGTGTAAAAAATGTAGACATGGGGGAGAGAGAATGATCAAGACCATCAGGCCCAATTTGTGAGAGATAAGCTCAAAGGGATACTTCACCAGAAGGTGTGAATAGCACAAAGGCAGAGGGCACTGCCAGAGAAAAGAGAGGAAGGCAATTTCCCTTCAAAGGCAATGTACTGTAGAGGATGAGAGCATGGGGGCCAGGGCCAGAATGCTCCAGTTCAAATCTCACCTCCTCCACTTAATAGATGAAGGAATAAGAGCAAATCTCTTAACCCCTCTGTGCCTGTTTGCTTCTTCTGTAAAATGGGAATAATAGCAGCCCTCTGCAAACACACACTGGGTTGTTGGGGGAATCAAAATTTTAAAGCCTTAGGTCAATACTTGACATGTGATAGCAACCACAGAAATGTTTGCTCTTATATTACCTGAAGTTGTTCATGTCTTAAAATCAAAGATATATTTTCTAAACCTACTATACAGGTGAAAAGGAAAGAGCCCATCACTGTATTTGGTTTTATTGCTGCTGCCATTTTTTTGAGTGTTTGGGTAGCAGCAGCATCTTGGTTATATTAACTCCAGCACACTGGTGAAAGACGTGAGCCACATGGAAAGCTGGTTGGGTTGAGTTTACCTGAGTAGCTTAGATAAATAGTTCTACTCTCTGCTATTCTCTGGAAGTGTTCCTACTGTATTGTAGAAAAAAGTAGCCAAGGCAGCTTGAGAAAGTTGATGTGCCTCCCTCAGCACCAAGATGCTAGCAGGGAGTAATTTGGGTACAAAGTAGCATTAATTCAGCTCATTAATTGCTCAGAATTACTAACTAAGCTCTCTTCAACTGCTGCTTTGTCTCTTTTATTTGTGTTGTGTTTTTATGGTGGTTGCTTTTTCAGGAATTTGTACTTTGAATTTAAAAAGTCTAAAACGCTTAAGAAATATTTCAATAAGTTCTAGAGACCTGTGCAACATTGTGCCTGTAGTTAACAATACAGCATTGTGCACTCAAAAACCAGCTGAGAGAGCAGATCTCATATTAAGCCTTCTTAGCACAATTAAAAAATTAAAAGAAATATTTCAAGAAAATGCAATGTTTGTAAATTGTAAATATATACTAAATAATAAATATGTAAAACAAATATATAGTAAATATGAAGGTCTTTCCCTTTGTTCTACCTAAAGAGTTTAGAATTCTGCCTTTTAAAGACAAATCAGGATATCCTTAGCAAACTAACACAGGTACAGAAAGCCTAATACTGTATGTTCTCACTTCTAAGTGGGAGTTAAACGATGAGAACACATGGACCATAGAGAGGAACAACACACGCTGCGGCCTAGCAGAGGTGGAAGGTGGGAGGAAGGAGAAGATCAAGAAAAATAACTAATGGATACTAGGCTTAATACCCGGGTGATGAAATAATCTGTACAACAAATCAAATCATCTATACAAAAACCTCCATGACACCTATTTACCTGTGTAACAAACCTGTACATCCTGCACATGTACCCCGACCTTAAAATTTAAAAGAAGAGGAACAAATGGAGGAGAAATGAGTTATGAGTTATCTATAGCTGTGCAACACAATCGTAAAATGTGTACCATATGCAAAATATACATTTGGGGAAAGCAGATATCTTTTATAATGTGTAATTCACTGAATCCATTTATTGATATTTACTCAATGTTTATTGAGTGTCTTTCATGTGTTGGATGCTGTCACGGGCGCTGGTGATACAGCCACGAACAGAACAGACAGACCCCTGCCAGCAGAGGCTCATACTCTAGGGAGTGTATCTACCTGGGTGCCAGGGATAGAGGGATGGAGGTTGGAACACAAGAAACAAAATAAGGGAAATGCCTAACATAATAGATGATAATAATATCTACACAGTTAATATTGAACATGCAAGGGGAAAGGGGAGAACCCAAAGTTTTATGTAGTAGGAGGAAGTGCCAATTTTCAATAGGAGGAAATGAAGTAGGCCACAGTGAGAGAAAGTGACATTTGAGCAGACTGGCGAAGATGGCAGAGAAAGCTGTGGAGCTATCCAGGAGGCAATCAGTCCCGACAGGGGGCGCTGCAAATGCACGCATCCTGAAACGGTGCAGGCCTGGGGTCAGGGAGGTGGTGTCCCTAGAGCACAGCAAAGAAGGGGTTGAGTATTAAGGGATGAGGTCACAGAATATCGGGGCAGGCTTGTGATATAGGGCCTAAAATGCCACTGTATAGATATCACCTTTACTCTGAAGGAGGTGAGAAGCCAGCAAAGAGTTGTAAGAGAGAAAGGGAGTTGCTGGACTGTTGTTCCGGGGTGAAGGGAATCAGACCAGGGTGCAGTGGCAGAGATAGAAGCAGAGAGAGTACAGCCACGGTTAAAGGATGGAAGGCAAAGAGCATGGTACCACTGCTGGCGGGTGGATAAATGTGATGATGAGAAACAGTGGAAATTCTCTTCTGACTGCATTTATTTTCTTAATAAAATAATAAGCACAGTCACCAATAAAAACATATATGGATAAAAATACCCAATAATTTACAAATTTACACAGATTTTCTAGTAACTTCTGTATTTCTTGAAGAAAGTTTGAAAGCTAAAGTTCAACATCAGAAATACAACCTAATAAAGTTAACCTGTCCAAAAATCCAATTATGATACTGAAAAAGCTAATAGTAAGGCAACCCCCCCATAGAGGAAGGACAGATGAAGAGACATTATGGGAAATTTGCAAACAGTGACAAGCATAGGTGATGAGGATGGCATACACTTACGTCTCATCTAGTACAATGGTGCTGTGTGTTCAGTCATCTCATTACTATTTCTGAGGTCTCGACTATGAAGCAGAACACAGGATATTGGCTTTAGCTACACAAGATAAAAACAGCGGCGTTTATATGCAATAATTTTTATCAATCAAAACAATTACATCCTAATTGTTTAATTCGGTTCCTCTTCTCTTCACATGAAATAACCTTAGAGATAATACGATAGAAACTATTCACAACGTGAGAAGTCCACCATGGCCTGTTGCCTCGTGGTCCCCAGCCTTGTGGGAAAGTGTAATGTGCGCTTCCACAACTCCACTGCAGAGTGGTGTACCCTCCATGTACACACAGACAAATTCTCCCAGCTCCCTTTTGCAACACAGCACTTATTGGGGCTTAGTTCTTTCAGGAAGAGGCATTTCTAATCCTCACATAAGTTTAATCAGTATGAATATGGTTTTGTTGCCTCCCTCATTTACTTCTTATTTCTTGCAAATAAGATAGAAAGGTAGAGCCTGATTTTTTCCCAAGCTCCTACATATTAGTCATATGCATCTTTAAAATTAGCCTGCAGAGTCATTTTCTTGTCATTCTATAATTAGAACTCACTTACCGTCTTCCAAATGCCCTCAGACACTGCTTCCCCACTCCTGTGTTGTCAAATTGCTCACGTAGCCCTCCATGGGAGCTACACTAACAAGTTTTTAAAGCAACTTTATATGGAGCAGGGGTGTCCTATGTAATACTAGGGATCTCCAAATATAATTACCTACTATAATTGTTTTATTGCTGCTGCAATAAACTATATCGGTTTTCACTTGTGATCTATACAAGTTGTGAACTATACAAGTTTACACTGTATGAGCTAACATAATTCTTGTATGTTTGCCTCAGAATTGACCACGCCATTGCAAGAAAAAATATGGAAATGGCAATTAATTCATTAAATTACTTCTTATAATTTACTTGCCACATATTTGTGATTTTTATATCAGTGTTGTACTTTTTAAAGTAACTTTGTATTTTAATATATATTTTGTTAACTTCCCCATCTCTGCCACCATCATATATAATTAAATCAAACTGTAAAATATCTGGTCATCATCACTTCATTTATGGCTGTCCAGTTCGTCCTCAAAAGATAAAACTATTAAAGAGTTTTCTGCTGAGACTCCACAAAAATGGGATTTAAAAATAGATAATTAGATATCCGAATGAGTCATGGTGATTATTTCCATTTTTCTTTAGTCATTAATGAAACTCGAAATAATCACATTCGTGGCTTTGTCCATATGATCAGAAACATTTCCAGGCAAATAGTAAATTTCTTAAACAGTATTTGGGTCTAGTAAGGAAAGAACTTTGGAATTTTTAAGGTCAGAATCAATGAACACATGAAGACAGAATAGAGTCAAAAGCTTGTTTCGGCAGTTTCGATCAGTCGGTCTTTTAGAGATGACATATTTTAGAACACCAAACACACATTTGTGCCAGCAGAGATTTTTAATTAGCTTCCGGCTTAACAGCAATAATGGAAGGAGCAGAGCTTGGGTCACCACTTAGTGTGTTTGGCTCCTTTGAAAACGGACTTTTGTTCTCTTTTGAGCCATGGCATTGACTGCCCTGCATCTCTCCATAGGAGTTTTGCAGAGTGACAAATCAGCTGTGGCACAAACAGTTTCTAATTAACAGTGACAGGATATTGATGGGGGTAACAATTGCTTGATAAAGGCCAAAGGAAAGTTTCAGGGACATGAACTTTCCATTACATTCAGAAGTGATTATTCTCTCCAGATTTTAGCTTGATCATTACCTTTCTGTCACAAATATTGGAAAATCCCTTTTTAAAAATATGTTACTGTTGGAGCTCAGTTGGAGGAAATGATGAAAGGTCACCGATCAATGATCATTCTTACGATGAATCAGCTCTTCTACTTCTAGCTAAATTTTATAAAATGCACTAATTACAAAGTTGTGAAATAACCAGTAACTGGACAGCTTTCCCCCTGCGCCACCCACCCCCAACAAAGGTAGTATCATGTTCTGAATTCTTCTGCCTCGATTTTTTCCTATTCCTTCTGACACTACTCTTTATTTATCTTTACGTTTTTTTATTATGAAAAATTTCCATTGGGCGCGGTGGCTCACACCAGTAATTCCAGCACTTTGGGAGGCCAGGGTGGGTAGATCGTGATGTCAGGAGTTCGAGACCATCCTGGCCAACATGGTGAAACCCCACCTCTACTAAAAACACAAAAACTAGCTGGGTGTGGTGGTGCACGCCTGTAACCCCAGCTACTCGGGAGGCTGAGGCAGGAGAATGGCTTGAACCCAGGAGGCAGACATTGCAGTGAGCCAAGATCACGCCACTGCACGCCAGCCTGGCAACAGAGTGAGATACCATCTCAAAAAAAAAAAAAAAATTCAAACATACAGGTGTAGACAGAAGAGTATTTGATATAATGAATAGCCACATACGCATCACTGATCTCCAAAGGATTTTCTTTCTTCCTCACCTTTTAAGTTCCAGGGTACATGTGAAGGATGTACAGGTTTGTTCCTTAGGTAAATGTGTGCCATGGTGTTTTGCTGCACAGATCAACCCATCACCTAGGTATTAAGTCCAGCATCCCTTAGCTATTCTTCCTGATGCTCTGCCTCCCCCCATCCTCCCTACAGGCCTGAGTGTGTGTTGTTCTCCCCCATGTGTTCATGTGTTCTAATCAATCAGCTCCCTCTTGTAAGTGAGAACATGTGATGTTTGGTTTTCTGTTCCTGCATTAGTTTGCTGAGTATAATGGCTCTCAGCTCCATCCATGTCCCTGCAAAGGACATGATCTCATTCTTTTTCATGGCTGCATAGTATTCCATGGTATATGTGTACCACATTTTCTTTATCCAGTCTATCATTGATGGGCATTTGGGTTGATTCCAAGTCTTTGTTATTGTGAATATTGCTGCAATGAACATACATGTACATGTATCTTTATAATATAATTACTTATATTCCTTTGTGTACACAGTAATGGGATTGCTGGGTCAGAAAGTATTTCTGCCTCTAAATCTTTGAGGAATTGCCACATTGTCTTCCACAATAGTTGAACTAATTTACACTCTAACCAACAGTGTAAAAGCAATCCTATTTCTCCACAACCTCACCAGCATCTGTTGTTTCTTGACTTTTTAATAATCGTTATTTTGAATGGCATGAGATGGTAGCTTATTGTGGTTTTGATTTGCATTTCTCCAATGATCAGTGATATTGAGCTTTTTTTCATATGTTTGTGGCCACATTAATGTCTTCTTTTGAGACGTATCTGACAGTACTCTTTAAATAGTGTGATGCCGATAATGAAAATAATAAGTAAACAATTTCCTAGTCCCAAGTAGCTAGATTGCTTAAGGTCCCTTAAAGCCAGCTACTCTAAAATTAAATGAGTCCCCAAGCCATTTCACAAACCCCAGAGGGAGTGTCTGTTTGATTTCCCAAATTCCCTCTATTGAATATTACAAAGCCATACAGGAAATATTTGATTCCTGCTTTTTTAGATAAATATAATCATTCTCCTGACAAAAACTAAGAATTCATTCCCAATTATACAAAGAAAGATCAGTCCACCCTAAGTTGTTCTAAAAGTAAACTTTAATTGAAAAATACAGCTTAGAATAGTAACTGGACAACTGTGTTTCATCAAGCACTCAGGTTCTGAACTGACTACAACAACCTCCTCAAGGAGGAGGCATGGAAAAAGGAAATCAGTGTGGTTAAACTTCAGAAACCTCCCTGTCTTACTTTACCCAAAGAACTTCACAGGTGCCAGTCAAAGCATTTAGCAATTGGTTCCCATAGGTACTCCCCGGTCAGAATGAATACCTCCTCTATATAATGGTGTGAGCCCATGGGTGCTTATCGACTATCATCAGCCTTACGTTAACCCACTTGCATTGATTTTGTGTACTGGGCGTGAGGTTCCAAGTAAAGTTAGTAAAAACTGTTCACTGATAAAAAGAAAAAGTTTTAGAACTATGTATATATAAGATGAAAGGTGTCCATTTTGACCTGCCACAAATGAGCTGTTCAGTACCCAGTGAGAAGTTAATAAATGGCACATAGTATATAATGAATTTCTTCCATTTATTGATAAAACCTCAGCAGCAGAAGGCACTTTAAATACTGACTAGTTCAACTATCCTTATGATACTCAAATCTCCTCCATACTATCCCAGCTAAGAAATAACTAAGCTTAGAGACGATTTCAGAGGTGGAGGCATCCCAGGGATGAGGAATAGCAAAGGAAAACATAGGAGCAGGCCTAGCATGTTTGAAGAATAGCAAAAAGGCCAAGTTACCAGAGTGGAATGTTGGGATAGAAGGAATAGAAGACATGGTTTGAGGCAATGGTTGGAGCAAGAGTTGGGGGGCGAGCCGATATGTAAGGCTTTGTAAGTCACAGAAAGTAGTATAATTGTTCTTCTGAATGAGATGGAAGGAGGCTTGGAGCAAATGAGTAACATAAGCTGACAACTTTTAAAAGTATCAACTGGCTGCTGTGTAGAGGACAGACTGAAGAGAGGAAAAGGTCAGAGCAGGAAACCTGTGAGGAGGCTATTTCAATAATCCAGACAAGGTTTGATGGAGAACTAAACCCACAGCATTAGCACGGGAGATAGCGAGCAGTAGTTAGATTCATAAGATTTTTTTTAGTACAGCCAAGAGAATTTCCTGATGGACAAAATGTAGTCCCTGAAGGAAAGAAAAGTAAAGGATGAATCCGAAGGTTCGTCTCAAACAACTGGGAAGGTTGCCATTTACTGAGGTGAGGGAGATTAAGGAAGGAACAGGCTTACTGGGGTTTTATGAAGAGTTCCATTTTGAATAAATTTAGTTTCAGATATCAAAAATAGCATGTAGGCCAGGTACAGTGGCCTCCACCCAGGGCTTTGGAAAGCTGAGATGGGAAGATCACTTGAGGTCAGGAATTCAAGATCAGCCTGGGCAACATAGCAAGGCCCTGTCTCTATTAAAAAAAAAAAAAAAAAATTAAGGACAAAATTTTTTTCAAAGGGAGTAGAATATGCAATCTGGCGCTCAGGGGAGATGTCAGGTTTGAAATTTCAATTTAGAGTCATTGAAATACAGACAGTATTTAAAGCCATGAGACTAATGAGATTAGCTTGAGAACAGCATCTCAGAAAAGAATTACAAAGACTGAAGCCTGGGAACTCCACCAACTAGAATTGAGGAAAATGAGGGAAAATAAGCAAAGGAGACTGAGAAAGAATGGCCCAAAAGTTGGGAGGTAAACCAGTGTTTGACGCCAAATGAAGACCATGTTTCAGGGAGTAAGGACTGATCATCTGTCAAAAATGCTGCCCTAGCTAAAGATCTGAGAATCTAGCATGGGATATAACAATGCAGAGGTCATGGGGGGATTCACCACAGCAACGGTAGGGGCAGCACTGACAACCTGACAGAGTGGGAGGAAAAAAATGGAGAGACTAAATATAAATGACCTTTTCAAGATTTGCTGTAAAGGAAGTTTATCTCATTTTATAATGACAAGATTGCAAATAGGTGGTATGAGACCCAATTTGGCTGTTGAGGAAACAGAAGCTCTGAACAATTAAGTTAACAGTCTAAGGTCATGGAGCCAGTCTTCAGAGGTGATAGAAAAGAGAAGACTTCCACCGTATCATACATATACAATTTTAGCATCTCCCTTTCCATTAAATTAAAACAGTGCTTGCAAAACTATCCAAAAACATCTATAACCAATAATGTGAACTTCAATCTCACTCATCTCTTCTTCGTCTTGTACTTGTGGTGTTGTTTAGAACTTATTTTTTTATTTTTTTGAGACGGAGTCTTGCTCTGTTGTCCAGGCTGAAGTGCGGTGGTATGATCTCAGCTCACTGCAACCACCGCTTCCCGTGTTCAAGCAATTCTTCTGCCTCAGCCTCCTGAGTAGCTGGGATTACAGGGACGTGCCACCATGCCCGGCTAATTTTTGTATTTTTAGTAGAGACAGGGTTCACCATGTTGGCCAGGCTGGTCTCAAACTCCTGACCTCAGGTGATCCGCCCGCCTCAGCCTCCCAAAGTGCTGGGATTACATGTGTGAGCCACCACGCCCAGCCAGAATTTTACTTTTGTACTAATCAATTTTCATTCAGTTACAGCCATTGCATTATTCTTGCTTGTAAACTTTTGGAATCCTGATTCTGTTGTTATAGATTTGCTACTTTTCCCTATTCTATGTAATATAAATAAGAGAAATAGATGTAATTGTTTTTGTTTTTTATAAGGATTCAATGATTTACACTTCATTTCCATTTTTCTTAATCAATATGTAAATATCCGGAGCTTTTCCATCTGACTAACCTAAAATTCTTACATTGTTTTTTAAGTGTCATTCTTACCTGGACAATACTGAAGAATTCTGGGTCTTTCCATATATCATGAAATATTATTTTACTTAAAAAATTTTAAGTGCAGGCATTACCATCTATCATCCTTCCAATTTTAAAAAAGGAAAAGAAAATTGCTTTTCTTCATATGTGAAGAAATATATAATTTTTGAGTTGCATTACCTCCTCATAGCCACATAACAAAACATACCTCCAGGAATTTGAATCAATTGATCCACTTGGGGTCAGTGGGAAAGTGTATGCCAAGAACAAAGATTTGGTATTGAGTAATATTGAACTGTTCGTTCTGCCCATAATTAGAAATGGAAATATTTGTTTTCTGAAACTCTTTCAGATAAATAATAGTAAAAATCTTCCTCGGCATGGGCTGCATGCACCCCTCACCCCCTAACCCATACATTCATCTACAACAACAGAAGTATATGCATGGAGTTTATCTAAAATATTTGTAGCAGGGTTTTGACGTGCTCACGACTCCTCCAATTTTCTACCAAAATGATTCAATTATTCAAACATTAAGAGAAAAACATGCAACTCAAGGGACAGCCTGAGAAACCTGATAGCCTTGCTGCTAGAGATGGAGTCCCCTTGGAGGCATCGCCTTCTGTGCACAGCCCTGATGAAGTTTCAGATCTCCACCAGAGAGACTGACAGAGAAAGCTATGCCCTTGCCACAGGATCAACAGTTTACACTAACTGAAGAGCCCAGAGAGTCTGCCGGCCCCTCTGCACACTTTAAAGACTCTCAGCCCATCAGCCTTTTGAGAAACAGAATATCTCCTATCTTCTCAACATTTGAGAGACACAAGCAGGACCTGAGGAGTTGCTTAGGTAACTGACATTTACTTACCTCTATTGTCAATGCTGGTATATCTGTGTGTATGTGGACAGGGTGAACAATGAAAAAAGATGTGGAATCAATAAAAGTGTTTGGAAAAAATGATACTACTTTGAACAATCAGGAATGTGTGAGTAGTTTTTAAGTAGATTTGATGAAAATATATTCATTCATTTCATAGAGAAAAAGAAAATAGACATACCAACTTTACAATTAATACAATTGGCCCTCTCCCTCTCCCTCTCCCTCTCCCTCTTCCTCTCCCTCTCCCTCTTCCCCACGGTCTCCCTCTCCCTCTCCCCCACGGTCTCCCTCTCCCTCTCCCCCACGGTCTCCCTCTCCCTCTCCCCCACGGTCTCCCTCTCCCTCTCCCCCACGGTCTCCCTCTCCCTCTCTTTCCACCGTCTCCCTCTGATGCCGAGCCAAAGCTGGACTGTACTGCCGCCATCTCTGCTCACTGCAACCTCCCTGCCTGATTCTCCTGCCTCAGCCTGCCGAGTGCCTGCGATTGCAGGCGCGCGCCACCACGCCTGACTGGTTTTCGTATTTTTTGGTGGAGACGGGGTTTCGCTGTGTTGGCCGGGCTGCTCTCCAGCTCCTAACCGTGAGTAATCTGCCAGCCTCGGCCTCCTGAGGTGCCGGGATTGCAGATGGAGTCTCGTTCACTCAGTGCTCAATGTTGCCCAGGCTGGAGTGCAGTGGCATGATCTCGGCTGGCTACAACCTCCACCTCCCAGCCTTGGCCTCCCAAAGTGCCAAGATTGCAGCCTCTGCCCGGCCGCCACCCCGTCTGGGAAGTGAGGAGCGCCTCTGCCCCGCCGCCCCGTCTGGGATGTGAGGAGCGCCTCTGCCCGGCCATGACCCCGTCTGGGAGGTGAGGAGCATCTCTGCCCGGCCGCCCCGTCTGAGAAGTGAGGAGCCCCTCCGCCCAGCAGCTGCCCCATCTGAGAAGTGAGGAGCCCCTCCGCCCGGCAGCCGCCCCATCTGGGAAGTGAGGAGCGTCTCTGCCCAGCAGCCGCCCCGTCCGGGAGGTGGGGGGCAGCCCCCGCCCAGCCAGCCGCCCCATCCAGGAGGGAGGTGGGGGGCAGCCCCCGCCCGGCCAGCCGCCCCGTCCGGGAGGTGGGGGACGCCTCTGCCCGGCCGCCCCTTCTGGGAAGTGAGGAGCCCCTCTGCCCAGCCGCCACCCCGTCTGGGAGGTGTACCCAACAGCTCGTTGAGAACGGGCCATGATGACGATGGCAGTTTTGTGGAATAGAAAAGGGGGAAATGTGGGGAAAAGATAGAGAAATCAGATTGTTGCTGTGTCTGTGTAGAAAGAAGTAGACATAGGAGACTCCATTTTGTTCTTTACTAAGAAAAATTCTTCTGCCTTGGGATGCTGTTGATCTATGACCTTACCCCCAACCCGGTGCTCTCTGAAACATGTGCTGTGTCCACTCAGGGTTAAATGGATTAAGGGCGGTGCAAGATGTGCTTTGTTAAACAGACGCTTGAAGGCAGCATGCTCCTTAAGAGTCATCACCACTCCCTAATCTCAAGTACCCAGGGTTACAAACACTGCGGAAGGCCCCAGGGTCCTCTGTCTAGGAAAACCAGAGACCTTTGTTCACTTGTTTGTCTGCTGACCTTCCCTCCACTGTTGTCCTGTGACCCTGCCAAATCCCCCTCTGCGAGAAACACCCAAGAATGATCAATAAAAAAAAAAGAGAGAAAAAAAAAGAGAAAAAGAAAATAAATTATTTTATTAAAGCAAGAGAGATCTCTTACTTGAGCAACTCATTATATATAAGAAGATACTGCATTAAATATCAACCAGACTGCCACAATAGAGAAGCAATTTGTAAATTTTTTTTTAAAAAGAACTTGGAAAAAAACAGAATTTCAGAAACAAAAATTCAATAGAAGTCAGTGGAAAAATGAAATGGACACTGAGGAAAACTCAATTAACTATCTAGAACATAAACTTGAAGGCTGTTATATAACGTAGAATACATAAAAGTGAAAATTTTTGATTAAAAAATAAGAGGCATAGAGCTTTGGCACAGATATAGTATCCAAATAATAGTTTTGTACAAAACTAATATAGAAAATAACTCCATAACCTACATGTATCAAAGAAGCAATTACCAAAGAAATAAGACTCCCCTCAGTGAAAGAAAGGCATGATGTCCCAGATTTAAACATTTTACCAAGTGTAGAGAAAAAAATAGTAAGGAAGAGGCAAGAAAAAAAAAATGGATCAACACCTGGACCAATCCTAATAAAATGGTCTAATAACAAAGACAAAGAGAGGATCAAACATTCAATGGTAGGAACAGACATTTACAAAGAAAAGATTCATAAAAGTTTTCACATGAAACTCTACAAAACAGTGGTACAATCTTTCCAGTCCTTTCTGAAATCCTATACTCAACCATGGTATCAGTCCTCTGAGAAGACCAAAGATAGCACTAGTTTAACTTGTAGTGAATTATATAATATCCCACACACTTAGCATTACTTTAAGAAAAAAAAAAAAAACTAAGTAAATATAACACTACTTACATACATACGTAATGCAATTTCAGCAAGAATCTTCATGCAAATGGAAACAAGAAGACAAAAACACTTTTTTTTTTTTTTTTTTTGAGATGGAATCTCACTCTGTACCAGGCTGGAGTGCAATGGAGCTATCTTGGCTCACTGCAACCTCCTCCCGGGTTCACACCACTCTCCTGCCTCAGCCTCCCTAGTAGCTGGGACTACAGGCACACAGCACCACATCCTGCTAATTTTTGTATTTTTAGTAGAGATGGGGTTTCACCATGTTAGCCAGGATGGTCTCAATCTCTTAACCTCGTGATCTGCTCACGTTGGCCTCCCCCAAAGTGCTAGGATTACAGGCAAGAGCCACCATGCCCAGACAACAAAAACACATTTTACGAGCTATTAATAATAACCACCTGAGGCCGGGCGCGGTGGCTCACGCCTGTAATCCCAGCACTTTGGGAGGCCGAGGTGGGTGGATCACGAGGTCAGGAGTTGGAGACCAGTCTGGCCAACATCATGAAACCCCGTCTCTACTAAAAATACAAAAAATTAGCAGGGTGTGGTGGTGTGCGCCTGTAGTCCCAGCTACTAGGGAGGCTGAGGCAGGAAAATGGTGTGAACCCGGGAGGCGGAGCTTGCAGTGAGCCGAGATAGCTCCATTGCACTCCAGCCCAGGAGACAGTGCGAGACTCCATCTCAAAATAATAATAATAATAATAACGACAACAAAAACCTGAAAAAATAAATATGTGAGAAAGTAGAAAAATTAAACAGAAGAGTACATGGGAATTAACCTTGTAGATAATAAAACAAATGATAATTTGATATACGTAGATTTAAACAAATAGGTTAGTGGATGAGAAAAGAAATTATAGAAATACATGCAAGCATAGCAAGAAGTTAGTATATGATAAATTTGGTAATTCAAAATAGTAGGGAAATGATTGATTATACAATAAATGCAACTGGAACAATTAGGTACTCACTGTAAAGGGAAAAAACTTAAAATCTGTACCTCACTCTACATATTTAAAAAAATGCCAAAAAATTTTAAACTCTAAATATTTTAATCTATAAAATAAATAAATGAATAAATAGAAAATAGATTAATAACAATAACACAATGAACAACTAAATTTTCCTCCTGACCAGGCTCAAATTCTTAGAAGTAGGCAGAACATATGTAATAATCATCAAAATTAAACAATAGTGTTCATTCAGTCCCACACAAAATCCAAACAGCATATTTTTAGAGTGACTGGCAAGTTGATTCTAAAATACATCTAGGAGATAAAATGCTCAAAGCTCGCCAAACACGATAGATGAGGAATCAGGGTGGGAACTTGTTTTTAATTATCAAAACATGACATGAAGATTTGAAGTATTTCTAATTATAAAGTCAGGGCAGAATTTAGCAAATAGATCGACACAGCATACTAGAAATCTAGGAAAAGACCAAGGTTTAATATAAATTTAGTGTATGATAAAAGTAGCATTTCATTTTACCTCAACAGGGTAATAATTCAGTAAATGATGTTGAGACCATTCACTATCCATTGGGGAAAATATAAGTTAGATCACAACTTTATGTCAAACACAAAAATTTATTCCGAATAGTTTGAAAAGCTAACCCATAAAAATGGCATGAGAAAATAGATAATATTTTCAATATCTTGTGTTATAAAAATAATTTTTAATCAGTGCACAAAGTATAAAGCCATAAAGGGGAAAAAATTATTTTGATTGCATACATTTGAAAACTTAGGTATAACAAAGGCACCATAAGCAAAGTTAAGTAACAAGCAAAAGCATAAAAGAAAATATTCATAATATATATAACACAAAAAATTCAGAATAGCAAAAGAGCTACTATTAATTACCAAAGGAAATAAACAATGAAATAATAAAGACTATTTATAGGTAAATCAAAAAATGAAAATACAAATGATTATTAAAAATTCAAAAAGCTGCTCAGTCTTACTAGTAGTCAGAGAAAATCCAAACAGAAAACAATACGATGCAGATTGCATAGAATTTAAAAAATTCATTATAGCAAGTATCAACAGTAGCATGGAGCAGTGTAAATGCATATATACCATCTTTGACAGTACAAAATAATACTCTATTTGGGGCCAGGTAGCTTTAAAATAGCTATCGAATTTTGAATGTGCAAACCTTTCTGACTTAAAAATTGCACATCTAAGAATCTAGCTATAGTAACATGATTTATAATCATTTGGGTATATACCCAGTAATGGGACCACTGGGTCAAATGGTATTTCTAGTTCTAGATCCTTGAGGAATTGCCACACTGTCTGTTTCCTGTGGCAATATTCACAATAGCAAAGACTTGGAACCAACCCAAATGTCCATCAATGATAGACTGGATTAAGAAAATGTGGGACATATACACCATGGAATACTATACAGCCACAAAAAAGGATGAGTTCATGTCCTTTGTAGGGACATGGATGAAGCTGGAAACCATCATTCTGAGCAAACTATCGCAAGGACAGAAAACCAAACACCGCATGTTCTCACTCATAGGTGGGAACTGAACAGTGAGAACACATGGACACAGGGTGGGGAACATCACACACCAGGGCCTGTCATGGGATTGGGGGATGGGGGAGAGATAGCATTAGGAGGAACACCTAATGTAAATGATGAGTTAATGGGTGCAGCACACCAACATGGCACATGTATACATATGTAACAAACCTGCACGTTGTGCACATGTACCCTAGAACTTAAAGTATTATAATAATAATAATAATAATAAAAAGAATCTAGCTAATGGAACAACTGGCATAAATAAACCACAATGTATCTAGAACATCTTTAAAATGACATATAAACAGAGATATCTAAGCATCTATCAGTAGGGGAGCAATTAGTTAAATAAATTGGAGACATCTATGCAAAAGAGTGAAACCTTAAAAAATTAATTTACATGTGTATGTTCCAATTTACAAAGATGGCCTTTAAAAGTTGCGTTAAAGATATAGGACAAAATACATAGCACAATCCAGGTTTGTTCTAAAGAAAGTAAAGAAATAAAACAACCTATATGTATCAAAAAATAGGCAAATATTTGTGCAAATATATATTCTATATATGAACACTGAGGTCTATAATATAGATTTTAGAAATATTATGAAATGATTGAGGGAAATTGTTGACAGTGGTTATGTATGATCAATGTCATTGTGGGAGCAAAAACATGACATGAACTGTCATGTTTGCACATGTGCTGTTGAAATATTTAAATTATGTTTTAAAATAGAACACGAATTCCTGACCTACTTTTCAACAAGCTTTATGGTGAAGATAAAAACGGGTGTAATATTTCTCTGCAATATCGTCTCAAGTGCTATAAAATTCGGAGTATTGTTATTCCTTTAGCATGAATAATATATTTATGAAATCCTTTAAAAAAAACAAAAAAGAAACTAAATGCTACATAAATAGACATTGTAATCAGATCAGATGATCGTTTCTGCCCACTCTGTTGAAGTGGTGTTAGCCTATAGGATTTGCAAGAACTAATAGCCCAGTGTCATTACATAGTTCTTTGGCTTTCATTCATATATTTTCAGCCAATGAAACAATGATAGTTTGTTGAATACTGCAAAAAAAAGTAGTAAAAAAGGAATTGTGAATTTACTACTTACTGAACTCTTTTAAAAAGACTTTCATGTTACATTTCATTTCTAAATTTATCACTCCAAAAAGTGTCATCCACTAATTTCATTTTTAACTACACCTCAGATTTCTTGGAAATTCATGCAAATTTTATAAAAACTAATATATAACTATATTATGTATTTTATAATACATACACATAATATAAAAATTATATACATACATTCCCACATACACATACATATACCTCCACACAAACACACAAGATATTCAACCTTTGTGCTTACTGCCGTTCAGAAGAAACCAATACGCTTTAGTAATACGCTCTTGAAATTGGTTTTATCAAAAGCATAAAATAAAATGTAAGAAATCAATACTAAAACAGATTGCATAACTCAATGGCATAGTGCATCTTGTCATATGTATTTATACATTCAGAGAATAACCAGTTATCCTGTTGGAACTCCTATTGGTGCTTAGACCCTACAGTAGAGTCTTTTAAGTCATTTTACATTGTTATACTTTAATTTGAAAGATAGAATATTAGAGAAACAGCTACAAGTACTATAGCAATCATATTATAATTTTTAAATTGTCATATATGATTTTACTCTTTTTAAGGCAATAATAAAAACAAGAAGCCATTTTTGTAATGCAATTTTCTGTTTGCATGACAATTATTATCAAGAGAATAGCACCTCAGATGGGAACTGCTCTGATATTTTTCAGAATAATTTTGTAAGTTCTAGTTTTATTAATTGATCATTTTTTCCTACCATTTTTCTAATTTCTTAAAGAAGTTTCATAACAAATATCTTAAATTTCTTAAATGAGATCCTAGAAATTAAATAGGGTAGTGAAACATTTTTAAAACAATAATTATATTATTTTTACTCATCTGCTATAAATACATATTTCCTGTACTCAGAGAACTTATCATTTTTAAGGTCTTTATAATGTTATGGTCCTAGTAATCTTATTATTAATAGGATTCCAGAGGAGAAACAAACTAATAAGGATTTTTAGTGCTTCAACCTCTAGAAGGCTTCTTTAAATATGAAAGATCCTCATTTTTTTGTATGGTTTAACATTGAGAGGGCGGAAGGTACTAGATGATGGCAAACTAAGGTCATCTTCCTCCTAGATTTATGTGGCAGCCAAGAAAAAACCAAAATAACTTTTCCCCAGCAATAGAAATCTACAACTGGTATTTGTGGTCTAGAATTGCCTTAGGAAAGCAATGTTCTACTTTGCTCAAAGACTGAAAGTGAAGCATTTTTAATCCCCTGCCAATTCTAGCACTCAGATATCCTATTAAATTGGACAATAATGAGTAGCACTTAAAATATCATCCAGATATGTCCAGATATCCAAGGAGTCTGAAATAATTTAAATATTGAGAAATATTTATAGTGGAAATACAGATTATAACCAGCCTTCAGGGAAACTTCTCAAGACTAAAAGAAATAGGCACTTATCAAAAGGTCAGGGTTCCAGATGTCTGACAGAGTAGAATAACCAACCACTGCTACAGCTTCTAAGTTCCCTAATGATTGAGGGTGGAGTAGGGGGAGACAAACGTAAGTCTAAAGCTTTGGATATGTGAAGTCAATTTTTTGGCTTTATTTAATCCAATTCTCTGTATTTACTTTCCTTTGGGTACTAGAGCTAGCTATATTCTAGGAAAGAGTCTTAATCCTTGAAAGTCTCACTCTGGAAAAACTATTAGATGTGTCAGTATCATCACTGGCTGTATTAGTCCATTCCCACATTGCTAATGAAGACATACCCAATGCTGGGTAATTTATAAAGAAAAGAGGTTTAATCGACTCACAGTTCTGCATGGCTGGGGAGGCCTCAGGAAACCAACAATCATGGCAGAAGGCGAAAAAGAAGCAAAGGCACATCTTATGTGGTGGCAGGCAAGAGAACCAACAAGCAAAGAGGGAAGAGCCCTTTATAAAGCTATTAGATCTTGTTAGAAGTCACTCACTATCACGAGAACAGCATGGGGGAAACAGCCCCTCTGATCCAATCACCTCCCACCACATCCCCCCTACCACATGTGGGGATTATGGGAATTACAATTCAAGATGAGATTTGGGTGGGGACACAAACCCAAACCATATCACTGGCTTTTCGTGTAACATTTCTGTGAGTCATTCAATTTACATCTGAGGAGCTAAAGTCTCCCACTATAAAATAAGGGATGATCCACAGCACAGTTTGAAGTAAGAAAGATTCTAGACCATGCCTGAACCAAGTCATTGTATTGGAGCAGAGATCAGTGGAACTTTAAGCAGGTGAGAATTCTCATGAATAATCACCAGGTCAGGCACAAGAAGGAAATTACTGGGGATACTCTGCAGACACAAGCCCCAGGAAGGCAAGAGACATATTACTGTTTAACATTTTGTGGGAATTCCAATCACTGGGAGAGCTCAACCTAGGAACACATTTTTCCTTCACTGAGCCCTCAAAGTCAAGCAAACTTGCAAGGAGAACTTTAAGGAATTATCAAGTCAAACAAAGAGCTAAACGTTTATGCCCTAGGTGCATTGCAGCCTGAATCACCATAAGTAAACTTCCCAAACTGGCTTTCTGTTTTTATTCTAGACAGACTAGTAGAACAGATATACCCTTTGCTACCTCTCTCTGATTTATCTCAAAGACAAGAGCCAGCAATCAATTAATGAAGGGGATATCTTTTTGCTAGGTTTTCTTGGAGCAAGAGGGGAGTTGTTGTTGTACTATTTTAGTAATCAAGGTAAAAGTCCTATATTACTCTTTAAAATGGGCCTATCCAATAGAGGTATGACTAAAAATCCCTATCAGGAATGACTCCAGCCCAAGCCACCTTTTGTTTGCCTTGTATAACTCCAGGAGGTAGAGGAAAGCCACACTGCAAATGAAACTCTTTAAGATGCACTAAAATCAATGCAGACCAAACCAAGGTAGGCATACAAGAGGCCACCGAACGTAGAAATATTGCTACAAAACTTACACAAAACCTCTGGCACCAGTCTTCTATATTGAGTCAATTCTTATACTTCATGGTGTTTATGTGCTAGAAAGTCACCATGAACACTTAAACTAGCAAATACTGAATTATTGCTCATGAGGAAAAACAGGGTTAGGCTCCTTGAGCCTCAGATATTTATCAAGAAATCCAGCATTCCCTGATCATTTTCCAAAGTCAATTCAAAGTCCTTATGAGATGGATTTACCCTACTGTTAAATTTAGATCTTGCTTATTTGTACTTCCTGCCATTCCAAATGTTGTTGATAAAGTTTTCCCAAAAATCTAATGATTTTTATGTCACAAAACATAGCTTCTTAACATGATTTTGCACAGAAATAGAATCACCCTCCAATTCAAAGAATGACACTGTGCTAGAAGTTCTATTCATAAATTTCACAATCATCCTAAACAGAATAATTATATGAGTCTGAATGTTCCAATGAAATATTTGCTGTATTAATATTAGAAAAGAGAGAAAACCTACAAGAGGAAATATGATAAATGGTTTTGTTATCAAATAAAGGGAAAAAGCACCCCTAACCCTCTCACCTAGCAATGTGGACCCTCACAAGGACTAGCTTTGCTGCAGCTACACTTCTTTACCGCCATTATATCAAACACTATTCTATAATGTAATTTTGGCCGGGCGCCAAATGCAATTGATTTTTAAAACTTTTTATTGACATACAAGAGTTGTACATATTTTGGGGGTAAAAGTGATATTTTGATACATGCATACAATGTGTAAAGATCAAATCTGGGTAATTGAGATATCCATCACTTCAAACTTATTTTTGTTCTCTACATTGGGAATATTGCAATTCATCTCTTATGGCTACTTGAACTATATGATACATTATTGTCAACTATAGTCACCCTGTTGTACTATTGAACTCTGCATCTTATTCCTTCTAGCTAACTGTATTTTTATAACCATGAACTAATCTCTCTTCATCCCCTCTTACTCCTACCCTTCCCAGCTTCTGGTAATCACCAGTCAACTCTCTTCCTCCATGAGATCTACATTTTTAGCTCCCACATATGAGTGAGAATATGCAGTATTTGTCTTTCTGTGTCTGGCTTATTTCGCTTAACATAATGACCGCCAGTTCTATGTTGACGAAAATGACAGGATTTCATTATTTTTGTAGCTGGATAATATGCCATTGTGTACATATACCAATTTCCTTTATCCATCTGTTGATAGACATTTAAACTGATTCCAAATCTTGGCTATTGTGAATAGTACTACAGTAAACATGGAAGTGCAGATGTTTCTTTGATAAACTGATTTCCTTTCTTCTGGGTATATACCCAGTAGTGGGGTTGCTGGATCATATGGTATTTCTATTTTTGTTTTTTGGAGGAACCCCCATACTGTTTTCCACAGTGGTTGTACTAATTTACATTCCCACGAAGAGTATACAATGCTCCTCCTCCTCTGCATCCTCATCAGCATCCATTATTTTTTATCTTTTTGATGAAAGTCATTTTAACGAAGGTGAGATGGTATCTCATTGTGGTTTTGATTTGCACTTCCCTGATGACTAGTGACGTTGAGTATTTTTTCATATACCTATTGGCAATTGGTATGTCTTTCAAGATATGTCTATTCAGATCTTTTGCCCATTTTTAATCTTTTAATGAAATGAAATAAAGGGATATAGCTGAAGAATGGAAAAAATTCATGCCCATAAAAACACGTAAGTTGGATGTATGCTCAGAGAATTCATCTGAGTTTAGACAGCCTCCTTCTTCAGCATAGAATCCTTGCAGAAGACTCCTAGAGCATAATGCAGGAAAAGGCTTCATCTCCCTCTCTCACCCCAAGCACACAATGCAGCCACTAAACACTCCTGTGCACTAAGAGAGCCCATCCCACAGGAAAACCTTGGGCCGAGCAGTAAGCAAACACACCATCTGCTCCTACACAGTACAGAGGACACCAAATGAAATTATCCATGGAAATGAACAATACTAACAAGCCAGCACTGTGAAATCTTCATATGAAACTACTGAGGACTTGAGATGTTCATGGTGATTATTCAAACTCTCATGAGTTTTCACACATGATCATATTTTTTAAAAGTTTGTACCAAACAGCATCATGTTATTAAAGTAAGAATATAAAATCATTTTGTTTCAATAACATTTATCAGGAGAATTCCAGATGAAATCAATTTCTGTTAAATGAATCATTACCCCATAGCACCTCAAATTCAGAGAACTTTTAAGGTCTTTGTACAAACACACACACACACAGACACACACACCACTCCTAAGCAAACCTACCCTGTGAACAAGAAAATAAAGATATCAGGCCATAGAGTGGATGAAGCAAAGCCCAAAACTCAAGAAGCAAAATGTGCATATAACAAAACAGATAGTGTTTCTCTTTTTATTCCTTTCCATACACAACTTAAATATTTCCACTGATTCATGAATAAAATACATACACATTCAAGATTAAAGCATAATGATATGTGACATATTACTCAACTACCTACATACATTTGAATTTAAGATTTAATAATAGCCTTTGTTCATTAGGACACACTGGCATTGGCTTAGCTAAAAAAATAACTTTCTCGATGACTATATGGTTCTTTGTAATTATCCTATGTAGGAAACTTAAGAAACAGCTAACGTGGTTATCTTTTTTCCCCATTGAGCAGATACACAGGAGAAACAAATGCAGATGACCATTATAAATGTAAGGCCCTTATCATACTCAAAAAGAGATTTAACCCTTCAGCAATTACTCTCCATTTTGACTTCTTATTGACTTACTTCTTCAATTTTTCCCACTCAAAGAAAAGCTCTCTTTGGTCTGAAATTTTATGATTTTCATTTTTCTGATTGTCCTTTCCCTTGTATATGCATTAGTATGAGAGGTGGTACATTGAAGTGGAATGCATGTGTGATTTGCAGTGATACCCAAACTTGGAGAAGTCCTCTGTCTGTTACTGTGCAACACTGGTTGAGTCATCTAACCTCTCAGTTTCAGGTCCTACTCATATATGGTAATAATATCATAAATATAAATCTCACAGCATTATTTTTCAAACAATTAATGTGCATGAAATCCATGCATTTTCATATTTTGAATATTATACTGCCAAATGGATGGGAGAAAAATTATATTTTTATTGTTTTACGGAATGTATTGAATACAGCATGGTTGTCTAATCTTCTAGTTCATGATTTTATAGTAAAAAGATACATATACAATGACAACTATAGAACAGCAACTACAACTATTTTGAAGTTATGAATACACGATTAAGATTTTAGTGGTTGGTGGTCACTCAGGTGGTTCAGAGGCTGGTAAGGACATCCACAGAGGGGGAAAAGTGGGATGTACCAGTTCTGTGATTTTAAACAAGCAAGATGCTTTCCTCATTTATCCTTGATATTATATCCTTTCTTACCTAAAAATAAAATTGTTGGAGTGAAGTTAATGCTGTTATAACAAGCTGATAATTCCCTGCCTTTATATTTTTCAAAGCTTCATTCAAGAGCCTTTAGAAAAACACCCTTGATTTTCCATTAAAATTCAATTTGTTGATTTATGTATTTCAAAATGGAACTTCAGAGATCATTTTAAGAAATCAAAAGCTCTATTTTTTGAGACATGATTCTTTGAAAAGTCTGATCCATTGGGTACATACTGGTTTTCAAATTTGATTGCTGGTTCCTTTAAAAAATATAAATTCCCTAAGATAAAAAAGTATTCCTGCATGGGTTCACTTTGAAGACAGATCTTTTCAATATCATATTCTTAAAATGGCAAATTCATCTTTTAGCTGATCTAAAGAATTCAAAGGAAGTTAACATATGCTTTTTTCAAGATCATAAATGTTTCTTTTTCACACAACGATCAGAAGAAAATCCTGATTGCCAAAAATACTTTTAAAATTCTCCTATATATGTAGAGATTGTAGGGAAAGAAAAGGTCAAAGTCATGAAATTTTTGACAAGATAAAATAGATGAAAGAATACACTTTAGATTCATAGTAGCTGTGGTCACCACGTAAACGTTAAGTGCTCAAATTAAATGTCATCAGACTCATGGGTCACTTTTTACGGTAGAGAGTTGCATTTCTTTTGTAGGATTCATAAAAGAAAGCCAACACCCAAAAGGTTCCTTGGTCTGAATGATTCTTCAGAGGAAAATACCTAAGAAGAGGTGCACATTTTCAAGAAAGATAACCAAATCTATAAAGATAAGGCAGAGCCATCAGATGTATTTGTAGAAATGGATTTCTAAGCCCCAAAAGGCAAATTCTTTTCTAACAAGAGTTTTTGTTACAAAAAAATGGGTTCCCTAGGTGCAAACTCATTTGTTCCTGATTCAAACAAACAAACACTAAAAAAACATATAAAGGCAATTGGGATAATCTGAACACTCATTGATGCTTGGTGACATTAAGGAATCATTGTCATATTAGGAAATCATTGCTAAGTTTTAAGCATAATGATGGTATAGTGGCTTTATTTTTTTCTAAGAAGATGGTTTCCTTTGGAGATACACACTGAAATATTTATAAAAGAAATGCTATCATGTCTGGGATTTGCCTCAAAGTAGTTCCCCAGGTGAGGAACGCTGATAATTATTGAAGCTGAATGACTGGGTATAGGAGCTTACCATGACATGATCTCTAATTTTATATATATCTGGAAGTTTTATTAATAAAAATGTTGTTTATAAATATTTTCCTTTCTCTAACATTTTTATCTGTGACAAATATTAAGTTTTAATTTGAAAACCTTAAATATATTCAATGACATCAATCCTTTAAGCTCTAGACAAAGATAATCACTAATACATCATTCTTCACATGGCAGCTTACCATTCCCAGTAGGTAATCACAAGAAAGCATTCACATTGCTCTCACCTTTAAAAATCAGCATAATATTGTCATGCCATCTACAATATGAATACTTGCAAGTATACAGTATACTATACCATACTATGTATGCCACACTATACTTCAAATACTATAAATCACAACAAATTGAATTTAAAATATTTGCATATAAAAATAGATACAGTCTATGATCTCTAAAAATATCTAATCATATTCTTGTATAAAGGAATGCAAGGAGACAAATGCCTTGGGACAAAATTCCATCCAAAACTCATTAACCATAAACTCTCACCCTTGAACTTCACTTTACTTTTTCATTTCATCAACTACTAAGGTACAGCTTTTAAAGGAAACAACAGTATTACCAAGAACTTTCTACAAGGGTCTTATTTTATTTTCTGCTCAACTTTGATGCTCCCTTTGGCAACTGACTCCATTAATTTTCCTATAAACACTAAAAAAGAAAATGAAAACAGGACTAGGACAGCTGTTGCTTTACTCCTGTGAAGGGACTGGTCTTTTACAAAAACTGGTCAGTGGGGAATGTGATGAAAACGTGAGCATATTGGACAGAGTGAGCTGGAACCACATGGATAGGGAAGTTGTTTCAGTCATTTTTAGGCTGTCTCAGTTCTTTTTTCCTCATAGTCAATTTCTGATCTGCATCTAGCCACCTGCTGCTGATCCTGTGTTTCTGTTTTCCTTCATAACCATTTGCTTCTTAACTTGGGGGTAACTATATTTAAAATTATAGCTTGCCATCATGCCTGTAATCCTAGCACTTTTGGAGGCTGAGGCAGGCAGATCGCTAGAGCCCATGAGTTCGAGACCAGCCTGGGCAACATGGTGAAACCTTGTCTCTACAAAAAATACAAAAATTAGCCAGGCTGCTGGCAGGCACCTGTACTCCAAGCTACTCAGGAGGCTGAGGTAGGATCACCTGAGCCTGGGAGGTCGTGGCTGCAGTGAGCTGTGATTGTGCCATTGTACCCCAGCCTGGGTGACAGAGCGACACCTTGTCTCAATAAATAACTAAATAAAATTAAAGCTTGATGTTAAGCATAAAGAAAGTAAAAGGTGATAAGGAAAATCAAGGGAGTAACTGAAATTTAATGTAGTCTATATGTTATCCATCTACATAAGAACTTTGAAATCATAAATAACATCAAGTCATTTTAAGACATGCAATTTTTTTCATATTTTCCTCTAATTAAGGGCCCTCTCTAATTTATACACTTGAATTCCGCCAGTGGGGAAAATCCTAGTGGGTACCATTGCACATTGAAATATTTAATGAAAACCAAATAAGAGGCCAGTCTTAAAGCTGAACTGAAAATCACAATATTTCATTGTCATCTTTAATCATTATATGGTATAATTATACTTCCTCATTTCAGACAGATTAACTCATTATGCAACTCTCACATTTATGAATGGGAGAAGGAAATTCATCCCTCAATTAGCTCATCACCTGCTCCATTTTGCATGCAATGTAGCCTACAGAATTGTACTTGTTATTTTCATTTCTCCCCATGCTGCAAGCAACTGCAGGAAACAAACTGTTGGGATTCATCGTGTAATCAATATCTTGTACATTAAAACCTCAGCATCTCTCTATGTAGCCATGGAACATTTAATCACTGTCACCAGCCCTGTGTAATTCTAGAGTGTACAGAGCACTCCTCAATAAATATTTTACCCTTCTCTTTAAAGGTTTATTTCTATTACCTCTAAAATACCTGGGAAGTAGTCTTTTTATTGTTCTTTTGCAAAGCCTGGTAGTAGCCAATAGTGGTGTTTATCTTCTACCTTAGAATGAATTTGATTTTGTGATTCTTGGTTTTACATATCAATATAAGAACATTTTTATTTTGCCCCTATACCTGCCTCCAAAGTGCCCCACAGTGGTTTTGTCTTGCAAAAATTGTTTGAATAATGTTTGAATTATTAATAGCTCCTCAGAGGAGTTCCCATAATGGTTTTAAGAGTGTCTTGTCACATTCATTTTTAAAGGTATAGTAATGAATATGGAAAGAACTGATCCAGTCTTTTCAAAGATGTTTTCCTAAATGCCTATCAAACCTCAGCAAACAAATAAACCTTAAACCACAAAAAGCAAAAGTAAGATTAAGTCTAACTTGCCCTTTGATTTTAAATAATGCAACAGTAACCATAACAAAGAACTTTTTTTTTCACTAAAAATTTACCTGCTAAGACCTTGTGAATGAGGTAGCTAGCATGTGATTAACAATTACTGCTGTAATTCAAAGCAACTCCTATCTATCTGTGATTCATTTTGAATTTTTTCTTTATACAAAGAAAATAAATACAACATTGTGGATTTTGATTTTTAAAAATCCACATAATTATTTTATCTGAGAATTATTTGAAGGTAAATAAACTAAAACAATGATGTCCACTGGATTCTGTTCTTTTTATGCACCCATTTGCCTTGCACTAAATAGCAGGAGGAAACACAAAGCATCTGACTCATTAAGCTAGAAACATATTGTCCACACAGCAGGATGGGATGGTAATTTACTATACACAGCCAGGGAAGACACGCTTTACAGCACAGATTTGCAGCTTTTAACCTGGAAGCTTCACAGCAAAGGCAATTCGGCTTTACTTTGTTTCCCTTCGAATCCCAAAGAAAGCATTATCTACTTTGTTACTAAACAGAGCAGGCAATATTTTATATTGCCATAGTCAATTATGTGAGGCTGTGTAACCTTTTCCAGCTATTACAGTCTTCAAATCTTTCTGTGCTAATGTTGCCAACAATACAGAAGCAGCTTCAAAGCATCTTTGCAGTGTTCGAAAGAGAAGACAGCTGGTACTGCTTAGAAACTAAGCTGCGATGACCAGATTTCTAATTTATAAAACTGGGGCAGCACACGTCAGGGGAACGTCGGCGGTGGTTTTGTGAAGGTACGTCTCCAGCTATTTCCTTTGTCAGATAAAGATTTGTTTACTGAAAAAAATAAAAATTTTTAAAGATTTTGCTGAGAGGTTAAAAAACTTCAATTAAAAAGAATGCTACAAGATTAAATATTCAAATTCAAAGCAATGTGGTGCTCCAATGTACAGATTTGAGAGAGTTCTACTATCAGGGCAGATAGAGAAATCTGTGAATTCATCAGTCTTGTCTTCAAGACTCATCAGACCTTAGATATAACAAAACATTCACCACAGGAAGGAAATGATACAAATGTAAAAATCATGGACTTCCGATTGTTAGTAACTACTTACAACTCTTGGGTAACCCTGACAATTAGGCTGCATTGATGTATCTTACGAACTACTATATAACTCCCTATAGCACTACTAGAATATCAACCTCTTAAAGGAGGAGATGGATAATTTAGACTGAAGTGTGGAAACCACGGGCATGAACCTGGGGTGGAGGTGGGCAATTGCTCTATGGGCAATTGAGAACATATTCAGTTTATTACATACAACAATTCACCTTCTTTTTTTGTTTTTGTTTTTGTTTTTTTGAGATGGAATCTGGCTCTGTCGCCCAGGCTGGAGTGCAGTGGTGTGATCTCGGCTCACTGCAAGCTCCACCTCCTGGGTTCACGCCACTGTCCTGCCTCAGCCTCCCGAGTAGCTGAGACTACAGGCGCCTGCCACCACGCCCAGCTAATTTGTTGTATTTTTAGTAGAGACAGAGTTTCACCATGTTAGCCAGGATGGTCTCGATCTCCTGACCTCGTGATCCGCCCGCCTCAGCCTCCCAAAGTGCTGGGATTGCAGGTGTGAGCCACCGTGTCCGGCCAATTCACCCTCTTTTCTAGATCAACTCATTAATTTTTCATTATGTGTATGGACTCTCTATTTTTTAAACTTTTAAATTCAGGGGTACAAGTGCAGGTTTGTCACATAGCTAGACTTGTATGATAGAAGTTTATCATACAGATTATTTCTTCACCCAGGTATTAAGCCTAGTACCCATTAGTCATTTTTCCTGGTCCTCTCTCTCCTCCCTCCCTCCACCCTCCAACAGCCCCCAGTGTGTGTTGTTCCCCTCCATATGTCCATGTGTTCTCATTTAACTCCCACTTATAAGTAAGAATATGTGGTATTTGATTTTCTTTTCCTGCATTAGTTTGCTAAGGATAAGCCTCCAGCTCCATCTATGTTCCTAAAAAAGACATGATCTCGTTCTTTTTTATGGCTGCACAGTATCCCATGGTGTATATGTACCACATTTTCTTGATCCAATCTATCATTGATGGGCATTTAGGTTGATTCCATATCTTTGCTATTGTGAATAGTGCTGCAATGAACATGCATGTGCATGTGTCTTTATGATAGAATTATTTATATTCCTTTGGGTAGATACTCAGTAAGGGGATTGCTGGATCAAATGGTAGTTCATCTTTAGGTCTTTGAGGAATTGCCATACTGTTTTCTACAATGGTTGAACTAATTTACATTCCCACCAACAGTGTATAAGTGTTCCTTTTTCTCTGCAACCTCACCAGTATCTGTTATTTTTTAACTTTTTAATAATAGCCATTCTCACTGTTGTGGGATGGTATCTCATTGCAGTTTTGATTTGCATTTCTCTAATGATCATAGATTCCTATTTTCAAACACAGTGCCATGTAATATTATCTTTGATTTTCACGACTTGGGAGAATGTTAAGTAGATGACAACATTCTTTGAGATGTACCCATCTCAAAGAGAAAATTTTGCTTCCAATAAATTGTATGACTTGTCTGAGGTCACAGCAAAAAAACAACAGAATTGGGCCCAGAATTTTCATCCTCTAACCCTTAAGCCAATGCTCTTAACTTCTTGCAAGTAAATTTGGGGAAGAACAAATATTAGCATTACCAATCTACAATCCTATAGGGCATCATATTTCACATTTTCCCAGGGGAAAGCAGAGGAAAATGCTGCTGAATTGTGTATGAATTGGATAGAGTGGAGCTTTCATAGCATGATTTTGAGCTGTTTAAGCCATATTGCTTTGTTCTTGCAGACATATTACTAACAACTTATATAACAATTCCCTAGGTCTTTAGAAAAAAGAAAAATGCAAAATATTCATCATGAACCACACTAAAAGCTCTGTGTTAAATGGAAATGCCTAACATGGCTGTGTTTAAGCTCTGTGATATATATTAATGTTCAAAGGCCTAATTGAGGAAATAAATCTCAAACATAAGACAGATTCACAATAGGGGACCAAAACAGATAAACTTTTATTTAGTCCTCACTATTAAGGTTTTTGCAAAATATAATGAAATAACCAAGAAGAAATCATGGCCTGAGAGTGAGAGACTTTCAGTTATACAGCGATGGAGATACTTTTTTTCTGTTTTTGATTTTGATTTTTTTTTATTATACTTTAAGTTCTAGGGTACATGTGCACAATGTGCAGGTTTGTTACATATATACACATGTGCCATGTTGGTGTGCTGCACCCATTAACTCGTCATTTACATTAGGTATATCTCCTAATGCTATCCCTCCCCTCTCCCCCCACCCCACAACAGACCCCAGTGTGTGATGTTCCCCACCCAGTGTCCAAGTGTTCTCATTGTTCAATTCCCACCTATGAGTGAGAACATGCGGTGTTTGGTTTTCTGTCCTTGCGATAGTTTGCTCAGAATGATGGTTTCCAGCTTCATGCATGTCCCTACAAAGGACATGAACTCATCCTTTTTTATGGCTGCATAGTATTCCATGGTGTATATGTCCCACATTTTCTTAATCCAGTCTATCATTGATGGACATTTGGGTTGGTTCCAAGTCTTTGCTATTGTGAATAGTGCTGCAATAAACATATGTGTGCATGTGTCTTTATAGCAGCATGATTTATAATCCTTTGGGTATATACCCACTAGGGGGATGGCTGGGTCAAGTGATATTTCTAGTTCTAGATCCTTGAGGAATCGCCACACTGTCTTCCACAATGGTTGAACTACTTTACAGTCCCACCAAGAGTGCAAAAGTGTTCCTATTTCACATCCTCTCCAGCACCTGTTGTTTCCTGACTTTTTAATGATCGCCATTCTAACTGGTGTGAGATGGTATCTCATTGTGGTTTTGATTTGCATTTCTCTTAAGGCCAGTGGTAATGAGCATTTTTTCATGGAGACCCCTTCTTTAAGAGGATCCTCACACTTCCATTTTTGTTTTTGCACAAAGCTGGTGGATGAGGCCTTGGCTAACACATCAAAGCTTCTCTGATGGATTGTTCTTTTGACAATACTACTATCATTCCATGAATGTCAAACAACAGAAATATGAATGTTACATTGAAACTGGTTGTAGTTTCACCTACAAGTTGCCAGCATCACCTAGAAACAAAGATGGCTCTTGTTACCAAGTTAAGATGTTAGAGTTCCCTTTGTTCTTTTGCCTTACATTTTTGTGGTCTTCAATGAAATGGTGAAAGTAAAAATTGATCCCAACTTCTATGGTATGTAATATGAAAGAGATAATTCATTCACAATATTGTATCAATAAATGGAAACACAATAGCAATTCTACACAATAGCAATTCTCCTTGAGTAACAACTGCTAGCAAGCCCCATTAATATGAAAATCATCACATCTTATAATCCAATCTATAAAAAAATAAAGTTCACCTGGTATATTAGTCAGGGTTCTCTAGAGGGCCAGAACTAATAGGATAGATATATATACAAAGGGGAGTTTATTAAGGAGTATTAACTCACACAATCACAAGGTCCCACAATAGGCCCTCTGCAAGCTGAGGAGCAAGGAAGCCAGTCCAAGTTCCAAAGCTGAAAAACTTGGAGTCCAGCGTTCACGGGCAGGAAGCATCCAGCACAGGAGAAAGATGTAGGCTGGGAGGCTAAGCTAGTTGAGCCTTTTCACATTTTTCTGCCTGCTTTATATTCTAGCAGCACTATCAACTGATTAAATGGTGCCCAACCAGATTAAGGGTGGGTCTGCATTTCCCAGCACACTGACTCAAATGTTAATCTCCTTTGGCAACACCCTCACAGACACACTCCAGACCAATACTCTGCATCCGTCAATCCAATCAAGTTGACACTCAGTATTAACCATCACACCTGGCTATGAACTCTGATCATCCAGGTTGGTTCTGCTCATCTGCTCATCTGCTCACCTGCCTGGTCAGTACACTCTCCCTTCTTCATAGTCCATGGATGTCCCCCTGAATTTGAGTTCTTAATTCCACGTGGAAATGTTTTAAGACCACTTGGGATTCATCAGTTTACATTAGAATTTGCTGACATAAATATCTGAGGATCTACGTAGTATCCATGAGTTCAGCACAATTATAACTGGTGTGCTATTGTCAGTCTATAGGATGTGAACGTTTTCACTTCCTCCACACATGAACTTAGATTCTTTTTTGGATGCTGGTGGTAACAAACTGAATCAAGGAACGAGCTAGAATGAGATCAGAGGGAACTGTCAGATTGATTGATTGATTTTGAGACGGAGTTTCACTCTTTTCACCCAGGCTGGAGTGCCTCGGCTCACTGCAACCTCCGCCTCCAGGGTTCAAGTGATTTTCCTACCTCAGCCTCCTGAGTAGCTGCAATTACAGGCATGTGCCACCATGCCCAGCTAATTTTTGTATTTTTAGTAGAGACAGGGTTTCACCATGTTGGTCAGGATGGTCTCAATCTCCTGACCTCGTGATCTGCCCGCCTTGGCCTCCCAAAGTGTCAGATTTTTTTATCCGATGCCCTTCTGATATCACTTTTCTGATACTCACATTTTTATCCCATCCCACTATTATTTCTAATATCCACAGTTTTATCAGTCTCCAGTTCTTCCTCTGAGCATTCCGCAGCTTTCTAAAGCAGAAATTACAACTGCTTTAGAGACTCCTCAGCATTTACGCATTAATGCAAATAAATGCAAAGAGAAGAGACCAAATTCCTTAATTTTGAGCTTACTAATGTTTATTTCCTGGAATTTAAGGATCTTCAAGTATTTTTATTACACCTATTGTATCTCCACATTCAGTAGATTGCAACTTTATTTCATTCTCCAAAACCCACCTGGATCTGGGTCTCAGAAAGTATTTTCTCTCAAGGTAATTACTTCTGCTATGGACTACGGAAGTCAACTTTGCAACTTGAAAAGTTGAGAATTTCTTTCTCTTTGTATTTCTGTGGTACCACTATTCAGTTAGCAGTAAATAAGTGTGGTGGGAAATATTGATTTTTTTTTTTAATGGTGAAGAGTCGATAAGACTGTGCTTTCACATCATTGCATATCCTGCCTTAAAACATTCTTTGTTGAACAATCACAGTCTATGACACTAGAAGGCCATATATCACTAAAGAAGTTTAAAGTATCTCTTTAAATGTCAGACGAGCCACGTGATCCCCACTGCCTAACAGGAAGTCTCATTGTCCTCATGAGATCCTTCTCCCTGCCCATGGCACATACCCCCATGTACAATATGCCTGAAAAGCATAAGGTCTTACTTAATCCGATGAGAGCTCAGTCCTGTGTCCAAACAGGTACTCAATAAATTCACTGCTGCTGTTGCTTCTCTTTTCCACACTGTGTGTGCTGTGAGTGATCATACAGCATCTCATGTATGACGCTTGTCTACTAATGCCAGGATGCCTTTTTGGTCCAGGTCCCAAGACAAGCCACAACAGAAGACTCAGATTCAACGTTGGGACAGCAGTTTATTTTATTTCATACTCTCATGCTCAGCTAATGGTCCAGCCACTGTGCTAAGGTGGCTGAAATGAGAGAACTTTCTAGCATCAGTTGTATTGGAACAACATCACACTTTGAACTCTTAGGTCCATCCCTTGAGTTTGAGTCCCAAACCTTGACTCATGCTTTTCTCTAGGAAATTGTGTTTCAAGATCTTTCATTCCCTTTCTTGTCACTGGACCTCAACTAGTGCTACCATAATACACATCCACAAATCTCCTAGCTGGTCTTGGGAAGAGCTGTGGTAACTGAACTCTCTAAAGAATATGATTTCCTAGTGTAAACTGATCCATTCCCACCCTCCTGCTACCAGCCACCACCACAGCTTCATACATTAGAGGTCTCCACAAAATGCACTCCAATAAAGTCATGAGAGGTGTTGGTTGCACCAAATCCCAGAAAAATGGCTGCTAGCCTGCCAGCTTTTGCAAAACCAAGAGGTGTGTCTAAGTAACAACCAAGGACAAACGTCCCTCCTTTCCCCAATACATAATCACAGAGTGAAAGAAGTAAATGTTTGTACATGTTACAAGGTTTTAAAAAACTATGGGAAAGGCTTAGGAGCCTACTACATGCATATGTACAGTCATATAAATAGCCCAGACAGAATAATAATGTATTCCAACTGAGAAGCTAAGAATTCTGATTTCAGAGCAGAGGTTAGGAAAATAGCAGATAGGAGGCAGGACTAAATCGCAGCTCTCACTTGGACATAAAGATCAATGTGTGGAGACTCACATCATGAACTTTTGCTCTGAGAACTGCTGTAGAAACATACCAGGAAAGCTGAGAAAGTCCAGAGGCCCTTTGAAGAAAGCAGATTGCTCCTGCAGACCACAGGAGACGACCAAACACTGCAAGTGCCCAAAGTGTGAAAGTGTGAAAGGGGATTGCCCACCCCTGAACACACACCCTCACTGGGGAACCTGAAGGTCCAGATCACGGGAGAAGAATTTGACCTTGCCTGGAGCTGAGACAATTTTAGAGAGCCAGCTGCAATACAGGGGTAGAAGAAAAAGCAGGAAGAGCCTGGTGGGCTCTCTCAGTCCCCAGGGAAACCATTTCTGACTTTGTCTCACAGAAGTCCTTGGGGAGGGCTGCCAGAAGAACTGGGAAAAGACCACAGGGAGGAGGAAACTTCCAGCTGAACTTTGCAACAATCTCAACCAAATGGGAAGTTTCCTGAACAGAACTTGGAGGAGGGGGTGAATCCAGACACAGCACAGAAGTGAGGCACAAAATCTGAAAGCCCTGCTTGCTTTCTTACTCTCATGCTCAGCTAATGGTCCAGCCACTGTGCTAAGGTGGCTGAAATGAGAGAACTTTCTAGCATCAGTTGTATTGGAACAACATCACACTTTGAACTCTTAGGTCCATCCCTTGAATTTGAGTCCCAAACCTTGACTCATGCTTTTCTCTAGGAAATTGTGTTTCAAGATCTTTCATTCCCTTTCTTGTCACTGGACCTCAACTAGTGCTACCAGCCTGGGCAAAATTCTCAGTCCTGCTCACCCGCTGCCTAGAAACAAACGGTGATATTAGGGCAGGGCACAGTGGGAGTGAGACCGGCCTTTCGGGCTGTGTGGGAGCTGAGTGAGGACTGTAACTACTGTCTTTACCCCACTTCCCTGGTGACCTGCATGACACAGCAGAAGCAGCCATAATCCCCCAGGAAATAGAACTCTATTGGCCTGAGAACCACACCACCATCCCCTACAGCAGCCGTACTCCCACAGCACCTGCTCAAATATTCCTAACCCCACCCCCACCTGATGATCTTTCTCTACCAGCCCTGGTAGCCAAAGACAAAGGACATACTCTCTTGGGAGCTCTAGGGCCCCACCCACCACCTGATCATCTCTATACTACCACAGCTGATGCTCTCTTGAAAGTGCCACCTTCAGTAAGGAGGTCAACCAGCACAAAGCTAGTGCAATAAACAAAAATATAACTAAAGATGCTCACCAAGTCCATTTCACTCTCCTGCCGCCTCCACCAGAGCAGGTGCTGCCATCCATGGTTGAGAGACCTGAAGAAGGTTCACATCATAGGACTCTGTGCAGACACTCCCCGCAGTACCAGCCCAGAGTTTAGTTAGCTCCACTGGGCGGCTATATCCAGAAGAGAAATAACGATCACTACAGTTTGACTCTCAGGAAGCCACATCTCCAAGAAAAGGGTGAGAGCATGACATCAAGGGAGCACCCCATGGGACAAAAGAATCTGAATAGCAGCGCTTGAAGCCCAGATCTTCCCTGTGACATAGTCTACCCAATGAGAAGGAGCCAGAAAAAAAAACCTGGTAATATGACAAAATAAGGTTATTTAACACCCCCAAAAGATCACATTAGCTCACCAGCAATGGATCCAAACCAAGAAGAAATCCCTGAATTGCCAGGAAAAGAATTCAGAAGATCGATTATTAAGCTAATCAAGGAGGCACCAGAGAAAGGTGAAGTCCAACTTAATGAAATTTAAAATGATACAAGATATGAAGGGAAAAATCGCAGTGAAATAGATAGCATAAATAAAGAATCACAACTTCTGGAAATAAAGAACACACTTAGAGAAATGCAGAATGCACTGGAAAGTCTCAGCAATAGAATCGAACAAGCAGAAGAAAGAATTTCAGAGCTTAAAGACAAAGTTTTCAAATTAATCCAATCTGACAAAAACAAATACAAAAGAATTAAAAAAAAATAAACAAAGTCCCCCAGAACTTTGGGATTATGTTAAATGACCAAACCTAAGAATAATTAGTGTTCTCGAGGAAGAAGAGAAATCTAAAAGTTTAGAAAACATATTTGAGGGAATAATCAAGGAAAACTTTCCCAGCCTTGCTAGAAATCTAGACATCCAAATATAAGAAGCTCAAAGAACACCTGGGAAATTTATCACAAAAAGATCATCGCCCAGGCACATTGTCATCAGGTTATCTAAAGTTAATATGAAGGAAACAGTCTTAAGAGCTGTGAGGCAAAAGCACCAGGTAACCTATAAAGGAAAACCTATCATATTAACAGCAGATTTCTCAGCAGAAACCCTACAAGCTGGAAGGGAGTAGGGCCCTATCTTCAGCCTCCTTAAACAAAACAATTATCAGCCAAGAATTTTGTATCCAGCAAAACTAAGCTTCATAAATGAAGGAAAAATAGTCTTTTTCAGATAAACAAGTGTTGAGAAAATTCACCACTATCAAAGCCAGCACTATGAGAACTGCTAAAAGGAGCTCTAAATCTTGATACAAATCCTTGAAATACATCAAAATAGAACCTCCTTAAAGCATAAATCTCAAAGGACCTATGAAATAAAAATACAATAAATAAAAAGAAAACAAGGGCCAGGCACAGTGGCTCATGCCTGTAATCCTAGCACTTTGGGAGCCCAGGGCGGGTGGACTGCCTGAGCTCAGGAGTTCACAGTGAAACCCCATCTCTACTAAAATGCAAAAACTTAGCCAGGCATGGCAGCGTGAGCCTGTAAGGCAGGAGAATTGCTAGAACCTGGGAGACGGAGGTTGCAGTGAGCAGAGGTTGCACTACTGCACTCCAGCCTGGACAACAGAGCAAGACTCCGTCTCTTAAAAAAGAAAAAAAAAAAAAGAAAGAAAACAAGGTATTCAGGCAACAAATATCATGATGAATAGAATAGGACCTCACACTGCAATACTAACATTGAATGTAAGTGGCCTAAATGCTCCACTTTAAAGATACAGAATGGCAGCATGGATAAGAATTCACCAACCAAGTATCTGCTGTCTTCAAAGACTCACCTAACACATAAGGACTCACAAAAACTTAAGGTAAAGGGGTGGAAAAGAATATTCTATGCAAATGCACACCAAAAGCTAGCAGGAGTAGTTATTTTTATATCAGAAAAAAAAAACTTTAAAGCAACAGCAGTTAAAAAAAGACAAAAAGGGACATTATATAATGATAAAAGGACTAGTCCAGCAGGAAAATATCACAATCATCCATATATATGCACCTAACACTGGAGCACCCAAATTTACAAAACGAATACTACTAGACCTAAGAAATGAGATAGACAGCAATGCAATAATAGTGGGGGACTTCAATACTCCACTGACAGCACTAGACAGGTCATCAAGACAGAAAGTCAACCAAAAAACAATGGACTTAAACTATACTCCGAAACCAATGGACTTAACAGATATTAACAGAACTTTCTACCCAACAACTGCAGAATACTCATTCTATTCATCACCACATGGAACATTGTCCAAGACAGACCATATGATACGCCACAAAACAAGTCTCAAGAAATTTAAGAAAACTGAAATTATATCAAGTACTCTTTCAGACAACAGTGGAATAAAATTGGAAATCAACCCCAAAAGGAACCCTCAAAACCATGACAATACGTGGAAATTAAATAGCCTGCTCTTGAATCATCTCTCAGTCAGCAATGAAATCAAGATGGAAATTAAAATATTCTTTGAACTGAACAGTACTAGTAATACAACCTATCAAAACCTCTAGGATACAGCAAAGGTGGTGCTAAGAGGAAAGTTCATAGCCTTAAATACTTACACCAAAAAGTCTGAAAAAGCAAATAGACAATCTAAGGTCACACCTCAAGGAACTAGAGAAAAAGGAACAAACCAAACCCAAACCCAGCAGAAGAAAGGAAATAACCAAGATCAGAGTAGAACTAAATGAAATTGAAACAAAAAAAATACAAATACAAAAGATAAAACTAAAAGCTGGTTCTTTGAAAAGATAAATAACATTGATAGACTATTAGCAAGATTACCAATCAAAAAAGAAAGATGATCCAAATAAGCTCAATTAGAAACAAAATGGGAGATATTAGGATCGGTACCACAGATATACAAAACATCATTCATGGCTACTATGAACATCTTTATGTGCATAAACTAGAAAACCTAGGAGATGATAAATTCCTGGAACTCTACAACCTTCCTAGATTAAACAAGGAAGAAATAGAAACTTTGAATAGACCAATAACAAGCAACAAGATTGAAATGGTAATTTAAAAATTGCCACCAAAAAAAGTCCAGAAGCAGACAGATTCACAGCTGAATTCTATCAGACATTCAAAGAAGAATTGGTACCAATCCTATTGACACTATTCCACAAGATAAAGAGGAAATCCTCCCTAAATCCTTTTGGCTTCATAAAGCCAGTATCACCCTACCACCAAAACCAAGAAAGGACATAACAAAAAAAGAAAACTACAAACCAATGTCTGTGATAAATATACATGCAAAAATCCTCAACAAAATACTAGCTAACCAAATCCAACAGCATATCAAAAATATAATCCATCATGTTCAAGTGGGTTCCATACCAGGGATGCAGGGATGGTTCAATATACGCAAGTCAATAAATGTGATACATCACATAAACAGAATTAAAAACAAAAATCCCACAATCATCTCAATAGCCACAGAAAAAGCATTTGACAAAATCCAGCATCCCTTTATGATTAAAACCATCAGCAAAACTAGCATAAAAGGGACATAGCTTAATGTAATAAAAGCTATTATGACAAACCCACAGCCAACATAATATTGAATGGGAAAAAGTTGAAAGCATTCCCCCTGAGAACTAGAACAAGACAAGGATGCTCACTCTCACGACTTCGATTCAACATAGTACTGGAAGTCCTAGCCAGAGCAATCAGACAAGAGAAAGAAATAAAGGGCATCTTAATCAGTAAAGAGGAAGTCAAACTGTCACTGTTTGCTAATGATATGATTGTATACCTAGAAAACTCTAACAACTCCTCCAGAAAGTTTCTAGAACCGATAAATGAATTCAGCAAAGTTTCAGGATACAAAATCAATGAACACAAATCAGTAGCTCTGCTATACACCAACAGTGACCAGGCTGATAATCAAGAACTCAACCTCTTTTACAATAGCAGCAAAAAAATAAAATAAAAGACTTAGAAATATACCTAACCAAGGAGGTGAAAGACCTCTACAAGGAAAACCACAAAATGCTGCTGAAAGAAACCATAGACGACACAAACAAATGGAAACACACTTCATGCTCATGGATGGGTAGAATCAATATTGTGAAAATGACCATACTGCCAAAAACAATCTACAGATTCAATGCAATTCCCATCAAAATACCATCATTCTTCACAGAACTAGAAAAAACAACCCTAAAGTTCATATGGAACCAAAAAAGAGCCTGTATAGCCAAGGCTAGACTAAGCAAAAAGAACAAATCTGGAGTCATTACATTACTCGACTTGAAACTATGCTGTAAGGCCCTAGTCACCAAAACAGCATGGTACTGGTATAAAAACAGACATATAGACCAATAGAACAGAACAGAGAACCCAGAAATAAAGCCAAATACTTACAGTCAACTGATCTTTGACAAAGCAAACAAAAACATAAAGTGAAGAAAGGACACCCGATTCAACAAATGGTACTGGACTAATTGGCAAGCCACACATAGAACAATGAAACTGGATCCTCTTCTCTCATCTTATATAAAAATCTCAAGATGGATCAAAGACTTAAATTTGAGACCTGAAACCGTAAGAATTCTAGAAGGTAATATTGGAAACCGTAAGAATTCTAGAAGGTAATATTGGAGACACCCTCCTAGATATTGGCTTAGGCAAAGACTTCATGACCAGGAACCCAAAAGCAAATGCAACAGTAACCAAGATAAATAGATGGGACATAATTAAACTAAAAAGCTTCTGCACAGCAAAAGAAATAATCAGCAAAGTAAACAGACAACCCACAGAGTGGGAAAAAAATCTTCACAATCTATACATTTAAAAACAGACTAATATCTAGCATCTACAAGGAACTCAAGCAAATTGGCGAGAAAAAAAACACATAATCCCATCAAAAAGTGGGCTAAGGACATGAATAGACAATTCTCAAAAGAAGATACACAAATGGCAAAAACATATGAAAAATGCTCAACATCACTAATGGTCAGGGAAATGCAAATTGAAACTACAATGAGATACCACCTTACTCCTGTGAGAATGGCCATCATCAAAACATCAAAAAATAACAGATGTTGACAGGGATGTGGTGAAAAGGGAACACTTCTACACTGCTGGTGGGAATGTAAACTAGTACCACCACTATGGAAAACAGTGTGGAGATTCCTTAAAGAACTAAAAGTAGAACTACCATTTGATCCAGCAATCCCACTGCTGGGTTTCTACCCAGAGGAAAAGAAATCATTATATGAAAAAGATACTTGTACACACATGTTTACAGCAGCTCAATTTGTAACTGGAAAAATATGCAACCAGCCCAAGTGCCCATCAATCAATGAGTGGATAAATTGTGAGATTATATATATATATATATATATATATATATATATATATATATATATATATATATCACACACACATATACACACACACCATGGAATACTACTCAGTCATAAAAAAGAATAAAATAATGGCATTCACAGAGACCTGGATGGAATTGGAAACCATTATTCTGAGTGAAGTAACTCAGGAATGGAAAACCAAACATTCTATTTTCTCACTCATAAGTGGGAGCTAAACTATGAGGATGCAAAGGCATAAGAATGATACAATAGACTTTGAGGACTTGGGGGGAAAGGGTGGGGGAGGTGAGGTATAAAAGACTGCAAATTGGGTACAGTGTGTACTGTCTGGTGATGGATGAACCAAAATCTCAGAAATTGCGACTAAAGAACTTATTCATATTAACCAAACACCACCTGTTCCCCAAAAACGTATGGAAATAAAAAAATTAAATTTTAATTTTTAAAAAAGAATCCTAATTTATTTTGCTACCTAGAAACCCTCTGCTTCCAAAATGAGTCCTAGCCCCACACCCTGGAGCCCCAGAACATCTATTTTGTTCACCCACAACTATTTGTTATTTCTTTTAGTTTACAAATAACAATTTATAAACATGCATGGCAACCCCCTGTTCTTCTTCATGAAAATTGAAATGTGTGAAACTATTAGCTTGTCTGAAACATAAGCCAGAACCACAAGGAAAGCATTTTTCTAGATTTTCCAACCAGAGGGATTTAGTATTGAGGACAAGGAGCATACTAAACACTTACTTGATGTGGCAATGAAATATCTCAGGCTATTTGAAATTAGGAAGGGCTTTTGCTACACTTCAACCCTCTTGATACTTTTTATCTCTCTCTGTCTTATACCTAACTCAAAGAAGAACCAGCTCAAGCTCGGGCATGGTGGCTCAAACTTGTAATCCCAGCACTTTGAGAGGCCAAGGCAGGCAGATCACTTGAGGTAAGGAATTTGATACCAGCCTGGCCAGCATGGTGAAACCCCATCTCTAGTAAAAATACAAAAAAATTAGCTGGACGTGGTGACACATGCCTGTAATCCCAGCTACTCAGGAGGCTGAGGCAAGAAAATTGCTTGAACCCGGAAGGCAGAGGTTATACTGAGAGGAGATCACACCACTACACTCCAGCCTGGGCAACAGATTGAGTTAGACTCTGTCTCAAAAAAAAAAAAAAAAAAAAAAAAAAAAAAAAAAAAAAAAGAACCCGTTCAGCAAACCTCCAATTATTTCATAGGAGTGCATGAAAGCTTGATTTGACATCCTAAAGGAAAGCTTCAGGATGACGGAAATGTTGTCAGACAACAAGAGAAAAATTATTGAAGCCTATACTTCTAGGAAAAGAATAAGTTGTTTGAAGAAACCATGTAATTGGTGGGGCGCGGTGGTTCATGCCTGAAATCCCAGCACTTTGGGAGGCCAAGTTGGGTGGATGATTTGAGGTCAGGAGTTCGAGACCAGCTTGGCCAACATGGTGAAACCCCATCTGTACTAAAAATACGACAATTAGCCAGGCTTGGTGGCATGCACCTGTAATCCCAGCTACTCGGGAGGCTGAGGCAGCAGAGTCACTTCAACCTGGGGGGCGGAGGTTACAGTGAGCCAAGATCACGCCAGTGCACTCCAGCCTGGGTGAAAAGAGTGCGACTCCGTCTCAAAAGAGAAAGAGAGAAAGAAGGAAAGAAAGAAAGAAAAGAAGGAAAGAAAGGAAAGAAAAGAAAGAAAGAAAGAAACCATGTATTGTTTACATGTTGAACACTGTATTAATCCATTTAAGTTACTATAACAAAAAACTATAGACTGGGTTGCATGTCAACTACAAGGTTTTATTTCTCATGGTTCTGAAGGCTGGGAAGTACAATACCAAGATGATGGCAGATGTAGCATCTGGTGAAGGCCCATTTCCTGCTTCACAGATGACACCTTCTTACTGTGTCCTCACATGATGGAAGGGGACAAGGCAGCTTTCTGGGGTCTCTTTTATAAGAGCACTAATCCTAGTGATGACAGCCCTGTCCTCATGACCTAATCTCCTCCCAAAGGCTTCACCTTCTAATATTATGACATTGATGAGGAGGTTTCAGTGCATGCATTTGGGGACGGACATAGACATTCAAGCCACAGCAACCACCTTCAACAATACTATTTCACCTCACCTTCCACATGATAAATATCTATATAAATGTACTCCCTGGATTCCAATTATTAGTCATTTTGTATATCAGGGACATATCAGTTGTGAAGAAATAGCTTGTACAGTCACCTTTTGACTCCTACTATGCATAATGCCATTTAGCTACAAACAGAACTTTTGTTAAAAAATGAAAATTTTGTACAGAGCATATAATTGAAAGAGAAAAACAGTAGACGAAAATAGCTTCCGAACACTATACCCTCGGAGAAAAATATCATTGAGCATCTCAGAATTTCCATAGCATTCGTTCCACAAGAACTATTCAACAAGTAGGAACCTCCCATCTCCTCTGCACCACCACATAAACCCTTCGTTCTTGGCCTACATTTCACTGAAAGTGTTACCTATAGTTATCTTGCCACAAGCTGAGAAAGAAAGAGGTGTACTCAGAATTCATGTCACTATTTCAATCACCTAAGTGTGATTTTTATGTTTCAAATATTAAACATCCTAAATGGTCAAAAAAGTGGGGAGACAATGGATTATACTTTTTAAACATGCAAACCCAACCACTCAATTATACTTATGCTTCAGCTGCAACTTAGAACACTGAAATAGTGCTTCATTTATCAAGCACCCGCAAAAGGGTTTGTTTCTTCGTTTTGTTTTGTTTTGTTTTGTTTTGCTTTGCTGTATTTTTGTTTTTGAGGGGACATGTACACACAGGAAGCTTTCTGGCTCCTTTATTTTCTCATGGAACTGTAGGGGTTTTTGTTTTTTGTTTTGTTTTTTTTCAGAACACCCCATGCCTGCTTTTATAGAAGTCACATAAACAACACCTAGTCTCATTGGAAAACGATGGAAACTTTGTCAGCAGAACTTCATGAAAAAGAAATCTCTTGTTTAGAAAATAAGTCATGATTTAAAAGGACCAGCAGCATCTGTGAAGAAACCCTGTCAATCAGAATCCTACACACATGCAAAGGTTTGCCCGCCTCAGCCCTGTAGGACTGATTCACTCAGACCACACTGCTAGCCCTGTCACCAAGCTTTCGTTCTTGTCTCCCTTTCTCTGTGCCATTTTACCTCCACAAAGTTCAAATTCTTTGTCTATATAATCCTGAGTTAAAATAAAGTTTCAGCAGAAGAAGTAATATGACCAAATTAAGTATAACAAGGGAGTTTTTAAAAAATAAATAAGCTATAAGATCCACTAAAGAATTTACTATGACAGGGAAAAAATTATGTATTTTGTACTAAGTTACACACACTCTTTCAGGGGTACACTAAAACCCATATAACGCCATTGACTAGATAAGCCATTATAAGCTTATAAGCAAGTTCCAAGATGTCAAGAAAGGTGATTAGAAAGTATAGGGAAGCATAATCAGTAATCATCATGATAGAACTTAATTTTCAGGTATATTGTTGAGCCATGATTCTTGTTTCAGAAAGTAGAAAGCAGACCACTTTCCCTGTCCCATTGGTAATGTGAAGGAAACAGTTCTGACTAGAAATGAAGGGGATTGACGAGGTGTTTTTGACACCTGTGCTCAGTCCATTCCTCCTCCTTCCTCCAGACTTTTTGCTCTGTTCTTAGGCAGCGCAGAGATAATAGAAGATCTGCATGGTTGAGTGGGACTTCCTGGTTATGTTGCTTAAGATATCTGAGCACAGGGAGGAGTAAGCCCTGCAAAAAGTCTAGGAAATCTTCAGTGTTTCTAGTTTTCTGCTGCTCTAATTAAACATTTGAGATAAATTAACTGACACACAGAATAAAATCAGATACCTTCTCTCTTGGAATTGGTAGAGATTACATGTCTGAGAACTCAGTATCTAGCCCAAAGCCCAACATATGCAAAGGCAAAAATGACGAACGATTTAGTAAACGAGAATGCAGAAGCTGGGTAACCAGTTACCTAGAGAAAAGCATTCACCTGAGCAAAGGTTACTGTCCAGGGAGTTTTGCTTGTGGTCATATAAAGAAAGCATTATAGTTATTGAGGACTATGTACTAAGGCTTTGTGACAGGCTCTGTTACTGTCTAGTGAAGAGGATTCTGCCATTTAGAATAGGAAGGTGTACAATGTTAACTATTTTACGAATTTATTTTTTTTAGTGTGTTTTTTTTTTATTCTGCCAATTGGAAAGCCATTTTCTATATTGTAACAACCTCAAAAACAAACACATCATACTATTCCTTTTACATTAAGAAATCTGCAGTTATATTTCAGAATATGAATTAGATTGCTAGAAACACATTCTCTCGATACACACATGGATATTTAAAGAATTATAATATTTTAGCCATTTAAAATTATTTTCATTTTCATGAAGTAAACTCAAAAGCTTTCCCTATCAATATGAAGAAAATGTAAGAGGCCGGGTGCAGTGGCTCACGCCTGTCATCCCAGCACTTTGGGAGACCGAGGCGGGCAGATCACGAGGTCAGGAGATCGAGACCATCCTGGCTAACACGGTGAAACCCCGTCTCTACTAAAAAAAAAAAAAAAAAAATTTAGCTGGGCGTGGTGGCGGGTGCCTGTAGTCCCAGCTACTCTGGAGGCTGAGGCAGGAGAATGGCGTGAACCTGGGAGGCGGAGCTTGCAGTGAGCGGAGATCGCGCCACTGCACTCCAGCCTGGGCGACAGAGCAAAACTCCGTCTCAAAAAAAAAAAAAAAAGAAAGAAAGAAAGAAAGAAAACGTAAGAGTATCTAGCTTCTGCGTCTCTGCTATTTATGTAGTCATCTATATGATTCCAGCGTACAATTTGTATGATTAGATTATTAGGGTCCTTTCACTCTATGAAGCACAGGAGAAAAGAATGAGGTTCCCTGAAGAGGAGCTGTTTACAAGGTGGCTGTTATGGACTGAAATATGTCCCTCACAAAATTCCTGTGTTGAAATCCTAACCCCTAATGTGACTATAGTTGGAGATAGAGCATTTAGGAAAGTAATTATGGTGAAATGAGGTCATAAGGGTGGAACCATAATCTGATAGGACTGGTGTCCTTTTAATAAGAGGAAAGAACACCAAAGCTCTCCCTGTCTCTCCTCGAGGGCACAGAGGAAAGGCCACGTGAGAACATAGCAAGTGGGCAGCCCTCTGCACGCCAGGAAGAAAGAACTCACCAGAAACCAGCCCTGCTAACACCTCAATCTTGAACTTCTACCACCAAATCTGGAGAAAATAAATGTGTCGTTTAAGCCACTCAGTGTGTGGTATTTTGTTACAACAGCCAGTGCTGAAGAATACATCTCGCAATGTGTGGCTTCGAGCTGAGAAAGAATGAAACTGTTTTTATTACACATTCCTGTAAAGAGGACTGTGATGCATCATGTGGTATAAGGAATGGGATCTTAGAGGCATTGTTTCCATTTACAGCAGAAACACCTTAAATATAACATAGGAACAAGACATAATCTCTTACTCTAAACTTGGCTATTCTGTTCATGTAAAGAAGGAAATAGAATAAAAGCAGGCTACAGTATCTAGTTTGTTTTGACTTCACTATTTCTTAATAAAGCAGAAAGTTGCACAACTAAGGTGAAAATTCACAAGTGTACAAAGCCAGAGCCAGAAAATAAGTCAGATATGAAACCCATTATAGGAAGAGACAAAAATATTGAAAGATTTAGAATGTCTCACTTAACCTAAATCTAAATTTCCTCCTATCAAGTATTTTATATTATTTACTTGTTCTGAGATAAGTGAGGAAATTGTTCATGGGTTTAAAAAGACATTTGATGTTTCTGTTGTTTTTATCGTTAAAAGCACAAGAAATAGCAGGAACTGGAATTCAGCACCTCACAAATTTAGGCATTGATGATTACACTGACACTAAGAAAAACTCATCATCCCAAAGTAGGTGACAACACTCTTTCTCTCCCTAGGGAATAATCCCTTGTTCAGACATACTATGACTGCAAACTATATGCAATGCAGCTGTCCTTTTTGCCTAGGTACCAGATTTTGTTGGGTACACATAGTAATTTGTATGTTTATAGTTATATTTCAGTCTTATTTAGTGTCCAAACAATTGGGTGGTTTCACAAAAATTTAGATTTCTTCCTTCTCTTTAAAAACCAAACACCTGGCAAGTATGGTTAGAGCTGAGCAGCAACTGTTCCTCTATTTGGGAACCTCAGCTCCCCATAAACTCAACCAAGGCAACTTCACTCATATTTGTTACCTTCCTGTCTCTTCCAGACATTTTCGTGTATAACCTCTGCTTTAATATTGGGAAGTTTTCCACCATGGCACGCATTTACCTATGCAACAAACCTGCACATCTACCTTAGAACTTAAAAATACACACACACACACACATGTGGAGGTTTTGCTTTTTTTTAAAACCAGTGTCTGTGTCCTGTTCTTCCCTCCCCATCAATACTTCTATTCTGATAAAGCAGTCTAACTGTAAACTGCAACACTGGGATGACAACTGGAGAAAGGAAGGGAGGAAGAAGAACTAACAATCATAAATTTGATCTTGGAAAGCACAACCCCTGCAAGAAAACTCAACCAGAGAATGAAAGACAGGAAGATGTGCAGTAATGCACATTTTTATTCTAAAATTTTAAATACTCGGTATATGTTATATATACTTCATATATATGTTCAGTGTCAGAGAACGGGAGATGGGGTTAGAAGAACATACTGTCTTATTTATCAAAGTCATATCAGATTTAACTTCTTCTAGATTCTGGGATCTGGGCTAGGAAATATACATCTCAACCTACCACCCAGCTCTAGATTGAACGGTATTCAGTGGTACCCAAGATGATATTGAATGAAGCCAAAGCCCCAAAGGCCAAGTCTGTATAGGTCATCCATCTCTTATAATGTGAGAATAAGTAAATGAAAAGGTAAAAATGGAGAAATACTAGTGGGGCTCACAGAAAAAAAAATGCAGAAATGTAGAAAAGGGGTATTATCTCAAAGATTCTGAACACAGATGTAAAACTAACTTAGCACAAAAAGAGAAGAAACATCTATAAGTGATTGGCCTTTTTTTTTTTTTTTTTTTTTTTTTTTTGAGATAGAGTCTCGCTCTGTCGCCCAGGCTGGAGTGCAGTGGCCCAATCTCGGCTCACTGCAAGCTCCACCTCCCAGGTTCACACCATTCTCCTCCCTCAGCCTCCTGAGAGGCTGGGATTACAGGCGCCCGCCAAGTGGTTGGTATTTTTTAAAAGACTCAAGATCAGATACATTTACATTGTTGTGCAACCATCAACACCATCCATCTCTAGAACTTTTTTCATCTTTCTCAACTGAAACTCTGTACTCATAAAACAATAACTCCCTATTCCCTCATCCCCAACCCTTGGCAGCCATTCTGTCTCCTTGAATTTCACTACTCTAGGTAATAGGGGAGCGGGGCAGGAAGTGCTGGGTAGAGAAGGCAAATCTGAAAGAGCTTGGTAACACACGCCCATTTGGGCTTCAGGAGTCACAGACACCCATCGCTAGACGCTGCCATGGGGCCTAAGCCCAAACACCCTCACCTGGGCCTCTGTACCTTCCTGTCTGGATGCTCCTGGTAGGGGTTTGAGCTGCGGGATGACCAAGCAGGCAAGCCACACCCTGTCACACGTCCTGCGAGGAGAATCAGGGAACTCTCCCATTTCATAGGTACCTCATACAAGTAGAATCATATCATATTTGTTCTTTTGTGACTGGCTTATTTTACTTAGTATTGAGTAAAATGGTAAACTTTGTTATGTTTATTTTAACACAATTAAAAAATGCTCAGGAAATCACCTTCTTTATGAAATAGGAGTAAAACGTCATGAGGGGAAAATTAAGCAATAGGCTATAATTAAATAAAAGCCAACAGGATATTAGATAGGTAGAATAAGAAAGAATTGCAAATAGATTCTAAAATAGAAAAGGTCATTATATTTCCCACTGGGATTTGGCAATGATTTCTTGTACATAATACCAAAGGTACAGACAACAAAAGAGAAAAACAGACAAATTGGAGTTCCTGAAAGTTTAAAATTTTGTGACTCAAAAGACACTATCAACAGAGTAAAAAAGCAACCCCACAGAATGGGAGAGAATATTTGGAAATCATATATCTAATAAGGGATTAATATTTAGTATAGAGAATTTTTATAACTCAACCAAAAGCAACCTGATTGAAAAATGGGAAAAGGACTTAAAAAGACATTTCTCCAAAGATATACAAATGGCCAATAAGCATGTGAAAAGATTCTCAACATCACTAATCATTGGGAAAATGCAAATCAAAACTACAATTAGATAAAGCCTCACACCCATTAAAATGGCTATGATCCAAAACAAAAAACAAACAAACAAAAACAACCCAGAAAATAACAGGTTTTGATGAGAATATAGAGTAATTGGAACCCTTGTGCACTGCTGCTAGGATTATAAAACAATATAGTCACTGTAGAAAACACTATGGTAGTTCCTCAAAATTTAAAAAAAGGATTACCATATAACCTAGCAACCCTCTATACATGAAAGAACAGAAAGCAGGATCTCAAAGTGATATCTGTACCCCAATACTCACAACATTATTCACAATAGTCCAAATATGTAACCTACTCAAGTGTCCATCAATGGATGAATGGATAAGCAAATTGGGGAATATACATGTGTATCAGTCTGTTCTCATGCTGCTAATAAAGACATACCCAAAACTGGGTAATTTATACAGGAAAGAGGTTTAATTGACTCACAGTTCAGCATGGGTAGGGAGGCCTCAGGAAACTTTCAATCATGGTGAAAGAGGAAGCAAACACATCCTTCACATGGCAGCAGCAAGAAGTGCCTAGCAAAAGGGAAACAAGCCTGTTATAAAAGCACCAGATCTCATGAGAACTCACTCACTATCACGAGAACAGCAGCGTGGGGCTAACCGCCCCCGGGATTCAATTACCTACCACCAGGTGCCTACCCCAATACATGGGGATTATGGGAACTACAATTCAAGATGAGATTTGGGTGGGGACACAGGCAAACCATATTACCATGCAATGGAATATTACGCAGCCCTAAAAAGAACAAAAATTCTGTCATGTGCTGCAATATAGATGAACCTTGAGGACATTACCCTAAGTGAAATAGTCCAATCACAAGACAAATACTGTATAATTCCACTTAAATGAGCTACTTAGAGTCATCAAAATCATAGAGTCAGAAAGTGGAATGGTGGATGCCAGGGGCTTGAGGAAGTGAGGAGTTATTGCTGAATGGGTATAGAGTTTGTTTTACAAAATGAAAAAGAATTCTGGAGATATGGGGATGGTGGTGATGGTTATACAACAATTTAAATCTACTTAATGCCACTGGACTATACACTTTAAAAAATTGTTGTGCTAAGTTTTATGTTATGAATATTTTACCACAATTAAAAATTTAGGAAAAAAGTTGATACTGGAAATAGTATACAGCTAAGCTGATGCTATAGAAAAAAAATGGATCTAGAATGCAGATGACAAACACAAAATAATCCCATGACGTGTGGAAAGCGTTGTTCCTGGCACCTAGCAAGGGCTCAAGAAAAGGCAGCCATGATTATACTTGGGGAAGGGAGGCATAAGATCTCTGTGATGAAGAAATAAGTTAATAGACAGGGAGAAGATGGGAAGGTCCTATGACCCAGAGCCTTCTAAGAACTAGAATATTCAAAAAGGGTCACCACACTCCAGGCCAAGACAATTCAAACAAAACAAATGAACCACAATAATTTTAATGGCAAGGATAGTTTAAAAATCCACAGCATAGGCAAAAAATAAACAAGAGGTTACCTAAAGAGAAAAAAAAATGTTTTCCTATTTGTATCTTTTCTTCTATACTAAATACTATCAGACTATTGTCTTATGGACAACATGCACTGTATTTAATGATCATTCCTTTCACAAAATCGTGAAAAATCAACTCCAACCAAGAAAGAATCAAAACTGAGAACTCAAGAACAGAAAAATTAAAGTTAGGAATAAAATAAGAACTTTAAAAGGAATGCATGAGATGAGGGGGTTTTGATAAAACACCCACAATGGTTAATTTTATGTGTCATTTAACTGAGCTAAGGGGTACCCAGATAGCTGGTAAAACATGATTTCCAGGTGTATATGTGAGGAAGTTTCTGGACAAGATTAGCATTAGAATCAGCGGACTGAGTAAAAAAGATCCATCCCTGCCAGTATGGGTGGGCAGCACCCAAACCAGTGTGGGCCTGAATAGAACAATGAGGCAGAGGAAGGGTGGATTCTCTTTTTCCCTGAGCTGCGACATCCATCTTCTTCTGCCCTCAGACACTGGAGTTTCTGGTTCTCAGACCTTGGGACTAGGACTGAATTATTCTACTCATTTTCCTAGTTCTCCAGCTTGCAAACAGCAGATCATGGGACTTCTCAGCCCCCATAATCACATGAACCAATTCCCATAATCTCCTCTTTCTCTATCTACCTACCTACCTACCTACCTATCACTCCATCCATCCATCTGTATCTATCTATATCATCTATATCTACATCTGTATATCTGTATCCTCTTGGTTCTGTTTCTCTGGAGAACCCTGACTAATACTACACCAAATCACAAAAGTCCTGTTGGGCATCACCACCTAAAACTACCAAAACTGACTGAATTAACAACATTAAGGAACCTAAAAATATAGACAGGCTGATGCCCTCTTCCATAATGGCTCCTCTGTCAAGATTTAAAGCAAAATAACTCATCATGATTGCTGTTTCTTATTATTATCTTGTTATTGAATTTCCTCTAGAAATGCCTATTCCCCACAGATGTTTACCACAAGATTCAAACTCAAATCAGTGAGTAGGTCTAGTGGTGGAAGTAGAGAATGAAACACAGGAGTTTATCAGATTATTCTCTCCATCCATGTGTGGGTTTGAAATTTTGCATAATAAAAAGTTTCTAAAAAAAGAAAAAAATATACATGCAGACACATAAAGAAAAAAAAAAAAGAATACTTAGCAAAATGAAGGTAGCCAATTTGTCCTTCCAGGCAAGAAATGCAAGTGAATTGTGTGAGGTCTTTTTCCTAAATTATAAGTGTTATAATTACTTAGTAAAGAAAATAAAATTTTAAAACTACGTTTAAAAAATAATTATACTTAAGAAAAAATACTGTAAGGAACCTTAAAACACAACTTTTAAAATCAGATTTTATTGAATAATGGAATTATTAATATTTCTCTATTTGTACTTTCCAAATTTCCTTTAAGAATTATAAAATTTAAAATGAATAAATTAATATCTGAGCTTGCTTTTTCTTGCACTGCTCTCTTGGATATATTGGAGAAAAATGAGTTTTCAGTGAAAATTATATTGTATTTTGTTATTTATTCATAGCCTGTCTTATTAAAAATAAATATATTCTCTTTTAAAGTCAGTACTTAAATAAACTGGGTATGAAAATATATTATCAAGCTAACTTTTTTAAATCCAAAAATTTTACAAAAGCAACTAAGAGTCACAAAATGACAATAGCATAAATTGATAATGTTGATTTTTATGGATCAAAATTTAAAGTACCATAAGCCACAGGTTTACTTTCTGTGTTCCTCCTTTATTATTTTAATGCCAGTTTATTATTGAACCTGTAGTCACCTTGCTCTTTAAAAGCTCTCACCAAAAAAAAAAAAAAAAAAAAAACCAACTCATCTATTTTATAATGAAAAGCACTCAATCTTTAGTCAAACCACCAGAATCAAAACCTCTATTTTTTACAAAGCATACTATCATTTTAGCATTTTACTTGATAAAGTATCTGCTTTATGATTTGCCTCAGACTTCAAGCTATTTTCTTGTTACACACTTTTTAATCTCATCACTGCTTCTCCTTGTAATTATTTCTTGTGCTGCTGTAATTTTCCATTGGTCTTTTTTAATTCCACTCTGTGTCTGAGCTGATAGCACACCTGACCTTTCAGGCATCCATTCATTTTGCAGTAAACTCTGACACCTGCATTTCTCCTGCCTTCCTTTTCCAGGATGTTTTTATCCTTACTTCTTGCATCCCTCTACATTTTGCTCCAAAATAATTTACCATCCCTGTTGTCCTCAGGAATAACTTTTGTTCCAATTGCGAAGCTAAATTAATTGGACTCTTTCACTGTCTCTTTGGAAAATTGTCTCTCAGTTGAACATTTCTAATTATGGCCTAAATAGCTCCTACAAATTAAGGTCAGAACCACTCCATTTCAAGAATGTTCAGACTATTGTTAACACAAAGAAAATCTTTTTTATGTATAAACAAACCTTTGGCTAAGTTTTCACCTATAATGTAAAGAGTTTTCCATGAGTGTTTAAATTTTTTTTTTTTTTAAGACAGGGTCTCACTTTGTTGCCCAGACTGGAGTATAGTGGCATGATCTTGGCTCCCTGCACCCTCTATCTCCTGGGCTCAGGCAATCCTCCCACCTCAGCCTCATGAGTAGCTAGGACCACAGGTGTGTGCCTCCATGCCTGGCTAATTTTTTGCATTTTTAGTAGAGACCAAGGTTTGTCGTGTTGCCCAGGCTGGTCTTGAACTCCTGGGCTCAAGCGATCTGCCCACCTTGGCCTCCCAAAGTATACATAGGGGTAAGCCACTGTGCTGGTCTATCTTTAAATATCTTGACTATCAGCACTGCTATCCTCAAAACAATGGGAGACTGAATATAGAAACAGACAATGACCACACCACATATAAATACAGAACTCTGACCCACAATCTGCAGCAGCCAGCCCAGAAAGTCAGATTTGCAGAAAGTCAAACTGTTTACAAGTCAGACTTGCAGAAAGTCAAACTGCTATCTCTAGCAACCAGTCCAGGAAGCCAAACAAAAGCCTCTGTAACAGTTGCACAGGGCCAGGCCTTGATTAATAACTAACAGCTTCCCTGATTTTTTTTTTTTTTTTTTTTGAGATGGAATCTCACTCTGTTGACCAGGCTGGAGTGCAGTGGCACCATCTCGGCTCACTGCAAGCTCCGCCTCCCAGGTTCACACCACTCTCCTACCTCAGTCTCCCAAGTAGCTGGGACTACAGGCGCCTGCCACCATGGCCAGCTAATTTTTTGTATTTACGGTAGAGACTGGGTTTCACCGTGTTAGCCAGGATGGTCTCGATCTCCTGACCTTGTGATCCGCCCACCTCAGCCTCCCAAAGTGCTGGGATTACAGGCATGAGCCACCGTGCCCGGCCACAGTTTCCCTAATTTTTGGCCCCACATCCAACTTAGAAACAATCAGAGAAAGCCAAATATGCACCCCTAACCCATCACATAGGATACCCCCTCCTCCAGCTTCCTGGTGCCAACAGCCTCCAATCAGGGCATTCCTGGAGCCTTCCCTTGCACACTACAAAGCTTTCCCCTCACCTGCCTGCCTTCGACTCTCTGTCAAATGCAAGTGATGGTGGCTGACTCCCTCACTGGAGCAAGCACTGCATAAATAATCCCCGCTTGCTCTCATTTAGGTGGTCTTCATGTACAACCACACTTAGCTTGCAAAAACTCTAATAGAGCTTAACTTTTAGATATGCTATGAGGGCTAAAATGTCCGTTTTCTTTTCTAGTTTATTATTACTGGAGATGTAAGGCTTAAACTTCTAAATGTGTACTACGTCTTTTCCATTAAAATCACACTTACTATACTGGCTTTGTACGTAACATAATTATTTGCCTTTTTCTCTGAGGACTTCTGTATTGATAAACTCATTTATTGAGTGCTTGCTCTGTGTTAGACATTGAGGAGTACATAGGTCAAAAGACACGGTATTAAGTAGGTGTTCACAGTCTAGTGCAGAGGGGACACTGCCATCACTTTGTAATCCATCATTTATTTCACTGAGTATCAGACCATCGCCTATTGCTCTTACATGTCAAATTTAGTACAAGGTGGTAGATGAATTTTATATCTAACAGGGAAAGAATGGGTTTTCTCCTCAGGTTTCTACCAGCTCCCACCTAGAGAAGTGGTTCAGGAAGATGAAAGTAGTACAGACTTCCCGACAGCTTAGAACCCCACTGAAATGGTTCTGGTTTCCAGAAATAGTAGTCAGAGAGCTAAGTTGAAAGGGAACAGATCACCAGGTGCTTAATGGAAACACAGAACTCTCCATCCTCACCAGGAAGCTTCATTTTTATTCTGGCCAAATATAGGGCTTTCCTTTGGGCTATTAACAAAGTCTCTGACAGCAGGGCCTAGAGCAAAGCTCAGAATTGATTTAAAGAACAAGAGGAAAGCCATTTTGTACCTCTAACTTTTCCCATCTAACTGGCAGACAGTGCTGGCTATTTCTCAAGGGAACCGTCTTCTCTCCAGTGGTTCAGCCAGATCGGGAACTCCCGCAAGTATCAGTGATATGAAGACTTAGCCATGATGTTTTCACTCCTGCTTGAAGATACTCAGATTTATGGTTTCCAATTTAGGACAAGAATTATTTGTTCCTAATTTACAAGAGAAAAACAACTCCATTAAAAAGTGGGAAAAGGACATGACAGACACTTTTCAAAAGAAGACATTTGTGTGGCTCATAAACATATAAAGAAAAGCTCAGCATCACTGATCATTACAGAAATGCAAATCAAAACCATAATGAGATACCATCTCACACCAGTCAGAATGGCCATTATTAAAAGACAAAAAATAACAGATGCTGGTGACATTGCAGAGAAAAGGTAACACTTATACACCGTTGGTGGGAGTGTAAATTAGTTCAATCATTGTGGAAAGCGGCATGGTGATTCCTCAAAGACCTAAAAGCAGAGCAACCACTCAACCCGAGAATCCCAAAACTGGGTATATACCCAGAGGAATATAAATCATTCTACCATAAAGACACATGCACATGTATGTTCATTGCAGCACTATTCACAATAGCAAAGACATGGAATCAACCTAAATGCCCATCAATGACAGACTGGATCAAGAAAATATGGTACATTTACACCATGGAATACTATGCAGCCATAAAGAAGAATGAGATCATGTCTTTTGTGGGAACATGGATGGAGCTAGAGGCCATTATCCTTAGCAAACTAACACAAAAACAGAAAACCAAATACCACATGTTCCCACTTACAAGCAGGAGCTAAATGATAAGAACTAATGAACACAGAGATGGAAACAAGAGACACTGGCGTCTACTTAAAGGTGGAGGGTGGAGGAGGGAAGGGAGCAGAAAAGATGACTATTAGGTACTAGGCTTAACATCTGGGTGATTAAATAATCTGTACAACAAACTCCCGTGACACAAGTTTACCTATGTAACAAACCTTCACATGTACCTGTTGTGGTGATCAGACCCAACACCAGGTCGTGGGGGTGACAAAGTCTGGCAGAGTCAAAGGATTGAGAAAAAGACAGTGAGAGAGAAAAAGGTGGGACACCAGGGGGCCATCGCTAGTGTGCGGAGGCTGCGAAGGCCCCAAGCTCTGGGAGCCCACGCTATTTATTGATAACCCAACAGAGAAACAGGTGGTGAGAATACGGAGGTCAAAAAGGACACGTTGCATTAAGCACATGATTTACAGCTGTGATGGTTTAGCATTTATATGGAACATGTTCTGATATTTGAGATAATGGGAATAGGAGCCTAGGAACCTAGGAGCAAGGAGCCAGCAAGTCTAGACACATTCCAGAGGATATTATGCAGGCCCTGCCTCAGTTTCCTTCCCAATACTCAGCTTTTTCCCAACATGTACCCCTGTACCTAAAAGTTAAAATAACTAAAGAAAGAAATCTTTGTTCTTCCACACCCCAGCTTAACTAGTCCACCATTTGTGAGAAAGTACTGTTTCTCCACATAAATCTCCATATTTATATATATGGTTGAGATGAGTGCGATAGCAGCCTCCAGGCAGGGGTACCCTAGAACCAGCAGCATGAGGTTGAACCAGCCTTGAAAAAAATAAGTCATGACAATTAAGAGGAAAAGTTATGTGGCAAAGTATCGTGCAGGTTCAATACCAGGGTTGTGCCAGAAGTTCTGATAGAAGAGAATTACTAATTAGCCTGTGTGCTCCATTCCCTCATTTGTTTTGCTTTCCATTTAACCTGACTAGAATGTAAAATTCCCTGCCTGAGATGGAAATTGTTCAGCCCTCTCATCACGTATTGTGTGGGAATTTTTCTTCCTTCCAAAACTACACTTCCAGGGGCATATGCTCCTTGCTGCCTAGCTGAAAAGGAATATTTGTAAAACTCAGTTACAAGGCCCAAAATGAGCATTCAAGAATATGCTGATATCAGGCCCGAACTTCTGTGTGCTTTTCAAGTCAGGGCATAAAACTCAAACCAGAGTCAGATTCTAAAATGAAAATGTTATACAGAAATTTTCAATTACCTACGAACCCCCACAGCTACTGTGGGGTTATTTGAAGGTATATCTGTAGAGATTACCTAAGCGAAAGGAGGGTTTTCTAATCATTAACACAGGGTTGGAAAATACATTCAGGAGATATTTGTTTTCTTTTCATCTTTCTGCATGAATGACAGTCTACTTTATCTTTGATGACCCCTGGGAAGAATGTGCCAGGTGCCCTCAGTGACTCTTCATCAAGTCCTTGACATACCTGCCTCCCAGTAGTTTGCTATTAGCTCATGCTTGCACTGAGACTACAAGTTCATGCTTCCGGACACTAAAAATTAGGTCATGAATTGTGTTTAAGGTGATACATTTACACATACACATGCATCCTAATTTGAAGGATTTAATTATACATTCCTTATACCTGCAAATTGAACCAGAACAAGATATTTGTGATCCCTGCACAAGAAAATAAAGAAACCTCATCTTCAGGCCACTTACAGTCTCATATAGAGTGTGATTTCTAACCACACCATTTTAATGACTGGAAGCTGATTCAAACTTCCTTTCTACTAAACCTGCACCAAAGCGTTTTATATTCTTCCAGATTCTTTATAGGCTTGTACTTGGTAATTAATCCCCCAGGTGTAATATAAAGTGAGGCAAATACAAATATCCAGGCTCCTGGAAGCAGCTGGCTGTGCAGGTGACGCAGGTAAACAGATCAGCATCTGGAACCTAATTGGAAAATCGGGGCGAGGGATGGGGTGGCAGGAGGAAGGAGAAAAGAAGGCTGCAAAATCAACCAAGCAACACTTCTATTTCCAGAGAAAGCAGAATTCACTGGCTAGATTAAAAATGACCACGAAATTTTATTGCCAGCTTATTTCCACAATGTAAACATTATTAAATGAAAAGAAACAAGAACCCAATTCAGTTCCAGTGTGAGTGTAAATAACAGTAATAGGCAATGCAGCAGCACACCATATCTGACCCCCTGGGTCCCAGGCTCATAAACCTCCTCTGCTTATGATGACAAACGCTCCAGGGTATAGTATACCCAGGCCCAGTGAAACTGCATACAAAATTGAACACCTTCCAGTCCATGAGTCTTGTTCATTCTTTGTGGATCGTAATGTATGATTAGAAGACTGCCTTCTCAGATTTTTGCTCTCATTTCAAATTCTTTCTGGAAAAGTAACTTTCTAAGCAGAAGAATGATTCTCAGTTGTTATCATCAATTGGTTCAGCAAAAAAAAAAAAAAAGAGAAACAAACCACCGCAAAAGCAGATTCTGTCAAAAACTGTATGTTCCTTATAAATCTTTTTAGAATTATTAGAACCAACTAATATATTAACATGCTAAAATAATTCCAGTCTATGGAATAACTAGATCAAATGGTTACTAGAATTGTTAGTAAATCAAATGTTTACTGAAAATTACAATCTCATAATTAAATCATTTGTGCTAAAAGAATAATTTTGAAACTTTGCCATAGTCCTTATGCAGTTTATAATCTGGGGAGAAAATAAGACATCGATGGAACAGGAAACATAGCACAAATGCCTTATCTGTGTAAATAGGCTGCAAGTTTATTTTCAGAGCAAAGGAAAATTTTTAAGGAAAGGAATATTCAAGAAAGACATTTATGAAGGCAGCTAGGTTTTCAGCTAACCCTTGAAGAATGACGAAGCCATAGCGAAGTGGCAGGGAAATACTGCAGCTGTGAAGAATAGCATGAGTGAGGTGCAGGTCATAAAATGGTCGCACATAAGATTAACGAAGAGAAAAAGCAATAGCTTCCCTCCATACTCAGACCAGCCAAATGAACAATATCACAATAAACTGCATTCACAAAAGCCTTATTAAAAAACTGTAAAGCACTTATAAATAAATCTTTCAAGAGAAGTGCATGATCCAGATAAACATCCTGAAACTAAGTGGAGAGAGAAATCCATTCTTACATAAGGAAACTTAATGCCAAAATTGCTGGTAATTTTCCTTAATTTATATATTCAATGAAACTTCAATTAATACTTTAATTTCTTAGAACTTCACAGAACTTGAAAACTTGATCCTAAAAGTCACGTAAAAGAGAAAAGCAACATGAATAGCAAAGAAATCTTGAAAAAGAATAAATTAATGCTTGCTTGGTATTATACAACACTGTAGGAAATTAAACAGTGTGAGTAAAGGTTCCAGAGATGATAAATAGATCAGTGAAACAAAACAAAGTATTCAGAAACAATCCCAATTATTTAGAGCTGAAAATATTAAAAGGTGGCATTTCAAAGCAGTGGGAAAGGATATACTATTCAATTTGCCCACACTGTGTTGGAACAATTGGCTATAAATTTTTCTTTAATAAAAGTAAGGTTAGATCTCTGCATCACATTAATAACAGACATCAATCCTCGATGCACTAAAGGACTCAGTGTGAAAAACAAAATTCTGGTAGCGTGGAAAAAAACAGAATTGTTTATAACCTTAAAGGGAGGTGGGAACCTTTCTTAAATAAGATGCAAAGCAGAGGAGCAATAAGGGAAAAAAATGGATAAATGGGCCTACATAAAAACTTTAATCTCTACTGCAAAAGAAAAGCCTAGTCTGGAAGAAAGTGTTTGCAAAATGTAACACATACAATGCACGAATATCCAAAATTTTTAAACTTCCAGAGGCCTTCCCTTCCCCTACCCAAATTCCCAATATAAGCAGAGCCCATAAATCAGCAAGCATCTTCATTTCTTCTTGTAAGAACTGGGAAAAAACAATCCTGAGCTAGAACCAGAGCAACGCAGAGGACAGCATAGCTCAGAGAGCACGAGAAACACGACACTTCCAAAAACGCAGGACAGATGTTCAGGGCAAAAGGTGTATCCCTTTTTTGGCGACACAGTTGTGAGAAACTGGTTAAGCTAAGCTGCTGAAACAAGCTCCATAGGACACAGCTTTGTTTCAAAAACCAGGTGAGATATGGCTACAAATAAGTCATAATTTCCAATGCAGAGGAAAAGAAAAGCACCAGGAATGAAATTCTGCACTAGTCTAATACCCCACAGGAAACTTGCTTTCCTTGGGTGGTCCAGGAAAGCCCAACTTATTCAAAATCAAGCAAAATAAATAAAAGGAACGGGCAGGGAACCAATGTGACAATGCAATAAATGAGAGAGAAGGCACCAGTAAAACTCATTATCAGATGAGTAACAACAAAAGTAAATAAATAAAAATGTTGCCAAAGAACAGAACAATCTATAGCCAAACATTTTGTGAGGAATTTAAAGTGTAATGGCCTCTAGAATGAAACCAGAGAAATACAAATCTTATCAGAACTGCTATACAATTCACACATGTGTGCGCACACATACACACACACACACACACACATCGAAAACAGAAGGAAACAGAGATCTCATTGTAAAATGCTTTTTAACATGTATAAAACCAGAAAATATATGAATGTAACATAAGAGAACTAAGACCAAGTATATCTATCATATCAACAACTATAAATGAGCTAAACTCAACAATTTAAGAAATAATTGATCACTAAACAAAAACAGTATATATATATGTATATGTGTATATATATGTGTGTATATATATATATATATATGTATATGTATATGTATTTTTTTAAAAATCTAAACAGAACTGAAAAGGTTGGCCATAAAAAAGAGGGGTAAGAAATGAAACCCGGCTGGGTGCAGTGGCTCACGCCTGTAATCCCAGCACTTTGGGAGGCCGAGGCAGGAGGATCACGGGGTCAGGAGTTCAAGACCAGCCTGGCCAATATGGTAAAACCCCGTCTCTACTAAAAATACAAAAATTAGCTGGGCATGGTGGTGCGTGCCTGTAGTCCCAGCTACTTGGGAGGCTGAGGCAGAAGAATCACTTGAACTCGGGACACGGAGGTTGCAGTGAGCCAAGATCGTGCCACTGCACTCCAGGCTGGCCACAGAGCGAGACTCTGTCTCAAAAAAAAAAAAAAAAAAAGAAAGAAACGAAACCCAAATAAAACCAAAAAGAGGCAAGAAATAGGGGAAAAGAGAGAAAAAGAGAAAGAAAGATCATGATGTTATTAAGAGATGCAATGAAAATCAGAGCCAAAAACTTTTTTTTTTTTGAGACAGAGTCTCGCTCTGTCACCCAGGCTGGAGTGCAATGGCAATGGCACAATCTCGGCTCACTGCAACCTCCACTTCCAGCTTTCAAGCGATTCTCCTGCCTCAGCCTCCTGAGTAGCTGGGACTATAGGCACGCGCCACCATGCCTGGCTAATTTTTGCATTTTTAGTAGAGACGGGGTTTCACCATATTGTCCAGGCTGGTCTCAAACTCCTGAACTCATGATCTGCCCACCTCAGCTTCCCAAAGTGCTGGGATTACAGGTGTGAGCCACTGCACCCAGCCACCAAAAACTTAAAAGATCAAAAAAATTACAAAGACAAACAGGTACTTCAAAATGTTTAAAGGTGGTATTCACAATGAAGATAATTTAGGAATACCTATACTCCAAGCAGCTTGGCCCCAACATCTCTAATGAAAAAAACACAGGAGACACAAGAGACAGATACAAACTAGTAGTAGGAAATGCATACTGTCAGTCTAAAGCAAATAGATAAAAACAAATCCTACAAATCTAAAAACTTGCTGTTGCTGGTAAGTAAACTTAACTATTCTATGCTCAAACACTTTGTTGAGAGGATATTTGGGTTAATGTCATTCCATTGGACTGACACTAGAAACCAGCATAATGTGGGCTTGAGAAGAGCAGAGCTGCAAGTCAGGGAGAATTTTACATTTGGCTATATTCAGTTTTACCACCACATAAAAGGGGAATATCCTAAAGGCTGCAAGCAGTTCAGAAAAGTATTATTAGAAAGGGAGATGGAAAGAGAAAAAAATATTCTTCTGCATCATAGAAGAAAAGATGTCATCGTTATTTTTTACTAAATGTAGAAAATATGTTTAGTCCTATTAGATTTATGTTTTCCTTTTATATTTCATTTTGACAGATATATCTGTATTCATAATATCCATGTCATATTAGTATAACATTAGGTATTGAATTTAGAAATAAACTATCTTTATATATGGGGGAAGTCAACATTTAAACAATTTAAATAACAGTAAGTTATATCTAACATATTTATAAAATTCAGAAAACAGTGAAGACAACATTCTTGTTAAGTATCCATGAACAATTCATAAAAAATAGCTGCATATTTGACTCCAAAATATGAATAAATATGAAAGCACCAAACTGACAGCCATAGTTGGGTAGGCAGGTTTCTGGCTTCCAGCCTTCATCCTGGGTGTCACTACCATGAGTTACATGACAAAAGATTTCATTTAGGTTACCAACAAGTCAACTTATAGTGAGATTATCCTGGATTATTCAAGTAGGCCGAATGTCATCATACCAGCCTTTAAAAGCGGAGCTTTATCCCTGCTGAGGACAGAAGAGGAATTTGAAGAAATGCAGAAGATGGGGAACATGTAAAGCCGGTGAAAGATTCGAACCTCGCTGGCTTGAAGATGAAAGGAGCCACGTGGAAAACACATGAAGGAAATGAATTCTGCTAAGATTCTGAGGTTGGAAGAGGACCCCGGGCCCTGCTGAGAACCTTCATTTCAGCCTTGTGAGCCCGTGGGCAGGGAAATCAGCCAGGCCCACCAGAATGTCTGACCTCCAGCACTGAGATCATAACTAGGTGCTGTTTGAAGCTGCTAAATTTGTGGTAATTTCTTATACAACAAATTGCATGTGGTTATCTCTGAAAAGAGAAATGGGCCAGGCGCAGTGGCTCACGCCTGTAATCCCAGTATTTTGGGAGGCTGAGGCAGGCGGATTACCAGGTCAGGAGTTCGAGACCAGCCTGGACAGCATTGTGAAACCCCATCTCTACTAAAAATACAAAAATTAGCCAGACGTGGTGGCACACGCCTGTAGTCCCAGCTACTCGGGAGGCTGAGGCAAGAGAATCACTTGGACCCAGGAGGCAGAGGTGGCAGTGAACTGAGATGGCACCACTGCACTCCAGCCTGGGTGACAGAGCGAGACTCTGTCTCAAAAAAAAAAAAAAAAAGAAAAGAAAAGAGAAATGTGAGATTGGGGTCAATGGAAACTTAGATTCATAGGAACAGTTTGAACTTTAAAAAAGAATATATTTATGATACCTGCAAGTTCAGTTTAAAATTTTAAATTCTAACCTCAGCTCAAGAAGCAGGGCTAAATCTGTACACTGACAGTGGGCCGAACAAGAGAGTGGAATAAAAAGATGAGATAACTATTTCTCAGATTTTAAGTAACAATATATGAAGGTTTGTTTGGTGGTTAAGGCTTATTTATTTTGTTCTAAATCTATTGTTAAACATATGGATACTCTATAAATTTGAAAAATGGATTGATCTTTAAATGAACTAATAAGGTTTTCTCAGAATTTTTATCACAGAGTACTTGGTAGTGTTGGAAATATTTCATCCAAAGAAGTAGAATATCAATTGCAATAAAGAGACTTGTCTTTTTTCCCCCAAAGTGTCAATGAGAACTGTAGGCAGTGATTTATTTGACCACTTTTTACAGTAAAATGCTGCCAAAGTAGAAATAATTACACTTGGCCAGCGTATTTTACTGCCATTTAGGTGATCACACACACATGAATTTATCTTGGCAATCGTAAGTAATATAGTTTTAACATTTTCATACACTTCATACTGGAATGAGTCTCACAAACCTAAAATTACCATATCAAGAAGCTAATTCAACCATTCAAACAATAGGAATATTGAGAGTACTGATGCCTTCAGAATTTTAGCCCCCTGCCCAAGGGCATAACAGTTTGGTAGTATCAATGTACTCATAATATTTTTAAGGAATTTGAGTTTAAATTTACTTCACTAACGTGAATAACCTCACCTTTATTTTATGACTCAGTATAAAACTAGTTAATTTAGCTTTTCAAAAGACTCATACATATAAACTTCATAAAGAGCCAGTTCCACTCTGAATTCTGGCTTTTCTCACACACATTTTATCAAGAGCGCAGGCTCCCAAGAGAGTTCTGATAATCATGTCCCTTTGATTCATTCCCATCCAAATTATTCACATGTAAATAGGTCAACTCAGTCTTTTATTTCTGAATTTTGTCCTCTCATGATGATTCAAAGAATGAGCCAATCTGTTACCTATTCATTTTTTAAATGTTTATTTTTCTTGCACAGAAATTCTGACATAGATATTAGATCACAAACAGGATAAGAGAGGAAAATACTTCCTTTTTCTTTTTTTTTTGAAATGGAGTTTCGCTCTCATTGCCCAGGCTAGAGTGCAATGGCACTCAGCTCACTACAACCTCTGCCTCTCAGGTTCAAGCAATTCTCCTACTTCAGCCTCCCAAGTAGCTGAGATTACAGGTGCCTGCCACCATGCCTGGCTTTTTTTTTTTTTTTTAATATTTTTAGTAGAGATGGGGTTTCACCATGTTGGCCAGGCTGGTCTTGAACTCCTGACCTCAGGTGATCCACCTGCCTCCGCCTCCCAAAGTGCTGGGATTACAGCTGTGAGCCACTGCACCCAGCCAATACTTCTTCTTTATATAACCTTTTAAATTCTATTAAACAATTAACCAGGGCTAGCTGAGAAAAAAAGAAAAAAAGCATTTTTAACCATCTGATAACAATGACCAAAAAATACAAGAAAATATACGAAAATATATGAAACAAACAAGAATGACTAAACAATACAAAATAATCAGTTAATAAAAAGTATACCCTAACTTTGAATATTTTCTAAATCACTAAACATTAAAGAATACATGAATAGCTTTAAGTTGACCTTTTCTGTGGGTTTCCCAGCTTACTTGCTGATAAATCATTTCTTGTTTTTCCACAGGCATTTACTTGGGAAGCCACAGTTTTTTTTTTTTAAATATACTTCCTCAAAAAATAAAAAGCAAACTGTTTTTAAATACACTTTAGATTTTCTTGGTATCTAAGTCCATATGTTTAATTATTTCTTGATAAAATCAAGCATGTCTAGTACCTGGTATCTAGTAGGCACTTAGCAAATTTGGTAAATATATGAATCTAATACATGTTTTGTGTTTCTGAAGTCAGAAGTCATAGAATTATTTAATGTCAGGTAAGGATACCTGATCAGACTGGATTAAGAAAATGTGCACATATACACCATGGAATACTATGCAGCCATAAAAAAGGATGAGTTCATGTCCTTTGTAGGGACATTGATGAAGCCGGAAACCATCATTCTGAGCAAACTGTTGCAAGGACAGAAAACCAAACACCACATGTTCTCCGTCATAGGTGGAAACTGAACAATGAGAATACTTGGACACAGGATGGGGAACATCACATAGCAAGGCCTGTCATGGGGTGGGGGGAGGGGGAGGGATAGTATTAGGAGATATACCTAATGCAAATGACGAGTTAATGGGTGGCACATATATACATGTATATACATATGGGTGGCACATATATACATGTTACATATATACATATGTAACAAACCTGCACGTTGTGCACATATACCCTAGAACTTAAAGTATAATATTAAAAAAAAAAAAGGATACCTGATCAGGAAATAATCCCATTGTCCTTGTACTCTCTTGTCTCTGACTATAACCCCACCAAATTCAGAGACTAAATTTTAGGTAATAATAATGCAAAATACCAGATTAGAAAAGAAAGCAACAGGTGTGCTTTATTTTGGAAGCAACACAACACACACACACACACACACACACACACACGCCAAAAGAAGCGGAGCGCTCATAGTATAATACACTATAATATCATGACAGTTGGAGTGGAAACATTCAGATTATCGGGGTAGGCATTCCTTCATCTCTCTAGCTAGCCTCCTTCATTCCAGAAAGAGGTGAGTGAGTGAGTGCAGAAAGATGGAAAAGAGCCTAGAGCTGCTGTTAAAGAGACCCACACAAGCTGTGCTTAAGACCTAATTGGAACCAATTTTTAAAAAGGCATTTATCTTACATAAGCTAAACCTGGAGGATTTAAAGTAAAACAAACATATTGTTAACTCTAATTATACTGTTAACTCTAATAAAGAATTTAAAAGATTTTTTCCAACTACTGTTAGGAACACATGGAGGTTGGAAATGGAGTTCTGTTCTGGACAGGTCCTTCTCTACGCTGAAGTAGAGATGTCAGGTAGGCAATTGGATACAAGAATTTATAGCCCAGGGAAGTATTAATAATTTGTGCTGCACTAAAATGTAAGGGTATGAGTATGCAAAGAATCCCTAACGCCTTGCTCTGAATGATAATGTAGGGAAAGGGAGTTGTCAAGGAATAGAAAGTCCAGGATTAAGCCTTGGTGCATCCCAAGGTCTAGTGACCATAGAGGTATCAAAGAAGATTCAAAAAGATGACCAAGATGGGGCAGGTAGGTAGTCATAGAGAAGAAAGAGTGGACTCCGATTTTACAGAGGTAACATGAACGTGTTTACAAGGAGGGAGTGAGCAGCTGTATTGAATGATGCTGCTAGGTTGAGTAAGTTGAGTATAGGCAAGTGTTTTAGGATTTAACAACAGGAGAGGTGGATGATTTTGACCAGAGCAGCTTCATGGCAGAAGCTGAAATGGAAGCCAGATTGGGGCAGGTTTAAGAGGAGATGTAAGAATTTGTCCTGCCTTTCCTCCCACTAAGCCTGCTACGACTCTAATTCCTTCGTTTTCTGCCCCTTCATTTTTTCCCACGATTGGCCCTTTTCTGGCCCCTGTACTTCCTTATTTAGTGCAGACCATAAGGCACCTGGGCCACTTCTCAACAATTCCCACAAATCTCTCACAACCCTGTCTTTCTGTCATGGTTGCTCTTAATGCCCCAACGCTAGCACTCCTACAATCTGCCTCCACTGCTCTCACACCCTGGGCTCCTGGATGCTGGTGCATGACAATGCTACCATGTAAACAATGTTGCTTCTAAAGATCATGTCACAACTTGATGACCCTCGTATGTGTTCTTGGTGAGGTTCAGCCCCAAAGCCTTCTGATTATGCCTCCTATCAATGCCCACCTTATCATTCCCCTTGACCTTGCTCCTACTTCAGTAAGAAAACTGAGGTCCTTGAACATGAACTACCTCCATTTCCTGCTGTCCCTACACCTCTATGAATTTGCCTACTGTAAGGAACATGGCTGTGCTTTGGTCAAGGATAGGCTGAGGTAGGATGTTTACATTTTGTGTGACTCAGCGAGTTTAGAGCACAGGTGTATAACTCCACTTGTTATCATAGGCATGTAGCCATAATATGGGAAGGCCACCACTTGGCTCTAAGCCACTATTGTCTGATAAAGGTATAATTGCCCTGCTGACACTGTCCATGTGCTTGAGCTGGCACCCAGAGAAAGAGAGCCAAAGCTGTCCATTTTGCAGACGGACGGGGGGAGCCAGGGCACAGCCCAGCTCAGCTCGTGACCAGAGAAAGAAAACTGCTGACCCTGAAGGCAGGGGAGAGCCGGCCGTGCAGCGGTGGGTGGGAGCCGGCCTCTGAGCCAGAGCAGACAGCCAAGACAAGGCGGGCAATATGAAAGAGCTAGTGTGAGTAAGCTGCTGATGAGAGAGCTGCTGAATAAAACTACATTTCACCTGCTTAAGACCCCAAGTGTTCTTTCAGCTATCTGCTCATCCACCCACTCCCTTCAGACCTCAGCATGGGTTGGAATCTGACCCCAAGCTGGGCATTTGGCACAGTCGTGAACCTGACACCTACATACTTACTTTCACCATTCAGAAAATAAGTGTCCCCTTCCTGTCCAAGCCAGTTCACCTATGAGTCCTCTTAATCCCACTCATTTCTTTTTCTCTTGGACTGGGTTATTTCTATTATCCTCCATCTCTTTCCAACACCTCACATTTATGACACACCTCACATTTATGGCAATGTGACCTCACATTGTCATGCCCTCTTCCCCTGCGTATTACCTCCTTCACCGCTCCCCTTTCTCTTATCATCCCTTCTCAATGAAACGTATTTTAAAAATCAGCCCACATTCCCCATCTCCCATCCACTGCTTCATTCTCTCAAATCTAGCTTCAATTTCTACCATTCCCATGAAATTGCTCTCAGACGTCAGTCACCGCCAAATGAACACTTTTGAGCTGTTATCTCATGCAACTTTCCTGCTACATTTGACTTATTTTTTTTTTAAGAGATGAGGTGTTGTCCAGGCTGGAGTGCACTGGCTATTCACAGATGCAATCCCACTTCAGCGTGGGAGTTTTGACCTGCTCCGTTTCTGACCTGGGCCAGTTCACCCCTCCTGAGGCAACCAGGTGGTCCCCACTTGCAGGAAATCACCATATTGATGCCAGACTTAGCATGGGCAGCCAGCATAGCGCACTACAGCCCAGAACTCCTGGGATCAAGTGATCCTTCTGCCTCAGCCTCCCAAGTAGCTGAGATAACAGGCACACGCCACCATGCCTGGCTTTACTTATTTTTCATCCCTTGAAATTTGTCCTTTCTCAGGTTTCTGAACTCTAAAACTATTTCTTTCTGCTTTCTGACAGTTCCTTCTTGCACATATCTTAGTGTTGGCATTCCAGGGTTCTGCTTGCAGTCCAATACTCTTTCTGTATTCTACTTTGAGTGCTTTCATCCACCCTTATGTTATTGATTACCACATACACATTGATGGTTCCCAAATCTAAATATTATTGTCTCTTTTGTGATTTCCAAATCATGGATCAGTTATCTCCCAGGTATCAGATGTAACAAGGACAAAACAGAATTAATTGTCTTTCTCCTGCCCAAACTCCTGACACTCATTAACATGATCAGGTTTTAATTAATGAATAAGCCAGATGCAACCTAAGAATATGTAGTCCAGGCAACCCAGCTAGAGATAAAACATTTTAGCACCTAGAAGTTATTCTCATAGTGTTCCTTCTTGATTCTGGCTTCAGTTTTAAATAATTTGCCAGGTGCCAGTCTAACATAGGGTGACACTTTCCTATGTGGAAAAATAGAGTTTTTCTAAGGAAGGGTTCATGATTTGGAGTCTTGCAAAGGAGGTGGCACATGGGCAGGGAGACGAAAGAAGGCAATAAGTATCTAAGTCCTAATTCTCTGATAAGAAGTGTCTATAGAAGTCAGGCCAGTTCTCAAATGAGGAGCCAGACCCATGGCCATTCTTGTGAGGGTATGGTGTGGCTGGTCCAGTAGCTGTGCTGGGATACAGAGGTGATGACATCAGACAAGTGGCCAGCAAAAAATAGTGGCTTCTATTAACTATTACAAACTTAGACTGTATACCTGGCATAGAATGTCTGCATCGAGGGATGAGGAAACTCAACTTTGTCTGTACTCCCCCAAGGAGATGCAGTAGGAAAGTCAAGGTCCAACGACAGAAGCACAGAGAACCCACTGTGTTCAAAAGGACTAGTGGTGGCATCTGTGTATGGTCTCAAATGCACTGGCCTCTACATGACTGCCATGGAGTAGATCTTTAGTGATGTACAAAGTGACAAGGAAGTGCATGCCAAGTTTCCCACTACTTTCCCAAAAGGACAGGGTAGAGGAAGGTCAGTGGAGTTTAGAAAGTTCCTAAAAATATAATGAGGTTGTAGAAATTATTTATCAAGTGGAAGAAAAAGGAACCAAACAATGTATCCAGAGACCCAGGCCAGGCTGAGGGATAGGCTATAGAGATTCCTGCTTAGTAAGCTCATGTTTCATGATGACCTGAAGAACCTTCTAGTTTGCAGTGGAAATGCAGCTGATATATGAAAAAGGAAAGACAGCGACAAAGGTAATACACACTTAAGGACAAGGGTAAGCCCAGAGAGTCCTTGTCTCAAGTTCAGGATCAAGTTTTGTTCACAGATGTCAAGGTGAGTCATGGCAATAAAAGACTGGGGTATGGCCAATGAAATCTATAGGCATGGAGGATTGTAAAGCACCAACTTCAACATCAAGGGCAAGGACACATCTCAGCAAACATGTGGGTTTCTGCTGTTGTGGTGGGCAGGATGCCATATAGAGGCAGCGTGGGCCCCACAGGGAAATGTGTGTGGGGTTTTGGGTGAGCCACCTCAACCCCTTACAAGATTAGGCTCAACTCATCTAGACAACTCAAACAATCCCCGTCCTCAGACAAGTAAGGCCACAGGCACAGTAAGAACCCAAGAACTTGATCTGTACTGCTTGATGAAGGGGACAAGTGGCTACCATCTTCCTACAAGCAGCAATTTTCCCATGACCCTAACAACTATCAAAGTTAGGTATTGGTGGGTTGAATGCATCAGCTTATTGCTCCTTGGGTGATTTTGGAATTTTCAGTGAAATTCCAAGTGGAATTTGGGTGAATTTGGAATAAGTTAGGAGTATCACAGTCCTCCCAGGATATTCTGATCCAGCAAGTCTGCCAGTGGGAGTTTACTACACAGGCATTGTCCTGGAGGGTGCAGTAACTGCACTAAACCTAAGGCTGATTGTGATGATTAATTTTATGTGACAACTTGTCTGGGCTAAGGGATACCTGATAGCTGATAAAACATTATTTCTGGGTATGCCTGCGAGGGTGTTTCCAGAAGAGATTAGCATGCGAATCAGTAAACTGAGTAAAGAAGATCTGCCCTCACCATTGTGAGTGTGTATCATCCAATACATTGAGGGGCCAGATAAAACAAAATAATGAAGGGTGAATTTGCTCTCTCTTCTTGAAACATCTGTCTTCTCCTGCCCTTGGATATTAGAACTCCCAGTTCTCAGGACTATGAACTGCAGGACTTACTCCAGCAACCCACCACCTCGCCCCCTGCCGCCAATTCTCAGGTCTTTAGACTCAGACTGAATTGTACCACTGGCTTTCCTGGTTGTCCAGCTTGTAGACAGCATATCTTAGGACTTCTGGGTCTTCATATTTACATGAGCCAAATCCCATAATAAATCACCTCTTGTATATTATATATGTATATCTATAGATCCTATCAGTTCTGTTTTCTGGAGAACCCTAATATACTGATGTATGATGCTGTGTCCACAGTGGTTAAACCCCTGGGAACCAAGTGCATGAAGCAGGTTTGATCCTTCTACCCACCCATCCTGCAGATCCACTCGAGTAATTTATGCTTCCCAGCTCTGCAACCTTAAGGTTTGCTTGATTGAAGGTCTTGGTTCCCAGCATGATGATCACTTACATAAGAGAGCACAGTAACCTTCCATAGAATCAAAAGCTACAGCTCCCGCCTGGTCACCGTATCTCCTTATGTTGGTGAATTAAGAGACAAAAAAGAAGGCTGGGCTGCCCTTGCTGCTTTTAACAGTGAATAGGACTTTGCAGCCACCAGTTCTCGCAACAGAAAAGAAGAAAACACATCCCCAACCCCAGCCCCTGGGACAAGGCTTGAATCCCCTTAACTCTGTAGGGCCGACCAGCTAAAATGTTAACCAATAATGAGAGAAGATAGAATGGGTGGTGTTCCCAATTACGGTCTCAAGAGCAGCTAAAGCAGGGAGTACTACTGTTTCTTCTATTGCTAACCCATAGTAGTAGTCATTTTTGGAGAGTGTAGCTGGCCACTACTTCGAGGAGAAATGTGTCATGCTTACTTGAGTGGATCTCAGTGGTACAGAGGGCAGGATAATTGTATTGGACGCCTCTTGTGCTCCATTGCGAATCCTGTCACTCCACCTCTGCCTCTAGCTCCTGTTGCAGAGCATGCCTCCACAAAGTCTGCACCCAGCTTTGTGCAGGGAAAGCCAGGCAGTGCCTCGCCCTAGGGCCATGTTGCCTCTCCCTTCCCAATCCATGGCTTCTAGGTCCCCTAGCAAGGGGAAATAACTCTAAAAATGTCTCTGACTGTTACTACCAGTTTCAGAGAGCTAAACCATTTTGTAGTTTCACTCAGTGTTATAAGACCAAACCACTCAAGTTTAGCCCGGCCAAATCACTCAAGATTTGGACTTCAAGCTACTCTATGCCAGAATGCCCTGTGATACAGACATTTCTGGGACAAAAATAGAGGTCTGGCTTCCCGCATACTGCAAGAACTGGTGGAGTGATAACTGTGATCATGCTGCAAAGCTCTCAGCAGGCATTTTATTCTGGCTTTTGCTGATCTGTTCCAGATACTTCACCTTAAGATGTTTTTGGGGTCTTCTTAATCTTCTCTGAGGGTGTGGGGGTCATAATGGATTCAAAGAGAGATACGGAAACTGATTAAACTCTTTGGTTAGAATAAGTTCCAGAACTGATTCAGAATGCTATTGATATGAAGTTCAGAGCATGTATATAGACAAGGTACCTTCTCAGGCTTAGACTGAAGATCACCTGCTTACAGATGGGCTCACCAGTGCTGAATGGGTGCCACCAAGCAGGAATAAATGGCCATGCTGACAAACATTGGTACTGTACACAAACCCAGACCTGGCCACAATGCCAAGGCTCTCTGAATGCACTACCCACCCAACTCCAGCTTATGTTACCAGGCCAGAAAGAGGGCAATGTCTACAAAGCATACCCAGGAAGGTGGACACTCTTCAATGAGGGGCATGGCCAAAGTTAAGGATTCATCCTGAGATGGATCACCTCTTCTTCGTTAGGGCTGGAGAACCAGCCATAAGCTCAATTGAAAGACCCCAAACTAGGGAGACAGAAAATGCAGGCCCTCCTTGGGTGGCACAGCAGGGCTTTTTGAAAGGCCTGAGGTCCCTGCTCCTGGATGAGCCACAACTGGTGCTGGTTAATGAAATGCCTGTAAAAGGATTATAGGAACTATTGATTTCTTCCCCTAGGCACTGCCCTATGTCATTGGAATTAATTCAAGTCTGAAATGGCGGGGGATGTTAAAACTGAAGGCAATCCTGTGACTCCTCATCCCAAAGAGCTGTTTGAATAGGCAACCTATTAGGGGCCATTCAACCCAGAATCTGGTAGAATGTGTGTGATATATTTTCCATCCTTGGCACCAGGCAGGGAGGACATCGTCAATACTCTCATGATGATGGATGGCTTTACTCACTATGTCCAAGGGTATCCCAGCAAAGAGCAAAACGTCTCCATAGCAGGCTGAGTTCACTATGAAATACTTGTCAGAACACATAAACCCACATAAATCCACTCAGGTTGAAAGAGACTGTGAGGATTGGCTGCCACACACAACATTGCACTGGACAGGGTTGCAGCAGCATTTCTATTCCAGGGGTTGATAAATCCCGTCTGCGGACTGATTTTAGGCAGCCTATGAGCTAAGAAAGGTTTTCACATTTTTAAATGGCTGGAAAAAAAATAAGATTTCATGATGTGTGAAAATTGTATGAAATTTAAATGTGTCCATAAATAAAGTTTTATTGGAACACAGCCACATTCATTCATTTATGTACTGCCTGGGCATCTTTCACACTAAATGACAGGGATAAGAAGCTGTAAAAGCTTAAAATATTTAGGATATATCTTAATATGGACTGAATTGTGTCCCTCCAAAATTCATATGTTGAAGTCCTAACCCCCAGTACCTCAGACTGTGACTGTATTTGAAGATAGGCCTTTAAAGAGATAATTAGGTTAAATGAGGCCATGAGTGGCCTCATCCAATATGACTGTTATCTCTATAAGAAGAGGAGATTAGAACACACATGTGGGCAGGCAGAGGAAAGGCCACGAGGACACAGCGAGAAGGCATCGGTCTGCAAACCAAGGAGAGAGGCTGTGGAGGAATGCAATGCTGCCGGCACCTTGATCTTGGACTTCCAGTCTGCAGAACTGTGAGTGTTTAAGTCATGCAGCCTGTGGTATTTTGTTATGGTGGCCCTAACAAGCTAATACCTGCACCTTTACAGAAAAGGTCTGCCTACACCTGTCCCATGCTACAATATCATCCTAAAATTCACCTGAGCCTTGGTATAAAATTTTATGTATTTCTGCTATAATCCAGTGTGTCAACAAGGGGACCAGACAGGGCATTGCTCTTTCATCTCCTTCCAAGTCCCATGGAGAAGAAGCCTGAGGGTTACTGCCTTTCAGGGAGAATCATCATGTGCTGTCAAGGTTGGCTACCTACAGCCACCATGGGTGGCGTCCAGATCACCCAGCAGCCCAGAAAAAGGAGCACTGACATCTATGGAGCTCTGGGCTGAGGTAGAGACAACTCGGGTCTGCATGCCATCCTTCCGTCAGTCCTGTGCTTCTGCCCCCTAAAGCTCTGCCTAAATGGTTCTAAGCTGTTTCCCTTCCTGTGGCCTCAGCAGCTCCAGGATACTGTGCACTGAAACAGTTCCTCAGGCCATGGTATTTAATCCTCTTACAGCTGTTAGGATGAGATCCTGGGTTTCTGTGTCTTTCTTCCCCTCCTCTCTCCCAGAAAGACATGAAACATCCTGGGCTCTTTTGTTATCAGGACCGTGTCTCTCTACATGTCTCATTTTTTTAAAAAACACTGAGTTGTTTGCCTCTTTCCTGCTCTAAGAGGACGGTTTATCAGCATTTGCTTGCTTTGCTGAAATGTGCCTCACAGATATGCAAACCTCACTTGAGAAGATGGCACCTATCCTAACCCTATCTAAAACACAGCAGTCCCTTCAGAACTGCAGCTGCCTTTCATGTCAGCTCCACAATTATCAAGCACAGCCTTCTACCAAGACGGAAAGTGCAATTTAGCGTTCTGCTCTTGCCTCCAAAAAAGAGAAAATGCAGAGACAAAATAAGGCTATCTTGAGAAAAACTCTATCATGTTTAGTAAATACATAGATGAAGATTAATGCAATTTATTAGTTATGAATTATTGGTATTTATATATATTTCTAAATAATATCAAATATACATTAAATACCAAGAAAGATAAGTCCTTTTTCTCAGTCTCTGATAACTACATTTAAAATAAGAGAAGAGCAAACACAAACACTTTGTCTATTAAATGTATTTACCTTGTAGGCCATTAGTATTATACTATAGCCAACAGTCCAGCCTAGCAATTAATATGAGGAAAAGAGCTGGTCACATGCCCACATCTCTCTGGTATTATGCTAAGTACCAGAGCTAATTAAGATATGGTGTTGCCTCGAAAAAGTTCACAGTATCATGGAGAAGATGTGAACGTGAAACCACCATGCAAGGTGAGAGTAGCTAACACAACAGAGAAGATGCTTTTAAATGAGGTCCAGAGAAGCATGGGGCTGGGTGGGGTGAAGTGGGAGTGAAGAGCTGAAGAATTCTTCCTGGACATTGGTGTCACCTAAGCTGAATCAGAAAGAACACAGAGGGTTTAGCTAAGTAAAAAAATAGCACAAATAAAATGGCAAATGTGCATCCAAGTAGAATAAATGGTTCACATGCAACATAAGAAGTGTTTCCATGATAACATAAAAGTGCTTGTTACATGACATTTTGAAGTGGAAAATGAAGCATCTATTCTTTACAGCTGAATCCTTGTCTGAAATCTCTACCTAGAAATGGCCTGATAAAGGTCATATCTACACACTCAAAATCTTGTTTGCTTTCTCTATTCTCTATTCACTTGGCCAACAAATGCTTTTGATCATCTACTAAGTGCCAGGCACTGTTTTAGGCACTGAAAATGCAAGAATGAGCATGAACTACCCTGTTCCTGCCTGTAAAGAACTAATACTTGGTGGGATTAAAAAAAAATACTTTTTTTTAAAAAAAAGAGATGTCTCATGCTATAGAAAAGAATCCACATAGATAAATCCTGATGATGAATGACAGTCCATTGATCTAGAACTGCCTGTCCAGCAAGGTGCTACCAGCCACATGTGGTTATTCACATTAATTTAGTTAAAATTGAACAAAATATAAAATCCATTCCCTCAGTAGCACTAGCCACATTTCAAGTGCTCAAAACCCACATGTGGCTCATGGATACCATAGTGTATAGTGCAAATAATAGAACATTTCCAAGTACTGAAGGTGCTATTGGACAGTGCTGTTCTAGAACAGCTCCCATGGGGAAAAAAAAAGTCTCCCGTAAGTGACAAAAAATTAAACAAGGATTTTGTCAGGGATCCATTGACAGCTGATTCTGTACACTGATTCACGCACAAAAGTCTCAAACTACTTTTAAAATTCAGCCCAATCATAATCCTTTCTAAATTGTGATTTCACCAAAATAAGATGTAATATACCTTGGATATAAACTTTACATGTGACATTTTATACTTCGGACACAAGACTAAGAACATGTTTTTATTGCCCCCATTTCTCAGACCTCATTAGCATAATAGTAAAGGAATAAGGTTCCACAAAAATTTTATTTTTAATGGAATGGAGATTTTGAAAGCAATTATAAGATTGTATATGCAAGACGAAGTGCAGCAGGAAAATCACAACTTAAAAGACATGGAACGGAGGTCTCAGTCAAGCTAGTTGCTGACTTGGAGAAATTAAAGGCCCAAAAGTACCAGCAAACAAGGAGAGTATTACTGAGACATGGGAAGAAAAACAGCCTATAGGTCGGGTGCAGTGGTTCCTGCCTGTAATCCCAGCACTTTGGGAGGCTGAGGTGAGCAGATCACCTGAGGTCAGGAGTTCAAGACCAGCCTGGCCAACATGGTGAAACCCCGTCTCTACTAAAAATACAAAAATTAGCCCAGCTTGGTGGCGCACGCCTGTAATCCCAGCTATTCAGGAAGCTGAGACAGGAGAATCACTTGAACCCAGGAGGCGGAGGTTACAGTGAGCCAAGATCACACCACTGCACTCCAGCCTGGGCGACAGAGCAAAACTCCACCACCCCCCACAAAAAAAAAAAAAAAAAAGCCTATAAATGTTGATTTTTTTTCATCCCATCCCTAACTTTTATGTGCAAAACACCTGGCTGCCTATTTTTGCAATACAAGTCACCTCCGGGCCACCACCTCCAAAAAAGGAAGATGATCTTTTTAAAGAAATTGGGCACAATATTGGGAAGAAACAGAAGAGTCATTTCAAGAGACATAGCACTAAGCAAAGCCATCTGTAATTTGGTGTTTTAGAAAGTATCAAGAACTAAGCCATGGAGCATGGAATGCAGGGTTCTTTCACTGCATTGGCCCATGTTGGGGGCCTCCTGTACCCTGCATATATAAGCAGAGACTACAAGTTAAAAGTCACAGAATGGAAGTGGTTTGAATACGCTTCATTTCATTTTAGTTTTTCTGTTATTTTTCTTTACTTGCGTGTATTCCTGTGAATACATCCTTGTTAAATTAAAAAAAAAAAAAACTAATCCATGAAGTCTGGGCTCTCAGTCATAAGTTTTTAGTGCCTCATTCTTAAGTATGAATGTGCAACCAAGTGTCACCAGATATTTCAGGAAATCCTGCAACATAAGGACCAAGATTAAAAAGACAATATAAAACCCAAGATTTAAGAAAGTAAATAAATTAACCCTGGGGGTTGCGGGGGCGGGTAGGAAAAAGAAACAATAAAGGAAAAGAAAAAATTTTAAGTGATACATTCAAAGACCTCTAAGGAAATAGTCTATCCACAAATAATAATATTTGCTATCAAAATGAAAAAATTAGAGAATCAGAAAATACTCAGGAATTAAAATATGATTGCCAGTCACTTGGAAGATAAGACATTCAATGAAGAATATCTTACAGAAAAGCAGAATATAAAGAAGAGATGATAGTCATCAAATAAAATTGGATGAAATCAAGTTTGTTTTCCATCAAACTAACAGATTCCCAACAGAGACAACAGAGAAGAGAAAAAAAGAGAATAATTAGATAATTTTTAGAATACTGAGAATAAAGAAAAGATATTAAGGCTTCCAGAGAATATGGGAGAAAAATAATCTGCTAAGGAAAGAGAATCACTAACACTGGAAGGTAGATGACAATGTAGTAATATCTTCAAATTTCTCACGGGAAAATAATTCTCAATGGAAAATTCTACATAAGCCAACCACTTAATCATTTATAAGGGCTGATTGAAGACATTTTCAAATATGCATGACTCAGCATATTGATTTCCCTCTTAGGAAGTTAATGAAGGGTGTAATTCAGCAAGAGGAAGGACTAAGAAAGAAGAAATTAGGGAATGTAGTAAAGAGATGATCCAACTGAGAAGAGCTATGAAGGACAGTCCCAGGATAACAGCTGTGTAGCTATCCTAGAGAGCAATCAGTTAAAAGCAGAGAAAGATAAATAAAATAAAATAACAAAATAAAGTAAAGGATATAGAGATAAGTGTTGGGCAAGGGGATATCAACAGAATAAATGGTAGTATATTGAGTTATTTTAAAATGAGGCTATGGTAAATGTATAGGGTAAAGTAAAAAAATAAAGGCAATAGAAACTCCATGGAAGACAAAGAGTTAAAAAAAAACAAAGAAAATCATTGTGCATTACACGGTGCTCTAGAGAACAATAAGTATCCAGTCAGATCAAGAAAACTATTTCATTTCCAAGTTATTATCAAACTCTTGACAAAGAAAAGAAGACAATTATGGTTAAAGAATGGAATCAAAGATTGTGTTGACAAACAAGTAAACAAGATTTGGAAAGTAAGTAGGAAGAGTTGAAAGAATAATGTTATTAATATACTCATATCACATCATATCACACTGTAGGTAATCAAGAGATATTATCTATATATAATGAAACAAGAGATTAAAAGGTAAAATATTACTTAGAGTTCAAGAGAAATCAATCAAGGAACTAAAGCTAGTAATACAGTCATCCCTTGACACACTAAATTAGAATCTGTGGGGTGGGACCCAGCAATCTGTTTTAATACTCCCTCCAGTAGAGTCTGACGCTTACTAAAGTATAAGAACCACTGCTATAGACATAGAAAAAAACTGGGAAGAATAGACACCCAATTATTAAGAAAGCCCAGAGGAGCAGGACTTCTGTATTCTTGATTTTTAATGAGTAAGTGTTATTTTCATAATATAGAGTTTACATTGTGCAAATATGTGTAAGTATATATGTGTAGCAAAATACGGATAAAGTTTCTGGAATCATCAAAGTATGTTTTACTTCCCCAGAAAAACAGAGGAAAAGTCTTAGATATGCTCTCTGGACACTGTAACAAATCCAAGACAGAGTTGAACATATGTACAGATATAACAAACATTCCAGAACTTGGATCAAAATTCTAAACGAGTACATATACAGCAAAAGAAGCATTTCCCACAGTCTCTCTCCAGCATGATAATACTGTATGTTTCTGATGTTCCTAAGTGCTGTATCCACATAAAATACACTGGCAAGAAAACTGTTAAATAACCAAAGCAGATTCAATTTCTTCCTCACAAATCTTATTCTAATTCTGGCTAAAAGAGCCCAAATTATTTCAAATATGTTCATTATACTGCTAATCAACTTTGATTTTCACAAATCAAAATGTAAATTAACATACTTAATCACAGCCTTTTTAATCCAGTAAGTCCATTCAACTCAATATTTTTGGATCATATCCTAAAGTAAAGAAAACCTATATAGGTTAGAAGAGTTCTCAGTACTTGAGATAAAAGCTATTTGTGTATGAAATACTTAGAAAGAACATATAAGGTGTAGAATCGAAATAACTAAAGCAAAACTAAAGGAGAAAAAAGAAAGAATAGATGACGTGATTCAAGTTCAAATTAAAGAATAAAGCCGACATAAAATGACAAGAATGCAGAAAAAAGACAGAGGAAGCCTGCCTGTCACCAAAGAAACCTGATGACAGAATCATAAAATGAAATGGACCTGGAGAAAACGGTGACTTAAAAACCATCATTACATTTGATTTATATAATCCAGTTTAACTGCCTGTTAGAAAAACATTTGGTGCACATCTAGTAGCAATTTTTTTAGCCATTCTTTTTTTAGAAGATTTATTTGCAACAGCAAATACTGGTTAGAATTCTATAGCAAAGGCGAAATATGAGTGCAAATATTCTCTAGCTCAAAATTCTGAAAATTTATTTCTCCCCTCGTTAGGAAGACCAGAAAATTCTGAGATTATTTTTAATAATAAAAATGTAAAAATAAAGCACTTATTAAAGCAAATCAGAGTAAACCCACTTTAACTCTCCAATGCCAAGTCATGGTCATATTAAATGTCTTTTTTAGATTACTCCCTTTTTAGACCATGAAGAAATACTACATAATAATTGGAATATATCTGTGTTCATATAAGTACAAGTCGCTATACAATATTCTTTCTGTTTTACTAATAAAATTAGTAAGTCATGAAACATTAACCTATATTCAGGGATTAGAACCATCAGAGGTTTCTTCTGTTATATGGCTATTTCTTCCCTGGACTTATGTATCAGTACATCACGTGATCATTATTAGTACTGAAATTTCAATGCAACATTTATATCATTACCATTTAAAAGCCTTAAAATTTAAGTGCACATTTTATAACAAAATTATAGCCAAATATTATCTAAATCTAAAATTGCCTTTGACCATTTAATAAAAATTATCTATAACATATCCATTTCCTCTGTCATCACCTTATAGATAGGACATTATCTTTCTCTTGTTGATCCAATAACGAGCTCCTGTGCCTGACACATAGTAGGACTCCCAAAATGGTGGTTGTACAGAATTGAAACCAGATCCATGAAACTATTTTCTTGGTTTTTCTGTATTTTATCTATTTTTGTCTCAATGAATAAAGTTTACTTGATTATACGTGATGCTGAGGTGTTTAATTATCAGCAAACATAATCACTCACATATTTCTCTAGCTTTAAAAAGCCTTATATTTTGGTTGAAATGAGACCTGAATATATTAAGAATAGAAGAATTGCATCTGAAATTGAAGTACAAAATTAAGGTAACTGGAGCACAAATATGCGAATTGAAAAAAAAAACTGCTCGTAAATTGCAAGAATAAACATTAACCTAATGGCTTATTTACCTTTTAATTCAAAAGGTAGCTCGTCTTCCCTGGAAGCACAGAACAATGAGAGTCACAGCTTGCATGTGACCGTTCCTATCCACAGTCCCAGAAAAATCTCAGACATCAATGACTGCCAGGATGTCCGGCAAAACAGCCTCTTTTGTGGACAGGTTGATGAAAAACATCTATTTTAAAGCATCTCAGTCTCTTTGCTTGGAATCCATGCCTATTCACAAACCTTATGATTAAATTTTTGTTTCCACCGTTAGTCAATTAACATTATGATTTTACAAAAATTGGGTTTATTCACCCAGTTCAAGAGCTTGACAAGTGGGAGGGACACCTTTATTCGCAGGAATAAGGTGATTCAAGAACTCCTGTCCTCAGACAAGAGCAGCTCCGGCCGGGTTTATTTCACAGGATCCGGAGTCCAGGCCGCCAGGCACTCTCTTTGTTTTTGTGACCGTTTTTTTGAAGCTCAACTTCCTCACATCACATGGAAGGAAAAATATGTATTTTATGTCCCATTTTATCAGATTAACTGTTAGAGTTTTAGGGAACTTAGATTTTCCAAAAGAAGAGTCCACGGAGGCATAGAAATAATCAGTGACTGCCTCAAATCACCGTCGCACTCCAGCCTGGTCCATTCTGGGTCCAGGCACGCAGGGAACCGGCACGCACGGCGCCCACGGCTGCTCCGCGTCAGGTAATGGGCCCCACGGCGGCCAGGGACGCACCCTAGCACCTGAGGTCAGCCTAGGGCCTCGACTCCCGGAAGTGAGAAGGCTGTGGCTTCGGGGACAGCCGGCTAGGCAAAGTGCCCGGGGCGGAAATGCCTTCCATGGTGCCCCCAGCTGGGGCCCAGCGGCAGCTCCCCGGAGACCAGGGGTTCCGCCCTCAGAGACTCAGAATACCCCTGCCTGCGGCGACCTTGAGCCTCCTGACTTACTGAGCCTGATGAGGCCTGCCCACGGGGGCGTTCACAGCTCCCTAGGGGCCTCCACTGAGCAGCCAGCTTTGACGCCACCGCTTTGGAGCCTCGCCTCAAGAACTGGCTGAGCGACAGCGATCTTGGCAGGGAAGCGGAAGTGGTCATGCCGAACCCAGCCTGTGCAACACCCGGCACTGCCATCGCCCTGACACAGGAGGGGCTGCTTTTCCTTCTGACCTCAAACAGCTCCACGGAGAAGGGCTCATGCCTTCCAGACCGTGGGCCTCAATCCTGAAGGCTTCAGCCCACCTTGAGGAATCTTTGGTATCATCGGAACCCAGCAGCTCAGGGGAACAAAGTCAGCAGCAGCAGGAACAACGCCTGGGCACCAGAAAGCAGCATGGTACAGAAGGAGAATGAGAGAAAAGGCAAGAAGCCCAGAGGCAGTTCTGGAACTTAGGGCACCTCTAAGCCCACAGCACCAAGTCCAGTAGGGATTTTAAGGGTGGCTGGCACAACCAGGATCAAGAATGTGTCTTGGCCCAGCCATCCTCGATTGGGGTCTCTGGCTCCTTCTAGCCCCATTGGCTGCCAAGGTATCCAGCCAGTGGGTAGGGGTGAGTTACCCCAACTGGAGGGGCAGATAGAAATGTAAAAGTTTACCCTATTGGTCACAACCATGACTAGAAATGTTGTGACTTCTGCACGCACTGCACTGCAGGAAGCCACTCCATCTTTGGCAGGGAGGGATGTCATGCAACACTACGGACATACTTAAACTGAAAAAAAATATTCCTACAAAGGGAAACACACTCTTACCATATAATCCAGCATTCAAACGCCTAGGCATTTGCCCAAATGAATTTAAAGCTTACGTCCACACCAAAATCTGCACACAGATGTTTATAGCAGCTCTATTCTTAATTCCAAAACTTGGAAGCAAGCAAGATGTCCTTCACCAGGTGAATGAGTAAGTCAACTGTGGTACATCTAGACAATGGAATATTAATAGGATTCAGGGCTAAAAAGAAATGGGCTATGAAGACATGGAAAGATATGAAAGAAACTTAAAGGCACATTACTAAGTGAAAGTAACCAATCTGAAAAGACTGCATACTGTACAATTCCAACTTTACAACATTCTGGGAAAGGAAAAACTATGGAGGCAGTAAGAAGATCAGTGGTTGCCAGGAGTTTAAGGGAGAGGGGGATGAATAAGCAGAGATTCACAGATCATTATGACTGTGAAAATACTCTGTATGATACTATAATGGTGGACACATATCATTATACATTTCTCAAAACCCATACAACACCAAAAGTACAACACCAAGAGTGAATTGTAATGTAACCTGTGGACTTTGGGTGATAATGATGTGTCAATATAGTTTCATGAATTATAACACATGTACCACTCTGCTGGTGGGGGATGCAGATATGAGGGAGGAGGGTGGTCAGGAGTTATATAGGAACTCTTCTGTATTTTCTGCTCAGTTTTACAGGGAACCCAAAACTGCTCTAAAAAATAAACTTTATTAAAAGTGAAAAGAAATATTCTTTGTTGATTTGAAATTCAATTTTAATGGGCATCCTGTAATTTTACTTGCTAAATCTAGCAACTCTGTTGGAAGAGCACTAAATTTCAAGTTATATAAATTATAATGAATATTTTATTTAATATATTGGATATATTTTGAGTCCCTACTCCCCCTCCTTAGCAGGCGGAAGCCCCAATTGAGTAGAGGGAGAGATTTAGATGGCCTGGATACCCCAAATACCGGATTCAGTTAATCTGGCACAATTTAGCTCCCTTTAATGAGCCCAAGGATTAAAAAGAATATTTTTACATGAATTTCTAGTCTCCTAAACTAACATTCTTTGTTTACATAGGGCTTATATTCAATCAGAGGCTTTTTTTTGTCTACATGTGTGTTGTTTAAGTAATTTCATTCAATCTGTGAAGTCAGAAATGGATTTCAATTATTTCAGTGCTCACCAGTAACCTAAAGTGACATCCAAAAAATGCTCTCCATGAATGCTTGCAAAATTCTTCTTCTTCTGTCTCAGATATTTTAAAAGTAGTACATCTGACCTCTAATGCAATGTGCTTTCTTCTCATTAATAGGGCTCTTTCTTAGAAGCTCATTTACACGATATCAGTATAAATTTTATATTTTATTTATTCAAGGAGCAATCTCCACCAAACTTTGCAGAGCCATGATTAGAATCTCTATATTTCTGAAGTCACCTGTCAACACAACTGTGCTTGAATAATTACATTTAGCAATCTATAACCCCAGGCAGTTCCAGTTGCTGCAGCTATGCCTATGCTGAGATTTTAGGTATCAGCACATCACCAAGATAACAATAAAGCTCATAAAACTGAACCTATTATCTGCCAAACGTATCTCTGGATACTTGCATCTTAGAGAGAAGTCTATTATAGAGATACTGACACACATCACAGCCCCCACCATCCCCACTACATACTTACAATATTATTATTGACAGTAAACGATGACTAAGGCTTGTCATCTACCATAAATGGCTGATCTGTCTGCAACAGATTTAATTTACTGACATAAAACATTCTCATTTTCTGCCTACCCAGGTTAAGCAGATGCCTGAGAAGTCACAGAGAGTAATAATTCCCACCCTGGTGGCTGACTATTGGTCACTGATTATAACTGGACATTGGAAATTCTTTGCTGCAAAATATCTATTATGAATATGAAGGGACTTTCAAGTTATTCATAGTCTTTCTTAGAGGCTTTTATTAGAGGCTTTTCCAAATCCAAAAGCCAAGATAAAATAGCTCAGCATAGCATTCATTTTTAATGACTCTCAAGCTAGAATGTAAATCCCTGTTCGGCATGCATTAACTCTCATCAGGATTTTAACAACTGGCCTAAATCTTGCCTTCCCCACACTGGATGGGAACGCTCGGCAGAGTCACGATGGTGCCACACAGGCAGGGGCTGAGAGCTGCAGATCTCATAGCCACTGAGTGGAAATAGGAAAAAGCACTTGCAATTTTAAGAGTGAGGCCAGCTCCTTCACTCCTAGAGTCGTGTACTGGACCACCCCACTCTAACCCACCTTTGCAAGAAAGAGACAAATCAGGGGTTTGGCTATTTATTCTCAGTGAAGAGGGAAACCCTTATGGGAGTAAATGAGTGGCCAAACATTAAGAACAAGTGGTGCAATTAGAAACCACAGTTTTGGTCTTAAGGGTCTCTGGAAAGAAAATCTAGAAAATACATAATTTTCTGTAGCAAAATCTGAGAATACAGACCTAGACATTTACCTCTATCTCATTTGGTGGGCCCTTGGAAGAAAATAGAGCAATGCCCAGGAATAAAAATAAAAATCAGATAACCCAGCATAGTATAAAACACACTCAAAGACAATAAATAGAACTTCGTATCAACAGTGATCTTTGACATGATGGAATAAATTAGTCACACCATATTCAATGAGTACAAGCATCACACCTGTCTACCTGAGCAATTATCATGTAAATATGTCCTCTGTGTGTATGTGCCTTTGGAGAATATCCACTAGTATATACAAAATCCCACCAGAGGATAAAATAAATTATTAAAAATAAATAAAAACTCCATATCTAGTCTGCAGAAAGAAATCATTCTGTGCTTTGTGGCCCACATGCACAAGCTTGCTAAAAAATATGTGGGTGTATGAAGGTACCTGGGACCCTTGTATAAAACCAAATTTAAAATTTCATGTCTGGGACGCTAAACATTCACTGCTCAGAAATTACCTGCTATGGGGCATGAAGCACCTCTTTGGAACTTTTCCCTTCATTTGCCCTGGTGGGTGAGCTGTGTGCCTCTTATGAATACTCCATGATGAAGTTCAAAGAAAGTGACTCAGAGAGCACAGTGGAACTGTTCCTTAAATGTAGGCTGCCTCTTATAAGGAGGAAAAAAAGGAATCTGGTTACTTTGGCTAGCCATTTATTTATTTATTTATTTTTTAGAGTCTCGCTCTGTTGCCCAGGCTGGAGTGCAGTGGTGTGATATCAGCTCACTGCAAGCTCCGCCTCCCAGGTTCATGCCATTGTCCTGCCTCAGCCTCCCAAGTGGCTGGGACTACAGGCGCCTGCCACCATGCCCGGCTAATTTTTTGTATTTTTAGTAGAAACAGGGTTTCACTGTGTTAGCCAGGATGGTCTCGATCTCCTGACCTCGTGATCCGCCTGCCTCGGCCTCCCAAAGTGCTGGGATAACAGGTGTGAGCCACCACGTCTGGCTCATTTAATTATTTTTAATTTATTAGCCTCCACATGCTACTCTCCCTTTGACATCCCTAACCCACACATGGGTGTAAGGCCTAAAATTAAGATGCAGTTTTGTATGCTGTCTTGACATCTGGGAAACCAGGAGGGCCTTCAATGGCCTTACCTCAAGTTCCCTCCCTCCTGTGGGAAAAATACCCTAGCTAAAGGACACTCCTTATCATGGGACCACATATATCCCTGAGTAGCGGGCTTCAGTTTCCTGCCAACCCATGGAGTTATCCAAACAAGCCAATCACATCCTCCTCCTCTTGTTACTACAAAGCCTACCTCCCCCATCCAATCACATCCTCCTCCTCTTGTTACTACAAAGCCTACCTCCCCCATCCCCTGCTGGACACCTGTCCGGTGTCAGGTGCCGTGGGTTTGGCCATCTCTACAACCCTAGGGTGGGAAACCCTCTATCACCACCAGGGTGAATAGGAGGAGGTGCCTAAAACAACCCAGTTCATAACTGATTGATTGAAAATTGCCTTGAGCCCTCCCCACATGAACTCTGAGCTGCTGGGACAGGTCTTTCAAGGGCAGGCCTCTCCTTATGATGCCCTGCCACAGAATGGATCTCTGATCCTCTGTTTTTCAATTTACAACAAATTGGCCTGGTGAGGTGGCTCACGCCTGTAATTCCAGCACTTTGGGAGGCCAAAGTGGGAGGATCTCTTGAGCCCAGGAATTCAAGAGCAGCTTGGGCAACAAAGCAAAACCCCATCTCTAAAAACAAAAAAATTAAAAGAAAAAAATTAGCCATGCATGGTAGCACATGCCTTGGTCCCAGCTACTCAGGAGGCTGAGGGAGGAGGATCAGTTGAGCCCAAGAGTTCAAGGCCACAGTGAGCTATGATCATGACACCGCACTCCAGCCTGGGCAACAAAGTGAGACCATGTCTCTTAAAAAAAAAAAAAACAATTGAGTAAGAATAATTGTATATTGAATCTTTTTCTCTCCTTGAATTGAACAATTTCTCTGAACACATGAGTCCATGGAAGAAACATTTTTCCTCTGTTAACAAAAACCTTTCAGACAGTTTTCTTTCAGGTCACTTTTATACCAAACACTATTCTTCCTTTCTCTTTTTTTTTAAGCTTATAATGTTGATTTTAGGAGTAACCTTCACCACCACCTACAACACAAATTATACTCCCTTACCTTGCCAGTGAAAATTCTAAAACTTCCCCTGCAGCAGTCATTAAATAATAAATACTTTACTGCCATGATTTTATCCATAAACACTCGATGGTTTACAGATGGATTTATAAGGATCCCCAGGGAACTATGACTGATCACATCCTATGCCAGTTCTTCTCCACATCCCCCGACCACACTAACTCTTCTCTAGGCAGAGATATGACAGTCACCACTGAGCCATCTTCCGAGGAACACAGGGGTCCCTCCTGACAGCAGAAGTTGCTAGAACGGCTGGAAATACACGTCCAGCTGGCATGCCCACTGACGCGTGTCCGTGGCCCAGTGCAGCTCCCTGGGAAGTGTGTTGCTGCACCGTAGGCTCCGCAGCAGGGAGTGTGCTCCCAGGATCACCAAGCCCTTCAGGTTCCAAGAAGAAAGCAGACTAATAACTGGATTCACTTTTGACAGCCCTTTGGAAGCCCTGTCCCTTAGCACCACTACCAAAATAAATGCTACTGTGGCCAATTCAAAAGTTCTTTCTTTCAACTTCTCTTACTTAGACAAATACTTATTGAAGAGCTATTATTTAACGAGTATTGTCCCAGATTCTAAGGCTATAGTACTGGATGTACTGCAGCATTCTTCCTCCATTGGCTCACAGTAGTGGGCGCCACAGGAAAGGAAGCAGTTAAAATACTATAGGAATAAAGGTGAGTGGACAGACTGTGGTACAGCCAGACAATGAAATATTATTCAAAAATAACAAGAAATTAGCTATCAACCCACGAAAAGACATGGAGGAAACTTAAATGCAAATTTCTAAATGAAGGGAGGCAGCCAGAAAGGCCTTTATCCTGCATGACTCCAACTGTACAATATTCGGGAAAAGGCAAAACTATCCAGAGAGTAAAAGGATCAGGGGCTGCCAGGAGCAGCAGAGAGGCAGGGATGAACAGGCAGAACACAGAGGATTTTTAGGGCAATGAAAATATTCTGTATAATATTACAGTGGTGGATATATGTCATTAGTCACATCAAAACCCACAGAGTATACAACACCCAGAGTAAACTATGGACTTTAGTTAATAACCATGTATTAATATTTGTTCATGAATTATAACAAATGTCTCATATTAGTGGAAGATGTTAATAGAAGAAACTGTACAAGGAAGAATAGATGACAAATCTCTGTACTATTTGTTCAATGTTTCTGTAAACCTAAAATGGTTCTAAAAACTAAAGTCTATTAATTTAAAATCAAAAAATGTATAGAAAAGTCCCATTTTAGCACCAATTGCATTTTAGCACCAGTAACTAATAATGACTGTTCAATGTTTCACAGGCCTGTTGGCACTTAATCTTCAGAGCAACCTGTTACTCTCCCCAGTATGCAGATGATAAAATGAAGGCAGTAAAGTTGAATTCTTTGCCTGGATTCACAAAGTTTGCTATGGGCTGGCCTAGGTTTGACTACAGAACTCAGGTCTTAACCATAACAATCTGTGTTTTGCCTCTTCCCTAAAAGACACCATATAAACGTCTGTGAAATGGGGGAAGTATTCCCCTTGCCTTGGGTGGAACTGAGGTGGAATCACAAAGTTCTTACTGTGTTCAGAGTACTAATCTTATTTAGGCCGTGGAAGACTGGAGTCAATGCCAGTCATGCCCCAGTGTAAAATAGATCAGGCCAGAGGTGGTTAGGACTGTATATGATGACTCTTCTGTACTGAACCTCTTACCAGTCATTGTTGATCTGGGACAAATGGAGAAAGGCTCTTTGATAATAACCATATTTTATGAGGAATAATCACTTTAAATAAATGACCAAAAATGTAATGACTTAAAGCTAATCTTTAGAACATCAAGCTATGAAGTACCTCCTCCAAGATTGTATTAGTCTTCCTAGTGCTGTCTGGTACCAATATCCTACTTGTAGATAATGAACCGGGCTCAAGTAAGTCCTATTCCAGTAGCCTCACCAATGCAAAGCGAAATGGAAGAAGCCCCAAAAGATAGTAGTAGAGGAAGACTCTATCTGCATAAAGATGCATGGCCACAAGAGGGCACTGCAGACACAATGTGGAATGCAGATGCCCACAGGTACCCAGGCGGTCACTCACTGCAAAGAGAACCAATGGGCAAAAGTTAACTCGCTTTCCAATTTTAAAAGACAAATCATGACTTAATCTACAGTAGTGACTGAATCTATATTTAAATCCCAACATGCTGCAGAGCTATTTAGTATTATTCAGAATTAGAATTATTTCCCTTAAAAGCTTCCAAAGTAATATTTAAATACTATTAATCTGTATCTTACTTATACAACTAAGTATATTATATAGCAAGCAATAAACCTAAATAAAATTGCTAGTCAAATTGAGCATGGATTAAGTGATCAGAGAATGTCATACTTCTTCAATTCTGCCCAGTGCTTATCAGAGCACCGTTCCTTCACTTAGTAGGAACATGTTACAAACTGTCATTAAATATATCTGATAAATTAGTAATACATCATCAGAACACAGCCTACAGTTTTTGGGATAAGGGATTTTTAATATAAAAACCTTCTTGAGTGTTTTCCTACTGTAAGAAATTTTTAGTAGCTTTTCTCCTGTATTTATGTGATGCAGGCTTTGATCCCAGGAGACTGTCTTAACTCTGCAAATGCCAGGGAATCCATATTTACATCATAGAGATGGGCTATGGCAAATCAAGTCAGTAGCATTGGATGGTACCAGTTTAGTTTATTCCTTAAATGAAAAACACAAAGGCTGTGCATTAACTCATAGGACCAGCTAACAAAGGGGTCTCCACATTGTCAAGTTTAACCAAGAGCAAACGGGTTTTAAAACACACCTTTACATTTTTATAATGGGGAGATGAAGAGAAGAAAATTGTGCGTCAAATGTTTTCGAATACTCATATCCATATGTGGAAATAGAAATTAAAATATCATCGTAAGAAGTTATAAAAAGCATTTGTGCAGAACCACAATATTTTGATACTATTCAAACAATAATATCTATCTTAAGGTTTGAAAGAAAGTATAACATTAGGCATCAGGTTTTTTTACTTTTTAGTTTATGATTGAGAATTAAACCACAATATAAAACCAAAAATATTTTCAAAGAGAATTTAGAAGTTATGTTGATTTATGCAAGAAGTAGTGTTATCATATTATTAATACATTAATTAATACAGCTACATTTAAAACCCTGTAGACATGGGTGTACATACCAATATTTTTTCTCTTTATTAACAAATAGAGGGAAATTATATGCTACTGTTAATCTAATTTCCTGCTTCACAACCCTCTTTTAATTTCTGACATATGTTTATGTCTGAAACAGAAGAGCAAAGCACTTGCAAACACCCCTGAGTTAAGCCTAACACTTCGGGAACTCTTGAGGATTTGAGCGACTGGTGTGGAGAGACTGTCAGTATGCAGTGCCCTCTGCTGGCCAAATTATTAAACATCGCGATAAACAAAATTCCCAAGTGTTAATATTACAATGTGGGGGAATAAAACTAAGATTATTTTGGAATTAGCCCTATAATTCCGGAGAGTCACCATTCACTACCATAATTCCTTAGTGAACAGAGATTTACTTTTATGGAACAAAACAAGCGCAAAGCTACCTGGTACAAAGAAACATCCCCTGCCAAGAATGGAATAGAGAGTGAGACTTCTTATGCCTGCCCAGGTCTCAGGTCCAAAGTCACCCCAACTGTTACCTCTTTCTCAATCTTACCGCCCCTCCTCCATGTCCCACAGCCTCTCCGTGCTTTCACTTCCCAGTTCTGCTGCAATCTTTCAGCTTGTATCTTCTCATTGGAACTGTGAGCTCATCCAGCAGAGATATGTGTCACTCCTCCTGGAAGCCTCGGACATTACAAAAATTCAGTAACTGTCTGTCCAGTTTGGGTTTCTTCAAAAGCTGTAGAATTAATCATAGGGCCAGAATCAGCAATGTTGCAATGCAGTTCCCGGTGATGAATTTAGGAAGTTGTCCTGGACCCCAGAAGTGAGACTTTTAATCATGAAGAGTGGTGAACACAATGTGTGTGGCATAATAAACCTCTGGCTGTGTATTCATTAATTTTAAAGAAGAAAACGAGTACAACATTGCTGCTAAGACTTAGACGGGCTTCTGTGTAGAATTTCCATTTGGCTTCCAGGACAGATTCTTGGGTTCAGAGGCCACTAAGAAGGGGGAAGGAAGAGAGAGAAGGCAAACTTCTGGGCCAAGGTTCAGGGGAGGTGGAGGCAAACCTCTGAGACAGAGAGAGAAAGGCAGGCCTCTGAGACAAAGAGAAATCATTCTGGGCTCCTCTGTAGGGTTCAAACTGATTCGGTTTTATCCGGAGTAAAACAAAAGCAGTCATTTTAATAAATCCTTGAAATTCACATCTTTCCAGGTGCTGTAAGAGCACTGGGAAGACAGAAAGCTTAACTAAATCTTTGTCAATGAATATTTAAGCAATATACCAGGAAGCCTTTCAGGTGATAAACAAAACCTAGTAATTATAAAGATAAAATTGTGCAATTTGACTACAATAAATAACAAGCCTTTACTCTGCAAAACAGCATTACCTAAATGTCAAAATACAAGTAACAAACTGGGAAAAGTATCTGCAACACATATGGAAAGGCTACAGTCCTTACTATTTAAAAAGTATTTATACAAACCAGTAAGAAAGTTAATGCTAACAACCTAATACGACACACGTGAGCAATTTTCAAGAAAGGAAGGAGATTGTGTCTAAGCACGTGTCAATATAGTCAACCTCACTAATAATAAAATGCAACTATTATACCTAATTAATCTAACAACTATCAAATAGGTAAAACTAAAAATATTTTATAAACTTTGTGTATTAAAGCAAATGACCCCTCTAATATGCTGTTGGCAAGAAAACTTGATTCTACAACTTTCACACAGAACAGTTTGGCAATATCTATCATAATGCACCTTACACACACGCCCAGCCATGTCTAGGCATTTTCCCTACACATCTATTCCCATTGATACAAGGAAATTCATAGCATTCTCATTTTTAATAGCAAAAAAAAAAAATATCTGGGAACAACCTAAATGTCCATGAGTGCAGGCTGAATAAAGAAATCATGGGCTGGACGCGGTGGCTCATGTCTGTAATCCCAGCACTTTGGGAGGCCAAGGTAGGTGGATCACTTGAGGTCAGGAGTTCGAGACCAGCCTGGCTAACATGGCAAAACCCTGTCTCTACTAAAAATACAAAAATTAGCCAGGCATGATGGTATGAGCCTGTAATCCCAGCTACTTGGGAGGCTCAGGCAGGAGAATTGCTTGAACCTGGGAGGCAGAGATTGCAGTGAGCTGAGATTGTGCCACTGCACTCTAGCCTGGGCGACACAGCAAGACCGTGTCTCTCAAAAAAAAAAAAAAAGAAAGAAAGAAAGAGAGAGAGAGAAAGAAAGAAATAATAGTACACCAATATTTACAGTGTACCAACATTTAAAGTGAGAGTAGGATTATATATACTAATTCAGAAAGATTGCTGAGACATTGTTTATTGGAAAAATGTGCAGAATGAAGATGATCATACACTCTCATCTTGGGTTTACAAAGAACATATATGTGTTTGTTTATCAACAGCTTCACTCTGGAAAAGTGTAGAAGGACCTCTGGGAAATATGGCTGGGAGGAGACTGAGTTGCACTGTATAGAATATACTCTGGCACTTCTTGTTCATTTTTGGCCATATCGTTATATTACTGTTTCAAAAATAAATTTGAAAAACTGCATTTTGGGAGGCTGAGATGGGAGGATGGCTTGAGGCTAGGAGCTGGAAAAAACCCTGGGCAACATGCTGAGACCCTGTCTCTATTTAAAAACAAAACTATATTTAAAAATAAACATTTCCAGCAGTTTCATCTGCAATGTGAATTGCATATGTGCAGTTAACAATAAAGTCCCTCTGTCTAGCTTCTAACTTGTCAGACACAGCAAAGAGGGTGCAAAGATGTTCGGACTGAGAAGATGAGCACTTGGCTCCCCAGGCAGGGGCTCGTGGTGACTGGAGAATGAGAACTGGATCCTAGACTCTAGGCAAGGCTGCCCGCCCCTCCCTGCCCCTACTCCCTTGGGAGTGGAGCCTTCTCAGCAGAGGTGCCAACCAGATCAGGGGTCTTGAAAGGCAGTACAATGACTCTGGGTCAGACATCCTCGATTGCTCCTAGGTAGATCACTACACTCAGCAAACGCCCAGGATCCTCCTGAGAATGAGAGTGTTTCTCCAGCACAGCTTACAGAGAAGCCCCTGAAAGCCCGTGAGGCCACTGCTGGGGTGTGGAACAGCTGCACTGGTCACCTGTGGATACCTGTGACCAGCAGCGCATGAGTCTTTCCTAAAGGTGTCTCTATCCAGGTAAAACTCAAAGTTAGATGGGCTGAAAAACTGATGAGGTTTGAGCACCACTTTTCAATGATTTAAAAGAAGCAAACCGTGCTGACAACATAGGAGTGTACACAAATTATTTCAGATGAGTTTATCAACAGTCTTTGTATTAGGCCATTGTTGCATTGCCATAAAGAAATACCTGAGACTGGTCATTTATAAAGAAAAGAGGTTTAATTGGCTCACAGTTCTGCAGGTTGTAGAGGACACGATTGAACATGGTGTCGACGTCTGCTCAGATTCTGGGGAGGCCTCAGGATGCTTATAGTCATGGCAGAAGGCGAAAGAGGAGCAGACCTCTCATATGGCAGGAGCAGGAGCAAGAGCAACAGAGAGTGTGAGGTGCCACACACTTTTAAACACCCAGATCTCAGGAGAATTCACCTGCCACGAGGACAGCACAAAGGGGATGGTACTAAACCATTTATGTGAAATCCACCCCCAAGATCTAATCATTTCCCACCAGGCCCCACCTCCAGCCTTGGGGATAACATTTCAATATGAAATTCAGGTGGGGACACACCTGCAAACCCTATAAGTGTTCAAACTTTTTGATTATGGGTCCCTACCATAAAAAAACTTTTAAGCATGTACTTGCATTCTATGTATATTCACATAAGCGTATAGACTTATCACTGTACTCAATACTGTGCACATTACAAATCAAATACAAAACAGAAATGCTTAAAGTGTAATATAAACCATAGTTTTCCTGCTGTCATACTCACCATTTGGAAATAACAGTTGTGAACGGTGCTTCTCACACTTCAGACATCTGCACACTGTTAATGGGTTTTTGGTGCATATAGGGACTGCCATGTTTAGTACAATCTTAAGAAAAGTTATAACAATATTTAAGACTAACATTAATTGTGAAATAATCTCTCTTTCCTGCCATTGAAAAGCATGAAATCCAGTCCAGTAGACTGCCCGATTCACAGGACAGCTAGTTACTCTACATTTGGTAAATAGAACCTTCTGATACAAATTCATGGTCCTCTTGGGAGTCAGTGACTGGTGACTCTCAGCTAGTTCTATACATTCAGCTTAATCATGATCATGGATGCAGAAGTTGTACAGAAATTGCTATGAAAAATCACTTACAGGATTGGAGAGATGCTAAATGGAAGGCCTCTCAGATTCAAAAGCTGGAAGTTTGAGTTATGTAAATTTAGGAAATCATGGAAAATAAATTCCTCATCCTCTCTTGGATTGACTTGACTCTGCGAAGTATTCTTTCATTATCTGTGGCAGCATTAGGATGTGGTTTATAAATATTCCCAGTAACATCTCATTGATTTCATTTTCTGAGTAGTGAAGAAAATCATCAAGTATGGAAAAGAGTTAAGCTCCCAGTGTGCCCAAGTTTGGTCTCTAATAATTCCTAATATTACAACCTCAATGGTGAAAACTGTAATCATTCAGTTGTAGGTGACAGGTTCAGGCTAGGCCAAATAGTAATATATTCCCAAACCACCACATATCACAAAATCATCTTTACCGGTTTTATCAACAACATGAAGAAGTGATTTTACCTCCGTGTAAATTTATGCAAACAGCTTTTCTATTAGCAATGTATTTTGGTGTTTTTAAATGCAGTTTCATAGCCCACTCCCTCACTCAAAATACTGTAAATAAAAAACACCTTATGTCTAAGATTTTATCTTCTCCGCAATTTTCACTATTTCCTTTAACAACCAGAGTCATGTTGTTGACTATGAACCTTTCTCTTTGAATAAACACTGACTATTGGTGGAATCACTTTATTTTTATATAAAAGCCCTTGTTCATTGAACATATTTCAGCCATCTTAAAAATACTAGTCCCCATGCAGGGAACCCCTGGCTTGGGCCCACAGCACAGACTCTCCATCCTGGACTGATTGCACTGAGTGATTGACGACCTGCATTTCTCTGGGGTGGAGTCCCCAGGAGACAAGCAAAAGACCCTTGGACACAACCACTACTAATGTCCCTTCCTCTGCTGCCTCCAAGTTGGGGAGGGAACATAAACCCTGAGATCACCCCAGAGCTGTGGTGGGTAGCTCAGGAGTGCCAAGCTGCAATCTACAGCCAGCACTCAAGTGAGAGAAGAGCCAAAATTTCAGAGCACTGAGAGGGAGTGTGGCTGCAACAGTAAGGAAATATAGGGAAGCCACACAACTGAGCAACAGCCTAACAACTGACCGATATGCCTAAGCACCACCTACTGAATCACACTCCAAAGCTTCAACCCCCAAAATACCTCACTAACATACCCTACTGTGAAACCAAAGACAAGCAGTCAGCTACAAATAAAGATGCTGCACAAAAAGCCTCATCCCTGTGAAAACATCCAGAAAAGAAGTCTATTGACTGTACTCAATATACACTGCAGTTAAAGGAACACCCACATGCAGAGATGAGAAAGAACCAATGCAAGAACTCAGGTAATGCAGTAGTTCTCCAACAAGAGTTCTTTTTTTCTTTCCTTTTCTTTTTTTAAGACGGAGTCTCGCTGTGTCACCAGGCTGGAGTGCAGTGGTGTGATCTTGGCTCACTACAACCTCTGCCTCCCAGGTTCAAGCCATTCACCTGCCTCAGCCTCCCAAGTAGCCGGGACTACAGGCACGCACCACTACACGCAGCTAACTTTTGTATTTTTAGTAGAGACGGGGTTTCACCCTGTTGGCCAGGATGGTCTCAATCTTTTGACCTTGTGATCTGCCCACCTCAGCCTCCCGAAGTGCTAGGATTACAGGCATGAGCCACTGCGCCCGGCCCCAACAAGAGTTCTTAACCAAGTTCAGTTGGCTGAAAAGACAGAAATATAATTCAGAATATGGATAGGAACAAAGATCCTCAAGATTCAGAATAGTAAAACCCAATCCAAGGAAACTAAATATCACAATAAAATGATACAGAAGCTGAAAAATGGCATAGCCAGATCCTAATGGATCTCACAAAACTGAAAAACACTACAAGAATTTCACAATGCAATTGCAAATATCAGTAGTGGAATAGACCATGCTGAGGAAGGAATCTAAGAAATTAAAGACTGCCTCTCTGAAATAAGACAGTCAAATGAAAATAAAGAAATTAGAATGAAAAGGAATGAACAAAACCTCTGAAAAATATGGAATTATATAAAGAAGGCAAATCTACCAACCACTGGTGTCCCTGAAAAGGAAGGGGAGAAAGCAAACAACTTGGAAAACATATTTCAGGATATCATCTATGAAAACTTCCCCAGTCTCGCTGGAGAGGCCAACAGTCAAATTCAGGAAATAGAGAACTCCTGCAAGATTCTACTCAAGAAGATCATCCTTAAAACACGTAATCATCAGACTTTCCAAGGTTGAAATGAAAGAATGGTAGAGGCAGCTAGAGAAAAAGGGCAGATTGCCTACAAAGGGAACACCATCAGGCTAGCAGTCCACCCCCCAGCTGAAACCCTACAAGCCAGAAGAAACTAGGGGCCTATAGTCAACATTCTTAAAGAAAAAAAAAATAACCAAGAATAGCCAGCCAAACTAAGCTTCCTACGTGAAGAAGAAATCCTTTTCAGATAAGCAAATTTTGAGGGAGTTTGTTACCACCAGATCTGCTTACAAAAGATCTTTAAAGGAGAACTAAATATAGAAAGGAAAGACCATTACCAGCAAATACAAGAACACACTTAAATACACAGACCAGTCACACTATAAAGCAACATAATAACCAGCTAAAAACACAAGGACAGGATCAAAACCACTCATATCAATACAAACCTTGAATGTAAATGGGCTAAATGCCCCCACTTAAAAGGCACAGAGTGGCAAGCTGAATAAAAAAGCAAGACCCAATGGTATCCTGTCTTCAAGAAACCGATCTCACACATAATGACACCCATAGGCTCAAAATAAAGAGATGGAGAAAAAATCTACCAAGCAAACGGAAATCATAAAAAGCAGATCCCATCACCAATATATATGCACCCAACATAGGAGCACCCAGATTCATAAAACAAGTTCTTAGAGACCTTTAAAGAGACATAGACTCACACATAATAATAGTGGGAAACCTCAAAACTCCATTGACAGTATCAGACAGAACATCAAGACAGAAAGTTAACAAAGGTATTTAGAGGCTGAACTCAACATTGGACCAAATGGATCTGATAGAGCTCTACAGAACTTTCCACCCAAAAACAACAGAATATACATTCTTCTCATCACCACATAGCACACTGACCACGTAATCAAATATAAAACAATCCTCAGCAAATGCAAAAGAACCAAAATCATACCAAACACATTCTCAGACCACAGCAAAATAAAAATAGAACAGGACTAAAAAAATTGCTCAAAACCATCAATTACATGGAAATTAAACAACATCCTCCTGAATGACTTTTGAATAAAAAATGAAATTAAGGGAGAAATCAAGAGTTCTTGGAAACTAATGAGAGCAAACCTATAACATATGAGAATCTCTGGGACACAGCTAAGGCAGTGTTAAGATGGAAACTCACAGTGCAAAACATCCACATCAAAAAGTTAGAAAGATCTCAAATTAACAACCTAATATCACAACTGAAACAACTAGAAAAGCAAGAGCAAACCAACTACAAAGTGAGCAGAAGACAAGAAATAACCAAAATCAGAGCTGAACTGTAGAAAATTGAGACACGAAAAACCATTCAGAAGATCAACAAATCCAGGAGTTTGTGTTTTGAAAAAAATTAATAAGATAGACAGGCCACTAGCTAGACTAATAAAGAAGAAAAGAGAGATGATCCAAACAAACACAATTAGAAATAACAAAGGGGATGTTACCACTGACCGCACAGAAATAAAAATAACCGGAAGAATCTACTATGGACACCTCTATGCATACAAACTAGAAAACCTAAAAGAGATGGATAAATTCCTGGAAACATACACCCTTCCAAGACTGAACCAGGAAAAAATTGATTCCCTGAAGAGATCAATAATAAGCTCCAAAATCGAATCAGTAATAAATAGCCTATCAACCAAAAACAGCCCAGGACCAGATGAATTCACAGCCAAATTCTACCAGATGTACAAAGAAGAACTAATAGCATTCCTACATAAACTATTCCAAAAAATTGAGGAGGAGGGATTCCTCCCCAACTCATCCTATGAGGCCAGCATCATCCTGATACCAAAACCTGGCAGAGACACAACAAAAAAAAGGAAAACTTTGGGCCAATATCCTTGATGAACATTGATGCAAAAATCCTCAACAAAAACAACAAAAAAACTTGCAAACTGAATCCAGCAGCACATCAAAAGGCTAATCCCAAGGATGCAAGGTTGGTTCAACATATGCAAATCAGTAACTGTGATTCACCACCTGAACAGAACTAAAGACAAAAATCACATGATTATCCCAACAGATGCAAAAAAAAGGCTTCTGATAAAATCCAACAAACCTTCATGTTAAAAACTCTCAATGAACTAGGTATTGAAGGAACATACCTCAAAATAATAAGAGCTATCTATTACAAATCCACAGCCAACATTATACTGAATGGGGAAAAGCTGGAAGCATTCCCCTTAAAAACCAGTGCAAGGAAAGGATGCTGTCTCTCACCACTCTTCTTCAACATAGTGTTGGAAGTCCTGGCCAGAACAATCAGGCAAGAGAAAGAAATAAAGGTCATCCAAATAAGGACACAGGAAGTCAAACTCTCCCTGTTTGTAGATGACATGATCCTATATCTAGAAAACCCCATAGTCTCAGCCCAAAAGCTCCTTCAGCTGATAAACAACTTCAGCAAAATTTCAGAATACAAAATCAATGTACAAAAATCACTAACATTGCTACACACCAACAACAGCCAAGCTGAGAGCCAAGTCAAATACAATCTCATTCACAATTGCCACAAGAAGAATAAAATACCTAGGAAATACAGCTTATCACAGAGGTAAAAGATCTCTACAATAAGAACTACACGACACTGCTCAAAGAAATCAGAGATGACACAAACAAATGAAAAAACATTCCATGTTCATGGATAGGAAGAATCAACAGCATTAACATGGCCATACTACCCAAAGCAATTTACAGATTCAATTCCATTCCTATCAAACTACCAGCAACATTTTTCACAGCACTAGAAAAAACTATTTTAAAATTCATGTGGAGGTTGGGTGCAGTGGCTCACACCTGTAATCCCAGCACTTTGGAAGGCCAAGGCGGGTGGATCACCCAAGGTCAGGAGTTCAAGACCAGCCTGGCCTACATGGTGTAACCCTGTCTCTACTAAAAATACAAAAATTAGCCTCGTGTGGTGGCACATGCCTGTAGTCCCAGCTACTAGGGAGGCTGAGGCAGGAGAATTACTTGAACCCAGCAGTGGGAGATTGCAGTGAGCCGAGATTGCACCACTGCACTCCAGCCTGGACAACAGAGCGAGACTCCATCTCAAAAAAAAATATGAATTTTTTTAAAAGCCAGAATAGCCAAAACAATCCTAAGCAAAAAGAACAAAGCTAGAGACATAATGTTACCAAACTTCAAACTATACTACAGGGCTACAGTAACCCAAATAGCATTGTACTGGTACAAAACAGACACACCGACCAATGGAACAGAATAGAGAACCAAGAAATAAGGCCACACAACTATGACCATCTGATCTTTGACAAAGCTAACAAAAACAAGCTATGGGGAAAGGACTCCCTATTCAATAAATTGTTTTGAGATAATTGGCTAGTGATATGCAGAAGATTAAAACTGGACCCCTTCCCTACACCATTTACAAAAATCAACTCAAGATAGATTAAAGGCTTAAATGTAAAACCCAAAACTATAAAAACATTGGACAGCAACTGAGGCAGTACCATTCTAGACAGAGGAATGGGCAAAGGTTTCATGATGAAGCCACCAAGAGCAATTGCAACAAAAGCAAAAATTGACAAATGGGATCTAATTAAACAAAAGAGCTTCTGCACAGCACAAGAAACTATCAACAGAGTAAATAGACAATCTACAGAATGGGAAAAATATTTTATAAACTAAGCATCTGACAAAGGTCTAACAGCATCTATAAGAAACTTAAATTTATGAGAAAAAACAAACAACCCCATTAAAAAGTGGGAAAAGGACATGAACAGACACTTTTCAAAAGAAAATATATGTATTAGTCTATTTTCATACTACTATGAAGAAATATCCAAGACTGGGTAATTTAGAAAGAAAAACAGGCACCTGTAACTCACATGGACTCACAGTTCCACATGGCTGGGGAGGCCTCACAATCATGGTGGAAGGCGAAGGAAGAGCAAAGGTACATCTTACACGGTGGCAGGCAAAAAAGAGGGTGTGCAGGGGAATTGCCCTTTTATAAAATCATCAGTTCTCAGGAGACTTATTCACTATCACAAGAATAGCATGGGAAAAATCCACCCCAATGATTTGAAGGGGTGACCTGCCCCACCACACCCGTGGGTATTTCTAGTTGGGTGGGACGAGAGACTGAGAAAAGAAATAAGACACAGAGACAAAGTATAGAGAAACAACAGTGGGCCCAGGGGACCGGCACTCAGCACACCAAGGACCTGCACCGGCACCAGCCTTTGAGTTCCCTCAGTTTTTATTGATTATTATTTTCATTATTTCAGCAAAAAGGAATGTAGTAGGAGAGCAGGGTGATAATAAGAAGGTCAACAAAAAACATGTAAGCAAAAGAATCTATATCATAATTAAGTTCAAGGGAAGGTACTATGCCTGGACGTGCACGTAGTCCAGATTTATGTTTCTCTCCACCCAAACTTCTCAGCGGAGTAAAGAATAACAAGACAGCATTACTGCAAACATGTCTTGCCTCCCGCCACAGGGCAGCTTTTCTCCTATCTCAGAGTAGAACAAATGTACAATCGGGTTTTACACCGAGATACTCAGTTCCCAGGGGCAAGCAGGAGACGGTGGCCTTCCTCCATCTCAACTGCAAGAGGCTTTCCTCTTTTACTAATCCACCTCAGCACAGACCCTTTACGGGTGTCGGGCTGGGGGACAGTCAGGTCTTTCTCATCCCACGAGGCCATATTTCAGACTATCACATGGGGAGAAACCTTGGACAATACCCTGCTTCCAAGGGCAGAGGTCCCTGTGGCTTTCCACAGTGCATTGTGCCCCTGGTTTATTGAGACTAGAGAATGGCAATGACTTTTACCAAGTATACTGCTTGTAAACATTTTGTTACCAAGGCACGTCCTGCACAGCCCTAGATCCCTTAAACCTTAATTTTATAGAACACATGTTTTTGTGAGCTCCAGGTTGGGTCAAAGTGGCTGGGGCAAAGTGGTTGGGGCAAAGCTACATATTAACAACATCTCAGCAAAGCAATTGTTTAAAGTACAGGTCTTTTTCAAAATGAAGTCTCTTATGTCTTCCCTTTCTACATAGGCACAGTGACAGTCTGATCTTTCTTTTCCCTACATGATTCAATTATCTTCCTCTGGGTCCCTCCCATAACATGTAGGGATTGTGGGAGCTACAATTCAAGATGATATTTGGGGGGGACACAACCAAACCATATCATTCATCCCCTGGCCTCTCCCAAATTTCATGTCCTCACATTTCAAAACCAATCATGCCTTCCCAACAGTCCCCCAAAGTCTAAACTCATTTCAGCATTAACTCAAAAGTCCACAGTCCAAAGTCTTATCTGAGACAAGGCAAGTCCCTTCCACCATGAGCCTGTAAAATCAAAAGCAAGTTAGTTACTTCCTATATACAATGAGGATACAGGCATTGGGTAAATACACCTGCTCCAAGTGGGAGAAATTGGCTAAAATGAAGGGGCTAGAGGCCCCATGCAAGTCCAAAACCCAGCAGGGCAGTCAAATCTTCAAGCTCCAGAATTATCTCCTTTGACTCCATGTCTCACATCCAGGGGATACTGATGCTAGAGGTGGGTCCCCATGGTCTTGGGCAGCTCTGCTACTGGGCTTTTCAGGGTACAGGCCCACTCCTGGCTGTTTTCATGGCTGTCATTGAGTCTTCTGTGGCTTTTCCAGGCACATGGTGCAAGCTGTCAGTGGATCTACCATTCTGGGGTCTGGGGGACAGTGGCCCTCGTCTCACAGCTCCACTAGGCAGTGCCCCAGTTGAGACTCTGTGTAGGGGCTCCCACCCCACATTTCCCCTCCACAGTGCCCTAGCAGAGGTTCTCCACAAGGTCTCCGCCCCTGCAGCACACCTCTGCCTAGACATCCAGGCATTTCCATACATCCTCTGAAATCTAGGCAGATGTTCCCACACTTTAATTCTTGCCTTCTGCACACCCACAGGACCAACACCACATGGAAGCTGCCAAGGCCTGGGGCTTGTATCCTCTGAATCCACAGTACAAGCTGTACATTGACCCCATTTAGCCACAGATGAAGCGGATGGGATGCAGAACACAAAGTCCCAAGGCTGCACATAGCAGGGGGGCCCTGGACCTGGCCCAGGAAACCATTTTTCCCTCCTAGGCCCACTGTGATGGGAGGGGCTGCCATGAAGGTCTCTGGCATGCCCTGGAGACATTTTCTCCATTGTCTTGGTGAATAACATTCTACTCCTCATTACTTATGCAAATTTCTGCTGCCAGCTTGAATTTCTCCCCAGAAAATGGTTTTTCTTTTCTATTGCATCATCAGGCTGCAAATTTTTCAAACTTTTTTGCTCTGCTTCCTCTTGAACTTTTCACTGCTTAGAAATTTCTCCCACCAGATACCCTAAATCATCTCTCTCAAGTTCAAAGTTCTACAGTTCTCTAGGACAGAGGCAAAATGCCACCAGTCTCTTTGCTAAAGCGTAGCTAGAATCACCTTCACTCCAGTTCCCAATAAGTTCCTCATCTCCATCTGAGACCACTTCAGCCTGGACTGTTTGGTCAAAACCACTCAACAAGTCTCTAGAAAGCTCCAAACTTTCCCACATCTTCCTGTCTTCTTCTGAGGGCTCCAAACTGTTCCAACATTCGCCTGTTACCCAGTTCCAAAATCACTTCCACATTTTCAGGTATCTTAATAGCAGTATCCCACTCTCAGCACAAATTTACTATATTAGTCCATTTTCAAACTGCCTGGAAGAAATACCTGAGACTGGGCAATTTATAAAGAAAAAGTGATTTAATAGACTCACATCTTGATATGGCTGAGGAGGTCTCACAATCATGGAGGAAGATGAAGGAAAAGCAAAGGCACATCTTACATGGCAGGCAACAAGAGAGCATGTGCCAGGGAACTGCCCTTTTATAAAACCATCAGTTCTTGTGAGACTTATGCACTATCATGAGAACAGCATAGGAAAAACCTGCCTCCATGATGCAATTACCTCACACTGGGCCCCTCCCACAATATGTGGGGATTATGGGAGCTACAATTCCGGATGAGATTTGGGTGCATACACAGCCAAACTATATCAATATATATGTGGCCAACAAGCATATGAAAAAAAGCTCAGTGTCACTGATCATTAGAGAAATGCTAATCAAAACCACAATGAGATACCATCTCACACTAGTCAGAATGGCTATTATTTTATTTTTTTGTTAGTTTTGAGACAGAGTTTCACTCTTGTTGCCCAGGCTGGCGTGCAATGGTGCAATCTCAGCTCACTGCAACCTCTGCCTCCTGGGTTCAAGCGATTCTCCTGTCTCAGCCTCCTGAGTAGCTGAGATTACAGGTGCCCACCACCACACCTGGGTAATTTTTTGTATTTTTAGTAGAGACAGGGTTTCAGCATGTTGGCCAGGCTGGTCTCGAACTCCTGACCTCAGGTGATCCACCTGCCTCAGTCTCCCAAAGTGCTGGGATTCCAGCTGTGGGCCACCGTGCCCGGCCTCAGAATGGCTACTGTTAAAAAGTCAAAAAAATAACAGATGCTGGCAAGTTTGCAGAGAAAGAGGAACACTTGTACACTGTTGGTGAGAGTGTAAATTAGTTCAATCATTGTGGAAAGCAGTATGGTGATTCCTCAAGGAGCTAAAAACAGAACTACCATTCAACCCAGCAATCCCATTACTGAGTATATACCCAAAGGAATAGAAATAATTCTGCCATAAAGATACATCCACACATATATTCATTCCAGCACTATTAACAATAGCAAAGACATGCAATCAATCTAAATACCTATCAATGACAGACTGGAACAAGAAAATATGGTACATATACACCATGGAATACTATGAAGCCATAAGAAAGAATGAGATCATGTCTTTTGAGGGAACATGGATGGAGCTGGAGGCCATTATCTTTAGCAAGCTAACGCAGAAACAGAAAACCGGATAACACATGTTCTCACTTGTAAGTGAGAGCTAAATGAGAACTCATGAACACAAAGAGGGAAAAGCACACACTGGGGCCTACCTGAGGGTGAAGGGTGAGAAAAGGGAGAGAAGCAGGAAAAATAACTGATGGATACTAGGCTTAATACCTGGGTGATGAAGTAATCTGTACAACCCCCATGCCACAAATTTACCTATGTAACAAACCTCCACATGTCCCCAAGAACCAAAAATAAAAGTTAAAAAAAAAAATACTAGTGCCACTGATCCTTTTCCAGGCTCCAGCACAGCTCACAAAGTAATGATTAACTAAACAACAAAATTTTTATTGTATATATTTTCAGTAAAAGAAAAAACAAATAAAAATTATCCAGCTGTCTCCCCTCATCTATACTTGGTACTTCATGTCAGACATGAAGCGTAGATCTATGAGCACATGTGCATGACAGTCCTTGATTTTCCAGTGTCAGCCACTGGTACTATGCAACCTCCAACACTGATTCTAATGTTTGATCATGGAATTTTGTCAATGGCTTGATTGCCATGTTCCCTGGATGAAAACCAATCAATTTTTATAGCTGGTTTTACAAGCATCTTGTCAGTCAAGTTTGTAAATTGCACGCATTTTTCTTTAAGGAATTCACCTTTCCATAATCTCTCTGTAGCACTGGTCATTTCTCTACCACTACTGAGGGAGAAAAAAAAGTCCATTTTAAAAATTGAAAATATTTAATTTTTTGTTATTCTAAATATCTGCAATTGCCTTACCAAAAAAAGGTAATGGGGTTTTGTTTTTAAAACGCCTCAAAGTTTGTATGGATTGGTGCCACACTTTGAAAGAATTCTAGCCCAGACATCATGCCACAATAAACAGGGATAAATGGATTCTATATCTTAAAAAATCTACTGTTAGGGCATTCACACATGACCTTTCGACTGCTTGTTCAAAATCTTCACACTCAAAAAGTCAACATTTATGAGCATACATAGATTCACATTTTATATTTACCTAGAAACCCAGTTACTATTTGCATTTATGAAATTATTTTGATTTTAATATATGCATTGCTATTTTCCTCACTATTTTTATTCCTCAATGAAACACTTTCAAGCCTTTGATCCATTTTTGTGAATTATGAGTATGATACAACACAAAACTAACAACTCAACATGCAAATTTAACAAATCTGAATAATACCATGCAAATAATATAAAAATATGCTGGTTGAGATAACTTCCTATAAATTGGAAGTTAGATAAGACAGACCAGTGGAATCCATAGAGTTCATGCACAGCTTTTAAGAGTAAAAGTATTATTAAGAATGCAATGGCATTCTATGAAAATCGTAATGAAACGTTTATTACAAATATGTAAAATGTTCATAGGATGTTTTTAAACTTTTTCCTCTAAAACCACCAGCAGCACAACTGTTAGTCCACAAGAGACCTTGAAAGTCGAGAAAACTAAATGCTGTGCTGGAGATCCAGATGTGGACATCCCTTCCCAATGTCAGGTTCTGCAACATCAATCTCATTGATAGCTTGAAATTGGCCATGGTGGAGTCATTTATACCTTGAATATGCCCAATCACTATAAATTAAGACTTTTCGGGGTGAGGGAGTGCTGTGATGATACCCAGTTTACCAGCACAACACTGGGAAGGCTGCATTTTTAGGAGCCCTAGAGGCTCCTAAAAATTCTAACCATAGAATTCTAACCATAGAATCCCTTCTTCCCACATTCAATCAGTTGTCAAATCATTCATTCAGTCATTCGACATATACTTGAATACACTGTAGAACATGCACTGTTCCAAGCCCTGGGTCTAAGTGCAAGGGAGTGAACAAAACAGATGTGTTCTTGCCGTCATAGATGGATAATTCGGTAGTTGAAACAAAACTGTAAATTACTTAACAAAAAATATTATAATATAAAACAAGTGCTATAAAGAAACAGAGCTGGGAGTGATGATGCAGTAACAGAAAGGAAACAGACCTGACTCACACATCAGGGAAGGCTTCTCCAAAGAGGGCAAGAGGATGAGGCTGTCAGTTTCCAAAGAGAAGGAAGAGCTCTGAAGGTTCTGAGTAGGAAATGCCCACCGTGTGCATCCCAGAATGCAGGCAGTGGCTGGAATGCTGGGAGAGAGGAGGGCAAAGGAAAGGAAGCTGAAGAGATGCTCAGGGTTGCATCCTCCTGGTCCTGAAGGCCACAGTGAGGAGTCTGAAGTTTACTTCCAGGAAAATGGGAAATAATGAAACTGTTTTAGGCAGGTGAGCAACATGTTATTTTATTTCTATATATTTATTTATTTATATATATTAGAATATATTACATATATAATATAGATATGTCTGTCTTATATACGTCTATCCTAATATATATTACATATATAATACAGATATATCTATCATAGCTGGATGGGGAACAGAAGCAGTAGGAAAATTTAGGCAAGATGGAGGTTTGGACTAATGTGGTCAAAGAGAAGATGGAGATTGGTGGATAGATATGAGATGTATTTAACACACGAAAACAACAGGGTTTGCTGACTCACTGCCAGGAAAACAGAAATTGAAGATAACAGTGTCCTGGCTTGAGTGACTTCGATGATGAGACAACTTATTAAGATTGAGAAGACAGGTAGAGGAACAAAACTGTGAAAGACAAGGGGAAAGAGAGAGGTTGGTGGAAATATCCTGTTTGAGAGGCCTCTCAGCAATCCACGGGCAAGGCCAGGTGGGCATTTGGATAATACTCACAATGTTTCTCCTTTTCTATTACCATTAGCTAAGACCTTCAGGGGATATTTTGTCATCTAAAAATGCCCCCCTTATGGAATCTATCCCATGCAACACTGACATATTTGCCTTCTTAAAATGTCATGATGATTGTTGATTCTCTTTTCAAAAATTGCCCCTGCTTCCCTAGATTAACTTGAGCCACAAGCTCCCATCTGCTCTTATCTCTCACTATGTCTCTACAAACACCAGCCAAGTTAAAACATTCTCCCATCACTCCCCAGATATTTCTGATTGTACATTTCTTCATGTCCTGTCCTGCTCTCTGCTTGTAGTTCTCCCATCACCGCTTCAGTTTCCACTACCTCAGACTACCTTCTACTACTATCCTGTCAGATGCCCTGATCTTTGTGACATCCTCTCAATTCAAACATGAATATGAATGTGTACCACTTAGGAAGTTGTGTGATGGGTTTTGTAAAAGGAACCCACACTTTGGCATCAGAAGCTCTGGGGTAAGTGCTATCCCTATCATTTATTATCTGTGTTTTGAAAAACTTGCTTAACCTATTTGGGCTGTGACTTATTCATTTATGAAATGGAAGTACCATGTGTGTTGTGGAAATTCAATGAAACTGAAAACAAAAATGTTTTCAAACTTTCAGACCCATAACAATGCTAGTTTCTCAATTTTTAACCCATGTTCCCTTTTGATAAACATAATAACAATGTTTAGCTTCTGAGTATAAATTCATGTAATAATGTTGAATATTTTTGTAAATACTCATCACTGCCTGGCGAGTCTTTCTTCTTTGAATGGAATGCAACCATCCTACTTAAACCCACTAGTTAAAATCCCTGTTTGAAGGTAAAAATATGATTGGGTCCGTCACTATCATTTGTATATATGGTTTATCATCTTTATTAAATAACATTATCTATCATCTTACTCATTTTTGCAATACATAAGTATTTATAATACAATCTACCCAGTAAAACCTCAATAAATATTAATTGAATCAATGAATTGATTGGATTCAATTGCAAATTAATTGAGCATCACAAATAAATCATTCTTGATGTCGAGAAAATTGAAAATAAGGACCTAACAAGAAGGATTCTGGGGAAAAAGAAGGCATTGTATACAACATATACAATTCATTTCTTCAGTCACCCTTCATCAGCTGAGACACACATTATCCATCTCATTCTACCACTTAGTGGTTTTCACCTTCCGTAAATCATGTCTCTGTGTTTTCGCTCATACTGTTCTCTCTGCCAGGAATGCTCATCTCATTCCCCCCACCAACTCTCAGCACAACCTTAATCTTCCTAGAGAAAACCTAAATTACAATAGCTGGAACCCAAGGGAGAGTCAGCACCAACAATGCAGGAGAGAAAAAAAATGGTGGAAGAGTGTCATGCCAATGCAAGACTTTCTTTTATGATATGCTGATGAATATACCAGTGATCAAATTTGACTCAATCCATAAATTACACCCTGCTATCCTTGAGTCAATAAAACTCATATTCTACTTAGGCCCACATGTGTCTAGGGCAAGTTCCTTCTGAATCCTCTCTTAAAATGTCTTGGAAACAAAGGCTATAAGAACCAGTCCTTGTCAAAAATAGATATTCTTCTGCCTGATGCCTACTTCCTCAGACCCATCATTTTGACATCCAATAACAGCCCCCAAGAATTGCACACATTTATTGAGAACATACTGTTTGCCAGGAACATTATCCTTTAATCCTCAAAGTTATCTTATAATGTTGACACTTTCATTGTCCCCATTTTAGGGATTGGGAAACTGAGGATTAGTGAGATTGAGTAATTTACTAAGGGTCACACAGCCACTACACATACAGTGGCAGCAAAATTTGAACCCAAGTCTGTCTGGTTCCAAAGTTCAAAATGTTACACATTGGTTTATGATACCAGTGGTCCCATATGATTCTGCTCAGGGGTGCTTTCTTCAGTTTGCCCCAACATGCGTGTTCCCTCTCCGTATTACCCCCATAATTACTGACCACATGTTTCAAGATTCAGGTTCCTGAACTTCTACAGTTAGAATCTTAATCAAGAATGGTGCCTAGGCTGGGTGTGGTGGCTCGTGCCTGTAATCCCAGCACTTTGGGAGGCCGAGGCAGGTGGATCGCCTGAGCTTAGGAGTTCAAGACCAGTCCAGGCAACATAGTGAAACCCTATCTCTACCAAAAATATGAAAAATTAGCCAGATGTGGTTGCACACACCTGTGGTCCTAGCTACTTGGGAGGCTGAGGTGGGAGGATCGCTTGAGCCTAGGAGATCGAGGTTGCAGTGAGCTGAGATCATGCCACTGCACTCCCACCCGGGTGACAGAGTAAGACTCCATCTCAAAAAAACAAAAAAAAGCCTATAAATTGATACCATCTTTTGTTCTTTAATCTAGAGGCTAGTTCCAAAAATAATAGAGATTTTAGACTACAATATTTCTTTCTCTCTGTAGACTTTAACATCTCAAATATCAGTGATGATTGCTTGTTAAGATGGAGAAGAGAATAGACACAAAATGCGCCTCAACATTTGCCTGCAGTAAAATGCGTAAGCTGAACGATGATTAGTAAATAAGATGGCCACATTACAGAAAATAGGTTTAATAAAATGTTGATGAGCTTCCTTTCTTCAAAGGTTAATAACCAGGAACACTTCCAAGCTAGTATTTCATCGGTAACTCTGAGTCGAAAACATGAAACTTACTTCCCTAACTCTGATATTGCTCATCAACCAGAATGCAGTGCTCTTTAAATTAGGGCTGCCTTGTTGCCATTAGTGGCAGTTTAAAAAACGTTTCCATTAACCATGAACAGAAGCTGATCGGGGAATGCAGTTCTTCTAAATCATCTGGGACACAAAAGATGATCTCCTTATGAGAATTATAATTCTATGGAATTATTAGCTTTATTTTTCTAAGTGAGCATCAATTTTTCCTTCAGGACATTTGTGTCTTTGGTGTTGAAGAAAGAACTACATTAATCAATCCTACCCTAATCCTGAGAGCTGTAATCCTCTTTTTATTTTCAAATCGATATCAGTGCAATGTGACCAGCATTTAAATGACCATTCCCTGTTCTATTTGCCAGTGTTTTACATGCCAAAGATATTTTCCCAAGGAGTCCTGCCATCGTTAAGATCAAACTTACCAAGGTCTCCGAGTCTTCTGAATCGGTTCAAAAGTAGGGAGAATTGGATTTGAGAGTGGCTCCTAGGCCTGGTCATCAAAACTGACTGCCAGGCAACCTCCCGCGTCGTGGAGTAGCTTGGGAGTTCCAGCTGCCAGTGGTGGCTGCCAGTGCCTTCACTCCCTCTGGAGCAGGAAACTCCTACTTAGTTTATCAACTGTAACTGCCAGCAGGCATTCTGCTGTGGACAGGAGCCTTAAAAATGCAATAACAGAACAGGAACTGGCAGAGGCCTCCCCCACTTAATTGAATCAGAGCTTTCTGGGAATTCGCTACTTTGACTCCAGACCGCAGACAAGCTTCACCTTCTCTTCCATTCAGGCCCCTAACTGAATCAAGTCTTGTAATTACACCTGGAGCTGTGCCAGACTCCATCTGTATCTTACAGTGGGGACTTAAATAAGGGAAGCAGCTTCCCTTCCATTGGCCAGGACCTCTTGACAAACTGACCATTCACTATCACCAACTCTTATGATATTATAGTGGTCATCAATAGCAAACTATTTCGGAATAAGGTGGCATTCTAGGATTTCCTGACGACCAAAGTTTAGCAAACCATCTATGACTCTCAGGGGAATTCTCAGTTCATGTCAGGTATAAACATATAGGCATTTTGTTTTACCTCCATCAGAATCAGCTGGAGAGAAAATAAAATCTTTCCTGCTTTATCATTCAGACCAAATTTCAATAAAAATTCTTATGGGAAATTGGGGAAAACATCTCAGCCTGCAAAATGGATTTTAAATAAAGATAACTTATCTTTATCATTAGTATGCATGCTAATGTATACTTACAAAATTGTAGTTTTGAATCTCCATCATTTTACTTTATTCTGACTCTGTTAAAGAACAAAGAGCTATTCTTCTTAGGATCACCAGGGAATGATGAAATGTCTCTGCCCAGTTTGAGAGCTTGCAGGGAGGCAGTCCCTTGAACAATGTGTATGGGAGCAGATGCCAGTTATCAGTGGCCCTTTCATGCACATGGTATTAGGAAGAGCACTTTCACCCTCCCCCTCTCCACATCCTCAAGTAAACGGTCATAAATGTACACCACTGTGAGGGTATAACTCAATCTCTAAAAGTTTTGTGACCAGATGTATAATTAGTTGCATTTGTCCTCCACCTAAGGAAAATAGGCCTGAGCCTCTCAGAGGGTTGCCCCATCTAAAGGACCCGGAAACTTTCCTTTGTCCTATTTACCCCCATTGTCAGAACTGGATACAAATCATGCCTAAGGATTCCAGTTAACGTGGAGCCTGCCTGTCTGGTAACTAACTCGAGCCACTTCCAAGGAGAAGGTAGTAGAGCTGGAGGCTCACACGGTCCACTTGAACATAGACCTCCACAAGAGCTTGGCTTGCAATCTGAGATTGGCATCATTGATGTCTTGTACCACTGGATTGATCCAAGAGCCACCCTCTCCCATCCCTATTCCAATTCTTCTTTCATCATGTACTAATTTCTTATCTACGCCCAGTTAATACTTGGCCTTAGCAGATGAGCCACCCCCTGCCTTCTCCTTCCTTCTCCACCGAGGCCCAGTGCCTTTTCCCCTCAGTTCATGCAGTGAAAAGGGAGTATGCTCACACATCTTTCAAGCTTGTGTCTGACACAGCCCAGAGAAGTAGAAAAAACACACAGGTGTAGTTTCAGACCTCGAGGAAATTCTCACTCTCTCACAACCCGACAGCTACACCTTTGGAAAGACAATCTCCCTGCATATAGGGGTGTTTCATTGTGGTTGGGTTGGTTGATTTCTAACAAAACTCATACTAATAGAAGTCATGTGTACATCAAAAGTATTGAATTAAGAAAAGAAGTCATTCTCCAAGGGGCTGCTCCTAATTATATTTTGCATTTTAACATTGACGATCCCTAGTCTTTGTTTCGGGCCTTCTATTTAGAACAGCGGTTTTCAATCTTGGCTGTACATTACAATCACCTGGGGAGCATTTAAAACCCACTATGCCCTGGCCACATGACAGACCAATTAAATCAGACCCTCTGAAGGTGAGACCCAGGCATCAGTAGTTTTCACAGCCCCCAGGTGACTGCAACGTGCAGCCATGGTTAAGGCCCGCTAGATTAGAAGGCCCTTCCTTAACTGGCTTTAACTGTTTTGATTTCAGGAATTTTACATACGCTGCAGTATATTTTCTTCATATAAAAATTATATTAAGTATACTCTGCTAGAGGAATTAGATATATAAAAGTTAAGGATGACTATTTCCATCAAAATGAAGTAAAACGTAAGCATTCTTTTTTTTCTCTGGAGAACCCAGACTAATACAGCGACTGTATTACTTGGTTCTCATGCTGCTACGAAGAAATACCCAAGACTGGGTAATTTATAAAGGAAAGAGGTTTAATTGACTCACAGTTCCATATGGCTGGGAAGGCCTCAGGAAACTTACAATCATGGCGGAATGGGAAGTAAATACGTCCTTGTTCACATAGCAGCAGGAGAGAGAAGTGCCAAGCAAAGGGGGAGAAGCCCCTTACAAAACCATCAGATCTCGTGAGAACTCACTCACTGTCATGAGAACAGTAAGGGGGTAACTACCCTCATGATTCAATCACCTCCCACTGGTTCCCTCCCACAACACATGAGGATTATGGGAACAAACAGAAAAGAAAAAAAGGTAAAAAAAAAAAAAGAATTCAAAGTGAGATTTGGGTGGGGACATGGCAAAATCGTATCAGTGATCAGGTGTCCTAATTTGTAAAATAAGGAAATAACATCAGTTGATCATCAAGATCCCTTTTATTTGTATAGTCAATGACATTTGAATAATGACTGCACCTCTGATTCAAACCACTTCTTTGGAAAAACCTTTGAACTAGAAGTTCAGTGTTTTACCAACTAGTAACTGTGTCTTTGAATAAATTACCAGCATCCTCTGATCCTTAGTTTCCAAGCGAAACACATATCTATTATTAACAAGCCCACTTATATAGCACTAGGGCTTTCCAGAATCATGCCCTTTTGATATATAGATCTACTTTACACTTGCCACTCTTTTTTTTACCTTTTCTTAAATTATTTAAAACCTATAGATTTTAAATATAGACCTGGCAAAATGAACTTTGTTATAATTTAGAAGTTTGGAAATAAGAATAAATGCTATGGTTAAAGCTAGCATTGTGACTGGGTTTTAGCAATATATTGTGAAAGGATAGATGGATTATTCCTTCTTGGATTCCCCTTCCAGTCCCTTAATGCCTGTATGTGTATATATATATATATATATATATATTTTTTTTTTTTTTTTTTTTTTTTTTGAGATGGAGTCTTGCTCTGTCGCTCAGGCTGGAGTGCCGTGGCACGATCTCAGCTCACTGCAAGCTCTGCCTCCCGGGTTCGTACCATTCTCCTGCCTCAGCCTCCCAAGTAGGTGGGACTATAGGCACCCGCCACCACGCCCGGCTATTTTTTTTTGTATTTTTAGCAGAGACGGTGTTTCACCATGTTAGCCAGGATGGTCTCGATCTCCTGACCTTGTGATCTGCCCGCCTCAGCCTCCCAAAGTGCTGGGATTACAGGTGTGAGCCACTGAGCCCGGCCAATGCCTATATATTCTTTTAAAACAAAAACATACAAAAAAAAAAAAAAACACCCAGCTCAGGCCTGCTCACCAAATTATGGAGTTGCACATGGATTGTCCCAGTCTATGTTGTAGCAGTTGAACTATTAAGACCCACTGTTCAAAGAGTTGCTTCTCTCTTGATCCATGCAGGAAAGATCCAGTTTTTCCAGAGGTCTGTGGACTGCTGGGACAACTCCCACCTCCCTTCTCTGCCTCACATCCGTCTTAAGAAGTTATAACCCTTTACTTCCATACTGGGCTAAGAATCCTTCTTTTCTTTTCTGTTGGGTTTTTACTCATTCAATCAATTGCCTATTGAGTGTCCTGTGGCAAGCACTGGTCAGAGTGCTTGACATACATCAGTGAATAAAACAAAGCAAGACCCCTGCTCTTGTGGATCTTACATCCTTGTGAGGGAGAGACAGACAACCTACATAACACATCAATAAATTATACAGCATACCAGAAGGTGGTAAGTGCTAGGGAAGAAACAAAATGTAGAACAAATTTAGAAGGACTAGGAATGCAGGAGGGAGTTGGTCGGGGCCAGAAAGGAATGTGATTTCATATAGGGCAGTGGTCCCCAACCTTTTTGGTACCAGGGACCAGGTTTATGGAAGACAATTTTTCCATAGACAGGGGTTGAGGGGGATGATTTAGGAATGAAACTGTTCCACCTCAGATCATCAAGCATTAATTAGACTCTCATAAGGAGCACCCAGCCTAGATCCCTCGCATGTCCAGTTCACAATAGGGTTCGCACTGCTGTGAGAGTCTAGTGCCATCGCTGATCTGACGGGAGATGGAGCTCGGGTGGTAATGCTCACTCACCCGTTGCTCACCTCCTGCTGTGCAGCCTGTTCCTAACGGCCCATGGACCGGTACCGGTCTGTGGCCCGGGACTTGGGGACCCCTGATATAGGGGACCTTGTTCCAGGTCTCCAGTCAGTCCTATAATTAAGTGACCAACCTGGCCACCCAAACTAGTTACACAGATCTCACACATTACCATAGGCTGAATATCCCTTATCTGAAATGCTTGGGATGAGAACTGTTTTGGATTTTGGAATATCTGCATATATACAATGAGATATCTTGGGGATGGGACCCAAGTATAAAAATAAAATACATATACATTTTGTATACATAGGCTGAAGATAACTTTATACAGTATTTTTAAATAATTTTGTTCATACAACAAAGTTTGTGTCCTTTGAATCACTGGAAAGTAAAGGAAGCAAGCGTGGAATTTTCCACTTGTGGCAACATGTCGGGGCCCAAAACCTTTCCAATTCTGAAGCATTTCAGATTTCAGAGCTTTGAATTAGGGATGCTCAACCCGTATGTGTTTTAAACCATAAAGCAGTATAAAAATAGCGGGATCTATTATAATAATCATCATTAGTCCGAGCCTAACTTCAGCTTATGAATAAAGGCATAAAGAATAAGTGGAGACTCTTCCTCATTTACTCTCTCCCTCTCACACACACACACACACACACCCCATGTACACACACACACAGCCACACACCACATACACACCACAAACACACATACACACACACCACACACCCCACACACAGCCTACACATACACACCCACACACCACATACACACATACACACACACCATATCAAAGACCAGACTGTATTTCAAGCCAAGCATCGATTTTTAACGCTTTGGGAAAACATTGTACCTTTGGCTGATCCTGTTTTAGTTCTTGGTGTGACTGGAAGGTAAAGGGCCTCGACTGGCAGGAGGCTTGGCCAGATCCGGCAGAGGAGGCACCCCTGCAGGCTTCAGCCCAGCGGCCTCTGCTGGCCTACTGTCTTGGCGCGATGCCAGCAACGGAATTTAATACCCGTCCCCAAACCAAGTGCTAAAATAAATAGACTGGGCCGTTTTCAAAGGAAAATGGTCACCTCCACAAAAACTGAATGCACGTAAATTGCTCATTCCTGGGAGAAGGGAGTACCGGAAGCCAAAGTACACTTTTTATGACAGACTTGCAGATAAAATAAAACTTTACCAGTCTCTAATTTTTTTTTTTTTTTTACTATTTTACTTTTTTCATAGGCTCGCAGTACTGTAAAAATGTTCCAGATAAAATTGGAATTACTACTAATTCACAGTGATTGATTGCTACCTTGAACACAGGGACGGGGACAAGAGAACAGAACACGTGGTATTGTTTGTACTTACACGGTTTGAGATCCAAGGGGAAGCCACAACATATATCCCCAAGAGGGACAAGCACTCCAACACCATGAATACTTTGCAAACAAATAAAGAGAGTTTATGGATAAAAGTGTAAAAGCATCACCATAATGTCATGGGAAGAATACGGAACGAGGCTCTATAAAAACCTTCATGCAAAACCTTGAATGTCCACTTTCTACTCACGTACCCTTGACCAAGTCCTCACCTGTAAAGCGATATACCCCTTTTTCCTTCCAAGACATATGGTGGTGTTGTAAGGACCAAGTGATGTAATATAATGCAAATATTTGGGTTACTAAAAAGCGTCATACAGATGTATAACATTTTATTTTGAATATACTTTTCACAGGAATTTTTCAAAAGCACACAAAAAGAAGAAAAATCTTGTAAGTATTATATGCTGCATTTCTTCAGTGCCTTGCCTGGTATTAAAAGATCTAGTGATTTATTAATGCTGATGAAGATTTAATGTAGGATTTTCATATTAAAACATTAAACTTTTGTAAATGAAGGCATATTTCAAAAGAAAAGAACCTAGGAGTGTTTGTATGCTAATAACAGACATTCTGAGCTACGTCTGTTCATTAAAATCAAATTTTCCAAGGCAACAAGCTGGGGATTCTTTATTTATTTGTAGGTTCTTAGTACTAAGAACTATCTGAACGTTTTCATTAGAATAATGTTTGAGCGTTAATATGGCCAAGATCTCCTAATTTGTTAACTAGGAATAATACGCTAAAAGAAAGCTGCTCTGATCCTACAATTTATTCAGTGGATTTCTCACACCACCCTTGGAAGGAGTCTTCATTTTAAATTAAGAGTGGATTGAAAAACAACAATTGAAATCAATCTGCCTCAAATGGTCACATCTTTAAACTTTTCTGAGACCAAAAAAAAATAATTATTACCTCTCGCTTTTTCCTTCATGAGAGATTTTGACACTTTAGACATGACTTGTCATTGACATCAATAGTGCAAGGCCCATCTATAATCAAAGTTATGAATGGCGGCAATTCATTTTTATATTCTCAAGTTTTAAAAATTGTTCTCCTTCTTCTTACATCTAGCCACTACTCACAGCTGGCACTCTAATATTTTCTAGCCTTCTTGGCCTCACCCACTGATTCACACAAATCCTCTTAAAATGCTGTTGGGCATCCCGATAGTTGCATGGGAAAAGAAGGGGCCAGACAAGGTCATGCTTGGCATGAACAATGAGGACAATAGCATTTCAGTCATGAGCAGGAGAGGACCGTTAAGGCGCAGGGAGAGTTGCAGCTCTCCGATGACAATGACACTATGCAGCCACATGTCTGAGGTCCCCCTAAACGGCCACTAACTAATCTGGTGATGGTGAGAAAAGGCGTCCAGGTCTTAGTTTGCTCATCTGCAAAAACATCTAATATTTGGGGGTGAGAGAATCCACAACTTGATCCAGTTATGCAATTTATCATTGTAGAAAGAGCAGTAAGACTAAGGTGAAGTTTTAGTCAATTTATACGAGTTTTTCCATATTGAGGCAACCCACACTTGGTCTATTAAATTGGTGTCAAATACTTTCTCACTTTTTGTTTGGTTTTTTAATCCATTTAGTATATTACTCCGATGTTGTTTTATTTTATTTCTAACTCAAAATATCCTTGAATTCATGGAAAACAAATGAGTTTGGGGAAATAATTGGCAAAATAGCTCAGTATGCTTTCAGATTTTCTCCCACCAAAAGTATCTCTGTCCTTGGCACTTTATGCTAAAACATGTTGAACTCATTGAAGCAGGATGAATGGCATTCATTTCTTAACCCATATCGTAAATAATGCATCATGGTGTGAGGTTCAGGGAAACAATTCTTGGGAGGGGGGATTATATAAGTTTCCATTTCAAAGTGAAACATCCCCAACTCTATGAGAAAATGTCTGAGCAATAAGAATATAAAGCTGGCAAGGTTGGGTGTTTGTGTTTAAGGTATAAGTTTCATCTCTTCACAAAAGACAAATTTCTTTTCCGTTTAGCTTTGTCATGGCAGTAAAACATTCTCTAAAACAATAAGCCATGGGACTGGCTGCTTCCCTTTTCCTCAAAGAAACAATGAATTCATAGACTATAAACGTATTCTGTTATATAGATAATTTTAAAGGACTGAAAGCTATGGTGAATCCCCTTGTCTGATTATTGTCTCACACACTCTGGAGAAACTCAGAAAGGCAAAGTACACAGGCAATCTCCTCCCCACACACCACCCGACCCCAAAATCAACACAGCCACCCACATAGGCACACATGAACACGCCTTCCTAGAGGAGAAAGCCTTTTCCAGGAAAAGGAATCAGTAAGAGCTCTGCTGACCACATCCTGGGTTTGGGATCACCTTTGCAAAGGGAAAGACTTTGCCAAAGAAATAACATGAATTTTAAATGTCTCAAATGCTTTTAAAATTAAATGTTTGGATTTTTTAAAAATTGCCATTCTCTGGCACCTCCACAGAATAGATTAGTGGTAAGTAAAAATCATTTTGTGAAATAATGTGGCAAAAATACGTAACAGTCGAGGGCAGCTCCTATCCTTGCTCATAGTCAAGGGCAGACGCAACACAGAGTCAGGCAGGAGAGCAAATGTGGTGAAAGACCAGAAAGACACAAGCACTCAAAGGATAGGCCCTGTGGCTCCTAGATTAGAAGTCTGACTTTTCAAGACCATGAAAGGTGATGGGATAACTAACTGTTCTGTAATTTTCATATGGATTTCATAAATAGGCTTTTCCAGAATTGCAGCAGAAGGGAGTTGGTGTGGACCCAGAGAATATGTTACCAGAAAGAGTGCTGCTGACGCCAGAGCACAGGCGAAGAGCCTCGGGGAGGCCACCCCACACTGGAGACCCGGCAACGTTGAATGGACACAGAACTTGTTGACAGTTTCATTATAATCACTCAGGGAACTAAACAGGCACTCCTTTTCTTGTAGCAAAAAATAGAAAAATGCTTGGGCACGGTGGCTCCTGACTATAATCCCAGCACTTTTGCGAGTCCAGGGCAGGAAGATCACTTGAGTCCAGGAATTTGAGATCAGCCTGGACAACATAGTGAGACCCCATCTCTACAAAAAAAAATTGTTTTAAAATTAACTGTGCATGGTGGCACACGGCTGTGGTCCTAGCTACCCAGAAGGCTGAGGTGAGAGCCTGGTTCAGCCTGGGAGGTCGAGTCTGCAGTGAGTTCTGATGGTGCCACTGCCTTTCACTCCAGCCTGGGTGACAACATGAGACCCTAGCTCTACAAAAAAAAAAAAAAAAGTGGAAATAGCCTAGAAAAATCTATTTTTTCCCTCCTTTCATAGGTTTCCCTTACAAAGAATTTTGGGTTTTATTTTTATAAAATAAAAATAAAAGTTTTATTTTTATAAAATAAAAATAAAAGTTTTATTTTTATAAAATAAAAATAAAAGTTTTATTTTTATAAAATAAAAATAAAAGTTTTATTTTTATAAAATGAAAATAAAAGTTTTATTTTTATAAAATGAAAATAAAAGTTTTATTTTTATAAAATGAAAATAAAACTTTTATTTTTATAAAATAAAAATAAAAGTTTTATTTTTAAAAATAAAAGTTTTATTTTTAAAAATAAAAGTTTTATTTTTATAAAATAAAAATAAAAGTTTTATTTTTATAAAATAAAAATAAAAGTTTTATTTTAATTTCCTTTTTTTTTTTTTGGAGACAGATGTCACTCTGTCACCCAGGCTGGAGTGCAGTGGCACGATCTCAGCTCACTGCAACCTCTGCCTCTTGGATTCAAGAGGTTCTCCTCCTCAACCTCCCGAGTAGCTGGGATTACAGGCATGTGCCACCACGCCTGGCTAATTTCTGTATTTTTAGTAGACATGGGGTTTCACCATGTTCACCAGGCTGGTCTCGAACTCCTGACCTCAAGTGATCTGCCCGCCTCGGCCTCCCAGAGTGCTGGGATTACAAGCATGTGCCACCACGCCCGGCCTAATTTCTATTTTAATTTCAATAGTTTTGGGGGGTATAGGTGGTTTTTTGTTATGTGAATAAGTTTTTCAGTGGTGATCTCTGAGATTTTGGTGCACCCGTCACCCAAGCAGTGTACACTGTACCGAAAATGTAGTCTTTTATCCCTCACCCCATCCTATCCTTTCCCCACAAGTCCCCAAAATCCATTATATCATTCTTATGCCTTTGCATCCTTATAGCTTAGCCGCCTCTTATAAGTGAGAACATACCATGCTTGGTTTTCCACTCCTGAGTTACTTCACTTGGAATAATGGCTTTGTTTTTTGGTTTTTGTTGCTGTTGTTGTTGTTTTTAAGGAGACAACTGCAGCTGCCCAAGGGGCCACCAACTCGCTGTTCATTTTGTCAAGTCTGCTCACGCAACTGGAATTTGTTCAAAAATCATCAAGTCAGGTTAAAATTTAGGACCGTCTGGAACAGAACGTCCTCCTACATTTGAGACTAGAGAATGGGACAAACTTGTTTCTCTTTCTGCCTTACTTTCTATTCCCTTGGATCCCGGCCATCGCATCATAGAGGCCTCGGTGGGTGACTGATTTGACAAGTAGCTTATGAGTGCAGCCCTGATTTTTTTTAAAATCCCAGGCTCTGTAAAACCAGGCTCTCCTTTTTCATCTTTTCTTGACATTTTGCTCCTAAAATTAGCTTTTTGATGAGAAAATTGCAGTGAGTCATACCAAAGCCAGCTAAAGGTGAGACAAATGCCTGAGATTGAAATTGAGTTGATTCTACTTTGCTGTGCTGATTATGCCTGGTAATTGGACATTGGAATTAGAACTGCCCTGACCTTTCACAAGAAGAATGAAAAAAGCTCTGTTCAATTTGCTGGACTTTTTTTCTATATGTAAAGCATTTTTGTTGAATGGAGTAATTTACTCTTATTTTTAAATGAGCACCACCAAGAAGCCTGATTCTCACGTTGCTCTGTACATTTATTCAATAATTCTAGTTCTTCAATCAATAAAAACCAATCTTTTTCTCACTTTCCTGTCATCTCTTGCTCTGCTCCCAATTTCCTGCCCACCTCCCCTTCCCACGTCCTCTGTTTATGGAAGTTACTAGAGCCAGCCTGGTGCATGGGAAGCAGGACTTACCTTCCCACCTGTTGATGGTTTTCGGCCACCCACTGAGAGGCCCCCAATTTTTAGAGTTACTCCACCTAGTGACATTTCTTCAGTGGCATATTCAGATATATTGTTTAGAGCTATTGTTTTAAAATGGGGTGAGAGAGGAGACACGGAGTTCCAGCTTCCGATTATGCACCAAAAACAAGAACGGGGCTATGATTTCTTTCTCCAAAGCACATTTCACTGATGTTATGGAACTCATCTTTTTTGTTTCTGCATTTAATCATTTAACAAATATTTATTGACTGGTGCTATATGGTCAGCCATATCCAGGTACTTAAATAAGACATAATATTGCTCAAAACAGGAAAACAAACAAACAAACTCCTGGCCCTCATGGGGCTTGTATTCCAGGAGTAGAGACAAGCAATAGTAAACATGAGTGAAATATATTAATAAAAATAAGTTAAAAATTTGTTTAAATGCAAAATATGTAATATGTGAGAAGGTGCTAAAAGCAATGAAGAAAAAAATAAAAAACATGGAAAAATAAACTGAAAGCTTTCAGCAGGAAGACCAGGAATTCATTTTGAACATGACACGATTTAGACACGTTAGACGAGTGGAGATCACCCGAGCAGAGATCCTAGTAGGCAGCTGGATAAGCATGTATGAAAATCAAGAGATAGACCTGGACTTAAATTATAAACTTGGGAGTCATTTTCAGAAAGATTATATTTAAATCCGTGAGACTGTATCGCAGCAGCAAGAAGGAGCACAGATTTTAAAAAAGGGAAGCCCAAGGATTGAGCCAAAAGTACTTCAACATTTAGAGGCCAGAGAGATGAAGAAAAAGACAGTACTAGGAAAACCGAAATGTTTCCCAAGGCAGCAGGTAAGTCAGCTGCGCTAATTAACACTGACAAATCAAATCAAATTTTTTTTTTTTTTTTGAGACAGAGTCTCGCTCTGTTGCCCAGACTGGAGTGCAATGGTGCGATCTCGGCTCACTGCAAGCCCCGCCTCCTGGGTTCAAGCAATTCACCCTGCCTCTGCCTCCTGAGTAGCTGGGACTACAGGCGCCCACCACCACACTCGGCTAATTTTTGTATTTTTTTAGTAGAGACGGAGTTTTGGCATGTTGGCCAGGCTAGTCTTGAACCCCTGACCTCGGGTGATCCACCCATCTCAGCCTCCCAAAGTGCTGGGATTACAGGCCTGAGCCACTGCGCCCAGCCTCTCAAATTTGATAAAGAAAGGAAGTTGGCTGGTGGCCTTATCCACACAGAAGTCATTGATGAAAACAATATTCAAGTAGGAATGCAACTCTGACTACCTGTTACACATATGGAGATGGAATCGCATCCAAGCCTCCGTGGTGATTAGGACAGAACAGTGGTTAAGGCAATGGGCTTTGGAGTCAGGCAGCCCTGGGTTCACATCCCAGCAGCCTCCTTCCTTCTGAGTTGCAGGACTCCAGATAAGTCCCGTAAATTCAGTGTAATCTTACTTCTTCCTTTATAAAATGGGGATGTTGTTAACACCACAATTTAATTGGCCTCTAACTATAGGCCAGGTACAGCTCTAAGTGTCTTATTAGGTTATTCAGTGCTCACTAAAGTAGGAATCATTATTTTAGTCATTTGACACAAGAGAACCCAATACCAGAGACATTAGTGACAGAGACAATGACCCTGGTAGTGTGGTCGGCAGCCTCTGAGGTGTCCTCAGGACCCCCGGCATCCCGCTATTGCCTTCTGTTGAATGTGAGCTGGACCTAGTGCCGCACGTTTAACAAATGAAATGTGGTAAAAGTAATGGGATATCACTTTTAAGATTAGGTTACAAAAAGGCTCTAACTTCTACCTTTCTGACGGTCTTTGTTCACCCTCACTCCCTTTCTCACGCACTCTGGGAGAAGCCAGCTACCATGTTGAGAGCTGCTCAGTGGAGCACCCCATGTGACAAGAAACTGATGTCTCTGGCCAACCTGACCTGAGGCCTGCCAACAGCCACTTGAGTGAGTCTCTCAGTGGATTCTCCCCCTGCTGAGCCGTCAGATGAAGCCAGAGCCCAAGCTGACACTTTGACTGCAGCCTTGTGAGACACCCTGAGCCAGAAGAGGACCCAAGGAAACTACACCTGGATTCCTGAGCCACAGGAATCCTCTCTCTCCAAAACAGTATGCTGTTTTGGGCTGTTAAGTTTTGGGGTAATTTGTTACATAGCAACATAACTGATCGAGGTAGTAAACGGCACGCTGAATTAAAATCCAGACATTTTGATGCCAGAACCTGCCTAAAAAGAGAGAAAGGTATAGAGCAGAGTGCTGTTAAGCTCCTTATGTGATTACAGTTTGGTCATTCTCAATGCATCCTCTCCATTGCCTCTTTAAAGTCCCAATTCAAGACAAGACAGTACTTTGGAGTGAAGGGAATCCAAATTACAATTATCTTCAAGATTCTCTTCTCCAGAGTGATCACAGAGGTGGGCAGTAGCCTCCAACCATTGACAAATGTATATGAATAAGCACAGCCCATGTCCCTGATACTGTTATCAGTGGAGGATGTCCAGGTTCTTGGCGTCTTGAACAAAGAATTGGACAAAACGCACAAACAAAGCAAGGAAAGAATGAAGCAACAAAAGCAGAGATCTATTGAACATGAAAGTACACTCCACAGTGCAGGAGTGGGCCCAAGCACAGAGGCTCAAGGGCCCCGTTACAAAATTGTGGGGGGTTTAAATGCCCTCTAGAGGTTTCCACTGGTTACTTGGTGTTCGCCCTATGTAAATGAAGAGGATGAAGTAAAGTAATAAAGTCATTTACTCAGCCTACGCCTTATGTAACTGGATAGAATATTTCCTGTCATAGCTGAAGTGTGAATCGCCCTTATGTTCCCCGCCTCTATACCCTATTTTCCTGCCTCAGATACCTTCCTCTTCTAATTAGTTAAAAATACCTAAATTTATTTTATCAGGCCCCAGGATTTAATACATATGTATATATGTATATGTATACGTAATACATATATACATATGTATATATGTATATGTATACGTAATACATATATACATATGTATATATGTATATGTATACGTAATACATATATACATATGTATTAAATGTGTGTGTGTATATATATATATATATATATATATATATATATATATATACATATACTTTTCAAAAACACTCGTAGAAAGTTCTTTTAAATATAGGATTTAAGTTTTGAAAATAATCAAAGCCCACTAGCACAAATCACACTATGGACTTCCCCAATGTATGAAATTGAATTTTTAAAAAGTCAACAAAATCAGTCCTGTGGGAATATAAGGGAAGGAGCATTCATAAAAATCATGAAGCTATATCAATCAGTGGCATAGGATCAATGTGCTCTGCATGGAGAATAGTTGAGTACAATAGATTGAGTATAATGCAAAGTACTTTTGTGGGCACCACCTGACTTCCTTCTTTCCTCCCAGAAGCTGCCTTGTGAGTCACTGCCCTACTCCCCCAACCCTGGTACTCGCAGTATTTGAGGCTCATAAAGAATGAGGCCCTGAGCCTCTAAACCAATCGCCCTGATTATTTCTACAAGTAAGCATTCATTTAGTGTCCTCCAAAAGTAATATGTAATGTAGTCTGGGCAAAATTGTATTTTAAATGATCTCTGAATGACCTCCTAATCTAAATTATTCAAACAAGGCAAAACCTCGAGGGGCGTGTGGAAAAGTGGTTACAGAAATAGGAGACTATAATGGCAAAAAAGTAAGAAGTTGTCAAGATGCACTTTTAACATTAGTTTAATTACCATACCAAAATATCTAGAGTTATAGCAAAGCTCAAAACCAGATATTCAGCCCATGTGAAATGCATTAATGCTCAGTTTTAGTTCTCTGATTGAAATACGGAGGTTTTAAAAGAAATGTAAAGCCAATGCAGCTCCAATTTGCTCTAAGGTATCCGCAGCTCTCCCATATGGGATTTTCACTCAAGCAACTTAATTTCCAAATAATCTCATCCAGCATTTGAGTAGACTGTATAAGGTGTTGCACACAGTATACGTTTTAGTGGTTAATAAGAAAGCCCTCAGAATTTATTTTCTGAGTACGAATAAAGATAAAGGGAATACTGTACCATTAAGTAACAATAACAGCAATTTAAAATACTTTTGTTTTGAGAAAAGTGTATTTTAGAATTAAATATTCAAGTGTTTAAAATCAAGCAAGTGCGAAGATTTGGCACAGACTTTTGGCAGTGACTTGGTGTTCAGTGTTATTAAAATGCCTTCAATCCTCATATGAACCCCGGTCTGTTCCAAGCCACAGGCTTCATCCCTAAATTTAAAGTGGAAAGAATGGATCTTAGGCTGGACTAAATGTTAGAGTAAGAGAGAAAAGTAATTAAACTAACAACATGAAAAATAGAAGAAAATATTGTGTATAAATCAAATTAAACTTGTCCTTGAAACGTTTCAGCTACTTAGAATTAGGAAATGCATAGAATCGCCACAAGGGGGTGCTACTGATAAACCAACAACAGCCCTTCCTTGGCCATTCTCATGACTAAATAGTCCTCAAACCTCCAGCCTAGTGCACTATCAAAACCAAGTCAGACAATTCACAGCAGGAGAGGAGAGATTTTAAAACAGAAATGTGTTCAAGAACATAGATCCACAAAACAGAGCTTCAAACAAAAACAAGTTATCAAAGGGCAAACAGAAGAGAATACCAGGCCTTTTCCCTTATCCCTCATCACAGATTTAGTTATTTTAAAAAGCAATCTTTGCTGCTTTTCAAGAGAGCATTAAACTTGAAGTATATTTACTCTTCATTCTCTTTGAGGAACAATCCACTTAAAAACAACTCCGAAGCGGAATATCCCGGGGGAGTCCTTCCTGCGGACCCCCACCACCAACCCAGCCAGCCTCCAATTACATGACCCATCATTTTCATCTAAAAGTGCTGTCTTTTAACATTGCATCCTCAAGGGCTACGTAAAAAAAACCATAAGCAAACAAACAAAAGTCCTTACTCCTGAATGTTTAAAATGCAAATCGAGTTTTGAAATTCTAAGTCTTTGTTGTGCTCAGAATTACTGCCACTTTTTTTAACTTCCCTCAAGTGAAGTCACCAAAGAAAGAATGACTGAAACTTTAGTACTAAAAGTTATTCACAGTTTTATTATTGAGTTTAAAAAGCTTTTCCGGTGAATGGCAATACAAAAACAAAGGTTCTCTCACAGCACTGGGTTTTTGTCTTTTCAATGAAAGCATATTCAATTAGTAAGACCCACAATACCTTAAGATTCAATTATTTTTCAATAATTGTTTTTCATAATGAATCACAAAAGTTGTTTTCTTCCATCTTGCTAGCCTAACCTGCTATGCCCAAACCAACTACAATTTAGCTATTTGGGGTACTTCATTTCTTTTCTTGCTGCTCTGAACTTTAATGGACAAAATGTTAATTAAATAAGAATAAAGCAAAATGCATGACAGGGCCTAGCATGTAGTGGAAGCTAAATAATTATTAGTTCCTTCCCGGTACTCCCAATAGGCATCCTTTTTTGTGTGGAGGAATACATTTTCTTTTGCCTACACATAAGAATGGCTTTATCCATAGATGATGTTACCTAACTGTCTACTTGCTGTGATGGAGAATTCTGGAAGGTTCTCCCATCCGAGGATGCCTTATCGCACTGAGGGACTGCCGATGATGGATAAAGCATGGTTCTTAACTACAACAGCTTAAATAAATCCTGAGCCTGTCAAACACTGAGTCTACGCATAGAGAGTATGTGATCAAATAGGAAACTTAATGGCACAAAGTGATTGCACAACAGCACAGTGTGGAAAGGATGTGGACTTGATAGCGAGACTGATGTAAATTGAGTAACACCCTCCAGAAAGATACGTTCAAGTCCTAACTTCCATGGCTTGTGAGTGTGACATTACTTGGAAATAGGGTCTTTGCAGATGTAATTAAGGATCTCGAGGATGAGATCACTCTGTTTAGAGTGGGCCCTAAATGCATTCCTTATAAACGAAAAGGAGAGGGAGTTTAGGCACAGATCGTCACAGAGGGAGACCTCTGTGAACACAGACACAGAGATGGGTGTGAATCAGCTACAAGGCCAGGAATGCTGAGGCTTGCTGGCAGCCACCAGAAGCTGTTCCAAGAGGGAGAAGCGTGGAACAGATTCTCTCGCTGAGCCACCAGATGGAACCAACCCTGCCAACACCTTGATTTCAGACTTCTGGCCTCCAGCACCGTGAGATGATAAATCTGCTGTATGAAGCCACCTGGATTGTAGTGATTTGTTACCACAGCCTAAGGACACTAACACAAGTGACCTGGGTTCAAATCAATGCTTCCCCAGCCTGTGGCCCAGGGCATCGAACTTTAAATGTCCTCCTCTGTAAACTAGAGTTCCTATTAGCTACCTCGCAGAGAAATCAAAAAAACAGTCAAGACTGCTGTGATCCCCTCCACACCCCTTACAGCCTCTTTGACCAATGGCATGAGACTTAACATCTTGTGTCTCAGTTTCCTCATCCATAAAATGGAGGTGAAAATAGCAGCTACCTCGTAGGCTGGCGTGAGAAGTACCGGAGATGCTGCCCAGAGACCACAGGGGCGGGGCACATGAGGCCCTCGGCCCATGCAAGCTGCCTGTGCTGACCTGTTGTCATGGTGACCACCGTGGGAACTGAGCTGACCGGAAGACCAGTAAGGTTTGGGATGAGCAGGAAGCTTCCGTAGGAGAAAAAACCTGAAGTGGACGTTGAAGCAATGGTTCCATTTGGATGGGTCACAGAGAGGGATCGGCATCTGGGGCGGGGTTGGCTCAGGAACCTAAGAAAGGAGTGGGAGACGCTGTGTGCATGCATGCGCGGACCTCTCCACCTAAGCAAAGGCCCTGGAGAGCCTGGTGAGCTGAATTAAGAAGAAGGCTGGACAGCTGGGCTGAAGTTAAATTCACTAGAAACTCCACAGCGAGTTTAGACATGGGATATGGTTTGGCTGTGTCCCCACCAAAATCACACCTTGAATTGTAATCCCCGTAATCCCCAAGTGTCACAAGAGGGACCCTGTGGGAGGTAATTGAATCATGGGGGTGGTTTCCCCTAAGCTGTTTTCATGATAGTGAGTGAGATCTGATGGTTTTATAAGCACCTGGCATTTCCCCTGCTGGCACTCATCCTCTCTCCTGCAGCCCTGTGAACAGGTGCCTTCTGCCATGATTGTAAGTTTCCTGAGGTCTCCCCAGCCCCGCGGAATTTGAGTCAATTAAACCTCTTTTCTTTATAAATTACCCAGTCTCAGGTATTTCTTCCTAGCAGCATGAGAACGGACTAATACAACGTGATACAATGGAAAACGAGAAGACATTAAAATCGTTGAGTAAGGGAATAATTCACAAAACAAGGATGCTTAGGAAGGATGAACCCAGCAGGAAGGAGTAAAGCTGTGCTCCTCAAACCTTCCGTCGTGAAGGGCGAGTTTTCTTCCAATCCATCACTGACCAGTGCTGCTGTAATAGATGGTAGAAATAAATTTCTAGAACACGAAGTGGAAACAAGACCAACTACAAAAATACAAGCCAAAATTTGTATTCTTAGATCCAAACATACATAACATTGCTCTAATTGTCATAAACATTTTTGAACTCTTATCCCAATTTCTGCCTGATCATCACAGACCCACGAGGAGCCACTGGTCAGAAGACAATCCGTGGCAGAGGGCTTCTGAAGAGGAGAGGGCGAGCCTAGCAGGGAGGGCAGAGGAGGAGAGGAGCAGAAAAGGTGCCCAGGAGGCCACCGCCATCTTCAGGGAAGCAGAAGACAAAGGTGGTGAAATGCAGATGGCGGAGAGAGTCACACGTAAGGTATTTTGAAATGTAAATTGATGGTGAGGACAATGAGCTATAGCTAAATAAGGAGCAGCTGACCCCAAATAAAATGTGACGTTAATAAAATGGCGTTGTTTATAGAAATGGGAGGAACAGGAGAAAGGTGCCCCAAATGGAAGAAATAACCGCATACTTAGAGTGAATGCACCTGAAATACTGTATCTTCTGGACTTCGGGGTCTTACAACATCGGGTTGCATTTCCACCCCCGCCCCACAATTGATAGAGAACAAGACGTTACTTTGCTAAGTACTGCCTTTGTGACTAGAATTACAGACTGAAAATATCAACACTACTAAATTACAGTAAATTTTGTGGGCCAAAAATAAATACTGTCATGATAGGGAAAGTATTACAAGAAAAACTCTTGGCATATGTATTTTTACAACTCCCTAGGTAATTACGATGTGCACCTCAGCTGAAAAAGTCATTGCATCACTTTGATGAATATTAGGTAAGAGTAAAAAGGTAGAGTGGTCAAACGGATATAACTTATTTTAATGTACATATGTAAATTGATATACCAAAAAGATAACAATCTTTGTAAATTAGCAAGCTAAGAAATGCAAATAAGTCAATCCATACCTCTCTATGGATGTAAAAAATAAAACCCTCTTGCTTTAAAAAAAAAAAAAAAAAAAAAAAGTGAAGGATTCTCCTGGCCACAGGAGGTCAGTATTGCTTCAAAACAAAATTACCCTAAATCTCTGGGGGCATAATGGTCTTTTAAAAAATGGTTATATTTTCTTCTTAAAAAAAAAAGGTTAGTTTTTGATATGTCTGATTTCTAGGCTTTACTGAGTGACAGATGGTTACAGCATGTGAAAAAATATCAACTTGTTAAAAAATCAACTTGTTAAAAATATGTATTTCATGCAAAATTGAACTTGGAGCCTCCTCATTTAAAAGCAATCCTAGAAATTAAGAGAAGGGAGAAAATTATATATATGTCAGAGAGGATGCATGTGTTCAATTCAACACAGAGCTCAGTGCCAAGGAAAAATGAGAACCATGTCTTCAATTTCTCACTTTGTAACTGAAGAGGTCAGATACACACTCATGACATCTTTTGGTAAAAATACAAAAATGAAAAATAAATGCTGTGCTGTAGACAGTGATGGTAGAGAATAGTATTGACTGAATCGTTGCAATGTCCTCATTATAAGATTGAGAGAAATGAGAAGTAAAGACATGACAGAGGGAAGGAGAGTTGGATCACCATGAACATACGGGTGAAAAATTATAAGTAGCCTGTTGAGATCTTGTGGGGATGATTGGACCAGCATTTGGGGATGTTGTGTAAGACGGAATCACACACATTGCCCAAGTTCCAGCCTTATTTGAAACGTTCTGATATTCATTCATTCATTCATTGCTCTAGACAAAGTTTGGACAAAAGCAAACAAAGCCCAGCCATCATGGAGCTGTGTTAAGTGAGTAGACAAATTCCTGGATATGCAATTCTCTACCTTGTGATAAAGGCTCTGAAAGAACAGGGCAGAGTGATCAGAGAAGGCTTCTTCAAAGAAATGCCATTTAAGCTGAGACCTGAGGACGTTCAGGCCAAGAGATGGGGATCAGACTGCAGGTCTTGAAACCCCAAGGCCAGCGTGACTGATGCACAGTGAATTAGAGGGAGAGAGAATTCTGGGTCTCAAGGAGTTTCGATCTTATCCCAAATGCAATGGGAAACCACTGGATGAAACTGGAATCATGTGATCTAATTTACACACTTTTTAAGAAGTATTTTGGGCCAGGCACCGTGGCTCATGCCTATAATCCCAGCACTTTGGGAGGCCAAGGTGGGCAGAGCACATGAGGTCAGGAGTTCAAGACCAGCCTGGCCAACATGGTAAAACCCTGTCTCCACTAAAAATACAAAATTAGCTGGGTGTGGTGGCGGGCACCTGTAGTCCCAGCTACTCAGGAAGCTGAGGCAGGAGAGTCACTTGAACCAGGGAGGCAGAGGTTGCAATGAGCCAAGATCTTGCCACTGCACTCTAGCCTGGGTGACAGAGCAAGACTTCATCTCAAATAAATAAATTAATTAAATGTCAAAGTATTTTGGCTGCTGTGTGTGTGAATGGGAAGGGGATTCAGCAAGAATGGAAATGGAGAAACGCAAATGTGCTTAGGAAGCTAGTGCGGTTGTCCAGGAAGATGATGCCTGGGAAGAAGAAAGCAAACAGATTCCTGGCATTTAAAAGCAGAACCAGAAACTCTTATTGGTGGGACAGATGAGAGAAGCCATATTTTTACTCACCCCATATGAGTGTATGCATTTCTGCCTCTACTGCTGAAACCTACAGAAATATTAACCTTTCCTCTTAGAAGTAAAATTATTAAATGATCAGTTTATACAAAGAAGTATCAAATAATAAATCAGTGATTGTGTTGATTTATGTACATAAAATAATATCAATTGAATGCTATGACTTTTTAATGATAATGAAAACAAAATTATATTCAGCCAAATGCTTTTACAATTAAAGTTTAATAAAGAAAAGATTAAAAGATGATTATTCCTTTGACATTCTGATTTTATATCCATTGTTCAAAGTCTCTGTTGATTTTTTCTCTTAGAAATATTCATAGAAAATGAATATATTGAGTTCAAAAATATTCACCTCAAAATCTGTACAGTCACATTTCATTTCCATCCTACAAGAGCATTTTCAACAACGTGCAAGCACTGTGATAAGAGTATCTTCCTCAGCCAGGCGACTAACATGGGAGATGATGTGTCTGTGGATGCTTCTAAATCTTATCTAAAGTACAAGAACTAAGATGCTTCACGTGGGCAAAGCTGCTCTCCTAAATTAGTTCTGGACTTTCTAGTGAAAATGGAAGTTACCTGGGCAAGCTGGTTTTCACTAAGCAGAACCAGATTGTCAACTCTTATGCCTGGAATCTTAAGTGAATAGATTTCTTTTTTTTTTTTTTTTTTGAGACACAGTCTCCCTCTGTTGCCCAGGCTAGAGTGCAGTGGCACAATCTTGGCTCGCTGCAACCTCCATCTCCCGGGTTCAAGCAATTCTCCTGCCTCAGCCTCCCAAGTAGCTGGGACCACAGACACAGGCCACGACTCCCATCTAATTTTTGTATTTTTAGTAGAGACGGGGTTTCACCATGTGGACCAGGCTGGTTTTGAACTCCTGGCCTGAAGCAATCCACCTGCCTCAGCCTCCCAAAGTGCTGGGATTACAGGCGTGAGTCACTACCACCCAGCCAGTTTTTTTATTTTTAGTAGAAACGGGGTTTCACCATGTTGGCCAGGCTGGTCTCAAACTCCTGACCTCAGGTGATCTGCCCACCTCGGCCTCCGAAAGTGCTGTGAATACAGGTGTGAGCCACCATGCTCGGCCAAGTGAATAGATTTTTTTTTTTTTTTTAAGACAGAGTCTTGCTGTTGTCCAGGCTGGAGTGCAGTGGTGATCTCGGCTCACTACAACCTCCGCCTCCCAGGTTCAAGGGATTCTCCTGCCTCAGCCTCCCGAGTAGCTGGGACTAGAGGTGCCTGCCACCACACCCAGCTAATTTTTTTGTATTTTTTTTAGTAGAGACGGGGTTTCACTGTGTTAGCCAGGATGGTCTCGATCTCCTGACCTCGTGATCCACCTGCCTCGGCCTCCCAAAGTGCTGGGATTACAGGCATGACCCACCACGTCCAACCCAAGTGAATAGATTTCCAAAGGTGTTCCTGGCAGGTGCCAGGTGGAGACTTCAATGTGTGGGGGTTTGGGGCACTTTTAAACTATAGAACATAAGGATAACAAGGCAGTTAACTATAATGACTGCAATTTTCCTGTAGAAGAGTTGAGCACAAAAAGCAAACAAGGCACTGAGCAGTCTCTGTTGAATGCCAGGGGTGCGTTTAGAACCCCTGGTTCTAAACTTGGTTTAAGCTTTAAGCCTGGTTCACATAACACTTACCTGGATCTGGTCCCATAAGACTCTCTCTATGCCCATACTTTGTATACTGCCTTGTCCACATCACTGTCTCTATTCTAAGGAACAGCCCAATAATTCTTCACGCCTCTCTTTCTTGATTGTTATACGAGTAAATCGGGATAATGGTTTTAAAGTGCTTTGAAAAGATGAAAAGTGCAACAGAAATGCAAGACGTTATAATTAATTATGATTTTTTGTGATTCATCTATTACATTTTATTATGACTATCGACCTTATTATCTAAATATAGAATAGGTATATAACTATGTTTTATATTGTGTAACAGTACAGATTGTTTATTCTTAGTCCTCAACAAAGAAATGAATACTAAAATCTCCTTAAAAGATTTTTTTTTAACTATAGCTATTTTGGCTTTATCCCAAATCTTTAAATCTGACTTTCTAAGGGTGGGATAGAGGCATATGTGTTTTTACAACTCCCTAGTAATTCCGATGTGCACCTCAGCTTAAAAACATCACTGCATTACTTTTGTGAATATTAGGTAAGAGTACAAAGGTAGTGGTTAAATGGATATAACTTATTTTAATGTGCACATATACATTGATATTCTAAAAAGATAACAATCTTTCTAAATTATCAAGCTAAGAAATGCAAATGATATCAATTAATCTATACCTCTCTATGGATTAAAAAAAAAAAGCTGTGCCATATATAGATTGTGCTTCTCTGCTTCACCTGTCACTCACTACTATAGTACCTCTGTATCTCTGCTTCCCCCCTAAAACTGGAACTCTCTCCAGAAGGCATCTCAAAGGTAATCAAAAACACATTCCCATCTACCAGTGTGGCAACTTCTGTATCTCTGCCCCCTTCCAATGCCTCTGCTGTGTGTGAGCGCTCCTGGCTGTCACTAGCGCCATCACCCATCCATGCCAGTTAAGATCCCAGTGCCAGTGCTGCAGGGCACGGAGTCCTCGCTTGGAGCCAAAGCCACTGCACTGCACTGGCCCTAAGGTCACTGAGATCTGCGTGCTGGCCCCTGGGTGCACACAGCGCTGCGACATCCTGTGTTACGCAGTGACGTGGAGAGAATCTCCCACCCCCTCCGCCACACACACCTCCCCGTCTAGGCTTCACTTCTGTGTTGGTTTCCCAAAAGTGCTTCTTTACACTCCCAGTGCCTCTCCAAGATTTTTATAAAATTAGCTGTATCTGTTTTTAGTCCCCAGACTTGAAAACCTCATGTGAAGGATGAGTGTGTAGACAGAGGGAGAAGATCTGAGGCTAAGAGGGTGAGAAGGGCTGAGGGACAGCTGACACCTGGGGCGTTTCTGTCTTGCCTCGTTTGGCTCCGTCTGCTCCTCCCTATTGTCAGGAGCTGCTCCTTAGAAAGGGCTGCTCCCTGGGCCTGGCAGAAATGCTTGAGTTCTAGTGTGACCCCAACATGAGTTTAGGCTGTGACCCTGTTAGGAAAGGGGTCTCAATCCAGACCCCAAGAGAGGGTTCTTGGATCTCTCTCAAGAAGGAATCCAGGGTGAGTCCATAGAGTAAAGTGAAAGCAAGTTTATTAAGAAAGTCGAGGAATAAAGAATGGCTACTCCATAGACAGAGCAGCCCTAAAGGCTGCTGGTTGCCCATTTTTATAGTTATTTTTGATGATATGCTAAACAAGGGGTGGATTATTCATGTCTCCCCTTTTTAGACCATATAGGGTAACTTCCTGACGTTGCCATGGCATTTGTAAACTCTCATGGTGCTGGTGGGAGTGTAGCAGTGAGGACGACCAGAGGTCACTCTCGTGGCCATCTTGGTTTTGGTGGGTTTTGTCCGGCTTCTTTACTGCAACGTGTTTTATCAGCAAGGTCTTTATGACCTGTACCTTGTGCCAACCTTCTATCTCATCCTGTGACTTAGAATACCTTAACCATCTGGGAATGCAGGCTGGTAGGTCTCAGCATCATTTTACCCAGCTCCTATTCACGATGGACTTGCTCTGGTTCACATGCCTCTGACAAACCTACCCTTGCAGATGTGGGATTTGTCCCTGATTTGCTGTGGGAGAGAAATCTGACAGGCCAGTAACATCATAAGAAAAATTATGGGAAAACCTGTTTTATTTACAATTAAGCATATAATTTAGCCCTTACATACAAAGAACTGTTCCAATATTTATCTTTCAGTTTTCATAAACATGTGATAAATCTATACTGGTATTCTTTTCCCCTTCTTCTTCTACTCAACGACAACTTTGTTATGGAGTTAAAAAATTCTGACCACTATGCAGGTCTGTTAACAAAGTGTGGGCCGGGCGCAGTGGCTCACACCTATAATCCTAGCACTTTAGGAGGCCAAGGCAGGTGGATCACCTGAGGTTAGGTGTTCGAGACCAGCTTGACCAACATGGAGAAATCCCATCTCTACTAAAAATATAAAAATAGCCAGGCATGGTGGCGCATGCTGTAATCATAGCTACTAGGTAGGCTGAGGCAGAAGAATCACTTGAACCCGGGAGGTGAAGGTCGCGGTGAGCCAATATCACGCCATTGCACTCCAGCCTGGGCAACAAGAACAAAACTCCATCTCAAAAAAAAAAAAAAAAAAAAAAAAAAAACACAAAAGTGTGTCAGGCCAGGTGCGGTGGCTCACACCTGTAATCCCAACACTTTGGGAGACCAAGGTGGGCAGATCACGAGGTCAGGAGATCAAGACCATCCTGGCTAAAACAGTGAAACCCTGTCTCTAATAAAAATGCAAAAAATTAGCCAGGCATGGTGGCACGCACCTGTGGTGTCTGCTACTTGGGAGGCTGAGACAGGAGAATCATTTGAACCTGGGAGGCAGAGGTTGCAGTGAGCCAAGATTGCACCGCGGCACTCCAGCCTGGGCGACAGAGCGAGACTCCACCTCAAAAAGCAAAAAAAAAAAAAGAAAGAAAGGGTGTCAATAAAGCCTTCTTTGTCAGTGGCATGTCTCCTGGCTCTGTAGTATAGTAGGCACCCATGTCAGACATTATTGGTCAAGCAACATCTGTACTTATTCCTGATCTCTGTGGGAGAGGGAAACTCTGGGCTAACATCTCATTAATGAATGCAGAGTTGGGGAGTGTGAGGCTTCCAGTTGCAGATAAGCATCAGAAATGCCTCTAACCTTGCAGCTCTGACTGTCCCAAAAGCTCTCCATCAGGCTTACCCCATTAGGTAATTGGTGTCATTTCCCAGGCTGTGACATGTATGCAAGCATACGTCTTAATTTACAGAGAAGGGAAAGAGGACTATAAATTGGTCTGGTAACTCCTCCATCTGGCTACAAGTCAGAGAAGATGCAAGCGTGATCTCAAACAGTTTACAAAAAAACATATTTATTTTGAGATAATTTCAGACTTACAGAAAAGTTGCAAAAAAAGTACCATGAATACCCATACAAACTTCAACTGGATTCCTAAATATTGACATTGTATCATGTTTGCTCCATCATTCTCTCTGTATCTTAATGGGTCTTTTTCTGAACAGCTGAGGAGTAAGTTGCAGACATAATAATGCTTTCCTATTCCTAAATATTTCTGTCTTACTAACCACAGTACAATCATCAAAATCAGAAGTTAGCATTGATATACTACTATTACCTAGCAGGTAGATCTTATGCCAATTGTCCCACAAATGTCCTGTGTAGCAAAAGGAAGAAAACACAGTGTTTTAAGGCTTTTGAGTGGAGTCACAATGGCTCTGAGACCTTGTCCAGTAACAGGGACCACAAGAACTGTTAGGACCCAGTCTGCCACAGTCCTGATCTAAAATGCCCTTTGGTATTTAGGACATGGACATCTGCTGATCTTTTCTAAACTGAAGAGAGAAATTGAGGACATAGAATGTTGGTTATATGCCTTTTGTTTTTTTCTCTGTTTCTCTTTTGACCAACTTATTTTAATGCAGCAACTCCTCACAGACTGCCTGATACACCCAACAAATATCTTTAGTTCTGGGGGATAGAGAGTTGTATAAGATGTGGTTCCAACACCCCTGTGAATCAAAATGTTATTAAATAATCAGTAACTAAACAGAAATGAAATAGTAGTGTTAGGAATGATAAATTCCTCTTCAAAAGGTTTAATTGTCTAATGTTTTTGTTCTTTGTTGAAAAGCCCAACCTCCTTGTCGTCTCGTTTCTAGCCTGCAAACCATCCTCCCACTCTTGTTGCACCCTGACATACCCAGACATGTCCAGACATGCCTTTTACTATAATGGACAGACCACTCCTACCCCCTCCTTCTCTTACAAATCACACACTTACCCTATTTAGAAAAGTTTAAGTCTTAGCCAACCGGGATCAGTTTAGATTGTGTAGTCCAACCCTAGCCTATAAGGGAATGACACAGGGACAGGAACTGTGTTAGGGTTAAAAATCCCTTCCTTCCTTTGTTCGGTGTGCTCTTGTGGTCAGGACAGATGCGAGCAGCACCCTTCTGCAGAAATAAATGTGCCTTGCTGAGAAATTCTCTAAGTGCTGGTTTTTCCTTGTGGCACTGAGCACCTGTTTCTAACAGTAGTAAGGTTAATGGTGGCAGAGAACCAAGTTACCCCAAGTTACCAGCAGCGAATCTATACAGGTCCTCAGCAACTTCAGCCCTTGTCTCCTCAGAAGAAAGAAACTGGCCGAGGGGCATGAGGCAGAAAAAAAGACTGAGGCAATTTTCAGAGCAGGAATGGAAGTTTATTTAAAAAGGCTTTATGAATGATACAATGGACTTTGGAGACCAGGGCAGGGGGATGGGTAGAAAGGGGGCGAGAGATAAAAGACTACAAACTGGGTGTAGTGCATACTGCTTGGGTGATGAATGCACCAAAATCTCACAAATCACCACTATAAAACTTACTCATGTAACTAAATCCCACCTGTTCCCCAAAAACCTATGGAAATAAGAATTTTTTAAAAAAGAAAAAGCAAGAAGACTAAGAATAGTAACTATGCTGAAAAGAAATCTATGAGAAATGAATTTCAGGTTTTCTGGAAAGTTCTGACTGAATGACTGCACTATATTATTAGAGTGGTTTATTATGTAATTCAAGACTGTAATTATATAATATTCCAAATTAACTGTCACCAATAAAAATGCAACATTGTTGAAAATAGAAAAAATAAATAAAAAATAAAATGAGTAAATAAATAAATAAATTTTAAACATAAAAAGGCTTTAGAACAGGAAAGAAAGGAAAATTCACTTGGAAGAGACCCAAGTAAGCCCCTGAAAGTCCAAGAGAGAAAAGAACAAAAGGCTGGGCATGGTGGTTCATCTCTGTAATCCCAGCACTTCGGGAGGCCGAGGCAGGCAGATCACCTGAGGTCAGAAGTTCGAGACAAGCCCGGCCAACATGGTGAAACCCTGTCTCTACTAAAAATACAAAAATTAGCTGGGCGTGGTGGCATGTACCTGTAATCCCAGCTACTCGGGAGGCTGAGGCACAAGAATCGCTTGAACCCAGGAGCCAGAGGTTGCAGTGAGCCGAGATCGCACCACTGCACTCCAGCTTGGGCGACAGAGCAAGACTCAGTCTCGAGGGGAAAAAAAAAAAAAATAGAACAACAAACAGCACTTTAACCTTGATCCTGGGACTTTATAGACTCGCCTCTTTCCCATGATTCTCCCCTTAGGGTGGGCTTCCTGCATGCGCAGTGTTTTCCTCACCCTTTGGACTTGAGCACACCCCAGTGTGTTTAGGGATTTATGCGCATGCCCATCTGAGGCTCTCTTCCCTTTTCCAATGGTGTGTACCCCACCCAGAACATGGTACTTCGCCATTATTGTCTTTTAACAGGCATGCCCAGTAGCTTCTTCCTGGGGTCTGCATTCAGTTAACATTTTGATGTTAACAGGTGTGGACCATCAGGAAATGGCCTCTCCCTGGCTGCCAAATTATCATTTTTAAAGAAGCAATGTGATAATTGCCAAACCATCGCCTGACATTCCCAGTGGGTAGGGGCGAAGGAGAGCCCTCTCCTGCCCTGCTCATATGTAACTACCTGTAACAGGAAGAAGGAAGAATACAATATATGGTCGAGTGTTTGACAGACAACATGTCAAACGATTTATATACTTATTTATTTTTTACACAAATATGGTGTCATTTTTAATGACATTTGGCATTATTATCTCTATTTTATAAATGAGGAAATACAGGATCATAAAAATGAAGAAATCTTCATGCAGTGAGACACAGAGCCAGGATCTGAACCAAGGTTGACCTCCAAAGCCCAAGCTTTGTTCCATGAAAACAAGAGGTATAAACAGATAACACAGAGCAAATGTGAGAAGAGAGAAGTGGGGACACAGGAAGGCTTCCCAGGTCTCAAGGACAAAGGTATATTTGAGCACAGACTGAAGAATGGATGAGACTTTGAGGGTAAAGATGAAAGAAACAATCCAAAGGGGAAAGCCAGCGACTTGAAGGAGCTGACTGCAGTGTCCAATGCTTTGACTCAGCAAAACAGCCAAATCAGGTTCCCATGACAGGGCAGAGGATGCACAGCTTCTTGAAAGCTTGAGTGTGCCCAAGGGTCCTTGCAGTAACAGCAGAAAGCTCAGACAGATAATTCCTACCATTAGGCAGGAGACAGCTTCTCCCGGGGACTCGGTGGTTGATAAGCTTTCTTTTCACCAGGGAGCTTTTTCTGATGTCTTTTCTTAGGAGGAAGACTTGCCTATTTAAGATAAAGAGTAGAAGGCAGTACTGGGAGCACTTTTCTAAATTAAATAACTCCTCAGGGTGCCAGTCTGTTAAGTGTGGACAGAAGCAAAGAGGCAGGACTTGCTGGGCTCCTGCCCATTCATGAAGCAAAAATTGCAGAGCTCCCCAGGAAGCCACGCGGTTTTGTGGACGTCTAAATTTCTGACATAAAGAGATGCTATTTGTTTACTTTTTGCATATTCAAAGGAAAGACAGTAATGCATAATAGATTCAGCAGGACATTGCATCCTGTACAAAAATTTTATTGATCATACTATCACTAACTTCTCCTGAAAAATGACTATAGTAGCCTAATTGAATAATTTTCTATTGTAAATATTCAAATTATATTAGGGACTTAGATCAGCATATTTTGAAAGATGCTCCTTGTGAAGTTTGGAAAGGTACACGGAGTTCAGCTTTTTAAAACTACATTTAAGATCCAAGGCTTACTTCTTACCGTGGCTTACTCCTGTAATCCCAGCACTTTGGGAGGCCGAGACGGGAGGATCACTTAAGTCCAGCCTAAGCAACATGGTGAGACCCTGTCTCTACAAAAAATAAAGCATTAGCCAGGTGTAGTGTCATGCACCTGTAATCTCAGCTACTCAGGAGGCTGAGGTAAAAGGATTCCTTCAGCCCAGGAGTCTGAGGCTGCAGTGAGCTATGATCACAACACTGCACTCTGGCCTAGGCAATAGAGTGCAGTTTATCTGAGTTTAACTCAGCTTCAAATATAAAGGAGAAGCTTTGAGCACCCTAAACTGCCATGAGCTTAACCACTTACACACTGCTACCTCTGGCCACTAAGCCAGGAGAGAGAAGCAAGTATCCCTCGTTACATCCCAAGCTCCCTTCAGCTGTGAGACACAGGAGCTTCTGCTTCCCTCCCCACAGGGTAGGCTGTAGTCATTCCCCTCCCTCCAAGTTCATGAACACTGCCTGCCATTTTTTGTAGGTAAACTGCTCATTTATTAATCTTATAAAATCATGAATGAATGAACAACTAGTGAGTATGAAAAAATATGTGTTGTCCTATACAGGAAGCCTGAGATCACCAGCTCAGGTGGAGCCAAGAGGAATTTTGCCAGAAGCCCTATTCACGGTATGTTTTCTATTTGTCTCTCCAATATCTTCCTACATCTCTAACCACCACAGTGCAAGGATGGGAAGAGTACAAAGATCCTTCCCATTCAGTCGTCACTACGAAAGAGATTAATTCACATTCCCACTTAATTCAGGGGCAAGAACGCCCCATATGAAGGATACCTAATAACATTTCTACTTAACCTCACTAATGCAATTAAAGTGAGAAAAAGAAATAAGTGGTACAAAAAGTAGAAGATTGGAGATAATATTTCTATAAAATTCCTAATTTGTAGAAAATGTGTCACCATGAAAAATGCAAGCAAAACAATTCAAAGAGTTCAGCAACTACTTTAAACAAATAGTCCAGGTGCGGTGACTCAACCTGTAATCCTGGCACTTTGGGAGGCGAGGCAGGTGGAACACTGGAGCCCAGGAGTTCAAGACCAACCTGGGTAACATAGCGAGACCCCCATCTCTATAAAAAATACAAAAATTAGCTGGGCATGGTCGTACATGCCTGTACTCCTGGCTATTCGGGAGGCTGAGGTGGGAGGATTTTGGGAGCCTGGGAGATCGAGGTTACAGTGAGCCATGATTGCACCACTGCATTTTAGCCTGGGCAACAAAGCAAGACTCTGTCTCAAAAAAGCAAAAATGAAAAATCAATAAATAACAAAATAAATTATTTTATAATTAAGCTTATTTTAAGCTTATTTTTTAAACTTACAATTATTTTATAACTAAGCCTGAACTATAATAGGAAAAAAAGGAGGAAAAAGAAATAACATAAACTATAAGATTCAAATGAATAAATCTCTTTAAAAGTGGACAAGACCTTTATAGAAAAAACTAAAAATATCATTGAAGGACACACAATAAAGGATTGTGAATAGTAGAGATGTAATCCATGTTATTCAATGGTAAGACACATAGATACATTAGAATTTTACTAAAAAATCAGTGAAACTCCAATTTTAAAAATTGTAAGCAAGGTTTTTCTTATAACTGAACATGTCTATTCTTAATATAGAAGAGCAAAGACATTTCTAAAGACAAAACATGGCGGGGAAGGATAAGATCTTGCCTATTAGATAATAAGGATTATTACAAAACCATAGTCAATTAGGAGAGGGAGTTTGTTGCAGTACTAGGCAGTACTAAGTAGATCAGTGTTTCAGAGAGGCTGGAGACATACCAGTCTTTTCAATAAATCTGAGAAAATTGGTCATCCATATGGAAAATATTGTATCCCTCACTTACATCATATAAAGAAATAATTCAAAGCCTACTAAAATGCCAGGCATGAAAATCAAATCCATTAAAACATTTAAAAGAATTATAAGAGCAAGATTTTATGACTATGGTAGAAAATGATTTTTCAAACAAGATTTCTTTAAAACAACAAATGATAAAAAAGGTGTATTTGACAACATAAAAAATTTTTAAAACTTTCATGAAACAAAAGACACCACAAACAAAGTGAAAATAAAAGCACAAACTGGTACAAAAGATTTGCAATACTTAAAGAAAGGCAAGCGTTGGCCAGGTGCGGTGGCTCACGCCTATAATCCCAGCACTTTGGGAGGCTGAGGTAGGGGGCTAATCCAAGGTCAGGAGCTTGAGACAAGCCTGGCCAACATGGTGAAACCCCATCTCTACAAAAAAAAAATATATATATATGTATATATATGCAAGGCCAGGCCTGGTGGTGGGTGCCTGTAATCCCAGCTACTTGGGAGGCTGAGGCAGGAGAATCACTTGAACCTGGGAGGCGGAGGTTGCAGTGAGCCGAGATTGCACCACTACACTCTAACCTGGGCAATAACAGAGTGAGATTCCATCTCAAAAAATATATATATATATGCAATACTTAAAGAGAGTGTCCAGAATCCACAAAGGGTGATACATAAATAAGAAAGAGATAAACTATCCAATATAAAGAGAGATGGGGGTACAAACCCACAGTTCACAGATAGGAAACAGAGTCAAGAAACATTTGACAAGATGCTCAATTTCACTAGTAATATGAAAAATAATAGTTAAATGGAATACTGAAATTAAACCACTTTGTATCCATCAGAGAAGCAAAAAATCCGAACTCTAATAACAATAAGCATTGACAAAGACATGGACAAACTTCATTTATTTCAAGAGGAAAGACCATGGTTACAACCACTCTGGAGAACAATTGGGTAAGATCTCATAAAGTTAAAGGTATACTCAGAAATTCCAAAACACTCAGAAATTCTACCTCTAGGCCTAGACCACGGAGAAATTCTTGCATATGTAGACCAGAAGATACATACAGCTCATAGCTCTGTTGTTTATGATGATGGCAAAGCATAACCATCCTAAAAATCCATCAACAATCAAATAGATAAATAGATTTTTTAATTAACACAGGGCAATTACTATGTTTCAGGAATGTTCTATTTTTTTTTGTTGTTTTGTTTTGTTTTTGTTTTTTTGTGTTTTTTTTTTTGAGACGGAGTCTCGCTCTGTCGCCCAGGCCGGACTGCGGACTGCAGTGGCGCAATCTCGGCTCACTGCAAGCTCCGCTTCCCGGGTTCACGCCATTCTCCTGCCTCAGCCTCCCGAGTAGCTGGGACTACAGGCGCCCGCCACCGCGCCCGGCTAATTTTTTGTATTTTTAGTAGAGACGGGGTTTCACCTTGTTAGCCAGGATGGTCTCGATCTCCTGACCTCATGATCCACCCGCCTCGGCCTCCCAAAGTGCTGGGATTACAGGCGTGAGCCACCGCGCCTGGCCAGGAATGTTCTATTGTAAGAACGTTAAAAATATTAAATTATTTGACTTTCAAAAGAACTCTATAAGATAGATAGGTTTTTATGAATTTTAATACTTCCACTATTTTTAGTGATTATTTTCCCCATTTTATAGATTAGGATATGAAGACACACAGAAATAAGCCCAAGGTCACTCAGCTGATTAGAAATAAAGTCATGCAGTGGAACACTACAGAACAAAGGAAAGGAATGAAATAAAATTATATGTAGCATTATGGATAAATATCAAACCGTGAGAAAAAGTAGGTTGTAGACTGATACAGTAACATACCATTACATTAGTCTGAAAGATGCAAATCAATACTGCATGAGTTTCCTAGGGCTGCCATCACAAATAAGCATGAACTGGGTAGCTGACAACAGAAATGTATCCTCTCACCCTTTTGGAGGCCGGAAGTTGGAATCCAAGGGACCATCAGGGCAGCACTCCTTCAAAGGCCCTAGGGGTTCCTGCCTGGCCCTTTCCAGCTTCCGGTGGCTCCAGGACGTCCTCGGCTTGTGGCCGTATCACTCCAGTCTCTGCCTCCATCTTCACATGGTCTTCTCTTTTCTGTCTTGTAAGGACACTTGTTGGATTTAGGGTCCACCGGATGGTGGAGGATCATGTCTTTTCTATATCCACCAAGACACTTCCCAAATAAGGGCACACTCACAGGTTGCAGAGGGTCAGGATGTGGACATACCCTTTGGGAGGACAAGCATTCAACCCTCTACAAATATTGGCGGTAATTTACAGGTATTTACCTAAGTAATGAAAAGCCATTTTAAAAAAATCTCATGGAAATAATAAACACTAAACCCTCCCCTGGGAAAGAAAGGAGAGAGAGAGTAACAGGAGAGGAAGGTATTACAGAGGGGGTAAGTGTCTCTGTAATTTGTTCTCATTTAAATCCTGGAGCAAATATGGCATTTTAAATCTACAGTTAATATAGCAACATGTTGAGCTTTGATAGGGCTGAGGGGCACACACACACCTGTTGGCCATGATTTTCTCTGAAATTTTCTTTTTCTTTTTTTTTTTTTTTTTTTTTTTGTGACAGAGTCTCGCTCTGTTGCCCAGGCTGAAGTGCAGTGGTGTGATCTCGGTTCACTGCAGCCTCCATCTCCCGGCTTCAAGTGATTCTCTTTCCTCAGCCTCCGAGTAGCTGGGATTACAGGTGCCTGACACCGTGTCTGGCTAACTTTTGTATTTTTAGTAGAGACAGGGTTTCACCATGTTAGCCAGGCTAGTCTCGAACTCCTGACCTCAGGTGATCCACCCACCTTGACCTCTCAAAGTGCTGGGATTACAGGTGTGAGCCACTGTGCCTGGCTGATTTTCTCTGTAACTTTTTATAATTAAGAAATATTTCATAATGAAACAATGCAAAGATGTCCTCTGCCTTAACTCTATCATGGTATTTGGAAGAGTTACTTTTGACAGGTCCTTGTTGAACCTTGTCTGCAAGCTGTTATTAAACATCTATGGTATTATCCACTACTTCTCTCAGTCCTATTTGAATCGGCTCCAAGTCAGAGTTCCTCCGTGCTTTCCTAACTCACCTCTTAACATATACAGCCTTTCCTCTCCACCATTTAGTTTGCTTTAGATGTTTTTTTTTCTTATTAAGAACACCACTGCTCCAATAATGATGAACTGATTTCCAAATGTCAAAGACTAATCCAACACAGAAATATCAAAGCAAAGACTGCAGATAAGCAACATGGCTTCCTCGTGATGTTTGCTGTGCTTCTAGAAAACAACTTTTCTCATGAGTCTTTTAAATCATGTTTTATCTTTACAATAATGAGTACTCTTGCCTTCTTTGAGAACATCCTCACCTCTCCCAGAGAAGTAGCATCAGCAAATTGATGGGCTGAGACTTATTTCTCCTGGGGTGACCTGCCAATAGCAGAATCATTAGCACAGTCCCCTCTAAAGCACTACTTTTTTTCAATATTCTTTTAAAATTCTCCAGCCAAAAATGATGGGAATCATGATTATTCCTGGCCACTGCCATCTCTAAAGTGGAGTTACTCTTCTTTCTATACCCAGCCATATAAAATTAAGACAATCCACTGAAATATAATTACTCATGTTTTGAAAAATAAACAGCTAAAGTAAAGCTACAGCAGTTTTAGTAATGTGCTGTTTTATTTTAGGTGATGGGAAAACCAAAAGTTATACAACTATTTATGAGGTTCAATGATGAAAGTAACACATTATTTAAAAAATTAATCTGAGTAATCATGATAGTATGGAATTTAAAATTAGAGGCAGGGTGAGGTGGCTCACGCTTGTTATCCCAGCACTTCGGGAGGCCGAGGTGGGCAGATCACTTGAGGTCAGGAGTTTGAGACCAGCCTGGCCAACATGGCCAAACCATGTCTTTACTAAAAATATAAAAATTAGCTGTGCATGGTGGCACTCACCTGTAATCTCAGCTACTCGGGAGGCTAAGGCAGGAGAATCATTTGAACTCTGGCAGTGGAGGTTGCAGTGAGCTGAGATCACGCCACTGCACTCCAGCCTGGGTGACAGAGCAAGATTCTGTCTCAAAAAAAAAAAAAAAAAGAAAGAAAGAAAAAGAAAAGAAACGAATTTAGAATTTAGAATCAGAAGACTTTAATTCCTGGTTCTTCCAGTGATCAGCTGTGTGACATTGGACAAGTTAGTTCCGTAAACCTCAATGTGCAACGTTGGGCTAATGAAGTAGCTACCTGATAAGATTGAAATAGATATTAAAAAATAATAAATAGGCATTCCATATATCATAGCTCAGGCTGCCATACAAAATATCATAGACAGGGTGACTTAAACAACAAAAATGTATTTCTCACAGTTCTGTAAGCTGGAAGTCCAAGATCAAGGTGGCCACAAGGTGGTTTCATTCCGAGACCAATTCTCTTGGCCAGCAGATGGCAGCCTTCTCGCTGTGGGCTCACATGGCCTCTTATATGCCTGTGGGGAAAGAGAGAGGGCTCTCCAGTGTCTCTTGGTGTAAGGATACTGTATCTATCCAGAGCCCCACCCTTCTGACCTCATTTAACCTTATTTACCTCCTTATAGGCCCTATCTTCAATTATAGTCACAGTTGGGGGTTAAGACTTCAACATATCAATTTGGGGGAGACACAGTTCAGTCTGTAATACCTAGGTAATATTAGTATCAGATATTTTAAGGCAGCCACAGGACTGGGCGCAGTGGCCTGTAATCCCAGCACTTTGGGAGGCCGAGGCGGGCAGATCACCTGAGGTAGGGAGCTCAAGACCAGCCTGACCAACACGGAGAAACCCCGTCTCTACTAAAAATACAAAATTAGCCAGGCGTGGTGGCGCATGCCTGTAATCTCAGCTACTAGGGAGGCAGAGGCAGGAGAATCGCTTGAACCCGGGAGGTAGAGGTTGTGGTGAGCTGAGATTGTGCCATTGCACTCCAGCCTGGACAACAAGAGCAAAACTCCATTTCAAAAAAAAAAAAAAAAAGGCAGCCACAGTACTTCTTCCATGCGTGTTTGTTGTTTTTTATTGGCCTGACAGAAAAACCCATGAGAAATAAAAATGAAATGCTAAGCTCCTCAACTCACTGAATGGACCCCCTCTTGGTCCAGGGGACCCCAGAGTAACCTTGGAAACTGAGTTCTTGACCATGATGGAATGGGGTCAGACACACCTCAATGTGCCCTTCCCCTGCTGGCCACCATTAAGCTTTCTTCCCTAAGAGCAAAACAGAAACCAGTCTTTCAAATGATTCCACCGCTATTGACCAACCTGACACTGCCCACCCCTCCTTTTTGCCTGATAAGAGACCACGGACCATGGAGTCTACAAGGAATGTGCAGTTGGAATTTTTGTGTCCTCTGGTTCACCTTTTGAAGTCAGAAGGCCAAACACTCCACTCTCCGATCATGCTAACATGGCCATTTTCTGAACATGGATCCCTTGGAGAAGCAGGAAGCTTTATTGCTCATGCACATGTTTCCTCTTTCACAAAGATTCATGACTTCTCCTGTAGCTTATTAAACACATATATTCAGCCACTTCGTTCAGCATATATTCCTGTTCCTGTTGCCCCTCCCTCAAAATGTCTGTTTCTGGCTTCCCACCCTGTCAGATGGCCACCCTGCAGGCTGCAACCCTTTCCAAATTTATAAGCCTTGTCATTCTTCAGTTGACAACCATAATCCCTATGGCATAACTTGCACTGCATGAAAATTATATTGATAGGTGTAACCAAAATAAATAACTTTATTAAGTTATGTAATTAGAGGTATGTGGAATTTTTCACTCTGCTTTCTCATGAAACAAAGCATAATCATTTCAACGCTCCTACAAAATAGTTACAATCACCACTGTCATGTCTTAATGTTTTACAGTTGGAATAGTAAAAACTATGTCCCTGTAATATACTAAAAAGTTTTAAGTGCTTACCTAAGAATATCCTTTAATGAAAGATGTTTGTTCAGGTTTCTGCCTCAGCCTCTGAGTAGCTGGGATTAGAGGCACCCGCCACCACGCCCGCCTAATTTTTGTATTTTTAGTAGAGACGAGGTTTCACCATGTTGGCCATGCTAATCTCAAACTCCTGACCTCAGGTGATCTGCCTACCTCGGCCTCCCAAAGTGCTGGGATTACAGGTATGAGCCACTGTACCTGGCCCATTGTACCATTTTCTTACTATGAAGATGTTTATTTTTATTTGAACTTCCTGGGCAATAAAAATAATGTTACAGTTTTAAACACTGCTATATATATTTATATATTATACTTTTTGAAAAGGCAATGAATGACAGATCACATCAGTTTATACTTTTACCATATGAGCTGCCATTTCCTGATACCCTCACAAATACTGGTCATTATTGTTCCTTTTTACTCTCTGCCAAATTGGCAAGTGGAAAATTACTTAACATTGCCTTTCTTTGGTTTCTATTGAGTTCAACTTTTTTTTTTTTTTTTTTTTTTTAAGACGGAGTCTTGCTCTGTTGCCAGACTGCAGTGCAGTGGCACGATCTCGGCTCACTGCAACCTCCACCTCCCGGGTTCAAGCAATTCTCCTGCCTCAACTTCCCAAGTAGCCGGGTCTACAGGCACCCGCCACCAAGTCTGGCTAATTTTTGTATTTTTAGTAGAGACAGGGTTTCACCATGTTGGCCAAGATGGTCTTGATCTCTTGTCCTCATGATCTGCCTGCCTTGGCCTCCCAGAGTGCTGGGATAACAGGCGTAAACCACCGTGCCTGACCTGAGTTCAACTTTTTTCACACTTCTTGTTGTCCACCCAAGGTTTCATTTGTACAATACATATCTCTGATTAGTAGGGTTTTGTTAAGTACATGATGATATCTGCAATCTTGGGAAAGGGACTTTATGGGAGGTAACTTCACTATTCCTAAAACCTCCCAACTTGATTCTTCTTATTCTCAAAATATTATTAAATCCCACACTGACCCTGCACTGCGGCATCCTGAGAAAACTCCACCTGCACCCTCTGGGTGTGACACAATTCCTACATTCCATTGTCAGGCAGATAGTGAAGATTACTTAGTACTAGGTGGGGGGATGTTTTGTAGGAATTCCTGGGCTTCAGTTTAATCCAATGTTGAATGCCAGACCCTCCAAGGTGACACTTCCTCTTTCATCATGTGGACTTTTCATCCTTAAATCTTCTTCTAGCGTGTTGCTGTGTAATCCTCCTTGACTGAATAAACAGTTAGGACTGTATTTCTCAACTCAGGGAGAATTCCTATTGCCTCATGTCTGGATTTGTCAGAAGTCTCACCCAGCCTATTATAATCAATCTTTATTTTAGAAGCTGTTCTTTTTTCTTTTTTTCCCCCACAGGCTTAATTCACTTTATTTTTTGTGTATAAAACCCTGTGTTGTAGCCACAGCTGGAGCCTGGGTCCTCTGCACGGAGACTCTGGGTCGGCCTTGACCAGGTGTGGTCAGTGAATTCCTGATAGGAAGACTTGGTGAATACAGGCTCCTTCCAAAGGTCGGGGGGTCAGGTAGCTGTAGGTCTTAGAGCTGTAAGGTCAAAGATGGCCTTGGCGCAGTTGCCCAGGGTGGCAGTGCAGCCCCTGGCTGAGGTGTAGCAGACATCCATACCAGCCATCATGAGCAGCTTCTTGGGCACAGGCGCCGAGACGGTGCCAGTGCCCCTGGGCGTGGGGATGAAGCCGACCAGCACAGAGCCGCAGTGGCCTGTCACCTTGCAAGGGACGGTGTGGGGCTTGCCGATCTTGTTCCCCCAGTAGCCTCTGCGCACGGGGACAATGGAGAGCTTGGCCAGGATAATGGCCCCGCGGATGGCAGTGGCCACCTCTTTGGAGCACTTAACACGCAGACCGACGTGGCAATTATAGTCCCCGATGGCAACAAATGCCTTGAACCTGGTGCGCTGGCCGGCGCGGGTCTGCTTCTGCACCGGCATAATCTTCAAAACCTCGTCCTTGAGAGAGGCCCCCAGGAAAAAGCCAATGATCTCAGATTCCTTGATGGGCAGGGAGAAGAGATAGGTCTCCTCCAGGGACTTGATCTTCATGTCCTTGACCAGGAGGCCCAGCTTGGTAATGGGTGTCCACCCCTTATCCTTGGCCTTGACTCCGCGAGCTCCGCAGCCTCGGCCCTGGCCCGGTCCACGGCCAGATCCACGGCCGCGACCCCGGCCCGCATGCCACTGCGGAAACCTCAGCGGAAACCACCGCAGTTCCCCATCCCAGGGTCCCCCGGGGCTTCCGGCCCCCGCTGCACCGGCGTTATCCGCCATTTGGTGTTTTCTCAGAGAAGACGTAGAAGCTGTTCTTGTTCGTCATCACTACGTAACATCCTTTGTTTTAGAAGCTTTTCTATGTTCCTCATCGCTACGTAACTTCCTTTGTTTTAGAAGCTCTTCTATGTTCCTCATCACTAGGTAACTTCCTTTGTTTTAGAAGCTCTGCTATGTTCCTCATCACTATGTAACTTGTTTGTTTTAGAAGCTGTTCTAGGTTCGTCATCACGACGTAACATCCTTCGTTTCCTGTTCTTAATGGCTTTCAGAGAAAACCCGAAGTCAGAAGCACGCCGGCATCCACTTGCGGCCGCCCTGCCTGAATATGACATGGATGGGTGTGACCAACGTAGAGTCTTCAGGAGGCTCGGTTTGGTAACTTAGGCATAGTTAATACATCCACATCATTTTTCTAAATTCTATGTTCTTTCGTCTCTTTCTTCACATTTATTCATCTAAAAATGGAGGGAGAGGTTCAAAATTTTTTTAAAAAACACACAAGAATAGTGAGCCTTCTTCATTTGGAATTCATCCCAGTGTTAAATGAAAGAATATTGTGCAAATTTCCAGGAAAATGTCAATGATGACTGGCTAAATTGGAACAAATATCGAAAGACTCCAAAATGTTTACATCCCAGCTGGAGGCAAGTGTTTCATTCCCAGTCAGGGACGGGACAAAGTGAGACTGCAGCAGCGGAACAGGCGCAGCCGGGGTTCCAGCCCTCAGCATCACCACGGTGCATTTGTCCCTGAGGACACCAGGAGTTGTGACAAATCCTGTTCCTTTGCTTTTAGAGGTTTTGTTGTAGAAGCCATCCCCATTTTGACCACTCCAATAATACTGTAAGCAGAGTTCAAAAGCTGAAGCGGGTACACTGTGCCTCCAGGTTATGTTTGTGGATGATACCCTATCAGGGTCTGAATGTCGTCTGACAGTTGCATCATTTCCCTGGAAGAACACGTGTAGACAGGCCAGCCAGTGGCCCTCCCTGTACAGCAGTGGCTGTGGCAGTCAGTGTTGAGTGTGGAACTAGGACTGTGTGATCACCTCCCGGTACTTCCCTTTCCTTATCTTTTTTTTTTTTTTTTTTTTTTTTTTTTTTTTTTAGACAGTCTCGCTCTGTCGCCCAGGCTGGAGTGCAGTGGTGTGATCTCGGCTCACTGCAACCTCCACCTCCCGGGTTCAGGCGATTCTCCTGCCCAGCCTCCTGAGTAGCTGGGATTACAGGCACCCGCCACCATACCTGGTTAATTTTGTTTTGTGTTTTTAATAGAGACGGGGTTTCACCACGTTGGCCAGGCTGGTCTCAAACTCCTGATGTCAGGTGATCCGCCCGCCTCGGCCTCCCAAAGTGCTGGGATTACAGGCGTGAGCCACTGCGCTGGGCCTAATTTTTTGTATTTTTAGTAGAGACAGGGTTTCGCCATGTTGGCCAGGCTGGTCCTTATCTTAACATAAAGAATGATAAGGACTTCCTCACAGACTGTTGAGAGAATTAAATAAGTCAACACACATATAGTACTTAGAGGAGTGTGCAGTAAATATTAGTTTAATGATGTGAATACACACACAGGCATACTTGATAAAGCCTAGTGAATATTTGATCTGTCAGTAACAAAATATTCAAAAGACAGCAATGAAGATCAGCAGTTTCTTTTATAATTCAGGAACTAGATAGCCACAAGCAATACAGTTTCACTTTGACTTTCAGACACCACTGAAACACCTGTGCTAGTATTCAGGCTAAAGCTCTTGAAGAGGGTAAAATATTTTCTCCATCTACCTACCTCTGGCCACAAGCACTTATGTGAATTGGAACTCAGGAAATGGTCAAAATCGATGTACTCACCCCTATTTATATGAGTGTTGATTTAAATAAATTATTGAGATAATTTAACGCATTGATTGTTCAGATTAGAATTAAACAGAGTGACCTTTGAAAATTTCATCTCATGATTACTCTTCATGGTACCTACCATCAACTCTTTTCTTAACCATTGCTCAATACTTAATCCGCACTCCTAGTCCTACCTTCTAGCTTGAAGTTATCATTAAACTAAATAACAGCCTTTAAATGAAAAGCAGGATGATACAGTCTCATTATCTAAATACATAAATCATTTGGTTTTAATGCCACCAAAATCCATCACCACAGTAGCAGTGCCTTTCCCTTGTAACATGGACATTGTTTCTAGGTACTTGTTCTTCTAAGTCAGAAATGCTCTTCCATTATTACATACTTCATCTGTGACAACCATTTCTGAATTCAGGTTTTGTTTGTTTGTTTGTTTTTTGGAGACAAGGTCTTGCTCTGTCACCCAGGCTGGAGTGCAATGGTATGATCTCAGCTCACTGCAGCCTGGACCTCCTGGGCTCAAGCAGTCTGCCCACTTCAGCCTCTTGAGTAGCTGGGACAACAGGTGTGCACCACCATGCCAGGCTAATTTTTTTTTTTTTTTGTAGACGTGAGGTTTCAGCATGTTACCCAGGCTGGTCTTGAACTCCTGGGCTCAAAAAATCCACCTGTCCCAGCCTCCCAGAGGGCTGGGATTGCAGGCGTGAGCCACTGCACCTGGCTGAATTCTTGTTCCTAGTGGCTTTGGGTCCTAAGAAACTTCTGTTTGTTTGTTTGTTTGCTTGTTTAGAGACAGGGTCTCATTCTGTGACCCAGGCTGGAGTGCAGTGGCTCAATCACAGCTCAATCTAACCTAGAACTCCTTGGCTCAAGTTATCCTCCTACCTTGGCCTCCCAAAGTGCTGGAATTATAGGCGTGAGCCACCACACCTGGCCCTTAGAAACTTCGTAAACTATTCATTTGGGTGAACCTAGAAACACCTTAGTAGATCCATTAATTCATTTATTCAACCAACATTTGCTGAGCCCCTGCTCTGCTTTGAGCTCTCCTCTAGGAAGTATGGCAATGCACGCAGGGGCAAGTCTGCATTCTCCCATGTGAGTGAGGGCTTCACCGTCTCAGGTTGAGGTGGAAATGCAAGGGGCTGCGGACAGGAAGAAGCAGATAAAGGAAGGGGACCTGCTTTGCTGGCTGCAGGTACACAGTCAGCAGCTCTGACATGGGAGCTCTCCGTCAAGACATCATCGCAGAAGAGATGATTCTTCCTGCGTCTGGGACAACAGCATATACAGTCTCTACCAGATGGCACGGACAGTTTATGGAGGTGGATGTGTAAAGAAAACATCCTCCTCACCACTCACACCCCTCCCCTCACAAGCCTCAAAGCAGCTCAGAGCGTTCTGCAAAGAGGAGGCTCTGGTAGTGCCGCAAGCCCTTGCCTCCTGTTTACATGGCAGCGACTGTCACTCTTTTCCCCAGAAGAAATTTTGCTGTACTCTTCGAAAAGCAAATTAGGAAAGCATTCCCGCTGGCAAATTGAATGTGTCTTCCTGCCATTGCCAGCAGTGCCAGGGAAAAAGAATTGGGGAAGAAAATCAGGGTTTTTCCCCACAACCTCACCTATGCTTGAGTGTTGGTATCCACCTAGAAAGAAGAGTGAGTTTAGTGCTCAGTAACAGTCATGTTTTACCCAGAGCTGGTGGGCAAAGGCCTAGATGTCTGGCCTGCTTTGTCTAATTCTAGAGCTGAGGCTAGAGGAAAAGGCCCTTTCTCTGCGTCTTAGTATCTTCCTCCAACCCAAGATGACAATAAAACACACTTACTTATTTACATAGTTTGGATCTGCCCAAATCTCATGTTGAATAGTAATCCCCAGTGTTGGAGGTGGGGCCTAATGGGAGGTGATTGGATCATGGGGGTGAATTTCTTCCTTGCTGTTCTCCTGATAGTGAGTTCCACCTCAAAAGGGAGCTACCTAGTAAAACTGTCTTGCTGCCTATCAGGGTCTTTGAACGCATTCAGTGTTGAGGAGCAGTGTGACCATGTCAAATTTTGTGGCAAGAAAGTCCCTCCCTGTGAAAGACCATCCACCTGGCCTGACAGCAAAGCTGCCATGAATTTTCAAAAGCCAGTCCAGCTGACAGCCGGGAGGAATGCATGAGTCTCTAGCAGCCCAGAAAGGTAATGGAAAACAGGTCTTTGAAAATGACACATTTTACATTAGAAAGGCATTGGTATATACTAATGTTTTAATTCTTCAACACGTGATGCCACAGTCTCTGGATGTCTTCTGGAAAGACCTCTGTCACTCATACGCATGGTCATGGCCAGAGGAAATTAACCAGAGGGTAATGAGCAATTCCTACTGCTACAAAGAGGGCACCACTCATTGCCTACCAGACCCTCATCCAAGTGCTTTCATTAATTCATCTCATCCTCCAGTCCACCCTATGACGTCAGTACTTTGTAATCATCCTCATTTTCCGGTAAGGTGACTGAGGCTCAAGGTTAATGTCAACCGGAGATACTTACACCTGGAACATGAAGGGAGAGAGAAACAGAAATAAATAGAGATCTGAAGATAACAGAAAAGCAAGGAAATACCAGTAACTAGTGTCATATTACCTCCCTGCCAACTGAAGGGAAGTCCATTCGGATGATTAAAACATCTTAGGTATTCAATAGCTTATTTCTAGATAAATTATTTTTTATTTTAAAATACAAATAGAAACATAAAATAGACTAAAAACATGGTAATTAGTAAAGGTTCTTGTAACTGCCTTTGGATGTGTGAATTTGGTGAGGCTACAGGCTCCAGTGTTTCAGTCAAACCCTACTCTAGGGGTTGCTGGGAAGGTATTTTGTAGATGTCAGTCAATTCCGTAGTCAGTTGACTTTATTTGTTAAGGGAGATTATCCGAGATAATCTGGGGCAGCCCGATTCTGTCAGTTGAAGGATCTTAAAAGCAGAAATGAGGCTTCTCTGAAGAAATTCTGCCAGTGCATAGCAACTCCAGCCCCTTCTGGAGACTGCCCTGCAAATTTCAGACTAGCCTATCCAGCCCCATGGTTACATATCCAATTCCCTGCAATAAGCCTCTTAATATCTGTCTTCTACTGGTTCTGCTTCTCTGGTTGAACCCTGATACAGTTGTTAAAATGTTATTGTAATTAATGTATAAGGATGAATTAGTAGTATATTGTGCTGGTATAAAAGCTAGTACATTTAAGTGGTTTTAAATTTTTCCCTGTGTTCCCATTTACCTATGAACTTACACTGTCTCAGAGGAAGGACTCAGAAAATCATCTTGGTAAGCCCAAGTAAACTCTAAATGTAAATTCCATCTGAACAAATTATGAATGAGTGGAGTCTTAATAAAGTTGCAGAATGTTAAATGAGAGAGGAGAGAGTGAAAGATGCACCTTCTCTTTGATTTAAAGCATGTATTCACACACACACACACACACACACACATTTTAGAAGAGACCTACATGATTCCCATGTTTTCATTTATTCTAACAGCATTCACTGAATGCCAATGACATCCTGAACACCTTTCAGCTTTATGACTATATTAATCCTTTCTTGCACTGCTATAAAGAAATAGCTGAGACTGGGTGATTTATAAAGAAAAGAGGTTTAATTGGCTCACAGTTCTGCAGACTCTAGGAAGCAGTGTCTTCTGCCTCTGGGGAAGCCTCAGAAAACTTACAATCATGGCGGAAGGCAAAGGGGGAGCAAGCATTTCGCATGGTGGGGCAGGAGGGAGAGAGAGGGAGGGGAGGTGCCACACACTTTTAAATGACCAGATCTCACCGGAACGCACTCACTCTCAGGAGAACAGCACCAAAGGGGAAATTCACACCCATAAGTCAATCACCTCCCATTAGGCCCAGCCTCCAACATTGGGGATTACAAGTAAACATGAGATTAGGGTGGGGACACAGATCCAAACCAAATCAATGACTCTGCGTGTCATTCAACACCTCCACATCTCAGGTTCCTTCTCTGTAAAATAGGGTTACAAATTGTGCCAGCCTTGTAGGACCACAGTGATTGTTAAGTTAGTTAAGGTTTCCAAAGTGCTTAGAATAGTCTCACATGTGGTATGCAACATCTATTTTGTGGGCTGGGGAAGCTGGCAAGGACTTCACAGAGGAGGAGATGCTAGAAAGACTTGGATTGGGGAGGGAGCACGAGGTACTATCCTGAATCATGGGCAAACCGGTTGAGCGAAGCTTGGAGGCAGGAAGGAAGAAAGCTTGTGATAGTAACCCTAATTAAACCAGCCTGCCTGCCGTGAATGGTTCTTACTAGAATCCCCAGGAGAGAAGGTGAGGGCCAGATTTTGAACAAAGCAAAGCCTGGATTCTACCTCTAAACCACATATTCAAGTTAATCTTAAAAATGACAGTTCATGTTTTTCAAAAGGATTTTATGGTTAAACAAGTTTGGAAAACAGGGTTAAATAAAGACTAACAGGTTTCTTTCAAGCAGGATTTCCCCCAATGACCTTAATCTGCTAACACACTGCCAGAGGGGACCCACAGGCAGCAGTTCCCAAAATAGAGGACAGAATCCTCTGGCTTCAGAGCATCTCCCAGGAAAACTGTTCCGAGGTGCACACTCCTGCAAATGAAGCTTGTATTATCTATATTTTCTGCATTCTTGATGCTCTGGCATCTGGGGCCTTGCTGACAGGGGACAGACTGCCTCTCTGGGGGCTTGACAATTCTTAGAGATAGCAAACAACTCACCTGGGAGCCCATCCTTCATATGGAAACTAACAATCCAGAGCCAACACCCACCACATCTTCCACCTGGCACACATACCCCGGAGACAATGTTCATCTGCGCTCATCATCCAAGAGCCAGGTACCGGACAACTAGGGACAGCCTCTCTAGCCCAGAACCCACTGAAATTATTCAGGCTTACCAATCCTAAGCCTGCCTAGCCTTGCCTTTCCTGTGGAAGCCACAATAAAACTTCCTGCCCACACTCTGCCCCACCTCTCTCCTGCCTCCCGACACACCCTGGTGCTTCCTCGTGGGGCCCAGCAGGACACTTGCCCCCTCCTCTTGGGAACTGTTAGTAACAAACTGTCTTTTCCATACCAATCATCTCCCAACCTGTTGGCCTTACCATAGCTCAGTAACAATAAAACTACAATTTAAAATACTGGTGTTGGCAAGAAAGGACTTTCAAAGACGTTTAAGCAAAAGAGTAACATCATTATGTTTTAGAAATATTCATCTCACACATCCTCTCTATACTACATTTTGAATTCTCAGAGCATTGTTAGAGCCCCAGGAAGCCCAATACCAAACTGAAATGTTAATGGAGAGACACAGAGGGGTCTGGGAAGCCTGAACCCCCACATATATGGGAGAAGTCCTGCTAAATGTGATGAGACTTTGGGAGTACAGCATGTCTGAAAGAGGGCTGTCCCGTTAACCCACCTTGGATACCCTGTAGCCAGCTGTAGTTTCTCCACTGTGTTTAGGTGATTCTAGAGGTCAGAGGTCATCAGAACTTGTGATTCACCTGCAGCTTTGCAAATGGAGGTACCCCAAGGACTTGCAAGACAAATCCTACCTCTGAGCACTTCATTGCCTCATTTTTCTTATCAGCAATCTAAGGAGGTTGAGGTTGACTCACTTTGTAAAATACCTTCTGGCTCTGAAATTCTGTGATTCCTATTTTCTCTACAGAGCTACTAATTCCAGCAAATTTTATAATCCTATAAAAATCACTCTAAGTCACAAATATCAGGATTGCTGTAAAACTTTTCTATGTCCTTTTGTTCTTTTCTATGTGATGCCAGTTCTCCAAAGGGCACTTCTCTTTTGTGAGTTACAATTACCCCTACTATTTATTGTGAGCCAATTAAAATAAATACTGTACTTTGGAAAAGGAAATGTACTTTTTTTCCTACACCCATGCCAACCTTCATTCCACACCTTGCCCCATCATTTAATCAACTGTGATTTTTATCTACAGTTGGAAAAGACATCAGGGAATTAATGACTCACCGCCCAACCAGAGCTCTTTTAGGTCAAGAGGGCACAGGCTGCGGCCCCCCCTCCTCCCCCATGCAAAAGAGCACTTGGCAGAACCCTGAATGGGAACTGCAGTGAAAAAAAATAAGGAAATGAATCACTGGGCTTGACCAAGACTTACTAGCTCTGTCTCCAAATGAAGAAACAATGACAAAACTGCTGGTTGTCTGATAAACAAATTAGAGCCAAGAGTGGGAGACAGAAAGATTTTAGCTGTTATCTTCTAAAGGGAGAAGTTTGCAACCTGCTGGAAGGTGCTTCTCTGGACTTCCATGAAAACCAGCTGTCTGTCATTTGATCTCTGTGTGGATCTCAGGTTTCTCATATATAAAATGTCAGTTTGGAGACAAATGGTATTTCAAATTAAATGTCTTCTTTAGTCATTAAATGTGGAGCTCGATACTGAATCCTTTGACCATGCTCTTTTTTCAATACAGAAGATAGATGCCCAGGTATTACCGGATTGTAACAAAGCTACCAAAGAAGTATGATCATTGCTTAAAGAAATATTTGTGCAAAGCGGGGAAAATAGCCTTACAGTCAGGAGCATTAATCCCACCTAAGCCAGCCAAAATTAGAATGCTTGACAGCACAATTTGAAGGAGAAGGAAATGAGCAAAGAAGATGACGACTGACATTTAGGTTGGCCAGTGGGTTATTAGTCATAATAAAGAAAGGCAAAAACAATAATAAAGTAGAAAAGATTTGCCCCATTAGTCAGCAGTGTAAAGAAGCAGGTGTAAATGATAGCACTGAACATTGGAAGATGTGGACCATGCCGGAGAAATTGTCCCTGCGGAAGCATTCAACTGTTGTAGTCAAACAATGTTGTAATTATTCTTACACTCTTGTAGGCCCATCACTATATATATTTATTCAATATTTATTTATTGAACATCTACTTATATATAACTACCTTAATCACTTTAGTACCTATGGAGACGAATAATTTCTGCATTTAAGAACTTTTCTGGCTAGGCATGGTGGCTCATGCCTGTAATCTCAGCACTTTGGGGGGCTAAGGTGGATCGCCTGAGGTCAGGAGTTCAAGACCAGCCTGGCCAACATGGAGAAACCCCGTCTCTACGAAAAATACAAAAATTAACTGGGCGTGGTGGCGGGCACCTGTAATCCCAGCTACTCGGGAGGCTAAGGCAGAAGAATTGCTTGAACATGGGAGGCAGAGGTTGCAGTGAGCCGAGGTCATGCCACTGCACTCCAGCCTGGGTGAAAGAGTGAGACTCTGTCTCAAAAGAAAAAAAAAAGAACTTTTCTGTTACGTAAGGGCAACAGCTAATGATAACCCACTATAAGTACTATTGCACTGATAAATAAAAAGAACAATGAGCAAAAATATTCTTACCAAAAATCTTATGCTCAAGGTGAGATTAAAGCTTGCTTCAAAGAACGGATAAGATTTTAACAGGCATGTTGAGAGGAAAACTATTCTAGGAAGATTAAACAGAAAGAGCAAAGGTATTCCTTAAAATGGTTTACAAAACCCTTCCAAAGTTGACCCCACCACTCACAGTGCCTCATTGTCTGTAATCCCAGCACTTTGGGAGGCTAAGGTGGGAGGACTGCTTGAGCCTGGGAGGTCGAGGCTACAGTGAGCCATAATCTCACCACTGTACTTCAGCCTGGGTGGCAGAACAAGAATCTGTCTCAGACACACAAAAAAAGCTGATCCCCACTTAAATTTCCTGCTTATAATTCTCCCCACTCACCAAACTTCCTGCATCCTCCTATTTGTCATGTTTTCTGAAACCTCAGGACCAGAAACAGTTTTTTCCTAAACTTCTATACCTAGAAAACTCCTGATTTCCACTAGAATAGAAAGTAATTATTTCAGGCTTTGAAGACTATGCGGTCTGACTCACAACTATTCAATTTTGCTGTTATGCTGTGAAAATAGCCATGAACAATATTTAAATGAATGAGCAGGCCGTGTTGCAATATAACTTTATTTACAAAAACAGGAAGAGGATTGGATTTGGCCCACAGGTCATAGTTTGCTAACCCCTGCTATGGTGCAACATCACTCTCTCCTGGAAGGGAATGATGTTTTTAGTCCCAAGAAATATATGGAATGCAACTGTCTCATGTACTATTGGTTGTTTAATTGAAATTCAAATTTAACTGAGCGTCCTGTGTTCTATCTGGCAATCCTAATAAATGTCCATCAGAACTTCCTGTCTTCATAACAGCAATGCCAAAAATCCTAAGCGCTCAATTTCTGGTAAAACGTGTGTCTCTCGCTTTTCTCCAGCGGACGTTTCCCCCATCCCTTCATCTTCAATTCCCATTCCCCCAGACTCTCTCCCCTCTACAAGTTTGTTAATTGTTTTTAGAGAATGAGAAAGTAATTTTCATTTCTTTAATGAGTGTTTAAAGAATTAAGGAACGTTTGTCATGGCAGATACAGAAAATAACAGTCTCAAGATTCTCTCATTCCCTGGGTTTTATACCGTTGTATTAATCTAAAAGCTACCCATTTCATCATCTCCTTTTAATTCTCCCTGATGATTCAGGAGCTGTACTGCCTGTGGTTGGATTTGCTGCGATAACTTATCTCCATAGGACAGGAATTTATGAACTGGTTGCATTTAGATTGGAGCTGTTTTCAAGAGTCTCCTGAGCTGACCTTTTAGAGTAAACCTCTAATCTCCAATGCAGAATTAAAGACTCTGCTTCTTATGAAAGAAATCACAGGCACCAGCTACTCTTGAAGAATGTTTTCTTGTTGTGGGAGGTGGGGAGTGGGGCAGGAGTTAGCAACTGAGTGGAGAGGAATCTTAGAACCCGCGGGCTCTGCCGGCCGCAGCTGTCTCGGCACCTTTTTTCTCAGTCACTGGGGTCACAGCTCTTTCCTCTGTGTCCTCCTCTTCTTCAGGTAACTCACCCTCTGCCCTCCTAGCTGTTCACACTAACATACACCATTTATATTCTAAGGGAGCATTAGTGTGTGTTTTTAATGATTAACTGCTCTAACACAGGTGCCTTCTGGCCGCTTCCACCCAAAACCTCCTTCAGCTGAGACCCTGCGAAGTCTTTCTGCCCCTCCTATGGTCGGGGTCATAGCAGTGACAATATGGCTCTGGTGTGGGAGGTGGCAGGGGAGACTTAGGGTCAACCCTGCTCTAAATCACTGTCATCTTCAACTGCAGAATATAACTAATACTGAAACCCACAGACCACAGAGAAGAAACACCCACACTTCCAACTCAGATTATAAAGCACAAACCCTTCTGTCTCATCTCCCACGTGCCTCCCGCCTCACCTATCCATAAGCTGCCCTTCATGCTGCTGGAAGAATATTCTTTCTGAAACATCAATGCTCACCTGTCTCTCCTGTGCCCAGGACCAGCCCTGGTATCTAGGGGCTGCAGGGCAGAATCCAGGCTTGCCTTCACAGTCTCCTCCTTTGGGCATCTCTACTATCCCAGCCTCGTTCTTCAGTGCAATCCACAGTCAGCTTCACACGGCTGTGCGATCCTCAAGCGTGAGTGTGTTTTCTGTGCCACTCACTCTTTCATCCATTCAGTCAACAGATATTAACTGAATATCTGACTTAAGCCAGGCGCAGTGAAACACACTGGGGATAAACTGGTGGAATGAACTTACAGTCCATTGACGGATGAAGAGAACTGAACAGGGTCAGACAGAGTGATGAGAGCCCAGGGAGCACATAGGAGGAACAATTCAGAGAGGGAAGGACGTTCTGGATTTTTCTTTGCCACATCAGGCAACTCTGTGTGTGTGTGTGTGTGTGTGTGTGTGTGTGTGTGTGTGTGTGTGTAACTCTATACTTGTAATGTGGAGTCATCCCAGCAAAGATGCCTGACTGAGGTCTCCCTATTTTTATTTGTGTCCTCTTGTGTTCCTTACTTTATCACTGCCATTTTGCCTATTACCATTAAATTGTTTTACAAAGAACAATACACCTATTCTCCAGATTAACCCCCAAAACAAATTTAAATACATTGCACCTAGCCAGCTGCAAAATCCCTATTTCTACTTGGGTCTGGGAATTATAGTATCCACCAATAACAGTACAAACAGATCGCTGACATTTGTACTACAGATGGTAATTTGACACATTTATTGCTCTCAGACCAAAGATATTCCTGGAGGAATTAATTTTAATTTCTTTCTAGCTATTTTTTTATTACCAATAGACAATTACTTAGATAGCATCTTGAGTAAACGCACCCCTTGTATCCTAAGCATCCTTTTTAGCCAACTCAATGGATGAGCAAACACATTGCCTCCTCTGATAAGTGTGTTGCCTTTAGATCCCAGCATCACGATCCATCTCTCAGACCTGCAGGAAATGAGATGCTATCACGTCAAGTATTTGCTTTATTTGTCTGGGGAAAATTAGCTCTTCAATTTCAAGCTTAAGGGTCCTGGGCAGAGTCGTGTTCTAGAAAGATATGTTGCACTGTGTTGCATTGAACCTGAATCCGTAATCTCAGAGGAAGGTGGGGCCAGCAGAGTCTCCAGAACTCAGCTCAGGCAACAGCTCCACGGTAGCAGGACAGCAGGTGTCACCTCTGACATCTCGCGAGCCTCCGCTCCATGGGACTTTCATCGATGAATTGACCAATAACATTTTTTCCAGTAAAATAAAATCATTTTAATGAAATAACAAAATAAAATTGGGGAAGGTTTTTGAGATTATTTTCTTTAACCAGTATTCCAATACTTTCATATACTGTATAATTTTAATGTTCTCTTAATTGTCTTTTTTTAGTAGTATTATTATTTTAGTTTTTTTGTTTTGTTTTGTTTTGTTTGAGATGGAACCTCACTCTGTCGCCCAGGCTAGAGTGCAGTGGCATGATCTCGGCTCACTGCAACCTCCGCCTCGCGGGTTCAAGCGATTCTCCTGCCTTAGCCTCCCAAGTAGCTGGGATTACAGGTGCATGCCACCACACCCAGCTAATTTTTGTATTTTTAGTAGAAACGGGGTTTCACCATGTTGGCCAGGCTGGTCTCGAACTCCTGACCTCAGGTGTTCCACCCACCTCAGGCTCCTGAAGTGCTGGGATTACAGGCATAAACCACTGTGCCCAGCCCAAAGCCACCACGCCTGGCCCTGTTATCTTAATTTTCAAAAATAAAACACTCCCAGAGACTTAAGGATATTTAAAAAGTTTTGAAGATAAATTCTAACTGCGGCTACATCCGGAGGGAGAGATTATGGGATTAGTTCTACTTTTTTATTTTCTATATTTTGTATGTTTGAATTTCTTTCAGAGATAATATACTTTCTCATAGTACACATACATTTTTTGCAACCAGAAAAAGTAATTTTCGCAGGTTGCAAACTTCCAATTCCTGTTCTATGTAAAGCAAGCTCTCAGTGAATGTGCATCACATATATTTTTGCCTACACCGTGATGCCATGCGCTGATAAATGCTTCATAAATATTAGTCGAATCAAATACTCAAGAAGGAAGCAGCATGTGCCTGTCACCAGGAGCATCGTGTGTAGGGTAGGTCTGGCCGTCATTGTCTGATCATCATTGCATAGCTGAACGCAGCTAAAACAAATGAAAGTGAAGAGAGGAGAAACTACAGTATTGGAGTCTCCGAGGGCTGTGCCGAGCCTCCGCCCCTCACATCCCACAGCCCAGCACTAACTAGGTCACACTGGAAGGCTGTGCCTGAGAGTGCCTTCTGGTGTTTGTTTCTTTCTTTTGTTTTATCTTATTTTTTTTTAGACAGGCTCTTGCTTTGCTGCCCAGGCTGGAGTACAGTAGCGTGATCATAGCTCACTGCAGGCTTGACCTCCTGGGTTCAAGTAATCCTCCTGCCTCAGCCTCCCAAGTAGCTGGGACTACAGGCCACACCATTGCACCTGCCAATTTTTTTTTTTTTTTTTTTTTTTTTTGGTAGAGATAGGTCTTACTACGTTGCCTGGGCTGAACTCCCGGCCTCAAGCAATACTCCCGCGTCAGCCTCCCAAAGTGCTGGGATCACAGATGTGAGCCATCTGGCCTGGCCTGGTTGTTCTCCTTTAAATCCGCCTCGGCCTAAGCCCTTGCCTTTCTCACTGCTACCGCCCTGTACAGCCCTGTCTCCCTCCCCGTTCCCTGATCACCTGGCAGCCCTGATTATAAAACACGCTTCTACCCTTGCTTCACTGTCACCATCACTGTCACTGTCACACCTGGAGTGGAATGAAGCACCACTTCAAATACCACCACCACCATCACCTCCTGCTCCCCATCGCCCAGGATGAGACCCGCCTCCTGCGGGGTGTGGTTACCTGGGCAGGAGCTTCGCCAGCCTGAGTCACCCTCTAGGGAGAGGCTCACCTCCTCAGCCTGACTGCTTTGTTGAAGAGTTTGCTGAAGACCTAAGCAGGGAAAAATAACAAAATGAAGCTGAGTTGTTACCCTGATGCTTTCAGCTTTCTATTTTATAAGTACTCTGAATACAGACTAATAAGTATTCTAGTAACAGGTGTACTTTTTCTGCTCAATGTTTATTATTCTGCTTGACTTGATTAGGCAACTCATTAAATGTATTAAAATTTGAAAGTAAAGTGAAAATAATTTTATTTTGGGGTGCTCTAAGTTCTGCTACATCACTTCTTAACCTTGAAATTAGCTAATTTAGAATTGGTTGCTGATTTTTAAATGTATTTATCATGATTGTCTTTACATGTGACTTAGAAACATGACTTTGTTTTCATATATGTAAACTTTATAGCAATAGCTTTCATTAATCCTTTCATTAATTTCACCCACATACTTTGCAACGCTGAATACTGGATTGATCTCTGGCTGTTTTGCAAATAAAAATATGCACATAAATACACAAAACAAGACATATGAACTAAAAACTTTTAAATGGTATTTTCAGAAGATAATATTTTTCTATTTCAATTCCTTTTTGACTAGATTTTAATTAGCATTCCAAGAGCTCATGAGGCATGTCTACTAATGTTTCAGTGTTTTGAAGAAAATCCTGTTTATGCGGGCACGGTGGCTCACACCTGTAATCCCAGCACTTTGGGAGGCCAGGACGGGTGGATGACCTGAGGTGAGGAGTTCAAGACCAGCCTGGGCAACATGGTGAAACCCTGTGTCTACTAAAAATACAAAAATTAGCTGGGCACAGTGGCACGTGCCTGTAATGCCAGCTACTTGGGAGGCTGAGGCACGAGAATCACTTGAGCCCAGGAGGCTGAGGTTGCAGTGAACCGATATTGCGCCATTGCACTCCAGCCTGGGAGACAGAGCAAGACTCCATCTCAAAAAAAAAAAAAAAAAAAAACTGTTTATACTATGGTAGGTACAAAACCATTCTGCCCCCTAAACTTCTCTTTTTTTCTAGTTAGACCAACTTGTATTGCTCACATCTGCTGAAAACCAATATAATATTCTTTGCATATTTGAAAAGCCACTTTCATTCATATACTTTAGTTCACATATTTATGAGAAGCAATGTGTTAATGAATGAGTTAAAGTTTTAAGTAGTTTGGTGTCTTTAAATGAGGGATTTGTGAATGTTTCAATATCTTGACTGAAACAAATGCCATTTTTCAGTTAATCTAAGATATATACTTGGCAGCTAACATACCATCTTAATTGAATTTGGAAACAACTCGTTTTTTCTAATAAACTTTTTTTTCCCACACACACACACAAAGCCTGCAGAGCACTAGCAAGTGTGCTATTTTTATTCAAAGCCTGGGCACAAAATGAAGCTAAACCTGATTAGGAAATGATGTCAAGAGATAAAAGAAGTGCAGGATTTGCTCTCTGGCAACTCCAAGGAAAAAAAGTTCTTGCAGCCCTTTAGTTGTCTAGGAGAGCAGCACTGAAAGGCTCAGTCAGTGACGCCTATTGAATATTTCTGTGGGAGAAATCAACCACTGCAGGCTGGGCAGCAGCGACCTTTGCACCCCTAACACCAATGCGAGGCACCCCTGACACCAACACGAGTGCAATCCATCCTGCCCCGATGGCAGGGGCTCAGTCTAGACGGATGGAAGAGATGCCAAGCAGAGGATGGGAGGAAACTCACATCAGCATCCATAGACTCTGGAAAGTTCCTTGGTTCCCACATATCTGAGGCAATCTGCTGCCAAATCTAGAACAACCAGGGACCGTGGTGAATAACTCAAGACCCTGATGGAGTTTGGGTAGAAAACACCAGAGACAACCCTGAGTTCCTAGAGCTCTTGAGAAAAAGGAATGATCATTACTGCTTTACCAATAGAATTTTATAGGCTCCAGAGACCCCAACCTTACCTTTCAGGGACAAGCTCCCATTTTCTCGACTTTACATGAAAACATGTTGAAGACCTAGTCCACATGTATGTCTTTAGGTGGTGGCTTAAAGTTTTTTAGAATTGGAGCCTAAAGCTAAGAGGAGGGTTAAAGGGTTGTGAGTTGAAGGCTAGGAGGATGATCCTGAAACACTGAGTTGGAGCCCAAGTGGCTGTCCATTCAAAAGGTGGCCCTGGTCAATGGCTGGCCTGAAAAGCCAGGATGTGCTGTGTGACCAGGGCCTTAGGTATGCGAGTCTGGGGACACCCTTTGTCAAATCCAGGGAGAACATGAAGAATGAAGAAAATGTGTCCACTTCTTTTTTTCTTCTCCCAACTAATGATTGCAGCTCTGATTGACCAAGAAGACAGGAATTCCTTGTTACCCCATCTGTATTTGTTCATGTCCCAGTGAATGTAAGTGTGGGAGCTTGGACAAAGCCTCCACTTTCTGCTCCTTTTACCGTTTTTTTTTTGTTTTTTGTTTTTTGTTTTTTTGAGATGGACTCTTGCTCTGTCACCCCAGGCTGGAGTGCAGTGGCATGATCTCAGCTCACTTAGCCCGCCTCCCGGGTTCAAGTGATTCTCCTGCCTCAGCCTCCTGAGTAGCTGGGATTACAGTCATGCACTACCACACCCAGCTAATTTTATTTTTAGTAGAGAAGGGGGTTCACCATATTGGCCAAGCTGGTCTCGAACTCCTGACCTCAAGAGATCCACCCATCTCGGCCTCCCAAAGTGCTGGGATTGCAGGCATGAGCCACTATGCCGGGCCTCCTTTTACCATTTTACTGGCGTCAACTCCTTCATCTTCACCAGTCACTCCTGTTTACTAAACCCTGCGCTTTGAAAAAACAGATACATTTTATGACCTTTGAATGAAACTTGTTTGTATGCAAAATTCTCCCTTTGCCTCTTGTTTAGAAGTATAAACCAAGCTTACTGGTAAGCCAAGCTTATTACTGATATTATCATAGGCTTAAAACTGGCTCTAAAGGAATATCTGTCTGTGCGTTCTTTTGTTTGTTTGATTTTAATGTTCAAAACACATTGATTTACTAAATCACTTTCAATTGACTTATATAAGACAATTTCAACAAATAAAACGTATAGTGAAAAATTATAGTATACAATGGACCTGTCTCTAGAAAAAAAAATAAGTCTTAATTATCAGTTGAGGAACAAAAGTATTCCTTTTAGTTAAATGTAGGTTTTAGAAAAATATTTCTTGGCCAGGTACGGTGGCTCATGCCTGTAATCTAAGCACTTTGGGAGGCCGAGGCGGGTGGATTACCTGAGGTCAGGAGTTCGAGACCAGCCTGGCCAACATGGTGAAACCCCCTTGCTACTAAAAAACACAAAAATTAGCCAGGCATGGTGGTGGGGGCCTGTAATCCCAGCTACTTGGGAGGCTGAGACAGGAGAATTGCTTGAACCCGGGAGGCGGAGGTTGCAGTGAGCCAAGATCGTGCCATTGCACTCTAGACTGGGTGACAAGAGCAAAACTCCATCTCAAAAAAAAAAAAGAGAGACAGAAACATTTCTTATGCAGTCCTGCCACAACAAAAGTGAATTTCCTAAGAAAAGTTTGAGTATCCAGTGAAATATTAACAAGTGAACTGTAATTGTTTTTAGTCATATTCAGAAAATCTAATGTGTTTACTTGCTTGTTGAGTCTTTGCCAGTCTAATCTTTTTGGCTTTGGTGATTAACTTTCAGTGCCTTTTGGCAAGCTTTTCCTGAGGCTGATCAAGTCGGGCCTGTCTATCAGCTGAAATCTCCCGGTGATGCCTGTTCTGACCACCAGAAAGGACCTTGAGTTTCAAGCAGTGTTTCTGTTTAATTTCTGCGTGTGCATTTATTACTGCTTGAACATTCTCAGGAGTTTTAAACCTAGCATGGCATTCTGTATCTCCTTCTAGAAATCAACATAAACAACTTCTGGGATCACTGCCAAGTATTCTGTACAAAATCACTCCTGACTTAAAATTCGTGTAAAAATCGTTCAACTTTTTGCAACTCATGAAAACGTTTCATCAAACCTACATAAAGCTTAAGTTCCTAAACAGTTCAAGAGCTCTCACTTTCTCTGTGTGTGTTTTAAGGCAATCAGAAGAAATATCTGAAAGAAGAGTTGCAGCCAGTCTTTTGCTCAGGAGACCCTCCCAGGGAGGGATGCCGCAGCCCATGGTCTTGAGAAGCCTGCACGCAGGGCAGCATGTCCGAGGATGGGTGGCCCTTCCTCCTGTTTCCAGACTAAACTATCTGCTTTTTTCCTTCACATTCCTCCATTAACTTAACCTTCTTCCCTCTTCAATACTGGAAAGCCCAAGGTCTCCAGGTGCTGGATATCCAGGCATCATTTTTGTCTTCTTGTCCCTTTCCTCCCCTTCAAGCCCAGCAATTACAATGCCAGGCTCCAGGAAACAGCCCTGGGTCCTAGGAAGAAGAAAGAGAAAGATGCTGGATTGCTGATCCTCCCAGCACCATGAGTGCCTTAGTCTATTCTGGCTGCTATAACAAAACACCACAGACTGGTGGCTGGACATCCATTTTCACACAGATCTGGAAGCTGGAAGTCCCAGATCAAGGTGCCAGGGCTGGTTTCTGGTGAGGCCTCTTTTTGTGGTTTGCAGACAGCTGCCTTCTTACTTCCGTCCTCATAGGGCCTTTCCTCTGAGCTTGCACAGAGGGAGGGTGGAAGCGGGAGAGAGAGAAAGAGAGAGATGGGGAGAGCATGAGAGTACACCAGAGGGTGCAAGCAGGCTCTCTGGTAGTCTTTTTTTTTTTTTTTGAGATGGAGTCTGTTGCCCAGGCTGGAGTGCAGTGGCACTATCTCAGCTCACCTCCAGGGTTCAAGCGATTCTCCTGCCTCAGCCTCCCGAGTAGCTGGGATTACAGGTGCGCACCACCACGCCTGGCTATTTTTTGTATTTTTGGTAGAGATGGGGTTTTGCCATGTTGGCCAGACTGGTCTCGAACTCCTGACCTCAGGTGATCCACCAGCCTCAGCCTCCCAAAGTGTTAGGATTACAGGCATGAGCCACCTCACCTGGCCTTTTTTTCTTCTCTTAAGGAGAGTGGTCCTATCAGATTAGGGTCCCACCCTTATGACTTAATGTGACCTTAATTGCCTCCCTAAAAATCCTATCTCCAAATACAGTCACATTAAGAGTTAGAGGTTGAGGCGGGGCCCGGTGGCTCATGCCTGTAATCTCAGCACTTTGGGAGGCCGAGGCGGGCAGATCACGAGGTCAGGAGATCGAGACCATCCTGGCTAACAGAGTGAAACCCCGTCTCTACTAAAAATACAAAAGAAGTTAGCCAGGCGTGGTGGCGGGCACCTGTAGTCCCAGATACTCAGGAGGCTGAGGCAGGAGAATGGCGTGAACCCAGTAGGTGGAGCTTGCAGTGAGCCGAGATCTTGCCACTGCACTCCAGCTGGGCAACAGAGCGAGACTCCATCTCAAAAACAACAACAACAACAACAAAAGAGTTAGAGATTGAATATATGAATTCGGGGGAACAGAAACATTCCACCCCTAACAGTGAGCGAACTGGAGAGGTTCTGGGCAAGGCACCACGGGTTCAGGAGTCAGATTCTTGAAACTTTCACTTTAACACGCAATGACTACAATGAGGAGGATGCTGAGGGCAATGATGATGGTCATGGTGAAAATTCACAGATATTAGCTAAGCAACAAAATTGAGAGGAAAAAATTACAGCTTTGATCTCGCCATGTGAAATTAAAACCAGTATTAAGAATAGTCATTTACTTAAAGTTGTAGTGCAATTTGAAAAGGAAGAGTATAAAGTACCCTCACCCAGTTAAACCACGCTATTATTATTACTCTTGATTGTACTTTTTAAGTCGCATGGCATCACTTGATGGATTGAAAAAAATATTGAAAGAATTAACTGCTTAAAAGAGGAACTGTGAGCAAAGGAAGCTGGGGGAAAAATGAGACAGTGGAATGTGGTAGTGTTCATTCACGCACTGCTTACATGGAGGGAATATGGCCAATGAAGCCTTACATTTCATTCGTTCATTTCATAATTATTTATTGATTGTCTGTTGGTGCTTGATTAATTAGGCAAATGAAATCAGGCTAGCAAGATGGCTGTCTGCACCCTGGGGCAAGGATGGGATGAGGCAGGATTGGAGGCAGGATGGAGAGTGAGAGCGTTCTGTTGCAATCCTGGTCAGAAATAATGGTAGCCTGGACTGCAGTGTTGCCCGATGACTGACAGAGAAATAAGCAAATGCAAGGGGGAGATATTTGGGAGTTAGAATCAGTTTCCTGTGGAAAGATTATTCTTACAATCAAGAAGAGAAACTTGAGCTGTCTACATTCTCTTCAGATCAAGGTGATAATAATGGTAGTTAATAACACATACTTTGCACTTCAGGACAAGGGGTGTCAGCAATGAAGGAGTTAGGAATGTGTGTTCAAATCCTAGCTCTCCCTCACTAGCTATGTGACCCTGAAGGAGTTCTGAACCTCTCTGTGCCTGTTTCCTCAAGAGTCTTGTAAGGATTAAAGGAGTCAACATATCCCCTTGACTTCATGCACTTTTGTGTCTAGTCATCTAGCACATTCTTTCTCTGACCTGAAGACCCACTAACAAGGTGGGAATGAAGAACAAAGTAGGAACTCAAGCAACTCATAGCAATAATACCACCTCCTTAAAAAATAGGCAGAGGTCCTGAATAGACATTTTTCTTTTTCTTTTCTTTCTTTTTTTTTTTTTTTTTCAGACAGAGTCTGGCTCTGTCGCCCAGGCTGGAGTGCAGTGGCGCAATCTCAGCTCACTGCAAGCTCCTCCTCCCGGGTTCACGCCATTCTCCTGCCTCAGCCTCCCCAGTAGCTGGGACAACACGTGCATGCTACCACGCCCAGCTAATTTTTTGTATTTTTAGTAGAGATGGGGTTTCATTGTGTTAGCCAGGATGGTCTAGATCTCCTGACCTCATGATCCGCCCACCTCAGCCTCCCAAAGTGCTGGGATTACAGGCGTGAGCCACCATGCCGGGCGGAATAGACATTTTTCAAAGGAAGACATAGAAATGACCAACAGATGTATGAAAAATGCTCAATCTCACTAATCATCAGAGAAATCCAAATTAGAACCACAATGAGATACCATCTCACACCTGTAAGAAGGGCCATTACTTGAAAATCAAAAGATAAATGTTGGCAAGGATGCGGAGAAAGGGGAACTCCTGTACACTGTTAATGGGAATGTAAATTAGCATAGCCATTATGGAAAACAGTATGGAAGCTCATTAAAAAATTAGAATTAAAATCAGAGCTACCATCTGATCCAGCAATCCCACTACTGGGAGTACATCCATATCAGTCTGTCATAGAGATGTCTGCACCCCCAAGTTCACTACAGCACTATTCACAATAGCTAAGACATGGAATCAACCTAAGTGTCCAAAAACAGAGGAATGGATTATTTATTTATTTATTTAGAGAGAGCGTTTTGCTCTTGTCACCCAGGCTGGAGTGCAATGGCACAATCTCATCTCACTGCAACCTCTGCCTCCCGAGTTCAAGCAATTCTCCTGCCTCAGCCTCCCAAGTAGCTGGGATTACAGGCGCATGCCACCACACCCAGCTAATTTTTGTATTTTTAGTACAGACGGGGTTTTGCCGTGTTGGCCAGGCTGGTCTCGAACCCCTGACCTCAGGTGATCTGCCTGCCTCAGCCTCCCAAAGTGCTGGGATTACGGTCGTGAGCCACCGCGCCTGGCCGAGAATAGATTTTAATGTTTTCATCACAAAAAATAAGTATGTAAGTAAACTATATCTTAATTAGCTCAATTTAATCATTCTACAATGTGTACATATTTCAAAACGTGTGTACTATAAATATATAATTTTAATTTGCCAATTAAAAAATAAATTAATGCATTAAAAAAAGAAGCAAGGATATCAGTAGTATAAATATTACTAAAATTGTCCTGGAGTTATTAACCAATGAAAGTAGGCAAGTGAATGAAATATAAAATATAAAAATTTTAAATAAATTACATTCAAAATTATCTTCCGATGATGGGCTTGTATACAAATAAAACCTAGAGAACTGACAGAACTGACTAAGAATTATCACAAGCAATAAGAAAAGACATAGAATTAATTTTTTTAAAAGTCATTTACCCGCAAGTAAACAACACCAAGTTAAAAAAGATGATGGGCCAGGCGAGGTGGCTCACACCTGTAATCCCAGCACTTTGGGAGGCTGAGGTGGGCAGATCACTTGAGGTCAGGAGTTCGAGACCAGCCTGACCAGCGTGGTGAAACCCCGTCTCTACTAAAAACACAAAAATTAGCCAGGTGTGGTGGCGCACGACTGTAATCCCAGTTACTCGGGAGGCTAAGGCAGGAGAATCACTTGAACCTGGGAGGCGGAGGTTGCAGTGAGCTGAGATAGTGCCACTGCATTCTAGCCTGGGCAACAGAGTGAGACTCTGTCTCCAAAAAAAAAAAAAGATGATGGAAGAAGAGACTCACTTCTGCAACAGCAGCAAAAAAAGATGAAAGATCTAGTGATAAACCTAACAAGATATATACAAGGCCTATTCTTTTTTAAAATTTAAATGTGCCAGTTGTGGTGGCTTACCCCTGTAATCCCAACACTTTGGGAGGCCGAGGCGGGTGGATCACGTGAGGTCAGGAGTTTGAGACCAACCTGACCAACATGGTGAAACCCTGTCTCCACTAAAAGTACAAAATTACCCAGGTGTGGTGGTGCATGCCTGTAATCCCAGCTACTCGGGAGGCTGAGGCAGGAGAATCACTTGATCTGAGAGCCAGAGTTGCAGTGAGCCGAGATCACACCATTGCACTCCAGCCTGGGTGACAGGAGCAAAACTCAGTCTCAAATAAAATAAAATAAAATAAAATAAAAATAAAACAAATTTAAATGCTACTGAGGGACTGTGATAAAAACTGCCATTTGTTCCTCATGTCCCATCAAAGGGTATAAAGTTTCAGATAGAAAGGAAGAATAGGTTTTGAGATCTATTGGACAATACACTGATTATAGTCAATAATAATGTATTATCTATTTCAAAATACCTAAGAGAGTACATTTCAAATGTCTCACTGTAAGAAAAAAAATCAGTAATCAAGGTGATGGATATGTGAATTGGTTTGATTTAATCATGCCACATCGAATACATATATCAGAACAACACATTGTACCCTAGAAATGCATATAATAATGATTTGTCAGTTAGAAAACTGTAATGCAGCTCCTATGTTTTAGCTGGGTGTATAGACAACCAGAATTAAAACTGCTTTGCAAGCTTGCTTGTAGGTAAGTATGACCTTTAGGCTAAATGCTAGAGCACAGGGTTTAAGTAAAAGTGGAAAGTACTAAGGCTAGGAGAGGGCCTTAAAGACAGGAGGTAGGCCCCCTCCACTCTCTTCCTCCAGGCTGAGCATATGAAGGTGGAGCTGGAATAGCCATCCTGCCTGTAACGTAGACGCTGTGCTGAGGATGCTGGAGTAACAAAATGGAAAAATCTGGGTCTCTAAGGATGGTATGGAGCAACCATGGAGCCCTAGACAAACCTACATTCATGGGAAAGTGGCTCTTGTTTAGGATTTGTTAGTTGGTGCTTTCAATCAGTCACAGCTGAACTTAATTTTGATCCAGAGCCCCAATAAAAGACTTGAAATCAAGACAAGCTGACTCAGCTGTGTCCTTCTAAAATTACTCCTTTTTAGTTTGCTGATTTCACACCAATTATCAACTCCCATCCCTCCATCTCCCCATTTCTCACAAGAATATTTATTTCTATTTTTATTCTATTGTCTTTGAAAACATTTAAAAACAAATAACAATTTCTTAACTCATCTTCATGACTCAAGAATCCATCTTCCATATTGCTCTAAATTATCTTCCTAGATTAAAAATTTGACCCTAAGGCTGGGCGCGGCAGCTCACGCTTGTAATCCCAACACTTTGGGAGGCCAAAGCGGGCAGATGACGAGGTCAGGAGATCGACAGGATCCTGGCTAACACGGCGAAACCCCGTCTCTACTAAAAATACAAAAAAATTAGCTGGGCGTGGTGGCACGCGGCTGCAGTTCCAGCTACTCGGGATGGTGAGGCAGGAGAATGGCTTGAACCTGGGAGGCGGAGGTTGCAGTGAGCCGAGATCACGCCACCGCACTCCAGCCTGGGCAACAGAGTGAGAATTCTGTCTCAAATAAAATAAAATAAAATAAAAAATTTGATCCAGCCAGTCTTGTGTCTGAGATTATTCATCAGTGTTCCACCATTTACAAACTTCTTAAATCCTTCATCACCCAGCCCTTGGCTTTGTCTTCCACTTTCCCTCCCAATCTACCTATATGACCTCCCCGAGATTTCATCCAAATAGAATCCCTGATGGCCAGGCATGGCGGTTTACACATGTAATCCCAGTTCTTTGGGAGGCCAAGGCAGTCAGATCACTTGAGGCCAGGAGTTCGAGATCAGCCTGAGCAACATGGCGAAACCCTGTCTCTACTTTAAAAAAAAAAAAATAGGCATGATGGTGCACACCTGTAATCCTAGGTATGTTGGGAGGCTGAGGCATCAGAATTGCTTGAACCCAAGAGGTGGAGGTTGCAATTAGCTGAGATTGAGCCACTGCACTCCAGCCTAGGTGACAGAGCAAGACTCTGTCTCAAAAAAAAGAGAATCCTTTCCCAGTGCACCGGGCTCTTCATGCCTCTGTGGCTTTGCACACAGTTTTCTCTGCCCCATGCCTGCTCTGCTCTGAGTCACTCACGTATGCATTGCTCTCAGCTCATGCTAGTAACACTTCTAGGAGAATCTAGGAGAAGCCCTCCCATGTCTCTCTCTGCCCGCCCTAAACTGAGCAGATGACCCTCCTTCATAGTTCATTTCTGGATTTCCTTACTACCCTGCTGTAATTCCCAAATACAGTAGTCTCACCTTATCCATGGCTCTGCTTCCCTCAGTTTCAGTTACTTGCAGTCAACCCTGGTCCAAAAACAGGTGATATAGTACAATGAGATATTTTGGAAACACATTAACATAACTTTTATTACAGCATATTGTTATAATTGTTCTATTTTACTTTTATTTATTGTTAATCCTTTACTGTGTCTAATTTATAAATTAAACTTTTTCATAAGTATGTAATGTATGTGTAGGAGAAAACATAGTATATATGTGTTTGGGTACTATCCACAGTTGCAGGCATTCACTGGGGGTCTTGGAACGTCTCCCTCGAGAATAGAGGGGAACTATTATATCCCAAACATTGGTTTTTCATCCCTCTGCCCCATTAGAACATAAACTCCTTGAGAACAAAGACTGGACCTTGTTCATATTTGTATTTCAATAATAGAAACAATTGGGGTGACATAGTCAACTTTTAAAACAATTATTGAGCTAATTAATCAATCTCTAGAGCAGTTATTTTCATACCTGAGAATTCACAGGCCAATGTAGAGTACTGCTGTTCTCTATACCTAGTGTGGGAAATACTACCTTCAAGTTACATAGCATCACTTTAAATGATCAGTGAGCATTAGTTCAATTGTTTAAAAATACAAACACAAAAAGGCTGGGCGCGGTGGTTCACGCCTGTAATCCCAGCAATTTGGGAAGCCGAGGCGGGGGCGGATCATGAGGTCAGAAGTTCGAGACCAGCCTGACCAACGTGGTGAAACCCCGCCTCTACTAAAAATACAAAAATTAGCTGGGCATGGTGGTGCATGACTGTAATCCCAGCTCCTCGGGAAACTAAGGCAGGAGAATCGCTTGAACGCGGGAGGCAGAGGTTGCAGTGAGCCGAGATCACACCACTGCACTCCAGCCTGGGCAACAGAGCGAGATTCTGTCCCCCTCCCCCCGCAAAAAAAATATGAACACAGGGCCTAGTGTGGTGGCTGACACCTGCAATCCTAGCACTCTAGGAGGCTGAGTTGGGAGAATCACGTGAGACCAGGAGTTTGAGGTCAGCCTGAGCAACATAGCAAGACCCGAACTCTACAAAAAACAATTTAAAAATTAGCCAGGAGTGGTGGCATGTGCCTGTGGTCCCAGCTACTCGGGAGGCTGAGGTGGGAGGATAACTTGTACCTGGGAGATTCAGTGAGCTGTGATGGTGTCTGAGCTCTAATCTGGGTGACAGTGCAAGACCCTGTCTCAAAAAAATAAAAATAAAAAACACAGAAGCTAAAACTGAATAGTAGTAATGGGACATAAAGAGGTCACCCAGATAATCATGAACAAGTCTATGGGTTTTTAAACATTATCCAAATAAATTATTCAAGTATTTGAATATTAATTCGACATCCAATTATTATACAAATAAACATAATGTTGCATATCCCTTAAAAACATAACTTTCAATTTGAAAAGCAGGTTAATTATTATTTTTCTTAGAAGTCATATGCCCCTTATCCCAGAAAACTGCAAACTTTGCAGGATGTATGTGAACATGGTTTCATAAATGCCTCAACCCTATCATGAACCTGAAGTTAATTCCCACTTTAATGAAATTTCCTAAAATGCCTTCATCTGCAGCTTACTCTGGGAGGTCAGGCTAATTTAAATATTCTAGAACACTTGCCTTTCATCCAAAACAGAATCACTGCATGGCCAAGGAACCCTTAGGAAGCACACCAGTGAGTTTAATAGCCTCTTCAATTTTACTAAACTGCCTATGACTACCTGAAAGATTACCTCCAAGGCTAAAACCCCTGTGAGGAATTTTTTTGTTCCAGGCCCAGGCTGACTGGACCTTTGGCTTGAGTTTAACCCAGCTTCTCTGCAGAAATTCTTCCAAAGACACAGAAAGCGTTAAGCTCCTTGCTGCAGCTGTCCATCAGTACTCACCTCCAGGCCATTTGAGGTCTAACTGAGAAACTCAAAAGCTGAACAGTCTCTGGAGTAGAAGTGTGGAGAACCTACCCAAAAAGAAGTAGTTTACTCCCATGATGTTGGAAAACTTTTTAAGACATGAGATTACCACTGGGATTCTCTACAGACACGGCATCAGTGCCTCTTGGCTGGTATTTGCAAGGCCCACACTTTTTGAAATAAATTACCTAGTTAGAAATAATGTAAGAAAAAGCAAAACTGCCTCCTAGAAGAGTCACCAGAGGAGTGTTCAAAATTAATGCTGGGTCTCTTTGGAAGAAAGGAACCTCAAAAATGTGAAGGAATATTTTGACAGTTAACATGTATCTAATTACAGCACGTTTCAAAAGAGGAATCCGCATTTTACACAAATAATTTTCACAAATAAAATTACTCCTGCCGGGTGCGGTGGCTCACACCTGTAATCCCAGCACTTGAACCCAGGAGGTAGAGGTTGCAATTAGCCAAGATCACACCACTGCACTCCAGCCTGGGCGACAGAGACAAAAAAAAAAAAGAAAGAAAGAAAGAGAGACAGAGAGAGAAAAGAAACAGGAACATGTATATGTAAATGTTAAAAGAAAGCAAAATTGAGTGAAAAGAATGGGTACAAGTTATGGCTACATAAAGGAAAAAATGTGGAAAGACAAGAGAAGGGAGAAATTGAAGTGCAATAAAAAACAAAGTGACATAGGACAATAAACAAGCATTCATGCTAAATGTATCTTACTTCAGGATGCTATACAAAATTAACAGAATCCCAGCACTTTGGGAGGCCGAGGCGGAAGGATCACAAGGTCAAGAGATTGAGACCATCCTGGCCAATATGGTGAAACCCCGTCTCTACTAAAAATACAAATATTAGCTTGGCGTGTTGGCGCACACCTGTAGTCCCAGCTACTCGGGAGGCTGAGGCAGGAGAATCACTTGAACCCGGGAGGCGGAGGTTGCAGTGAGCCGAGATCATACCACCGCACTCCAGCCTGGCGACAGAGCAAGGCTGCGTCTCAAAAACAAACAAACAAACAAAGAAATTAACATAGGCTGGCCCTTTAAGCAACACACATTTCTTTCTCACAGTTCTGGAGTCTGGGAGGTCCAAGATCAAGGCCCCTGAAGATCTGGTGTCTGGTGAGGGACTGCTTCCTGGCTTGCAAACAGAGAGAGAAAAAGACAGAGAGAGAGAGAGAGAGAGAGAGAGAGGAAATTTATTAGGGGAATTGATCCATGTGATTATGGAGACTAAGAAGTCCCAAAATAGGTTTTGTACAAGCTGCAGAACCAGGGAAGCAGGTAGCATGGCTCAGTTCAAATCTGAAGGCCTGAGAAACAGGGAGACTGATGGTATAATTCTCAGTTTGAGGCAGAAGGCCTGAGAATCCAGGGGGCCACTGGTGCAAGTCCCAAAGGTGGGAGAACCTGGAATTCTGCTGTCCAAGGGCAGAAGAAGTAGGCGTCCGAACTCCAGGAGAGAGAGAGATGAATTCGGCTTATCTCTGCCTTTTTGTTCTACCTGGGTCCACAGCAGATTGGATGGTGCCCACCCACATTGGTGAGTACAGTTCTTCCTTACTCAGTCCTTTGATTCAAAGGCCAGTCTCTTCTGGAAACATCCTCTCAAACCTACCCAGAAATAATACTTTACCGCTATCTGGATAACCCTTAACCCAGTCAAGCTGACACCTAAAATTCACCATCACGAACATACAAATAAATATATATATAATGGAGAAATCCAAGTAAATTCTATGAATGGTACTGGTGTACTTACATTCAATGTTAACACTGGGAGAGGCTGGGGGGAAGGGTTCAGAGGACCTTCCTATTCACTTCTTTGGAAAACCTCCTGTGAATCTATAATCATTTTTTTAAAATATGAAAAATTTAATAAAAGGATTTTCTAAGTATTATAAGCTAATCACTCTAAGCACACCTTTATGGATTCTACAGACATCATTCTCTTAGGTATTCCTTTTTCTACTAATTCACATTTTACACACACAAAATTCAAGAAGGTGACACTGTGCTTCAAGAAAAAGGACATTCATATGAATTTTAATGAAGTTTACAAGACTGAGAAATGTCTTCCATATTTTAATGCCTCATTTTTTTCAGATGAGAAGTGATGTTCACCATTGCAAAAATAATCATATGGCTCTTACTCAAATTATTTTTATCAGACAAATCAGAAGTGGAAAACCAACTTGTGGTCAGAAAACCAATGGCTGACATGTTCAGTGGGAAGTCCTATTTAAGCGGTTGGAGTCACCCTTTTAAGCCTATTAAGCAGAATCTGTATTCACTGCTGTTAAGCTCACTTATCCTAATTGATAGAATTTGAGTGTTAAAGGAACTCTGGTTACCTACTAGTTCGATGAGATTTAACATCATATTTTTAAACTGTCATAAGACCAACTGTGCAGTGTGATGAGAGACTCTTTAGACAGATTAGAGCATCAGAATAGAAAGACCCAAAATAGACTCAAGTGCTATATGAGCAAATAGTAGAAGATAAAAAGCATATCTGTACAGATTTGTCGGGTTGCTTAATAAATGGTGTTGGGATATGTTTACCGTTAAGATACAAAAAGAAAAACAATTAAAAGGTATCGGTCCCCCACCTTCCTGCAGGCGTAGGGGAACATGGTAATTCTGCTCCATACAGAGAAAATAAATAGGAGGACTAGGCAGGGGCCACAATAACATGAGGGCTCATAATTTTGGATGCTTTTAAGAGAAATCTCTATTTTTATATGAAGTCTTCCAAATTTTAGCTGTTGGCAACTATGTCAAATATTTTTAAAACAATGTGTGAAATGAGCTGTATTTAGTTTCCCAGCACTGCCATAGGGAATGACCAAAAACTGGGTGGTTTCAAACAGCAGAAACTTCTTCTCTTATGGTCTGAAGTCAAGAAGTCAGAAGTCAAGGTATTGGCAGGGTTGGTTCCTCCTGGAGACTGGGGGAGAATCGGTTACCTGCTTCTCTCCTAGCTTCTCGTGGTTGCCGGTAGCCCTGGCCTGTAGACGCGTCAGTCCAGTCTCTACCTGCTTCATCCTGTGGCATTCTCCTCTCTGTGTCATCTGTGTTCAAATTTCCCTCTTCTTATGAAGACAGTGGTCCTTGGGTTACGGCCCACCCTATTCCAGTATGACCTTATTTTAACTTGATTACACTTGCGAAGACCTTATTCCCAAATAAGGTCACATTCACAAGTACCAGGGGTTAGGACTTAAACATATTCTTTTGGGGCTCGCGAACCCACTATGCAAGCAGAACAATCTGCAGGCCCAATCCGATCTAGGCCACCAGTTTACATTATCTATTTGGTGGCAAAATAAATTCCAAATAGGTTAACATCTTTTGTATTAAAAAGCATTCGAAAAAATATTTAGCTAAATGGTTGTACGCTCAAGGGATACAAAGGAACTTTATAAGCATAACTCCAAAATGCAAACTTTATACAGAAGATTGATAAATTTGACAGATTTAACCACAAAAATATAAATATTTCTCTACATTTATATTTTTGTGGTTCTCTACACACAATTAGACTTTCTTTCTATTAATTTATAACCCTCAAAAGAAAGATTGGCATAGGACTGCAATAAAAAATTAACAAAAGAGGAAAGTCAAATATTCCATAGGGATATGAAAACATGTTGAATGTTAGCAGTTATCAATGTGCCACAAACGTGAAAGCAATAATAAACCTTTTTCTCCCCATAAAGTTGATCAAAATTAAAAATAAATCAACAAATGTTCCCAGCGATAGCAAGAAGGTAGGGAGATAAAGGGACCATCATCATACACTGCCATTAACATTTAAATTATCTAACCTTTCTAGGGTCGATTTACCATCTGGTATCAAAAGCCTTAAAACTGTTCATCCTCTCTAACCAACACGATTTTTCTTCTAGACATATACCCTAAGTAAATAAGTGAGGAAGAAAAATGTTTGAACAAGGCTATTCATCTGTATTAGCTTGGGCTGCCATAACAAAATACCAGAGACTAGGTGGCTTATAAACAACAGACGTTTATTTTCTTCCAACTCTGGAGGCCGGAAGTCTGAGATCAGGGTGCCAGCATGGCTGACCTCCCAGCGAGGGCTCTCCTTCTGGCTTGCAGATGGCAGCCTTCTCATTGTGTCTTCTCATGGTGGAGAGAGAGTCTTCCTCTTCTTATAAGACCACAGTCCTGTTGGATTAGCATATAGTATGCCAGACACTCTTCTAGGAATGAGAATAGAGCAGATAATAAGATTAGAAAGGCAGTCCCTGCCCCCAAAGTGAGTTCATTCTAGGAGGGGGACAGATTGTGTATATGATGACATTTTTGTTATTTAAAAATAAAAGGGTACATACGTAGAAAAGCACATACATCATATTTATATAAAAATTGGAAAGAACAACAACTAAGATGTTAACTCTCTCCCCTGGTTGGTGAGATTATAGATATTTTTTCTTTTGTAAATCTGTATTTGTATGGCTTCTTTTTGAAATAAAGAATGAAATAATGCTTTTAAAACAGAGAAATATATTTCTACATCTCCTTTCCCTTTTTGTACATTAGAGGAAAGCACAGTTCTAATATTTACTCCAATTTTATTTCAAATTTGTAGTATCACTAGAAATAATAGAATTTTCTACCAGAGAAGCACATGCTTTAGGGACCTATCCCATTGACCAGTTTTAGCTCATATAAAGTCACTGAACACAGGCTGGTATAACTAGAAGCAGATCGCTGGGAATAGGTAAATCTTTCTTCTGAGAATAGAATTCAATTTGTGGTAATGACTGTGTGTTTTCACTGGCCCACAAAAAGCCATGAGGTTACCTTTGGTACTTGAAGCCTTTGATTTAGAGGCAGGTCTATGCCTACTTTTCCCAAGGGAAAGGGAATGCTACTTTGGCAAGGATTGTGGAAATGAAGAATGTTGATTGCTAGGAGCAGAAAAGTCAATGAAAAAAAAAACAATGGAAGAAAAGAGTGCAAAGTAAAGGCTATTAATGAAAGGTATCAAATCTAAAAGTATGTGGTAAGTGGACCAATTAGTGGATCATCTCTTAGATTGGCCCCAAAAAATAGTTTTTTGTGTTTTTGATTTTTGGGGAGGGGGAACAGGGTCTCACTCTGTCATTCAGGCTGGAGTACAGTGGTGTGATCATAGCTCAGCCTTGATCTCCTGGTCTCAAATGATACTCCCACCTCAGACTCCCAAGTGGCTAGGACTACAAGCATATGCCACCACAGTCAGCTAGTTTTAAAAAGTTTTTTGTACAGACAGAGTCTCACAATGTTGCCCAGGCTGGTCTCAAATTCCTGGCCTCAAGTGATCATCCCGCATTGGCCTCCCAAAGTGCTGGGGTTACAGGCATGAGACACCATGCCTGGCCCCAAAACTCAGTTTTAATGGATGATCCGAGAATGAGTCAAAGGACAGCTTTAATTCACTCATCTATACTCAGATGACTGTACTCAGAGAAATAAGAATAAAGAAACAAAAGCAAAAGAAGCAGCAGACATTCACCCAGAAATCTGCGTATTGTCAAATTTACAGAATTATGTAATAAAATATTAGTTTGGCTTTCACCAAAAACTGGATCAATTGTTTGTACTGATATAGATACTGATGTATACTAAATACAATAGAAAGTTGCGTAATAAGATGTAACCGACTCACATTCATGGATTATGCATTGTATAAATGCTTCATTGTTAGCAGAACCAAAGCTTCCCAGGAAAATAACTTCCAATTCCCTTTGCAATAAAATCCTACTTGTATATATTAAGAAACTTCTCAGACCTTCATTCTCTTTTGAATAACCTGAAAATAACTTTATTATTTTCATTTTTCTGCATTTCTTGTGTGAATTTCCACTAAGCTGAATGAAACAAATCATTTACTTCTCAATAGACGTGAGACGACCAATTGTTATCTCATATAAAAGGAAAGACTACATGTTGTTGATATCAAAGGCATTCAGGTTTTGGAAGTTATTTGTGAAAGTTTAAAAGAGGACAAAATAAGAAATTGCTACAAAAATCAACCAAGTTCATTCAGTTCCAGTGCATAATCACTGATCAAGTATCTGTTTTGCACTAGGCATTGTACTGTGTTCACAGAATTCTAAGATGAATACGATATATTCCCTCTAGAAGCATATGTATTAGTGGGTAAACAGACATGTAAAATAAATAAACATTTCTATGTAATGCACAAGTGCTACGATAGAGGCATCAGTTGAAATTGTAAGTATTCAAATAATGGAATTTTAAAAATCCATACACAACACATTTTCAATCAAACAAGAAGCAAGGGAGATATATAGTGGTTTTTTTTAAGTACTTGTAATAGACTGAACAATGGCTTCCAAAATGTCCATGTCCTAATCTCTGGAAGCTGTGAATATGTGAGGGTACACGGCGGAGGGGAGTTGCAGATGAATTAAGGATGCCAATCAGATTGCTTAAATTAGGAAGACTATCTTGAATTATCCAGCTAGGCCCATGTAAACATCCTTAAAATCTTTAAAAATGAAAGAGAAAGACAGAAGGAGTCAGAGTCAGCCAGAGGGTTATGACTATGAAAGAAAGGCACAAAGAGAGGTAGCACTGCTGGCCTTCGAAATGGAGAAAAGGACCACGAGCCAAGGAATGCAGGCAGCATGCAGAAGCTGGAAACACAGTGGAGACAGAGTCTCCCCTATAGCCCCCAGAAATGAACGTGGCCTGGACTTCTGTCCTCAAGATCAGTTTGATAATAAATGTGTGGGGTTCTTTTGTTTTTGTTTTGCTTTGTTTTGGAGACAGGGTCTCATTCTGTCACCCAGGCTGGAGGGCAGTGACACGGTCTCGGCTCACCGCAACCTCCACCTCCCAGGTTCAGGCGATTCTCCTGTCTCAGGCTTCTGAGTAGCTGGGATTACAGGTGTACACCACCATGTCCGGCTAATTTTTGTATTTTTTTAGTAGAGACAGGGTTTCACCAAGTTGGCCAGGCTGGCCTCAAACTCCTGGCCTCAAGTGATCTGCCCGCCTCAGCCTCCCAAAATGCTGGGATAACAGGTGTGAGCCACCACGCCCGGCCAGATGTGTGTTGTTTTTAAACACTAAACTTACAGTAATTTATGACAGCAGCAGCAGGAAACCAACACAATACCCAAGAGGGATGAGATCTACAGGATTCTATTTAGCATCCTAAGAAGTTTTCTGAATTTAAAATTTCTGAGGTCATGATCTACTCTAAGTTCTTTTTCACCTTTTTCATTGTGAGCTTTTGAAGGAAGCAAGGAGAGCATGGGGAAGGGAAGGAGAAACTCATACGTGTGTCCTAAGTACTGAGTGCTGAGATGGGACTCTTCCCCTAGATTATCTCATTGGATCCTCACAGAAAGTCCTGGAACGATGATTTTATTGTCCCATCTTCACAGATAAAGAAATGGAGATTCCGAGCATTAAAGATACAATGCTGATACACTTCTCTCAGACTGCAAAGCCCTTGCTCAATCAATACGCCAGGCTACTGCAAATAAAATCCTAGGCTCCAACACACCGTGGGCTCAGGGGCCTAGGAAAGACCACCATCCTGCCCAAAGGCCTCCTCAGTCTTTTGGTAGCAAAGACAAAAAGAGACTATTTTCTATTTAAATACCATATCTCATCAATACTAGGATTCACCTTTGACATAGTTTGTGATATGGTTAAACTGTGTGTTCCCACCCAAATCTCATCTTGAATGGTAATCCCCGTAATCCCCACATGTCAAAGGAGAGACCAGGTGGAGGTAACTGAAACATGGGGGTGGTTTCTCCCATGCTGTTCTCATGATAGTGAGTGAGTTCTCACAAGATCTGATGGTTTTATAAGAAGCTCTTCCCTTTTCACTCGGCACTTCTTCCTGCCGACTTGTGAAGAAGGTGCCTTGCTTCCCTTTTGCCTTCCGCCATGATTGTAAGTTTCCTGAGGCCTCCCCAGCCATGCTGAACTGTGAGTCAATTAATCCCCTTTTCTTTATAAATTACCCAGTCTCAGGCAATTCTTCATAGCAGTGTGAGAACAGATTAATACAGTTTGGATACTTGTCTCCCCAAATCTCATGTTGAAATGTCATCCCCATTGTTGGAGGTGGGGCCTGGTGGGAGGTGATTGGATCATGGGGGTGGATGGATTTCCCATGAATGGTTTAGCACTATCCTATTGGTGCTGTCCTCACCGTAGTGAGTAGGTTCTCATGAGGTCGGGTTGTTTAAATGTGTGGCACCTCTCCCCCACTCTCTCTCACTCCCGCTCTTGCCATGTGAGGTGCCTACTCCCCCATGTGATGAGCCTGATCCCCCTTTGCTTTCTGCTATGATTGGAAGCTTCCTGAGGCTCTGACCAGAAGTATCTACCGGTGCCATGCTTCCTGTACAGGCTGCAGGAATGTGAGCCAATCAAACCTCGTTTCTTTATAAATTACTCAGTCTCAGGATTTTTTCTTTTCTTTTTTCTTTTCTTTTCTTTTCTTTTCTTTTTTTTTTTTTTTTTGAGATGGAGTCTCACTCTGTCGCCAGGCTGGAGTGCAGCGGCACGAAGTCGGCTCACTGCAACCTCTGCCTCCCGGGTTCAAGCTATTCTCCTGCCACAGCCTCCTGAGTAGCTGGGACTATAGGAATGCACCACCATGCCCAGCTAATTTTTGTATTTTTAGTATAGACGGGGCTACACCATGTTGGCCAGGATGGTCTCGATCTCTTGACCTTGTGATCTGCCTGCCTCGGCCTCCCAAAGTGCTGGGATTACAGGCGTGAGCCACTGCACCCAGCCTCAGGTATTTCTTTACAGCAATGCAAGAACAGCCTAATATAACCCTCTTTTCTGTCTCCTTTTTTTTTTCTTTTGAGGGAGGACCTCACACTGTCACCCAGGCTGGAGTGCAAGTGGTGCAATCTCAGCTCACTGCAACCTCTGCCTCCCGGGCTCAAGCGATTCTCCCACCTCAGCCTCCCAAGTAGCTGGGACAACAAGTGTGCATCACCATGTCTGGCTAATTTTTGTACTTTCTGTAGAGTGAGTATTTCACCACATTGCCCAGGCTGGTCTCAAACTCCTGGGCAAAGCAGTCCACCTGCCTCAGCTCAGTGCCACAAAGTGCTGTGATTAAGGCATGCACCACTGTGCCTGGCTTTGTTTTTATTTTTAATTGAAATTACAATGCATCTTATGTTCATAATGCCTTGCAAGTATAATTGAAAACATTTTTTCCTTCTTAGTGATACGTATAATTACAATGTGTTTTACAATGGAGACTTCTCAGGGTCAGTGAGTTAGCATAGAATGCATCCCTAAGCTAAGCACTGGACTGTTTTCAATATCAGGAAACATAAATCCCTTGCCCTGCAGCACAAAGAATATGGTCACCCATTTTTTAAAATATCAACCCACTAATCAAAATGTGGGTGTTTTTTCTCAGAATTTACTCTGTGCTAAGCAGTGGGCAAGAATCCTTAAAAGGTCACAAAAGAAATGGAAGATGGAGCCTCTACCCTCAAAAAACCCACATAAGAGGTAAAACTAACATGAAAAGTCATATGACGTATGACATACTTAGGGCCCTAACTGTGGCAGCAACTACGCAGGGGGATACGATCGATTACATCCGCATTGTGTGTTTTCATTTTGCTTTGTTTCTTATTTTGTTTTTGTTTTTAGTATAGTCTCATCATCAAGCTTACTTCATTAAACTCATTAAAAGCTTATGTAAAAATACTTTCAGGCAGGGAGCGGTGGCTCAAGCCTGTAATCCCAGCACTTTGGGAGGCCAAGGTGGGCGAATTACCTGAGGTCAGGAGTTCAAGACCAGCCTGACCAACATGAAGAAACTCCATCTCTACTAAAAATATAAAAAATTAGCCAGGCGTGGTGGTGCATGCCTGTAATCCCAGCTACTCAGAAGCTGAGGCAGCAGAATCACTTGAACCTGAGAGAAGGAGGTTGCAGTGAGCCAAGATCACGCCATTGCACTCCAGCCTGGGCAACAAGAGCGAAACTCTGTCTCAAAAAACAAATACATACATATATACATATATATATATATATATTTTTTTTTTTTAATGAAATAACAGTGTAGTGACTAAGTTAGCATGAAGTAACTTAGTGTAGTGACTTGACCTGTGTCCCCTGATAAGATGTTGAAGTCCTAACCCCTGTGCCAGTGAATGTGACCCTATCTAGAAATAGGGTCTTTGCAGATGTAATCAAGATGAGGTCATACTGGTTAGGGTGGGCCTTAAATCCAATGACTGACATCTTCAGAAGAGAAAAAAAAGGGAGAACTGGATGCAGAGATATGGAGGAGGCATGAAGAAGATGGCCCTGTGAAGATGGAGGCAGAGATCAGTGTGATGAAGCTACAGGCCAGGAACACCAGGAATCACCAGGATTCACCAGAAGCTACAGAAGGCAAAGAAAGCTTCTTCCCTGGAGGCTATAGTGGGAGCATGCCCCCACCAACGCCTTCATTTCACATTTCTGGACTCCATAATGGTGAGACAATACATTTCTGTTGTATTAAGCCACCAAGCTGATGGAACTTTGTTATGGCATTAGGTCTGAGAATGGCCCATAGAGATAACCCACGTGAGACTGATTAAAATTAAATAAAGTGTTTTTGAAAGAAAACACTTAACCTCAAAAATAAATTTTTAAAACCTAAGGGACATGACTCAACTCTTAGAAATATCCAAATAGCAGAAAAAACCGTGAAAATCACACAAACAAAAATGAAAAATTCATGTAGATGTGAATTTATCCAAAGTAGGAAAAACAAATTGTGCAAAAAATAAAAAAAATTTAAACAATAAATAAAAAACTCCAGGGTGGTACCAAAAAAGAGCTCTTCCTCGCCTAAACTCAAGTACACATTAAGTCAGCAAAAAAAAATTTGCAACTATAGCAAACTACATTAAAAACTAATGCAGTCTTTTTTTTTTTTTTTTTTTTTTTGAGACGGAGTCTTGCTCTGTCGCCCAGGCTGGAGTGCAGTGGCGCGATCTCTGCTCACTGCAAGCTCCGCCTCCCGGGTTCACGCCATTCTCCTGCCTCAGCCTCCCGAGTAGCTGGGACTACAGGCGCCCGCCACCATGCCCGGCTAATTTTTTGTGTTTTTAGTAGAGAGGGTGTTTCACCATGTTAGCCAGGGTGGTCTCGATCTCCTGACCTCGTGATCCGCCCGCCTCGGCCTCCCAAAGTGCTGGGATTACAGGCGTGAGCCACCGCGCCCGGCCAAAACTAATGCAGTCTTATTAAAATTATATAAAGCTATATAATGAAACTATAGTTTTGCTAAACAATAGAGAATTGCTAACAGAAATTTACTGAGTATCTGCTACTTCTTTCTGGAATGTAGAAATGGAAGCGTATATACTCAATTTTTTAAAAAGGAAGAAAGAGGCTGGGCGCCGTGGCTCACGCCTGTAATCCCAGCACTTTGGGGGGCCGAGGCGGGCGGATCACGAGGTCAGGAGATGGAGACCACCCTGGCTAGAACATGAAACCCCGTCTCTACTAGAAAAAAAAAATGGAAAAAATTAGCCGGGCGTGGTGGCGGGCGCCTGTAGTCCCAGCTACTCGGGAGGCTGAGGCAGGAGAATGGCGTGAACCCGGGAGGCAGAGCTTGCAGTGAGCCGAGATGCGCCACTGCACTCCAGCCTGGGTGACAGAGCAAGACTCCGTCTCAAAAAAAAAAAAAAAAAAGAAGAAGAAAGAATTTTAAAGTAATACTGTGTGCTAAAGTACAGAGAGAGCAATATTCTAACGTGCAGGTGCGTGCAAAAACAATGCAGAATATTGGGCTAGTGCTAAAGAGAGACAGAGAAGTGACTGTAGCAGTGTCTGACAGACCTCTTACCTTATTATTATAAATACATAACAATATTTTTCCAATAAATCACAAAAATGGCTGGGCCAGCTGCAGTGACTTACGCCTATAATCCGAGCATTTTGGAAGGCCAAGGCAGGAGGACTGCTTGAGGCAGGATTTTGAGACTGGCCTGGGCAACATAGTGAGACCCTGTCTCTACAAAAAAAAAAAAAAAAAAAAAAAAAAAGGGTATAAAGTGCCAAGATACAATTCACGGAAAAAAAATTTTAACCATTAGATTCATTTTTTTCTAAAAGCAAAACCTCTGATAAATACTTGACATGCCTTAAGAAATACCGTGAAGATAATTCATCAATTAAATGTTTGAAAACATAGTAAAGCCATCATCAATCTGGAATTAATTCTGAGTGACTCAGAACTAGTTGGGACTATGAACATGGTGGAATACTAAGATGAATGTGAAAATGTCATATCAGAATATCACAGTTTAAACTAGAGCTACTTAAGTCTTTATGTCTCCCTAGACCATATCAGCATGGACATTCATGGAGGCACAGGAATAATAAAATTCAGCTGTCCCCACCTCTGTCTCCTGCCCTTGACATTACTAGGATTACTAGGTTCTTTCTTTTTTCAAGCTGTTCCATGGGTTGATTCACTTGTCACCCAAACATCCATGACTTCATTTCATGTTTGGTGGTTAAATGTGTTGTTAAACATTTGCCGATAATTTTTAGCTGTCCAAACTCTAGAATTACATGTGCAACATTTGGCTCTGAAACTCCTGCTTGGCAACCTTAAATCACCACCAAAAACAAGTCAGCCAGTTCACATATTATGGCTTCTGGGCAACGAAAAGATAGACAGGTAGAATCTGGAGGATGTCCAGCCTAGGACGTCTTAATTTCAAAAAGGTATTTAACATGGTAATGCATTAAGGTGCACTTAAAGCCACATGGACAAATCCACCCAGTTAGTGTTAATCAGCCAGAGAAGTGAGCCAGAATTCTGTACTCAAGCCCATCCTGCTCAGAATTTCAGTTAATGACTTAGATGAAGATTTACAGGATGATTATGTCAAATTTGCAAAGGAAGCAAAAATCAAGGCCTGGCGCAGTGGTTCACGCCTGTAATCCTAGCACTTTGAGACCAAGGCGGGTGGATTACCTGAGGTCAAGATTTCGAGACCAGCCTGACCAACATAGTGAAACCCCATCTCTACTAAAAATACAAAATTAGCTGGGTGTGGTGGCACATACTTTTAATTCCAGCTACTTGGGAGGCTGAGGCAGGAGAATCTCTTGAACCCAAGAGGCAGAGGTTGCAAGGCTGAAGTGAGCCGAGATCGCACCATTGCAGTCCAGCCTAGGCAACATGAGTGAAACTCAATCTCAAAAAAAAAAAAAAAAAAAAAAGGCCAGGCGCGGTGGGTCACACCTGCAATCCCAGCACTTCGGGAGGCTGAGACAGGCAGATCACATGAGGTCAGGAGTTCAAGACCAGCCTGGCCAACATGGTAAAACCCTGTCTCTATTAAAAATACAAAAATTAGCCAGGCATGATGGTGGGTGCCTATAATCCCAGCTACTCAGGAGGCTAAGGCGGGAGAATCGCTTGAACCTAGGAGATGGAGCTTGCAGTGAGCCGAGATCATGCCATTGCACTCCAGCCTGGGTGACAGAGCAAGACTCCATCTCAAAAAAAAAAAAAAAAAGAGAGAGAAGTATAGAGGAAGGCACCCGAACCAACTGTACCTGGAGAGAAGAAACTGAGGGACAAAAACTAGCAATAGAAATGCATTATTATTAATATTTAGCAGCAATAGTAGTGATAAGAATAGTAAATATTAGTGATTAAAATAGGAATAAAGGTAAAGTAGAAAATTTAAGGTAAAAATATTCAATTGCATAAAGACAAAACTTGAAGAAAACTAAAAACTTACATTTTTTTAATGTAGGTTTAAAATTAACTACATATTACTCAGGAATGGAAAACCCCATAGTGTGTCCTCACTGATATGTGGGAGCTAAGCTATGAGGACAAAAAGGCATAAGAAAGATACAATGGGCCGGGCACGGTGGCTCATGCCAGTAATCCCAGCACTTTGGGAGGCCAAGGTGGGTGGATCACCTGAGGTCGGGAGTTCGAGACCAACATGACCAACATGGAGAAACCCCATCTCTACTAAAAATACAAAATTAGCTGGGCGTGGGTGGCACATGCCTGTAATCCCAGCTACTAGGGAGGCTGAGGCAGGAGAATCACTTGAACTCGGGAGGTGGAGGTTGCGGTGAGCCAAGATCGCGCCATTGCACTCCAGCCTGGGCAACAAGAGTGAAATTCTGTCTCAAAAAAAAAAAAATGATACAATGGACTTGGGGGACTTGGCGGGAAGAGTGGGAGGGAGGCAAGGGATAAAAGACAACACATACGATGCAGTATACACTGCTCAGGTGATGGGTGCACCAGGATCTCACAAATCACCACTAAAGAATTTACTCATGTCACCAAATGCCACCTGTACCCCAATAATTTATGGAAAAAAAAAATCTACCTTTAGCTTAATGTGAAGACTCCTCAGAAAACAGCAGAATAATGGGAAGCTCTAATTTTTATATTAAATAAAAATATGTGCTATTCATTTTGCTATTTAAAAAATTAATTACCTATTTAATATGTACCATCTCCATGTCATACATAGTTTTTTTCGAAGTAAGAGTTTTAGGATATATTCATAGAAGTATAGTTTATTTATTGGCTGGGCGCGGTGGCTCATGCCTGTAATCCCAGCACTTTGGGAGGCTGAGGTGGGCGGATCATGAGGTCAAGAGTTCGAGACCAGCCTGACCAACATGGCGAAACCCCGTCTCTCCTAAAAATACAAAAATAAGCCGGGTGTGGTGGTGGGTGCCTGTAATCCCAGCTACTCACAAGGCTGAGGCAGGAGAATTGCTTGAACCCAGGAGGCGGAGGTTGCAGTGAGCCAAGATCGCACCATTGCACTTCAGCCTGGGTGACAGATTGAGACTCCATCACAAAAAAAAAAAAAAAGAAGAAGAAGTATGGTATATTTGTTAAAGGTAGTATAGAGTCATTATGTTCAGTATTCCTCAGAACATGTTTTCTGTTGTAATCACCTGTTAAGGAAGAACACTACCAAACTGTAGTGTCTCTAGAAGTGCATCGACAGCATTGAAAAACACAGATTTACAGCCAACAGATACCTTGAAGATCATAATTCCAGGATAAACAAATTGAGACTATTGAGATCCTATAAGACTGGAGTAATACTACCTGTATTTATTGGCGTTTGTTGCTAAAAAGGAATACGTGGGACTGGGTAATTTATTTAAAAAAGAGGTTTATTTGGCTCATGGTTCTTCACACTGTACAAGAAATGTGGTGCCGGCATTTGCTTCTGGTGAGGCCTCAGGAAGCTTCCAAACATGGCAGCAGGCAATGGGGGAGCATGTATGTCACATGGTGAGAGAGGAGCCAAAGAGAGATGCCAGGCTCTTTTAAACCACCAGCTCTCCCGTGAACTAACAGAGTAAGAACTCACTTATTACCAGGGGGAAGACACCAAGCCATCTGTGAGGGACCCACCCCTCTAACCAAACACTTCCCACCAGGCCCCACCTCCAACACTGGGGATGACATTTTAACACGAGCTTTTGAGGGGACGAACATTCAAGCTATATAATCACCATTATACACAAGCTTACCTGGAACCCAATATACTGACTGGGTCACATAAAGAATATGTATAGGAATTAAGATTGTTCAACCTAAAAAAGGAAGACCTAATGGTGGGGTGCTGAAAGTAGAAAGCCTGTTAAATGAATAGAGGAAAGATTTCAGATCAGCAGGGCAGACAGTAAGAACTTTACACTGGTAAGGATTGTTGGCAATGAGAGTGATAAATCTTTCAATGAGGGAGAGACTGAGGTCACCAGGAGTGTCCAGAGAATAAATGATCACTACGGGGAATGCTGCAAATGTCCTCACAACACTCAGTAGAAAAGTGGATGCAATCAAATTGGCAAATTCTGAATTTCACAAAACCCTGGGGACTGACCTTAAGTCACCAGCATTTTATGTTTGCACAGTAAGTACATTTACAAAATGAATCACAAAATGATATACAATTATCACCATTTCACTAAATATAGATATTTTAGCACCAGAACTTCAGCTCAGAATAATGGACTGTCCTCTAAATTGTCCTCCGAATAGAAATAATTTGATTTGATTGTTGTCATCCAACCATAAATTGGTAAAAATTTGTTCACTGTGGCAGACACTCTTCTACAGTGTGACATGAACTCTCCTCCCATAGAGTGGCAGGGTCTGTGTTCTTTGCGTTCAGCCTGAATAGAGCTTTATGACTGTCTTTACCAATAAAGCATGGCTCAATGGAGGCTCTATGACTTCTGAGTCTAGGTCATTAAAAAAAAAAAAAAAAAAAAAAAGATTTGGTAAACACTAGGCTTGATGACCTCTCATTCCTCCAAGCCCAAAAGGTCATAATTCACTCACAGATCGCCTATTGCAGATCTGAAATGGTGATTCTGGTGTTCACAAATCCCTCAAAGATTTGACGACATTAATCAGCCCTCCTGACTGATTCCTGTGATGATCAATCCATTGAGATACTTTTGGCTGTAAATACAGTTAGCCCTCCATATTCTTGGGTTCTGCATCCACAGATTCAAACAACCACAGATCAAAAATATTTGCGAAAGAAAATGCATGGTTGTGACAGTACTGAACATGTACAGACTTTTTTTCCTTAATCATTATTCCGTAACAATACAGTATAACAACTATTTACATAGCAATTATATTGTATTAGGCATTGTAAATAATCTAAAGATGATTTAAAGTATACAGGAGGATGTGCGTAGGTTGTTATGTGCAAATACTGCACCATTTTATACCAGGGACTTGAGCATCTGCGGATTTTGGAATCCGAGGGAGGTCCTGAAACCAATCCCCCGTGGATACTGACAGACAAATAAATATAAAATAAATCCTAATTAAAAATAACTTTGGCCGGGTGTGGTGGCTCACACCTTATAATCCCAGCACTTTGGGAGGCTGAGGTGAGCAGATCACCTGAGGTTAGGAGTTCAAGACCAGCCTGACCAAGATGGAGAAACCCCGTCTCTCCTAAAAATACAAAATTAGCCGGGCATGGTGGTGTATGCCTGTAATCCCAGGTACACGGGAGGCTGAGGCAGGAGAATCCTTGAACCAGGGAGGCAGAGGTTGCGGTGAGCCAAGATCGCACCATTGCACTCCAGCCTGGGCAACAAGAGCGAAACTTTGTCTCAAAAAAAAAAATAATAATAATAATAATAAAATAACTTTAAGTGAATCGTATTATCTCACCTAACAAAAAGTCCTATTATGTGACATAAAAATAGGTGGGGTAGTGGGTTGCAGAATGGTTTTATTAAACAAATCCACAGCAACTTCAAGGACTCAGATTCTCTCCACCATTCTGTTGGGTCATTACCAGCTGTGTTTATTTTTTGACCCAAAGACTCCTCCTCTCAACTCCCCCAGAACTGCCATGAGCCTGTTCCCCAGAGACAATGTGATCATTATCATTACAGCTGACTTAGACTCACCAGGACTTATGCTTGGGGGAAATAGGATCACTGTCCCTGAGAGCCTGGCCATGGATAGGAAAAAAGGCCCTGATCACATTGGGGTTCTAGTACAAAAGAAGAACTTCCTTGAAGGCAAGGAAGAAGAAAAGAAGGGCAATGGCTTCTCCACAGTCGAAAGGAATTCCCTTAAGTTTAAGGATTACTTCTCATTCAGTATGGCACTGTGAAAAGTGCTCCTCTCAAGGGGTCGGACAGAACTGTGTTCAAAACCCAAATCAAGCTGGGCGCAGTGGTTCATGCCTATAATCCCACCACTTCGGGAGGCTGAGGCAGGAAGATCCTTTGAGCCCAGAAATTCGAGAGCAGCCCGGGCAATATAGTGAAACCCCATGTCCGCAAAAAATAAAACATTGCCGGGTGTGGTTGTCCACATGTCTAGTCCCAGCTATGCGAGAGGTTGAGGCAGGAGGATCACTTGAGCCTGGGAAGCTGAGGTATTGAAACCGCCTTTGCAAAATTATGACTGAGACACTGAGACACTGAAAGAGATCTAACTTAACTGACTCCACCTTGCTTCTAACCTCCAAGCTGTCCTTGTTCATTCCTGGGTGTAGGCTGAACTAACTTTGGGAGAAATTTAGTTTATAGTTTAAACAAAGACGGTAGCAGCCCTTTCCTAAAGCAGACCTCCTTCTTGTGTGGGGACAAGATTGTAAGACTAACATTAGCCACAAGATTAGAAATTATGGTTTCGAAGCCATGCAGCTGGAGGCTACAAGATTCTGACCCTCCCTAAACTGCTCCTAAGATCAGTGCTTGAGATATTTTGCAGACACTGCACTTGATGGATCAGCTGGCACCACCCAGATCAATAAACTGGCTCATCTGATCTTGTGCCCCTCTGCCCCACCCAGGAACTGACTCAGCGCAAGAAGACAGCTCCAACTCCCTGTGGTTTCATCTCTGACCAATCAGCACTCCTGGCTCACTGGCTTTCCCCCATCCACCAAGTTATCCTTAAAAACTCTGCTCCCCGAATGCTCAGGGAGACTGATCTGAGTAATAATAACACTCCAGTCTTCTGCACAGCCAGCTCTGCATGAATTACTCTTTCTCTATTGCAATTCCCCTGGCTTGATGAATCAGCTCTGTCTAGGCAGCGGGCAAGGTGAGCCCCTTGGGTGGTTACAGTTGCAGTGAGTCATGATTGTACCACTGCATTCCAGCCTGGGCGACAGAGTGAGACCTTGTCTTGAGAAAAAAAAAAAAAATCCCAAATCAGCCACTTAATGAAAAGGCTCATTCTCCTCACATGCAAAGCAGGGATAACAATAACCACTTCCCATGTGCACATCAGGACTCACTGAGGAGCCAGGGTTACCGGCATCCACTGCCTGCTGATTATGCTGGGGTGTTGCCTGCAGGGAAGTGCTTTACATGCATCGGCCCAGAGACTCCCCACATCATGCAGGAGGTAGGCGCTTTGTTCTTTTCTTTTTTTTCTTCTTTTTTTTTTTTTTTTTTTTTTTTTGAGACGGAGTCTCGCTCTGTTACCAGGCTGGAGGCTGGAGTGCAGTGGCACGATCTCGGCTCACTGCAAGCTCCGCCCCCCCGGGTTCAAGCGATTCTCCTGCCTCAGCCTCCCGAGTAGCTGGGATTACAGGTGCCTGCCACCATGCCCAGCTAATTTTTGTATTTTTAATAGAGACGGGGTTTCACCATGTTGGCCAGGATGGTCTTGATCTCCTCACCTCGTGATCTGCCCACCTCGGCCTCCCAAAGTGCTGGGATTACAGGCATGAGCCACAGCACTCCGCCTGGTGCTTTGTTAGTTTCATACTGCAGATAGTAATCCGAGGTTTGGAGAAGTAATACAAGGCTTGCTGAAGGTCACACAGAGCAAGGACAGAATTCATTCTGACTCCAGAGCCCATGCAATGTCCAGGAGCCCCCACCGTGCCACCTTTTGAATGCTCATCTGTCTGCACTGCACGCAATGCACTGCCCTGGCCATCTAGGCTCGAGGTATCTAAACCATGAGAGAGAGACTGAAAGAGAAACGGCAGCACATCGTCAAGGAGTCAATTCCATTTTAAAACACTGACTGTGTGTGACAGCAAGGTTGGACAGCTCCATGGGGACACAGAGGGCCTCAGACACACGCCTGCCCTCCTAGATCTTCATTTAATTCTATGAGTGGCCATGGACAGATGGCATAAACAATTTTATATCTAAAAACTTCAAAGCTAATATTGTCTGAGATTCATATTGTGAATATATATCCTCATTTTTACAGAGAAATCCTGAGGCTCAAAGACACTGAATGACCTGCTGCTTCACACACAGGTGGTCAGTGTTGCCAAAGACCAGGACGAGCAGTCCAGGCAGCTGTCACATTTCCAACATGTGGAAAGCCTCGCCAAAGCATGAGCTCTGCTGTCTCCCTTCCATGCAGCGAGGCCACACGAGGCGGACGCAGATTTGTTCCAGCAGCTTCACCAGGGAATAAACAGCAGGCATAGGTACAAATAAATAAACCTCAGGCTTGAGATCCTCTCTTTATCCAAAATCAAACTCCAATTCTTTTCTTTCCTTTCTTCCCTGGGGCCATCTTGGTGTCGCCCATCTGCCTGGGCCAGAGGCCCGTACTTGTTCCTGCATTGCCAGGCCATTTGGTAACACGAGGAGCTGATGCCCCTTTCCCTCCTGTTGTTTTTTGTTTTTTGTGTTTTTTTTTTGTTTTTTTTTTTTTTGAGACAGAGTCTCATTCTGTCACCCAGGCTGGAGTGCAGTGGCACGATCTTGGCTCACTGCAACCTCCACCTCCCAGGCTCAAGCGATTTTCCTGCCTCAGCCTCCCGAGTATCTGGGATTACAGGCGTGCACCATCACTCCTGGCTAATTTTGTATTCTTAATAGAGATGGGGTTTCACCATGTGGGCCAGGCTGGTCTGGAACTCCTGAACTCAAACCATCCACCCGCCGCCTCGGCCTCTCAAAATGCTGGGATTACAGGCGTGAGCCACCGCGCCTGGCCTCTCCTGTTGTACCTTGTCAACCCCAGTTGCTGCTAAGCTAGCCTGTCTGTTTCTTCACTGTTTTCTTTACTTATGTCTGCTCTTCTAAACGTAGACAAACTTTTATATTTTATTTTCCTCCCCAGTTGTAAATAGCAGAATCTGGACAAGAACTCAATATTTCTATTTCAGATTACACACTCTTTCTATATTACTATGAAGCTTCAAGATATTTTATGCGGCTTTTGTAAGAAACATAATCCTACTAACATTGACTGAGTACCAGGCCCTCTGCTAGGAGGCAGGGAAACTGCATACAGCAACTCCAGCACCATCCAGCCTCGAGGGCGAGGCAGACTCGTAAGTGGGTGATCATAACAGCGAGTGCTAAATGATATATTGGGAAAATCACAGAATACTGTCGCAACACCCAGGGTGTGCTCTCACCCATCTTGAGAATGAGGAAGAGTTAACCCAGAACAAAGAAAGGGTAGTTGATGTTTAGTGTTTGGGCAGATGTATTCCAAGCAAAGGGAACATTATTGGTAAAAGAAGAAAGGGGATTGAGAGCCCAGAGTCTTCGGAGAGCTGTAAATATTCTGTCAAGGCACAGAAGCGAAGTTTGGAGTTTATGCTACCGACAATGGGAATCTCTAAAAGGAGTTCAGAAAGATCTGAAAATAGACTCAAAGATTTCTTCAACAAAAGGAGATGGGTGTCTGAAAATGATGAAGATGTGGTCCCTGACTCCAAAGAGCTCATCACCTACTGGGAGAGACAGATATGTAAACAAATCATTACAGAACAATTTGTTTCATTCTAAATGTAGCACACAAAAAGAGCTGGGGACAGTGAAGAGGAAGCCGTCAGCGCTGCCTGCGGAGAAGAAAGGAAGGCTTTGTGTAGGTGACAACTGAGCAAGATGACAGATGAGTGGGCGGAAACCAGTCCTAGCAGAAGGGGTGGACCCTTGGGGCGGGACCAGGAAGGGCACCTCCAATTCATTACCCAAGATTAAATGAATGGAACATTCGCCGTACTCTTTAAATTTCAAGAATTTCTTTTCTTTCTTTCTTTCTTTTTTGAGACGGAATTTTGCTCTTGTCGCCCAGGCTGGAGTGCAATGGCGCAATCTCGGCTCACCGCAACCTCCGCCTCCTGGTTCAAGCTATTCTTCTGCCTCAGTCTCCCGAGTAGCTGGGATTGCAGGCATGAGCCACCACGCCCGGCTAATTTTGTATTTTTAGTAGAGATGAGGTTTCTCCATGTTGGTCAGGCTGGTCTCAAACTCCTGAACTCAGGTGATCCGCCCGCCTTAGTCTCCCAAAGTGCTGGGATTACAGGCGTGAACCACCATGCCCGACCTAAATTTCAAGAATTTCTATTGCAACTCCTTTGCCTCAGGAATTTGTCCCCTTCCTAGTGGAGATAGTGAATGTTAAACTGTAACCTACATATCTCTTCTCAAGGATTTTGAATGTTTGTTTGTACAGAGAACACTCCATCTGGTATATCCCAGAAACAAAAGGAGCTTTTCAGTAAGATTTTCAGTGCACGGAAGCCGTGTTCATTTCTAGAGACTGCATTCTCAGAAGCTTTTCGCCCTAAGCACAAAATCAGAGGCAAGTAGGAGGAGTGGGGCTGCACCTGAGTGCAGCATTGCTGTACCCATCCTGTTTCCCAGACAAGCAGATTCAAAAATCAAGTGTCTTATTCACTGGGGTTAGAAAGAATCTATTTTTTTCCTTTGGCAGCATCAAACATCAGAAATAATTCCACTGAAAAGAATATTATACCTAATGTATTCTACTTAAAGTCCAACAAATACATTAAGAGCAGAAAATTGTAGGATACAAGATTCTCAAATTTTCAGTAATACAGCTCAATATCAGTACACAAGGTGAGGCCTTATGGACTGAAGGGTTGTGTCCACCCAAAATTCATATGTTGAAGCCCTAACCCCCCACTGCGATGGTATGAGGAGGTGAAGCCCCTGGAAGATGATTAGGTCATGAGAGAGAAGCCCTTGTCAATGGGACTAGTGACCTTGCCAAAGGGACCCTAAAGAGCTCTTATGCCCTCCTTCCTCTTGTGAGTGCACAACTAGCCGGCAAGCCAGAAGAGGACCCTTATCAGAACCTGACATTGCTGCACCCCAATCTCAGAATTCCAGCCTCCAAAATCGGAGAAATATATTTCTATTGTTTATAAACCACGCTGGGGTACTTTGTTGTAGCAGCCAAAACTGACTAAGATGAGAGGCCAAAAAAGGTGCTTTCCCTATTAACAGCACGACTCTGCCCGTGCTTACAAAGAACTGTGGTTGAAATGGATTCAGCTTTACAACATCTGCAGAAGGCTAAGTTACGTGCGGCAGTAGTGGTGGAAATGTTGAACTAGGAACTGTATTAAGGGGTTGAAAGTAAAGGGATGAGCCATAATTTATTCAGGAAAACGCAAATAAAAGTAGTGGAAATAGCAATATTCATGAAAAGATAATATGGCGTTTAATTTAAAAAGTCAGAGAGTGACTTGGTAATGATAAAAAAAAAGCCATGAAAAAAATATTATCGTGATGAACCTTTAGGTACTAAATAGCATAGTGGTAAATATATATGACAAAAACTCTGGTCTGGCCTGGTGGCTCACGCCTGTAATCCTAACATTTTGGGAGGCCGAGGTGGGTGGATCACTTGGGGCCAGGAGTTCGAGACCAGCCTGGCCAATATGGTGAAACCCCATCTCTACTAAAAATACAAAAATGAGCCAGGTGTGGTGGCACATGCCTGTAATCCCAGCTACTTGGGAGGTTGAGGTGGGAGAATCGCTTGAATCTGGGAGGCGGAGGTTGCAGTAAGCTGAGATCATGCCACTGCACTCCAGCCTGGGCGACAGAGTGAAACCGTGTCTCAAAAAAAAAAAAAAAAAAAAAAAAAACAACTCTGAGAATACACAGATAATTTAGTGTAACTGTGATCACTGCAGACTGGTAGTTCTTACTCTGAGCAATTTTGTCCTCCCATGAGACATTGGCAACAACTGGAGACATTTTTGGTCCTCACAAATTGGACAGGGTGGAGGAAGGTGCTACTGGCAGCTGGTGGGTAGAAGCCAGGGGTGCCGCTAAACCCCTGAAATGCCAGGACAGCCCCACAACCCACACAGAGAAGTACATGATGCAAAATGCCAACGGTGCCAGGACTGAGAAGCCCTGGTCTACAGTATTGTATTATATACTTCTCTCAAACTGACAGGTCAGGTAGACTCTCTCTATATATTTGTCTGTGTGTGTGTGTGTATACATCTATATATGTTCGAATATGTGTGTGTGTGTGTGTGTGTATATATATATATGAAGCTGGACTTAGTGTACAGAGATAACTTTCACCCTGCCCAAAATATCATTATAATATGTAGATGTATATAAACATCTATACACACGCGCACATAAATATATATTCAAATATGTATGAAGCCGGACTTGGTATACAAAGATAACTTTCTATTCTACAAAATATATGTATTCTCTCCTATTTAAAACCTTTATGATTATATTTAAGCTTGATAGCATGTTTTAACTTAACATTTATTGTAAGTCAAACACAACTTTATACTGATCAGCATAAATTGGCTAAAAGTTTTTTATTTCTTGAACATTACCAAATTCGATCTTTTTAAAAAGTAAGATAAAATGCCGATCTGAACTTTTAAAGGAGGAAACCTGATGAGATACAGGTTCCCATTTCTCAAGACCTGGCATTGTGGAATCTGTCAGAAGTTACGAACTGGTGCAGGGATGATGGAATCTACCAGGAGTTAGCCAAGTTCTCATAGAAGCAGAGGGAAAGGGGGAAATTCAAAGGGTGTACGCTTAGCCGGGCAGGGTGGCGGGCGCCTGTAATCCCAGCTACTTTGGAGGCTGAGGCAGGATAATTGCTTGAACCCGAGAGGCGGAGGTTGCAGTGAGTCAAGACCGTGCCATTGCACTCCAGCCTGGGCAAAAAGAGTGAAACTCCGTTTCAAAAAAAAAAAAAGGGTGTGAGCCCTGGTCACACACGGATGCTGTGGGACAGGGACAGTCATTTAACTTAGAGACCATCCTACTTCTTAAACACTATCTGTTATCTGTTCTCTCCAGAATCGGGCTGACAGGGACTACAACAGCTGTTCCCTGGATAAGGTGCCATTAACCTTTACATTCAGCTAAACACTTCCAAAGAGCACTGATGCCCAGACGTACATGCACTCAGGGAGCAGTGGGGGTTGGAGAATGAAGGCGTGGATTGCTATAGACATCTTATTGCTGTGGCCTGAATGTCTGAATGTTTAGTTCTTCCCATACTGAAATCCTAACCCCTCAAGGTGATGGTATTACGAGGTGGGCCTTTGGGAGGTAATTAGGTCATGGGGGTGAAGCCTTTGTGAATGGGCTTAGTGCCCTTATTATAACAGAGCCCACGGAGAGCTCCTTGCTAGCACCACATGAGGTTATAATCAGAAGGCACCGTCTATGAAACAGGAAGCAGGCCCTCACCAGGCGCCAGATCTGCCTTGATCTTGGACTTCCCAGCTTCCAGCAATGTGAAAAAAAGTTTTTGTTGTTGTAAGCCTTCCAGTTCATGGTACTTTGTTACAGCAGCCTAGTAAACTAATAGACGTGGTGAAATCAATTCACCTCCAAGCTGACCTGGCTTGGTGCTTCCTAATCATGAATGGGATCTCTGGTTTTCTCCAGTCAAATTTGAGGCTATTCTCACTCAGAAGCATTTCATCACGTATCTTCCAGGCTATAACTTAATTGATAGGTATAGATGTATTTCCACTAACAAAACTGCTAACTTTGGGGAAGGAAAATGCTAGAGTCACCTTAAGCCTCATGCTTTTATCAGACAGACACATTAATCTGGGTCTGTGTACAAAAATTGCTTCCCACACACTCTCTGGAGTCTCAGAGGACCAGGGAAGGAATCTGGCAGGAGACAAGCAAAAGGCGATACACAGTCCACAAAGTGGCACAGGGGTTCTTCCGGCCCTGAGGCCTGTTGACATCACATTCATCATCCCTACATGCCAGGGCTCTGGCGGGCTATGGAGAATCCTCTGCGAGAGGGAGGATGTTTGCACGAATAACTTTCCTTTTGAACTCTTTCGACATTAGGACCTTATGCCAGGCTGCCTCATTTACCAAACACTTAAAAGATCAGGACTGAAGCCGTAGAAGGGGCTTCACTGGGAAGATGTGTCAGCCACACCGTGCAGCTATGTTGCAGTGTAGTTGCATGAGCTGTCCCAGATACCAAGTATGGAAGTTAAAAAAATTAATAAATAAAAATAAATGAACAAATCAAAAGGAGTAGGTGTGGTGGGGAGGGAGGAAGAGCAAGCACATGGATCATGCACTTTGGGAAGAGAAAATAAAAGAGGAATGAGTTTTCTTTTATCAAGGAAATCTAAATGACATGTTCAAGACCGTAGCAACCAATCTAAGTGTTTCCATTCTCCAAACACACAGATGGACCCTGGAGTGAGAGGGTGGAGACAGCAGTAAATGTGTTTTTCTGTCTCGTTGGAAATGTTTTTCCCGTTGATCTAGCAACACTGTTACATCGGTACAAATGCCCACAACCTTAGGAGAGTTAGGTTCAGGCCCAAAGTCCATTTTCTTGGTTAATCATTATCCAGGACTGTTTAAACCAGGCCATTAAGCTATAACGTAACATGCAGCCACCTATATGCTTGGATATCTGTGTAGTCTGAAGTGCCCTTTCCTTTGCATTTCCTTAAGTATCGAATTAATTTGCCTTTAGAGAATGAATTGATATTTTTAAGCCTATTTGATTGTTGGGTTTTTTACTTAAAAACAGTCTTTATTAAAATAGTTTTATTAAAAAACATAGTGGCAAAATTTCAAATTATTTCAAAACGTTTCATGCTCTACTTCTCTGTTCCCAGCTCTGCTCTAGTCACCTCAAAGAGATTCAGTTTGACTTCACATTTTTTGTAGGCAGATGTATCCACCAGCTGACACTGAATAAAAGAGCCCTTTCAGTTACTGTCCCTCTGGGCCCAATGGTAAAGTCACCAGTCCCATGAACTGGTCACCTCCCTAGTGAAGCGGCTACGTTGTCTGGGGTCTATACCCCGAGGTTCGTCATTGCACGACAGGAAAATGTAGGACATGGACACACACAAGGAGTTTAGGAGCAAATGTTTAATAGGCAGAAGAGAAAGAAAAACAGATCTCTCCATAGACAAGGGGGTCTCCCAGTGGAAAGGACCAGTCAGGTTTGAGGAAGCCGTGTCTGATTTACATAGGGTTCACAGATTGGTTTGATCAGGTATGACGTTTAGATAGTGTGTGGGGAAGGCTGGTCGCGCCACGATAATTTTATTATGCAAATGGGCTTTCCAGTTGATGGGTGCCATCTTATCTGGTCTTTACTGCACATGTGACTGACAAAGGGAAGGGAGGATGGCGCCGCCATCTTGAACATGTCTACTCCCTAGTTCCTGCAGGCATTCACTTGCCTGTCCCTCTGGGCCAAATGGTAAAGTCAGCAGTCCCATGAACTGGTCACCTCCCTAGTGAAGTGGCTACGTTGTCTGGGGTCTATACCCTGAGCTCGACTTCATAGGCTGCTCTTTATTAAAAAATGATCTGGGCTGCTTTTCATGAAAAAGAAAACAAAGCCTTACTGAAGACTCCCATACCTTCGTTATCTGCCTAAGTGATTTCTTTTTAACTCTTGTATCATTAGCAAGGAAAATGTCAGCAAAGAGGAAACAGGAATACGCAGCAGAGTGACAATTTGCACTAAGATGAGAGCAAAGTTTAACCAAATGGAAAAGCCAAATCATTGGTTACAACTTTACTTTACAGTGGAGATTACAAGTTCTTTTCATTTATCCAATTAACCAAGTGCCAAGAGGGTGTTAATAAAATTACGTTGAATTATTCTGAAGGGTACAGAGTTGTACTCTCTGGTACAACTTTCCCTAGATGCCTAGGTTTACAACCAATTTAGACTAAAACTAATTTTTTTTTTACTTGCACTTTACTTAATTCAGCACCTAAATAGGATGTACATTTGCTACTTAAGAAATACCAGAGGTCAGACGCGGTGGCTCACACCTGTAATCCCAGCACTTTGGGAGGCCAAGGTGGGCAGATCACTTGAGGTCAGGAGTTTGAGACCAGCCTGACCAACATGGCGGAACCCCATCTCTACTAAAAATACGAAAAAAAATTAGCCAGGCGCGGTGGCGGGCGCCTGTAGTCCCAGCTACTCGGGAGGCTGAGGCAGGAGAATGGCATGAACCTGGGAGGCGAAGCTTGCAGTGAGCGGAGATCACACCACTGCACTCCAGCCTGGGCGACAGAGCGAGACTCCGTCTCAAAAAAAAAAAAAAAAAAAAAAAAAAAAGCAAAAAGCCAATCACTTAAAACTTTTTTTTTTTTTTTTATCATCGCCTCTGACCCCTGGAGAATTCCACTGTAAATTAATATCTCCTTTTTACTTTTTCTGTTTTCAAGCAGAAAAAAAAGAAAATATAAAACCAACTTATTATTTTTATTAGTTTGATATACAAACCCTGAATATGTACAATTATAGATTATTTATAAATGTTTAAAGGAGAATAAAAATTACCCTCATAGCCCAAGCATAACAATGTTTTTATTTTCCATGTTTTCCCATCTTCTTGTCCATGGTTAGTTTCAAGAGTCATATAAATGCAAGTTTATATTCTGCTTTTTTTCATTTGAAATCATAACAAATATTTTCACAAATATCCACAGATATAATTTCTACTTCTTGTATAATGGTGACTTATTTCTCTACTAGATATTTTGTTTACTCCTGAGGTTTTGGTATTGCACATAGGGCTGTAATTATTATATCTTTATGCTTACAGAACAGAAATATTTTGTTGCGTTTGCTGTTGTTTTTTCGAGATGGAGTCTTGTCTTGCTGTCACCCAGGCTGGAGTGCAGTGGCATGATCTTGGCTCAGTGCAACCTCTGCCTCCCAGGTTCAAGCAATTCTCCTGCCTCAGCCTCCCTAATAGCTGGAATTACAGGCACGTGCCACCACACCGAGCTAATTTTTGTAATTTTAGTAGAGATGGGGTTTCACTATGCTGGCCAGGCTAGCCTTGATCTCCTGCCTCAGCCTCCCACCAAAGTGCTGGAATTACAGGCATGAGCCACCTTGCCTGGCCAGAACAGAAATGTTTAACCAGAGATTAACCTTGTCACAAAGCTGTCACTCCAGTAATTGTGTGTTTATGTGTGTGTGTGTGATGTTACTCTGAAAAAATTTTAATATCCCTTCTATCCTTAAATTCCATGATTCCCTCCATCATCAGAAAAACCTCAAGTGATCTCACTTAGATACCAATCAGACAACTGATGTTCAAACCAGTGATATTTACAATAGAATTGTTCAAAATCAGGGATAGCAAGGATTCCAGGATCATGAAGACAAAATCAGAGCACAAGCTACTCTCGCTATCAGAAAAGACAAAAACAAACAAACAAAAAAGGACACCTCTACTAGGCATTTCAGACACAACATCCTAGATGATGAACTAAGTTGATGTCTAAGCTTCATAGGCCCACTATGGACCTGCACTATCTCTGGGCAAAATAGGACATTTTGAAAAGGCCGTCTTGATTGTTTATCTCCAGTGAATCAGGAAGAAGGAAGGAAGAGAGAAGCCTCAGTATCAGATAGAACTTAGGGTACTAAAGCTTCGAGGTGGATGAGTACATATACAAAAGTTCCTCTGGACATGATTAGACACTCTGAGATTCTGCTTTTCTGTGTGACCCAAACAGCACTGGGTTTGAATCTACCAGGAGACAAAAACCAGGCTGTGTTTGTTCTGCTGAGCAACTGTCTTATTCTAGGGAAGCTATAAATAATAAAAGATATAATTTGTAGAATCCCATTATGTTATCATGTCACTTCAATTCATTTAATCCTCACAATTACCCTAACAAGGAGTTTGTTAACCTGTTTTTGTGACATCCATCTACACTCATCATGTTGAGAATGAATTAAATTCATCTTCTCTGATAAACCTGCAGCCTATCTGGATTAGGGGGAAAAAGGAAAGCAAACTCAGGCTCATCCATACTGTGACTTGCAGGGAACTGTGAGTAATCCACCAAAGAAACAAAGCCAGATAGAGTAGTACATTTTCTAGATAAACACAGGTGTCACCTGACCAGATTGGTGATTTACAAAGATGAGGCTGGATGCAGCATAGGGAATAAACTAGAGAGGAGGAGGAACTGTTAAGAGACTGCTGTCTCCTCTGTTCTCTCCATTCACATCTAGTTTCTTATTGCACAATGACCCCGGGCCATTTGTATTACCCACCTGAATTTCATAGTTAACACATCTGGAAACAAGCTTGTCATTATCCTCAGGGAATCGTTTGTCCCTTGGACTTCCTAATCTGCGTCAGTGGCCACATATATCATGCTCTTAGTCACAAAGGCTCAAAACCTCAGAATCGCTCTTGGCTCTCAGCTCCTCCTTGCTTCATCCTCTTTCAGCCTCTCGTCAAAGCCTGGCTGTCTGTTCTTTCATAATAAGGTTCTTTATTTCAACTCCTACTGTTACCAAAACTTCTCTAAGTTTTAAACAAATTTGAAGGGGTGGCTGCTTCTATATAATGACTCTGGAAGTCAGAAAGAGGCAATTATTGCAGAGAACTCCAAAATAGACCCAGAGCTCACAACCCAGCCTTCTCCTTTGCACAGCCTCCTCCTTTGCTCATCTGAGTCTGCATTTTGCCTGATATGTATTTTAACTGGCTCCATAAGAAGACAAGGGGAGAAGAGGGAAGGAAAATGAGGGGGAAAAATGAGACAAACTCCCTTGTAAATTGACTGGGACCAAATTGATCCTGGAACGTTCTGTCTGAAGCAGGATAGTTTGTCTCCATCAGTGCTTTTGCGCAACATAAATTGAGTGTCTTTTTTAAGCAATTTTTTTTTGAGTGTTTACAATGTGTTTGGCATTGTTCTAAATTTGCTATATATTAGCTCATTAATCCTCAAAAAGCCCCTATAAGGAAGGCACTGTTACTATTCTTATTTCACAGATGAGGAAACCAAGGAGCAAGAAGCTTAAAAAGTCACCTGTGATCACACAGCTGATAAAAATAAAACTAGAATTTGAGCCAAAAACCTGCGTTTCAAGTCCTGAGCCCAGCACCCAAGTATCATTCTATTATTGCGCTAGTTCCTGAAATTTACATGACTCTCCTGCAGCCTCCTCTCTTCCTTGTTAAATCAAGTTTAGCCTAAAGCTGCCTCCGTACATATTTTAAGTTTGGCCTAAAGGTTTTTCTGTACATTGCAAACTATAACAAGTGGAGTTGTAAACAGACAGACTGTAGCCTACTCTTGTGCCAGTCACTGAGTTTTGGCCAATCAAATGTGGTCAACTGTTCAAACCATCTTCAAATAAGGCAAACACCAAGCTGTAACCAATCCCACTGTTTCTGTTCCTCACTTCCATTTTGTGTATGTCACTTTCCTTTTTCTGTCCATAAGTCTTCTGCCACGTGGTTGTGCTGGAGTCCCTGAGCCTACTTCTGGCTCAGGAGGCTGCCTGATTCACCAATTGTTCTTTGCTCAATTAAACTCTGTTAAATTTAATTTGGCTGAAGCTTTTCTTTTCTTTTCTTTTTTGAGACAGAGTTTCAACTCTTGTTGCCCAGGCTGGAGTGCAATGTCACGATCTCAGCTCACCGCAACCTCCGCCTCCAAGGTTCAAGCAATTCTCCTGCCTCAGCCTCCCGAGTAGCTGGGATTACAGGCATGTGCCATGACGCTCAGCTAATTTTTTGTATTTTTAGTAGAGACGGGGTTTCTCCATGTTGGTCAGGCTGGTCTTGAACTCCCGACCTCAAGTGATCCACCCGTCTTGGCCTCCCAAAATGCTGGGATTACAGGCGTGAGCCACCGCACCTGGCTGAAGCTTTTCTTTTAACATCCTCCATCTCCCCTACTTCTGGGCTACCTTGTTCACCTGCCTCCACATCCAGACGTCATTCAGAAGTGATGACTCACTCTCTCTTTGATCATCTGAACTCCTGTAGCAATTTATCTCTTAGAGTACTTCTTACTTTCAGTCTGGTATAACCTACTCCTATCCTCCAGCCCTGGAGGTACCTCCAGGTGTTTCTAGGTGTTCTCAAAAAAGGAACCACTTGTACTTACAATGGAGCCTACTGTCAGCAGCTCCCTCAGGCAAGGCACCCCCTCCCCACCTAAAGCAGGACTCTTCTTGGCTCAGGGTTCCTTGCTCTGTCCCCAGGCGGCTGCATCAAAGTGGCCAGAAGAAGCACTTCCCCTTTGATCCATTCATCCAGGGGCTAACCCTGTACCACTTGCTACTCTGGCCCTGGGGATACATTTGTGATCACAACCAGAAGAAAATTCCTACCTGAAGAGCTTTCATTTAGTAAAGAGTCAGGTAATAAATATAAGAATAAAGAAAATACGTAGTATGTTAAAAGACGTAAGTGCTATGAAGAGTAGTAAACCAGGGTAAGAGGATGGAAATGCCTTTGGGGGTAGGAGGAGTTGCAATTTTAAGTCAGTGGTCAGGGTGGACCTCTCTGAGATATTTAAGCAGGAGTGGCAGGAAGTGAGAGAGCTGGCCAAGTGGATATGCTCCAGGGAAAGGGAAGAGCTGATGCCAAGCCCTGCAAGGGAGCCCCTGGGTGTGGTGGAGGCCGGGGACATAGGGACAGTGGAGAACAGTATGGCCATGTGCACCCTGGAAGAACTGCTGCTCCAAGTTAACTAGGTAGTCATTGTAGGGTTTCAAGGACAGGAGTAACAGGACCTAAGTTTTAAAAGGAATCCCAGCACTTTGGGAGGCTGAGGAGGGTGGATCAGTTGAGGTCAGGAGTTCGAGACCAGCCCGGCCAACATGGTAAAACCCTGTTTCTACTTAAAATACAAAAAGTAGCTAGGTGTGGTGGCGGGTGCCTGTAATCCCATCTACTCGGGAGACTGAGGCAGAATTGCTTCAACCTGGGAGGCGGAGGTTGCAGTGAGCCCAGATCGCGCCACTGCACTCCAGCCTGGGTGACAGAGTGAGACACTGTCTCCAAAATAAATAATAAATAAATTAAATAAATAGGATGACTTTCCAGGCAGGAGTGCAATACCACTTGCACTGTGTGCTCAAGAATGTGAAATAAGACCCATCAACTGGTTGCAGGTTTTTCTCCAGCCATGGCCAGCTGTAAATGTGTAGGTAGAAGTAAGTGGAGGTTTGGATTTGCTAAGATGGAACAAAGAAGGGAGAGCAGTAAGGAGTCTGAGGGTGTAAGATCCTGCAGAGCACTCAGAGAATATTTTTTGGACCCCAGTGTGGGCTGTTAGGGCAACAATTCTTCCCACTTCTATTTTGATTCCTTTTTCCCCCTAGATCCAGACAAGTACTTTGACCCAGAGATGAAGTCTATCAAATTTCCAAGTGGTACTCAGAATCTCAATCTTCCTCTAATGATTACATTTTGTTGCAGATAAATATGTTCACTTTGCTGCACATGTTTAATTTTCCCTACAAGACTGCAAGTTTTGAAGGGAAGAAGCGCTAATTCTTATTCATCTGTTTCCTCTCAGCAGAGGGTCTCTCTGCACTGGAATCACTTGGCAGCTTTTACAAATCATGATGTCTGGGTCCACCCCTAGAGAATTGGCCTTGAGTGCAGCCTGGGGTACTGGGCTCTTAAGAAACCTCAGATAATTCTGATGGGCACCAAGGATGGAAGCCTCGAGACTATATTATAAAGCAATGTCTCACATATAGAAGGTACTTAATAAATAATTGTTGGGAAATATTAATGAATGGGCCTGGGAAACAGCTTCTCAGCTAGCCTCCTGAACTCAGGTATATTTTTCTCCAGTAAGTCATCTTAGACGCTCCCTTCTGCAAAACGAAGCTTCCTGGAATTCACATTAAAACTTCTGCCTCAAAAACATCCTGCATTTCTTTATCATCTGCAATAGTGGCTCCCACACTTTGGTCCACAGGCTGGACCATCTCAAGAACTTTAAAATATGGCAGGTTCTAGGGCTTCAAACCTCATGGAGTTTCTGATGTAGTCACTGAGAAGCCCAGAAGTCTGCATTCCTATCGGGCTCCCTTCAGGATCCTCATATATACTACGAGGGTGAGAATGCTCGATCTACAAGATAAAACCCAATCTCCTTCCCCGGTTGTCAGATTTCTCCACCATACATTCCTATCCGATTTACAATCCTTTATTTTTGTATAATTCCAACCCAAATCTTCTGCCACAGGAAAGGAAATTAACCCAATGTTCATTATGGTGCCTTTACTTCCTAATTTTGTTCATGTTGTGCCTTCACCTCAGCTGACTCTTCATCCCTCTATGCCTGTCTCAAACTCATTCATTTTCCTGGACCTGATTCAAATCCTACTACTTCCTCCACAAGGCCATCCAGTTCATTACAGCCCAGTGATGTAACCCATCTTTGCCTAACCAAAGCATCACTTACTGGCGTAATTACTGCCTTTGGTTTAACTTGTTATGAAATAATGTGTTGTGTGTCTAATGAAGCTATTAGCTTCTGTAAGATGAGGGTAATTCTTCCATACCCCTTTGTATCCTAACTATAGTAAGACAGTGAATGGATGAAGGAGTCTATAGCATGTACAAAAATTTCCTTAGCATTTCCTCAAGTCTTTTTTTAATTGTCACAATTGAATTATCATAAAATGACTTCAACTATCTTTTAGGAAAGGCATAGCTATCATAAAATGAAGCTGTGAAGGTAAGTTGTGTTTTGTTTGTTGTGTTTTTAATGTCTACCCTGTGATAATCACTATGTATGAGGTACCACAGATAAGCTAACACACCTTAGCTATTGCAATAAAAACTTTTTTGTAAACAGTAAATGTGAATTGGGTCACATATGCTTTCTGGAGCTTTTATTTTATATTCTCCTTGAGCAGTATTAGTCATTTTACATATTGTATTTCCACTAATTACACTTTCTGGTTCCTGTAATCCAAAGAATGCTGCTAATATTTTTCATTTCTGATTCTATGAAAATTTTAAAAGAATTTTAAGGTTTTTATTGACCTAATAACTCCGCAGTGTTCCACTGTAATAATACATACACCCTTGTTTAGGGGCTTAGCAGGATTTATAAAAGTCTAACTTTTTAGCTGTGATAGAATAAAAAACACCCAATTTAAAGGCTTTTAGTGTCATAATGGGAAAAACACACTACACATCACTATTTACCCAGGGGCTACTAGGGGACCAAATCTCTATTTTATAGGAAGATTTCTGGAGGAAGTTTTTATTGTATTAAAGGCTACTGTGCACAGAATGCTGTACAGATTTCTATTCTAGTTTTACACAAAGGTGATACTCGCAATCTATTACACATTATTACCTATGTCGATGAAAAGAGTCAAACTCTGTAAAATGCCTGAAGAGATTTATTCTGAGGCAAATGTAAGTGGCCATGGCCCGTGACACAGCCCTCACGAGGTCCTGAGAACATGTGCCGAAGGTGGTTGCGGTGCAGCTTGGTTTCATACATTTTAGGGAGGCAGGAGCCATCAAACAAATACATTTGAAAAATACACTGGTTTGGTCCAGAAAGGCAGAACAATTTGAGGGAAGTGGGGGCTTCCAGGCTGTAGGTAAATTCAATAAATATTTTCTGGTTGACGATTGGTTGAGTGTCTAAAGACCTGGGATTAATAGAAAGGAAAAGTTCAGGCTAAGAGGGGGAGACAGGCTGGGCACGTTGGCTCACACCTGTAATCCCAGCACTTGGGGAGGCTGAGGTGGGCAGATCACAAGGTCAGGAGTTCGAGACCAGCCTGGAAAATATGGTGAAACCCTGTCTCTACTAAAAATACAAAAACTAGCCGGGCATGGTGGCAGGCGCCTGTAATCCCAGCTACTCAGGAGGCTGAGGCAGGAGAATCCCTTGAACCCAGGAGGCTGAGATCACACCATTGCACTCCAGCTTGGGCAATAGAGTGAGACTCTGTCTCAAAAAAAATAAATAAATAAAAGATTGTGGAGATCAAGTTTCTTTTGAAGTCTCATACTGGCTGCCCTTAGAGAATAGATGACAAATGTTTCCTAATCAGACCTTTAAAAGGTGTTAGACTCTCAGTTAATCTCTTCAGGATTGGGAGGGCCTGGAAGAAAAAGATCTAGCTATGTTAATAGAGATTCTTTACAGGTGCACATTTTCCCTCACAAAGGATGGCTTTGCAGGACCACTTCAAAATATGGCAAAGCAACATGTTTTGGGCTAAAATAATTTTATTTTCTTCTTTGTCACATAATGTTATGCCAGAGTCAGATTGGAAAGTAAAGTCATGATATATAGGGTTAAATAAAACCCATCTGATGAGAATTTATGGTTTGGAGGGCATGAGTCTCCAGACCCCTTAAATAGAAATCTGAGCAAAATAAAAAAAATCAGAGTTTAGTCCTCAACTATAAACTTCCTGAAAACAGAAGTCATAATTTTCTTGTTTAGTGTTTTATCTTATTCAGTGCTTAACACAGGGCTTGGTCATAGTAGGTATGCGATGAACATTGGTTGGCTCACTGATTGTTAGGCATCGGTGGGTAAGAGCCAGAGAAGAGAGGGACAAGACAAGGAGGCGGCACGTGAGTGGAGACTGTGATTATCTCAAGTCCAGCTACTTGCATTTTACGGGCAACCAATTACAAATTGGCTTGACCATGGCAGCTGGAATGTACTTACATCTTTGTGTGAACTTTGAAAGCAGAATATTACATGTAAGTTGAGGAATCTGGATTCTAAGCACTTACCAGTTAGCTGCACAATGAAGAAAACTCTGTGTGCGTGTGTGTATACATGCATGTGTATGTGTGTGTACATGTGTGTGCGTGTGTGTGTGAGAGAGAGAGAGAGAGACAGAGATAAATCACTAGTCACAGAGTACTATCTTTGCTGAATATAAACAAGTTTAGGATGTGAAAGGTGGGCCCAGATAGCTGGGTTAAAACAAAGAAGGAGAAACAAATGGGTTGCCAACTTTTTCTGCACAAGAAAGAAAGAGGCATGTGGATAAGTAGAAGGAATGACCGAGAAAGGAAGAGAGAGGAAAGTCTAGCCAACATGCAGGAGGCTGGAGGGAGCTTCCTGTGAGAAATTCCAAACAGCAGGAAGGCTGAAAGCCTTTGGAAAGAATGTCTACTATTCAGCTTTAATCCCCATGGTTTGCTGTGGCATAAGCCTCCCCACTGCATCCCCAAACCTTCAGTGGTCGGCTGCAAAGAAACTTGCCTGCCTTGGGTCATGTACCCTCAAGGAAATGAACTACCAAATGCAGGATGATGGAGTTAAAAAATAAAGCAAAGAATAGAGGCAGGGGCTAAGTTCTATAGGTGGGGTGGTAGAAAAAGAGAACAGCCAAGGCATCGAAAAATGAGTCATAAATGTAAAATGATCCGCAATCAGGTGAGCAGGACCTGTGAGGCAGAGTGGTCTTGATAATGTAAACATCCAGGATTTGGCAGAAAACTTGGCCTTTTAATAAATTGGGATAGGGAATCACAGCTTATTTTATCAACATCTGGAAGGCAGAGTGACCTCAAATGCCAACTGGGTTCCAATTCTTTAGCTTCCTCCTCAAATGCCTGATCGCTGAAGATGTCCAAGTGCCAACCCTCAGAGCCCTGATTTTAAAAATAAAAGGCCAGTATTTCTCATGCATATCATGAGGCATAAATATTTAAGAGGGAGGTTTTTGTGATTTTACGGAGTGTTTTCAAGTTCTTTGCAACTCTGAACAAATGCTTTCTGCTCATTTTATAACCAGTTTGTTAGTGAACAAAATAGAAGGACTTCTCCGGAGTTTTAGATCTTTCTATCATAATCCTCAGTATCCTAATGTTTCATTCATTCATTTAATAAGTACACATTTAGCATCCACTGGACTGGAAATTGTTCTAGATATGAGTAATGAGCAGAAAACACTGCTTGCCCAAAGGGAGCTTAAGTCCAGAGCAATAGTTCCAGAACTTGGCTTCTCATCAGAATTGTCACAGAGCTTCACAAAAAGAAAGTCTCCAAAGAATCCACGCAGACCTACTCTACCAGGAATCTCCTTTCCATCCCTATACTTTTTGATTTTTCACTAAGCAAGAGTGGGTAGGTTGAGGAACAAAAACAGGCCAGATGGGGGAAACGGAACAGGAAGAATGCCATGACCACTTTCCTGGAGCTGTGATTCCAGCACATTATCTGAGGATTGGCTGAGTTCAGGCTAGATCTTCTCAAAACCCTGCCCATTAACCACAGCGAGATAGCATTTCATACCCACAGGATGGCCTCACGAACACGACGGGTAATAACGAGTATTGGCAAAGATGTGGAGAAACTGGATACCTCAAACATTGGTGGTGGGAATGCAAAATAGTGTAGCTACTTTGGAAAACAGTTTAGCAGTTCCTCAATGAGTTAAATATGGAGTTTTCATATGACCTAGCAATTCCACTCACAGCATACACCTAAGAAAAATAAAAACACATGTCCACACAAAACTTTGTATATAAGTGTTCATATCAGCATTATTCATAACCAAAAAGAGGAAAGAACTCAAGTGTCCCTCAACTGTTGAATCAGTCAACAAAGTGTTGTATATCCACGCAATGGAATATCATTCCGCCATAAGAAGGTACTGATAGATGCTGATAGATGCTGTAACATGGATGAACCTTGAAATATTACATTAAATAAAAGAAGAAAGTCACAAAAGCCCACATATTAATGATTCCACTTATATGGAGTGTCCAGAAGGGGCAAATCCATTAGAAAGAAAGGAGATTAGTGGTTACTAGGGGTTGTGGGGAAGACAGAATGGGTAATGGCTGCTCATAGCTATGGGGTTTCTTTTTGGGGTGATAAAAAGGCTTTAAAATTAGTGCATATGTTTGTACAATCTTACGATATACTAAAACCACTAAATTATACACCTTGAAAGGGTAAATATTATGGCATGTGAACATCTCAATTAAATACATACATTAAAAAATTTTAATAGCATGATAAAAAAAGAAAAACTCCTGCCTGCCCATGCTATGGAGGAAGCATTGGATGGGGAAAAGAAAGTTCTTAAATTATGAACTCCTAGATTTTGAGGGCATGGATTATGTGTTATTCATCCTTGTAAGAACAGTAATTATTATGCTTCCTAGCCCATATACTGCTTCTGTTAGGAAGGTTCATATTATCAATTAAGAAAAATGAGACTCAGACTCACCTAACTAATAAAGGAATTATTGGTCCATTTGACTGAAAAAGTGCAGATTTTACTTCAGGTAAAGATCGGTCTGCAAGGACCCAATTTCTTTTCATGCCTCAATTCTGTTCTTCTTATAAAACTTTGACCCATGACTTGATTTCTTCTTGTTCCTAAGATGATTTCCAGTAATTTCTAGAGCTACAAACTTCCTCATTTAAGTCCCTGGTAGCCTACTCAAAGTCCAGGAAGTGATAACCGATGACCTTTACTGTGCTGACTTTGGTATTTCACCATAATAAAATGAATCACTGAATCCAGGAGGAGAATGTAAAAAAAAAAAAAAAAAAAAAAGTTAAGGAGCAAAGCTAAATTTATTTCCTTGCCAGGCAAAAGAGAGTCCCTCATTCAAGCATGGCTAAAAGAAAAAAGAATGGATCTACAGAACCAAGAGGGTATTTATTCTACATTAGAAAGGATTCTAGGCTTTAAGTACCGATCATTTTTTGGAAGGGTAGAGGAGAACATTGAAAATTCCTCTTTTTGATGTGATCCATTTTTAAAACTGATGTGACAAAGTGCCACATCAAAGAGACTGGTTTTCAAAGAGATCTCAGGTGAGATATTTCAGGCTCTGTTTGGCTCATGTGGCACTTTACCATGTGCAAGCTTAGGGCTTAGCAGTTTTCTTTTTTTACAATGATAAACACATATTGTTCTAAACCAGTGAGGGTCCATCCTTGGGTACTGGGTGGGGCCAATCCCACCATCATGGCTCTCTGTGAGAAGAAAGAATGAAGAGATGATTGTTGGAGAGGTGGCCACACGCACCGCACTCTCTGTGAGGGCTTTGCAGCATTTACTCAGAAAGACAGTAAGACAATAAGGACCACCTTGACAACACGTTCTAAGGGAGAAAGTACTAAAGACACTAGGATTGTGTGAAAACCCCCAGGCCTCTTGGAGAGGGTTTTCTTGGCAAAAGACAACTATAAAATGTGCCAGGTTTTTTTTTCCTTCTTCTCTTTTTTGAGACAGAGTTTAGCTTTGTCGCCCAGGCTGGAGTGCAGTGGCATGATCTCTGCTCACTGCAACCTCCGCCTCCTGGGTTCAAGCCATTCTTCTGCCTCAGCCTCCTGAGTAGCTGGGACTACAGGCACCCACCACCACGCCCAGCTAATTTTTGTATTTTTAGTAGAGATGGGGTTCCACCATGTTGGTCAGGCTGGCCTCAAACTCCTGACCTCAAGTGATCCGCCTGCCTTGGCCTCCTAAAGTGCTGGGATTACAGGTATGAGCCACTTCACCCAGCTAAAATGTGCCAGTTTTACCTGAAATAATTTATTCAGTAATATATTCACCCCCTCCCCCACCACCACAAGCACTTTACTTTCTACATGTACAGATCAACAACTTAAAAAAATATATATTGAAATGCTGTCAAGTCAACAAGAAATTCTTTATTTGTTAAATCAGGATAATCAAGAGTTCATTTTCATAGGAAAAATTCTTTGTGTTGGCAACAGCATAAGACATCCTAAAGCAAGAGACTTTCTCAGGGAAAATTGTCCAGAGCAAATTCCAAATGAATAGAGCTTCACCACCAAAGGAGTATAAACAACCCAAATCTTCCATCTCCAGATTCTACAACAGCTATCTTGCCTCCTGTTTCCAAAATTGTTCCAAGTTTAAAACTGATTTCTCAATTATTAAATTTTTTATAGCATGTGGCAGACACGCTGAGAGTTAACAAGTATGTTCTCATACTGTGAGAGAAGGCCATTCACCAAGCTTCAGAATCAGATAACGAATCTTGTCTTTGCTGCTCATTGGCTATAAGGCTGGAGCTAACTGCCTAACCTCTGTCCTGTTCCCTTAAAATGCTGGTGACAATATCTTCCTAAAAGGGTTCCCATGAAGATCAACTGAAATAGCAATGCCTGTAACACACTTAGTCCAGTGTCTGGAAAAATCATTCAATAAATATTTGTTCCAGCCTAGCCAACATGGTGAAACTCCGTCTCTACTAAAAATACAAAAATTAGCCGGGCATGGTGGCACATGCCACCTATCTCAGCTACTCAGGAGGCTGAGGCAGGAGAATTGCTTGAACCCAGGAGGTGGAGGTTGCAGTGAGCCGAGATAGCGCCACTGTACTCCAGCCTGGGTGACAGGGTGAGACTCCATCTCAAAAACAAACAAACAAACAAAAAACAACAAAAAAAAATTGTTGCTATTGTTGTAACAATTCATAGAAAATGTGTTCCAAATACTTGAAATGCAGCCATTAGTTACTGAATACCCCCACATGACTCTAAATGTATATAGCTGAGAACTGAGGTAGAACCTTCCTCATTTATCAAATGCAAAAACTGAGAATAGAAGACAACATACCAATACAGGTAACACTATGGCAAAAGAAAATCCAAATTCCTGCCTGGTGCAGTGGCTCAGGCCTGTAATCCCAGCACTTTGGGAGGCCAAGGTGGGTGGGTCACCTGAGGTCAGGAGTTCGAGACCAGCCTGGACAACATGGTGAAATCCTGTCTCTACTAAAAATATAAAAAAATTAGCCGGGCGTGGTAGTGGACACCTGTAATCCCAGCTACTCGGGAGGCTGAGGCAGGAGAATTGCTTGAACCTAGGAGGCAGAGGTTGCAGTGAGCCGACACAGTGCCACCACGCTCCAGCTTGGGCGACAGAGTGAGACTCTGTCTCAAAAAAAAAAAAAAAAAGAAAATCCAAATTCCCTTGTATCAATTGTCTAGACAAGCTAAAAGTGACAATTCATAGGAACATTAATTCTCAGAGCCAAAAGAGAACACACTGACTAACCCCAGTGTGTAACTGACACAACTATTAAGGCCCAGAAAGTCAACAGAGGCCGAACATCAGGCCAAATATTTATTTACTGACCTAGTTATTTAAAACAGATCTCATAGCCTCTTCATAAAAGCAATAATAATAGCAAGCATGTATATACATTGAGAAACAAAAATAAAATCCTAAGTCCCTCGACTGACTGAACAGACCCCCTCTTGGACAATGGGACTCCAGAAAAAATTTAAAAACTGAGTTCCCAGCTATGACTGGGTAGGAGGTAGGACATGCCTAGTTATATCCAGTTCCTCAGTAACTACCATTATACTTTCTTTCCTAAGGGTTCAACAGAAACCAGCCCTTTCTAAAGACTTGCTGAACTCTGGCACAGCAACTGACCAGCATTCTTTCCTGATCAGAGACCAGTGAGCGCACTAAATGCCTTCCTGTACCTGCTTCACCTTTGGACACATAGGGCCTAATCATAATACATTTAAGTGTTAAGTCTCCATCCCAAAATCAACATGGGATGCAGGTAACATGCTTATTTGCTTACTACACGTGTGTACCCCCTTCATGAATATTCATATCTTCCCCAGTAACCTGTTGAATATGCACACGTGGTCAGCCCATTCAGCATAAAGTCCTGTCTCATCCTTCCCTTCTTTGAAGTGCTTGCTTTTGGCTTCTGTGGGAGACTTCGCTTCCCAGATGGTCAGCCTGCAACTTACAACATCCGGGCGCAGTGGGTCACACCTGTAATCCCAGCACTTTGGGAGGCCAAGGCAGGTGGATCACCAGAGGTCAGGAGTTCAAGACCAGCCTGGCAAACATGGTGAAACCCCGTCTCTACTAAAACACAAAAATTAGCCAGGTATGGTGGCACACGCTTGTAATCCCGGCTACTCAGAGGCTGAGGCAGGAGAATCGCTTGAACCCAGGAGGCGGAGGTGGCAGTGAGCTGAGATTACACCACTGCACCCCAGCCTGGGTGACAGAGTGAGACTCCGTCTCAAAAAAAAAAAAAAAAAAAAAAAGAATAAAGCTCTCCTTTCCAAATTTATAAATCTCATGATTCTTCAGTTGACAACATATACATTATATATATATGTGTGTGTTTGTGTATATGTGTGTGTGTGTATATATATATATATATATACACACACACCTATATGTTAGGTTAGTGCACAATTGCAGTTTTTGCTACTTAAAAGTAATTGCAATTTTTGCCATTAAAAGTTGTATGTATTTTCCAGGCACTGTTCTAAGTACTTTCCACATAGTGATTCTCTTTTCCATGTATTTACTTATTCCATATATTGGCTTGATATATGAATTTCCATATATGGACTCCATATATTGACTCATAGTATTGATGACAGCTCTTACAGAGGACAGCACCATGCAATGAACAGTCAAGAGTAGCAACATGACAGGATTGGGATGCAAACCCTGGCCATGTGTACAGTGTCTGTGTTCTGCTATTACATTCCATGTTCAGCATGGCCCAATATGGGAGCCACTAGTCACATGTGCCCATATTTAAAATTTGAATTAGCTTAATTAAAATTAAATAAAATTACAAACTCACTTCTTCAGTTGCACTAGCCACAGTTCAAGAGATCAATAGCCACATGAGGCCTGTGGCTTCTATTGTACAGAACAGATATAGAACACTTCCATCATCACAGAGAGTCCTATTGGACGGCAGTGGCATAGACAAAGCCTTGTTGTCTGTGCTCCTAACCATGACACTTTACTGCCTCGTGGACTCTAGCAGTGTACCTACTTTGCCTGTCTATTGTCATAGTTTCCCTTGAATTCAAAACAAATTCAAAAAATTTTTCATTCTTCTATTGAACAAGTAGTTTACTTAAGGCCTACATTTTACCCCCCTATTCAATACAACATACCAAAGGTGGCAGACAGGAAACACGTTCCCTGCCATTAAAAATTGAGAATCTACTTGAATAATGTGAGTGAATTCTCTGGTGCCTGCCACAATGGGGTGATGCTCTATTCCAGTGGAACAAATCCACGAGATCGTAGAAAGACATGATTATTACAGGCAAATTTAACTACTAAAAAATTACTTTCCAAATATTCTCTTGCACTCTTATGGCTTACGACTTTACATTTCTCCCGCAGAATCACTGACCCACATCATGGCTCAATCTATTTCATCTGACCAGAGCCTGTGTAAGTAATCTGTGACTCACCTGAAGCACTGTATTGTTTGCTATATTACAGGACCTTTTCACTAGATGTGAAATGAAATCATGGAACCCAAATACCTCCTACATACTTCCTGGCTCTGATGCTCTGTAACAGTGACCCCTCTGGGACAATGATTTTATATCAGAGTACGCCCAAAGTTAAACTCAGGTAGGAGACAAGAGAGAGCGACCACAGGCACAGGTGTGAGGCAGAGGGCAGAAAACTGAGTGTGGACAAGCCAGACCTTGCGTGCAGTCCAGTTGCACCATGTTTGTGGTCTTCTACACCTAGCCAAAGCCAATAAACCCCCAGAAGTAAAAGGAAATCTTGATGACCATCAATTTCTTTCCATCAGCATTTTTTCTTTCTACTCCTCTTCTTTACATCTTCCATTCTTCTACTTTGTTTCTTCTTTTTTTCTAACTTCATCATCATTTTAGACCTGAACGTGGTACCATGGTCTTTTCAGCATTCAAGCTTTTCATGATCTATTGAGAATTAGGGAAAGTATTCTTCCTTTAAAATTCCTTTCCTGCCTCCTTCTCCACTTCCTTTTCCTATCTTATTAAGAGTAGCTACCATAATGGGAATGGGGAACTTATATGCTGCAGCTTTATGTACTGTGTTTTATTCTTATCATCTCATTCAATCTTAGAACACCTCAGCTGGTAGGATTATAAGACACTAGCCAGTAATAATGTGAAAATATATTAACACTCAAGAAAAAAACGAAAAAAACAAGCAAAGATTTTTCATTTATTTATTTTTTTGAGACGGAGTCTTGCTCTGTCACCCAGGCTGGAGTGCAGTGGCACGATCTCTGCTCACTGCAACCTCTGCCTCCCAGGTTCAGGTGATTCTCTGGCTTTAGCCTCCCAAGTAGGTAGGATTACAGGTGCGCTCTACCACACCCAGCTAATTTTTGTATTTTAAGTAGAGATGGGGTTTCACCATGTTGGCCAGGATGGTTTCCAACTCCTGACCTTAAGTGATCTGCCCACCTCGGCCTCCCAAAGTGCTGGGATTACAAGACTGAGTCACCACGCCTAGCCAAGCAAAAATATTCTGATGACTAATCTCGTAAATAGTTTCTGATGCAGCAGGCGTAGTCATTCAACTTTACTTTTCTTTTCTTTTCTTTTTTTTTTTTTTTGAGACAGAGTCTTTGTCCCCCAGGCTGGAGTGCAGTGGCACAATCTCAGCTCACTGCAACCTCTGCCTCCCGGGCTCAAGCAATTCTCCTGCCTCAGCCTCCCAAGTAGCTGGGATTACAGGCATGCACCACCACGCCCAGCTAATTTTTGTATCTTTAATAGAGATGGGGTTTCACCATGTTGGCTAGGCTGGTCCCAAACTCCTGACCTCAAGTAATCCGCCCACCTCGGCCTCCCAAAGTGCTGAGATTACAAGCATGTGCCACCGCGCCTGGCCAAGCAAAGCTATTTTGATGACTAATCTCTTAAATAGTTTCTGATGCAGCAGGCATATTCATTCAACTTTAACTTGCCTCATTTCACCTACAGGATTGACTTTCATCTGTGAATGAAGATGACTTCCACTGAATCTTTAAAAAAATCATATTATAAACACTGATTGTTGTAGCTCTGTTAAGCTTAAACTTCCTACATTTCTCCTTACAAGTTTAATAATGTATTTTTTAAAGGTGTGGGTAAATACAGGCTCCATAATAATATCTACAAATGAACCTTTAGCATATCCATTCTTCAAATGCCTACAGCCCTTGGATGCTAACAGCCTCAGATAGAATCTGAGTCCCGCCTATGTTTGCCAAACAATCCTGGCTTATAGGGTAATTGAGAAATCTCCGGAACTATTTTCATTATTCCCTCAGACTAGATCTGTCCTCATGTAAGTATTAAGGCTATAAACAGTTTAATTTTATTTTTTTCTTATTAGCTTAATCAAATGTGCCATGTGAAAATTATTCTTGTGGGATGAACAGATATTTGATAAAGCACATATAGTAATTTTTAATTGTAGATCTTGGTGATGGGCATATGAATATTCACTGTATAGTTCTTTCAACTTTTTAAATTTGAACGTTTTTAAAGTAAAATGTTTAAAATCTCCTTTGTAAAATATTTATCATATATTCTACAGATATTTATTAACTCCTGCTGTATACCAGGCACTGGTATATGATGGGAAAGGAGCTTACAGTTTAAGGCAACAATCCTGCAGAACTGGCTTATGTTGAACTTGGAACCCAAAGCTGAGGAACAAATATTCTTTGTCTTTTTTTTTTTGAGACGGAGCTTTGCTCTTGTTGCCCAGACTGGAGTACAATGGCGTGATCTTGGCTCACTGCAATCTCTGCCTCCCGAGTTCAAGTGATTCTCCTGCCTCAGCCTCCCAAGTAGCTGGGATTACAGGCATGAACCACCACGCCCAGCTAATTTTGTATTTTTAGTAGAGACAGAGTTTCTCCATGTTGGTCATGCTGGTCTCAAACTCCCAACCTCAGGTGATCCTCCCACCTCAGCCTCCCAAAGTGCTGGGATTACAGGCGTAAGCCACCATGCCTTGCCCATATATTCTTTTAGTTGAAACAGGAAAACCCCTCTGAGCCTACCCAGCCTACAGGGGTGAGGGTCCCCAGTTATGTGCCTGTTGATAGTGAGCCAATCGAAGACTTTGAACAAATGATTGAAAAGCCAATCAGAAAGCTCCATTACCCACTCCCATATCCTCCACATCACTTCCAAAAGTCCTACCCGAAGAGGGCATACCACCCAATAGAACACTGACCAACCAAATATTGGCCTAAGGCTTCCTCATTTTATTCTGCAAAACCCACTGTCCTTTCAAATCTCTTTGAGTCTCTACCAGTTTCCTTCCTTGCAATTGCAGCTCACTCCTTTGCTACAGTAAGCTCTGAATAAGTAGCCATTGATGAACTCAACAGGCATCTTCATCCTTTTGATATTCCTCAACTATAGTCATCTACATGTTTAATTGAAATCAGTTGTGACAACTCTTCAAAAACAAATACGGTGCCTACATTTCTTTTCTCTATAATTCCATACTCCTTTGTACTGCAGTCTGCTTCTAACAGGGAAGGGGATCAAGTTACAGGTAGCTTGCCTAGAATGGCATATAACCCACTGTGCCTCCTTGTTCGAGAAGGTCATCTATACTGTGATTTTCCAGGCGAAAAATGTTGAGGACCACTGAGTATTCAACTTGACGCATCTATGGGTTGGTGCCTATATTTTGAACAAAATAGAATCAATTGCTCTGCGATAAACTGAGTTTCTCCTGGAATCTAGTTAGTGAGATCAACAGATGAAACTAGAGAGCTGGATTTTACACCACTTGTCTCTTAACAAGGACAGCAAATACATGAATTGTGCTTAATATATGCCACTGATACTTAACAGAAATAACTCACATATTCACAACAGCCCCAGGCAAAGCAGGCAACATTATCCTCATTTTACAGATAAGAAAACAGAGGCACAAAAGTGAACTTCCCCCAAGGTCACAAAGGCAAGTGACAGAACCAGGTTACAAACTCAGACAGTCAGCTTCCAAAATCTATGCTCTTATCCAATATGCTACACTTCCTCTACTTAGGGTTTTATATTATTTAAGGCATTTATTTCTATGAATGTCAGGGGAAAAAACATTAGCATAAAAAAATTACCAACTACTCTCTCCTCAATGGGACTATTCTGTAGCTTAAAAAAAATAAGATACCCTACATAAGCAATGACAAGGTAACCATTTATGAATGCCTGACTGGTAGCCTGGCTGTGGGGCTTCATCTTTTATTAATATGGAAGGGGAACACTGCTTTCCTTTGTATGGCCTTATAAAGATTTACTTAAAAAGAAAACTGCTTCATATACTAATATCGGAATAAGATTTGGTAAAGTTCAATCATAACTCTTGGGACACAGACTTCTCCACATGATTGGCACAGAAGGAAAAGTGCCAATTCTGCTTTTTTGCTAATGTATTTGGTCAATTCCTGAGATAGTCATTGTGCTCTGTTTCACGAGGAGCAAAGTTTTTATGCTTTATAGCAGATCAAAGACTCTGCCCTTTTCCTCTAACTTTCCTGCTCAGCCAATTATTTTCCACTTTCTGTCATTTAGTGGTAAGCACACGCTGAGCAAGAACTTCCATATAGAAGCAGGCCTAGCTGCACTAAATATACTGGATGTACTGGCTTCTCTACCTACATCTTAAGGGGTAGAAAAGTTAACCACCTGTGTTCATATGGCTAGTTGTCATAATAAATGTAAAGAGAATGTCCCTCCCCATTTCTATTCTGGAAAATGGCAATTTATTTTATACCTAGCTCAACATCATTAAAACAGAGGCAATCATTTTATTAGGAACCTTGAAATAGTTGTCTTAAGCCCTTATCAGCACATGTGATAGGCCTGGACAGCTTACGGAATTAGGGCAACTAAGGAAAACTGAAGGTGTCTAACTGCTACTTAAAATACATGTTAATGTTTCTCATAATGCAGGTCTGAGGATAAATAAGTTTTCTCACCTTTTGTTTAACTATTTTACCCTCTTTTGGAAAGTTATTTTTAATGGAAATAGAATTCTGGGTTGACTTTTTCTCTTTAAGCTCATTAAAGATAGTCCGTTGTCAGCTGGGCACGGTGGCTCACGCCTGTAACCCCAGGACTTTGGGAGGCTGAGGTGGGAGGATCACCTGAAGTCAGGAGTTTGAGACCAGCCTGGCCAACATGGCAAAACCCTGTCTCTACTAAAAATACAAAAATTAGCCAGGCCTGGTGGCGCCCACCTGTAATTCCAGCTACTCGGGAGGCCGAGGCTGGAGAAGCTCTTAAACTGGGGAGGTGGAGGTTGCAGTGAGCCGATGTTGTGCCATTGCATTCCAGCCTGGACGACAAGAGTGAGACTCCATCACAAAAAAAAAAAAAAAAAAAAAAAAAAGTCCATTGTCTTTTGGACTCTATTGTTTCTGATGAGAAGTTAGCTGTCATTGTATTGTTGTTCCTCTGGAAATTATGTGTCATCCTCTCATTCCCAGAAGCTTATAAGGTTTTTCTCTTTAAATAGTCTGATTATGATGTCCCTAGGTATAGTTCTCTGCATTTATCCTGCTTGGGGTTTGTTGGCTGTCTGGGATTTGTAAATTATTATTTCACCAATTTTAGGTAATTTTTTATCTTTTTTCAAATATTTTATCCTTTTCTTGCTCTCCTCTTCCTGTAGGACTCCTATTTGAGTTTTGTTAGACTGTTTGATAACTTCCTAAGTATTACTGAGGCTCCTAATTTTTTCCAACCATTTCTTCTGTAGGTCTTCAGAATATAATTTCTATTGATCTACCTTCAAGTTGACCAACTCTGACAGTTTCAGTCTCCAATTTGCTGTTAAACCTATGCAATCAAGTTTTAAATTTCAGATAGAGTATTTTTTGGTTGTAGAGTTTCCACTTGATTCTTTTTGGGAGTTTCCATTTCTCAGCTGAGATTTCCCATCTGGGCACACTTCTATTGTCTTCTTTTTTCCTACAGTCTGGCCTGGGGTCCCTTGTTCCAGCTTTTTAGCATTACTGATAATTTTTTACTAGATGCTGAACATTGTGGATGAAAAATTTTAGAAGCTCTGAACTATTATTACCTTCCTTCAAAGAGGGTTAAGTTTTCTTGTTGAAGGAAGGCTAGGTAACGGATTCCTTTGAAACTTGGTTGTAGGCATTGTTAAGTCTGGCCTATTTAAGTTTTCCTTACTCTTCTGGCACAGCCACCCTGAGGTCTTGATTTAAAGCTTAAGTGCTTACCAACCCCACTCTACTTGAACTCCAGCAACTGTCTCCCCAGCATTTCATAGCTGCTAATGTCTCTGTTTGGCTCTTCAGCCTCCCTGCTGTTGTTTTCTTCTAAGATTCTTTTTTTAGGCTTTTTTTCTTTCTAAGGTTCTTGAAGTTTTACTCTTTGCATGAATATTTTAAGGGTCCAACAATGGCCAGGCGCGGTGGCTCACGCCTATAATCCCAGCACTTTGGGAGGCTGAGGCGGGCAGATTGAGGTCAGGAGATTGAGACCATCCTGGCTAACACGGTGAAACCCCGTCTCTACTAAAAATACCAAATATTAGTCGGGCGTGGTGTTGGGCGCCTGTAGTCTCAGCTACTCGGGAGGCTGAGGCAGGAGAATTGCTTGAACCCAGGAGGCGGAGGTTGCAGTGAGCCGAGATCTCGCCACTGCACTCCAGCCTGGGCGATGGGAGCAAGACTCTGTCTCAAAAAAAAAAAAAAAAAGAGTCCAACAATGGCTTGAGGGAAATTGTATGAAATTCCTTGTTTTTTGTTATTTTTTGTTGTTGTTGTTTGTTTGTGATTCCTCACTTTCTAAGGTTTTGTCCCTCAAGTTCAAGATACTTTGATAGCTCTACACACTGGCTGTTGTCCCTTTACTTGCTAAGACTGCCACTTTCAGCTTCAAGTCTTTTCATGCATGCTGCAGTTTGGAAAATGTGCTCGGGGAAAAACCAGGGTAATCGTGGAGCTTCCTCCCTGGGTTTTCTGTCTGGAGCACTGTAACCCATCAAGTCCCGCCTGCCTAAGTTGGCTGCTCCCCAGTGTTTTCTTTATGTTTCAGATGTAGTGTTTTAGGTGGGATGGTTAATCAGCTACAAGATGGCTTTTCACAGCCAGAAGTGGAAGTCATAATCTGACGTTTGATATGCCATGTTTATTTGTTTACATGTTTATTGTCTTTCCCTCTCTTCTCCTAGCACCCTCCATCAGAATGTCGACTCTGTGAGGACAGGCATTTTGTTCAATTAATATCTCCTCATAAAAGGCGCTCAATAAATATTTATTGTATTCAGTCATCAATCACTGAAATCCAGAACAAGGGGAAGTAAAACCTATTGATACCGAGAAATGACAGGTAAAATAAAATTCAGAGTGATCATATGGTAGTCACTTAACAAAATGTGAATTTTGTTATGCTTTGTATAACCTCATTGTAAGCAAGACAAAACTTGCCTCCAATAAAACCAAGTCTTCTGTGGGAAGCTGAGACTAGCCCTTGCTTTCTATAGTGAGGCTGACTCTGAGGCCCAAGATCTGATCTTGAAAGGAAAATCCATCTTCAACAGCTCAGGCTGTTACAACAAAATACCATGGACTGGGCACCTTACATAACAGGAATTTATTTCTTATAGTTCTGAACACTGGAAGTCCAAGATCAAGGTGCCAGCAGGGTCAGTGTCTGGTGAAGTCTCTCTCCTTGGGTTGCAGATGACTGTCTTCTCGCCATGTTTTCACATGGCCTTTCCTTAGTGTATACAGGTAGAGAGAGAGAGAGAGAAAGCAAGTGAGAGAGAGAACACCCATGCACAAACATGAGTGCACTCTGGTGTCTTTTCTTATTACTATTATTATTATTTTTAAAGATAGGGTGTTGCACTAAAACCCAGGCTGGAACACAGTGACATGACCATAGCTCATTGCAGCCTTGACCTCCTGGGCTCAAGCAATCCTCTCACCTCAGCCTCCCAAGTAGCTGGGACTACAGGCACACACCACCATGCCCGGCTATTTTTTATTATTATTTTTAATAGAGACAGGGTCTCACTATGTTGCCCAGGCTGGTCTTGAACTCCTGGCCTCAAGTGATACTCCTGTCTTGGCCTGGGATCCCAAAGGGCTGGGATTACAAGTGTGAGCCACTGCACCTGGCCCGTGCTCTTCTTGTAAGGGCACTAATCCTATTGGGGGCCCTACCCTCATGACCTCATCAAACCCTAATTACCCCCGAAAGGCCCCAGCCCCAAATACCATCACATGGGTGTGTTAGCGCTTCAATATATGAATTTTAGAGGGACACAAACATTCAGTTCATAACAGTGAGGGTGGATCAGATCCCAGCTGGTGGTTGGGTGGGCCACCTCAGCTTTTTAACCTGAGGTCTCTTGTCCTATTTGTGTAGCCCCCGACTCCTCTCTTTTTTCCCATTCAGTTAGATATTTAGTTGTAGTATTTCTGCATGGTGTATATGATGTTTTAGTGGTTTAAAAACTGTGCACACTTTGGGAGGCCAAGGTGGGCGTATTACCTAAGGTCAGGAGTTCAAGACTAGCCTGGCCAACATGGTGAAACCCCATCTCTACTAAAAATATAAAAAATTAGTAGGGTGCATTGGCACGCGCCTGTAATCCCAGATACTCAGGAGGCTGAGGCAGGAGAATTGCTTGAACTCGGGAGGCAGAGGCTGCTGTGAGCTGAGATCACACCACCATGCTCCAGCCTGGGCAACAGAGCAAGACTCCATCTCAACAACAACAACAACAACAACAACAACAAAATGTGTACAAACCCAACCATAACCAAGAGAATTTTGGTTTTCCTTTATTATCTGAGCAGGCAGACTTACTCTGGAATGGAAAACATTCCTGCAGTTAATTTGTTTTTGCTCTGCTCTTGCCACCTTAAATCCAGAAGTCCTCCAAACCTAGCACAGCTTTTTTCTATCTCCAGAAATAGCATTTTTAATAATTCTGTGTTGCATTCATTCAGGTTGTTCCAGTATCTAACAAAATTTTCTTTCAAAAACAAGACTTTTGTAGTTGTTAAAGATTCAATTCCAACGTATTTCCTACAGCTGTCACATTCAAATAGGTTAAAGGTAAAAAATATATATAAGTTGCTGAAACGAATTCTACTGAAGTTTAAAATCTACAGCCTCTTTTTCTTCTTCTGGTACAGCAGTGCTTTTTCTTATGGGTTTCCAAATGAAGCCATTTTAATGAAAAAAAAATGCCAAGGCACAAAGCTGAAATGTACACCAATACTTTGCTTTGCTGTGACCTTGGAGCTCTCAATAAGTGTGTCTGCATATCCCTGAATAATTAACAAAATGGGTTTTTCATGGCTTTGATCACTTTCTAAGCTGGTCTCTTGATTTACCTAGGCAATGGCCTCTTTTTCATATGAGAATGCCTCTTCAGAAGGCAACAAGATTGTGAATCCAAACTTTGATCTATATCCTTTGATTATGGGAAAAATATGAATGTAATTTACTTATTAGAAACCATGTAATTTTTGAAGCCTCAGCTGGCAAGTACAGCCAAGGTGTGGTGTGTAGTTTATATTTATATATATGCCTTCAGGGTCCCACTCAAAGAGTTCTCACTTCCTAATCCTAACTACATATTTCCCTAGTAATGATAGTTGATGGCTGGTTTGTGATTGCTTTAAAAAGTGATTTAATTTTCATCAGTTTTTTTTTTCCTTACTCCTAAGGAAGTAGTTTTTCCCTGTTTAGAATTTAAAGACAATTGGTGGATTCCAGAAATTCAGCAAATGTCAACTAGAAAGGGAAATTTGAACTTGAGCTTTAGAACAATTTGAACTGAATATTTTTTTGTTTTGTGACTTATATACTGAAATACCTACACATTTATAGTGTTTCAAGTCATTTGTGACTTTTCAAGCTATCTACATTTGCCATGTAATGCGAAGATTAAGTGTGAAATCTGCATTTAACTTAATTAATATGTGTTATTAGCTCAAGGGCACGAAAGAGTTCATCTACAGACATCAAATATGTAATATTTATCAACTACTAAATTGTTATCCTTCATCACTAATTGATAGAGCCTTAAACTGTAACACTGTTGTTAAACTATTTGAGTTGAAAGGATTTCCCTCTCTATAGGAACTGGGTGGTAAGCCCTTAGCAGGGTGGGAATATATTTCTATTGTTCCCTCAGGAAGTTAAAATGCAAGACATATAAATGTTCATATGACTAAAATCTCTTAGGAAGCTCTGTGTAAAAGCAATAGATGTATTTTTTTCAATTTCATTTCCATATTAGCCTTAGGGTGAAAATTCAATTTTAATATCTTAATGTTTATTTCTATTCAGAACTTGTAGAAATGAATATGTCTGGACCCAGAGGTTAAGAATATAACTAAGGTAAATATAAATTTTAGTATGAAATTTTCGGTTGCATTTCTCACTACCTGACAGTTTAGGATTTTTAAAAAAATCTAAATAGATTATAAAATAAAGTTCTGGGGCAAATTCCCTAACAGCCCTGGTCTTTCCTGATACTGAATCAGAGATTATAACTTTATAGCACTCATTTTGGCAATTAATCATAGACTGCTTAACTGTTCACTGTATAACTGTCTTACCTTCCCAAAAAGATTATAAAAAACTTAAAGCGGAAGATGGCCGAATAGGAACAGCTCCAGTCTACAGCTCCCAGCGTGAGCGACGCAGAAGACGGGTGATTTCTGCATTTCCAACTGAGATACCAGGTTCATCTCACTGGGGCCTGTAGGACAGTGGGTGCAGGACAGTGGGTGCAGCCCACCGAGCATGAGCCGAAGCAGGGCGAGGCATCGCCTCACCCCGGAAGCACAAGGGGTCAGGGAATTCTCTTTTCTAGCCAAGGGAAGCTGGGACAGATGGCACCTGGAAAATTGGGCCACTCCCATCCTAATACTGTGCTTTTCCAATGATACTAGCAAATGGCACATCAGGAGATTATACCCTGTGCCTGGCTTGGAGGGTGCCACGCCCACGGAGCCTCTTTCATTGCTAGCACAACAGTCTGAGTTCTAACTGCAAGGCAGCAGCAAGGCTGGGGGAGGGGCGCCTGCCATTGCTGAGGCTTAAGAAGGTAAACAAAGTGGCCAGGAAGCTCAAACTGGGTGGAGCCCATCTCAGCTCAAGGAGGCCTGCCTGCCTCTGTAGACTCCACCTCTGGGGGCAGGGCATAGCTGAACAAAAGGCAGCAGAAACTTCTGCAGACTTAAATGTCCCTGTCTGACAGCTTTGAAGAGAGTAGTGGTTCTCCCAGCATGGAGTTTGAGATCTGAGAACAGACAGACTGCCTCTTCAAGTGGGTCCCTGACCCCCGAGTAGCCTAATTTGGAGGCACCCCCCAGTAGGGGCAGACTGACACCTCACATGGGCAGATACCCCTCTGAGATGAAGCTTCCAGAGGAATGATCAGGCAGCAACATTTGCTGTTCAGCAATATTTGCTGTTCCGCAGCCTCTGCTGTTGATACCCAGGCAAACAGGGTCTGGAGTGGACCTCCAGCAAACTCCAACAGACCTGCAGCTGAAGGTCCTGACTGTTAGAAGGAAAACTAACAAACAGAAAGGATATCCACACCAAAACGCCATCTGTACGTCACCATCATCAAAGATCAAAGGTAGATAAAACCACAAAGATGGGGAAAAACAGAGCAGAAAAGCTAGAAATTCTAAAAATCAGAGCGCCTCTCCCCCTCCAAAGGAACACAGCTCCTCACCAGCAATGGAACAAAGCTGGACGGAGAATAACTTTGACAAGTTGAGAGAAGAAGGCTTCAGATGATCAAACTTCTTCGAGCTAAAGGAGGAAGTTTGAACCCATCACAAAGAAGCTAAAAACCTTGAAAAAAGATTAGACAAATGGCTAACTAGAATAACCAGTGTAGAGAAGTCCTTAAATGGCCTAATGGAGCTGAAAACCATGGCACGAGAACTACGTGACAAATGCACAAGCTTCAGTAGCCGATTTGATCAAGTGGAAGAAAGGGTATCAGTGATTGAAGATCAAATGAATGAAACGAAGCGAGAAGAGACGTTTAGAGAAAAAAGAGTAAAAAGAAATGAACAAAGCCTCCAAGAAATATGGGACTATGAAAAGACCAAACCTACATCTGATTGGTGTACCTGAAAGTGACGGGGAGAATGGAACCAAGTTGGAAAACACTCTGCAGGATATTATCCAGGAGAACTTCCCCAACCTAGCAAGGCAGACCAACATTCAAATTCAGGAAATAGAGAATGCCACAAAGATACTCCTCGAGAAGAGCAACCCCAAGACACATAATTGTCAGATTCACCAAAGTTGAAATAAAGGAAAAAATGTTAAAGGCAGCCAGAGAGAAAGGTCGGGTTACACACAAAGGGAAGCCCATCAGACTAACAGCAGATCTCTCGGCACAAACTCTACAAGCCAGAAGAGAGTGGGGGCCAATATTCAACATTCTTAAAGAAAAGAATTTTCAACCCAGAATTTCTGATCCAGGCAAACTAAGCTTCATAAGTGAAGGAGAAATAAAATCCTTTACAGACAAGCAAATGCTGAGAGATTTTGTCACCCCCAAGCTCTTGTAGGCCTACCCTACAAGAGCTCCTGAAGGAAGCACTAAACATGGAAAGGATCACCGGTACCAACCACTGCAAAAACATGCCAAATTGTAAAGATAATCAATGCTAGGAAGAAACCGCATCAACTAACGAGCAAAATAACCAGCTAACATCATAATGACAGGATCAAATTCACACATAACAATATTAACCTTAAATGTAAATGGGCTAAATGCTCCAATTAAAAGACACAGACTGGCAAACTGGATAGAGTCAAGACCCATCAGTGTGCTGTGTTCAGGAGACCCATCTCACATGCACAGACACACACAGGCTCAAAATAAACGGATGGAGGAAGATCTACCAAGTAAATGGAAAACAAAAAAAGGCAGGGGTTGCAATCCTAGTCTCTGATAAAACAGACTTTAAACCAACAAAGGTCAAAAGAGACAAAGAAGGTCATTACATAATGGTAAAGGGATCAATTCAACAAGAAGAGCTAACTATCCTAAATATACATGCTCCCAATACAGGAGCACCCAGATTCATAAAGCAAGTCCTTAGAGACCTACAAAGAGACTTAGACTCCCACACAATAATAATGGGAGACTTTAACACCCCACTGTCAACATCAGACAGATGAACAAGACAGAAAGTTAACAAGGATATCCAGGAATTGAACTCAGCTCTGCACCAAGCAGACCTAATAGGCATATACAGAACTCTCCACCCCAAATCAACAGAATATACATTCTTCTCACACCACATCACACTTATTCCAAAACTGACCACATAGTTGGAAGTAAAGCACTCCTCAGCAAATGTAAAAAACAGAAATTATAACAAACTGTCTCTCAGACCACAGTGCAATCAAACTAGAACTCAGGATTAAGAAACTCACTCAAAACCGCTCAACTACATGGAAACTGAACAACCTGCTCCTGAATGACTACTGGGTACATAATGAAATGAAGGCAGAAGTAAAGATGTTCTTTGAAACCAATGAGAACAAAGACACAACATACCAGTATCTCTGGGACACATTTAAAGCAGTGTGTAGAGGGAAATGTATAGCCCTAAATGCCCACAAGAGAAAGCAGGAAAGACCTAAAATTGACACCCTAACATCACAATTAAAAGAACTAGAGAAGCAAGAGCAAACACATTCAAAAGCTAGCAGAAGGCAAGAAATAACTAAGGTCAGAGCAGAACTGAAGGAGATAGAGACACAAAAAAAACCCTTCAAAAAATCAATGAATCCAGGAGGTGGTTTTTTGAAAAGATCAACAAAATTGATAGACCACTAGCGAGACTAATAAAGAAGAAAAGAGAGAAGAATCAAATAGATGCAATAAAAAATGATAAAGGGGATATCACCACCAATCCCACAGAAATATAAACTACCATCAGAGAATACTATAAACACCTCTATGCAAATAAACTAGAAAATCTAGAAGAAATGGATAAATTCCTGGACACATACACCCTCCCAAGACTAAACCAGGAAGAAGCTGAATCCCTGAATAGACCAATAACAGGCTCTGAAATTGTGGCAATAATTAATAGCCTACCAACCAAAAAAAGTCCAGGACCAGACAGATTCACAGCCGAATTCTACCAGAGGTACAGGGAGGAGCTGGTACAATTCTTTCTGAAATTACTCCAATCAACAGAAAAAAAGGGAATCCTCCCTAACTCATTTTATGAGGCCAGCATCATCCTGATACCAAAGCCGGGCAGAGATACAACAAAAAAAGAGAATCTTAGACCAATATCCCTGATGAACATCGATGCAAAAATCCTCAATAAAATACTGGCAAACCAAATCCAGCAGCACATCAAAAAGCTTATCCACCATGATCAAGTGGGCTTCATCCCTGGGATGCAAGGCTGGTTCAACATGCGAAAATCAATAAACGTAATCCAGCATATAAATAGAACCAAAGACAAAAACCACATGATTATCTCAATAGATGCAGAAAAGGCCTTTGACAAAATTCAACAGTCCTTCATGCTAAAAACTCTCAATAAATTAGGTATTGATGGGACGTATCTCACAATAATAAGAGCTATTTATGACAAACCCACAGCCAATATCATACTGAATGGGTAAAAACTAGAAGCATTCCCTTTGAAAACTGGCACAAGACAGGGATACCCTCTCTCACCACTCCTATTCAACATAGTGTTGGAAGTTCTGGCCAGGGCAATCGGGCAGGAGAAAGAAATAAAGGGTATTCAATTAGGAAAAGAGGAAGTCAAATTGTCCCTGTTTGCAGATGACATGATTGTATATTTAGAAAACCCCATCATCTCAGCCCAAAATCTCCTTAAGCTGATAAGCCACTTCAGCAAAGTCTCAGGATACAAAATCAATGTGCAAAAATCACATGCATTCTTATACACCAGTAACAGACAGAGAGCCAAATTATGAGTGAACTCCCATTCACAATTGCTTCAAAGAGAATAAAATACCTAGGAATCCAACTTACAAGGGATGTGAAGGACCTTTTCAAGGAGAACTACAAACCACTGCTCAACAAAATAAAAGAGGACACAAACAAATGGAAGAACATTCCATGCTCATGGATAGGAAGAATTAATATCATGAAAATGGCCATACTGCCCAAGGTAATTTATAGATTCAGTGCCATCCCCATCAAGCTACCAGTGATTTTCTTCACAGAACTGGAAAATAAACTACTTTAAAGTTCATATGGAACAAAAAAAGAGCCCACATTGCCAAGACAATCCTAAGCAAAAATATAGAAGCTGGAGGCATCATGCTACCTGACTTCAAACTATACTACAAGGCTACAGTAACCAAAACAGCATGGTACTGGTACCAAAACAGAGATATAGACCAATGGAACAGAACAGAGCCCTCAGAAATAATACCACACATCTACAACCATCTGATCTTTGAGAAACCTGACAAAAACAAGAAATGGGGAAAGGATTCCCTATTTAATAAATGGTGCCGAGAAAACTGGCTAGCCATATGCAGAAAGCTGAAACTGGATCCCTTCCTTACACCTTATACAAAAATTAATTCAAGATGGATTAAAGACTTAAATGTTAGACCTAAAACCATAAAAACCCTAGAAGAAAACCTAGGCAATATCATTCAGGACATAGGCATGGGCAAGGACTTCATGTCTAAAACACCAAAAGCAATGGCAACAAAAGCCAATATTGATAAATGGGATCTAATTAAACTAAAGAGCTTCTGCACAGCAAAAGAAACTACCATCAGAGTGAACAGGCAACCTACAGAATGGGAGAAAATTTTTGTAATCTACTCATCTGACAAAGAGCTAATATCCAGAATCTACAAAGAACTCAAACAAATTTACAAGAAAAAAACAAACAACCCCATCAAAAAGTGGGCAAAGGATATGAACAGACACTTCTCAAAAGAAGACATTTATGCAGCCAACAGACACATGAAAAAATGCTCATCATCACTGGCCATCAGAGAAATGCAAATCAAAACCACAATGAGATACCATCTCACACCAGTTAGAATGGCCATCATTAAAAAGTCAGGAAACAGCAGGTGCTGGAGAGGATGTGGAGAAATAGGAACACTTTTACACTGTTGGTGGGACTGTAAACTAGTTCAGCCATTGTGGAAGACAGTGTGGTGATTCCTCAAGGATCTAGAACTAAAAATACCATTTGACCCAGCCATCCCATTACTGGGTATATACCCAAAGGATTATAAATCATGCTGCTATAAAGACACATGCACACGTATGTTTATTGCAGCACTATTCACAATAGCAAAGACTTGGAACCAACCCAAATGTCCATCAACGATAGACTGGATTAAGAAAATGTGGCACATATACACCATGGAATACTATGCAGCCATAAAAAAGGATGAGATCATGTCCTTTGTAGGCACATGGATGAAGCTGGCAACCATCATTCTCAGCAAACTATCGCAAGGACAAAAAACCAAACACTGCATGTTCTCACTCATAGGTGGGAATTGAACAATGAGAACACTTGGACACAGGAAGGGGAACATCACACACTGGGGCCTGTTGTGGGGTGGGGGCAGGGGGAGGGATAGCATTAAGAGATATACCTAATGTAAATGACGAGTTAATGGGTGCAGCACATCAACATGGCACATATATACATATGTAACAAACCTGCACGTTGTGCACATGTACCCCAGGACTTAAAGTATAACAATAATAAAAAAAGAAAACATACACACACACACAAATAAGTGGTAGCCAACATTAAAAAAAAAATAAAAAACTTAGCGTAAGGTTATAACACTGCCATAATACCTAGTCTCTAGGACTTAATTACTTCCTTTAAAATGTTTCTAAAATTAATCATAATTTTTAGTATGACGTTAGCAGGCACATATGCCAAAATTGCTCACAACAAAGATACAGGTGATTAGAAAATTATTGAAGTCTTTCTTTTCCTTAACTTGAATTCTTAAAAATGATGTCTTTTGGCTGGGTGCGGTGGCTCATGCCTGTAATCCCAGCACTTTGGGAAGCCGAGGCAGATGGATCACCTGAGGTCAGGAGTTCAAGACCAGCCTGACCAACATGGTGAAACCCCATCTCTACTAAAAATACAAAAAGTAGCCAGGTGTGGTAGCACGTGCCTGTAATCCCAGCTACTCGGGAGGCTGAGGCAGGAGAATTGCTTGAACCCGGGAGGCAGAGGTTGCAGTGAGCTGAGATTGTGCCATTGCACTCCAGCCTGGGGGACAAAAGCAAAACTCTGTCTCAAAACAAAAAAAAGATGTCTTTTTAAAAATCTAAAATGCATATATATCTTAAATTCATATCTTTCAAAGGGAACCATGCAAGTTTCTAATATATATATACATGTATATATGTATATGTATACATATATGTATACATATATACATGTATATATGTATATGTATACATATATGTATACATATATACATGTATATATGTATATGTATACGTATATGTATACATATATACATGTATATATGTATATGTATATGTATATATGTATATGTATATACACACACACACATATATATACACACACACACATATATATGTGTGTGTGTGTATATATATATATATATTTTTTTGAGATAAGGTCTCGCTCTGTCTCCCAGGCTGGAATGCAATGGTGTGATCCCAGCTCACTGTAGCCTCAACCTCCCAGGCTCAAGCAATCCTCCCATCTCAGCCTCCCAAGTAGTACCACCAAACCTGGCTAATTTATATATTTTTTAATGGAGTTGGGGTCTGGCCATGTTGCCCACGCTGGTCTCGAACTCCTGGGCTCAAGTGAACCTTCTGCCTCGGCCTCCCAAAGTACTGGGCTTATAGGCATGAGCTACTGCACCTGGCCTCTAATATAAATTTTAAAACGAACAATAATAAAGGACAATTGTCATCACTCATGGCCATATCTGAGTATTCTGGATTCTATAATCTAGAGAAATTTAGGTTACTGAACATCAAAATCACAAAGAGGCCACCTAACCACTTTTACTGGTGTTCTATAGGGTGGGAAAAGGATGTGATACAGAAGAAAAAAATAGCTAAAGCTTTTTGTCTCTGGTTTTGGGAGATAAGTAAAGAAGAAAGGGAGTCTGGTATTTATGTCTCTCTACCTCTTGGTTCCCACATTTCCAGGAAGATTTGATGTTTTAGAACAGCAGTATGCAAACTGGGGTAAGTACATGAAAGTCTAGAGGTTAAATACATGTAAAGTTCTCTTAAGTAAGCAGGTATGGATAGTTTAAAAGAATTAGTTCTCAGATCCTCAAGTACCATGTCTATTCTCTTCTGAAAGTGATCTTCCTGAGAATGTTCTTGGGGAGACATCATTCTGGTTAACTCTCTCTTCACAAGTATCCTTCTCTGTCACTCCATTGCTATGACATGCCATGTAGGCCACTGGCCACACCATACCCCCACAAATCTCAGCTTTGTTCTGGAGACAGATTTCCAACCCAGAATACTACACACAGCCTAACCAGTAAACAAATAGACATACAAATGAGTGGAATAAAGAGATTTTAAAGCATTCAAACTAAAAAAGAAAAAATAATCATGCACTTTTTCTCAGGGACCTATTGGAGGATGTGCTCCAACAAAAAGAGGGAGTAAACCCAGAGACAGGTGATCCCCAACATAGGAGAAATATGAAGGGAATCCTGGGAGTGATAATAAGATAACTCACTAAGTATCACCGGGAGTGATACAAAGAGTAACTTAAGGATATCTTAAGGTTAGTAGCTATAGTAGACTAGAGAGAAATCCATCCAAGTTCAAAGGAAAAAGCATGAGGACAAGTAGGGATGTTTCAAGAAGAAAGAAAAATGGATAGATTATCTGTTGTGTTTCAATGTACTGAGAAATAATTTCCAATTCTGATGAAAACTTCAAAGATGACCAATACATAGAAAATTAAGTGAATGAAAAACATGTGACAAATAATGAGACTGCAGTTGTACAAGAAAAGTTATACAGGAAAAAATAATCATAGCACAATATATGTTTTAGTTATAAAAATATTTACTGGCTTATAATAATTTGAATACCTCCAAGAATTGGGATATAACACTTTTGGGAGAATGAGAGAAGAAACAATATGTATGTGTGTGAGTGTGTGGTTATATAAAAGAATTAAAGCATTACATTTATGAAAGTTAGTCAACAGTTAATGCCCTAATGCTAAGGTCTAACCTAAACAAGAAAATCCAGAAATAGTAGTTTACACTGGTAATAGAGCAAGAAGATTTTAGAAATCAGATAGGGAGCTTTGAGTGTGATAGGCAGAATAATGGCCCCCAAACATATCCACATCTTAATCCCCAGAAACTGTGAGTATATTGCCTTTTCTGACAAAAGGAACTTTGCAGGTGTGATTAAGTTAAGGATCTTGAGATGGGGAGATTATCCTGGATTTATCTAAATGCAGACAATCTAATCACCTGAATCTTTCACAGCAGGTTATCTTTTCTGGCTGAAGTCAGGAAGAGGGAGAAAGATGCAAAGTCTGACAAGAGTTGGACCTGCCATTGCTGGCTTTGAAGATGAAGGAGAGGCCCTGAGCCAAAGAATGTGGATGGCCTTTGGAACTTAGGAATGGGGAAATGAGGATCTCAGTTCTACAACCTCCAAGAACTAAATTCTGCCAGCAACCTAAATGAGCAAGTAAACAGATTCTCTACAAGAGTCTCTAGGAAGGAACTCAGTGCTTTGAACATGTACATTTTAGCTCAATGAGACCTATGCTGCACTTACCATCTCCACCCTGTCAGATGATACATCTGGGTTATTTGAAGTCACTAAGTGTGTGACATTTGCCACAGCAGCCAACAGAAATCTGTTGAGGTACAGTGAAGAAGAGATATTTTAAATTTTGTGGTACTTTTTACATGAATACATTTGTTTTAAATATGTAACAGTTTTAAAACTTCAGTAAAGTAAGAATTTATGGATATTTTCTTGATGCGATTAAAAATATTTAATTAAAACCATCAGCCTCCTTCTGGCTTCTCTTCCATCAGGTACATTTACACATGAATTCTGGTGGCTTATGTAGTCCATGAAATGGGAGAAAGGACCCTGATTCCCAGTTCATTTTGATGTTCCCCTAAGCTTATACTGACATAGCTGTTGTGGTTTAAAGTTGTGGTTGCAAAGTTTTTGACATTCCTACTACTAAGGGGGTTATGAGCCCTTCCCTTTTATCTGGGCTGGCTTGTGACTGAGTTGACCAGTAAATAGTACCTGTGACCGTAGAGGACTTCTGTTGTAGGTTATAAAAGACCATGGTGCTCTGTCTCATTCACTCTTGGAGTCCTGAGCCACCATCTACAATGTCTGGCTGCACTGAGATCATCATGCTGCACAAGCCACATGTAGGTGCTCTGCTCAACCAACCCTCCTAAGTGGATTCTTCAGCCATCTTTGACCAGACACATGCACAAAGCCTTCCTGTGTAGGAAACTATCTTAGAACCCTCCAGCCCAGCCCACCTGTCAGCTGAATAACACTGAATGATCTTTGCCAACCCTTCTTAGAACAGAAGAACCACCCAGCTGATCCCTATCCAAATTCCAGACCCACAAAATCAGGAGATGTAATAAATTGTTGTAAGTCAACAATTTAAAGTTTTGGGACAGTTTGCTATGTAACAATAGATGCCTACAATATAATTTTATTAGAGGACAGGTTCTGATCATGGCTTTCACACCCTTAACATCAAATCTGGCCTTGGGGATCTTGGCTGAGCTCCAAAAGCCATGGTATTTGGTTCTCTATTGGAGGACAGGAGCCAGTCCCCAACCAAGGTCCTGTACCTGAAGACACTCCCAACTCTTGGTCTCATAAAATCCAACTATCTCCCCAGGAAGGGCCACTTTCTTTTTGCACCCCCAGAACAAAACTTGTTTCCCCTAATGTGCCTCATAAAACAATATTAGCTTTCCTCTAGGTCAGGGATATCCAGAACTCAAGGACTTCGAGACCAGCTATCTTGCTTAACAAAGAAAAAGGGGAAATTTCTCGTGGTTCCATGGTAGGAAAAATGCTACCACCAATAATCAACCAACTTCTCACCCCTGTAAAACAACATGCCTTATTCAGTGGTGGAGGGTTGAGGCAAAGAGGGGGTGTTTAAATGTTACCGTTAAAAAAATAATTATTGGTTACTTATTGTAGTGTAGCCAGAGAATGTGGGTTTCATATTTTGTAATTTTTAGAATCTGCTGAGATATTCTTTTTCTTTGAGACAGAGTTTCTCTCGTTGCCCGGGCTGGAGTGCAATGGTGCGATCTCGGCTCACTGCAACCTCTGCCTCCCAGGTTCAAGTGATTCTCCTGCCTCAGCCTCCTGAGTAGCTGGGATTACACGCACCTGCCACCACGCCCGGCTAATTTTTTTGTATTTTTAGTAGAGATGGAGTTTCTCCATGTTGAACAGGCTGGTCTCAAACTCCCGACTTCAGGTGATCCGCCCACCTCAGCCTCCCAAAATGCTAGGATTACAGGCATGAGCCACCGCACCCGGCCTGAGATATTCTTAAAGTCCTAAGATATGATCAGTTCTTTACGTCTTCCAAATGTTTATATTAAATATATATATGAATATGTTTTAAAATACCTGTTAATTACATTATTCAATTCTTGTAATAATAAACACTTGCATAGTATTCACTCTGGGCCAGGTGCCGTTTCAGAAATTTTAGATAAATTAACTCTTAAGTGAGAGCCCTCTGAGGCTGGAGCTGTTACTACTACCGCAATAAACTTAATCAGTAAAGTTAAGGCAGTGAGAAGCTAAATGGCACTGCTAGTAAGTGGCAAGGCAAGGGTTTACACTCAGGCAGTGTTATTTATATTCTAAAGGCCATGTGGCTTATGTAGACTTTATTTCAAGCCACTTACGTTATTTTGAAAGAGTTATAGCATGCCATATTAACAAACAAAAAGTTTTATTTGCTGACAACCCTAGCTAACTCTCAATGCTTAACATATTTATGATATTTCTCTCCTCTGCTACTTCTAGTTACTCCATTTTTGCTTACTTTGTAGAAGTTGTTTGACAATATTGCTGACATTTAAGTATTCTTGTATATTTCTTTATATTGGTGATTTCCTTATTTCGTTTTTTCTCCTTTGCTGCCTTTTTATTCTAAAGGTTTAAGAGTCAAAAAATGACTAGATTGCCTTAATTACAATGGTTTGAATGAGTTAGTTTGGTTTTCTTTTTAAATCTGTGTTCTCTTTATATCCTAGCCTAGTTTCTGGGAGGTGCAAGGCACTGAGTGACTCATTGGGACCTGCTGAGTCATTAGAGAGAGTGCCTGAGGGACAGAGGCCAGACTGCAACTTAAGCTATCTGGAATCTTACCTCTGCTGTCTTACTGGCTGTCTACATGGGGCTACATTTTAACTATGGCTTACAGGTAATCATTTAATGTCATGTCCTTTCTATCTTTCCCCCTCTAAAGTGGTAGTAATCATCCTTTATCTCTCCATCTCTCCACCAGGATATTGCAAAGATTAATTATTATTAAAAACAAAATGAAATTATCAATCCCTTCAGGAATATGTTTGCTGTATTAATATAAGAAACTATTTTCATGGTTTCCTTGATTTTTATAGCTGTGCTTATTGTGCCCCTTCTCAATGAAGGAGATATTCCAAATTTCTCCCAGACAGAAACTGATTTAAAATCGATTCAGTGGCTGAAGAACCCTGTAATTGTCCCAGCGGGTTCTTACTCTGCCAGGTAAATATTTCCAAGAACTAACATGCTAAGTTTGAGACTGGTTATTCATAATATAACTGTTAAGAGTTGTATTGTCTTTGAGTTTCTTTGGGGTTACCTTTCTTGAATCCCTATGATTTTGTGCATCCCACTCATCTGTGTCAGTGTATGTTCTTCAAGACTGAGGGATACGAGACCTGGCAGGAACAACCTACTTGCTAAGGAAGGACATTCAATGTGTACTTAATAAGATGTTCAGAGGTAGATTTTCCCAGACTGGTCATGGGTCCCATGCTCTTTCTTTCCTTCCACTCCAAATCTGCAGCATGTTTAGTTTTTGTCTTTAAGTTTCATGATTCATGGCCACCCAATCATTGCCACACTTCTAGACAGCAAGTCTTTACCTGACCCTGTACACGTCAGGAGTGGAGAGACTGCAAAGATGGCAAGAGAAAACTCTTCTCCCAGGCCTGTCTCCTTTCATCCAGGAATGAAAATCTCTCTCAGTCTTACATCTATTGAATCTCATGGGCTTTCTGGCTCTGCAAGGGTGGCTGGAAAAAATGAGTATCTTGCTTTTTCAGCATCTATATTGAGAGGCAGGCAAGGAAAAGGTGGATGAAGACCAATTAACCGAAGTGTCTGTTACAACTAACAAATTCTTTTTCTCTTTTCCTCTCTTCTACTCCACAGAAATCATTGCCTGTCAACAGCCTCCACCCCCACCTCCCCACCCCCACTCTTGGGAATGGACTCTGACAAACTCACCATCAGGAAAGTTGATGTTTCCCATCTAGGATGGAAGAATGGGATTCTGAACTTTGTCACTGTTTCTGAAACGTCATCAGCTCCTGTAATTGCATGGTTGGGACAGATCTATTTAAATTGCTTTGAAGTTTTCCCAGGAAATTCCCACAAAATTGTGCAACCCAAGGAATTGAGGTGGAAAAAATGGCACTGGCATCAATTTGCTTCTCACCACGACCTTGTGAAGGAGGCAGGTAGCCACTCATATTTATGATTTAAAAAATGAGGGATCAACAATTAAAGGGGTAACAGTTCTAGGTGCTTGGACTATTAGTTTTATCAAAAACACAGTCGGTATAGGTTCATTGACAGCTGGCATTCATCATCTGAAATTAGATCCCCCTTTGAAATTATTCTTTCTCTCATTTTCCTTGCTTTTACATAGAAGTTTTTTCTTTTTTTTTTCTGTAAATAGTTAGATAATGGCATGGGATGACACTGCAAATAGGCAATATACCATACAATCAATTCCATGTATTAATTCCAGAACAGTTTCCTCATTAATGGAAATACAGGATGCATTCTGGTATCATTATTGTTGACATTTCTCTTTGCTTTTATTATATTCAATAAAATATTGTATTCAACAGCTTACCTCAGAGAGAAGTTTGATGAGATTTGATTGTCCTTTAGTTTTATCTTTATCACCAAGACAGGACCCAAAACCTGTCTTCCTCCTAGTGTGGCAGGGCTGTTGCAATGAAGCACACAGACAACAAACACATCTTTCTAAAGCTCTCCTTCATCTGAAAGTAAAGATGACAACTTGATATGAATAAAACCCATAGAATTTTGGAAAATTTTGATGTTTCTCAATCTGCACTCTCTGATTGGGATTGATTTAACTGAGAGTAACAGAAACGTTGACGCTGCTTAAACAAATAAGAGGTTTATTTATCTTGCAAACACTATGAAGGTATTCATTTCAGGGCCCAGTGCAGCTGCTCCAGGGCCAGCTCATTTGACCTTTCAGCTTTTCTGTCCTGCATGTGTAACTGCTGAGCATCGGAGAGTTACATTAGCAAGCCAGGAGAAGAAGAAGAAAGATGAAGAAGGGAGGATAAGTGGCTATAGCAGGAAGTGGAACATTTCCAGAAACCCCAATAAATGTATATCTTGCCTGAACTACATCTCACAACCATCTTTAGCTGCAAGAGAGTCTGGTAACTGTAGTTTTTTCACTGGGCACACTGCCATTCCTGTAAAAATTACAATTTTCTTAATGAGGACGAAATAGAGACATGATGTTGCCTCAGCAACTAGCAGTGTACACCACACCCATCATCGCCAGGCAAAGTGTAGTGTCATGATTTCATTTGTTAGTCATCACTTTCAACATCTATTGCCATAGTAAACATAAGCCAAAATGATTAGATATCAAAAACTGATCTACCATATTATTTTGTTTTTCCAATAAGTAATAGCAGCCTTACTCATTCACCTTTGAGAAGAAGTTTATTTTATAGGCACAATTTTACATGTATTTCTATTTTGGGGTGTGGGAGTAAGTAAAGATCTGTGTCTTTGTTTGGGCTGCTGTAACCCAAAGCCATACACTAGGTAGCTTATAAACAACAGAAATTTCTTTCTAATAGTTCTGGAGGCTGGGAAGTCCAAGATCAAGGCACCAGAAATCTGGTGTCCATTGAGAACCCACTTCTTGCTTCATAGATGGCACCTTCTCTAGGGGCCAATGAGCTCTCGGGGGCCTGTTTCATAAGGGTGCTAATCCCATTCATGAAGGCAAAGCCCTCATGACCTAATTACCTCTCAAAGGCCCCATTTCCTAATACCATCACTTTGGGTATTAGGATTTCATCTTTTGAGTTTTGGAAGGTGTTAAACATTCAGTCCATTTGGATAGTAAAGTGAGCTTGAGAGGGACAAAACTCACTGGATTGTCAAAGGGGTCTTGGATTCACCTTGGGACTGCTGTGTTTCCCTGCTACACTGTCTGAGCACCTTGGCTTTACCCTTTAGAACCAAGGCCCCTCAACCCTGACTAAACCTGGAAACAATTTGAACTCAAGGCTGAAAAACAGCTTCTGAGTCAATGGGTGGCCTATTTTGGGCTCTGCCTGACTTAGCTGTCTGGCTGTGTCTGTAGGAACACTCTTGATGGCGTCATAGGCAACAAGTCAATGGTGTATTTAAACAGAGCTGGAGAAGTGCTCTATGCACTGCCTGGTTACATCATGACTCCAAGGCTCTTATCCCAGGAACTTAAATGAAATGGGCATACCAAACCGATGGACTCATTGTGGACTCAGCCTATTGCAACTATGTTACAAATTTGAACTTTTTTTTCCTTCTAGTTTTTTTTTCCTTCAAATCTTTTATTCTTTTCCTCTATTTAGGTTTTGTCTTAGAAATCTTATTAGAAATTTCAAGTTGGAAAGACTTTAAAAAGACCTTTTCCAGCTCCCCACCTGCAGGAATCCTAGGGCACCACATCCACATTTTTCAAATGTGGACACCTAAAGCTGAGACAATCATTATCTCACAAATCTGCCAGTTTTGAGTAACATGTAAGAAAGGTATTTCTTATTATTACACTGATAGCTTCAACTGGAAGATTTCATAATCTCATACCCACAGGGAAACTCTAAAATCCTATTTAACAAAATGACCAAAAAACCTGACGCACTGAGTGGGTATTACATTGCTGGCTCATCCCTTTTGCATCAGCTTTATTAATTCAGAATTATGGGATAGCTTAAGAGTCTCTATTAGAAAATTTGGAGAACTGTGTAAGAAGCATAGCAACAATTCTGTGTAAAACCTGAAGGTTTTCATGGGGTGTGAAAAAGAAAAAACTGAACAGTGTCATGTGCGTTTCTGTCACCTTTAAAATTAAATTGTCCTATGAGGACATACATCCTTATAGGGATCACTGAACATATTCTTCCTCATTTTCAACAGTGAAACAGGTTGTATCTCCTCCCTTCCTTTCTTCTTTCTAAGGCTTATGAGAATTTCAAGGAGGAGCGGTTAATCAATTTGATTTGGGATAAGGAGAGAAGACATTGTGAGATAAGGCTTGAATTACCTTTGGAGAATGAGTATTGAGTGTCTGGTTGGGTGGGATGGGAAAGATTGAATAAAGACAGATGAATAAATGCAATAATTTTTCTTGACTCTGCTTGGGTGGCTAAGTCATGATTACTCAAGCCACTATTATGCAAAGTAAATATGCAGCCTACAGGCAGCCACTAGTGTTCATACTTCTTTATCCCTTACTTTGGGGAAGGCAAAGCATTTGTTACTATTGACTCTGTATCTGCTGGTTTGAATCCACAGAGCTAGAGGCCTTTCAGGGGCTTGAACATCGCTAGATTTTTGTATCCACAGGTGGTGGTTGGGGGTGGGGAGGGTAGAGGGTGGTCCTAGAACCAATCCCCTGCAGATACCCAGGGACGCCTATATATTCACCTTGTGACCTAGTGTAATTAAATCCTAGTGTCCCTGGATGCCACCATACTAGACCCATGAAACCGAGTGAGAGATCCGGAAAAACCCTTATATCCTTATCTGTGCTTCCTAGAGCTTTCTTGGTGTGGGGAAATCCATTGCTTGTGATTACAAAGTGAGTCTTCCTTTTCAATTTAATTTTTGTTTTTGAGATGGAGTCTCGCTCTTTCGCCCAGTTTGGAGAGCAGTGGCGCAATCTCGGCTCACTGCAACCTCTGCCTCCCGGGTTCAAGTGATTCTCTTGCCTCAGCCTTCTGAGTAGCTGGGATTACAGGTGCACAACACCATGCCTGGCTAGTTTTCGTATTTTTAGTACAGACGGGGTTTCACCATGTTGCTCAGGCTTGTCTCGAACTCCTGACCTTGTGATCTGCCCACCTCAGCCTCCCAAAGTGTTGGGATTACAGGCATGAGCCACTGTGCCTGGCTCAATTTAATATTTACCCTGTTTGTAAGCCATAGTTAACCAAGGACAGGATTTGACAGCCCACAGTTCTCTCTAGGCAAGACAATTGGCCCTATTCATAAACCCTGATCTAGCAAGCTCTGCTTGGCTCTTACTATGGAAGGGAGCCTTTCCCTCCTACGACTCCTCCAAAACTGGTCAAGGTGAGACTGCCTGGTATTAAGGAGGGAAGAATATAGGCTGGCATTAAAGTGTTCTAGGAATCTGGCTACAAAACTCAGCTGTGCTCCGAGATGAATGCCCACCCAGATATTCACTATTATTGGTTCTTTGCCAGCATCAGTCCTGGGACACTCCCAGGGGTCTCTGGATTTGACTTCTGTAATCAAATCTTAACAAGCAAAAGGTCCTTTTCACTCTCAAATCCACTGGTTGTTTCCTGGGGTTTATGACTGATCTTCCTACTAGGACTGAATTATGTAACGTCATAAACCAACACTTCTCCATCCAATCTGCCGTTTCCACAAAGGAACACAAAGACCCTATGGAACCATAAAGTCTCACAGGTGAAGGTCTAGGAAAACTGTCCTGGAAAATTCCAACATGAGGGGGAGCCTGACTAGAGCCGCAAGGGTCAAAGCAGCTGTAAATCCATCAGCAAAATGAGCCATACACAAAGGGAAGGAAGAGAAGAGTCACATTTTGCTAAAAAGAGGATTCAAAAGGTTAGGTAATCCCAAAACTAGAAACTGAAATACAAAAAAAGTTAAAAGAATTAAACAACCATTAAAACAACAACAACAACAATGAATTGTAAATGAAGCTGAAGATTTGAAAGCAGAAAAGCCACTAGGCCAAAACAGCAGACATGAAAGCTAAATTCAACAGAAATAAAGGTTAAACTATTTTTGATCCAGAAAGCTGAAAGCCTAGGAAAAGCATAAGTAAAATCTGTGAGGCTTAAAAAAAAAAAAAAAAGGTAAAAATTTAAAGGTGGGAGTAAAAAAAAAATTGGCTATAGCAAACAAAATTACGTTATTATTGAAGTTCTGACGCAGGGCCAGTATTTTCTGTGTTATCTGGCAGCCTAGCAGCAGGTCTTTCATCTTCTGAGAGCGTCTGCCTGCTCTCACCCTCGCCCTCCTCACAGGTGGCCTTTCAGGACCACGAGCAACTACAGGGAACACAGCTTGGCCTCAACAAACTTCCCTGTTCCTCTATCTTGTTAAATGAATACCCCTAGAGAAGAGGTAGATGAATATGAAACATTTTCTAAAAAAGTTAAAAGTCTGTTTACCTGGTAATGGTGTACGTTTGTGAAGTCTGTTCTTTTGCACAATTCTTGATCCCACGATAATCTCATAGTATTTCGTTAGCACCATCATCAGCAAAGTATGACGTTATCATCACAGATTCCAAATTGGGTTTCACTGAAGTGAAAATTTGTGATACATTCTAAACAAGATCAGTTTAAAATTCATCTTTGAATTAGCCATGGTTTTTTTAAAAAAGAATTTGTTTACAAAGTATTCAAACAAAATAAAGTGGGTGTTTAATCCCAGATTTAAGAACTCTGACACAATTAAATACAGTGGATATAAGAACTCTTTCTTATCTATGAAAAAATTTCTAAATGACCCCTATATACACTTTAATGACCTGGTTGTATTTCAATGAAATATTAACAGTGATATGCTTTTTTAATGTCACAATCCAAACATTGTATCATTTAGCCTAGCCTTCTTTCAGTGAGGTTTCATTACTGTGTCAGTTTTTAGTCTTTTTGCTTAGTACAAGTTCTCCAAACTCACTCCAGCCTTCACCGGGAAGGCTTTCATAGATTAGCACCACTAGCTGATATCTTCTATTAGGGACATGATTCTGCTTTCCCATTTTTACTAAAATTTGCTGGTTCTCATCCTCCAGCCCCTGCGCAGTTCCTGGGACACCCAGAAATTTTCTCGTTAACCCCATACTAATTAAAATCAGGCACCTCTCAGGGTATTAAGTAGACTACAAGGCAGGTCTTGTGAACGAAATTTTTTATTTACACACTGTATCTAGAAGCAGATACATAAATTCTTATACAATTAATTTCCAAAAATGTGCAAGAAATTACTATAATTTGTTTACAAACCAAAACACGTATTAAAATCAATGGACTTTGGATAATTCATTCTGTGGTGTTCTCAGTACAAATGGTACACACCTGATTTGAAACATACAGAAAAAGTGTAAACTACCGCAATCTGAATTGCAAGTATTAATTTCATGGCACTCCAACGACTATGAAATTTCTTTCACCCAACATGTAAATACTTGTTACAAAATTCTATAAGAATTTTTCATAATCTCTGGATGTAGAGTTTGGATCACTTTTCAGAAACAGCAACTACACACTTCGCCATGTTATGACTGATTAATAAAAAGAATGTTTATAAAAACCCTTCTTTACAGGATTAAAAAAGTATTAAAAGAAACCATATTTGTGATTGCTAGTGTACCAACACTTTTAGAATTTTAAAGTTATTTACGGAACTGGCTATTGTTCCTTATTAGAGTTTTCAAGAAAACTGTCTATTGCTGGTAGTGTGATTTCATTTTGAAATTAAGACTTCGCATTTAATGAAAAGCAATTAAGATTTAAATGAAAATGTATTATTCCGATTCATTCATAAAGCAGTATCTCTCATATACAATGTGAAATGTAATTAAAACTGGCATTTCTGAAAGCATTGTTACAAAGATATTTTAGACTTGTAGCACTAGCAGAGACATTGCATTAACCTATGTTAGATTTTATAACTTTTATCCTGTTTCAGTAATACTGGCTCAAGAATTACAACGCATACTTTGGGTTTTGTTTCCTTTATGCCAATGATTTAGCCTTTTGGAACTGTTTTCTTCAACAGCAAGATGGTTGGTTGCCCCGTGTAGCTGGTTTCCTTAAAAACTATTTTTAGGTCTATGATCATTTCCTGTGACATATTTTGACCTTCTAAATTTTCAGATTATTGCACCAAGTAGAAAGAGTTTTCCTTAGACAGAAAGAGAATTAGATATTTTTCAAGTACTTTCTACAGCCTTCTTCTTATTTATAAAAATGCATAATAGTGTTATAGTAAGCCTAAAAATAGCTTCTGGCCTCCATCATATTTCGTGATGAAATATTTAATAGAAAACAATTCTGATTCATCTATTATGGCAAATGGATACAGCTTTCCTGTTTTCTTTTTCTTGCTTTGAGCTCAGATTTTTAGAAGCACGTATTTAAAAAGCACTCATAGGCTGTGTCCATGTCATCTATGTTAACTGCCAATAGAATCCTAAAATTTAACCAAATTGTGTCTAGACCAAACTAAATGATGAGTTTTCTCTCTCTCTTTTCCCTGTTTCCACTTTTAACTGGACTGTGTTAGTATCATATAAAGCCAATCTTTCACATTCTGTTGTGCTGCCTACCCCAAATGGTTATCTTTCTACACAAAAGTAGAAAATATCGCAAAACATCTTTCTGCTTGTAAATTTAACTTTTTGGCAAATAGTTTGATTTTATCATTATACTATCAGAATCTAACAATTTCAAACTAGATTAGAATAGGGCATATTAAAGTATATATTATGAATATACAAAAGCGCATCAAAATTTGGCTTTCTGAATTAGAACAGTATCAAGACTGTCCTCCACTAAAACACAAAATACAATTTTAAAAACATTTAGATGAAAATCTCAATAATCTTGACACTAAGCGGGTAGATCTTAAACACATGGCATGATGAGAAAACGAAGGGAATAGGTTATGTCCACATAAGACGGGTTCAGGGCAGTCCAAAGACCTCTGTGCACCATGATCTCACAAGGAGGACATGTAAATGCTTCTGGAGACACGGAGAAGCCATTTCAACATTTATTATTAATACACAGTGACTCTGTGACAAAACCTGCCATCTAATATAGATGCACAGGGACTTTTAACTCACCCTAGATATACTTTAAGTTGTTTTAAAAATAAATAGTTTTGCAAAAAAATAGTTTAAATGTCTTGCATTAATTTGATAACAAGCTTACAACTCTGCAATAGTTCTTAATCCAAATAGCTTATAATGAACACTTATATTATTACAGTATACTCCATATTCCATCTTATTAGGAGAAAACATATGAGAAAATGAGAGTCTTTTTAACAAGGTACAATCAACATCCCACCAAAATTAAGTACCTTTTCCCCTTTAAGTCAAAATACCATAACACCATAATATTATGGCATTGTGCCTTTTCTTGGTAATATCTCAGTTCTGACCCTAAAAAGCAAAGAGAAAAAAGTGAGGATTCAGATATGCTTGAATGACAAAGCCAGTAAGTTTGACCTAAACCTTTACCCTCATGTTTAAAGTGGGTAAGAGACTTTTCCTATCTCTTCCTTTAAGTGACAAAGGAAGAACCATCCCAAATTACATGTTTCATCTGAGATAGAAACATTTTCCTTTAAAGGTGTGTAGCTGAAAATTTTCTGGACAGGGCAATCCCAAAATACTACATCCATTGCAGAACTGTGAAATGAATAAACACTCTGCATTACAAAATAACTAAAAATTATTGAATATAACATCTCTCCCCAACAACCGACTCAAGGAGATAAAATTATTAGCAACGGCAAATTACTTAAGACTTAGCTAAATTTTAAAAACCTATTTTTAAATGGCAGTATATATGATAGACAATATGACTTCCACATTATCTAATATGGTTTAGAATTTTTCTCACATTGTGAGAAAAATTGCTCCACAATTTCCACAATTTTTAAACTAAAGTCATCACGGGTTCTCTTTATAGTGGGGGTAAGGATTGGTCAAATCCAGCACACTTTTATAGTAACTACATAGAAGAAAAATATAAATCCAACTTTAAAACAATGTTTTCTTTCTATTCAAATCAATTTAAAACTTTTTATAAACATTAATGTTGCAAGAGAATCCAGTCCATTTATGAAAATTAGTTGACAATCAAGTTCACCCAAGAAAATGTTGACTAAGCTAAAGAAATCACAGATAAAACATTTTACCAAAAGGATAGGTAACACACAAAAAAATGCTATCACAGGAAGCTATGATCATCTAATATTTCTTTAATAATAATTCTAGTTCCATAGGTTTTCATGTTATGCCAATTTGTACCCGAGTTTAATTACAGAAAAGGCAACAATTTCTAAATTGGTGGTATACATTTCTTTACAATTTTTTAATGTAAGGCCATTTATTAAAATAGACAAACTAGAAGATGAAAACGAAGGCAACAGAAAAATTCAACTTTTCACAACCAAAAGAATTAGCACAACCTTAGAAATAATTTAGAAAAAAGTGTTGTTAAAAGATATGTTGCAGATCTCCGTTCCATTACCCAAGATTATGTCAATTCACGATTCTAAATAAATCTTTTTAAAGTAAGAGATTAAAAACTCATCTTCAGTGTATATGTAAATTCTGTGTTTTATCACACAGGTATGTTTATTCAACACTGTCTTTTGAAAATGGACCATTTAAAAAGACATAGCAATTTCCATTCTGTTAAGTTTCATTCAACTTTACTTAGGGTTGAATACACATGAAATGTGCTTTTAATGCATAAAAATCACAGTGGATAGCAGCAAAGGACTGGGCGGGGGGGGCATTGAGGAGAATTTGATAATTCACATTGTGATTATTCTGCACATTGATGAAACATAATTCACACCTCTAAAACCTCAAGACTTCCCTTTTTTAAAGAACCAAAATAAACCCAAGACACCTTGCTGACACTTCCCCACCCCTAAACAAACTGATGACTCTTTTACACATAAAACTGAAATAGTTATGGCAGCAAAAGATTTTGATGGCAATGAAAGTTTGTAAACTGTATTTCAATCTCTTGTTCTTATTCCCAAAGTGCAAGATGCAGGGTTCTCAATCTTTCAGTAGTGCTTCTCCTGTAAATAATCCTTCATTTTGTTTGGCAAAGGCAGTTTCTGAATTAAGTCTATTCTGGTATACTGACGTATAACAAAACGACACAGGTACTGCAACGAGCGCACCTGCATGAACCGGGACACTGGGTTGGTCAGTCTGACGGGGTAAGTTGCAGATCCAGGCAGCCGAGACCTTGAATAACAAAAAGCTCCATTTTCAGAGTCCCTGATTGAATGCTCAATTAGATCAACTATGGACGTATGTCCTTCCACATCTGGCTGTTCATAAAAGCTAAACCTACCATTTGAGTGCTCAATTCTAGTGTGAAGTGTTTTACCATGGGAGCGAAAGCTCAAGCTTAAAAGGTAACGGTCGTCAGAACTGTCCCGAACAAGAAAAGAACCATCTGGCACGTTTGCTAGCTTCCCTTCTGCCTCCCAACGTGTGATTGGTCCCCAGTACCATCCTTGCTTTGCAAGTTTTTTCAGCTCCTCTGTAAGGCTTGTCACAACCATGGGACCACTACTTTGCACTGAGTCATAAACTCTTGCAACCCCAGGAGCAGAGTTCGGATCAAAATTCAAATGACAGCGCATACTTTCAGCCACGTGGGCTTCTGTGCCAGTGAGTCCACTGAAGTTCCTTTGGATTTGATTATTCTGCATTGGAGGTAGCAATGGTGAGAGTGGAGGGACATCATCGTGACCCGCTCTCGGGCTCTGCAACATGACTCCCGTGGTGCCAATCAACAAGCCATTCACGGACTGATCCACGAAGATCTCTGGGGCGACAACTAGGTCCTGGTCTACCTGACTCTCATCCTCGGGGAAAGCGCGCCCTCCCACTTGAGGAGGAACCGCAGAGACTTCCATGGGAGAAGAGCTGTCCAGACAATAGCTCCGTGATCCTTCCAAAGGATACATCCCCTCATCTAAAGGCACAGTATACTGAATGTAGTCCTGAGGCATAAGTCCAATAACGACAGGCACATGTTCATCCAGGTGAAGATGCAGGTCTCCATTATGAGAAGCCGAGCTCTTCAGTGAATTGGCTTGCTCCTGGCACGTGGTCTCAGACTGGAGGTCGTGGAAATCCTTCCGGACGCCATTCAGGGCTGGACTCGGGCTGGAAGAGTGAACCAAGGCCTTGACTCTCACCTCCATCTTGATGCAGGTCTCCTCGGAGTTTGTGGGCCGCAGAGGCCACGGCGCGGGACTGTAGTGATGGCTGCGGAGCGACGTGGACCTTATCGGCCTCTGAGCTCTCACGTCTTTAAAGACTATGGGTGCTGAGGAGGAGGAGAAGGTGTCCTCGTCGGCAGAGCTCCCAGAGGGTGTGCCCGCCTTGCCTTTTGACTTCTGTTTTGCAGAAAGCCGCCTTTTTAGCGTACCCATCAGGCTCTCGCTTTTTGATCTGTTTTTTCCGCCTTTTTCATCTTCACCGTTGATATCGCAGCTGGCCATATCTTTACCATAGCAGCTACCAAATAAGGAATCATCTTTTCCAAAGTCACTGGCTAGCGATGGTTGTTGTACTACCATGAAATCAGTTTCTTCTTTACTTTTATTCAAGTTAAAAGATTTCCGTAAGGTTTTAAGACTAATTTTCTTCATTATGACTAGTTACCTAATCCAAGGGATCAATATTTCTATCTGGAATATTATCCCCAAACATCTGGAGAGGCTGCAAGGCTGCATCTATGTATTTTTCCTGCTTCATTTAACCTTTGGAGCCATTTTCTAAAAAATAAAAATATAAAAAGAGTCATATTAAAAAATATTTCCACAAAAGTTTTGTTTTAGTCAGTTTTAATCCTTTAACTTCTGAACGAGAACACCCCAGTCTTTTCTTAATGTCAGCTCTGTTAGGACCGGGCTTTCTTTCTATTGCACCCAGCAGAGCAGATCACTGCCTACTACACAATGAGCATTTGGCAAGTATTTGATGATGTTTACTTTATTATTATTATTATTATTATTTTGAGATGAGTCTCACTCTTTCGCCCAGGCTGGAGTGCAGTGGCGTGATCTCGGCTCACTGCAAGCTCTGCCTCCTGGGTTCACGCCATTCTCCTGCCTCAGCCTCCCAAGTAGCTGGGACTACAGACGCCCACCACCACACTCAGCTAAGTTTTTTGTATTTTAATAGAGACGGGGTTTCATCGTGTTAGCCAGGATGGTCTCGATCTCTTGACCTTATGATCCGCCCGCCTCGGCCTCCCAAAGTGCTGGGATTACAGGCTGAGCTACCATGCCCCGCCCGATGATGTTTATAAAGAACAAGCCTGCATCTACCTTTTGTTCTTTTGGCACCTTGCTTTTTGGTATAAACTCTAACGTGTGGGCCAGTGTCCACATCCTTCCCAGCTGGACTCTAGCTAGACCTGTGCACTCCTTCAGCACTGACTCCGACTGCTCCTCCGCTGCCTGCCATGTCCCAGCCTGTGTCCTGGCACGACAGTAAAGGCGTTCCATAGAACTGCAATAACAAGCCTAGTCAACTCAACAACTGATGCATATTTTAAATACTTAAGCTTGTGTCAAAATAAACAAAAAGAATTTCATTATCTGTAATAAACTATCTAGAGATGTTCCTCTATACTCGAGAATTCCTTGAGAACAAGAATCATTTACCTTCAAGTTCCCAATGCACAGAGGAGGAAGAAGCTCAATGCGCGCAGGTTGAAAAGCTTCATCTCTGAAGTACACCCATAAAAACCCATGTGTCTAGTTTTGATCTATTTGGAAGATTATGAAACATATTTCCAGAATTATTATTGCTTACTCTTCTTTTTTTGCAATTTCCCATGGCAAATTTTTACTTCTATATCCAGAAATATATTTTCTAAACTTTTTTTGTACATTGTTCTACACTGAAATGACAGGATTTCAATTCTGTAAAGACTTTCTGAAAGTCATTTCACAGCAAAAAATCTTGGTTCCATAAACCACGTTAAGTGATCCTAACACTACTTTACAAAGGCCCTGTGTTTAAACTGTGTAGAATGTTTTCTTTCCTCCAACGTCATGTTCTGCCTTCTCTGCATATGACTTGACAAGGTGATTCGCTTGACTTGAGCGAAATGCTAATAAAGCCCAGAACAAGATTCTGACCTCCCAAATCAGCAGTTTAGCGCCACTCAGTTTCTTGGCACAAGACTATGGCTCTAGCTTTGATCCCATTCATGAATTCACTCTGCCTTTACTAAGCCCCTACTCGGCCTCTGCTGAGTCAGCTTGGCTCAGCCCTGTGTGGCAATACACAGATTGATGAATAACTGATGGTCACCTAATCCAGTAGGAGAGACAGATGTATGAACAGATAAACTGTAGTATCAACCCTTCAGTAATATAATGGTACACAAGGTGGGAACTGACAGGAGAGAGAGAACCTGACAATTGTCCCCTTTTAGTTACAGATAGGATTCGGGTGGTGTGCAGATGGAATCATTCTTACTAAAAACCACTCAGATTAGACAACCTATCAGGGGATCAGTACTATCATGTCCCCAAAAGGAAGAAGCAATTTTTAAAAGTCTACTGTCATGTACTATGTTTCTGAATAAGTTGTAAAAAATAAAAAACTTAAAATATTTGAAGCACCAGTTACTTTTAAATAATAAATGAAGTTGTATATTAGGTGAACTCAGTGTCTTAGTAGCATGTCTTCTACCCAAGCATAATGAACTATTATAACTGCCAGAATCAGTAACTGATTAACCCTACTAAATGTGAGATTCAAATAGTTGTGCTTCCCACTATCACACCCATACCCCAAAACACGAGAGACTAGCAACCACGGTAAAAGTACTTGGCAATTACCTGCTTGAAAATTATTCCTTTTTCAACTACCAATCCATATTAGTAAGCTATTAATCAATACTAATATTAAAGAAACAAAATTCAATCCTAGACATTACAAACTATAAAAGTTCTATTAGGCCATATGGTCTTTTATCTCTTCCCTTCATATTCTAGGCAAAGATTACTCTAAAATTTTTAAGAGTATCTGTTTTTCTGTTTGCACATCCAAAAATATATGCCATCTTTTTATAGGATTACCATCTGTCTCGTGCCTAAGTAAATGTTCTGAATTAGTTTTACTGCTTTTCTAATTGTAAAATTTTAAGTTTATACATATACTTGAAAATGTATATAAAGTTTCAAGGGAAAAAGCTTTAGACATAAACTTTATCCATATGGGTAAAGGATAACTTCTTCAAATAATTTCAACCTTTTCTTAAATGACTTGAGGTAGTCATGTCTGTCAGTCATCATAACACATAATGAAAAAATTAAAAAGATCAAACAACTACTTAACCTTCAATAAACAAAACAGCTTTATTATCCCCATTTTATAAAATGAGGAAACTGGTTATCAGAGAGACTGGAATTTGCCCAACAAAGTTAAACAATTTGCTACTAGCAACAGCAGATCCAGAATCTGAACCTGGCTGTTTATTTGCAAAGCTCACATTCTTCCCCTATGCCAACCTGTCCTACCTGTCATTCTACTGCTTACATCAGTGGTTCTCAAACATTCTGGTCTCAGAACCCCTTTATTCTCTTAAAAATTATTGGAAGACAGGAAGAAGCATTGTTTATGTGGGTTGCATCTCTTGAAATGTACCCTACTAGAAAATAAAACCGAGAGGCGGGGCATGATGGCTCACTTCTGTAATCCCAGCACTTTGGGAGGCCGAGGCGGATCACCTGAGGTCAGGAGTTGGAGACCAGCCTGGCCAACGTGGTGAAACCCCATCTCTACTAAAAATACAAAAAAAAAAAAAAAAAAATAGCCAGGCATGGTGGCGTGTGCCTGTAATCCCAGCTACTCAGGAGGCTGAGGCAGAAGAATTGCTTGAGACTGGGAGGCAGAGGTTGCAGTGAGCCAAGATTGCGCCACTGCACTCCAGCCTGGGCAACAAGAGCGAAAACTCTGTCAAAAAAAAAAAAAAAAAAAAAAAAAACTGAGAAAATTTGTTATTTATTTATTTATTGAAGACACAGAATCAGAGTCTCGCTGTGTTGGCCAGGCTAGAGTGCAGTGGTATGATCTCGGCTCACTGCAGCCTCAACCTCCTGGGTTCAAGAGATCCTCCCACCTCAGCCTCCTGAGCAGTTGGTACTATAGGCACGCACCACCACGCCTGGCTAATTTTGTCTACTTTTTGTAGAGATGAGGTCTATGTTGCCCGGGCTGGTCTTGAACTCCTGGCCTCAAGCAATCCTCCTACCTCAGCTTCCCAAAGTGCTGGGATTACAGGTATGAGCCACTATGCCCAGCCTAATTTTATATTTATTTTAAAATGACAATATACTCATTACATGTTAACATAAATAACATTTTCATGAATGATAATAAAAATCAGTGAAAGTGGTACCACATGACATTACTGTAAATCTCTTCTGCCTGACTAAAGGAAGACAGCTAGACTCTCATATCTACTTCTGCACTGAATCTGTTACAGTACAGTAGCCCTCTCTTATCTGCAAGGGATACATCCCAGGATCCCCTGTGGATTCCTGAAACCACATATAGTACAGAACCCTATATCAAGTATACTTTGCTTTTTTCCTATACACACATACCTATGATAAAGTTTAATTTTTAAGTTAGGTACAGTAAGAGATTAATAACTATAACTAATAATAAAATTAAACAATTATAGCAAAATATTGTAATAAAAGCTATGAGAATGTGGACTCTCTCTCTCGCAAAATATCTTACTGTACTGCACTTAGCTGTCTTCAGATGACTATCGACTGTGGTAATTGAAACTGTGCATAGGGGACTACCTGTAAGAAGAAAATTCAGCCTCCTCCAGATACATAGTTGGAAAAAGGAACAATATATTTTATTTAATAACCTTTTCATATAACTATGGATATTTTTCTTTGATACTATATCAAAACTCAATGAATAATAGTTTCTTAATGATAAATTGCCCTGTAAAATCTAAAACCATAACACAAAATTTTTTTACTCTATAACATTCAAACCCATTGGTCATGCCTATAATCCCAGCACTCTGGGAAGCTGAGGTGGGTGGAACACTTGAGGCCAGGAGTTCGAGACCAGCCTGGCCAACATGGTGAAACCCCGTCTCTACTAAAAATATCAACATTAGCCAGGCATTATGGCTCACACCTATAATCCCAGCTACTCTGGAGGCTGAAGGAGAATCACTTGAGCCCAGGAAGCAGAGACTGCAGTGAGCTGAGATCACACCACTGCACTCCAGCCTGGGCAACAAGCAAGACTCCATCTCAAAAAAAAAAAGAAACTTTGAATTTTATCACTGGCAATAATACTGTCATTTGTTTTTAATGAAGTGACAGACTCATGTTGATTATTTATGGGAAAATATCTGTTAAAACACATGGAATAATCATGTGTGTCTGTCGATCGTTGTTTTTAGTAAAAGTGGTTATTTCACAGAAAAAAAGGAGCTAGTTAGCTAGTGTAGCCAGCAATTCAAACAAGCGCTTCCCCTGGAGACACTCTTCCTTCTTCAGTATGTACTGGAAAGTGTCTTTGAAATATTCACATTTCATAAAAAGAATTTTAGAAAGATGTAAGCTCAGGGTGAAGATTTCATAAAATTAATTTTTATAGCTTCATCAATGGCATCCGTAAGTATAACCAATTTTTTTTTTTTTTTTTTTTTTTTACTGAAGTGCTTGGTTCTTACTAAAGAACATACGACTATTACTACATTTACTATTACAGTTTGGTGCCGCTGCCTTGACTCATGGTAAGGCATCATCAGTTTTATCATCCATCATTGCTTTCTGTACCATCAGTAAAAAAGACAAATGATGTTTCAGGATTATGATGAAAGAGGATCCACAGACCAGAGCCACAGGCTTAAATTATCTGTGAAGGCAATTTAAGAGAACAAAAAGAAAGACTTTAACATAAAGCAAAGAATCCACATAAAAAGTTAATAGCGTTGTAAATCTCTCTCTACACCATAAGCTGCATTGTCAATTTCTGAACCTGCATGGTTCATGTACTTTCATCTCAGTTTCTTAGATTCTACTCCACCGCTCCTAAACCTGTGAGAACACTATTTGCCATTCCCTTAGGAAAAAAAGGAAAAATAAAAAAGAGATACCAAAGTCTTCCCAGAAAGGGAGAATAGAAAAAGAAAGAATAGAACAGACCATATAATAAAAAAGAATTACAATACAAATACAACATGAAATATGGTAAGATGTAGGCTCCAAAATGTTTGTTATACCAATACATATAAATGGAGTAAATTCAACTATTAGACAAAATTTCCTTTCTTTCTTTCTTCTTTTCTCTTCTCTTTTTTCTTTTCTTTTCTTTTTTTTGTGAGACGGAATCTTGCTCGCGTCGCCCAGGCTGGAGTGCAATGGCACCATCTCGGCTCACTGAAACCTCTGTCTCTCAGTTTCAAGTGATTCTCCTGCCTCAGCCTCCTGAGTAGCTGGGATTATAGGCGCCCACCACCACACCTGGCTAATTATTCTATTTTTAGTAGAGACAGGGTTTTGCCATGTTGGCCAGGCTGGTCTCAAACTCCTGACCTTGTGATCCACCCGCTTTGGCCTCCCAAAGTGCTGGGATTACAGGCGTGAGCCACCACGTCCGGCCTAGAAGAAAAACATTTTAAGATCTGATTAAAAAAAAAAAACAACAATAATATGTTATATATGGAAAGGACACACTAAAATTATCTCAGAAAGTTTCAAAATATCATAAAATCTCTCCAGTATTTCCACTCTTTCCAACTATTCTCTTCTTCACTGTGCCTGCGATTTTCTTATGCTACCAGCTAGTTGTACTAAGTGTGTTCTACTTGAGATCAGGAATGTTTTCAGTAGTGGTCATGACTGTATCTCCAACACCAAAGACAGCTCCCGGGCATGGGTGATGCTCAGATGCAAACTTTTTTTTGTATTTAAATTCATTATGCAATTTAAACATATGAACAAATAAGAATATTTTTGAAAATTATTTATATAAAAATAGTGCAAATTGATTTAGAAATAATAAATAAATGCAGGTGGCTAAAAATGTTTTCTGCAGAATCACGTACAGGCAAAAAGACTAGGGAAACATTCCTTTAAAAAAAAACTATATAATAAATAATAGGCCAGGTACAGTGGTTCACGCCTGTCATCCCAGCACTTTGGGATGCTGAGGCAGGTGGATCACTTGAGGTCAGGCGTTCGAGGGCCAGTCCGGCCAACATGCTGAAACTCCATCTCTACCAAAAATTACAAAAATTAGCTGGGTGTGATAGTGTGTGCTTGCAGTTCAAGCTACTCAGGAGGCTAAGGTGGGAGGACTGCTTGAACCCTGGAGGCAGAGGTTGCAGTGAGCCAAGATCACACCATGCACACCCACACACCAACCTGGGTGACCGAGTGTAGGGCCCTGTCTCAAACAAACAAACAAAACGATGTTGGTGTGAATGTGGTAAAAAGGGAACAGTTCTACACTGTTGGCGGGAATGTAAACTAGAACCACTACGGAAAACTGGAAATTCCGTAAAGAACTAAAAGTAGCTCTACCATTTCATCCAGCAATCCCACTACTAGGTATCTACCCAGAGGGAAAAAAAAAAAATTGTACTGGCACACACATAGCAGCACGATTCACAACTGCAAAAATATGGAATGAGCCCAACGTCCATCAACCAATGAGTGGATAAAGAAAATGTGGTGTGTGTGTGTGTGTGTGTGTGTGTGTATGTATATATGAAGTGTGTATATATACGTATATATGTATGTATATATGTATGTATATATGTGTATATATGTATGTATATATGTGTATATATGTATCTATATATGTATGTGTATACACACACACACACACACACACCATGGAATACTACTTAGCTATAAAAAGGAATGAAAGAATGGCATTCACAACAACCTGAATGGAAGTAACTAACTTCCATTCTAAGTGAAGTAACTAACTCTGGAATGGAAAATCAAACATCGTATGTTCTCACTTATAAGTGCGAGCTAAGTTATGAGGATGCAAAGGCATAAGAATGATACAATGGACTTTGCAGACTCAGGGGAAAGTGTGGGAGGGGGTGAGGGATAAAAGACTACACACTCGGTACAATGTACACTGCTCAGGTGATGGCTGAACCCAAATCTCAGAAATCACCACTAAAGAACTTCCATGTAACCAAAAACCACCTGTTCCCCAAAAACTTATTGAAATAAAAAATACATTATAAAAAATAAGTAAATTCCACTATGCTACCTTGAAAAAAATAACTGGGCCTTTGTATAAAGATTGCTTTGCAAAGGCAATTAAACTTCTAATTATACTTAAAAGAAGTGCTAAACTAGAAATCCTAGACATATTATGTAAGGATATAGAGTGTATCATTTAGACTGATACAGAGTTCAGTCAATAGACATTTAAAGAAAACACACTGGTCCTACATTTAGAAATTAATGAAAGAGTGTATTTACTTGTTTTAATTTAAAATAAAATGTTTAAAGTACACGAGTCCCTAGTTTAGTGAAGTTTTTCAATTAACTGAAAAATTCAATTCTGAAAAATTTTGAAGAAAAAAAAGAGTCCTCTAACAGAAAAAAATGGAAAAAGGCATAGGCTGGCAACAAGGAAGCTAGAGTAACAATGGTAAGATGGCACTGCATTCAAGATAAACTGGTCAAACAAAATGAAAAGGGGCACATTATGAAAAGTATAATTCATAATATAATGAAGAAAAAAATCTGCCAAAAATCTTTGAACATAAAATGGAACAGCATTAAAATGTCTCTTTCAGCCCAGGAAAATGAAGTAAACAAAAATGAAGAATATAGCAAATTTAAATTACAAAATTAATTTATCTTTTAGACATATGGGATTCTGTACCCTAAAAACTGAGAACACATCTCCTTTTCAAGAACTTATGGAATAGTTACTAAAGGCCCCAATGAAAACCTTCATAAATTTTAAAAGTCAGAGAGAACTCCTTAATTAACCACAAGGCAATAAAAGTAAATAGGACAAACAAAAAAAAATTAATTAAATTAAAATCAAACATCTTTAAATGACTCAAGTCAGAGACAAAATCTCAAAGTGAACACAAATGTATACTAACATAATGAAAATGCTACATATCAGCCGGGCGAGGTGGCTCATGCCTGTAATCCCAGCACTTTGGGAGGTCGAGGCGGGCGGATCACTTGAGGTTAGGAGCTCAAGACCAGCCTGGCCAACATGCTGAAACCCTGTCTCTACTAAAAATAAAAAATTCGCTGGGCGTGGTGGCAGGAGTGAGGCTGAGGCAAGAGAATCGCTTAAACCCAGGAGACGGAGGTTGCAGTGAGCCAAGATCGCGCCACTGCACTCCAGCCTGGGCAACAAAAGCGAAACTCCATCTCAAAAAAAACCACAAAAACAAAAACAAAAAAACATATCAAAATATATGTGATTCTGCAAGACCCTAAAACTGGGTCCACAGAAAAATTCAAAGATTTAAACACTTACAAAACTACCTGGTAAGGAATTAAAAGAAATAAATTATGCATTCAATTCAAGAAGTCGCTAATTATAAACCCCCAGCCAGCAAAAGAAAAATCAGAAAAAATAAAGATAAAAGCACAAATTAATGAATTAGAAAATAAAAAGTAACAGCATTAAACATTACAAGAGTTGATTCTTTGATTATGCAAGAGAAAACTCAATTGGTAAACAACTAGCTGGCATAATCAAGAAAGGGAATGTGCTTATACAAAATCAGAAATAGAGCAATAACCACACATGCATGAGGAATCAAAATGTGTAAAACTACTTTGAAAATTCTATGAAAATTAATTTGAAACTCAGATGAAAAGGATAATTTTATAGCAAAATATATATCATCAAAATTTGCAGCAGAAGACACAGAAATCCAAAAGAAGCTAATAATTGTCAAGGAAACTGAGAAAGTGATCAAGGAGCTACCATGGCTCTTTTTCCTTCAGGAGAAAGAAAAAAGGGGAGGACAATAAAGACATAGGTCCAAAATTCACAACACACTTCAGAGCACACAGAAAACAGAAAGCTCCCAAATTTATTGTTGAGGTCAAAAGTATACTGATACCAAAATTTGACAAAGACGACCAAAAAAAAGAAAAATCAAACTGATCTCACTTATGAACATTGAAGTACAAACCGTAAATACCAGCAAACATTGGGAGTGGTAGGGAGAAAACAATTCAACTAGATAAGGTATATCCTGGGATTGCTAACGTGGCTCTAATTTGGAAGTTTATTAATATATATTACCTTAGATCAAAGGAGTAAAATAATATGATCATAGCTATGAGTCACAAGAAGGATCTGAAAAAATACTAAACATCAATTCCTGACACCCCAAACCCATTGTAAAATAGGAATAGACATATATATATATATATATATACACACAAAATCAGAGCTGTAATGAAGAAATGCTGAAAGCCAGCAACGAGGACATCAATTGTATTATTAATTAGAATTATTCCCAACATATTAGCCAATGAATTAGACAAGAAATAAATATAAATATTGGAAAGGAGAGGACAAAATTATCCTTATGAAATGATTAAACATCTGAAAATTCAATAGATGCAGCTGAACAACAGGTATGTTCTGAGAAATATGTCGTTAGGTGATTTTGTCACTGAGCAAACATAGAGTGGATTTACACAAACTGTGATTGTATAGCTTACCTAGGCTTTATGGTATAGCCTATTGCTTCTAGGCCACAAACCTGTAAAGCATGTTACTGTTCTAAATATTGTAGGCAATGTAACACAGTGGTAAGTATTTGTGTATCTAAACATATCTAAAGAAAGAAAGGGTAGAGTAAAAATATGGTATTATAATCCTATAGGACCACATTACACACTCGGTTCATCATAGACTAAACTGTCATTTTGCAGGGCATGACTGTATCAGGGGGAAAAAAAAGGAACTCAGTCAAGTGACCAATTACAAAATTCATACGTACAAGTCACTAGAAATTCTATAACTTTTTTATTTTTAGTTTTGAGATGGGGTCTCACTCTGTCGCCCAGGCTGGAGTGTGGTGGTGCCATCTCAGCTCACTGCAACCTCTGACTCCCGGGTTCAAGCGATTCTCCTGCCTCAGCCTCCCGAGTAGCTGGCATTACAGGTGTGTGCCACCACACCCGGCTAATTTTTGTGGATTCTATAATTTTAAGAAGCAGATAAGAAAACATAATAAAAGACTAGATCCTATTTATAACAGCTTCAAAAAAGGTGAAATAATAGCAAATGTAAAACTACATGAAACACTTTAAAACTCCTCAGAGAATCATAATAGATCAAATATACATAGACACATCTTGTTCTCAGGTAAAACAATCCAATCCTGTCAAAATATTGACTCGAGATCCCAAGAAAACATCAATAATGCTTTTTCAAGAAAGTCAACAAAATGACAGTGAACTTTGTTATGCAAACAACGAAAAGAGAAAAATTCTAAAAGACTAACTGAAGGAGAATGAGCTACATGACATATTAAAACATGCTGCAACAGCTTAACGCTAGAGGAGGGAAATGACAGAATAGAAAGTCAAGAAATAGACCAAGAGACATATGGGAAGAGTCTGTCATCAAGAAGACATCTTAAGACCACCAGGGATAGGTGAACTATCAATGAATGATGATGAGTAGGTGGGAGAAACTTTCGGGACTAGTGGGTCCAGCAGGGCTCTTACTTAATTTCTTGTATCAAAATGAAATCCAGAAACATCAAATATATAAATATTTATTTTTAAAAAATATAAAAGTTGGAGAAAAATATTTTTTAGAAGGCTTGCACTGCAGAAGGCCTTCTAATACATAACATAAAACCTTGAATCCATAAAAGAATAAATCTGACAATGCAAAATGTACAAATTTCTTGATAACCAAAAAATGGCATAAAGAAAGCAAAAAATAGAGAAAAACTGCAAATATATATGACAAAGGATTAATGTTGTAACATAAACTGTGCTGTTAGAAATCAGTAAGAGAAAGGCAAACAATTCTATAAGCAAACGGGCAAAGCACAGAAACAAACATCACACAAAAAGAATGATGAAAAGGAAGAAGAAAGGTAATAAGAAAGAAATCACAAAAGCAAGAGGGAGAACACAAATTCAAGCGGCCAATCAATAACCTAAAATATTCTCAATTCATTCATCATTAAAAAATCCATGGACCCGGTGTGGTGGCTCACGCCTGTAATCCCAGCACTTTGGGAGGCTGAAGCAGGTGGATCACGAGGTCAAGAGTTCGAGACCAGCCCGGCCAACATGGTGAAAGCCTGTCTCTACTAAGAATACAAAAATTAGCCAGGCATGGTGGCGCGTGGCACTTGCCTGTAATCCCAGCTACTCAGGAGGGCTGAGGCAGGAGAATTGCTTGAACCCGGGAGGCGGAGTTTGCAGTGAGCCAAGATCACGCCACTGCACTCCAGCCTGGGCAACAGAGGAAGACTCCATCTCAAAAAAAAAAAAAAAAAAAATCCAAAGAATTTTGGCGTAATGGAAATTGTTCTATATCTTGATTGTGGTGGTGTTTACGTAACTGAATGCATTTGTCAAAACTCAACAAAATACAACTAAAAAAGGTGATTTCACTGTATGCAAATTATATCTCAATTTTTAAAATTCATTGAAAAGGAAATTCAAACCAAAACAAGATAACCTCTTCATCTGAGTCTGAAAAACTTAAATTAGTAACACTTAATGTTGGGAAAAGCATCCTGAACTGAGCACTCATAACTCATGATTGAAGTAAATTGGTAAAACTTTGTAAAAGATGATTTGAAAATATTTATCAAAAATTTAAATTGATATACACCTAACCAAGTAATTATGCTACTAATGATTTGTTCTTTGGATATATACTCATGCCAAAAACAAAGACATATGGACAACAATGTTCCTTATTGCATTAATTGAAAAAAAAACAAAACAAAAAGCAAACATTACTTGATCATTGACCTAATATTGGTAAATACAGACCACATATTGGCCTACTATGTGCCAAGTCTTTGTTATAACCCTGTTAAGTTTGGTACTGTGCACTGTGGAACCAGACTGCGTAAGTTCACGTACTATATTCTGGCTCCACCACTGAATAATTTTGTGATCTTAGACATATCAGCACCCATCACTCAGGCTAGTTGTGAGGTTTAAATGCATTAATATATGTGATGTTTTTAAAACAATGTCTGGCTTATATTAGGCTACACAGATGTTTGCAGCTAGCAAAAGTAGTAGTACTAATATTCTCAATGTATAGATGGGGAAGCTGAAATACAGAGAGGTTAAGGAACTTGCCTAAAGTCACACAACTGATTTTAGAGCTCACTTCCCTACACGAAACATTTACTGCATAATTCATTTTGGCAAAAATGTGGAACCTAAATGTCAGGAAGCAACAATAACCATAAAAAAAAATCATCAGACTAGTTTAATAAATGATAATCAATACAAGGGAATGTTGTAGAGATAAAGCGAGATGCCCACTACACATTATTGGGGAAAGAAGCTATAAAACTAAATGCAAAGATCATCTCATTTGTATATATATTTATATGCCTAAAGTGCATAGTAAATGTTTCAAAATATATACAAGTAACAGCGATTACATCTCTAGTGAACAGTAAAAAGGATCAGGAAGTTGACTTTTATTTTCTGTATTAGACTTTTCTGTAACCATCGAGCCGATTTTACATTACTACAAAATGACCACTCCACCCCATCAAGTGTTCAGGTACAATTTAAGGTAAAATAAGGCACTCTAAGTAAAAAAACCCTGTCTCTGTGTTTCAGTTACTTGGTATCATGAAAAGCAGGTCCGTGATGCTCTCAGGGCCAAAGGTATAAACAACTTTCCTTAATCCATCTCCCATAAGCCTTCCCAAACTGTTGGAATTGTTCCTCGCTTTTAATCTCATGAAGCAAAGTATCAGCCTCATGCCTTGCCTCATTCCAAGTACCTCATTTCAGCCTTTTGCTTCCCTCTTCAAGCAATAGCAAAAACACAAGGATGAAAGATGAACTCATTACCTTCTAGGATCTTAGATTCTAGTGTAGAATACATTGGGGAACATCTGCAGGAGACTGTGAGAAGTGCTCTAAGAGAAACATATTTCAGAATGCCATCAGCACTCAGAGCCACACCTAACTCAGACCAGGAGGAATGAGGGAAGGCTTTCTAACATTAAGGCTGCTACTTCTGCTGCTGCTCCAACCGCCACTCACTTGGAGGTTATGCACTAACAAATGTTATGTTTAACTTCTTGAATCCTCATAAGAGCTCTACTTGGAAGACACTATTTTTATCTCCGTTTTATAGAAGAGCAAACTGAACCTTAGTTTAATAATTTGCCCAAAGTCACAAAAGAAGTTACCAAGGAATGGATACAAGTGCTGAACCCTTGGTGCATAATTCAGAAACTGCCATGTTACTTGAATGTGCACTCACTTAACATCAGGCATGGCAACACAGAACCTCATGATTAAGAGCATAGACAGGAGACGGGAGACGAGAGTCCACATTGCAACTACTATTTCCTAATGACCTTGGACATCCATGTCTCAGTCTCCTCATGTGAAAATGGGGATAAAAGCAGTATATACCTAGGGGATTCACTTCTGGCATGATGGAATGAGGTGGTTGGCCGGGCTTGGTGGCTCACGCCTATAATCCTAGCACTTTGGGAGGCCGAGGTGTGCAGACTGCTTGAGCCCAGGAGTTCAAGACCAGCCTGGGCAACACAGGAAGATCCTGTCTCTGCAAAAAAAAAAAAAAAAAAAACCCCACAAAAAATTAGAAAATTAGCCAGGCATGGTGACGAATACCTATAGTCCCAGCTACTAAAGAGGCTGAGGTGGGAGGATCACCCAAGCCTGGAAAGGAAGGTCAAGGCTGCAGCGACCTGTGACTGCACCACTGCACTCCAGCCTGGGCAACAGAGTGAGACCCTGTCTCAAAAAAAAAAAAAACCATTTATGAAAACTATATTTTAAAAAAAGGAATGAGGAGGCCAATAAATCTCCTTCCCCAAAAGTAACTATGAAGCTGGACTAAACTGTCAATAGCAACCATTTCAGTACTTTGAATTCATCACATTTGGTGACAACTGGAAATGGTAAGTGTGTACGTCAATTTAAAATACTATAAATATATTTTTTTCATTTCTTCTTCAAAGGGCATGAGACTGTTTAAGTTAATAACTGTTAACAGTAGTGTTGAGGTTATAACATACAACATATAGTAATTTATGTAAATAATAGCACAGGCTGGGCGTGGTGGCTCACGCCTGTAAACCCAGCATTCTGGGAGGCTGAGGCAGGAGGATCACTTGAGGTCAGGAGTTCGAGACCAGCCTGGCCAACATGGTGAAATCCTGTCTCTACTAAAAACACAAAACAATTAGCTGCGTGAGGTGGCACATGCCTGTAATCCCAGCTAATCGGGAGGCCAAGGTAGGAGAATCACTTGAACCTGGGAGGTGGAAGTTGCAGTGAGCTGAGATCATGCCACTGCACTCCAGCCTAGGCAACAGAGCAAGACTCTTGTCTCAAAAATAAAAATAAAAATAAAGGCATAAAGTTAGGGGAGGAAAAGGAGACATGAAGCCAAGTGTCTGTATTTTATCAGTATTAAGGTAGCATTATTTTGAAGCAGATTGTGGTAAGTAAAGATACATGGAGTGATTTGTGGAGCAATCACAAATAAAATTACTTAGACAATATTATTTAAAAAATAAAACGTCAAGAGAGGAATTAAATTGGCACACCAAAAAATATGCACTTAACACAAAAGAATGCAGTAACAGAGGAACAAATAAACAAAAATAAATTTTAAAAAGAATAGCAAAATGACAAACATAAATCCAATGGAATCAATAATCACATTAAGTGTGAATGGACTAATAAACCCTTACTCCAGGAGTCAGCAAACTTTAGTTCACAGGCAAAATTCAGCATATCATCCTTTTTGTGTATTTCATAAGCTAAAAAGTTTTTTTATTATTTAATGATAAAAAAACAAAAAAGTGACAAATGGAAATTATATGAAATTCAAATTTCAATGTTCATAAATAAAAGTTTGGAATAAAGCCACTCCTACTTTGTTACATATCTTTTATGGCTGCTTTCTCACTGCAACAAAGTTGCATTGTTAAGAGGCCATAAAGCATGCAAAGCCTAACACATTTACAATCTGACCCTTACAGAAAAAGTTTGCTGATGTCACTCTACTCAAAAAGTAGAAATTGTCAGACTAAATCTTTTTTAAAAAAGAAACAACTATGTGCTGGCTACAACAGACTCCCCTAGCACAGAAAGACACAAACCACTTAAAAAGGACAGGAAAAAATTTCCATGTAAATAATAATCATGAGAGCTAGAATAGCAATATTAATATCAGACAAAATAGACTTTTAGTATTACCAGGGGCAAAAAGGGGCATTTCAAAATGATAAAAGGGTCAATACATAACGAAGACACAGCAATTGTAAACACATATGCACTTAACAAAACCCCAAAATACATAAAGCAAAGCCTGAGAGAACTGAAAGGAGACACAGACAATTCAACAATAATACCTGAAGATTTCAAAAAGCCAATTTCATAAATGATGGAACAAATAAAGATGAAATAGCAAGGTATATAATACTTCAACACTATCAACTAACTTGACCTAATTAATATTTTTTCAAGGCTTCATTTTTCCGGATAGACCACAACAAGCCTCAATAGCCAGGTGTGGTGACTCACACCTGTAATCCCAGAATTTTGGGAGGAAAAGGCAGGAGGATCACATGAGCCCAGGAATTCAAAACCAGCCTGGACAGCATAGTGAGACCTAGTTGTTGCAAAAAATTAAAAAAAAAATTAGCCAGGTATGGTGGCGCATGCCTGTAGCCCCAGCTACATGGGAAGCTGGGGCAGGAGGATCACTTGAGCCCAGGAGTGCTGAGGCTGCATCTTGTCCATGATTACGCCACTGCACTCCAGTCTGGGTGACAGAGCAAGACTGTCTCCAAAAGCCTCAATAAATTTAAAAAGACTGATACTATAATTATACCAAGTATGTTCTCTGACCACAATGGAAGTAAATTAATGATATATCTACAACAGAAATAAATCTGGAAAAACACCGAATATTTCTAAATGAAACAAAACACTTCTAAATAACCAATGGGCCAAAGACTAAAAAATCACAAGGAAAAGTTAGTAAATATTTTGAACAGAATAAAAACAAAACATACACAAATTTATGGGATGTGGCTAAAGTAGTGCTTAGGAAAAAATGTACAGCTTTAAATGCCTATATCTCAAATCAATAACCTAAGCTTTCACCCTTAAGAAATTAGAAAATAACTAAACCCAATGAAAGTAGAATAAAATAGTAAATGTTAGAGTAGAAATTAATAAAATAGAAAACAGAAAAACAAGAGGGAAAAAACAAATAAAACCAAAAGTGAGTCATTTGAAAAGATAAAAAACAGACAAAGCTTTAGGCTAGACTGACAAAGAAATTAAGAGAGAAGACATAAATTAGCAAAATCAGAAATGAAAGAAAGGCTATCACTATCAAGCCTATGGAAATTTAAAGGACTATATGGGAATACTATAAATCACCTTTTACCAACAAATTAGAAAACTTAAGAGAAAATGGACAAAATCCTAGAAAGACACAAATTACCAAATCTGACTCAAAAGGAAACAGAGAATCTAAATAGACCTATAACGAGTAAGGAATGAATTGATAATTAAAAACCTTCCTATAAAGAAAGGTCAGGCTCGGGTGGCTTCACTGGTAAATTCCACTAAAGATTTAAACAATTAATACAAATCTTCACAAACTCTTTCAGCTAACAGAGAAGAAAGGAACACTTCACAAGCCATTCTGTGAGGCCAGTATTACCCTGATAACAAAGGCAAAGACATCACAAGAAAACTACAAATCAATATCCATCATGAACACTGATAGAAAAATTCTTTATTATTTTTAGAGACAGGGTCTCATTCTGTTGCCCAGGCTGGAGTGCAGTGATGCAATCATGGCTCGCTGCAACCTCCATCTTCAGGCTCAAGTGATCCTCCCATCATGGCCTCCCAAATAGCTGGGACTACAGGCACGCACCAGCACACCCGGCTAATTTTTTTATTTTTTGTAAAGCTGGGGTCTCCCTATGTTGCCCAAGCTTGTCTAGAACTCCTGGGCTCAAAGAGTCCTCCTGCCTAGACCTCCCAAAGTGTTGGGATTACAGGCGTAAGCCACCATGCTTGGCCAAAACTTCTTAACAAAACATCAGCAAACTGAATTCAGCAACATATAAAAAGCATTATATACCTTGACCAAATGAGATTTATCCAGGTTGGTTTAACATCAATAACCAATTGATGCACTACAGCATACTAATAAAGATGGAAAAAAACACACATGATCATCTTAATAGTTGCAGAAAGGCATTGACAACACCTATTGATAAAAACTTTTTATAAGCTAAGAACAGAAGGAAACTTGCTCAAACTAATTAAGGGCAACTATGAAAAACCTACAGCTAACATCATACTTAATGCTGAAGGGCTGAATGCTTTGCCACTAAGACTGGGGGCAAGACAAGGACATTTGCGCTCACCCCCTCTACTCAACACTGTACTGAAGGTTTGAGCCAGTGGAACAAGAAAAAAAATGCATACAAATTGGAAAGGAAGAAATAAAACCATCTTTATTCATAATTGACACAATCTTAGTTTTTGGCTTTCTTTCTTTTTTTTTTTTTTTTTTTTTTGAGATGGAGTCTCTGTCACCAGGCTGGAGTGCAATGGCACGATCTCAGCTCACTGCAATCTCCGCCTCCCAGGTTCAAGAGATTCTCCTGCCTCAGCTCCCAGTAGCCTCCCCAGTAGCCTCCCCAGTAGCGTGCGCCACCACACCCAGCTAATTTTTTGTATTCTTAGTAGAGACAGGGTTTCACCATGTTGGCCAGGATGGTCTTGATCTCCTGACCTCGTGATCCACCCACTTCGGCTGCTTTTTTGTGACAGGATGTCACTCTGTCACCAGGCTGGGGTGCAGTGGCATGATCACAGCTCACTGCAGCCTCGACCTCCTGAGCTCAACCAATCTTCTTGCCTCAGCCTTCCAAGGAGCTTGGACTACAGATGCATGCCACCACACTTAGCTAACTTTTAATAGAGACAGGGTCTCCCTATGTTTCCCAGGCTGGTCTTAAACTCCTAGGCTCAAGCGATCCTCCAGCCTTGGCCTCCCAAAGTGCTGAGATTATAGGCATAAGCCCCCACGCCTGGCCAGCTGACAAAATCTTATACGTAGAAAAACCCAAGGAACTCACACAACACACACACACACCCCCACACACCCACCCTACAAGCCTACAAACCTAGCAACAATAAAACGACTAGCACACCAAAAGTGAATTAAGAAAACAATTCTGTTCACAAAATATAAAATGACTGAGGAATAAATTTAACACATGTAGTACAAGATTCATACAGTCAAAACTACAAAACACTGCTAAGAGAATATAGAGATTCTAAATAATTAGAGATTCCATGTTTTTGAACTGGAAGATTCAATATTATTAATATGGCAATTCTTCCAAAATTGATCTATAGATTCAAACAATCCCTATCAAAAGCTTAGTAAGCTCTTTTTTATATTAATTGATACAATATTCCTAAAATTTATATTGAAATGCAATTTTGAAAAAGAACAAAGTTACACTATCCAATTTCGAAAGTGCTTATAAAACTATAGGAATCAAGACAGTGTGCTGCTGACACAGAGACTGGCATACACATCACAGAATAAAGGAGTCTGGAAATAAATCCTTACATTTATAGTCGACTGATTTTCAAGAAACGTCCCAAGACGAGTCAATGAGGAAAGTCTTCTTGACAAATGGTGCTGGGACAAATGAATAACTAAAAACAAAAATGTAAACCCTTACTTCACACCATAGGTAAGAATTAAGTCAAAATGGGTCATATACCTAAATGTATGAACTAAAACTATAAAACTTTTTTTTTTTTCTTTTTGAGACGGCGTCTTGCTCTGTTGCTCAGGTTGGAGTGCAGTGGCGCGATCTCGGCTCACTGCAACCTCCCACCTCCCGGCTTCAAACAATTCTCCTGCGTCGGCCTCCCCAATAGCTGGGATTACAGGTGCATGCCACCATGCCCGGCAAATTTTTGTATTTTCTTAGTAGAGACTGGGTTTCACCATGTTGGCCAGACTGGTCTCGAACTCCTGACCTTCAGATCCGCCCACCTCGGCATCCCAAAGTGCTGGGATTACAGGCGTGAGCCACCGCGCTCGGCCATGAAACTATAAAACTTCTTTAAAAAAACTTTGTGACTCTAGTTTGGACAAAGAGTTCCTGGACACAATACCAAAAGCACAATATATAAGAGAAAAACTCTGCTAAGTTAAACATCATTAAAATTTAATAACTAAAATTTAAAAGTGTTTGTGTTTCAAAACAAACCATTAAAAGAAAGATAAGCCACAGGCTAGAAGAAAATATCTGTGTATCATATCTTCTAAGCCACAGGCTAGAATATCTGTGTATCGTAACTGACAAGAGATGATACCAAGATATAAATAAAACCTAATTTTTTAAATGAGCAAAAGATGTGAACAAACCTTTGACCAAAGACAACACACAAATGGCTAATAAGCACACGAAAAGGTGCTTAATAGTATTAGTCATTCAAAATGTAAATTAAAGCCACAAAAAGATACCACTGCACAACCACTATCATGACAATATCATGACAAAGGGAGGGATGCAGAGAAACCAGAAACCTTATACACTGCTGGTGGGAATGTAAGATGGGTTGGCTTTTAAGCAAAGTTTTTTTTTTCCCCGATTGCAGGAAAGCGATGATTGAAGTGTGTGGCTAAATATAGAGAACAAAAAAATTTATCACACGGCAGGTAAACTTCAGACCCCTAGAAATCATTCTGTATCAGTTCATCCAGATCATCCTGTGTCTTTTCTTTTTCTTTACTGTTGCATTGACCTTGTATCTTGACTTTTTATTCTTTTTCTAGTACCTGAGGATCAGAAGTTTCTCCATTTTATTTTAGTCAAATTTATCAGTTTACCTTTACTATCTGCCCCTTCTATTGTCTTAAAAAAATTCATCTGACATTGAGATCATATATCCTCCTGTATTTGCTGTAAAGAAGTTTTGGTTTTCATATTTAAGTCCTTGATTAAATCTAGTACGATTTATGTGTGAGGTAGGTAAAGATTTACATTTTTCCACACATACAACCAATTCACTCAACACATTTATGGAAAAATATTAACCCTCACAAGAATCAGAGATATACAAATTAAACTATTAACACTATGATTTTCCAAAAGTCAAATCAGCAAAGATTTTTCTAAATGGTTGTATTGATTGCCTGAAAGTGTCTTTTTTAAAAAATTTATTATTATTAGTTTTTTGAGAGTCTCAGTCTGTCACCCAGGCTGGAGTGCAGTAGTGCAATCTCAGCTCACAGCAACCTCTGCTTCCCGGGTTCAAGCGATTCTCCTGCCTCAGCCTCCTGTAGCTGGAAATACAAGTACATGCCACCACTCCCAGCTAATTTTTGTATTTTTAATAGACATGGGTTTCACCACGTTAGCCAGGCTGGTGTCAAACTCCTGACCTCAGATGATCCACCTGACTCAGCCTCCCAAAGTGCTGGGATTACAGGTGTGAGCCACCGCACCCAGCTGAAGGATCTTAATACAGCCATAAAAATTAATTTGGCAATATGCAACTGAAAAGTAACGATACTCCTTGACCCAATAATGCTGTTTTTATAAATATTAAAGAAAAAAACATAAAAATATTCCCTGGATCATTATTTATGACAAAAAGTAAATTTAAATTAAAAAAATTGGAAACATCCTAATTTCCAACAGTATGAGTAAAGAAAATCCTGGCACATTTACACAATGGAACTTTAGAGAACCAGTGAAATTGATATTTATACAGAGTTATAAATAACATGAGGGGAAAATTCATATTGTTCGTTTGTTAAGTGCAAAAACACAGGAAACAAAATTATATGTATGTGGTTCAATTACATAGAAAGAATAGGGAGGAAAACTGGACCACAAAGTACAGCAGAACTGTTAACTGGATGGCAGAACTTTTGTAAACATTATTTTCAAAACATCCTATAATGAACATGCAGTGTTTTTATAAGAATAAAACCTGTGAGCTTGTTTGTTCTTACTTTTTTTTAAAGGAAATGGTTGAGTAAATCCATTAAAAATGCAGGGCCTTTTCTTGGCTTTCAGTTATACCATGACTGCCAAACAAAAAATAAATCAAAAGATGAGACTATTGGGTTTTTTTGTAGCTTTTTGTTTTTACTATTATTCTTTGGCTTTGGTAGAACCTAGACAGCCTCCTCCTCTTTACCTGCTCAAAATAACTTTTTGCAAATCTGACTTAAATTTTTTTTTTATACTGGTGTATATATATATACAGTTAGGAACCGGCTTTGAATATTCAAAGTCTAAATGACAAGAGTGATAAGCCTACCAGCTTTTCAAGACCCTCTTCCCTTCCTACTCAGCTTATATTCCACAATTCATCACTGTAATCATTTCCTTGTGTATACTTCTATTCCCTTCCACTACTCTCCTGAAAAACTCTCTTGGTAAAACCATATTAGTAAATTCAACTCCGCTTATGTCATGCCTGCACCCATAGAGCTAAATAAGGCTGGAGAAAAAGAGAACTGGTCTGATGGGTCTCACTTTGTAGTCAAGGCCATGACCCGCAGGTGGGTCCTTAATGCTGTCTGGAAATCAAACTACTTTTCCCTGGTCCATTCTTCTCCTTCCCGGCCTACCATTTCACACCTTCCCTCTCTTTTCTCCACCCCTGGAACACTCTCATTACCCCTGGAACACTCCCTCATTTAATATCGCAGCAGATGGCCCAACTTCCTATTTCACCAAGAAAAGGAACGACATCAGAAGACCTTGGACTCGGCTCCCATCTACCCACTCAGCACCATGTTTCCATCTACTCCATTCTGCTACCTTGCTCAAGGGCCCCCACCGTCAGCTGGCACACTTAATCTCCCAACAATTTCCCCACTCCACTGGCTCATTCCTGAAAATGTTATTTCTCATATATAAACAAACTTGTGGGGACCCCACCTTCCTCACCAGCTGCAGCCCCATCTCTCTGATTCCCTTTGCAGCAAAATGCCTTAGGAGAACTGAGTCTACTGATGCCCACGATTCCTCTCCAATCTTCTCTGACACCCACACCAAAGCCTTCTCTACCAATCATCGCACAGAGCAGCCTTTGCCTAGCGTGAATTCACAGTCCTAATCTTAGAGGCACTGTGTGTGACCACTGACCACTCCTTTTCCTTTCATATCATTTTACCTCTTTGCTCAGCACACCACACTCTCACGGTCCCTCAGTCTGACTCCTTTGCTAGTCTCCCTCTGGAGTCTTAACAGGAGTGCCCCAGCACTCAAGACTTTGGTCCCCTCTTCTCCACCTGTGATTTCACTCATGCTCATGACACTGCATAGCATCGATGTGCCCTACACTCCCAAATTCTCTCTCTTCATTTACAGACCAGTTATATTCAGCTCCCTTCAGGACACTGCCACTTTGATGTCTTGCAGATATCTGAAACTTCACAAGTTCAAAACTAAACTCGGGTTGTTCCCCACCCCACCCCCACCCCAGCCCCACTTGCAGGTTTAAATCTTCTCTATACTTCCATTTCCGGCTACTCTACATTCTTCCAATGATCAGATCAGAACATTCAGAATCACCCTTGGCTCCTTTCTTTCTCTCATTCCTCATCCAGTATGTCATGAAATCCCAATTTCAGCTACCTCCAAAACATATGCAGAATCCAACTACTTTTTGCCACTATACTAGTCCAAGCTACCATCCTCTTTCTCCTGCATTATGGCAATACCTCCTAATAAGTTTCCTTGCTTTCTTTCCCCTGCCCCATTCTATTCTCAACATGTCTCAGCAAACTGGGACAGATGCTGACACTGTGGCTACTACTGTAATAAGGTCCTTTATCTCTAACCCAAGAGTCTTATGTCTTCTGCCAGCATCCAACTGGTAGCTGGCTAACTGGTGAGCCTGCCTTTGAGCTTGTGTTGAAGGCAAAAATCTCAGACATTTCACACTTCTCGGCAACTGCATTCAAACATAATAAATATTTACAACTACATAAAAACAGAATTACATTTGCATAATAAATGGAATACAGTTGCTTTGACTTCTTTCAGGGCCCTTAGCTCTTACCACAATAACCTCTAATTGAAATGCAACAGGAACACTGCATGGCTACAAAGGTAGATTTAAAAAAGTTAAATATAGCCAAATTGAGAAAAATGAACTTAAAGTTGACAAATAATTTTAACTTAAATTAAGAATAAATTTATATTTACAACAAAAGTTCTAATAAATTTTCAAGTGATTCACTCCTACTTTATAGGCTATTGACACAAAAGTATGGGGTAGCACTAGCTTAAATTTGCAGGGGGATACTAAGTGAATCTCCATATAAAATACATGATAATCTCTAAATCATGTCCAGTTCTAAAAGCTTCTGACTCAATGAAAATAAAAATATGTACGGACTTAGATATCTAACCAGCAATGAACAACTTTCCCATGAGCATTTCTAAGCATCCTTCACTGTAATTGTATTCAATGCATTCTTATTCAATTATTAAACTGAATATGAAACAAATATTCATAACGTCAATCATGTAAAAATGCTTTTTGTGTTGGCTTATAAGAATTGATTAATGAGGCTGGGCGCGGTGGCTCACACCTGTAATCCCAGCACTTTGGGAGGCTGAGGCTGGCAGATCACTTGAGGTCAGGTGTTCGAGACTAGCCTGGCCCACGTGGTGAAACTTTGTCTCTACTAAAAAAATACAAAAACTAACCAGGTGTGGTGGTGGGTGCCTGTAATCCCAGCTACTTGGGAGTCTGAGGCAGGAGAATCACCTGAACCCAGGAGACAGAGGTTGCAGTGAGTCAAGATCATGCCACTGCACTCCAGCTTGGGCGAGAGAGAGACTAAGTCTTAAGGAAAAAAAAAAATAAAGAATTGATTAAATGACTGCACACCTCTCCTTAATTTTTTAGTTCAGATTTTAACAAGTTGCATTTAAGAAGTAGTAAATATATATGCCAATTCATCACTGTCTTTATACGTATACGGTCATCCCTCGGTATTCATGGGGGATTGGCTCCAGGAATAACAGAAGCTATGAATGCTCAAGTCCCTTATATAAAACGTCATAGTATTTGCATATAACCTATGTACATCCTCCCCATACTTTAAATCATCTCTAGATTATTTATAACACCTAACACAAGTGTTATATAAATGGTTATATTATTTTTTGTTGTCTTATTTGCACTTAACCAATTCAAAGAAATGTGATATAAGACATATTTCATCTTTGTCTCTAGTTCCTGGCACAGTTCCTATATCTTTGGGATTTCCTGAGATAGAAATATTTTTTATTGTTCAAAACAAGCCCCTTTCAATCACAACTGTTAATGCTAACGCTGTGATTAAAAGCGGCCCTCCTAGATGGCCTCTGGATGGGGCTGGTCACCCAGAGACCCAGTGCCTAGAGTGTGGAACTTTCAGCACCGACCCCCCGTCCCTATCCTGAAGAGAAATGAAGAGAAAAGGAAAGGATTAGAGATTGAGTTCTACAGAAACTCTAACTACAAGATTCGGGGACCTTGCACACACAAGGGTGAGCTGGGCAGGAGGCCACCCTAGGAGGGCACAGAAACTCCACGTCCCCCCGTGCTTGCTCCGTGCACCTCTTCTACTGGGCTGTTGCTGAGTTGTGCCCTTAATAATAATGTTTTCCTGAGTTTTATCCAGCAAATTATCTAATCTGAGGAGGTAGTGGGAACCCCTGATTTGTAGCCAGTCGGTCAGAAGTATGAGAGGCCTGGGACTTGTGACTGGCATCTGAGGACGGGGCAGTCTCATGGGACTCAGCCCGTTGCCTGTGGGGACTGTACTTACTCTGGGTAGGGTCTGAATTAACTGAAATGTTGGACTCAGTTTTCTTTTTTTGTTTTTAAGACGGAGGGTCGCTCTTGTTGCCCAGGCTGGAGTGCAATGGCATGATCTTGGCTCGCTGTAAGCTCCACCTCCCGGGTTCAAGCGATTCTCCTTCCAGCCTCCCAAGTAGCTGGGATTACAGCATGTGCCACCGTGCCTGGCTAATTTTTGTATTTTTAGTAGACACGGGGTTTTGCCACGTTGGTCAGGCTGGTCTCGAACTCCTGACCTCAAGTGATCCGCCCACCTCGGCCTCCCAAAGTGTTGGGATTACAGGTGTGAGCCACCGCACCCAGCCTGGACACTCAGTTTTCACACTGAAGAAGTGGTTGTTGGTGTTGGAAACACATCACAAGAAATAAATCAGCCTTTTATCTTTACCACTGTGTGTATCAGGCCTGAGACTCCTATGAAATAACTATGACACTTTTCAACAAATTAATATAGGTATCTTAACTCTAAATCAGTGGAGACCTGGGCAACATTGATAATGGAAATCATTTGCACACTGAAAAGACAGCACCCCAACTTACTACTAGTAAGATCCTTAATGATGTCCACATCTGCAACCTTATTGGCTAAGGTATAATTACAGTTGGTGGCTTAGAAACAGCTATTGTAATACTTTCTGATATATATATAATACATCCTGACCTCCAGAATGATAAATGTAAAATACTATCTTATATATAGTTCTTTTAATACCATTCACCTATATATGATTATAGCTGACAATGACAAATTAAAAAACAATTATTTAACATTTTAATGTAAACAAAATTATTTTAACTAAAAATATAGCAAATTCCCTAAAAATCTCACCACATTAATTGTCTATGAAAAAGAATGACCTCATGAATTATAAACTACCAAGTAGGTAAGATTCTTTCAGAATTTGACAAATTATGAACAAAGATGTTTTGTTTTTATTCTGTACTGTAGCAAAGTGTTTTAATAGTTTCTTCATTGCTTTAAGATTAAAAGTAATTTGTTTATATATTAAAATATCTTAAATGTAATGAACTACTAAAGCAAAAATATCTAACTTGTGAAAGGCAACATGCATGTAAAACTAACTGAAAAATAACACAACTGTTATGACTGCTCTCAGAGCCTTCAGATCAACACAAAAGCTCTAATTTAAAGAGCAATTTGCCCATTATTCAAATGCTTTCACATAGAACATACAAGATTTTGTCATTCAATTTGCAGTAGAGAATTTGAGTTTTCAGTTAAAATAATCTTTTCCCCATTTCTAAAGTACATCCAAATGAAGAATGGAGTTTTAAATAGCAGATTTGGGGAACAAAAAGTAATCCACATGAAATTTGTTATTAAATGTACATTAAGAGCCAACATAAACTTCATTCATTGATCATTAGCGCTGAAGGGAATCTTGGAAAGCAATAATTATTCAATTTAATAATATATCCCTATTAAGCAAACAATATAAAAATCTTACAAAATGAAAAGATTACTTGTATTATAAAACAATAATCTGATTGCCAAAAGTAACCATTTATTGTGGGTTCCCAAAGATGCGATCTCTTGATGCTTTTAAAATAGTCCAAATTAAAATAATTATGTTACCACCCACTACAGATCAGCAGGCATTTCATCGACTAAGTTAATTGAACTCAGTGACACAGATGTGGCTTCATGAGAGCACTAACTGAAAACACTACTTTTATTTAAAGAAAAAAATAGATCTGGTTTTCCCAAAAACGAAGGGTTTAATATTCACTGATGCTAGCAAAACAAACAAAAACTGTTGAAAAGAAGGGAAAAAAAAACCCTCCTGATTAAACATACACTTCTTTATCTCCATCATTCCCCAAAAACACAGGAACGAAGAAAATCACAAAGCGAATTACGGCAGATGACAACAGTGTTAAGTGGCTAAAACAAACTGGAGTAAACCAAAATCTAAGACTGCTGGAAAGGAAGACGACGAAAAACCAGCCTGAGAAAAGGTTTCACAAATCTGAACTGAGAGGCGGATGCTATTTGTTTAAAAAAGAGGGGGTGAGGAGAACAGTTAGAAAACAAAACTCCCACAGCCAAAAAGTAAACATTCAATAAAAGAAAAATTGAGGGAACTCCCCTCCAAAGAACAACAACAACAACAACAACAACAGACAAGAAAAATGGAGAAAAAAGCTAAGAAAATAAGTAGACGGATTTAGGAGTTCCTATGTCCAATGAAGAAGAGCTTAAGACAGAAAAAAAAAAAAGAAAGAAAATGAGAAAATGAAAGGGAAGAAATTATAAAAGTCATTTTAATAGTTTTTCTAGAACTGAAAAACATAAGTTTATAGACTGAAAAGCTCTGTGGAATGCTCAGCACATCCAAAGTAGAAAAGAACAATCACCAGACCCACCATGGTAAAATGTTAGTATTTAGGCAATAACACAAAAGTCCCCCAAAAGCTTCCAGGGGGAAAAGAAATGGCTTACAACTGCCTGGGAAACTGGCGGCATGTGACTTAACAGTAACACTGAAAACCGGACGACAACGGAGCAATGCCTGCAATATTCCAAGAGGAAACACACTTACAACTATGACCCCCACTGACAGTTCAATGACTCTCCTTGTGCCCTTGCATGCGTCTGGAATTCTTGCAGGGACTAGGCCTGGTTCTGGCCTATGGTGACCAGCGTGCGACCTGCAGATACACCCACATCCGCCATGGGGACAACAGACAGGAACTGTAGGTGAAAGCAGATTGGACCCAAAGGAAGAGGCCAAGGGAGGCGGCGTCCACAGCAGACTTTGTGAAAGCAAGACACAGACCTCTATTCATGCACTGAGATTTCAGAGTTAATTTGTCACTGCCAAATAACTTATTTGATCTGAACTAAAATATTAACCTGAAATTTTATACACAGCCAGGCATACACCAAATACTTAGAACATAGACATTTTCTGACACACAAGGCTCAAAAAAAAAGTCATCTTCCCCATCACCTTTCACAGGAAGTCACTATGAGGATGAGCTTCATCATATCAAGGCGGTAAACTAAGGAACTGAAAACAAGGAACCCCACTTGGGAAGGAGAAAAGAATTTCTAAGTTGACGGTAGAGGCTCCTGTGATTCGTCCTGTTTTAGATACTGTTCCTGCCTTCTGTATCTTTCTCCAATCAAACACACGTCACCCTGCAAGAGCCAGCTCAACTGTAACATCCTCCAGGAAGACACGAATCCAAACTCCCCAGTTCCCAGGATTAAATTAAAACCTTAAGCATCAACAGCAAGAAGGGCTGCATACACCAGAGTCCACTCTGAAATCGACTACTAATGTGGTGTGTGACTCTGGGCAGATGACACCCTGCTTAGACCCAATTTCCTCATCTGTGCAAGGACGAAGATAATCTATAATCAGAGCAGTTCCTTCTAGCTCTAAAATGCAGTAATTCTGCTGCAAATATATAAAATCACTAAAATCCTACTGAAATTCTCTGCACTGGTATTTGCTTACATTTTCTGCCAGTCTGTGATATTTGGCAATAATGTTATTTCCTAAATATGTCACTTTTCTTTTTTAACTTTAAAAGCAATGTCAACAAACAAAAATGACTATTGTCTGAGGGATGGTAATACATTACTGAAAACCAAAATTAAGCTTTAAAAACAAACACCATTATTATACACATCACAACAAACTTTAAACAAGTAACATACAGATACAGTAAAAATCTACCAGTAAGAATTCATCTGACTTTCAAAGCATGCTAACCCAGCTGCTTCAACCATCTAGCATATTATTGATATGGTCAGAACAATGTGTACCACAAAAATCACTGTAAGTGCCACCATAAACAGCACCAAATAATCAGCTACCCAGAGCGCTGGGTAAAAATACCTTGTCTAAAGATTAACACTGAACTATTGAAATTGTTTTTGATGGAAATCTTATCTAATAGGAGCCATACATTCCTGTCTTCAAAAAGGTATTTTAAGCACAAGTGTGTATATTAAGTATAATCTCAGACTGTCACAAACTGCTGTATATAAATGGATGCCTCTCCAGATGACCAAATTTATCTGCTGGAAAATTTCAGGATGGCATAATGACACCATTAGGACTTACTGATGTTCAGATTACTGCCTGCCTTCCAGGCCTTCAGATATATCCTGTCTTCTTTCTTTTCTTCTCTATACTCAAGAGTCCGATGCTATGGAAAATAAGATAATCATCACTCCCCAGTCTCCAAGTGTGATGCCCTTTTAACAATTTTAGAAAGTATTTTAGTGTGTTCGCTGTTAGGAGTGATAAAACAGTATCAGAACAAACATAATCAGAGCAGAAGGCTCTGCAGAGAAGGCAAGTGCGGCATCTTTTTTGTTCTCGGTCTCCCACCAATGAACTGCAATGACCCCACAGCCAGGTCAGGCAATTGCTGCTAACACTGTGACCACCTGTAATCCTTACCAGTCTAGCAGCTTGCACTAGCAATCCTTCTGAAGGCGCCCATTCACTTACTGCTTTCATTTCCATTTCTCTTGCTCTTTTGGTCTCAAACACTTTTCCCACATTAGGCTTCCTTAACAAAAACATTCAAGTCTAACACAGGTGTGGCTGATTAATCAGAATACTACTTTTGACTAGTCAGATTATGTTTTAAATTAATAGTAATAATTACTTTAAATAGGAATTATTACCATTATTATATATTATAAAAGAGGGGGTGAGGAGAACAGTTAGAAAACAAAACTCCCACAGCCAAAAAGTAAACATCCAATAAAAGAAAAATTGAGGGAACTCCCCTCCAAAGAACAACAACAAAAAAAACTGACAAGAAAAACGGACTCCTACTCAGTGGCCAGGCCCCCTGGGATGTGTCAGGGACACAGAAAAGAATTAATAGTAATAATTACTTTAAATAGGAATTATTACTATTACTTTAAAACATAATCTAACTAGTCAAAAGCAGTCAGATAAAGGAGTAGAATACTAGTGTTAAAGTATTAGCACTTGTTATATTTCAGGCACTTAATACACTAACATGCATTATCTCATTCCATTTTCTTTCTTTTTTTTTTTTTTTAAACGGAGTCTCGCTCTGTTGCCCAGGCTGGAGTGCAGTGGCACAATCTCGGCTCACCACAACCTCCACCTCCCAGGTTCAAGCAATTCTCCTGTCTCAGCCTCCCGAGTAGCTGGGACTACAGGTGTGTGCCACCATGCCCAGCTAATTTTTGTATTTTTAGTAGAGACGGGGTTTCACTATGTTGGCCAGGCTGGTCTCGAACTCCTGACCTCCTGCTCCACCCGCCTCAGCCCCGCAAAGTGGTGGGATTACAGGCGCGAGCCACCGCGCCCGGCTATCTCATTCCATTATCACACCAGCTCTGAGAGAAACATCATCATTATTATATACGTAAAGGAACAAAACCTTAAGTTTTTTTTTTTGTTTTAATCTACCCTATAAAATTGAAGTGCTGAAATTCAAACCTAGATCTGCATCCCCATGAGAGACTGTCTTCCTTAGTTAGCATGGAGGGCTTCTAAGTCTCTGGCTTTTCTAATTCCAAAGGAGATTTTCCTTCTGGCTTAATTCTACACCAGAAAACTGAGGATACCAGGAGATTTCAGATAACTGAGGTTTCACTTCACTAAGCTATGTAAGCAGGAGAAATGGGTTTTGGGATGGTGACTTTCTATACACTATACATGACTATACTTCCAGAAGTGAAAGAGATCTGGGCGTCTACACTGCCAGTCAGTCTGGTACTTGAGTCACTCAGACACACATCATAGCTCTACAGGCAGTGACAGTTGTCTCTCTGTGGGGCTGTTGGGGCCATGTAATGATAAGGACTTTGGTTTTATTAGTGCTATGATTTACTCAGCCAGGCAAGCAGACCAGCTCAGAAAAGGACAAACGACATGAAATACCAACAACTTTCTAACATGTACACAGCACATCTCTGCCTTTAAGGTGTAGATAACAACATGAAAACCGCAACTACTTTCTGTATACCCACACCCCTCCTACTCAGTGGCCAGGCCCCCTGGGATGTGTCAGGGACACAGAAAAGAAGGACCACAGTAGACACTCTGCCCTCATAGAACTTATTTGGGGGGGGTGGCGGGGGAACAGCAGAAACAAGTAAACAAAGTAATTACAGACAATAATAGAGGTTATGAAGGAACCACACAAGTCAATTACTTGGGATTACTGAAGGAGCCATAAGGTAGTCAAGGAAGTCTTCTCTGAGGTGGTGATGCTCTGAGGTGGTGCCACTGGCATTAAGATCTGAGAATGAACCAACCACAGGAGCCACCGAAGGCACTGTAGGCAAACAGAACTACTGTGTCAAAGGTGGCGGAGCAGGAAGCAGCTTAGATTGTTGAGGAACGGAAAGGCTAGGGCAGAACCCTGGTAAGGCAGAGATGGTTGCTCAAGATGAGAATTAGGGAGAAATGAAAACACATTTCAGAACTAGGCAGAAATGTTATAGTCGATGAGGAAGAGTTTGGATTTTTGGCTGGGCACAGTGGCTCGTGCCTGCAATCCCAACACTTTGGGAGGCAAAGGTGGGAGGATCACTTGAGCCCGTGATTTCAAGACCAACTGGGCAACATAAGGAAACCCCATCTCTACCAAAAATTAAAAAAAATCAGCTGGGCATGGTGGCATGCACTTGTGGTCCCAACAACTGGCGGAGGGGGTGCTGAGGCAAGAAGATCGCTTGAGCCTGGGAGGTCGAGGCTGCAGTGAGTCCTAACCGTGCCACTGCACTCCAGCCTGGGCAACCAGAGCGAGATCCCCATTTCAAAACAAAACAAGAGTTTGGATGTTACCATAAATACATATTCATTATAACTGTGAGATAAATTATTGTCCCCACTTTAGCCCCAGATAAGACTCAGAGGGCATACAGAACGTGTTCAACGTGACAGAGCGGGTAAATGGATGCCCCAACATGTCCAGAGTGTGCAAGGTGAGAACTGAAATCTTACGTGACTTTATCTAAGTATGTCTGTTCTCGAAACATCAAGACCAACGGCCACCTAAAAACAACTGCCCCAACGAAGTAAAATGTAAGGTTTGTATGGGTGGGTAAAGACCTGAAATCAGTTTAAGTAAACTGTGTCCTCAGCCCTAAAGCCATCACGACTTATTAGCTAAACCAACACGCCAAACAGCATAATAAATTACCCATAAAAACATTAATGACAATTTCACTTCAAAACAATATCAAACACATCTTACGTTGTTCCTCTTTTAACAGCTGAACAATTATTTCTATCAATCTAGCCATATAAGAAAGTTTCTCCTTTTTATGACATATACTAGTATTTGGAATTTCTCCCTTGTAAAATGAATAATTTTACAAAAGTACTTCGGCACCACAGATGTAAATATAATTTCCAGAATTGGAAGAGGTCACGAGTGCATATTTTTAAGAGAATAACAATAATTGAGTCCCAATAAGCCCATGATAAATTGAAAATATCTTAAAGTCAAAACTCACAGTGGGTTTATCTGGATGTAAGTCGAAGTGCATACTAAATGTGTATCGTTTTTGCTCCATCAAAAAGTCAAAAAGTCCAAAATTGGGGACCATCTATATGTTTGGACTTTTAAATAAGATCACACCTCTATGAGCAAAATAAAAGATATGATCAATAACCCAAAAGTTTCCTGAAAACTGGCCATAATGGAGAAAACTAGCAAGATTTTTCTCTAAGGAGTGTAGTTACACAAGAAGGCTTAAGAGGACACTTGCAGGCTGGGTGTGGTGGTTCGTGCCTGTAATCCCAGGGCTTTGGGAGGCTGAGGTGAGAGGATCTTGAGGCCTAGAGTTTGAGACCAGCCTCGGCAACACAGCAAGACCCCACCTCTCCAAAAAACAATCAGCCAGGTGTGGTGGCACATGTCTGTGGTCCAAGCTACTCAGGAGGCTGAGGGAGGTGGATCACTTGAGCCCAGGAGTTCAAGGCTGCAGTGAGCCATGATTGCACCACTGCACTCCACCCTGGGTGACAGAGGAAAAACAAAAAAGAAGATACTTGCTTTCTGTTTCCTAAAAAAAGGGGGGCCATTAAAAGAACACCTTTTCCAGTTCTAATGCAAGAATGAAGAAAAACACTGGAAGGCAAAATGACTAGAAACCCAGTCAGTACAGCACCATTTTCCACCCTACGCCCAGTCAATGGCTCTCAAATTCCTTCCCTGCCACTCCCTGCGGGGTGGGGGGCCCACCAAGAGAGGGGGTCATGGGATGACCCGAGGGTGTGCGCTTGGGTGGGAGGCCCTGCTGAAGAGAAAGGGGCAAGACTACCAATTTAGAGGGTAATTTAGAAGATAACGATAAAGGTAAGAGAGAAACAGTGTTTCAAAAGAGATGCTGAATGGAGTTCTAAAAAAGTATAGATTCGGGTGAATACCTGGCTGACCCTTACCCAGGCACAAGCGGAAAGCCCTGGCCAAACTCCAGATAGAAGTTCTTCTAGGAATCCTTATCAAATCCACTGTCCACGAACCAGGTTCCTCCAAGGCACCAAGGCAGGCTTAGGGAGGGTGTTTGAACCAAAGGGTTAAGGCCACATATTTAATTTAGAGCTGAATGGATCCTAGACCTTACCATATCCACGCGTGCACAAAACCCACTAGGAGGAGAAATTAGAAAGCCCACGGAAAAGTATTACAGACTTTTTTTCCGGTTTTTGTGAAACCTGGTGAGCAATGCCATTCGTGTTTTTAAGTAAGGCTGTCCACAGCATTAAATATTACAATTAAGATTCGTTCATTCAAGTAAGCTAAATGGATTTAATGTTGTGGTAGTTGGTTAAAAACAAGTCAAGATAAATTGCTACCTTCAGTGGTTGAGAAGATGTCAGATATTTTATCTTGAAGTAGAACGTTTACTTTTGTTTGATTCCAAATGTATCTTTATCCCAAGGAACACAGTAAATTTAAAATGTCTCTGGGAGACGTTCAGTGTGTAATTCACGTTATTTCTGTCATTACTGTGTTCTCTGTCCTCATGCACAGTGCATGCTGCCTTATCCGGGCAGACGTTGCAGAAACATTTGTTGAAATGAATTCAACATTATTTATTTTGCTACCGGAAGACTGAGTCCCGCCACATATTCCCACCTGGCCCTTCATTCCAAACAGTGGGGATGGGAACCCCAATTTCACATTCCAACTGAACGTTAAGTTGGCACACACACTACTGCACATATCCCAAGTTTTGTGCCAGGATCTGCCCCTGAGAAACGTCCATAATTCTGCTCCGTGAGCCACAAGGGTGTACCTGAAGTTGCCAACTCCCGAAGCAAACTGAAAATTCAGGCCCGTGTCGGTCCCAGGAGCGGTTTAAATTCCACAATCGTCCGGTCCCTACACCCGGGTGAGTGCGCAGCCGGCCGGCGGCACCTTCAGCCGCAGAGCAGCCCCGGCCTGCACCTCCACCAGCGCCGGCGCGACCTCGCGGTGGGGCGGGGGCGTCCCCGAGTCCCAGCGCCGCGCCCCAGGCCCGCCCTCGCGCCTGCGGCCTCGCCGCGCCCCGACCCCGAGCCCGAGCCCGAGCCCGCGGAGGTCCGAGGAGGGACCCGGCCGGGGCGCAGAGCCGCGCAGGCCCCGCGCCGCTGCCCAGGCCTCGCGGAGCCCCGGCCTCTCCCCGGCGAGCTGCGGGCAACAAAGGCGGCGGCCCAGGCCGGCGCGCCGCGGCCGAAGAGGCCGAGGGGTCGAGAAGAGCCGTCCGCGGCCGCGCAGGCCTCGGCCCTTCAGGGGCCGCCGCGCCCCGGCCCCGGCTTCCCGGTTTCCGCGTCCCCGCTCCCGGGACTGGCCCCGGCCCCCGTTCCCCGGCCCTGGCCCCCGCCCGCGCACCCGCCGAGACGGCGCAGGGCCTCGCGCTGACCCAGACCCGTCGCTGCAGCCCCGCGCCCGGCGGCCTCCCTGGCCCGGCCCGCGCCGGATCCGCCCCCTGCACTCCGAGGCGAAAACCAGCCGTGTCCCGGACCGCGGGCGACCCGGAGGCGGACGGCGAAGCCCTGCCCCTGCCTCCCGCCCGAGCTCCCCGGACGCTTACCCGGAGGCGGCCCGGCTCCGCTTCCTCGCCCAGCGCCGGCGCGACTGCCGCGCTCGCCTTCTCCTCTCGGCAACTCCTCCTCCCGCCTCCTTCCTCCTCCTCCTCCAGGAGGGGCGCGCGGCCGCGGCGCCTCGGCCCGAGCGGGGAGCGGGTGCGGAGGAGCCGAGCGGGCCGCCCCCCGTCCACTACTCGGGCCCGCGGCGCAGGCGGGGCGTCGGGGCGCGCGGGGCTGAGGCCGGGGGCCGCGCGGGGCGGGGCGGGGGCCGGGCACTAAGTGGGGGTTCCGAGGGGAGGGGCGCCGGGCCGGGGTCGTGGGGCGGACGGAGCGCGGAGCCCTGATCCCTTCCCCCACCCCCGCGCCCCTCCGCTGGTGCCTGCAGGAGGCCGCTCCTCCGGCCCCCAGAGTCCCTGTCCTGGTTTTTCCTTTGGTGCTTTCCCTCTGGCGGGGGTGGCCCCGGCTAACGCGGAAAGGAAAGTCTCCTCGTTCCCCGGCCCCGCGGATTTGGCGGCTGCGGTCCCTGTCCCCCTGTGGCGGGCGGTCGGACCCCCGCACTGCCCAGGTCCGCTGGGCTCGCGCGGGGACCCCGGCCTCGTCCCCGCAGGGAGGGGACCCCAGGACAGACGCGCGCGCACGCTGTGCAGAGCCACAAGTGGGGAAACCCTCCCCACACCTCGACTAAATTGTGAAAAATGCTTTTTAAAAAACCAAACATTCCTTGTTTCAAGCCATCCACTTTTCCATTTAGTCGTTTTCAGGGAGGTTTTGTACAAGGAATAGTTGTTTGTGCCGCCGAATTCCAAGGTAGTGTGGTATACAAGTTGCATGTTGGGATCTTGACTAATTTCTTTGGAAACTGGCTGAACATACTACTAATGTATAGCAGTACCACAAAAACTTGATTTTTGTGCATAAGAATCAATAGGAAAATTTGTATTTCTCTTACGATGAAAAGTGGTTAAAAAAATGAATATCATTAGTATTTCAGTAAAGCTTGGGGGGAGATAAATATTAAAATCTAATGAGAATTATTGTGGACTTTAAAAGTTGTGTTTCTTGAATAGTATGGACCTTTTTAAAAGAAAACCGAAAGGACAGAGAAAAAAGGGCTAGAAAAAAAGTCTAAAAAGCTGTTCAGGTATGAGTTGGTACCCGAATTATATCTCAATAAAGTTGTTAGTTACAAAAAAGTTCAAGTCCAGTAATCTTAATTCCTATGTCCAATATACAATCTGGATTTCCCCAAGAAATCTAGATTCATAACAGAAAAGTTGGATCTTTAGGTGATGCAAAGTTGATGTCATGTATCATACACTATCATTGTCATCTTCAGTTTTTACTTGAATTTATTAATAAAATACTACCATTATTGTTACCGTGATTGAAATGCAACACAATTCTCAAATATCTAATTACAGTGATTGGAGAATGTAGGTTGAAATAGAATTGTCAGAGAAGTTAGTGGGAAACACAACAAACAGTAATTAACGGTGGCTCATGCCTGTAATCCCAGCACTTTGGGAGGCCGAGGCGGGCGGATCACAAGATCAGGAGATCGAGACCTGCCTGGCCAACACAGTGAAACCCCATCTCTACTAAAAATACAAAAAGTAGCTGGGCGTGGTGGCAGCTGCCTGTAATCCCAGCTACTCAGGAGGCTGAGGCAGGAGAATCGTTTGAACCCGGGAGGCGGAGGTTGCAGTAAGCCGAGATCGCACCACTGCACTCCAGCCTGGGTGACAGAGCTAGATGCCGTCTCAAAAAAAAAAAAAAGAAAAGAAGCAAACGTTTCAATCCTACTGCCTCGGAGTTCCAGTGTCTCCCTATATTTTCTAAAATGACAACCAGTAGGAGCTGTGCAGCAGGGGGTTAGTGAGCCTTTCACGCAGCAATGGGGCTGTGCAGGATGGGGAAGTGTTGACTCTTTTAGGAGACACTTAAATGTATGGTTAAGACCCTGGGGTTCTGAGTCTGGCAGAGCTGGTGCAGAAGCACAGTTTTGACAGGTCATACAGCTGTGTGACCTCAAACAAGTTTCTCAGTTGGAACCTCAGTTTCTACTTTTGTAAAGGGTGAGTGAGGGGGCTCGATATTAATTATGTCAAATAGTTGTAAGATTACATGAAATAATGCACAAAAACCCCTAGGGGCCTAATCTAGGTAATAAAACTTCATGAGTCCGGCCTTGCATTCAGCTCTTTTGAATATGTCATATCCTTCAATTTTCATATCAATCCTATAAGGTCAGTATTAACATCACCGCCATATTTCTGATGAGGAAACTGAGACTTGCAGTGTGATAGTAGTAATTTACTCTCCCAAAGTCACAGCTACTGTGGGGCAGAGTTGGAATTCAGGCTTAGGCCTCTGTGATTTCAGAATATGAGCCCTTTACCACTACATAGTGATAACAATAACATAGCAACAACTTCAGGGTAGAGATATTAGTGTCTAGATATACTATTAAAATCTCCATGCATGGCTGAATTCCAAACACTTCTTGGCCATAAACATGTGATATCTTCTTGGCTGTCTGCCAATGAACCCTTTTTTCCATCAGCACTCACTCTCCGTTTGGAGGAAATCTTATCTTTGCCCTAACAACACCCAGCACAGCTAAGATATGTGCCCATGACTCACCTACTTAAACTCTTGCCTAGGCCAGACAGGGAGGCTTACACCTGTAATCCCAGCACTTTGGGAGGCCAAGGCGGGAGGTTCACTTGAGGCCAGCGATTCGAGACCAGCCTGGGCAACATGGCCAGATGTCATCTCTACAAAAAATTAAAATATTAGCAGGGCGTAGTGGCATGGAGGTGGGAGGATCACTTAAGCCCAAGAGTTCCAGGTTGCAGTGAGCTATGAACATGCCACTACACTCCAGCCTGGGCAATAGAGCAAGACTCTGTCTACAAAAAGAACCAGGCTGGGCGCAGTGGCTCACACCTGTAATCCCAGCACTTTGGGAGGCCAAAGCCAGTGGATTACTTGAGCCAGGGAATTTGAGACCAGCCTGGGCAACGTGGCAAAACCCTGTCTCTACTAAAAATACAACAATTAGCTGGGCGTGATGGCGCATGCCTATAGTTCCAGCTGTTCAGGAGGCTGAGGCTGGAGGATTGCTTGAGCCCAGGAGGCAGAGGTTGCAGTGAGCCACTATCATGCTACTGCACTCCATTCTGAGCAACAGTGCGAAACTCTATCTCAATAAACAAGCAAGCAAGCAAGCAAGAAAGGAAAAGAAACCAGAAAAGAAAGAAAAGAAAAGAAAAGAAAAGAAACTCTTGTCCAGATGCTTACTGTTGTGCAAGTGATATAATCATGGAAAGCTCCTGGAAGAGGATGGGATCACATCTACTGTAATAAGGTACCTGCACCAAATTGATCCTGGTGCCAGTCCCCAAAGCCTTCTAATAAATCCCTGTTTTGCTCAAGATAACCAATTTCTGTTGTTTACCGTTACAAATGCTGTCTGATAGATATGCTTGTTAAAAAATGGGGATAGCCACTGGTCATATTGAAAATCTATCCTCTTAACAGTGACAGGGGAGCACAGTTCCACTGCTTCCTCCTAGAGCAATAGCTTATAGAGCCAGAAGCACCCTTAATGATCATCCTCAACATCCTCTTTTTACAGACATGAAAACAGTCCAACATCCTCATTTTAAGGAGGAGGAAACAGACTGAGAGATCAAATGATTTGCCCAAAGTGACAAAGTTTTGACATTTCCCAATTTTGAGTCTTGTTTGATTTCTAATATTAAACCTCTTCCCTTCATCTAAAAGGGGAAAAAGAGAAGTCTAGACTTGAGAAAACTGGGTGGAAGCTGGGTGGGTTACAGTGTGCAGCCTTCCATCCTAGTCCTGGTGATTCAAGTACAGTCATACCTCACTTAACGAAAGTGCTATGTTCTGAGACAAGCATTACTAGGTGATTTCGTCCTTGTGCTAACATGATAGACTGTATTTACACAAACCTAGAGGTAGCCTACTACACACCTAGAATAATAGGGTATAGCCTGTTGCTTCTAGGCTACAGACCTGTACTGCATGCTACTGTACTGAATTATGTAAGCAAATGGTAACCCAATGGTATTTGTGTATCTAAACATATTTAAACATAGAAAAGGTTCAGTAAAGATACAGCATTATAATCTTACAATGGGATCACAGTCATGTATGCCATTGACCAAACCATTATTCGGTGCGTGACTGTACATCCTTAGTGCTAAAAGCACTCTCGGGGCCCTGTGAAAAGCTGCAAAGCAAGCAAAATTTACCACCCTCCACTTCCTTCCCTCCCTCCCATTGCCGTTCTGCTGTTCCTGCCTTCCTGTCTTGATGGTTTAGGCGCCATACTCCACACACACAAATTTCCCTTGCATGGTACTTGTCCTGGGTTACATAATGTCCTCCAAAGAAGCGTGTCCTTTCCAGAACCTTAGAATGTGACTTTGTTGGAAGTGGGATCTTTGCCACTGTTAAGTTGAAATGAGGTCCTGCTGGGATAGAGTGGGCCCTTAAATCCAATGTGATTGGTGTCTTTATAAGAGGACAAGAGACACAGAGACAGACACACAAGGAGAGGAGAGGCGGTAAAGACACATAGAGAGAACTCTGGGGAGGCAGAGACTAGACCAATGCATCTGCAAGTCAAGGAACACCAAGAATTGCTGTCAACACCAGAAACTGGGAAGAGGAAAGGAAGGATTTCATCAGAGCCTTCCGAGGCAGCATGGCCCTGGTGTCACCTGGATTTTGTAATTCCTACATCCAGAACTGTGAAACCATAAATTTCTACTGTGTTAAGCCACCTAGTTGGAGGTACTTTATTATTTTATTGTTTTATTTTATTTTATTTTATTTTAGAGACAGGGTCTCACTCTGATGCCCAGTGGCAGGATCTCAGCTCACTGCAACCTCCACGTCCTGGGCTCAAGCGATCCTCCCACCTCAGCCTCCTGAGTAGCTGGGACTGCAGGCACACCACCATGCCTGTCTAGTTTTGTTTTTCATTTTTTTTAAGAGATGGGGTCTCACTGTGTTGCCCAGGCTGCTCTCAAACTCCTGGACTCAAGCGATCTGCCCGCCTGAACCTCCCAAAGTGCTGGGGTTACAGGTGTGAGCCACCATTTCCAGCTGAAGGTATTTTATTGTGGTAGCTCTAGGAAATGACCACAGTGCTCCTAGGCCTGCCCACCTTTGGTGCCTGTTCTCTGTAATGAACTCACTGCAGTCCCCTCCTGTCTTAGTCCCTTTTCTGTTGCTATAACAGAATATGTGAGACTAGGTAATTCATAAACGACAGGCAGCCGGGTGTGGTGGCTCATGCTTGTAATCCCAGCACTTTGGGAGGCTGAGATGGGCAGACCACCTGAGGTCAGGAGTTTGAAACCAACCTGGCCAAGATGGTGAAACCCTGTCTCTACTAAAAATACAAAAATCAGCCGGGCATGGTGGCACATGCCTGTAATCCTAGCTACTCAGGAAGCTGAGGTAGGAGAATTGCTTGAACCTGGGAGACAGAGGGTGCAGTGAGCCGAGATGGCATTGCTGCACTCCAGCCTGGGCATCAGAGCAAGACTCCATCTTGGGAAAAATAAAATAAAATAAAAACATAAATGAGAGGCCTATTTAGCCCATGATTCTGGAGGCTGAAGGTCCAATATCAGGCAGCTGCATTTGGTCAGCTTCCGGTAAGGACTTCATGCTGTATTGTAACATGGCGGAGAAGCAGAAGAGGAGGCTAGTGCATGTAAGAAAGACCCAACATGATGGGCAGCCTCACTTTATTACTAGACCAGTCCTCCCAGAGCGAGAACTTGCTGTCCCAACATGAGTTTTGGTGCAGACAGACCATATTCAAGCCATGGCACTTCCCAACCAAAACTTCTCTTTGAAGAATTTTCCAATGATTGGGTGACCATAGATCCCAGTTTGTTCAGGACAATACCAGGTCATAACTGTTGTTCTGGCACAACTGTTAATCATGCCACCTTTCATCTCAAAATCATCCCAGTTCATGTAGCAAATTCCACCTCAGGGTAAGATCATGACACATTGACCTGACATCCAAAGCTCTTGGAGAAGTGGCCCCCTCCTGCTTCTCCAGGCTCACAATTCACTGCTTCTTTCTGCTTCACTTTGCCAGGCCAAGATGGGTAACTCAATCTCTAGACAGATCCAGCCATGTATCTTAATATATACTTTTCTGTCTGCCTAGAATTTTCTTCCTTCTCACTCCCTACCACCTAATTATGTTTATAAATAGAAAATCTTACTCATCATCAGTCAAGGTTCAGATTTGTCCCATCAGAAATGATGTAATCCCATTTGTGAACCTCACTTGGGTTCAGTCCTTTTTAGAGTCCACTTCACACTCTACCCTGAATTGCAATATTTCTTTTTTTTTTTTTTTTTTTTTTTTTTTTTGAGACGGAGTCTCGCTCTGTCGCCCAGGCTGGAGTGCAGTGGCGCGATCTCGGCTCACTGCAAGCTCCGCCTCCTGGGTTCACGCCATTCTCCTGCCTCAGCCTCCCGAGTAGCTGGGACTACAGGCGCCCGCCACCACGCCCGGCTAATTTTTTGTATTTTTAGTAGAGACGGGGTTTCACCGTGTTAGCCAGGATGGTCTCGATCTGATCTCCTGACCTCGTGATCCACCCGCCTCGGCCTCCCAAAGTGCTGGGATTACAGGCGTGAGCCACCGCGCCCGGCCGCAATATTTCTTATGTCTCCTCCTTTGAATGCAGATGTTTTGTCTTATTTCTCTTTATATTATTTGTATTAGTACCTTGAAAGATAATTTTTCACACAATGGACACTCAAGAAATATTTGATGAATAAATATGAGTATACCATTCCTCTCTGCATCTATTTAAGAGCATCCCTGTGAGAAATGGACTCTCAAATCCTTTAAAAGCTCCACTTCAAGATATAGGTGTGGCTGGTTTGTCCTTCGGGCAGTGACAAATGCCTGCTTTCCAGAGCATAATTATTGAGGGAAAGCGTCTTTGTTGTTTCAATCAGCTAGATTCTGCTAGATGGGAACAAGCCAGAGTCAAAGGAATGTCTACCACCCTGAACAATGAGCTCTGAGGATTTTTAAGACCTGGCAGAAAATATGTGGTGCTGTTTGTGTGGGTACCTGTTTGTTTACTCAGAAAGGTAAACAAAGGTATTTAGCAAACTATTTTTCCCACTTAGTCCCTGGTACAGTTAGCTGAGCTTAACATTCTTCTCTATTTCAGATCAAAGTCTCTCACTTATAGATAAGTTTATTTTATTTTATTTATTTTATTTTTTTCGGACAGGTTCTCACTCTGTTGCCCAAGCTGGAGTGCAGTGGTGCGATCTCGGCTCACTGTACCCTCTGTCTTCTGGGTTCAAGTGATTCTCCTGCCTCGGCTGCCTGAGTAGCTGGGATTACAGGCACCCGCCACCACAACAAGCTGATTTTTGTATTTTTAGTAGAGACAGGGTTTTGCCATGTTGGCCAGGCTGGTTTTGAACTCCTGGCCTCAAGCAATCCACCCACCTCGGCCTCCCAAAGTGCTTTAATTTACTCTTGGCTGCCCTCTTTACTTCTAGGATTCAGGTTCCCATCTGACTGCTTACTCAACCTTTCACTATAGGGTAATGTATTAGTTGGTTCTCATGCTGCTATGAAGAAATACTAGAGACTGGGTATTTATAAAGGAAACAGGTTTAATTGACTCACAGTTCCATAGGGCTGGGGAGGCCTCAGGAAACTTACAATTATGGCAGAAGGGGAAGCAAACATGTCCTTCTTCATGTGGCAGCAGGAGACAGAAGTACAGAGCAAAGAGAATAAAAGCCCCTTATAAAACCATCAGGTCTTATGAGAACTGACTCTCTACTACAAGAACAGCATGGGGAAACCGCTTCCATGATCTAATCACCTCTCACAAGGTCCCTGCTCCAACACATGGGGATTACGGGAACTACAATTCAAGATGAGATTTGGGTGGGGACACAGCCAAACCATGTCAGTAACCCTATAGATTTAGTGCAAAAATCTAGCAAATACTCATTATTATGACTCAACAGCATGTATTTTCCACTTTAGAAAATGTAGAAGGTATGTCCTATGATAGAGAATAATATCATCTACAATTCCCCCTATTAACCCAACAATGGAAGAATGTATTAGAATTCTTCTCTGCAATAACCAGACACAAGGATTCCTATGACCAGCTCAGGGTCTTGAACTGCCACCACTGCTTTCCCTCCCAGTGAGACTATCAGAGGCATTCAAACCAGAGTGACTCTATCTTGAATAGGGGCTAGGTGAAGTAAGGCTGAGACCTACTGGGCTGCATTCCAGGAGGTTAAGATGTTCTTAGTCACAGGATGAGATAGGAGGTTGGCACAAGATACAGGTTATAAAGGCCTTGCTGATAAAATAGGTTGCAGTAAAGAAGCAGGCCAAAACTCACCAAAACCAAGATGGCAACAAAAGTGGCTGCTGGTCGTTGTCACTGCTGATTATATGCTAATTATAACGCATTAGCATGCTAAGAGACACTCTCACCAGCACCATGACAATTTACAAATACCATGGCAAAGTCAGGAAGTTACCCTATATGGTCTAAAAAGGGAGAGGAACCCTCAGTTCCAGGAATTGCTCACCCATTTCCTGGAAAACTCATGAATAATCCACCCCTTGTTTAACATATAATCATCAAGAAGTAACAATAGGTGGAAGAAGCTAAGCAGCCCACAAGTTCTTTGATACCCTATGTCCCTTTCCCTTGAATCTAGGATTACTGTTGTGACTCACTTTTAACCAATAAAATGCTGTAAAAATGATACTCCATGACTTGTGAGGTTAGGTCATAAAAGGGGATGTGACTGCTACCTATTTTGCCTGATCACTCTTTCTGGATCCCTAAACTGACATGTAAGCCACGCATCCAAATGGCTTGAGGCTGCCATAGACACCTAAACTGTATATCAAAAGACAAATGTGCGTACACACACACACATACACACACAAAATACAAAAGACAAAAAACTTATTTAGGAAACCGGAAAATCACTTGAGTGGCAACTTACAGAAACTCAACATGATAAAAATCTTATAAGAATATCCTCAACCTAACTAGGGAACTGGGAATAAAATTGATACAACCCAGAGTCAGATAATACCAAGTGTTTGTGAGGATGTAAGGAAAAGATGAGGGCTCATATTAAAATTAGTGGTGGGATTACAACTTAAAAAATGCTGATGGAATTACAAAATGGTTTAACTACTTTAGAGAGTAATCTTGAAATATTAGTAAATTTGAAGGGTAAATACACTTTGACCAAGCACTGACACTTTTAGATGTATGCCATCAAGATCTGAAAACAAGAAATGAGTCAGGCATGGTGACTCATACCCGTAATCCCACTCCAAGGCAGGAGGATCATCTGAGCCTAGGAGTTCAAGACCTGCCTTGGCAACATAGTGATAGCCCATCCCTATAAAATATTTAAAAACTAGCCAGGCATGGTGGCGCATGCCTGTAGTCCCAGTTACTTGGGAGGTTCAGGCAGGATTATTACTTTAGCCCAGGAATTAGAGGAATTGGAGACTGTGGTAAGCTATGGTAATGCCACTGCACTCCAGCCTGGTCAAAAGAGAGAGACCCTGTTTTAAAAAAGATAATAAAGAAAACAAGAACTGTTCAATGAAGCACTGTTTGTGGTAGTGAAAACCTCAAAACAACACAGTGACGACAATGCAAATGTCTACAGCTGGATAATGGGATAAACCAAATGACTTCCATTTCAACAAAAACATGAGTAAACTAGATTATATGTATCAACATGTATATATATTAAAGACATTATTTAGTGAAACAAAAAACTAGTTCTAGAAGGATACATACAAAACCAAACCATATATGTAAGGTTTGAAGCATTCAAACTAATAATATACAATGTTATGGGTACATGCATATATAGAAAAAGTACAAGGCTGAGTGTGGTGGCTCAGGCCTGTAATCCCAGCACTTTGGGAGGCTGAGGCAGGTGGATCACCTGGAGTGGGGAATTCGAGACCAGCCTGGCTAACATGGTGAAACTCTGTCTCTACTAAAAATACAAAATTAGCTGGGTGTGGTGGCGGGCACCTGTAATTCCATTCACTAGAAAGGCTGAGGCAGGAGAGTCTCTTGAACCTGGGAGGCAGAGGTTGCAGAGAGCCCAGATAGCACCACTGCACTCCAGCCTGGGTGACAGAGTAACACTCTGTCTAAAAAAAGCAAAAGTATATAAACATGAATTGGAAAGATACACACTTTAAGGTAGGTGTTATCCTTGGGACAGAGACAGGAGAATCATCAGAGAGGCATACAAAGGGGATTTTTCCTTAAAAAGGGAAGGACGTATTCTTCCTTCAAGAAATAACCCAAAAGAAAACAAAGTGAAATGTGAACATTTGTTAAATTTCAGTGGTGGGTACGTGGCTGCGCATTCTATTAGTCTGTGTTTTTTCAGCATGTTTGAAATTAAAAAAAAAATTTATATGAGGATTCTGAAGTCAAACCCAAATTCAAACCCCTTCTCTACTGCTCCTAGTACTCAAATACCATTCTGCCGCTAAAGAAGTTACGAATTGGCAACCACATACACGTGAGTGGGGAAAGTCCTATTTCTTTTTTTTTCTTTTTTTTTTTTTTTTTTTTTTTTTTTTTAAGAAAGAGTCTTGCTCTGTCACCCAGGCTGGAGTGCTGGAGTGCAGTGGTGCAATCTCAGCTCACTGCAACCTCTACCTCCCAGGTTCAAGTGATTTTTTTGCCTCTGACTCCCAAGTAGCTGGGATTACAGGCATGTGCCACCATGCCCGGCTAATTTTTGTATTTTAGTAGAGACGGGGTTTCACCATGTTGGCCAGGCTGGTTCCAAACTCCTGACCTCAAATGATTTGCCCCTCTCGACTTCCCAAAGTGCTAGGATTATAGGCGTGAGCCACCATGCCCGGCCCTTTTTCTTTATTTGCTTTAAATCAGGTGAAATACAGCCCAGAGCTTTTATCTTACTGGCTTGGCAGAAACATTCAACACTTAACTATTATTGAAAATGGGGTTTGAGCCGGGCATGGTGGCTCATGGCTATAATCCCAGCACTTTGGGAGGCCGAGGCGGGTGGATCACGAGGTCAGAAGTTTGAGACCAGCCTGGCCAACATGGTGAAACCCCATCTCTACTAAAAATACAAAAATTAGCTAGGCGTGGTGGCGGGCGCCTGTAATCCCAGCTACTTTCTGGAGGCTGAGGCAGGAGAATCACTTGAACCTGGGAGGTGGAGGTTGCAGTGAGCTGAGATCGCGCCATCACACTCCAGCCTGGGCAACAAGAGCGAAACTCCATCTCAAAAAAAAAAAAGAAAATGGGGTTTGTTTTACTTCTCTAGGTTTACACATGAATCTGCTAATGTGATTCCTGCAGACCCAGGGCCTTCTCATCTTCCTCTCCTTGTGGTTCCCCTGACATCCTATTAATCAGGTCTAAGTGGTCCCTAAAGAGCAGGCTTGGAGGTGGGATTCTTTGCTGTGTTGGGAGCTTGAGGTCCAGCCCACTCTTTTCTTGCCTTTTGAAGCGTTGCACTTGTCTTTAGTCATTTCTGTCAGAACTGGGATTCAAACCCACACCTGCATTCAGAGACCAGAAGCCATTTCTGCTTTTGACTCTCTCTGTTTGTGATGCCAGAGGAGAGAGGGAAATTTTCCCGCAGGGAAGGTTCTAACTGGCTGACTTGAATAATAAATGTCGTCAGGGAAATGCGGTTCTCTGGCTGACCAGGCTGGGTCCTGTGTCCACGCATGTCTGTGGAATTAGGCATGGAGCGGTCCACTTAAACTCTAGGGAATGAGTTTCCCATAAGGTAAAGATGGCAGTGGCACAGGGCAAGCCAAAAAAAAAAAAAAAAAAAGGAAGCCAGTCACAGTTAAATAAAACCGGAGCTGGGCAGGAGTTAATGCTGTGAGTGCAGATTTTATTCAGGAACTATTGCAATAGTGGAAAGAGACCTCAGTATAGAACCAGGCTCAATTCTAAATACAGCATGGACAAGTGGTCATTTATAGCCAAAAAGCAGGGTGGGGTCAGTGGTTGGAAAAGTACTGAGAGGAAACATCAGACGTAAGGGGGATTCTGGCTAAACCAACTTGACAGGATTCTTGCTGAAGGCGGGCCAGGCTGATCAGACATCACCTGGGGGATGGTGGGGATAAGGAATTTGACCAGATATTCAGGATGAATGTCGTTTGTAAACTGACTTAACAGGATTCTTGCTACAACTGAGTGATGCAGACTGACAGAAACCAAGGATGTCCACTGATTGTTGAGGGCTAGAGGGCTAAGAGAAGCCTGACTAGAGTTAGGTGGAGAGAGTATTTGTCAACAGACATAATAGATCTTACCTCCAAGGGTTTCTCAGGGGATTAAATGATTATAGAATACCCTTAGCACAGAGGCGGGCTGAGAGTAAATCCTTAATAAATGGCAGCTGTTATTACTTTTCTTTCATGGGCCTTATTATGACTGTAATCATGTAATTGTTCACATGATTGTTTGGTAAAGTCTTTCTCTCATGGGAGACTTCAAAATCCTAAAGGACAGAGGTTTCTTCATTCACCACTGTATCTTCAGCACCTGAAAGTGGGCTGGTACTCAGTGGGTGTTTAGTGAAACATTGCTGAATAAATGAAGGATTTAATGATGTCATCGTATTTGGTTTTTAAAAAATATATGTGAAAATACTAATTTTGTGTGGGACCACATGGATGATAGAAAAAGACTGATGATAAATTTATTTCACAGTGTTTTTATTTCCGTTCACAAAATTTCCAGATGTGCTTAGTAAAATTATTGCCAGCTTGTGAATGAGAATCTGGATGAGTAATTTATTCGAAGATCATACATGGAACTAATTATATAAGAGTCACTAAGTTTGCCAAACTTTTCAGTTGCTTTTAATTTAGTCACTCTTTAACAAACTTTATAACACATTTTCAAATCAGATTTTTGTTTATTTATCTCAAGTCATGTGTAAAGTCCCACTCAGAAAGATTTTTAGGTTCTAGATATAAATAAGGTTTTAATTAGAACAAGAACATATGTTCAAGGTTAATGACTTACTTTTATTTATTTATTTATTTATTTATTTATTTAGAGAGGGTCTTCCTCTGTCACCCGGGCTAGAGTGCAGTGGCACAATCATAGCTCACTACAGTCTCATATTCCTGGGCTCAAGTGATCCTCCTGCCTCAGCCTCCCAAGTAGTGGGACTATAGGTGGTGCCACCATGACAGGCTCAATATTTTCTGTGGAGACATGGTCTTGCAATGTTGCCCAGGCTGGCCTCAAACTCCTGGCCTCAAGTTATCTTCCCACCTCAGCCTCCCAAAGTGCCGACATTACAGGCATGAGCCACCACACATGGCCTAAGGCTAATGACTTTTACAAAGCCTAGTTCCTTATGTTAAAGAGAACTAGAAAGTGACAGTAGTTCAAGTAGCGTCTTTGTTCAGGCTGCTATAACAAAATACCATAAACTGGGTAGTGTATAAACAATGGAAATGTATTTCTTAGAGTTCTGGAGGCTGAAAGTTTGTGATTGTGGCGTCGGCAAATTCAGTGTCTGGTTGGGTCCTCACTGGTTTGTGAACAACCATCTTTTTGCTCTGTCCCCACATGGCAGAAAAAGTGAGCGAGCTCTTCAGCGCCTCTTTTATATGTGCACAAATCCCATTCGTGAAGGCGCCTTCTTGCGCTAATCATCTGCCAAAGGCTCTACCTCCCAACACTGTCACATTGGGGATTAGGATTTGAACATAAGAATTTTGAGAAGACACAAACATTCAGACCATAGCAAGTGATGAAACAGATTTTACTCAGGAGCTATTGCAATAGAGGAAAAGAGACCTCAGTATAGAGCCGGGTTCAATTCCAAGTACAGCATGGATCAGTGGAGATTTATAGCAAAGAGCAGGGTGGGGCCAGTGGATAGAAAATTGCTAAGAGGAAACATAAGGGGTAAGGGGAGATTCTGGCTAAACAGACTTGATAGAATTCTTGCTGAAGACGGGCCCAGGTGATCAGACATGACTTGCGGGATGGTGGGGATGAGGAAGTGGATTAGATATGGGAAGTGATCAGATATCAAGGGTGGAAATTCTCTCTAAATTGACTTAACGGGAGTTTTTAAACTGGGCTATGCAGGTTTGACAAGGATGGAGGCTTGTCAAGAACAGAATTTAGGGGAGCTCCACTAAAGTTTGGTCAAGAGGAGAGTTTCCATCACTAACAAACCTTTTATTTTTCCACTATTATTTTTCAGAAGGTATTAACCCAAAGTTACAAATTGCTAGAATGGTGTAGGTAAAAGAAAAATACTTTTTTCTTCAACCGTTCTAGGTTCTTAGTTGGAATGGACCCCTGTAACAAAAGACAGGTTAAGAAGAAAAAAGCAGTTTTATTTACAGGTATAATTCACATCTACATGTGGGAAACCCAGGGAGTGAGTACTTCTCAAAGAGGTGGCTTTGAATTCCAACTCCTTCAGCATCTTCACCAAAACACAGTAAATTTTGAGAGAAGTGACAGGACAAAGGAAAAGCACTGTTAGTCTGTAGGGGTGGCAAACGGGGATGAGTGAAAATAAATGATAGATAAAAGCTAGTTAGAAAAGCTTATTCTTGTAGATTCCTCTTATACCATCTCCAGATGGTTGAGTTCAGTGGTTAATCTTCATTCTCCCTGGTAGAAAGGAAGGCGGGATACCCTTTGTCTTCATAAGCCTATGTCCTGCTTTTAGGTGAATACGGGGAGCATAGGGAGCTTTGCTACATGGGCTTCTTTTTAATTGCCTTTAGCTCAACAATCTTTCATATTTTGGGGTGTTATATTCCGGTCTCCCACATTGTCAATAATTATTTTAAAGTAGTTGTCCTACGATTTGCAATTCAGACACATTCTTTTTTTGTTTTGTTTTGATTTGTGGGTTTTTTTTTTTTTTTTTTGAGACAGAGTCTCTCTCTGTCGCCCAGGCTGGAGTGCAGTGACGTGATCTCGGCTCACTGCAACCTCCGCCTCCCAGGTGCAAGCGATTCTCCTGCCTCAGCCTCCTGAATAGTTGGGACTACAGGCATGCGCCACCACGCCAGGCTAATTTTTTTGTATTTTTAGTAGAGACGGGGTTTCACTGTGTTAGCCAGGATGGTCTCAATCTCCTGACCTCGTGATCTGCCCACCTTGACCTCCCAAAGTGCTGGGATTACAGGCATGAGCCACCGCACCCAGCCTCAGACACATTCTTGAGAATGAAATTAGTCAGTCATAGATTATGAAGTACTTTAAATCTGATGAAAGTCAGATTTATTTCATTAAGAGAGGAAAGAAGAACTATTGAAAGGAGCAGATATTGAAAATGGAGCAATGTGGTGTTATTTCACTTTGTGAGCAACCCAGAACAAACATATAGGATGTAAATAGTGATACATAGGCCAATCAATGATTACTGAGGCACTTAGATTAATAGTATAATTTATGTAGAAGTAACTTTACTCTCTTCAATTAACAGCATCCGTATCTAAGAAGTATGACATTTGTGCTAGGTCAGGTAAAAGTGCTGGTCATTTCAGTGTTTTGTACAATAATAAACATACCTTAGACATTGGTATATATAAATTTCCCATCCTGAGTCACATTTTAGTAGTGGCTCACCAAATGACTTAAGATCAAAAGTCACTCTCTTTGAACTAAGTACTGTACAAGAGGTTTCAGTGTGTGTGACTTTCCCCTGCCAGGACCCATTTTATTGTCAGAGTTGGCTCAGAGTTTTGGCTGAGGTTGGGAATAATAGGTGCTAAGTACCTTTATATTAAGTGCTTGGCTATCTTTGCCAGACTTTGCAGAAGGCTTGCTCAACAACCTGTTCTGCCTGAATTGGCCCACCCGCCTAGCTTCCCATAGAAAACAGAAGTTGTGTGTTTCATCCTGTAATGAGGGAGAGGTGGAACTGTTTCCTCCCCATTTTAAGGCAAGTGATGAGAAGGCTACAGAGAAACAAATTTGAGAGCTTGACCTATGCCCTTGGTGTTTGAGTGGTGCAGAGACTGATGTTAGATATCTAAATCCATTGTAATAGTTGGTCTCCCATGGAGCAATAGTCACTCCCCCTGTTAGAGTAGGCAGATAGTTAGACATGAACAGGAAAGGAAGCCCGTGGGGGAGGAAGCTCTGGGAAATCTCAAGCTCCAGAGACCATCTGAAACCTGCATACTAAGTATGAGCAGAGAAGAGGAGAAATATCTACACAGAGAGAAATACCCTGAAACACCCCTTAGGATGTCCAGTCAATGCTCATTCTGCAGATAAAATTGTCAGAATCTAGCTAGCTACATGTTGATAAGAAGGGCAAAAGGGCAAAAAGGGAAATTAATGAGAGATACGTGGGCGCAATAAGTACAGATCTGACCACTATACAACCTTCCTGGGGTGGTGGTAATGAGCAATACCACCAGTAGGTAGGATTAATATTGATTATGTGGTCCCACACATGTGCATCAACTGACAGTAAGGGAGAATCCCACAAACCTGAGCAGGGAATTAGGCGGGGTCAAAGGCAGAGACTTAACACAGAAGCAGGAAACTAGACAAAGACTTAAGACAGAGGCAGGAACTTAAAGGAAACGTCTGACCTCTTAAAAACTGCAACACAGAACTCTCAGGTTTGTTCCTGGGAAGGTCAGCCCGCTTCTCTCTTGGAGTGTACTCTTTTTGTCCTTAATACACCTCTTTGCTTACTTTACTAATTGGTTTCTTGGCTGAATTCTTTCCTTCAAGAAGGTAAGAATCAAGGACCCCCACACTTCCCAGTAATACTCCCACATTCTCAATAATGTTTTTGAATAAAGTCTTTCTTCACTAAGTCTGGATCTCTTTTTTATTTGCCAGGACTTGAAATAGCTGTATCAGATGGGGAGCAGTTCAGTGCATGTCTGGAAAGACAGGAGCTGAGTGCAAGTCTGTAGGTCAGTTGGTAGAGACACGCTCTGAATGAATCAGGAGAACTGTAGGTGAGCGAACCCAGTTGAATAAGGGAAGAGGAAGAAATGTCTCTAAAGAACCACAAATGTAACCACCCAAAGAGTTCGTTTAGCCTGCTGCCCAGATAGAGCCAATTTATCAAGACAGGGGAATTGCAATAGAGAAAGAGTTTAATTCCTGCAGAGCCAGGTGAATGGGAGACTGGAGTTTTATTATTACTCAACTCAGTCTCCCCCAAAGTTGAAAATTTGGAGACTGGAGTTTTTTAAGGATAATTTGGGGGCAGGGGGACCAAGGAGTGGGGAGTGCTGATTGGTCAGGTCAGAGATCATCTTAGGAAGGTAAGCCTGTCCTCTTGTGTTGAGTTGGTTCCTGGGTGAGGGCTGTAAGATCAGAGGGCTAGTTTATCTATCTGGGTGGTGCCAGCTGATCCATCAGGTGCAGGGTCTCAAAAATATCTTAAGCACCAATCTTAGTTTTTACAATAGTGATGTTATCCCTAGGAGCAACTGGGGTGATTTAGAAACTTGTGGCCTCTGGCTGCGTGACTTTGAAACCATAACATCTAATCTTGTGGCTAGTTTGTCATTCCTACAAAGGCAGTCTGGTCCCCAGACAAGTAGGGGATTTATTTAGGGAAAGGGCCATTATCATCTTTGCTTCAAAGTTAAACTATAAACTAAGTTCCTCTCAAAGATAGTTTGGCCTATGCCCGGGAATGAATAACGACAGCTTGGAGGTTAGAAGCAAGATGAAGGCAGTTCAGTCAGATCTCTTTCATGGTCATAATTTTCTCATTGTTATAATTTTTGCAAAGGCAGTTTTACAAAGGTACCTCATGAGAAAAGAAATCAGCACTGGGGATCTGCTACAGTGAGCTCACTAATGGCAGGTGACACCTTTATCTCTGGCGAGACCTTTCTGTCAATAATAATAATAATTATTATCTTTTCTTATACTAGTAGGTCTCAAGACAGTAGCTAGAAAATGTGGGTTGACATGGAGGGAGGAAATGACCCAGAAGCTGACCACAATCCTGTCCTCCAAACCTGAAGCTCTGATTCTTAGAGGAGTAGAGAGACATTTTACATTGGATAATGGTTCTGAGTTTTGATATGACCAAGGACTGGATATTTTTTTTAAATCTAGAAGTGATGAGATAATTTTTTACTATCTGATAATGCCTGGAGTCAGGAGTGGGAACATTTATGTCCACTGAGTGGTTTTGATGAGACATGTTGGAAAAGAATAATGTTTTCTTTCTTAACAGATGCCTAAGTTTACATACATTAATTCCTTAGTACCACACATTGTCAACTATTTTTTGTGTGGTTAAAATGAGAAAAAAAAGAAAAGTGAATGATCTGGTTTGGCTGTGTCCCCACCCAAATCTCATCTCGAATTGTAGCTGCCATAATTCCCACGTGCCATGGGAGGGACAGGATGGGAGGTAATTGAATCATGGGGGTAGGTCTTTCCTGTGCTGTTCTCATGATAGTGAATAAGTATTATGAGATCTGATGATTTTATAAAAGGGAGTTCCCCTGCATATTCTGTCTTGCCTGTCACCATGTAAAACGTGACTTTGCTCTTCTTTCACATTCCGCCATGATTGTGAAGGCCTCCCCAGCCATGTGGAACTGTGACTCCATTAAACCTCTTTCCTTTATAAATTACCCAGCCTCGGGTATGTCTTTATTAGCAGCATGAGAACAGACTAATACAATGAATATATTACAGATGATGAAAATACAGCTTTCCCCCATTGATCAGCTATGTATTGACAGTCTATTTTGTGTTAGGTACTGGGGATACACAGGCATGTTTTCCTGGACATCATGGGAGATGACTATGATGATTAATTTTACCTGTCAACTTGTACTGAAACAAATGGTGCAAACATTATTCTATGTCTGTGAAGGTGTTCCTGGGTGAGATGAGCTTTTCAATTCATCGATTGAGTAAAGCAGTTTGCTTTCTCTATGTGAGTAGGCATCATTCAATCAAGTGATGTATTAAGGTTCTCTTAGAGGGACAGAACTAATAGGATATATATATAAAGGGGAGTTTATTATGTATTAACTTGCATGATCACAAGGTCCAACAATAGGCCATCTGCCTGCTGAGGAGAAAGGACAGCCAGTCCGAGTCCCAAAACTGAAGAACTTGGAGTCCAGTGTTTGAGGGCAGGAAGCATCCAGCATGGGAGAAAGATGTAGGCTGCGAGGCTAAGCCCATCTCTCCTTTTCATGTTTTTCTGCCTGCTTCATATTTGCTAGAAGTTAATTAGATTGTACCCACCAGATTAAGTAAGGGTGGATCTGCCTTCTGCAGTCCACTGACTCAAATGTTAATCTCTTTTGGCAACACCCACACAGACAAACCCAGGATTAATACTTTGTATCCCCCGATCCAATCAAGTTGACACTCAGTAATAAACATCACAAGTGAAGACCTGCATAAAACAAAAAAGTCAAGACAACTACTGTTGATGCCTGAATGCTTGAGCCAGGATATCTTTTTTTTTTTTTTTTTTTTTTTTTTTACTTCCTGACTTTAAAGTTGGACTCAAACTGAAACATTGACCCTTTTGGGTCTTGAGTCTGCCATCCTGGAACTTACACCATCAGCTCTCCTGGGTCTCCAGCTTACTGACTGTGGATCTTGGGATTTTCCAACCTCCATGATTGTGTGAGTAAACCCTTTATAATACTCTTTAACAAATATACACAAATATATGCACCTAAGTACACATATCCTATTGGTTCTGTTTCTCTGGAGAATCCTAACTAATACAATGTCACTATCCTAAAAAAATCACACAAATAAATGTGGGTGGTAAGTACTATGAGAGCATATAATAAGCAGATTTAACCTAGTCAAGAAAGGATAGAGTAAAGAAATATTGTGCTGCCTTCAGACTGAAAAATGGATTAAGAGGAGGCAAAAGCAGAAGCAGGAAGTTAAAAGTTACTGCATTAGTACAAATGAGATGATTATTACATGAACAAAGGGAGTTATGGGATTGGAAGAAGATGGGTTACACATGTAACTGGGTAGATGGATGGTGGTCCCTTTTGCTAAGAAAGGAGACACTGGCTTGTCAGGGATAATATCATGATCTTGGTTTGGTTGAGTTTAAGTTCTTTTGCCATTTCTAGGTAAAATGTTAAATAGGCAGTTGATTAGACGTGAATAAAATATGTAAGAGTGTAGCATGCTCTTGTTCTAATAATGCCAATTAATTGGAAAGATAGTTGAGTTTCTGACTGAACAGGCTTAGTTGCGAAAAAGGAAAAGCAAGAATGAGGGAAGGTTAAAATTATAATAATAGATCATAGATGCTGAGTGCTTTACATATTAGATAAGCCCTAAATGCCTTACATACTAAATTAGTGAATATGTTACACATCACACTGTGAAGTCCAAATACTATTATTATCCCCATTTGGTAGCCTGACTTTAAGACGATCCTCAATGATCCCCATCGTCTGGTATTTGTGTCATCCCTTCCTACAGTGAGGAGAGCTGACTTGTGTAACCAATAGGATATCACAGAAGTGATTTAGTGTCCTGACTTCTGAGGCCAGACCATAAGAAACATTGTGGCTTCCATCTTGCTCTTTTGAATTACTTGCTCTGGAAGAAGCCAGTCACCATCTTGTGAGGAAACTCAAGCAGCTCGTGGAATAGCTTATGTGGTTAGAAACTCACCACATGAGTGACAGCATAAAAGTTTGAAAAATTTGCAGCCTGACAATGTAGTAGAAAAGAAAACCCCATTTTCTGGGGAGAAATTCAAGCTGATAGCAGCCACCTTGGAAACTCTGGCCCCAGACAAGTTTTTAAATGACTGAAGCCCAGCCCACATTTTGACTGCAACCTCAGAAGAGAATCCAAATCAGAACTACCCAGATAAGCCTCTTCTGAATTCATGACCCAAAGAAACTGTGGGATAATACGTATTTATTGTTTTTGACCACTGTGTTTTGGGTGATTTGTTATGCAGTAGTAGACAATACATTTCATTTTATAGATAAAGAAAATAAGTCACAGAGAGGTTAAATAACTTGCCCAGTATCATAGAGCTAAAAGTGGCAAAACCAGGATTTGAACTCACATTGTCTGGTTTGCCTCCCCTCCTGAACCATCACACCCTATGCCTCTGCCGCTTAAAGAGAGTGAGGCATGATGTTCAGCATGAGGAACAAAGAGGATTTCTAAGTGGCCAATAGGTACATAAGTAGCTCATTTGCAGAATTTTATTTTATTATGTTGTTTTCCAGAATTTTACATAGAGTTCAGAGCAGTTTTAGGCTCATAGCAAAATTGGGCAGAATTTACATATTATTTCTAGTCATCAAGCCTTTGTATATATTTGAATTTACTCAGAAGCTGATAATTTTTTTATTTTTATTTTTTATTTATTTTGAGATGGAGTCTCGCTCTGTCACCCAGGCTGGAGTGCCGCGGTGGGATCTCGGCTCATGCAACCTCCGCCTCCTGGGTTCAAGTGATTCTCCTGCCTCAGCCTCCCAAGTAACTGGGATTACAGTTGCTCGCCACCATGCCCAGCTAATTTTTGTATTTTTAGTAGAGACGGGGTTTCAGCTTCACAGTAAAGGGGATGTTTTCTCTTTGCCCCTACACTCTAATTTATCTCCTTGGTTTTCTCTTTACTTCTGACGTCAAAATAGTCATCTTTCCATGTCCATATTTTGTAGGGAAGAAGTGACCCACCAATTACATGAGAAAGGGGGACTAAACCAGTTTTTATTGCTGTCTCATCCCTAAACTTTATGCCTCACAATCATGGCGGAAGGTGAAGGAAGAACAAGGCATGTCTTACATGGTGGCAGGCAAGAGAGCTTTAGGGTAGAGTTAACTTTAAGGTTTTCGTTAATAATTGTCACAACAATCAATGCTAAGTCAGCCACCTATGCACCTCGTTCTACTCTCTTCATTATCCCTACATTGTCATTAGGAAAAAGTTTGCTTCAGATGAGACCCAGACACAGAATAGGCTGTGCACCAACTTAAGAAACGTACTTGGCAAAAGACAAGTCTTCATTTCCTAAAGGAATAAGTAAATACCTATTGGAAAATTATATTTTATTGGCATATAGTATATAGTTCATCACAATAGCAAACTAACATCTATCAAAAATGGCCAATGAGCAATTTTGACCAGTACCTTCTGGAATAGTCTTCTATTCTATAGATTCTATAGAATCTAGAAGATTCTCCTTTAAAAATATTGGTGCATCTGCATAAACTCAGGAAAAATCTGGCAACCCCAGGATTTAACTCGAAAAGGTAAAACAACAAAGAGAGACCTAGGGAGCTATTTAGGAAACTATTAGGGAGCTATTTAGTGTGATTCAGATTTCCTTCTGTCGTTAGCTATTTGCAGATTCAATTTTGTGTGAAAACAATTTTAGGGTTGGGCAGGGGGGATCTTGGAGGAAACAACTGTAGTCCAATTAGTTAGCTTTTCAGAGGACTACCTCACTGGATTTCAGGCAGGTTATCTCTGTAATGATACTGTCTCTCAACTGAGTTGCGATAAGTATTGAGTGGCACCCAGATAAATCCCTTGATTCCTGACAAATGGCTGGAATATAAAATATTTAGTCTTTATTGCTGGTTGGTGCAGAGCGATAGGTTTAACTTTCAGGCAGGCCAAGGATACGCCAGCCAAGTTTGTAGATCTTGAGGAACCAGACAAGGATAGATCTGAATAGGAGATTCTCAGCTTGGCCCCAGGTTGTCCCAGGATGTTTCTGAGAGCAAGGCCAAGATACCTTCAAACATTTTACTTCTGCTCTGTCATACCAACGAGTAACACGAGTCTCAAATTTCAAAGCCATGCTTGAATATGCAAAAATGTTTACCCTCCAAATTTTAAAGCAGATGTAATATAAAACAGGAGATGTTTTCTGTGAGATGAAATACATTCCCTTTATGTTTTCTAGAACTTAATGCTTCTTGGTTAGTATACACTTTGGTTACTGTTATTTTGAAAGAAGAGATGAGGGTTCATATAGTAAAATTAATAAATAGAAAGCAGGTTTAAATTACAGCTAATCTTCAGAAATATTACTATTAAACATTTTAATGTTAATGCTACCTATTTAGTCTCAACAAAAAGAGTCAAACTCTGTAAAATATTTCAAGAGATTTATTCTGAGCCAAATGTGAGTGACCAGTGGCCTGTAACGCAGCCCTCAGGAGATCCTGAGAACATGCGCCCAAGGCAGCTGAGCTACAACTTGGTTTTATACATTTCAGGGAGACATAACACATCAATCAATATATGTAAGATGTACATTGGTTCAGTCCAGAAAGCTGGGACAATTGAAAGGTGGGGGATTTTCCAGGTCGTAGGCAGATTCAAAGATTTTTCTGCTGGGTGCAATGGCTCATACCTGTAATCCCAGCACTTTGGGAGGCCAAGGCAGGCAGATCACTTGAGGCAAGGAGTTCAAGACCAGCCTGGCCAACATGGCGAAACCCCATCTCTACTAAAAATACAAAAATTAGCCAGGCGTGGTGGTGCACATCTGTAATCCTAGCTACTTGGGGGGCCGAGGTGGGAGAATCATTTGCATGCAGGAGGCAGAGGTTGTACTGAGCCAAGATAGCGCCACTGCACTCCATCCTGGGTGACACAGTAGGACTCCATCTCAAAAAAAAAAAAAAAAAGATTTTTCTGATTGACAGTTGGTTGAGTTATTGTCTAAAGACATGGAATCAATAAAGAGGAATGTCTGGGTTACCATAAGGGTTTGTGGAGACCAAGGTTTCATCATGCATATGAAGCTTCCAGGTAACCTGCTTCAGAGAGACTAGATTATAAATGTTTCTTACCAGACTTAAAGAGTCTGTTCTATCAGTCTTAAGGTCTGTGTTGATGTTAATGCTGGTAAGCTGGGCCTGAATTCTAAGAAGGAGAAAGGTGTATAATGAGGCGTGCTCAACTGCCCCCGTCCCGTCATGGCCTGAACTAGTTTTTTCAGGTTAACTTTGGAATGCCCTTGGCTGAAAGGAGTGGTCCATTTGGATGGTTGAGAAGCTTAGAATTTTATTTTTGGTTTACATCAGAATGACACATTGTCTCAAAATATTTTGGCTGAATTTTTATTTTTATTTTTTTCAAATCAGGGAATAGAAGAATCCCAACATTATTTTCCTCCCAAATCTTATTTATATCTTTCAGTTTCTCCTTTTAAGTCAATCACCTGATTTAAAAAAAATCCATCTTGTAAATCAGGACTATTAAAAGATGATGTATTTCCTAAGTAACTGCTCCAAGGGAAGAAAGAAAATTTTCAAATCATTTTATGTTAATTAATACTTTTAAGCCAAGAGCAGAGCTTTTCTGTTAATTTTTAACTAACAAAAATAATAAAATTTTGTGACTAGGCAAAATTTTGTTGACTTTCGGTCTGTCAAACCAGTGGAAATAGACACATTAAAACTGACATTCAGTTCTAATTAAATTAATTGGTACCAGTAGCTCAGCTATGAGAAACATAGGTAGGTTGTAAAAATGCTTACATGAGTTCTTCTACTTTTAATTTTTAAATTTTTTTTTTTTTAAAGATTGGCTCAGCGCGGTGGCTCACACCTAGAATCCCAGCAATTTGAGAGACACAGGTGAGAAGATGGCTTGAGCCCAGTAGTTCGAGACCAGCCTGGGCAACATGGCAAGACCTCATCTTTACAAATAATAAAAAAAAAAATTAGCCGGGCATGGTGGTGCACACATATGATCCCAGCTACTCAGGAGTCTAAGGTGGGAGGTTTGCTTGAGCCTGGACAGTTGAGGCTGCAGGAAGCTGCGATGGCACCCCTGCATTCCAGCCTGGATGACAGAGTGAGACCCCATCCCTCCAAAACAGGCAAGGGAAGTTAACATTTATCTAAGAGTAATTCACATTATCAGTGTCAGGATAAAGTTCCACACCTTAACATCTGGAAAGATGTGAAATAGTGGCTTTTTTAGAGAACAGGAATTAAAACTCTAACTCCATAAAATATCTTCCAACTTTTTATCAGAGCCAGGCTTGGTTCACAAGAGTCCTTGTCACCCTATGACAGTATTAGACATATCTTGTTACTGGAAATATAGTCAGAAGAAAACATCATTTAATGCCTAATTAACAAATAGAAAATCCCATCACCAAATTAGAGAAAAATAAAAGCAAACCAAAAACAATCTTTATCTCAAGGCCTATGATATTCAATAATTATGTTCCATTTCATGAATATTCACAAAAATTTCCAGTAACAAGGGGTAGCATCTCTTCAGGAAGTTGGCGTCATTTTACTTATGGTTAAAATCACTGAGAGAATTTTTAGAAAAAAAAACAACAACTCTAAAGCCCTACCCTGGGCTGTCACAGTTGCCCACAGGCCCAACACCACATGTAAGCCGCCAAGACTTGGGGCTTGCACCCTCTGAAGCCATGGCCTGAGCTACACTTTGGCCTCTTTTAGCCATGGCTGGAGCTGAAACAGCTGGGATGCAGGGCACTATGTCCCAAGGCTGTGCAGAGCAGGGGGACCCTGGGACTAGTGCACGAAACCATTTTTCCCTCCTAGGCCTGAGGCCTGTGATGGGAGGTGCTGCTGTGAAGGTCTCTGACATATCCTAGAGACATTTTCCCCATTGTCTTGGTGATTTGCATTTGGCTCCTATTTACTTACGCAAATTTCTGCCACTGGCTTGAATTTCTCCCCAGAAAATGGTTTTTCCTTTTCTACTGAATCATCAGGCTGCAAATTTTCCAAACTTTTATGCACTCTCACCTCTTGAATGCTTTGCCGCTTAGAAATTTCTTCTAACAGATACCGCAAATAATCTCTCTCAAGTTCAAAGTTCCACATATCTCTGGGCAGGATCAAAATGCTGCTAATCTTTTTGCATAGCAAGAGTGACTTTTATTCCAGTTCCCAACAAGTTCCTCAGCCTGAGACCACCTCAGCCTGGACTTTATTGTCCATATCACTATCAGCATTTTGGTCAAAGCCATTCAACAAATCTCTAGAAAGTTCCAAATTTTCCCACATCTTCCTGTTTCCTGAGCCCTCCAAATCTCTAGGAAGTTCCACTTTCTCACATTTTTCTGTCTTCTGCTGAGCACTCCAAACTGTTCCACCCTCTGCCTGTCACCCAGTTCCAAGATTGCTTGCACATTTTTGGGTATCTTTACAGCAGTGCCCCACTACCTAGTACCAATTTACTGTATTAGTCTGTTCCCATGCTGCTGATAAAGACGTACCTGAGACTGGGTAATTTATAAATGAAAGAGGTTTAATGGACTCACAGTTCCACATGGCTGAGAGGCCTCACAACCATGGCTAAAGGCAAATGAGGAGCAAAGTCATGTCCTACATGGTGGCAGGCAAGAGCACATGTGCAGGGGAGCTCCCCTTTATAAAACCATCAGATGTCATGAGACTTATTCACTGTCATGAGAATAGCATGAGAAAGACCTGCCCCATGATTCAATTACCTCCCACTGACTCCCTCCCATGACACATGGGAATTATGGGAGCTACAATTCAAGATGAGATTTGGGTGGGGACACAGCCAAACCATATCGTGCCCCCACGTTGGACAGTCAGCTTCATGGTTCATTCAGGGTGACAGGAGGGGAGGAGAGATCTGCCCACCCTCTTTCCAGGTAACTCACTTGTTCCTGAATGGAAGTTGCAATAGCCTTAGGGATCACGGGTCCACTGTGGGTGGTGTCACCAGGCCCATGGGAAGAGGAGGTGTTGCCTCAACTTAACATCCTTAGCTAGGGCAGGGGGCATGGGTTTGGTGGGTGGAGGACTGGAGAGTGGGAAAGGGAGCTGGGACCCTATAGCTGGTGAGTTGCAAGCCCATCAAGCAGTGGGGAGGGTGCACTCGTAGAGTCCGCACTTGCTCACAAGTATTATCCTGGTGCCTGAGAGAGCATGACATTAAACAGCAAAGAAAAAACAATGAAACTGGTGGAGCAGACTCTTTGGAACAACACTACATTTTGAGTGATTTAGTATTTCCTAGAAATTTGATCCCTAAATAATATTTACAAAATTGCATTATTGACTAGTAAGATTTTCAGCAGAAGCAGCAAATGTCACTTAAAAACCGTGTGTGCTTATGAAAGGAGGTCATTTTACTTGAGATGGATTGTGTGTGCTGCTTACTCTGTTTCTCACTCCAATCCACCCTTCACTCATCTCCACTCTACTCTGTGGTCTAGGAGGCTGCTGTCTATGGATGGCATTGCCTGGGGCTTCCTTGCCTGCTGGCGTCCATGTGGGTTTAGCAATGATGGTAAATAGTATGTGATGGAAGATCCAGAGCAGAAAGAATTTGGGGTGTTTGATTCCCTTTGCCCCCTCTTTGCTAGGTGCAGGTTGGACAGAGGCTGCCTTCCTCCGCTTTAGGCTTTGTTGAGATCTCCCTCTGTCACCCTCCATGGCTCACTGGAGCTGCTCTTTCCTCTTGCTGCCTGGAGCCTGTGGGTGGTAATGGCTTCCCACTGTTGCCAGTTCATGGGTGCTTTGTTATCCCTAGTTAGTGTCTTTATTTTGGCTCACCACTCTGTGGTCGGCTGCTTTCCCAAGCTTTCTTTGGTTAAACCCTTTAGGACTGCCTTCTGTTTCTGCCAGCACTCTGATTGACACAGCACCTTTTCTTCATACGGCACGCAAGTGGATGCGATGCAAGTCTGTAGCTTGGAGGCATTTAATTGGAGCTTACATCTTAGAACCATGCTGTCATCTCATTTCCTGGTTAATCCCTAAGCATACTCCGATGGCCTGGCAATATGCTAACTTGGCTAGGCTGGACGACATTTTCCAAAATTCTCGTCCCTGTATGTTTCTAGTTAGTGTGGGTCACAGATATATTTGAAAAGGGGAAGTAGAGTAAATTTTAGGCTCGAGGATCTGTGGAGGCACCAGATATTGTGGCAACTCGTGCCCATTGGCGTTTGCCTGCTGGCTGCCCTCACTGGTGTGGGAAGTACCTGGGCCTGCAGCTGTTCTGTCAACCCCAGATCCTCCCATAGCTTCTCTGATGCTTGGGCCACATGTGTGTTCAGCTCCAAAACAAAAATGCCAGCTTCCCCTGCAGGACACCCACGTCATCGGCGTTGGCAGAGACAAGACTCACCAGGCTCCAGTCTGTCTCTGTGGGCTCCAGCTTATGCCCATGGGTTCCAGTTTCCTTTATTCTTTTCCACTTTCCATCTGTTTTCCCTTCCTGCCTGTGGACCTGCAGACTGAAGGTCAAACACCAGACAGAAAGACTACAGTCCTACAGCGACTGCCCAACCCTTTCCCATGGTGGTATTAGGTCAATTCTTGTAACACACAATATTTGTATAATAAATAATATGTAGAGTGGGTCTGTGTCTCCCATCAAACTCTGACATACTTATACCATCATTCTTTTATCTTCACATATGTACATTAGATGTTTTAATACTTTCTGCCATTGGTTTTTCTTCTTTATTAATGCCATTTCAACTATAATTTCAGAGCCTCATTACCTTCTAAAATATCTTAGAAATAACACTCTGAAATTGTATTCCTTTGAGAACATAATTAACTAATTAACATCAATCTGGATGCCTGCTTTGAGGCCATTAGCATCCCACAGAGGCTATGATTTGTAAATTAAACTAAAATCAAATTGGCTCTTCTGTTATTTCTCAAACTATTGTATAATAATTATTAGGTTTCTATGAAAATATTTAAAAATTGTTTAACTTATAATTTTAAATGACCTGTACATTTCACTGATCCATGAATTCCATTCTTTCCTTTTTTTTCCTTAACTACCCTTTCTCTTTCTTCTTTTTTCTTTCTAGTTAAATGAATGTCTAAATCGGTCAGAAAACTTCTTCTGTTATCTATTCTTCTGATAAACTACTTCTAGTAAGCAACTTCCTTTCCATTGTTTATCAGTGGAAAGTAAAAACCTTCTTTCATTGGGCCAATAAAAATACCCTCCACCTGAGCCCATTTTTTTATTGTAACATTTATTGCAAATAGACATTTTTTCCATGTTCTCTTAATATAAATTTTTCCATAATTTGAAATCCATTATTATGTCATTTATTTTGCATGTGTGTGTGTGTGTGTGTCTGTGTATGTGAAAGGATACTAATTAATCTAAATGTTTTTTATATTCCAGAAATGGCTACATTCCTATTTTCTTTCTTATTTGGAATTTACTTGTCAAAGCTAAGACTCTAATTCATAGAGTATATGCATTATCTGATATCTATTTCTGATAGAAAATGTGACATAATGTTAGATGTTAACATTCAGAACAAATTATGTCAGGATTTTCTTTTCCAGGAATGTCTTTGCTTTTATGATCACTTAATACTGTGAATTATACACAAATATGTTTATATTAAAAAGGGGGGAAAGTTTATTTTTGTAAAAGTAAGTAAAACAAACATGACCAGCATATCTAAGAATCAAATACCTTTTGTTTATCTAAAAATAGATGAGAAAAAAATTAGAAGCTTAATTTATCAATTTATGAAATTAATTTAGAACAAAATAATTATGAGATAATTATGAGAAAAAAGTTATGAGAAAAAAATGTATAGAGAGCAATTACATTTCAAAACCCTTTTGAATTCACCAGCCTGAAAAATATTTTTAATGTAACCATTATAATCTGACTTTCTTTACTATGTGAACGCCCTCATATAAGATAAATAAGAACATTCATATTAATAAGAACATGCATTACCTTATTTAATTAAATGCCATTCACAGTGGAACTCATCAATCCGAGGAAGATAATGGACTTGGATTGTTAGGGCATTACAAAAGCTAAGCCAAGGTTTTCTTCTAATTTTACAAATCATTTTCTAAATCAAATACACATATTAGCACAGTGTTCATTTTAAAAGAGGTTCATTTTAAAAGTAATTGGCATGGAACCTGGACAGTGCTCTATTCCACTAATTTTATAGTTCTAGGTAACTCACTACAAATAGATAAAAAGCAGGATCAGTAATTTCCTGAGCCAGAGCTCAGTTTGTAATTAACATAGAGTTTATTTAGATGGAGTGAAGGAAGGGAGGAGAAATAAATAAATTCATAGGAAGGTCAGCTGAAATTAATGTTAAACTCTCCATAATAAAATATATTTTGTGTAGTTTATTACTAACCAATTGGTTTCATTTGTATAATATATATCCCGTAATTCCCTAAAATATAGGTTAGCATGATAAACAATAATACTAGAATATTATCTCGATTTAAAAATATATAGTGATTATCTAGATTTTTAAAAATCACTGAAAAGAAGCAGACGATTTATATTCTGTTTTCAATGTGAAGAGAAGGAAATCATTTGCCTTATGGGTTTTATTTCTTGATTAATGTAACAATTACAGTATTGGACATTTTAGAAAAAAGATTGATATTTCAACATAAGAAGAAAATTACCAAGTAATATTTAGATTCAGAATCCCTTGTGGTATTCCATGAAATAAATCAAAGGTAAAGTGCTTGTTTCCCTTTCCAGGAAACAAAGTAATTAAATTATCCTCTTTTAAATAGGGTTGATGCTATTAGTTCTTGAATTGATGTAAGTTGATTTCAATGTTTTCTACTTTGTAACATTGAAATTATGCTTCCACATATTGTGATAACATTAAGCATATTATTTTTCTTGGATTAGATGCCTGACATTCTACTATGAAAGGATTATATATTATACATATGATATACTACTAAGTGATTTACATAGTCACATTATGTCTCAAGATTCTTAAGCTCGGGTGTTAGCTCTTTAACTGTCTTAACATCCTAAAATAAACAGAACAAACACTTAGATGCATCAGAGTGAGTACATATATATGTCTCTAAAATTTTAATCACATAACTTCTTCTGTTGGTTTTCAGAAGTACTAACTCACCAGAGAAATCTGAGAATTGTGCTACAGACTGATTTTCCTATATCAATTCAAAGACAAAGATAGTGTTGTCATAGGTCTAGTAAAATGTATTGCCAAAAACACTTCTTTAGAGTTCTAAGTTTATACAAAATTAGTCATCACACTTTTTCTCACTCATATTTTAGTTTTATGAAATAATGCTACATAGACTCAACTGCACGAATTTCTCCCTAACTGCAAATGCTAGAATTTTAACACAGATCAATCCATTTTCAGGATCGCCTGCCATAAAATTACTGATTGATCCCTTTGGTTGAACTCTGTTAACTGATTTCTCCTTTCTCTGTTTAGGTAGATTTATAGACCTAGCAAACATCACATAAAGTCAGTAATGTTGAAATGTTATTTAATGAGGCTTCATAGCCAGTGTTACAAACTAATGATGTAAAAATTTTAAAAGCAGGTTTGGGGAATAAAACTGACTTCAACATTTTATCCTTTAAAAAACTGTAAATCCTTTACAATAATGGGAATTTGTTCAAAATACGTTAAAAAATTAAACTTAAGACAGTGCATCAAAAACTTAAAGGAAAAGTCTTCTTTTAGAATCAAGTAGGCATACTGCCATTTATTATATTTTCATAATTCTGTAACATTCATCCATGGTCAAAGCACAGTCAAAATTTTAAAAATTTTAAATAAGCAAGCATTATAAATTCATATTTTATTTTAATTTTAAGGTAATTCTTCCTAAAAATATTTCATTTTCACTTCTTGAAAACAGTTGCTTTTGTTGCATTGATGAATGAGTTGGTTGATACTCAGCAGTTTGTAAGCTCCTTGAAAGTGAAGCCGGGATCACAAGGCTGTGCAGGCTGTGTGATGGCTTCACCAAAACCATGTGACGCCACAGTAGTCTTATTTCTTTTTTAGACAGTGTGACTAAAGGGGTAATTAAGGGGCAAAATGTAGACTCAGGGTATTTGAACTTCAGCAAAGCATGTGACAACGTCTCTCATATCATATCTTTGAGGATTAAAGGAAGAAATGTTAGCTGGAGGCAAGAACAGTGTGATAGATTGAGCCCTCGGTGAATGATCATAATCAGGACATGTGAAAATGACCATAATCAGCACATGTCAAAATGACCATAATCAAGGGCAAACTGTGTCCTTGGCCCTTTGCTGATCAAATTTATTAATGACTTAGATGAAAATATGAAGCTCCGTAGATTTATAGCCAGCATAGAAAACTGAGTAACAGAAAGATCTGCACAATTGGGTTGAATCTACTATGATGAGATTTAACACAGTAAGTTCATGATATTTGGTCCTAAAAGAAAATGAACAAGTGAGATTGGAGGAAATGTAGCTCAGCAATTGTAGTGAAAATATGAGTCAACAGCAAGATGTGACTCTTAGCAAAGCTACGCTGCCCTTGAGCTGCAAGAAAAGAAGGGTAATGTCCAGAGTGAGAAAGGCAGCTTTCTCAATCTATTCCATCAAATCCCATCTGAAAAGTTATATTGTCTATGTGCTATCGGAGGTTATTCAAACGAAAGTGATCAGGACAGTGAAATAATTTTAAAGCATGTGATCTGAGGGACAGTTAAAGAAATTGGGAGTCAAGAAGACTGAGGGAATCCAAAATCATGGCTTTAAAACATTTCAAGGACAGCCCCAAAAGAAGAAGGACTAGACTTGTGCCTAGTACAAAGGGTAATACTGAGACCATCGCCCATACGGAAGTGGAAAGTCTCTTTCTGCAGACCAATGTCAGCTCATAAATGTAGAAGGATTGATGGAATTAGAAAGTCACCATTTTGCAACTGCCGTTGCAGTAATTGACTCAGACAGGGATAATCAATGGATACTAAAACCAATAAGAGAAAGGGTGTTGAGAAATAGGATATTCATAGGGTGTCAAAGTATTAACCCACAGATGATGTTCTTCTACAGCTTGTTTTAATACCACAATTTACTTCTATATAAATATATTAGGGAACAATTTGAACACAATGCTGATTTTGCACTTGCTTATACCTGATTTAATCCGGAAGAGTCATCCTGTCACCCGCTTCTACGTGCAAACTTCAGGTCTCTTCAGGGGAAAGTGCCCTATTTATATAGTTTACATGTATTTATTTACCATTTAACATGTGTAAAACTGTGCTGTCATTTTTATTGGGCTCCTGCTTTTTAAAAAAATGTGTAATTGGTGAAGTTTTTGTGTTGTGTCTTTAACCTGATTTTCCCCATAAAACCTGTGGTTTTTGTTTTGCAATTTTTCATACCTGATGATTTTTAGTACCACATCTGCTAAATTATAGTGGACTCACTGTATTTGCTAATCACAAAGTTTACAAGTACCCACAATAGAGTGATATTGCTGTATCTGCCTTACATGAAATGATCAATAATCTAACATTACGTGCCTCTTGACGGGATGCAATATGATGTACACACATAACCTATAAAACGGCCAGAAATGTCTTAGTTGGATATAATCAAGACTTTATACATAAACAAAATAGGATATATATTTATATATTCACATAAAGGATTGGCTCAGAATTTTCACTTAGCACAAATATTACATTAAATTTGAAACTAAGAATTAAAATAAAACTGGTGATGAAAAAATTTTGCAGAAAATTAAGGAAATCTGAAAATAGATTGAGCATTAGATGATAATAGGGAATTACTGCTTATTTTCCTAGGTATGATAATGGTATCATCATCATACAGAAGAATATCCTTTTCTTAGGAGATGCTTACTAAAATCAAGGTAAAATATCCTAATGTGTGCAGTGGGGGTGCTCACAATACTATTCTTTTTTAAAATTAAGTTTTAAAGATTTATCAATAAATAGTTGAAAAATTAATTAAGATATCATTAAAAAGTGAATGAGAGTGTTGGGAAAGGGATATTAGTAAAATGATATTTTCAGGTTAAATGTAATTTTTGTGGTCTACTCCTACTTGAAATATCTGTGTAAATTTTGTATGAGATATATATCCAGATTTGTTAACTGGAAAAAAAATAGACTAATTGCTGACAACTCAACATTAAAATGCCTGGTATTAAAAAATGTAGCAGCACTCCATTGGATAATGAACTTCAGGGAATTGTAATAGAAGGCAATGAAGCAAAGAAATGATTTATTTATGTGTAGCCTAAGATGATAAAATGACTTATAACGGTGAGAAGGGTATTCTGAGGAACCACAGCATTGCTGTGAAAAAGTGAGCAAATACTTTTTAAATTTTTTAATGTTATTATTATTATTTTTTGAGATGAAGTCTCGCTCTATTGCCCAGGCTGGAGTGCAGTGGCGTGATCTTGGCTCACTGCAACCTTCACCTCCTGGGTTCAAGCAATTCTCCTGCCTCAGCCTCCCAAGTAGCTTGGGATTACAGGTGTGCACCATGACGCCTGGCTAATTTTTGTATTTTTAGTAGAGACAGGGTTTCACCATGTTGGCCAGGCTGGTCTCGAACTCCTGACCTCGTGATCCACCCACCTCGGCCTCCCAAAGTGCTGGGATTACAGGCATGAGCCACCACGCCCGGCTGAGCAAATACTTTTTCATAGAACTTGTTAAAGTAAAACAAGCACAATATCTATAAATATGTTTGTATAAAATATTAGTTCTAAGAGACACATTGGGAAGTCTTTACGGCTTCTGGTCTTTTCTTGAGTAATAATATATTAACCTTACCCTTACTTCTTTGCTCCTTAGACACCCTCCTCTCAAATGATTACGTCAAAGAAACTACTCTCATAGAAGTTTAAGTAAAACAATTTCAAGCTTTTAATACAAGATTATTTTTGATAGTAAAAAAAGACTACCTCATTAAGGAAAAATATCAATAACGTGGCATCTATTATATAATTTTACATTCATTTTTAGCTTTAGAACTAAGTATGATAAACTGTAATCACACTGCGGTCATTCATAGTTTTGTTTAACTCTTAACCACTTGTAGGGTTTTGCTTTTTCTATGCTTTAGCTTTCCTTCAAATCATTAATCTTTTATGTTTCCTCTGTGAATGAAAAGCATATTTTATTTTCATCAATCTGAGACAATTTAAGTATGGTTATCTCTCAAACTTGAAAATTGATGACCAATATATCAAAATTATAAGACAGTTTATTACATTCAAATGTATTTATTAAGAGCAAAACTTTCATTTAATTCACTTGACATCTGTTTCATAGAGCCACAGACCTGAGCAAAATTATATTTTTATGGAGAAGAATAATTTTAAAAAATGCAAATGAGGACTAGCTCTAGGTTCTCAGTACTGGTGATGGTGAATTGGAAAGTAGTAGGAAGCATGGCTGGCTTTTAAAAAGGCACTCTCCAGAGAAAGGGCTATGACTTGGGCCTGACATGTGCTTGCTGTGTCCAGGGTGCTGAGGGTGAAGGGGGAGAAGGTTAGGAGAGAACATCAAAAAGCACACGAAAACAAGTGCATTTTATGAACTGATGCTTGGAAACATCTTGGAATAATTCTTTTGAACATTGTTGATGGTCAAGATATATCTATTATTTGCAAATTACCAATTGACTGGTCTCTTGCTCCCTAAAATCTGTAACTACTGGAACTCTGACATCTGGTAAAAACTACAGCTGGTCATACTTTACAGTTTCTTGATTTCATGTTTGAAGCCATCTCTAGACCATAGATGGCATCAGTCATTTGTCTTAGAGGGGCTCGTTGCAGGAGAAATGCAAGAGAAAATAAAGGGGTTTATTCAAATTTTTTTCTCTTCCTCTCCCTGTTGGTTATTGCTACATTGGACAACAATACCCTCACTCTACACTCTCTCCCCCAAATTTCTAAAGCAAATGAGGAGGCTATTCTTCCTTTACCTTTTTGTGACCTTTCTTTTTTCCCCAGACAGCCTTGGAAATTTATTTAACTAGATTTCAGCTGTATAAAATGGACGGTTAGGAAGAGAAGGAAGCATATAATATGGTTATGTGTGCCCCAATACTTCCTAGAAATGACCCTGTGGGCCAAATTCCCCTAAGGAGATGTCGTGCTGTTTCATAATCCATGGAGCATCTTATAATTATACAACCATTAATTCTTTTTCCTGCTTCAAATTTCACTGATTTACTTATGTAACAGTGTCATTAAAACCCATATATCATTTTTCACCATTAATCCATTATTCATGAGTTTCATCCATCTCTGAAGTATGTTCATCAGGAAAAATAGCCTCAATTTGCAGTTTAATTGACCAAATGTACAGTGGTATCTGATCATATAAATGGTCATTTCTGGTTCAGCAGAAGCTTATGTTTAGTAGGATTAAAGTGATCTTTATTTTACAGTTCTCTCTTCTGATGTGATTTTCATAAATGTTAACATACTGGTTTTACCAATAGCTATACAACTAGGGTTGCCAGATAAAATATAGGAGGCCCCATTAAATTTGAATTTCAGATAAACAATTATTTTTCCTCAGTATAAATATTCTACAAATATTATATGCATACTTATAAAATTATTTGTTGTTTTTTTGAAATTCATATTTAACTGTGTGCTCTGTGTTTTTATGTACTAAATCTGGCAACCATACCTACATAGTAACAAAGTCAAAACAACCACATAATTCCCTACTATCAACAAAGATCTCCTTTATTACAATGAATCATTTTTAAAAATATGTTTTTGAGGATTTTGGTACTCTTAAATAACTATATTGGTAGGTACCAGGAAACAATATGGATTTGTATTTTTGACATTGTGTTGAGATAATCAGGTTATATCCATTCAAATTCCCATTGTATAAAAATGTGTAATATTTGCTATCCAATTTTATTTCTACCAGATAGTATGTACACACAATTTTGCATAGACTAAGTCTTCAACAAATATTCAATTAATTTGCAACTCCTTTCTTTCTTGGAAGAATTAAAAACTAAAAATCCATTCAATCAATTTATGTCTCTACTTCAGAAAAAAAATAAATACCAGTAAATAAAGGTCATGAACATATTGTGCCCCAAAGCAGTCAGCAGGTCAACCATCTTGATTTTTACTTTTCATTTTCCTTGACTTCAAGGGAAATATATTCATTTCCTATTGCTGTTTGTAACAAAGTACACAAACTTAGTGGCTTAAAAGAACACAAATTTATTCTCTTGTAGTTCTAGATGTCAGAAGCCTTAAATGATTCTTTTGGGGCTAAAATCAAAGTGTTGGCAGGGCTGGTTCTTTCTGGAGGTTTCAGGGAGAATTCATTTGTTTGCCTTTTTCACCTTGTAGAGGCCATTTGTATTCCTTGGCTCAAAGCCCCTTCCTTATTCCAATTCAACTTTGTGCTCCATCATTACATCTCCTACTACTTACTCCGATCACTCTGTCTTCTTCTTACAGTGACCCCTGTGATTATATTGGATTCACCCAGATAATCCAGAATAATCTCACCGTCTCCTTTACCACACCTGAAAAGTTTCCTTTACCACACCTGAAAAGTTTCCTTTACTATATAAAGTGACATACACTCAGGTTCTGGGAATTAGGATGTGAACCTTTAGGGAAACATTATTCAACCTACCATAGAAAGGGATTGGCAAATTGAAACTCACAATACATTTCTACATCTGTATTATAAATCAATTATATACGTACACACATACCTTACATTTACAGAGTGTTAGTCTTTTTTTTATCAGCAGTGCTTTTCACTTCCAAGAATTAATTTGAGTATTACTCTTAGAGTAGGTAGTGAGGCAGACATGAACAGGCCAGGAGACAGCCCCTCACCACCAGGGGTGTCAGGCAACCATCAGGAGATGCTCAGGAGGTTATTAAACTGTCTTTCTAGAATAATAATTGGTCCCAGCCAGCGCCAGGGAAAGGCAATCTCCCAATAGATAGAAAAATCCTGATCAGCCGCTTCCCAATAAGATCTCAGGAGTTGGGAGAGTGGGCTCAAGCATGAACAGTACGAGAAAAATGGCAGAGTTTAATTTGTATATGATCTTCCTGTAGGAACATTTGGTAAGAGAAGAACGCCTCAAGAGAGCATGTGCAAAGCTGCGGTAAACACACTCCGCGTGTGGCCCCTCCCAAGGGCTGGCAGCTCACTGCGCATGCGGACAGCCCACCCCAAGGGAAGAATCAGGGCAGAAGGGATGCGACCCCCTGAAGTACTCCAACGTATCAACCCCAAGTCAAAGGTCCAACTGCATACATTCTCTCAAGCCGCCTGCTTGGCCCTCTTCCAAGTGTACGTTACTTCCTTTTGCTCCTGCTCTCAAGTTTTTTTGTTTGTTTGTTTTGAAACGGAGTCTTGCTCTGTCGCCCAGGCTGGAGTGCAGTGGCGCGATCTCGGCTCACTGCAAGCTCCGCCTCCCGGGTTCACGCCATTCTCCCGCCTCAGCCTCCCAAGCAGCTGGGACTACAGGCGCCCGCCGCCACGCCCGGCTAATTTTTTGTATTTTTAGTAGGGACAGGGTTTCACCGTGTTAGCCAGGATGGTCTCGATCTCCTGATCTCGTGATCCGCCCGCCTCGGCCTCCCATAGTGCTGGGATTACAGGCGTGAGCCACCGCGCCCGGCCTGCTCTCAAGTTTTTTAATAAACTTTCACTCCTGCTCTGAAACTTGCCTAGATCTCTCCTGCTATATGCCCCTCAGTAGAATTCTTCCTTCCGAGAAGTCAAGGACGGAGGTTGCTGCAGACCGGTATGGATTCACCGCCTGTAACATCACAACACCACGGTGCTGTAGACCAGACGGGTATTGTTGTGCTGCTTTTCTTTTTAATTTTTTTATTTTTTAGACGGAGTTTTGCTCTCTCGCCCAGGCTGGAGTGCAGTGGAAGAATCTCGGCTCACTGCAACCTCCGCCTCCTGGGTTCAAGCCATTTTCCTGCCTCAGCCTCCCGCGTAGCTGGGACTACAGGCGCCCGCCACAACGCCCAGCTAATTTTTTTGTATTTTTAGTAGAGACAGGGTTTCACCATGTTAGCTAGGATGGTCTCGATCTCCTGACCTGCTGATCCGCCCGCCTCGGCCTCCGAAAGTGCTGGGATTACAGACGTGAACCACCGCGCCCGGCCGCATTTTGCTGCTTTTCATATGCTCATGAGTAATCACAACTGCAGCCTTTTGAGTGTTTACTATGGGCTACGTATAATGTTGGGAATCTTTCATTTCCTTTAATTTTTGGAACCACCCTATGAGGTAGGTTTTATTATTATTCTCACTTCCATGTGAAAATAAAGTAAATGAGCAACAATTGTTAAGACATTTTTAACATTTAGTATTTACTCAGTCACTGTAGTACTTTACATACATTATCCCATTGAATCCTTTCAAAACTTTAATGAGTAGACAATGTTATTAACGCTCACAGTTTGGAAGAGGTTAAATCACGTGCCCAAGGTCACGCAGCTTGTAAGTGGCAGAGCCAGGATGCACACCGGGCTTACTGGATTCTGGGAATCATATTATTAACCATTCCACTCTATTAAGTAAGGAACTTGTCTACGGTTGCATGGTTCATACGCAGCAGAACTAAAGTTACAACAAATAACGCCCGTTTCCTAGGGTGCTGTTCTTTCAGTCACAAAGCCATCAGGATGATGGTCTGTCTGGCATTCTAGTACAGCCACAGCCCTCAGAGATACCGATTTTATTAGCCTGAGGTGAGGCCCAAGCACTAGTATAGTTTAAAAGCTGCCTGGGTGATTAAAATGTGCAGGCAGGGTTGTGAACCACTGCCACAAAGGGTAGATCCTAAACTTCTGGGAAGCAGCAGGCTATGATGCATAGAAAAAAACAGAAAAAATAGAAACTGTTCTGGGCTGGGTTCGGTGACTCACGCCTGTAATCCCAGCACTTTGGGGGCTGAGGCAGTGAATCAGTTGAGGTCAGGAGTTCAAGACCAGCCTAGTCAACATGGTGAAACCCAGTCTCTACTAAAAATACAAAAATTAGCTAGGCGTGGTGGTGCACGCCTGTAATCCCAGCTACTCAGGAGGCCGAGGCATGAGAATCGCTTGACCTGGGGAGGCGAAAGTTGCAGTGAGCTGAGATCATGCCACTGCACTCCACCCTGGGCAACAGAGTGAGACCCTGTCTCAATAAATAAATATAATTTTTTAAAAAAGTTGTTCTGGAGGTCAATTACGTGCCCTTGTCACCAGCCATCAGGAGGTTTGCTACATCCTACAGCCTGCATGAGGTTACAGAGAGTCTGCAGAGCGCTATTAACCATTTCTTTGTTTCTACGTCTGCTGACAAATACAGTGAATGGGAACCTCTCAGAAGCCAAAATTACATCAATATAATCATTAGTGATTCTGATAAGAGAATAGCCAGAAGTCCCCCAAACTGTGAATGTGTTTTCAGTGAGCTCACATTTTAAAAGCATGAATATAGAACAAAGAAAAAAAAAAAGGAAGCCTAATCAAAAATAGATTTAGAAGGATAGCCCAGGCCTGTAAAAATATTGTTAGAAAGGCCAATATTCAGAATGTGCTAAATTGCAATAAGTCTGAAAACAAAGCAAAATAAAAAAACATTTTTAGAGATACAAGAAGCAAGTCCAGGCATGAGGCTCATGCCTGTAATCCCAGCACTTTGGGAGGCTGAAGCAGGTGGATCACTTCAGCCCAGGAGTTCGAGACCAGCCTGGGCAACATGGCAAAATCTCATCTCTACAAAAGAAAACAAAAATTAGCCGGTGTGTTGGCACATGCCTGTGGTCCCGGTGGAGGTTACAGTGAGCCAAGATCATGCCACTGCATTCCAGCATGGGCGACAGAGAGAGACTCTGTCTCAAACAAAACAAAAGCCAAAAAAAAAAACAAACCCCAAAAAAGAGAGATACAAGAAGGAAGAATTTTAAATAGCATAGGACAAGATATCAGAAAACCCTCCTTTAAAAAAATCCACTGAAGTTTGTACATGTTTTCCCTATCATTTAGAATGATTCTCAGACTAGAAAAGATAAGACAAATATACATTATTAAATCAGAATTTTAGAGCAAATTTAGAGAATCTAGCTTGTGCTCGCTTCACAGCCCTTACCAAGCTGAAGTCTTTTTTTTTTTATTTTTATTTTTTTGAGATGGAGTCTCGTTCTGTTGCCAGGCTGGAGTGCAGTGGCACGATCTCGGCTCACTGCAACCTGCACCTCCCGGGTTCAAGCGATTGTCCTGCCTCAGCCTCCCGAGTAGAAGTCTTTTGAATATGTTATTAACTTGGCCAGTCAATAGACTTTTTTTTCCTTTTCTTTTTCTTTTTTGAGACAGAATCTCATTCTGTCGCCCAGACTGGAGTGCGGTGGCGCGATCTCAGCTCACTGCAACCTCTGCCTCCCAGGTTCAAGTGATTCTTGTGCTTCAGCCTCCCAAGCAGCTGGGATTACAGGCATGCACCCCTATGCCCGGCTAATTTTTGTATTCTTAGTAGAGACGAGGTTTTACCACGTTGGCCAGCCTGGTCTCGAACTCCTGGCTTCAAGTGATCCACCTGCCTTGGCCTCCCAAAGTGCTGGGATTACAAGTGTGAGCCACCATGCCTGGCCCAATAGGCGTTTTTTGAGTGGGTGAGACTCCGTGCTGGGTTCCTGTGAAGGAGCACTGTCCCCTTGCCACATCTCCCCGTCTCCTCTGGGGCTTGGTCTAGTCTAATGAGTTTATATTTAAACAGCAATGTTGACTTACTATTGAAGCATCAGGAGAACACAGAAATAGAAAGCTGGGCATGTATAAATATTCTCATCTCAAAAATGTAAGGTAACATCTATGAACTTCAGACTTGCAAAGTTGGTGTTGATCTCTAGACAGCTCACAGGGCCTTCTGAGATAAGATTTCTGCCATCCTTCTCAGTGCATCAAGCAGAGCCTAAATCACACAGGGTTTTGCAACTCCAGGTGAGGTTGCAGTGAAAGCCTAGAGAACTCCTGGGGAAGAGTGCATTTAGCTCCTTTTCATTTCTAATTGAATTTCAGACTAGGTTTATATTTCTAGAATGGAAATAATTTGCCCTCAAAAGCATGAAAGCTTTGCCCCATTGTCTTCAAGGTATTTGAATTCTCCTTCTGGAAACATATGACCTATTTTTTCCTTGTAGAAACATTTAGAGTCTTCTTTTGTATCTGTGTTATTTTGAAATGTTATAAAGATATTCTTTGATACTTGTCTTTTCCCATTCATTGTGCTGTGCCCTCAACAGGAAATTTTGCTCTGAAAATTCTTACCTTTCAGTTTGGAGAGATATTCTTACATTATGTCTTTGATATTTCTCTTTCAATTTTCTCTGTTCCTTGTTTCTGAAACTCCTACCAAGGAAATTTTTATCTCTTTTCTGACTTTATTTTTGTATCCTTTTTTTTTCCTATTTTGCATCTCTTTGCTTTTTAACCTTATTATTTGAGAGCTGTCCCCAACTTTATCTTCCAATCCTTCTATTGCATGTTTTATTTTTGCTATCATAATATTAATTTCCCAGAGTAGTTTTAGTTATCTGAATGCTCCTATTTTTTTAAGATCAGTTGTTTCATGGAGGAAATTTTTTTTTTTCATAACTTTAAGAATATCTATCTATATATGTATATTTCCTCCTGCTTCCTGAGCTTTCTCTGTCCCTGTGAGTTTCTTTGTTTTGTTCTTTCATGTCTGGGTTTCTTCAAATGTTCAGTGATCCCGCATGGTCTGTTTCTATTTTAAAATGAGGCTCTGAAAGACTAATTTGGAAGCTGTGTGTGTTCAGGCAGCGTTTTTTTTGTATTGTGAGTATCATGTGGGGATATTGTGACAAGGTCTATCTTTACATTTGCTTTTTCTTTCTTGGGTGGTCAGTTTCCTTAGAAAGGAATGAATACGTGGCTGTCTGTGTGTTTGGGAGTGAAACTGGGACACACTTGCCATGATGAAGACTTCCAGTTTTCTCCCTCGTTGCAGTTTAAGAAAAGTGTGCCATCTGTTTCCTGCCAAGAACCTGCCTGATAAGCTTTTGGCTATGCCAGAAATCTCTTGTCCAGAGCCCCTCTGGTTCAGTGTATTCAATGAATAAACCACCAAGTCTTTGCCACAGATTAAGTGAGAAAACAAATGTTCCAAAAAAAGTTGCAGAACAGTATATGCATAATATGATTCACATAATTTAAAATAGTGTGCGTGCATTCCAGTTCCACATGCCTCCTATATGCTTTGTGAAATCAAGTTTATGGGAGGCTATTGTTTTAGACTGAGCTCCTGCACTAGACCCCGACGGACCAGACCAAACCAGAATGGGTCACTTGTGCCAAGTGCCAGGTAATCAAACTGAACTTAGAAATGGGTGTTTCCAAAACAGGAGGAGAATAACAGCAACCAATCCAAAGGGGCCCAGTCCGATGTCCAGCTGCTTCTCCTCTCTCTGTCGGTTGAGTGTGGGGTGGGAGGCGGGGTGGGCCACGGGTAGTTTAGGAAAAGGCAACATTTGAGCAGAAACAGGGATGTAAGTTTTTACCTTGGGCTGTGGTCTTAGGCTTTTTGGCTTGAGTATGGGACTTTGCCAGGGACTCACCTTTTTCTGCCTAGAATTTCTCTGCTGCCTGTCCCTATCCGAAGGAGTACACTCTAAAACAATAATAAAAAAAAAGTATAGTAAATACATAAACAAGTAATGGTCCTTTATTGTCATTATCAAGTATTATGTACTATTCATAATTGTACATGTTATGCTTTTGTACAACCGGCAGCACAGTAGGTTTACACCAGCGTCACCACAAACATGATTAATGCATTGCACTATGACATTAGGACAGCTATGACATCATTAGGCTACAGGAATTTTTCAGCCCCATTATAATCTTATGGGACACCCTGTACTACATCCATTGCTCACCAAAATGTGGTTATGTAATGCATAACTGTACATTCAATTGTTAACAGGATTTAACTCTAGGAAATGGTTGTGGGGTAAAAGAAAGAAACAAAGAACTTCTAATTTTTAATTTTTACAATTCTCTACTCTTCCCCTGAATGACCGTATATAACTTTATAATGTTTCTCACAAACAGCTCCCGGTGTAATTCTGATGCTCAGCTAGACTTGGAATCACTGGCTACTGTCTATTTCTGTGTTCCTCTCTCAGCAGAATATTGGAATTAAAATGATAGCGAAGACTGAATGGCCAAATGATAGGAATTCTACAGAAGTCTTCCTGTATGAGGTTGTGGGAACATGGGTGGTGCACAAAGAAAATGGTCAGCTTGGATTGTTTTTCATTTAATGCATTTTTGGTACAAAAATGTCTCAGTTTTTGTTGTTGCTTGTTTGTTTGACATAGGGTCTCCCTCTGTCACCCAACTTCAAGGACAGTGGCTGGATCACAGCTCACTGCACCCTCGAACACCCTGGCCCAAGCGATCCTCCTGCCTCAACCTCCACAGTAGCTGGGAATACAAGTACATGCTACCACACCCAGTTTATTTTTTAATTTTTAGTAGAGACAGGCTGGTCTTGAATTCTTGGGCTCAAGTGATCCTTCCGCCTCAGCCTCCCAAAGTGCTGGGATTACAGGCATAAGCCACTGTGCCCATCCTGAGTATTTGTTTTATAGAGTACTGTGGACATCCAATAGATATTGATAATTATATCAATACTTTACCTGTGAATCCAAACAAGTAGGACTACATATGGTGCAATATGGCTTTAAGTTAAATAAATGATATTGTCTTAAATGTACCCCCATACTTAAAATAGCCATATGAAAAAATACTGATCTATATTGTTTCTTTTTCATACACACACATACATTACAGAATTTGTTTGTAAAAGCAAAGCACTAATTACCTAACCACCTCAACACAATGACTATTTAAAAATATTTATTTATATTAGATCTCAAAACAAATCTTCTATTGTTCATGTAAGTAAATTTTCTTGAGTTTTTGTCCGATTTTTATAATTCTGAAAACTAGTAATACATTTCACTTTTCTGTACACAGATATTTTTATAAACTGCAATATGTTTGAAAGTATTTTTTCCATTAAATAAAAGAGTAGTATTATGTTTCGAAGTGTCTGCTGTTACTGTTTCCACCCACTAAAAAAACATTCCATTGCTACTGAAAAAAAGTCACTTTTTTCCCTCAAAACGTTGTCAGAAATTCATGCGATAGTCTTTTCTTTTTCTTTTCTTTCTTTCTTTTTTTTTTTTAAATTCTTTGCTAGGGCAAAGGGGAGGGAATATTATGTTGTAGATCATGGCCTTATGTACCCTTGTAGTTAAATTTTGAGAAAAAATAGTTTTGAGTAAACAAACAACTAAAGCATCAACTATTTTATTTGTAACCACAGTTTTAAATCGTGTGTGGATCTTTTGTTTCTGGCTATGGGAAAGGTAAATAGGGCAGTTCCTCTTACAATCATGAGCCAGATTCCATTACATTTTCCTGCTTGTCCAAATAGCGAACGATGTCGTTTGTTGCTGTTCACTGCTAATTATCAGTCTTTCTACAAATTCAAGTAATTGCATTATTTGGAATTCCATGCTCCTTTAAGCCCCGCCAATGTTTTGTTTTGTATTGTAGTGCTCTGCAAATCTGTATAAAGCAATGTATCATTGTTAAATAGAGAAAAAAAGACCTTTCAGAAAGAATTACCCTGAAACTTTTAATACGACTATTTTTTGTTGTTTGTGCCTGGCTCCAGTCTGAATATCAGCGTAAGCATCACACTAATTTGTGAGTTTTTCCATTGTCGGTGAATGGGGTGCCCTCGGATACTTGAGTTTTTCTAAGCCTTTGCTTTCACTCCAACTGTGGGTCCTGCCACGCCCTAGCAACATTTCAACAACAAAGGCACGCCTCTGAAAAGTATGCAGCACGCTCTGTCACTTTTTCCTCCTTGTACAATCTTACCACTGAGCAAATGATGCGCTTGTTGTTTAAGCAATTGGTAAAGCAATGGTGAATAAACAATAATTTCTTGTTTATTCTAATGAAAGAGTAGTTGTTGAAAATGGCTAGCATGGCTATAAATATTCAAATAGGAGTTGTACGTTGCCAAATACCTTCATTTATTTACTGAACATGCCCTTCAAAGAGATTTTTTTTCTTCTTTTTTTTTAATTATACTTAAGTTCTGGGATACATGTGCAGACTATGCAGGTTTCTTACATAGGTATACATGTGCCATGGTGGTTTGTCTCACCCATTAACCCATCATCTACATTAGGTATTTCTCCTAATGCTATGCCTCCCTTTGCCCTCCACCCCCCGACAGGCCCCAGTGTGTGATGTTCCCCTCCCTGTGCCCATATGTTCTCATTGTTCAACTCCCGCTTATGAGTGAGAACATGCAGTGTTTGGTTTTCTGTTCCTGTGTTAGTTTGCTGAGAATGATGGTTTCCAGCTTCATCTATGTCCCTGCAAAGGACATGAACTCATTCTTTTTTATGGCTGCATAGTATTCCATGGTGTATATGTGCCACATTTTCTTTATCCAGTCTATCCTTGATGGGCATTTGCACTGGTTCCAAGACTTTGCTATTGTGAATAGTGCTGCAGTAAAAATACGTGTGCATGTGTCTTTATAGTGGAATGATTTATAATCCTTTGGGTATATACTCAGTAATTGGATTGCTGGGTCAAATAGTATTTCTAGTTCTAGATCCTTGAAGAATTGCCACACTGTCTTCCACAATGATTGAACTAATTTACACTCCCACCAACAGTGTAAAAGTGTTGCTGGAGTGCAGTGGTGTGATCTCAGCTCACTGCAACCTCCGCCTTCTGGTTTCAAGTGATTCTCCTGCCTCAGCCTCCCGAGTAGCTGGAATTACAGGTGTCCGCCACCACATCCAGCTAACTTTTATATTTTTAGTAGAGATGGGGTTTCGCCACGTTGACCAGGCTGGTCTCAAACTCCTGACCTCGTGACCCACCTGCCTCAGCCTCCCAAAGTGCTGGGATTACAGACATGAGCCACCATACCCGGCTGCTTTTTTGTGACAGGATCTCACTCTGTCACCAGGCTGGAGTGCAGTGGCATGATCACAGCTCACTGCAGCCTTGACCACCTCGACCTCCTGAGCTCAATCCATCCTTTTGCCTCAGCCTTCCAAGTAGCTTGGACTACAGATTAGCTAAGCCACCACACTTAGGTAACTTTTAATAGAGACAGGGTCTCCCTGTGTTTCCCACGCTGGTCTTGAACTCCTGGGCTCCAGTGCCCGGCCTGTATCCTGACTTTTTAATGATTGACATTCTAACTGACGTGAGATGGTATCTCACTGTGGTTTTGATTTGCATTTCTCTAATGACCAGTGATGATGAAAGTCTTCCTTTGAAAAGTGTCTGTTCATATCCTTTGCCCACCTTTTGATGGGGTTGTTTTTTTCTTGTAAATTTGTTTAAGTTCCTTGTAGATTCTGGATATTAGCCCTTTGTCAGAAGGATAGATTGCAAACATTTTCTCCCATTCTGTAGGTTGCCTGTTCACCCTGATGATAGTTTCTTTTGCTGTGCAGAAGCTCTTTAGTTTAGTTAGATCCCATTTTTCATTTTTGGCTTTTGTTGCCATTGCTTTTGGTGTTTTAGTAATGAAGTCTTTGTCCATGCCTATATCCTGAATGGTATTGCCCAGGTTTTCTTCTAGGGTTTTTATGGTTTTATGTCTTACATTTAAATCTTTAATTCATCTTGACTTAATTTTTGTATAAGGTGTAAGGAAGGGGTCCAGTTTTAGTTTTCTGCATATGGCTAGCCAGTTTTCCCAACACCATTTATTAAATAGGGAATCCTTTCCCCATTGCTTGTTTTTGTCAGGTTTGTCAAAGATCAGATGGTTGTAGATGTGTGGTGTTATTTCTGAGCCCTCTGTTCTGTTCCATTGGTCTATATATCTGTTTTGGTACCAGTACCAAGCTGTTTTGGATACTATAGCCTTGTAGTATAGTTTGAAGTCAGGTAGCATGATGCCTCCAGCTTCTATATTTTTGCTTAGGATTGTCTTGGCTATACGGGCTCTTTTTTGGTTCCATATGAAATTTAAAGTAGTTTTTTCTAATTCTGTGAAGAAAGTCAATGGTAGCTTTATGGGAATAGCATTTAATCTAAAAATTACTTTGGGCAGTATGACCATTTTCATGATATTGATTCTTCCTATCCATGAACATGGAATGTTTTTCCATTTGCTTGTGTCCTCTCTTATTTCTTTAAGCAGTGGTTTGTAGTTCTCCTTGAAGAGGTCCTTCACATCCCTTGTAAGCTGGATTCCTAGGTATTTTATTCTCTTCATAGCAATTGTGAATGGGAGTTCACTCATGATTTGGCTCTCTGTGTATTTGTGTATAGGAATGCTTGTGATTTTTGCACATTGATTTTGTATCCTGAGACTTTGCTGAAGGTGCTTGTCAGCTTACGTTTTGGGGCTGAGATGATGGGGTTTTCTAAATATACAATCATGTCATCTACAAACAGGGATAATTTGACTTCCTCTCTTCCTATTTGAACACACTTTATTTCTTATCTTGCCTGATTGCCCTTCCAATTCTATGTTGAATAGGAGTGGTGAGAGAGGGCATCCTTGTCTTGGGCTGGTTTTCAAAGGGAATGCTTCCAGTTTTTGCCCATTCAGTATGATATTGTCTGTGGGTTTGTCATAAATAGCTCTTATAATTTTGAGATACGCTCCATCAATACTTGGTTTATTGAAAGTTTTTAGAATGAAGGGGTGTTGAATTTTGTCGAAGGCCTTTTCTGCATCTATTGAGATAATCACGTGGTTTTTGTCATTGATTCTGTTTATGTGATGGATTACATTTATTGATTTGCGTATGTTGAACCAGCCTTGTATTTCAGGGATGAAGTCAACTTGATCACGGTGGATAAGCTTTTTACTGTGCTGCTGGATTTGGTTTGCCAGTATTTTATTGAGGATTTTCGCATCAATGTTCCTCAATTGTGTATTGAGGAACACCCACCCTCAATTGGGAGGGTGTATGTGTCCAGGAATGTGTCCATTTCTTCTAGATTTTTGTAGAGGTGTTTATAGTATTCTCTGATGATAGTTTGTATTTCTGTGGGATCAGTGGTGATCTCCCCTTTATCATTTTTTATTTCATCTATTTGATTCTTCTCTCTTTTCTTCTTTATTGGTCTGGTTAGCAGTCTATCTATTTTGTTAATCTTTCCAAAAAACCAGCTCCTGGATTCATTGATTTTTTTTGAAGGGGTTTTTGTGTCTCTATCTCCTTCAGTTCTGCTCTGATCTTAGTTATTTCTTGTCTTCTGCTAGTTTTTGAATGTGTTTGCTCTTGCTTCTCTAGTTCTTTTAATTGTGATGTTAGGGTGTCGATTTTAGATCTTTCCTGCTTTCTCCTGTGGGCATTTAGTGAGATAAATTTCCCTCCAAACACTGCTTTAGCCGTGTCCCAGAGATTCTGGTACGTTATGTCTTTGTTCTCATTGGTTTCAAAGAACTTATTTATTTCTGCCTTAATTTCATTATTTACCCAGTAGTCATTCAGGAGCAGGTTATTCAGTTTCCATGTAGTTGTGCAGTTTTGACTGAGTTTCTTAATCCTGAGTTCTAATTTGATTGCACTGTGGTCTGAGAGACTGCTTCTTATGATTTCCATTCTTTTGCATTTGCTGAGGAGTGTTTCACTTCCAATTATGTGGTCAGTTTTAGAATAGGTGCAATGAGGTGCTGAGAAGAATGTATATTCTGTTGATTTGGGGTGGAGAGTTCTGTAGATGCCTATTAGGTCTGTTTGGTCCAGAGCTGAGCTCAAGTCCTGAATATCCTTGTTAATTTTCTGTCTCGTTGATCTAATATCGACAGTGGGGTGTTAAAGTCTCCCACTGTTATTGTGTGGGAGTCTAAGTCTCTTTGTAGGTCTCTAAGAGCTTGCTTTATGAATCTGGGTGTTCCTGTATTGGGGGCATATATATTTAGGATAGTTAGCTCTTCTTGTTGCATTGATCCTTTTATCATTATGTAATGCCCTTCTTTGTTATTTTTTGATCTTTGTTGGTTTAAAGTTGGTTTTATCAGAGACTAAGATTGCAACCCCTGCCTTTTTTTGCTTTCCATTTGATTGGTAAATCTTCCTCCATCTCTTTATTTTGAGCCTATGTGTGTCTTTGCACTTGAGATGGGTCTCCTGAATACAGCACACCAATAGGTCTTGACTCTTTATCCTATTTGCCAGTCTGTGTCTTTTAACTGGGGCATTTGCCCATTTACATTTAAGGCTAATATTGTTATGTGTGAATTTGATCCTGTCATTATGATGCTAGCTGGTTATTTTACCCATCAGTTGATGCAGTTTTTTCATAGTGTCGATGGTCTTTACTTTTTGGTATGTTTTTGCAGTGGCTGGTACCAGTTTCTCCTTTCCATATTTAGTGCTTCCTTCAGGAGTTCTTGTATGGCAGGCCTGGTGGTGACAAAATCCCTCAGCATTTACTTGTCTGTAAAGGGTTTTATTTTTCCTTCAGTTATGAAGCTTAGTTTGGCTGGATATGAAATTCTGAGTTGAAAATTCTTTTCTTTAACAATGTTGGATGTTGGTCCCCATTCTCTTCTGGCTTGTAGGGTTTCTGCAGAGAATCCACTGTTAGTCTGATGGGCTTCCCTTTGTGGGTAACCCAACCTTTCTCTCTGGCTGCCCTTAACAATTTTTCCTTCATTTTAACCTTGGTAAATCTGATGATTGTGTGTCTTGGGGTTGTTCTTCTCAAGGAGTATCTTTGTGGTGTTCTCTGTATTTCCTGAATTGGAATGCTGGCCTGTCTTGCTAGGTTGGGGAAGTTCTCCTGGGTAATATCCTGAAGAGTGTTTTCCAACTTGATTCCATTCTCCCCATGACTTTCAGGTACACCAATCAAACATAGGTTTGGTCTCTTCACATAGTCCCATATTTCTTGGAGGCTTTGTTCGTTCCTTTTCATTCTTTTTTCTCTAATCTTGTCTTCACACTTTATTTCATTAAGTTGATTTTCAATCTCTGATATCCTTTCTTCCGCTTGATCAATTTGGCTATTGATACTTGTATATGCTTCGCAAAGTTCTCGTGCTGTGTTTTTCAGCCCCATCAGGTCATTTATGTTCTTCTTTAAACTAGTTATTCTAGTTAGCATTTCCCGTAACCTTTTATCAAAGTTCTTAGCTTCCTTGAATTGGGTTAGAACATGCTCCTTTAGCTTGGAGAAGTTTGTTATTACCCACCTTCTGAAGCCTACTTCTGTCACTTTGTCAAACTCATTCTCCATCCAGTTTTGTTCCCTTGCTGGCAAGGAACGGTGATCGTTTGGAGGAGAAGAGGTGTTCTGCTTTTTGGAATTTTCAGCCTTTTTTCCGCTTGTTTCTCCTCATCTTTGTGGATTTGTCTGCCTTTGGTCTTTGATGTTGGTGACTTTTGGATGGAGTTTTTGAGTGGTAATCCTTTTTGTTGATGTTGATGCTATTGCTTCCTGTTTGTTAGTTTACCTTCTAACAGACCCCTCTTCTGCAGGTCTGCTGGAGTTTGCAGGTGGTCCACTCCAGACCCTGTTTGCCTGGGTATCACCAGTAGAGGCTGCAGAACAGCAAAGATTGCTGCCTGCTACTTCCTCTGGAAGCTTTGTCACAGAGGGGCACCTGCCAGATGCTAGCCGGAGTGCTCCTGTATGAGGTGTCTGTCAACCCCTGCTGGGAGGTGTCTCCCCATCAGGAGGCACACGTGTCAGGGACCTACTTGAGGAGGCAGTCTGTCCCTTAGCAGAGCTCAGGCACTGCGCTGGAAGATCTACTGCTGTCTTCAGAGCCAGCAGGTGGGAACGTTTAGGTCTGCTGAAGCTGAGCCCACACCACCCCTTCCCCCAAGTGCTCTGTCCCAGCGAGATGGGACTTTTACCTATAAGCCCCTGACTGGAGCTGCTGCCTTTATTTCAGTGATGCCCTGCCCAGAGAGGAGGAATCTAGAGAGGCAGTCTGGCTACAGTGGCTTTGTGGCCCTGCGGTCGGCTCTGCCCAACCTGAACTTCCAGGAGGCTTTGTTTACACTGTGAGGGGAAAACTGCCTACTCAAGCCTCAGTAATGGTGGACGCCCCTTCCCCCACCTAGCTAGAATGTCCCAGGTCGACTTCAGACGGCTGTGCTGGCAGTGAGAATTTCAAGCCAGTGGATCTTAGCTTGTTGGGCTCTGTGGGAGTGGGATCCACTGAGCAAGGCCACTCGGCTCCCTGGCTTTAGCCCCCTTTTCAGGGGGGTGAACGGTTCTGTCACGCTGACATTCCAGGCGCCACTGGTGTATGAAAAAAAAAAAAAAAAGAAAACTCCTGCAACTAGCTGGGTGTCTCCCCAAATGGCCACCCAGTTTTGTGCTTGAAACCCAGGGCACCCGAGGGAATCTCCTGGTCTGCGGGTTGCGAAGACCGTGGGAAAGGTGCAGTATCTGGGCCGGAATGCACTGTCTCTCCCGGCTCAGTCCTTCATGGCTTCCCTTGGCTAGGGGAGGGAGTTCCCTGACCCCTGCACTTCCCGGGTGAGGTGACAGCCCACCTTGCTTCTGCTCACCCTCCGTGAACTGCACCCACTGTCTAACCAGTCCCAATGAGATGAGCTGGGTACCTCAGTTGGAAATGCAGAAATCACCCGCCTTCTGCGTTAATCTCGCTGGGAGCTGCAGATTGCAGCTGTTCCTGTTTGGCCATCTTGCCCAGGAATCCTGAGATATATTTTTTTAAATCTTAGATTCCGTTTTGTTTCTCATGAACTAACAAGTTGGGGTTATTTAAGATGGCCAAGTAGAATGGTTTAAAATGTGAACTGTGCTACACTATTGTTCCTTTAACGTCGAGAGGGCGGGCAGGATATGTGCTGTAGCCCATGGGGAGACATCTCAGGATTCAGGTGGTTCCCTCACACCAGCAAAAAACCCTCTCATCTCTGATTCAGGCAGAGAGAGCCAGCCCCCTAGTTCTCCTTCATCGTTTTATGAATTCCACCCAAAGGCTATTGTCACTTACACACAAACACACAGCAGCAGAAAGACAAAGCTACCCCAGAATACAGTTTCCGCAATTGGGATAAATTAATGAGGCAGCTACTAACTGGATGACCCAGCTGGGATCAGGAGTTTCTCCAGGATTTGCTTATGAATTAAACTGTACTCTTCATCAGGAAGTCATGTCTTTTTTGATTACTGCTGGTGTGTTTTTTCCTTTCAACTAATTTTCCCACTCACTTTTTATTGAGAATTCTGTGATTTGGTTTCCTTCCTCTGCCTACACTTCCTTTTCATCCCCATGTGGCCTAAATGGGGACTGTGAGTGAAAGGCATTCCATAATTTTGCCCAGGTTACTACTGCTGGTGTGCTTTAGCATGAATGTTTGATTTGAGCCTGGTGTGACTGCCCAGGCCTTCTTGTCACTGGGATTCAGAACCTCCAAGGCGTGGAGGCCCCGGTCAGGTAAAGGATGGAAGCAGCTGGCTGGGGAATGCAGAGCCCTGGAAATCAGCAGATCCTCTGGGCCGGGTCTCCTGTTGAAAACCGCCAGTGGCTTTTCACTCCATTTAGATGAAACCCAAACTCCTTCACCTACATCGGTAGGTCCAATAAGCAGGGTCAGAAGAGAAAGCCAATCCAGATAAAGGAGGTGAAACTGCAGAGTGAAAACTGTGTGTCCACCAGATGCTAGGTGAGCCAGGATTCCCATTGGAAACAGACAAAGATAAATCGAAATGTCAGGACTAGTGCTGTGAGCTGTGTGCCTGGGGAGTCGGCACCCAGCAGGAAGCCTCGCTCAGGGGACAGAGGCCTGCAGTTCCTCTTGTCTAGGACTGGGACTGTCAGTAGCACATGAGTTGCCCAATTACCTGCATGAAGGACTGACGAGGTTTGGAGGGGATACTTGGCAAGCTACAGAAGAGAGACACCCATTTCTACTTCTACTGCATGGTAAAGGTTCCTGGTGTATGTCTGTCTAGACTGGGTTCTGGAAAGAAGAAAAGAACATACTTAATGTCAGTTTGATGTTCTGTTAGAACTCGGACTGGCATAAGGTAATGATTTATCATTAAATTTGGCTCTGAGCATTCTGACAGTCAACTCCAAAAACCATGCAGTCAACTCCAAAAATCCGTCAACTAATTGTGGTCTGTGTCAGTTATCAGCGATGACACTTCTGCTTGAAAATAACAGAACACCCAGCTCGAAAGGTCAGGGGGAAATTCTTCTACAACAAGCAGTCTGGAAGGGAGGGTGAGTCTGTGGGTCATTAAGTGAAAGGCTCAAGACATTATCGAGGGAAAAGATTTCCCATTCTTTCTGCTCCGCCTCTCTCAGAGCATGTGAGCCACCTCCTTCCACCTCCCTGTGGTCACAAGTTGACTGCGGCAGCTTCAGACATCATGTGCTCACACGAAAATATCCAGAGGCAGGATGGACAATGAGGAGCACATTCCTGCTCATGCCCTAGTTTTAGAATCAGTCCCCTATGGATTCCTTCCTCCTCCTGTCTCATGGGCTGGAGCCGCATCACAGCCTTTCCACCAGCAGAATGACTACCAGGGTTCAAGCCCCACTCACCTAGGACCGCGGAGGACTCATCTTCCTGAGAACCAAACAGAACCGCAGGACAGGCAGCAGGATGTGAATGGGGGAGGGGGCAGCCTGAACACCATTTGCCACAGTGGTTTATGCAATTCTACATCCAGTAAAAAGAATATATCAATATTTTTAACAGAGACCGATCAGCTTTGATATTCATTCAACAAATATATATATGGGATATGTCCTTTTAGCTAAACACTGTAGTGCTAAGGTCCTACAGTAGACAAAATATGGAAGGTCATTAAAATATACAGTGATTAAGTCTTATACAGCATGCATAAACCTAGCCAGCTGCACACAATGAACTTATTTTATTTTTACCATGTGTTCCCAAATTTAGCTTACTACTGCAAAAAGGCTAACAATTTCCAAGTGAAAAATGTGTTTTCCTGCAGTAAAATACACACACTACCACAATAGTTTCCCCACCCAAAGTGATAAATACTTCCAAGTGGAAAACCTACTTTAGTGAAACAAATAGGGTCACTGAAACTTAAAAAAGAAGATCATTACCCATCAAGAAATACTTAATTGCAATTGAATTCAATACTGTTTTGAGAGTATTGAATTCAATACTGTTTTGAGAGACAACTTTTCAATTAAGAATAACACTTGTTCGTTACCTTATGACTCTGTGTGCAGAAATGTGAATAAGCCAGGAAAAGCTTATCTGAAAATAGCCACAGGATTTTAGTGACTGTGAGTAGAAAATGCATGGGTTTCAATTCTTTAATGTAAAGTGAGACTGAGCAAACCATAGATATTGCCATGAAAAAATTTATGCACTATTCAATACATATTTACTCAGAGTTTTAAAATTCTTAAAGTCATTTTTTCTTTCTTGAGATATTTTCTGTGATTTAAAAAAAATCTAAAACTATAATATTGTGGAGAAAGCAGTAAATTAATCCCATTGTCAAAAACAATGCAATTTTTGGTAAACTTATTTTCTTAAGATCTGTGGGAAATCCAGAAGCATCTAAGGAGGTTACTACCATTTGCCTATATATGACAAAATCAAAATGAATCGGTCTAATGTTGATCTTAGACTCAGACAGATATATCACATTTTGCTTATCTTCTCTGTGATGATCAGTTCTCAAAACTGGAAATTAGTATACTTTGCAAGCAGATTATCAACAAAACTGTCTTGACTTGTTCTTTCTACTGGTCTATTTTAAACTATTACTTTTCCTCCCTGGAAGATACATTGGTAAATACTGAAGCACTATGTTTACCAGGCCTTTTCTCATGCATCAGTCCTTTTGAGTACTGGAAAACAAGGGGAGTTCATATCATTTTCACTCTATGGATGGATATGGAGGCGCAGAGATGTACTGTTTCCCAGGCCAGAGGTCGGATCTTGAATTCAGATCTTCTGACTTCAGTAACTGGAGTGCTGAGGTGCTATCTTGGCTCACTGCAACCTCTCCCTCCCGGGTTCAAGAGATTCTCCTGCCTCAGCCTCCCAAGTAGCTGGGATTACAGATGTCCGCCACCATGTCTGGCTAATTTTTGTATTTTTAGTAGAGACAGGGTTTCACCATGTTGGCCAGGCTGGTCTCGAACTCCTGACCTTGTGATCCACCTGCCTTGGCCTCCCAAAGTGCTGGGATTACAGGCATGAGCCACCACACCTGGATTCTGGTCTTTTTAAATAAGCAGCTGTGCTTCTGACCGGAAGGAATGTTAACAAAGAGAACAACAGTGAATATATGAGTTTCTTTCTTAATCTGTAAATAATTGATGGGGAAGGCAATGAGAGAACGTCTGGAACTTAGATACCTACCTTTGCTGGTCCAAAGGAGTTCAGGACATACCACCCTAAAATATGTCTCTTAGGCATAAGAATTATTTTGAGCTAAAGATACTTGAAAAAGCAGCAGGTGCAAGAGGGTCACTGTGACCCCCCTCTTTCTTCCTGTGAGCAGGAGATAAAATTCTCATGTGGAAGATGCTTTCCCTACACCAGGAGGAAATCCCTATACCAGGAAGAAAGTAAGGTTATTGTTATCAAGGATGGGAAGGCAAAGCCAAGAGAAATCCGTGCAAACAAACCTTGTTCAATTAACTAACCCTTATCTTCCCAGTGACTTCACCACCCAGTTAATTACCCTGCCCCAAGCCCCTTTGCCTTGTCATGTTTTTACAATCTACTACCCTTTGTCCAACTCAGTATTAAATGTTTGACTCTCACTGCTTTGTTGAGTCTTCATTTCCTTTGCCCCTGTGTCATGCAAACCTTTTACTAAATAAATTTGTATGCTTTTCTTCTGTTAATCAGTTTTATGTCAGTTTAATTCTCAGACCTAGCCAAAAACCCTATGATGGTAGAGGGAAAATTTTGTCTCCCCTACAGATCCTTATCTTCTCTGGTGAAGGCCTAAAAACTACCTTAGAGTTTTAAAAACTATCATACCTGCTGGGGACAGTGGCTAATGCCTTTAATCCCAACACTCTTTGAGGCCAAGGTGGAAGGAAAAATTGATTCAGGCCAGGAGGTTGAGACCAGCCTGGGCAACATAGGGAGTCCCTATCTCTACAACAACAGCAACAAAATACCAGATGTGGGCCTACTTTTAGATGAGTTAAAGTTAAAGGAAGTTATGGTTATGAGAAAAAGAATATTTTTATTCTTTTTCCACCTTGGCAATTGATTTTCCTCTCAGACCTACTACTGGTTTTAATTAGAAGAATAATGACAGGCGTGGTACATGATGGTGTGGATTAGACTATTCTCCAATGTGAAAGGAATGGGGCATTTTAATTTGATGTTATTCACGAGGGGAAGAAGTCCTAAATAAGTTAAAATAAGTAAACACACTTACCTTCTTTTATAGTATGCTGTATGTGTTAGTCTGTTTTCATGCTGTTGATGAAGACATACCCAAGACTGGGCAATTTCCAAGAGAAAAAGATTTAGTGGACTTACAGTTCCACATGGCTGGGGAAGCCTCACAATCATGGTGGAAGGCAAGGAGTAACAAAGAGTAACACCTCTTACATGGATGGCAGCAGGCAAAGAGAGCTTGTGCAGAGAAACTCCCATTTTTAAAATGATCAGATCTCATGAGACTCATTCACTATCATGAGAACAGTCCAGGAAAGACTCACCCCCATAATTCAATCACTTCCAACTAGGTCCCTTCCACGACTTGTGGGAGTTATAATTCAAGATGATATTTGGGTGGGGACACAGCCAAACCATATCAATATGGAAAGATAACTCTTATGTAAAATATCCACAGACCAACCTTTGGGAACCACCAACAAAGAGAAGGCATGAGGAGATCTGGTTTCTAGTCCTAGCTCTGCCACTAATTCTATGACCTAAAGGAGTCACTTCTTGCTGGATCTCAGGTTCTTCTTGTAAGACATGGAAGGTACTGGAAAAGTACCTTCTGTGTCTCAAATGTGTCCTAATGCCCAAAGGCATTTAGTTCTGAAATTTTAGGCTCTTCTATTCCTGCAGGAATCTTCCGCAATCTGCACCAGCCCTCACTATGCCCTTACTACCCCCTGCCAGTTGTTAAGCATTTTCTAGCCATCACTGGTTAGAAGTGATTTGCTGATTTTTGTACTGACTCCCTGCTATGGACTGAATTGTGTCCTCCACAAAATTCTTATGTTGAAACCCTAACCCCCAATGTGGCTGTATGTGGAATAAGGACGTAATTAAAGTTAAAGGAGGTTATAAGGCTGGAACACTGATTTGATTGGATCAGTGTCTTTGTAGGAAGAGACCCTAGAGAGCTCACTCTCTCTGCTGTGTGAGGACACAGTGAAAAGGTGGCAATCCATAAAACAGCTCCCATCGGAAACCAAATTGGCTGGCACTTTCATCTTGGACTTCTAGCCTCCAGAACTTGAGAAATGAATTTCTGTTGTTTAAGCCACCCAGCCTACGGTATTTTGTTATGTCAGCCAGATCAAACTAAGACACTCCCTAAATACTAGAAGTATGCGTCTGTGGGGATAGGTGGGCAAAAGAGAGAGAGTTGGAGATGATTTATTTGTCTTAGGGCTCCCAGCAGAACACTGAGCAGATGACCAAAAGGAGATGAATAGTAACAGTGAAACCACCTTTGCAAAAGTGCGACTGAGACAGTGAAATAGGTCCAATTTAAATGACTCCATCTTGCCTCTAACCTCCAAGCCATCCTTGTTCATTCCTGGGCATGGGCTGAGCTAACTTTGGGAGGAACTTAGTTTATAGTTTAAAAAAAAGACGGTAACAGCCCTTTCCCAAAACAAACCTCCTTCTTGCCTGGGGACTAGGGCCCTAACATTGGCCACAAGATTAGAAATTATGGTTTAGGAGTCACGCGGCTGGAGGCTACCAGAGTCTGCCCCTCCCTTAACTGCTCCTAAGATCAGTGCTCGAGATGTTTTGCAGACCCTGCACTTGATGGATCAACCAGCACCATCCAGATGGAGAAACGGGCACATCTGACTCGTGACCCCTACCCAGGAACTGACAGTGCAAGAAGACTGTGATGCCCCATGATTTCATCTCCGACCCAACCAATCAGCACTCCCCGACTCACTGCCCCTCACTTCCTACCAAATTGTCTTTAAAAACTCTGATCCTCAAATGCTCAGGGAGACTGATTTCAGTAGTGATAAAACTCCAGTCTCCTGCACAGCCAGCTCTGAGTGAATTTCTCGTTCTCTATTGCAATTCCCGTCTTGAGAAATCAGCTCTGTCTAGGCAGTGGGTAAGGTGAACCCACTGGGCAGTTACAACAATGCAATAGAAATGCTGTTTCCCTTCTTCCTGACTTGTTTGTTTGTTTGTTTTGAGACAGGATCTTTCTCTGTTGCCCAGGCTGGACTGCAGTGGCGGGATCATGGCTCACTGCAGCCTCAACCTCCTGGGCTCAAGTGATCCTCTCACCTTTGCCTCCCAAGTAGCTGGGACCACAGGCATGCACCATGGTTATTATTATTATTTTGGTAGAGATGGGGGTCTCCCTATGGCTGGTCTCAAACTCCTGCGCTCAAGCAATCCTCCCACCTTCACCTCCTAAAGTGTTGTGATTATAGGAGTGAGCCACTGTGCCCGGCCCTCCCTGTCATTTAACATATATATATTTACACACACACACACACACACACACACACACACACACACACACACACATCTTAAATATTTTTCTAGTCTTGATTGCCAGGGCAAACTTAGAGTAAATTTACAAATATCAACCTCTCCCTTGTCATCGTAACACACTTTCTTTTATTCATTTATTTATTCATTAACACATTCTGCTTTGGGTCAGGTGCCAGTGGTTGACACTGAGGATACATCTAAAGCTTATCCAGTTTCTAGACTTTTGAGAAATAATAAAATTCTCAGCCCCTAAATGACTGATTGGACCCCCTCTTGGCCACAGGGACCCCAGAAATGCCTTAGAAGCTGAATTTCCAGCCATGACAGGATGGAGGTCAGACACACCTTATTATACCCACTCCCTCAAAAACTGCCATTAGGGTCTCTTCCCTAAGGGGAAACAGAAGCTAGACTTTTCAAAAGATTTCACATTGATAATGTCAGTTACCAGCTCATCTTCCCAGGCACAGAACAAAGACAAGATGAGATTAATTGTTCCTTCACCCTTAGCTGAGACACCTGCCTCTTCTATTCTCTTTTTCTTCAAATGTTCACGTATGTAAAATACAGATTTGTTGGGGACTAACTAAAGTCTCACTAGTATGTAACAATTTGTCTCACTTCCCTTTTAATGAAAATGCATAAATACTAGACTTTCTAAGAAGCTCTTTGGAGAAAACAGCCACAGAGGGCATCTGTGACTCATGCTTTTCCTAGACACACCCTCAAGCTGGTTCAATAAACCTCAATTGATTGAGAAACCTGCCTTCATCAGCCATTTTGGTTGTAACTTTCTAGATCTCTGAATGAGTTCATGTCCCGAGCCAATAATAACTAATACTAGACAATACAGTTGAAACCCTAGCAGAGATTATATTAGCAGATGAAAGGGAAATTGGACATATGAGAGTTAGCTTCAGAATTTGAGAAGAATAAAAGGGAACAACTATATGGAAAGGCCTTTAGTGCGAGCTTGAATTGCACATCTCAGGAGGTTATGGGTAGAAATGAATGGAGTTTTCTTGCCACTGGAGATGCCAGATAAAAGGCATGAATTATTTTGGTCTTGCAGGTTATTGAATTTAGGCTCATCTGCTTTGAAGCAAGAGATTCTCTTGCTCCTTCAGGTTCTAGATTTTTACACTGTTTTAACTTTATGCAATGTCTCCTGGATACTGTGGGAAAATAAAATTGTTCTCAGGAAGACCAGGTCTTTGGTAACTCAATGGGAGGAATGAAACTGTCATTTATTAGTTGTGAGATCCTAGACAAATGCCTTTAGCCTTTTCATTCATTCTCCTTATTTGTAAATGGAGATTAATAACAACCTCCTTATAACATTCTGGCTATTAAGTGAGAGATTAAAAGATGTACCTGACACATATACTAACTTTAAGTCATAGTAGTTATTAAAAATAAGCATTTTCAAAATGGATATTCTTTTTTGCAAATTTAATAATCATTTCATAATCTTGAAATCCTAATGCCCCACTACTGAATAGAATATATTTTATGCATTCACTGTGTTATTATGATTGAGTAACTTGCACAACAATCAGCTGTCTAAAAGTTGCAAGAAATTTCAGATTGTAAGAGAAATACAGTCTTTAAAGTATTCAAAATAAATCTTTCTCTACTGCTGGTACAATCATTGTGTATGTTTATGTCTTTAAACCAAAACTTAATTAGACTCAGTTACTGCAACCTGCAGTCTTAGAAGTTCCTAGAAATAATGTAATTGCCCAGCCTGGTGCTTCTTGCCCACTGCACAGATAAAGCCAATGCACTGAGACAGCGGTGTTGTGGCAGAGAAAGTGTTTAATTATTGCAAGGCAGCCAAGCGAGAGGATGGGAAATATTTCTTAAATTCACCTCCTTGAGAGCTCAGAGGCTATGGTTTTTTAGGAAATTTGGCAGGTGTCAGTTTCTCGTGGGGGATGTCACAGGACTGATTGAGTCATGGGTCTGGATGGGTCATGGTGGTGTCGGTGAGTCTGCACCAATGCAAAGGTCTGAAATACATCTCAAAGATCAATCATAGGTTTGACAATAGTGACATTATTTATAGGAGAAATTGGGGAAGTTACTAATCCTGTGATCCCTGGCTATGTGATTCTCAAGCAGTAAGCAATTATAGAAAGGCAAGCTATGGAATAATGGCTGGTTTTTGTTTAACTGTGCCTACATCTTAGCAGAATTCAGGCCCCTCCCATAATCCTAACCTTGTAGACTTTGATGAGACTTACAAAGGCAGTTTCAGTCCCTGAGCAAGGAAGGAGTTAGTTTCAGGAAGGAATTGTTATCATCTTTAACAAAGTCAGTTAGTTTGTGCTATTGGAAGCAAGATGGGAGTATTTATGTCAGATTTCTCTCACTTTCATAATTTTTGCAAAGGTGGTTTTGATAACCAAAAGCTAATTAAAATGAAGGGATAAAAGGAGAAAAGCTTTCTTTCTTTCCATGGCTTAGTAGTATTATCAAATAAATTATCTGGTGGATGTGATCTGATGGATGTGATCTGATGAGTTTGATCAATAATAGAGTCTGATCAAGAGATTCTTGTTTGGTTTTACTTGCCTGAAAAAGTACTTTCACCTTTTATATAACTGTGTGTATATTCCATAAATAGTGGTTAAACAAGTCATTTAAATAATAACATATTATAGCTAAAACCAGATGAGTGCCATTGTAAAACAAATTAGCAAATATTACATTTCCATCTGAAATCAAGGAGTTTCTCAGGCCAATAATTGTTTTCAAGGATGGCATTAAAAAAAGGAATGCACAAAAGGGACAGAGCTAAAATCCTAGATTTTACTAAACTCTATGTTCCATTAGGGCATGGGCAATAACCTATTTATTTTTGTATATCTTCAAAAAGATGTTTTGAATGGATGAGCTAATAAGTGTGGAGTGATCATTAATTCAAACACACAAAATAGTTTAAATCTGGACATTCAGATGTATCATAAAAATATTTTCACAAATGAAATTTTCATTATTGGCTGGGTGTGGTGGCTTACATTTTAATCCCAGCACTTTGGGAGGCCGAGGCGGGCGGATCATGAGGTCAGGAGTTCGAGACCAGCCTGGCCAATACAGTGAAACCCCGTCTCTACTAAAAACACAAAAATTAGCTGGGTGTGGTGGTGGGTGCCTATAATCTAGCTACTTGGGAGGCTGAGGCAGAAGAATTGCTTGAATCCAGGAGGCAGAGGTTGCAGTGAGCTGAGATCATGCCACTGCACTCCAGCCTGGGTGACAGAATTAGACTCTGTCAAAAAAAAAAAAAAAAGAAATTACCATTATTTAATATCATTATTAAAACTGTGCTTCATGAAAAAAAAGCTCTTCCCATGACTAACATTCTTGCATATTTTCTATTATCGAAAACGTTTTAAATTTTTTTGTTAGCAGATATATAAAATTAACTAATATAATTATTGATATTAATAATATTACTTTGGTTGCATTTTATAAAAACTAGAGTATCTCATTAATAGCTCTTTGTGTTCAATCCTATGTATGATTTTTACTTTGCTTTTCATAATATGATGCAAACCTGCTTAAACTTAAAACAGGGAAGATGCTACTTCAAGTAGTGGGTGTCCCTCAACTCTGTGGTCTTATTTAGGGATATGCTTTTCTATGCCCATGCTGTGTTATTACAAGTCATACAGAATATACTGGGTTTCATTAATATTGCATATTTCTGATTAATTATTAAAATTTCAATATAGGCTTGAATTTCTACTGATGTTTAAAAACAATTCAAGTTGTATATCTGTGATTAATGATATGGGGATAATTCCCTTGATAGTTAAACTGAGATTTGCTTTTCAGAAATAACTAAACATAACCAGTATAATATACTTTGAATTGAGCTCATTTTCAATTATAGTTTAAGTTCAGTAGGGGATGGGACTGAAGAAAGAATTTCCAGCCAAGTTTTACATCCTATGGAATAGAGATAAAGGTTCACAGGACAATCGAGTCACCCTTCATAGATTTGTAGGGAAATGAGGCAGTTACCCGAGGTCTAATGCTTATAAATATTGTATTATTATACCCTAGCAGGAACCACCAGGTAGTAAACCATTCTGAAAGGCTGAAAGAAGTATGAGCCATAAATTACACATTTGGGTGAATAAAGTATTGACTATTTGCTGAAAATTCAGAATAGATTCCCCATTCAAGAGAGAAAAGATATCCGCTTAGGCTTCACCTGGAATAGAATGCCATTTTGTTGCATATGGAAATAAAGATTGGCCCTCATGGCTTTGGTTCATACTGGAGCTTTGATGCCAGTGAGAAGTTGCCACCCATTTGTCAGTAATAATAGCACATACAAAAGGTGTCACTGCATTTGTCAGGGTTGTTCTGCCAGTTACTAAGCCACTGCTCCTCCGCTTCAAACCACCCTTTGTACTGGGCTTGGTGATGTTGGGGCCGAGTGTCTACAACCCACACTTCTGGTCTGCCGGCTGTTGGTCCTGTCCTTGGGAAGGCTTGGAGGGAGGCTCCATGGCTGGGCAAGGAAAGGGCTTCTCCTTCGTGTCTGCCCCGTCACTGTGAGCATCACCTCAGCAGTAATGCTGCACTTCATTAGCAGCAGCTGATTCCTGTGGCACAGTTGAATCCAGTTTGCAGTTTTTCTTCTCCTAGAAGAGCTAGACTCAATGTATCTCCTCAGGAACCACCAGTATCAGCCAGCTCTCAGAAGTCCAGATTCCAGTGCCATGAAGCCCAACTCTGAGCTCAGAGTCACCAGGACCAAGCAGCATCCCCTTCTCCGAGGTCTGGGCTTCAAGCTTGCCTTAATTTCTTTCTTCTCTTTCTTTCTTTCCTCTTTCTCTGTTTCTCCTTCTCTGTTTCTCTGTTTCTCTCTTTCTTTCTTTGACAGAGTCTTTCTCTGTTGCCCAGGATGGAGTGCAGTGGCACAATCATAGCTCACTGCAGCCTCCAACTCCTGGGCTCAGGCAATCCTATGTCCTCAGCCTCCTGAGTATCTTGAACTACAGGTACATGCAACCATGACTAGCTTTTTTGTTGTTGTTGTTTTTCCCCATAGAGACAGGGTGTTGCTATGTTACCCAGGATGGTCTCGACCTTCTGGGCTCAAGCAATCCTCCCACCTCAGCCTTCTGAGTACCTGGAACTACACCCCGCTCCAATCTTCACTTTAGTCCCCAAAGACGAGGGCCCTCTGCTTCCCACAGTTTCTAGGGCGGTGGTTGTTTAATGTTCTATTTATCTTTTCGGCACTTTGAAATGTAGTTACCAATTTCACATACCTAGTTATTTATTCTTTTTATTAAATTGTGTCTGTTAAAATAACTCATATGATTTCTGTCTACTGGCTGATACACTTATAATAGGAGAAAAGGGATCAAAACAACTCAGCTACAAAAATTAGTCAAATAATAGGGTTAGAGTTTTACAAAGAACCATATTGATTTAGAAGATCAAATGGCTGTTTATAATATTTTAAGAAGAGGGAGGTAATGTGAAAGTACTTTAAAAATTGGCTGAATCCAGCAGCTTTTCTCAGTTCTTGTAATGTAAGTTTGCTGTCTTATTTACAAATATTCAATTCTGCTACAGAAGGCAAGAGAGAAAAATGGGTGGATGAAACGTGTAAGTGTTAAAGTAGTAGCTTATGAGTTATAGACAAAACTCACAGAATGTGTTAAAGAATAAAAGCAAAACCGTGAGTAAGGGGGGACTACTATGTTTTCCATTTTTTATAGACCTCATAGTGAGTGTGAAGTGATACCTCATTATGTTTTGTGTTTTTTTTTAAGAGACATGTTGTCTAGGCTGGATTGAACTCCTGGACTTAAGTGACCCTCCCATCTCAGCCTCCAGAGTAGCTAGGACTACAAGTGTTCACTGTGGTTTTGATTTACATTTCCCTAAATACTAGTGATGTTGGGTATCTTTTCACGTGTTTATTAGTCATTTGTATATCTTCTTTCAAGAAGTGTCTATTCAAATCTGTTGCCATTTTTCAGTCGGTTTATTTATCTTTCTATTGCTGAGTTGTAAAAGTTCTTTATGTATTATGGATTCTAGATCTTTATTTAATTTGCAATTTTTTTTACATTGTGTGGGTTGCCTTTTCATTTCTTGAAGGTGTCCTTTGACACAAAAGAAGTTTTAAATTTTGATGAAGTCCTATTTTTCACATTTATTTTTTTCTCTGGATGCTTGTGCTTTTGGTGTCATAGCTAAGAAACAGCTTCATCCAAGGTCACAAAGATTCACATCTATGTTGTCTTCTAAGAGTTTTATTTTTTTGGTTCTTATGCTTAGGTCTTTGATTCTCCCTCGCCATGGAGTTAATTTTTGTATATGGCATAAGGTATGGACTGACTTCATTCTTTCCATATGGATATCCAGTAGTCTTCACATCATTTATTGAAACGACTAATTTTGTTCCCCATTGAATGGTCTTGGCAGCCTGTCAAAGATCAATTGAGGATATATTTATGGATTCATTTCTAGACTCTGAATACTATTTGATTAATCTATATTCGTCTATTCCTTATGCCAGCACCACACTGTCTTGATGACTGTAGCTTTGGGGTAAGTTTTGAAATCAGAAAGTGTGAGTCCTTCAACTTTGTTCTTCTTTTTCAAGATGGTTTTGGCTATTATGGCTCTCTTGCATTTCATATGAACTTTAGGATCACCTTTGTCTGTTTCTGTAGAAAGGGCAGTTAGAATTCTGATAGGGGTTGCATTGAATCTGCAGATCAATTTGGGAGTATTGCCATCTTGACAATATTTAGTCTTGTAATCCATGACAGAAGACATCTTTCCATTTATGTATTTGGGTCTTTTAAAGTTTGTTTCACTAAGTTTTGTAATTTTCAGTGTACAAGTTTTACATTTATTTTGTTAAGTTTATTCTTAAGAATTTTATGATAAAATTCTTCTTAATGCTATTTTAAATAATTTTTGAAAGTGATTTTTATTTTTCATGGGGTTAACAGTTCACATTCTGGCTGCAGCACACAAGTCTTTATCAGGATGGTGTCTCTATTACGCCCCACATCTCCTGGCTGTTCCATCTCATGGATAGAAGAAAGAACAAACCAGCATCTCTATTTGTTGTCCACATCTCCTAAAAAGGGCAGCTTTATAGTTTTATAGTTACAGAACTATAGCTTTATAGTTCTGTATTGGAACATGATTTATTTCTAGAATGTTCTACATCTGAAAAGTTGTCTCTCGTCGTCACTGAGTGAATTTGTGGAGCTGATGCTGTGGAGAGCCTGGAGCACGTGGCGTCTGATCTGGTAAATGCCACTGCTCTCTAATTAATTGAAAAACGCTCTTTGCTGCTGACTACTGCTTCATGCTGGAAGACTATGTGCCACAATTTAATTAGTGGATAATTCTAATCTACTAACCTAACTAACTCTTCTTTTGAGCATTGTGCCACTTGGCACAACATTTTAAGACAACAGAAAAGTGCACAGTTTCCGGGCAGTGTGCCTTAATTTACTGAACAACTATGGTACTTTCATATTTGATTTAAGTATTCTGCTCTTTGGTATTACAAGGTTTTCAGCCAAACCTATTGATGTGTGCTCATTAAGACCAGTTGTCTACAAAGCACCTGCTTTCCTGTGAAAAGATCTTATTACTAAAACATAGCTAGTTCTTGCCAAGAAAAGGGCTTAAATTTCTTTGGCTGGCTTGATGCTTTATCAGGCTGCCTGTTTGGTCTTTGTAGTCATTGTGCTTAGCCCAAATTTCTTCCTTCTTCTTTTGTTCTGGGAAGGTCCTGCTGTGAATCGCTCTCCATTCTCCCTCCTGGAGGCCAGATCGCGCTGTGCCCAGCCCTGCATCTAGATTGTGCTGTGATACGAACACAATGGTTCTAGTTCCTGCTACCATCTCAGGGGAGTCGTTTGGGTCCAAGGACATCCAAAGAGTTACAGTCTGCACCTCCCCCTCCACCCGGCCCTGTCAGCAAATCCCGTTCCCTTCCTCTGCTTCTATTCTAGTCACCCTCCTCTTTCCCTTATTAAAGAACTCCTGTTGGAATCACTAAAGGCAGGGTCAGCAGAGAAAGGGGCTGAGATACAATCCCTCCCATTGTTCTAAGGACAGCTAGTTCCAGCATCGCTCTCTTAAAAACGGAAATACTCCCGTGGGGGAAGCCACCTGAAACTTAAAATACCTCAATGAAAGGGAGAAGCAGAATTCGCTAAAACTGACTCTCTGTTCTAGGACTTGAAGCCACGTTTCTTCAAATCTCAGTTTCCAGATCTGAAAAAGGTGAGAGCAGACTAGATCCGTTTCGTTATTTTGTGCAGGTTGACAGAATGCTTTGGGAATCTGATGAAAGCCATGGACATTCTCCTTAGAATAGCGCACACGTGCAAATATATAAAACAATTATGAACAGGTTGGGGATTGACTGACACTCTGGAGGTCCATATGCACTGAGTTACAAACAAAAACAGAAAAGCAAGCAGATCCATGAACACAATCTCCAAATTCATTTTGAAGCCTTATAGTCTGTGATTCCAACCTCCCTGTCAAGGCTCTTGACCTGACTCAGAAAGTCCTCAGCACCGATGAGTCCCTCGTGCCTCATTCCTGTGACATCGTCAAAGTGTTTGGTTTCCTATTAGTTAACTGGAAAAGGTCACCTTTGGGCAAAATCATGAAACTGCGATGAGACACTATAGGACTCCTCTACCATTAGGCATTTCTTTACACTTTTGAAATTTTTCTCTTATTAAAAAATTGTGATAAAATATACATAACATAAAATTTACCATCTTAACTTTTTCTTTCTTTTCTTTTTTTTTTTTTAGACAGAGTTTTGCTCTTGTTGCCTAGGCTGGAGGGCAATGGCGTGATCTCGGCTCACAGCAACCTGCGCCTCCCGGGTTCAAGTGATTCTCCCGCCTCAGCCTCCCAAGTAACTGGGATTACGGGCATGCATCACCACGCCCGGCTAATTTTGTATTTTTAGTAGAGATGGGGTTTCACCATGTTGGTCAGGCTAGTCTCGAACTCCCAACCTCAGGTGATCCACCCGCCTTGGCCTCCCAAAGTGCTGGGATTACAGGTGTGAGCCACTGTGCCTGGCACATCTTAACCATTTTTAAGCATACTGTTCAATGGCATCACGCACATTCACATCGTTATGTAACCATCACCACCATCCATCTCCAGAGCTCTTTTCATCTTGGAAAACTGAAACTCTGTACCCATTAAAAAGGAATTTCCCATTCCTCCTTTCTCCAGTTCCTGGTAACCACCATTCTACTTTCTGTCTCTATGAATTTGACTATTCTAAGTACCTTGTATAACTGCGATCGTACAGTATTTGTCTGATTCCAACCAAAATTGTGACTGGCCTATTTTACTTAGCATAATGTCCTCAAGGCTCATTCTTGTAGTAGCATGTGTCAGAATTTAGTTCCTTTTTAAGGCTAAGTAACATTCCATTAATTGTATATACCACATCTTGTTTATTCATTCATCTGTCAATAGAAACCTGAGCTGCTTCCACATGTTGGCTACTGTGAATAATACTGCCATGAACAATGGTGTACAAATATCTGTTCAAGTCTCTGCCTTTGATTCTTTTGGGTGTATACTCAGAAGTGGAATTACTGGATCACATGATAATTCTAGGTTTAATTTTTTGAGGAATAATCGTATTGTTTTCCATATGGCTGCACTGTTTTACGTTCCTACCAACAGTGCACAAAAGTTGCACTTTCTCCACATCTTGGAGAACACTTGTTACTTTTTGTTTTCGTTTTTTCTGATGGTAGACATCCTAATGGGTGTGAGGTGGTATCTCATTGTGGTTTTGATTTCCATTTCCCTAATGATTTGAACACTGAGCATCTTTTCATGTGCTTATTTGTCATTTGTACATCTTCTTTGGAGAAATATCTATTCATGTTCTTTTTCTCTTTTTATTTTATTTTATTTTTGAGATGGAGTCTCACTCTGTTGCCCAGGCTGGAGTGCAGTGGTGCGATGTCTGCTCACTGCAACCTCCACCTCCCAGGTTCAAGTGATTCTCCTGCCTCAGCCTCCCAAGTAGCTGGGATGACAGGCATGCGCCACCACACCTGGCTAATTTTTGTATTTTTAGTAGAGGCAGGGTTTCACCATGTTGGCCAGACTGGTCTTGAACTCCTGACCTCAAGTGATGAGCCTGCCTCAGCCTCCCAAAGTGTTGGGATTACAGGCGTGAGCCACTGCACCCTGCCCTCTCTCTTTTCAATTAATACATTTACATTTTGCTATGGACTGAATGTTTGTGTCCTCCCAAAATTCATATTTTGAAGCCCTAACCCTCAATGTTACTGTATTTGGAGACAGGGTTTTTAGGAGGTAAGTAAGGTTAAGTGAGGTCACAAGGGTGGGCTCTAATCCTATAGGATCGGTGGTTTTATAAGAAGACAGACCAGGCATGGTGGCTCATGCTTGTAACCTTGGAGCTTTGGGAGGCTGAGGGGGATGATCGTTTGAGGCCAGGAGTTTGAGACTAGCCTGGGCAACAGAGGAAGACCCTGTCTCTATGAAAAGTTAACGGATTAGCTGGGTATAGTGGTGTATGCCTGTAGCCTTAGCTACTCATGAGGCTAAGGTAGGAGAATTACTTGAGCCCAGGAATGTGAGGCTGCAGTGAGCCATGGTTGTGCCACTTCACTCAAGTCTAGGTGACAGGGTAAGACTCTGTCTCAAAAAAAAAAAGAAAAAATTGACACCAGTGAGTTTTCTCTCTCTGTCTGCCGCCTGAGGACACAGAGAGAAGATGGCCAGCTTTAAGCCAGAAGAAAGGTCATCCTCAGTCTAGCAGCTTGCTCACACTATTTCCATACTCTCTCTTCTTCCAAGTGGTGTGAAAAAATCATTGATTTTTTTTTAGGGAAAATACCCCTTAAAATAACTCTCTTATTAGAATGCAACCCATTGGTAGCTGATGTAGTTTGGCTCTGTGTCACCACCCAAATCCCATCCTGTAGCTCCCATAATTCCCATGTGTTGTGGGACGGACCCAGTGGGAGGTAACTGAATCATGGGGGTAGGTCTTCCCTGTGCTGTTCTCATGATAGCGAATAAGTCTCATAAGATCTGATGGTTTTATAGATGGGAGTTTCCCTGCACAAGCTCTCTTCTCTTTTCTGCTGGCATGTGAAATGTGACTTCTACCTTCCACTGTGATTGTGAGGCCTCCCCAGCCACGTGGAACTGTAAGTCCAATAAACCTCCTTCTTTTGTAAATTGCCCAGTCTCAGGTATGTCTTTATCAGCTGTGTGGAAACAGACTAATATGGTAGCCATGTGCTCTTATAGGACAATAGCATTCAGTTTATTCATTCATGCACTAAATATACTTATTATTGTCTCCTATGAGTTAAGAATTTGGCTACACTCTAGGTATAAAGTAGCAAACAAAAACAGAAAACTTCCTCTCACAGAATCTGCATTCCAGAAGAGATGATGGATACTAATCAAATACATGTAAAATTGGAATTATAATATGTCACAAAGGTGAAGAATATTGTGCTTCAGGAGTGTATAACAGAGGTTTTTGAACTTAGTCAAAGAAGGCCTTTCTAAAGAGGTTATGCTTGAGCCTATGAAAATATAAAGGGTAGAGAGGAGTTTATGAGTCAAATAAGGGAGAATAAAACATTTCAAGCAGAAATAAAACTATATTCAAAAGCCCCGTGGCTTAAAGGAACACAAAAAAACATCAGAGCTGTAAATCTGGCCAGAGTGGGTGGAGCACTGAGAGTGAATGGGAGCGTGGCGTGAGATGAGGTGGAGAGAGGATTTGTTCCACACCCTGAACATCATGTTTAGTGTTTTCTTTACACTAAAAGTAATTGGAAGCCACAGAGTATATCAAGCAGTGAAGTGGGGAGGGGTGATGTTACCAGATTTACATTTTGAAAAGATTGCTCTGGCTGCCTGCGGAAAATCGATTTGAGGGGACATACATGTGTATTTACATAAATCAACAATTTAGAAGGATAGATGATCCCTGAAATAGTCCCCAAATGTTTGGCACCAGAAGTGTTTCAAATTTCAGATTTTTTCAGATTTTGGAATATTTGCAACCCAAATCTAAAATTCCCAAATCCCACATGGTCCAATGAGCATTTCCTTGGAGCAAAAACCTTTGAGTGTCATGTTGGCACTCGAAACGTTTCAGGTTTTGGAGCATTTTGGCTTCTGATTTTTGGATTAGGGATGTTCAACCTGTGTTGGCTTTGGAGATATTTTCTATATAGGAGTAAGGAAGGAGAAGCATGAGGGTTCCTCCAGTATCTAGCTTGCAGAAACAGGGAGCCAGCACAGCTGTTCACCGAAATAGGAAACACTGAAGGAATATGATGTTTGGGAGAGAAGACCATGTGTTTAGATTTTTGTGTGTTGAGTCTGAGATGCCTCTGAGATTTCAGGCTGAAGATGCTGAGCAGGCAGTTGAGTACCCTGGTCTGGATCTCAAAAGAAAGAAATGGAGATATAAATAAATGTGTAAGTTGCTTGTGTTTGTTTTTAACTGAAACAAAAAATGTGAATGAGATTAGGGAGTGAGAGCAAATAGCATGGGCCCCGGCTTGAGAATTTCAGAACTTCCAAGATTACTGGTTTGTGAAGGAGATTTACCCTTAGTGCTAGGATTTAGAGAAAACACGTATTAAAACAATTCAACTTATTTTCCAATTTCATAAAATCTCTTTTAAAAAGATTAAGTCTCTTCTGATTCATGACTTAATAACTCACTTCCCAACAGAAATGATCTTAAGCATCACCTGGAAGTTCGTTCATTTATTCAATCAGAATACTTATTAAGCAGGGCTGGGCACAGTGGGTCACGCTTGTAATCCCAGCACTTTGGGTGGCCGAGGTGGGCAGATCACCTGAGGTCAGAAGTTCGAGACCAGCCTGGCCAACATGGCAAAACCCCGTCTCTACTAAAAATACAAAAGTTAGCTGGGTGTGGTGGCATGCACCTATAATCCTAGCTACTCAGGAGGCTGAGGTAGGAGTATCACTCGAACCTGGGAGGCAGAGGTTGCAGTGAGCCGAGATCGTGCCATTGCACTCCAGCCTGGGAAACGGAGCAAGACTCTGTCTCAAAAAAAAAAAAAAATTTATGAAGCAGATGACATGGGTGAAGTCTCATAGAAAAACAAAGATGGAGAGGTCTTCAAGTGACCAGCTGTAGGCCCCTTCAAGGGCCAGCCTGTCCTGGGCCACATGAGGTGTGCAAAAATTGCTATAAATAAAAAGCATTATTATTAGATTGTGGAGACTGGCCTCATGAGAAGAGATTCTTTAGAATTCCAAGGCTTTTGTCTTCATTTGACAGTTAACATGACACAACGTTTAAATCTGAGTGCTGTGCAGGGTTACCTTCCCAAATTAAGGGAGGACTTCAGACGCTCTTATAACAAAATGACCAGTGTTAGGCCTCCACTGCTTTTTTACATTAACTGATTAACTGACTTTTCCCCTTAGTGATAACTGGCTTTAAAATGGAGCTGCCACTGAAAAGTATCACAGTATCAAAATACATTCTGCAGAAGTGACTGAAATCAGTATTTTATTTACAGACCTGACACACATTCAGCATAGATGTATCACTAGCCAAGATAGAGCTGAAAGTCAGGGTCAGGTTCTGAACTTCACCTAAATAGATCCGACTCAGCTGGTGCCCCAAAGGAGACTATTATTGTTCAAGTTGAGTGGAGAGGAGCTGCTCATAGGAGCCGCCTGAAGATCACAAGAAACTAGATCTTTGTGTTACATATCTAAAGAGCTGGTTTTTTTCTTTCTTTCTTTTTCCTGGAAATATTTCCTGCCCAGAATCATATATCTGACTGTAATAATGAAGTTATATGTCTTTATCTGTTGAAAAAACTTCTTAACATTATAATAATCTTACCTTGAACTTATACTGCACTCTTCATGGAAGGACTTTCTCATCTTGCTAATCAAATCTCACAATTTGGAAATCAAAGTACATACTTACCTCATTTTACCAAAAAAGAATGTTTTTGAGAGGTTAAATGGTAGAGTGAACAGTAACCCCAACCTGAAGGACAAGGGCAAATGGGACAGAAACATCTTGCATTTGCTGAATAATGTAGATAACTGGCAATGGTGCTCTAAGGTTCACAAAAGGGCCAGCCATCTGATCTGTCACTGTAGGAGGACTACATCTAAACGTCATCAGTAAATGGAAAATAACGCTCTCATAAATTCCGAGGAAAAGACACTGATTTTCCTTAGCAAACTTTTTGTGTCTTTACAAAATAAATTCTTTACGAAATAAATTCTTGTGTTTAATTTAATATCAGCCTATTGCTTTTTTGGGTACTACGTTATTAAGATACTATTCAGGTACTGCAAGATTCACCAATTTAAAGTGTACAATTCAGTAGGTTTTGATATATTCACAGATATGTGTAACCATCACCACAGGCAATTTTAGAACATTTTCATTACCTCAAAAAGAAATCCCTTATGCTTCAGATATTACCACTCTATTTCCCCAATGACCCCCAAATCTAAGCAACCACTAAGCTACTTCCTGTCTGTATAGATTTGCCTTTTCTGGACATTTCATATGAATGGAACCATACACTGTAATAGGTGTACTTTCATAGCTAGCTTTCAGTTAGCACGATGTTTTGAAAGTTCATCCACATTGCAGCATATATCAGTACTTCCTTCCATTTTTAGCTATATAATATTTCATTGTATAGATATGGTTTATTTATTCCATAAGTCTATTGTTTGTTCATGAATTGATGGCCATTTGGCTTGTTTCTAACTTTTGGCTCTTATAATAATGCTGCTATGAACAATAGTAGACAAGTTTTTGTGTGTACTTATGTCTTCATTTTGGAGAGCAAGTACCTAGAAGTGAAATTGCTTGGTCATATAGTAACATTCGGTTAACTTTTGAGGGACTCCCAACTGTCTTCCAAAGTGGTTGTAACATTTTATATTCCTACTAGCAGTGTATGAGCTTTCTGATTTCTTCGCATCCTTGTCAACACTTACTATTTTCTATTTTTTTAGAGTTTCATTTTTTTTAAATGGGGAAATTCACAGAACAAAAAATTAACATTTTAAGGTGTACAGTTCAATAGCATTTAGTACATTCACGATGTAGTACAACCATCACTTCTATCTAGTTCCAAAACGTTTTCATCATCCCCAAAAGGAGGCAGCAAAGCCAAGGAGTCACTTCCCATTCCCGGCTTCCACCAGTCCCTATCAACCAATGATCTGCTTTGTCCATCTATGAATTTACCTATTCTGACTAGTTCATTTTGTTATGGACTGAATTGTGGTCCTCTCACCCTCCCAAATTCATGTGTTGAAGCCCTAACCCCCAGTGTGATTGTATTTAGAGATAAGGGTGTTCAGGAGTTAATTAAGTTTAAATGAGGTAATAAGGGGGAGACTCTCATCTGATAGGTCTGGTGTCCTGATAAGAAGAAGAGACAACAGAGATCTCTTTCTCTCTGCACATGCATAGGGGAAAGACCACGTGACACAGCAAGAAAATAGCTATGTGAAGGCTGGGAAGAGAGGCCTCCCCACACACTCAACCTGCCAGCATCTTAATCTTCAACTTCCCATCCCCCAGAACTGTCAGAAAATAAATTTCTGTTGTTTAAGCCAACAAGACCATCATATTTTGTTATTGCAGCCCAAGCAGACTAATAGACATGTAAATGGAATTATCCAATATGTGGTCTTTTGTGACTTGTTTCTTCACTTAGCATGATGTTTTCTGTATCATGTCTCACTACTATATTCCTCTATCGATAGACATTTTTGTTGTTTTCAGCTTTGGCTATTGTAAATAGTGCCTCTATAAACATTCATGGGCAATGAATTCATTTGTTGGAACATCTGTTTTCATTTCTTTTGAGTATATACCTGGGAGCAGAATTGCTAGGTCATATGATAATTCTGTGTTTAACTTTTTGAGGAGCTGCAAGACTATTTTCCACAGTGGCAACACTATTTTAAATTCTTAGCAACAATGTATGAGATTTCCAATTTGTCCAAATTGGAAACTTGAAGTTTCTCCAAATCCTCATCAATAATGTTATTTCCCTTATTTTTGACTATAGCTGTTCTAGTAGGTATGAATTGATATCTCGTTCTGGCTTTGGATTTGCTTTTCCTTGATGACCAATAATGCTGAACACCTTTTTATGTGTGTATTGGCCATTTATGTAGCTTCTTTGATGAAACGACTACTTAGATCCTTTGCCCATTTTAAAATTGAGCTGTCTTTTGTATTTTTGTACTTTTATTTTTTTGAGACAGGGTCTTACAATGTTGCCCAGGCTTGAGTGCAGTGGTGTGAACATGGCTCACTGCAGTCTTAATCTCCTGGGTTCAGTTCAAGTGATCCTCCCACCTCAGCCTCCTGAGTAGCTGGGACTACAGGTTTGCTCTGCCACACCCATCTAATTCTTTTATTTTTTACAGAGATGGGGTCTTACTGTGTTTCCCAGGCTGTAGGTTGCCTTCTTATTTTTGAGTTGTAAGAGTTCTTTACATATTCTGGATAATAGTCTCTTACTAGATATATGATTTGCAAATATTTTCTCCCATTCTGTGTATTGTCTTTTAATTTTTTTGATCATGTCCTTATGTGCACAGTAGAAGAGACCTCAAGTTACTGGCGACCTACCCTTACGGGTCCGTAGCAACTTCAGTCCTTGCCTCCTCAGAACAAAGAATTTGACTGAGGGGCATAAAGAAGAAAAAGAGATGGAGGCAAGTTCCAGAGCAGGAATGGAAGTTTATTGAAAAAGGCCTCAGAACAGCAAAGAAAGGAAGGTGTGCTTGGAAGAGACCCACTGCTAAAACTTAGAAGTACAAAAGTTTTTAATTTTGTTGATGTCCAGTTCATCTATTTTTTTGCTTGTGTTTATGCTGTCAGATCAAAGAAACCGTTGCTTAATTCGCAAAGATTTATGACTATGTTTCTTCTAAAACTTTCTAATTTAGCTCTTGCAGTTATGTCTTTGATCTATTTTGAATTAATTTTGTATATGGTGTGAGGTGCAGATCCAAATTCCTTCTTTTGCATATGGTAGCCAGTTATCTCATTTGTTGGAAAAACTATTCTTTCCCTTGATGCACTGGTTGATAATCAATTGACCAGAAGTGTGAGGGTTTATTTCTGGACTTTCAATTCTATTCCATTGTCTGTCCTTATACCAGTATCACACTGTTTTGAATACTGTAGCTTTGAAATATGTTTTGAAATTCAGAAGTATAAATTATCTGATTTTGTTCCTTTTCAAGATTGTTTTGGTCAGTCTGATTCCCTTGATTTCCACATGAATATGAGGACAATCTTAAAAATTTCTACTAGAAAGGCAGGTGGGTATTTGATAGAAATTGCTTTGAATCTGTAGTTCAATTTTGGGGGTATTGCCATCTTAACAATACTAAATCTTCCAGTGCATGATACAGGATGTCTTCAATTTATTTAAATAATATTTAATTACTTTTAATAATGTTTTATAATTTTTAATGCAGAAGTCTTTCATTTATTGTGTTAAACTTATTCCTAAGTATTTTATTATTTTTGATATTATTGGAAATTGAATTATTTTCTAAATTGGACTTCTGGATTGTTTATTGCTAGGGTATAGAAAAAGAATTGATTTTGTACATTGATCTTGCATTCTGCAACCTTGCTAAAGTCTCTTCTTTGCTCTAATAGTTTCTTTGTGAATATCTTAGGATTATTTTTTCTTTTTTTTGAGATGGAGTCTCATTCTGTCACCCAGGTTGGAGTGCAGTGGTGCCATTTCAGCTCACTTCAACCTCTGCCTCCCAGGCTCAAGTAATCCTCCCACCTTCCACCTTAGCCTCCCAAGGAGTTGGGACCACAGGCACATGCCACCACTCCTGGCTTATTTTTTTATTGTATTGTATTGTATTGTATTGTATTTTATTTTTTTTATTTTATTTTATTTTATTTTATTTTATTTATTTTATTTATTTTATTTTATTTTATTTTATTTTATTTTATTTTATTTTATTTTATTTTATTTTATTTATTTTATTTTTGGTAGAGATGGGGTTTCACCATGTTGCCCAGGCTGGTCTTAAACTCCTGAGCTCAGGTGATCCACCCGCCTTGGCCTCCCAAAGTGCTGGGATTATAGGCATGAGCCACCACGCCCAGTCAGGATTTTCTATATATAAGGTGATGTCAATTACATATATAAATTTTCTTTTTTTTCTAATCTGGATGCCTTTTATTTCTTTTTCTTGTTTAGTTACCCTGGATAACACTTCCAGTACAGTGCTGAATGGATGTGGTGAAAGTAGACAACTTTATCTGCGTCTGTCCTTTCATAATTAAGACAACTATTTATTAAATTGTGAAAAGAAAGCAGGGCTCAAATCACGTTGCTCTAATTGAAATGGAAAGTGAATACACCTTGTTTCAATCCTTCCACTTTAAAATGGCATAAAATATGTATTAACTTTCTATTTTGGTATTGAGAGAATAAATTAGAATTTGATGATGCCCTTCAAAATTAAATATGTGAATTCATAGGACAAAGTTATGGGGCATGATTAGGAAAATTCGTAAGTGAGGGATGAAACCTGGGGTCATTTTTCCTTCCTAGAGATCAGAATTATTAATAAATCATGACCTTTATTCTGAAAGAAGGAAGGCTGGGGTGCCAGTGACTTTCCTGAAAGACACACGAAAACGTATGCCTGCCCTGGGGACAATGAATAACTTCTACACATATATTGGTTTGAGCCCCCTTTGTTTAGGAATCCTGCTTGCTTGCTCTTTTTATATGATGTTTTCATAAATAAATTATGATCCCAGTTAATGTAAAAGTAGGTTGTAAAAGGATTTCCCTCTTGGGCCAATAATGTGTCCCCTCCGAAGAATAAGAAAAAAAGTATCAGAGTGCTTCCTTCCCCCTTTTTCTGTTGCTGGAAATGTTTTCGATATGGCTGCACAAATAAATGCAGTAAGGTTGTGGGCACCTCCACTCTGCAAGCCTCCATCACTTACGTAGCAAAGTTGTTTCTGGGGCATAAGATCCCTTTGATGAAGGCAGCGTCTACCTTGCAGTTACACTCACAGACAGTACTTGAACATGGTTTGACATTGCATTCGATTCCTGGAAAGGGAGGTACCTCCAAGTTTGACAGGTGTTAAAACAGAGCTATTATTTGTAGTAACTACTTATTATGGGAGGTCTTGGAACAAATCCTTTCTCTAAATCATCTTCTTTGGCCCCCAGGCAGTCCTATTAGTAGGTATTATTATTAATCTTAATTTTTACTTGTGGAAGCTGAGGCTTAGTGAGTATAGAGATATCATTTTTTTTCTTCCCTCTGTGCAAGATTCTTTTCCCTCATTTTCTGTGAATAACATACCTTTTTAAGTGGAAGTCTTCTGCCCCACTTTCTGTAACTCTAATTTTAATAATTATAATATCCTGCCCTGCTGTTCAGAGAGTGTGAACAAATAACCTAGGATCAGGTAATCTCCTACTGGTAATCCTGATTAGGGTTCTTATCATAGATTTTATATCTGGATGCTCAGAGAGAAGCTTTCTTTTTCTTCTGGAGTCATTATATGGGAAGATGGAAGTCTGGACCACAATCTTCTCCTCCTCTACATTTTGAGGAAATTCTGCCTGTAATAGAAGAGAAACATACAACACACTGAGAAAATCAAAGCCGAGAGATGAATAAAAAACACTGGTATTCTTTTGAGTCTCTGAGGCTAGATCCACTTCTAGAGTGAGATATTAGATAACCCATTTTTGCTTACTTGCCTGACTTACAGCTTTGTTATTTGCAATCGAGAAAGTTAATCAGCTTGCCCACAGTTGTGTGATTAGGGAAGCCAAAACACTGCTTTTAAATCCATGTCTGTCTACCTCCAAAGCTTGTGCTCTATACAATATTTTAGCTTATACTGATATGAACCAGATTTCATCAAATATTAACAGAAAGAAAGGGTATAAAATGCACATGATCACAACTGACAGACCCACCATGTATAACCCCAAATATGAAAACTCATGTCCAAAGTGTGAGGAAGAGCAAAAATGTATGTCTTTTCCAAGAGGAAAAAAAGCATTTCATTTCCCCCTAGAATCAATTCCTACAGATAGTAATATGAGTTCTTAGGAGAGTAACTATTTCCTGTGACTTTGGGTATAAATATCTCATCTAATCTGAGTGATCTGATTCAGCACACTGAGGCAATGACTGCCAGTGATTTTACAGGTATGACCAAGAGGTTGAAGATGAATCAGATTCAAGTGGAAATAGCAGAATCAGTAGATAATTAGATAGTAGAATTTGACCTCCGCCTTTGGGTTCATGTGTCCTTAATGTCCTGTGGCTTGTGATCATAGCAAATCTCAACATATAATAGCTCTACCCATGACCCCTTCCCAATCCATGTATATATCACCAGTTGAGTGACCATCATTTATCATCGTGTAAAATTCAACATAAGTTTTTATACATAGCATTTAAATAAATACAACAAAAACCACTGTAAATACAAGAAGAAAATTATGTAGTTTTCTATACATCCACGCAGACATCTATTGCCCATTTTTTTCAAGTTCACCTAAAATCTTTGACTTTAACATTCAAATTACAAAAGGCCCTGACCTTTTGTAATTGTTGCTGACTCTGATATAATAAAAGTCGAAATTAATAACTAAAGTGTATGTAAGAAAGACTTGGTGATTAAAGACCATCTTCCTACATGGATCTTGGGTGAAACAGAAAGTATCAAAACAGCAGTTTCAGATTGGCTGAGAACAAAACCTTACAAATTGAAACTCATGATACATGATTAAAACTTTTTTTACATGCAAATTCATGGACTTAAAATTCTCTATAACTAATAAAGAAAGAATGTAAACAAGACCTTTAGCTTAAGAAGTTAAAAAAAGAACAGCAAAACACACTTAAAGAAGGATGTAGCCCAGGTGCGGTGGCTCACGCCTGTAATTCCAGCATTTTGGGAGGCCGAGGCAGGAGGATCATTTGAGGTCAGGAGTTCGAGACCAACCTGGTCATTGTGGCGAAAACCCATCTCTACTAAACATACAAAAATTAGCTGGGCATAGTGGCTCATGCTTATGATCCCAGCTATGTGGGAGGTGGAGGCAGGAAAATCACTTGAACCCAGGAGGCAGAGGTTGCAGTGAGCGGAGATCACACCACTGCACTCCAGCCTGGGCGACAGAGTGAAGTAACTGGTAAAAAATAATACAGTCAATACACTAGAATATATATGTGTGTTTTTAAATAGTAGAATTAATAAATCAAAGGTTGATTTTTTTTTAGGAAAAATTGCTGAATCAATAGTCTAATAGGAGAATGATAGATTATTTGCTTTGAATGTAATGAATGGGATTTAATTATTTTTGTCTAATTACAGGAGCAATATATGCTCAACAATGAAAATAAAATAAAATGTTTATGTTGACCTTGGGTGCAACATAAGTAAAACCCTTTCATAGTTTGACCCCCATTTTACTTGTAACATGCTTGTTTTAAGTCAATGGATTTTTTATATTTCTTCTACAGTATTATCGCCCCTTACCCCACTGCATCTACAGTCTCTCATCACCTAAGATTGTTCATCTCAGAAACATCATTGACAAGTTATTTCTATTATTTTTCTGTATTGTCATGTGTTTTTTGACCTTGACACTTCAAATCCGTAATTAACACCTTCCTTCCTGGATAACTACAGACACTTCTGAGTTGGTGTAACTGGTTCTGCAGTGCCCACTGTGGTATGCTATCCATCAGGACATGTGGTCTTTGGGTCAAGGAATTCAGCCACTGTTACAATCTTGGCCAGGCAGGCTTAGGCATGGGCTAGTGGAATCTTGGTTTAATATCCGTATCTCTTTCCTCCTACTTTCCAATTTCCTGCTGATGCCTCCTATCGGCGGCAACCAACTGGAAGCCAGAGGGCCAGGCAGCCTGGATAGTGCAGTCTTTTTGCCTGTTCAGGTCAGTTGATGCAGAGCTGGAAGAGCTGGGAGGAACCACTAGAAGGTGGAATGGAGAATATCCAGCATGCTAGCAGCAATCTTGCCCTTCCTCTCTTCTTCCCAGAGATAATATGGCCACCTTGAATTTTGTTCTTTTCCCGAATTTGACACACTCCGTCTGGATTCTTGCCTTTGCAAATACAGGTTTCTCCTGCAGGAATTTCCTTACCCAACTTCTTTGTGTGGCAAACTCCTACTTACTCTTTAAGATCCAACTCAAATATCATCACTCTCCTATTGACACACATGAGGAGGCAGCAAGGCACTCTAAATAGAACAAAGAAACATCAGGTCAGCTCCTCAATCTGTCACTTACTAGTTAATGTGACTTTGTGTGGGGGTACTTTTGTGATTCTAAGTTTCCTCTTTGGCAAAATAGGAATGGGAATACAGTAGGCCTTTGCTGTCCACTGGTTGCACACAGAGAATTCAACACACGGGATGGAAAATATTCGGGAAAAAACCCCACAGTTGAAAATAACAATACAACAATTAAAAAATAATATGAATAAAAGTACAGTGTAACAACTATTTACATAGCATTTACAGTGTATTAGGTATTGTAAGCAATCTAGAGATGATTTAAAGCATATAGGAGGATGTGTGTAGGTTATATGCAAATACTACACCATTTTATAAAAGAGACTTAAGCATGGGTGGATTTGGGTATCTGCGGGGGTCCTGGAACCAATTACCTAGGGATACCGAGGGCCCACTTTACCTGCCTTGACATCCCTTTCCCAGGGAACGTGAAATGATCAGACCGAGAAAATGCAAATCATTTTCCAAATGTAATTTTGTTGTTGTTCTTACCGCTGCTTATAATTAAAAAAAAAATAATTTGCTCAGCTCGATCACTGTGCACGGTGCAAAAAATCAACTTTGGTACCATTCAGCAAATCATACCCCCACGTCCCGCCTTTATTTTCCTTTTTTGCAGCCCGGTTTCTCTCTTCTGCTCACTCATACCCGCCCACCCCGCTTTTGTAGCTTGCTTGTTCATATCTGAACTTGGGTATCCAAAGACACTGCTTGACTTTGCAGGTACATTTCACAGTTAAAGAGGGTTCGTCATTTAGTAGTCGGGGATGGGGAGAACTGTCACAAAGCAAAAGTCTACATTCTAAATCGTGAAGTTCTGGGAGCTGAGAATCAGATTGGCAGGGCCAAGAACGAATCCGTCGACGAGCCGGGAGGCGGGGCTCCTGCTGGGGCCTCTGCAGCCCGCGCTGGGTTCCCGAATTCCCGCGCTGTAAGCCGGAACCCCAGGCCAGCGGGCGCCGCGGCGGGCCCGGAGATCGGTGCAGGACGCACGGCCTAGCCAGAACTACAACTCCCGACGTGCGCGGCGGCCAACGCTGGTTCTATCCCTGCTTGTTGCTTTTTTTTTTCCCTCCGCTTCTTGCGACGGAGACTGCTGTCCAGGAAGTGCGCAGTAGTGATTCTAGAGAGGCTGGAAGCTCTCCTGGCGACGCTGGGGCCGCGAAGGGCTCACGTAATGACTCCTACTCCTGGTGAGCGCAGGCGTTGCGGAACTCACCGTCCCACAGGACGTGTTTCCGGGGGTACATTAATTGTGGCTGGACGCAGTGGCGCGGCAGTTTAATTCTCCGGCGGCTGCAGATTGACGGGACGAGATGGTCCTGGCAGGGCTCATCAGGAAACTCGGTAACTGTCAGCTTGCCCCTCGCCCAAGGCACCCCCCGCGCTCTGGCCACTTGCTGAGAATGGTCGTGTCACGTTTCCGCGGCCGGCCGCTCCGCGACCGCTCCCTCTTTCACCCCCGCTTTGTCAGGATAGCCCCCGGGGACCCATCTCGGACTTTGTGTAAACTTCGCGGTTCGCGTCCCGAAGGCACCAGTGGCCTGCTTCTGAAAAAAACTGGTTTATTCCGTCTTCACGCCGCTCCTGCCCACAGCATAAATAACGTAGTCTCTTTGCAGTCGGGAAATAAAATAGTTTTGTGCCGTTCGTTGACAGGTCATCAGCTGGCCGAGATCAGGGAGCGCGCTCTCAAGAGTATTCTCTGCAAGATTGAGCACAACTTAATCTGCTACGCTGATCTCATTCAGGAGAGGCAACTTTTTCTTCATTTGCTGGAATGGTTCAATTTCCCGTCCGTTCCGATGAAGGAAGAGGTTCTGAACCTGTTAAGCAGATTGGTTAAGGTAGGGTCATTTTGAAATAAAGAAAATAATCAGACGAGTGACTTGTTTCTTAGTCATTTAATTGTAGCGTTTATTGAAAGTTAAATAATTGGGGTTAAAAGTTTTTTTAATCAACCAGAGATGTTTAATTTTAATTAATCTGGGTATATGGTTCATCTTTTATTTGTGATACTGAATCCCACATGGTCTCTGCTGTGCTCAGAAGTAACACAGAACTTCTTTTGAGTTTTGGTATGTTCTGTGTTTTTGAGTTATCTTTGGAGGTTAATATTTGTATTCTGTTTTTGTTTTCTGACATTTACATCTTAAAAACTAGATATGTCAGTATGAAAGGGAGCACTTTAAAAATAATGTTACATAACCGTGATTCATAAATACCAATGTTAAGTTGCTTGCCCATATGCTTTTAGATTGGTATTCTTATGCCTACCTCAAGAGTAGTTAGTTATCGGGGTCAGATATCAAAGTGTAAGTTTAACCTTTCAAAACTAAATCACTGTACAATGGTAGAGGAATCTTAAACTACTTTGACATCCTGTTGACCGGTTGGGGCTGGGACCATAAGGTGAGTGTCAGTGGAAAAAAGTAACCCATTAAAAAAATAAGAGTAGGGATTGATAATGTGCATTTCTAGCGTTCAGTGTGTTGGCTCATCTTTCATAAATGTTATCAAGTGTTGGATGTATGTCTCTATAGGTGTATGTGCTCCTCATGGAAGTGCCTTACTTCGGGGCAGAGCCATGAAGGATTTGTTTTTCAGAAAAGGAACATCTGATATACCAAAAATAATTTTATGTTTTGATTGCTGTAAGTTATAGAGATTTTGATACAGTTATTCTCAAGATCATCCTCTTCTTATTTTAGTATCCCCCAGCAGTCCAACATTTGGTTGACGTTGGTGCAGTAGAGTTCTTATCTAAGCTTCGGTCTAATGTGGAGCCAAATCTGCAGGCTGAAATTGATGGCATTCTGGATGGACTTTTTCTTCTTCCTTCGGAAGTTCCTGCACTATCTTCTGCCTCATACCAAACCAATCAAACTGGTAACTCTTTGGAATCTGTTAAATACAAATATATTAATTCTAATGGTAAATTTTAAGGAAAGGGAGATTAGATTTTTTTAAAAAGGATTTCTCCCACCTCCCCCAAACTTATTTTTCTTGTGTTAACTTACATGATTTTGACCTTTTTCCCCTCCTCTACTGTTAGTCAAAGGATGGTACATTTGCATTAATTGCTTTTTGGGTCAGGCCTAAACGATGCCAGTGACTTTGCTTTTATGAGGCCAGTTTGACAGATTATTTTTTTGGCAATAACAATGTATTTTTATTGAGCACATGAGTGCTCATTGTTCTTAGTGCTTTATATTTGTATTTTTGACCTTGTTCGTCATATTGGAGTATAATGATATCTGTCCTAGCTCATGATCTTGTTGTGGGGACCAATCAAAACGACATAATGCAAGTATTTTTATATGCTGCAGTCCATCATGATATACTTGTTAAAATCCAAGTCAAAGAGACATGGATTTAAGTCTCAGTTCTGCTGCTAGTTGTGTGACCTTGGCTAAGGTAATTAACCCTTCCAGGCTTCAGTTTTCTCATTCAAAAACTGGGATAATAAGAAAGAACACCGGGCTGGGCATGGTGGCTCACGCCTGTAATCCCGGCACTTTGGGAAGCCGAGGCAGGTGGTCAGAAGTTCAAGACCAGCCTGACCAACATGGTGCCCCGTCACTACTAAAAATACAATACAAAAATTAGCCGGACATAGTGGCGGGCGCCTGTAATCCCAGCTAGTAGGGAGGCTGAGGCAGGAGAATCACTTGAACCCGGGGGGCGGAGGTTGCAACGGTGAGCTGAGATCACTCCATTGCACTCCAGCCTGGGTGACAGAGCAAGACTCCATCTCGAAAAAAAAAAAAGAACACTTTCTCATAGAATCGTCATGAGATTAGATGAGACAATGTCTGTAAAGTGCTTAGCACAGGGCCCAGCATGTATGAAATGTGGCTGTGTTGGCTGCTGTGCTGCTGCTGTTGTGTTGTTGTTAATGCCTAGTATAGTGCCTTGCACATGGAATGCATTTGAATTGATTTGAAGAAAAACATCTTCATGCAATTTATGTGACTGAGTAGTAAAAGTAAAAAAAAAAAAAAAAAGTTTTGATGCTTAACCTGTTAGACCATATTTTCTTCTCTGCCAGTACTGTTACAGCTTCAGCTGTGGGTACTGCGGTTCACAACAACAATAGCAGCTGTCATTTATTGAGTTTTGTTGTGGGCATTGAATACATTGATTTAAACACATCATCTTGTTAAATCTTAAAGCAGCCTTTTGACTGAGATGTTATTAGTCTTACTCTATAGCTGAGAATAAAAGTATAAAGTAACTTGCCCCACAGTACCAAGTTTTCTAACCTGTAGCAGATGCAGGATTCTAACATTGCTTTATCTGGCTCCCAAACCTGTGATTTTTAACAATATATTTTACAGTTTCGAAGACATCACAAATAAAGTAGAGTCTTACACTGTGAATTTTTAATCTGATTCCTTGCGGGTGAAAGTAGAGGAATGGTTTAGGGCTAAATGTTATTTTTCTTTATTAGTGTTAGGAACTATTGCCATGAAAACTTAAAATTACAAACTATAGTTTTAGCCTTTTCCTCATTTTCATTGCAGCTGAACTGCTGAACATATAATCGCATGTTATAGGGAATTGTAAAGGTATTGAAAGATAATATTTGACTCCTTTGTTTTTGACAACTTTCTTTTTAAGGTATGAATGAAAATTGAAGTGATCAGGAACTATATAATTGGAGTCAAGGGAGAGGGAGATGGATTAGGAAGTAGAGAGGGATAGTCCTTGAATACTTTGTAGCAGATTCTTCGTGTACATTCTAACAAATAACTGTGTTTGGCTAACAGTAAAAGTGAGAGGGAAAAAGCTTCTTAACTGGAAGTGGGCTCAATGTGCACATTTTTTCCTCTTTAGCAAGATAGATCATTCAGAAAAAAAACTGGACTTTTTTTTAATTTTTAAAATGATTCCAATACTTAAGAGAAAACATTACCACTTAAAGAAAGTAAGTTTCACTTTTAGCAAATAAGGAATCGACAATACAGTAATGTTTATTTCCTTTTCAGAATTGTCAAAAAACCCTGAAATCTTAACAGGATATTTTCCCCAAGACAAAAGTAATTTCCAGCAGATGGAAGTGCCGCCACGACCAGTGGGTGTGTATATGTCGGGAAGTAAATCCTGTTGACTTGGGAAGTTGAAAATTAATGTACTTTTTTCGTTATTGTGAAGATGTATTTTTACCAAACTTGAATGTTTCAGCACCAAACTATCATTAAATGTTTTAGTTGTTTCAAGTTAGTTTAGGATATCGAGTAGAAATGATAAAATTTTGTGTTATTCTAACCATATTTGAACAACTGTGTAGATGGATGGTATTAATGGCAGTAGTATGTCGTACTGAATGAACATGAGTTTTTTTTTTTTTTTTTTTTTTTTTTTGAGATGGAGTCTCGCTCTGTCGCCCAGGCTGGAGTGCAGTGGTGGGATCTCGGCTCACTGCAAGCTCCGCCTCCCGGGTTCACGCCATTCTCCTGCCTCAGCCTCCCAAGTAGCTGGGACTACAGGCGCCCGCCACTACGCCCAGCTAATTTTTTGTATTTTTAGTAGAGACGGGGTTTCACCGTTTTTTTTTTAGCCGGGATGGTCTCGATCTCCTGACCTCGTGATCCGCCCGCCTCGGCCTCCCAAAGTGCTGGGATTACAGGCGTGAGCCACCGCGCCCGGCCGAACATGAGTTTTTTGAGGCATTGTGCCCTGCACTACACATGTCATCTCATTTGTTCTCCAGCTTAACGATGGCACCATCTATCCAGTTACGCCAGCCAGAGGCTGAAGATCATTTTAGTTTCTTTTCCCATTTCCTCACCACCCAGTTAATTAAAAAGTTCTGATTTAGAACCCTGTTTCTGGAATCTGGAATCTCATCTCCATCTTTTTGTATCTGGCTGTGTTCAGCCTCAGCTCACATGCCACCTCATCAGAGACCTTCCTGGTGATTCTAGCCAGTGATCACTTCCTATGTGTAGTTTTCTTCCTAACACATTATTTTTTATTATTTTTGTTTTAAGTTTGATAATAGCCGTGAACATTGCATTATTTTCAGTGTCTGGAACAATACCAAAAAATGTATTAGGCACTCAGTATATATTCTTTGAAGGAATGAATGAATCCTCCTGGAGTGTCTTTGAGATTGGTATTATTAGTGACCACATTTTACTAATAAAGACACTGAGATTAGAAAGGTTGAAAACTTTGTCCTTGGTGAGGCAGTTAGGAAGTAGTTAAGTAATCACGTACTTACCATTTTCTTGCCTGCACAGTTAAGTTGAAAAGGATATGTTCAAGAGTATATCTGCTGATGTCACATATTCAAATGAACTCCATTTGGAAGCCTCTGTTATTAAAAAGCTTTCATGGAAACTCACAGGTGGAATAACAAGAAAGAACTGAAAACTTGTTAAGCCATTAGAATACTTTACCTTTTCATTCATTGTTAGGCTTGTAGCAAGCTTTGTTTTTGAGGCCAGATGGCTGAGAGGCTTAATTCCATCAAGATGAGAGACATCTGAAGGGAGGGGGAATCTCTAGGGTTGGTAAAGGATGGGTGTCTGAATGAAGCCGATGAAAACATTAAGGGGGATTGAGATTGTTACACTTTTATGTGAGTTGCAGTTTGTCTTGATTGAGGGTCTGGCTTATTTTGGACACATTTTTACTGTGTGGTGTAAGCCTGTCCTTCCCTCCACCCACCTCTCCTTATTTCCTTAGAAAGTAAATCCTGCTTTTATGTTAGCAATTTTGAAAGAAGTAACTGTGCTATGTTTGGGAATTTAATAATACTGCTATCCACATTTAGCGATTCCATGCTCTTTTCAAAGCACTTGGCAGAAAGACTGCCATTTGGAAGGACTTATGTAGATGCTATTTCTCAGTGTTGCCACCTTAACTTGTACTATATAAGATCTGTTAAAAATAACTTGCATGGGGATAGTTTAAAACTGTTGCTTTCTCAGATTTCTTTTAATCTTGTTCGAACACTGATACTTGTTTTTTGACCTTACGGTCTTCAAGTCATCTTCGCAGAGGTTTAAAACACCTGACACCATATAGGATATTTGAACATGGCTAGATATGGTATATCATTATGTTTTATCATTTTTAATTTTGAAAAGTTAAGGTTTTCCCTAAATGTCAGTTCCTTTTATGTTGAATTTAAGTTTGATGTTCTGGTCAGCCACAGGGTAAAATAGAAAATTTAATGGAAACTTCATATGTCAGTCTGTATTGGATTGTGTTTAATGCTCTTCTTCTAATACTTATTTTGATATCATATGAGTTCTGTTTAAATTATGAAAAGAGAACTCTCTTATTTATCCTGTGATAGAACAAATTTGCAGCTGACCTTGTTTGGTATATTTTAGGTTACTGTAAGATGCAGCCTTTATTTTGGGACTTGTTTTAAAGGGAAAACTTACTCTTAACATTGTGAATCTGTCATCTCTTTATTCTTTGATACCATAAGATTTGCTCTTTCACTGACAGTAAATCAGACTGTGAAGTGCTTGAAGTTTTCTACATTTCCTTGGCTACCCCTGACCACCACAGACAGACATGTCCTCTCCTCTAATGAAAGGTACGGTGCTTGATGTATTTTCAGGTATTTTTGTTCACTTATAGTCATTAAGTTTGATAGTTATTACAATATGTTTTACCAGGAAAAGATACTAGTGGCAGTGAAAGGTAGTAATGGTCATATTTAAATGATTTTTATTTTTCAAAAAGCTAGCCAGAAAAAAATTCCTATTTGCTTTTAATCAATCTACACATCAAGTTTCTTTTATTTATTTATTTATTTATTTTTGAGACAGAGTCTCACTCTGTCACCCGGGCTGGAGTGCAATGGCACCATCTGGCTCAATGCAACCTCCGCCTCCTGGGTTCAAGCGATTCTTGTGCCACAGCCTCCTGAGTAGCTGGAATTACAGGCACGCACCACCACGCTGAGCTAATTTTTGTATTTTTAGTAGAGATGGGGTTTCCCCACGTTGGCCAAGCTGGTCTTCAACTCTTAATCTCAAGTGATCCGCCCCTCTTGGCCTCTCAAAGTGCTGAGATTCCAGGTGTGAGCCACTGCATTTGGCCCACGTTTCTTTTTGTGGTTGGACTCTTGTGTAGTCCTTGGTGACAGGAGTTTTCTCTTATTGGCCAGATTCTCTTATTGGCCATTGCTTATGCCCTTGATTGATAAAAATGGAAAATTGAACATAAATGTAGTCTTTTTGGCAGAATATATTTCAAAATGTGGGCTTCATTAGGAGACAAATTAAACCATGTGGATAAGGTTGGGTACCACTGATCCAATCTAATGTAATGACTGTTAATTGATTGCTACCCACAAGAGTAAATAGCTGATATATAGAGATTTAGAGAGTATTTTAATGTCCAGATTCACTTTGTGCAGTTTCATAAATGCCACAATACACGAGTTATCTGCTTTTTTGGGGTATAAATCTGGAAAATAAAGACCAATTTACTAGGGCTAAGTCCAGATTACAGGTGGATGCCATTAAGTGATTTTTAATAATGACATGAATTCTCTTGGAACAACATATTCGAGAGGCAAAGTGCACATGGGAAAGGGTTAGGAGGTTGTATGATCTCTCAGTTTTGAGTCAGTCCCAAAGGCAGAGATGGCGATAATTTCTAATGCATGCCTGTAGATAGTGAATGGTGGATAGTATAATGGAACTGGGCTGAGAGAAGGGGTGTGATTTTTTTGGGGTGGGGAGTGAACAACTGCCAATCCTAGGTGGGCAGAAGTTGATAGGTGTCCTCTGTATGGGATAAGAGGGGAGTCCTAATCTGATTCACCTTGAGTGGGGAAGATCAGTAAGGACTTTAATTCTTAGAATTTGCCTCTGTACTTTTGTTCTGTCTCATTTCTTAATTTATTTGGCAGATTTCCTAGAATTGTGTGCTCTTTGACCTCATTGAACTCGTTTTGCAGACTTGTGATAATCTCTGAGGGTACAGTGTTTAGTATGATGTCGTTCCTGCTCTTGAGAGGGTCTAGTGGGGAATGCAAAATCAACAGGCAGTTAACAATATCACAAATAATGGACAAACGGAAGGAGCACTGCCCTAGAGTTGTTTATTGGTTAGGGAAAAGATCTAGGAAGGCTTTTCTGGAGAAGTGATATCTCAGCTGAGACCCAAAAGATTGTTAATGGAGTCATTGTGTCAGTAGGCTACTTAGAATCTGGAATAGATGAACTCTTCTTAAAAATGATTAACGCTATGTTTTGTAGCTCTTTAAGAAGTAGTAACCACACTTTAATCTGGAACACCTGTGAACTATTGAAGGATGTTATCATGCAAGATTTTCCTGCTGAGATTTTCCTTCAAAGGCCAAAAATTGTTCAGGTCAGTGCCCTCTATAATTGTTTTAGATTTTGAACTAGAGAACTTTTTGCAATAAAGCAAATTTTGCAGAGTAGGAGTTCTTGGGAAGGAACTTTGTACTCATGTTTTTAAAAAGTGAAGTATTTGGCTATTTAAAGCACTTATTCGCTAACTTGGGTGGATAGTTATAGTTCTTCCAATAGTAGTAGTTTCATTTGACACTTGCAGTCCAGTCTGGCCACCTTGAGTTACCATTTATGGATCACCTAAATGGTAGAGTAGACTTTGGACATTGAGATTGTGCAGGAGCCCTTATTAAAAGTAAGAATAGCATTGCTTCTTGAGTATCTCGTTTATTTAACGCACAGTGCTACATGCTGGGAAAATACAGTAGCGGTGAGTAACGCAGATGGATTCTTTTCTTTTTTTCTAGTTTATTGCTTGTATAGTAGAGAGAGAGGGATCCAGGGTGGGGAATTGCAACATCTTCACAGCAGCCAGTAATGGCTCAGCATTCTCGCTCCACACTCCCAGGGCTGAAATGGACTCCAGTGGGTGCCAACTGTTAATACCTAGGATCAAAGCTGGCAAATGATCGCAGAGGAAAGCTGTTAATTACTAAAATGTGGTTAAATGGTTTAGATGCTTGAGATGAAAAGGGCTTGCTGTGATTTTTAAAATGTTCTCTGTAATGTAATGTCCTGAGTGGGGAATAATTTCTGTCTTCTCTCAGAATGGTTACTCAACTAACAGATTTTAGAAATAGGAAACACTGACTATTCTATTTAAATGTTGTTGTCTTATTTTATTTTGACCCATCTCCTTGCTTTATGCCAAGTCATATTTGCCCATTTCAGTTTCTTATGTCTTACAAATATTTGGCAACTTATTTTCTCTTGATTATTCACTTAGGCTTACTTACTTAAGCTCCACATTCTGCTTTGAAGTTGAGCTCTTTGTTCCCTTAGTAATTTTCACGGCTCTTCTTGATTTCAGAGCCTTTTATCTCTGTTGAAACTGGCCTTTGGAGATGGAAAGCATCGCCTGGCATTACAGTCGGTGTCCTGCCTGCAGCAGCTGTGCATGTATTTAAGAAACAGACTTAACTTTCACCGAGATCCAGGTTTTTTCTCCAATAAACACGGTATTTATTTTTATCTGTTCATTAGCCACTGGTGTTATTTGTAGATTCTTCTGGGAACCTTCCATTATAGTTACTGTTAGGGTTTATTGTGTACGCATTTTCACAACATAAACTCCCCACTCCTAAATGTATTCAAATGATTATCTTTACAGATTGCGTGAATGACAGAAACTGCCATGATCTCTTGAGCCTTTTTTTTTTTTTCTGGATAAGAGATATTTACAAGGTGTTTTTCTTTTTTCTCCCAAACTTGCAGAGATTCTATATAGTGTTGTTGGGATGTAGTGACTCGGATATTTGGTATGGCTATTCATGTAGGACTTTGGACAATTTAGCAAGTTACATATAGTGTTAATACATTGTTTTGTTTGAAAAATATTGATTTGAATTTTATGAAGAGTATTTTTATGCAACTTGCAATGTAGTCAAGTGTTGCAGCAATGTGAGACTTCAGAGAAAAAGTGCCACCTAATGGCCAAATAGAGTACCAGCCTGGCTTCGACAAAACCAGTACCATTTAGGATTTTTGTGAGCTTAATGCAACCTGCATCGAAAGTCAAATATTATAGTCATTTGTCATCATGTTTCATAGTTAATCCCTATTTCATTGGGAGTTTCACTGATCCTGTGCTACTTGAATATTTATGCTTTACCTTGGTTTTATTCTAGATCTTAGAGGGTATGGCATTGTACAAATGACTGGTAATAGAGAACGTCTGGGTACCCCATACTTCAACAGAAAAAGAGTTACAATGTTGATTTAAAAAGTTGATATCTCTGAAGAATTGTTAATGTATTTAATAAGTATGTATTTATTACCTGTTTTATGCCCCTGATATTCTAGCCTCTAGGGAAGTATAACACTGAACAAACGAATAAGATCCAAGCCCTTATGAGCTTCTATTTTAAAAGGCTGGGCACAGGTGATAAACAATCAAGTTTGCTTGAGATAAGGAGAAGTACTTGAAGGAAATAAAAAGGGTGATGTGACAGAATGTGGTTGGGTAAACATAGCTTCATTTAGGATAGTCAGGGAAAGTCCCTCAGAAAGCTTCTATTTTAAAAGGCTGGGGACAGGTGATAAACAATCAAGTTTGCTTGAGATAAGGAGAAGTACTTGAAGGAAATAAAAAGGGTGATGTGACACAACGTGGTTGGGTAAACATAGCTTCATTTAGGATAGTCAGAGAAAGTCCCTCAGAGGAGGTGACCTGAAGGGTGACAAGGAATCGTCACTCGAAGAGCTGCAAGAAGAGTGTTCCAGGGAAGGCCAGGCCTCAAGGTTAGCACTGAGGGTGATGTCCTTGAGCAACTGAAATAAAGCCCATGAGAGTGGACTGCAGTGAGCTGGGCAGAAGAGGAGAATGAGGTGACATCAGAGAGGTAGTTAGGGGCCAGAGTATATTGGGGCTTGCAGATCTTTTTAAAGATTTTATATTTTCTTTGAAGTGTAGTGAGAAGCTCTTGGAGAGTTTTTTTTCCCCCTCTCTCTGACTGTAAATGCTTTTATTACCTAATTCTTTTTTTAAATTGGGGTAAAATAGGTATAATATAAAATATGCCATTATAAACATTTTTAAGTATACAATATAGTGACATTAATAACATTCACATTGTTGTGCAGCCATCACCACTATCTGTTTCTAAACCTCTTCATTATCTGAAACAGAAACTCTAATCATTAAGCAGTGATTCCTCATTTTTCCTTTCCCCAAAGCTGGTAAACTCTAATTTACTTTCTGTCTCTGATTTTGTCTATTCTAGGTACCTCATCTAAGAGGAATCATACAGTATTTGTCCTTTTGTGTCTGGTTTATTTGTAATGTTTTCAAGCTTCATCCACATTGTAGCTTGTATCAGAACTTCATTCCTTTATATGGCTGAATAATATTCCTTTGCATGTATATCCCACATTTTATTCATCTATGCATTTGTCGATGGACATGTGGGTTGTACCCACATTTGGCGGTTGTGAATAATGCTTCAGTGAACATTGGCATGCAAGTATCTGTGCAGTGCCTGGTTTCAATTCTTTTGGGTAATACCCAGTGAATAATAGTGAAATTGCTGCGTCATATGGAAATTCTATCTTTAGCTTTTTGAAGAATCACCAAACTATTTTCCACAGCAGCTGTACCATTTACATTTCTATCAGCAATATATAAAGCTTCCAGTTTTTCCACATCATCACTGACTTGTTCATTTTTTTCTTTTTTAAAAATAATCGTAGTCATCCTAGTAGATGTGAAGTGGTATCTCATGGTTTTGATTTGCATTTCTCTAAAGACCTAATAATTAATGACCAATGAATCTCTAATAACTTTTTATGTGCTTATTGTTTGTTCATGTATCTTCTTTGGAGAAATGTTTATTAAAGTTCTTTGCCCATTTTAAAAATTGGACTGGTTTCTTTATTGCTGGGTTTTAGGTTACTTATATATTCTGAAAATTAAACCCTTATCAGATATATGGTTTGCCAATATTTCCTCCCACTCTATAAGTTATCTTAACACTTTCTTGTAATGTTCCCTTGGTGTACCAAAGTTTTAGATTTTGATGAAGTCCAGCTTATCTGTCTGTTCCTTGGTTGTTTGTGCTTTCGATGTCATAGTTAACAATCGATTGCCAAATTCAAGGTCATGAAGATTTATTTTTTCCGCTAAGAGCTTTATGGCTTTAGCTTTTATATTTAGGTTGTTGATCCACTTTGAATTAATTTTTATGTACAGTATGAGGTAGCCATTCTTGGAGAGTTTTAAGCAGACGAGTGCATGATCTAGTGTTTTTCTGCTTTGGTAGTCTCTAATGTTGTAACTGAATGCCATTGACTAGAAGGTCCCATGTAATCAAGTCAGTTAGATATAAACCTAAATGTACTAAGTGAATACTTATAGAAAAGTTTGATCTTTGCTTTTGTTTTTACCCCTGTAGAAGGATTCCTACTATCTTAATTTGTTAATGTTTTTGGAAGAATGATACATAAATACCACATAGTCAGAAGTCTGTTTCTACTAAAGAATAATTTTATTTTTTCTTTGTTTCCCCAGACACAGTTTCCCAAAATTCTTCTTTGTCTTATTGTCATGAAGCAAGAGGTACTCATCATTCCCAGAATCCTTCCCCAGGAAGCAGCAGCCCTCGGCCTTCTGTGGTTGGGCGCACAGGCCAGCGACCCAGAGGAGATGGCCAGGACTGGGATGCAGCGTCCTCTAGGTGACTGCTAGCAGTGTCTCTGGGGAAATGAGAAATGCCGGTTAACTTGTGTGTGTGTTAATTTCAGAAGGAGATAATTATTTTTCTGTCCTTTTTTTTTTTTTTTTTTTTGAAACATTAACACAGGTATAGGCCTTGTGTTAAACCCTGGCTTCATACTTTTTTTGACCATGATCCACGGTAAGGACAGATAAATATTACATCGCAACTCAGTGCTCAGTACTTGAACATATGCTCTGTTTATGTATATATATGTGTGTGTATGTGTCCCCCAAAACAAAATGTTCACATAATAGTATTCTGATACTATGTTTGACACACTGAACTATATTTTCAGTTCCGATTTCATTAGAAAAGAAATGATTCTGACCCAATAAATTGTTTTTACCAGCTGCAAACGGAATATGATCAAGTTTAAAAGAATAGCTTTAAATGATAGATACATTGTTGATAGTATTTTACACATATTTTTGTAAGTCTTATAACAAATGGATAAGTGTTTACTGTTAAAAGGAATGGTTGGAGAATTTTATAAAATAAGGACTCCTTCAAGGTGAACAATTTATGGTATTTGTTTGTGTAAATACAGATTTTTTTCTTTTTTTTTTTTTTTTTTTTGAGACAAGGTCTCACTCTCTTGCCTAGGCTGGAGTGCAGTGGCACGATTATAGCCTTGACTTCTGGGCTCAAGTGATCCTTTCGCCTCAGCCTCCTGAGTGGCTGGGACCACAGATGTGCACTACCATACTTGGCTAAGCCTTTTATTTTTTGTAGAGATGGGGTCTCACTATGTTTCCCAGGCTGGTCTCGAACTCCTGGGCTCAAGTGATCTTCCCATCTTGGCCTCGTAAAGTGCTGAGATTACAGACATGAGTCACCATGCTTGGCCCCCAGTGCTTGGCACCCAGATTTTCATACACCAACTCTGCTTAAAAGGATTGGTGTGGTATTTGTATGTTACCTTATCCTTGGGTGCAAATGTGTTAGAAACATATTAGTCTCTTTAGTGTCATTCTAAAAAATGTTCACTAAGTTAAGCATTGGTCTGTTGGCTTAATTATTTTCTTGCAATACTGCTACTACTGTTAACAAGCTAATACTGATTCATACCTGCTGTGTGTATGGTGTTATGCCCTGTGCTTTGCATACTTTGTCTCCTTTAGTTGTCCTAGAATAGGATTGATATTATATATAGCATTAGTATTATTATTATCATCCTCATTGAGGTTTAGAGAGGTTAAGAGCATAACAGTTGGTAAAGAGCAGAGCTAGGGTTAAATAAAATGATAGGAGAGTCTATGCTCTTAGTCCTTATATTGTAGTTGGTTGTTCAGCCATGTTTTTCTCTTTCTCCTGAAGCCTTTCTGCCTCATTCTCTTGTGTGCTTCATGCTTCTAAGTTTTCACTCCTGAGTGAACAGCTTCCTCACTGAAACTTCCTTTCAGAGTTACAGAGAAGCCCGAGTTGTTTCCATATTTTGGGGTGCTTGGTATCTTGAAATTGAAGAAACGACAAAGTTGGTTTATAATTTGGGCAAATTTAAATGTTCCATAGCATTAATATGTCTCTTGTGATCCAGCTTCGGTTGTGGATAACATCAAAAGACAAAATTTTGAGGCTCTTTGTAAGTGTGAGGCTCTAGCCTTTCTACACTTTTTAAATCCTTACTCCAGCACTTTACATCCGAGGTAAGAACTTTTTAATGAAGAAAGCCAAGGACAATGGGATGTTCCGTTTTTTTGGGTGCATTTTTGAAGTCACTACATGATGTCGAATGTACTAAGTGAAGTAATACATTTCCCATGAGGTTTTTCTAGAAACATCCTTCATTTACTAACACTGGCTTACTCAGAACAGTGGTGAAACTCAGAAAATCTAGGAAACGGTATGAACTATTGGTTTTGTCTCTACACGTTGATTACAGAAGAGCTTTCCTATAAATCTGCTTATTTCCTTTTGGAAATGAATGGGTTATCAGTGCTAATATTGATTCCTACTATAGGAATGTTGACATGTTTTGAGATATCAGCCTGACAAGCAAAATATAGATGCATTTTTGGCTTCATTTACAATTTAGAGTCTTTTTTTTTTTTTGAGATGGAGTCTTGCTCTGTCGCCCAGGCTGGAGTGCAGTGTCGCTATCTCAGCTCACTGCAACGTCTACCTCCTGGGCTCAGAAGATTCTCCCGCCTCAGCCTCCCCAGTAGCTGGGATTACAGGTGTGTGCCACCATGCCCAGCGAATTTTTTTTTTTGTATTTTTAGTAGAGGTGGGATTTCACCATGTTGGCCAGGCTGGTCTTGAACTCCTGACCTCAGGTGATCTGCCCGCCTTGGCCTCCCAAAGTGCTGGGATGACAGGCATGAGCCACCACTCCTGGCCTTGAGTCATCTTTATGGAATTTAATTTCGTAAATTTGTCAAAGTTTCTACAAATCTGACCAGAGTTGAATGAAGCAGTAGAGTTGTGACTTGTATGAGGCTTCTAATATGCGAGGCAGCAGATATGCAGTAAATCTGTTTGGGGATTGTTTCTGTATGCAAGGTTTATCATTTGTTTATCTTGCAGTGGAAGTAGTAGTCATGCTCATGTAAACTCCAGGATATCCGTTCATTCACCTTTGGATATGGGACACATAGATCTGCCAGAGCTGGAAACTGAAGACACATTGGAACTACAATTCCAGCAGCTCAGTCTTCCCCAGTTTTGTGTCTCCATTCTGGAATCAGCTGTTCCTCTCTTAAGAACAGGTTAGTTGTTTTAGAAATCGTAATTCTGATATAATTTGTGTCTGTTTTGTATTTCGTTAGGATTTTCCTTTTTTTCTCTTCTATGTTAGGGCCTTTGGAATCTGTATTTACTTATCTTTTGGGATATAAATTTCTAAAAACCTAATAAGGTCTTTATTATTTTTAAATTAAATGTGGATGCCTTGGAGGGCTATTCAGCTTGCCCTTCCATTTTATGAGTTTTTATTGGCACAGGCTTTCATGCTTATTTTTTTTTTAGAATTTTTATCTATTTTTTGCATTTATTCTTGCTGTCATCTATTTTTTTCTTTTTTTTTTGGACTGTATGGCTATTTTAAATTTGAGCAGTGACAACATTCAGCAACTGGAATAAGGTATAAAAGGTGGACTGGCATGAATAGACCAGAATAAAAAAATCTTTGGCTTTTGCTCTTTGGAAACTTTTTGATTAGCTGTCAGTTGTTTACTCTTCCCATTCATTTCTTGCTACTTAAGCCACTTAACATGTTAAAAACAAAACTCCAAAACTGGATTCTTACCTTTGTAGTAATTTTTCTTAAAAAAGCCACAAATATTTTGAGATCCCATTTTTGTTCAGATGTACTAGGAAAATTTGAAGAGGTTGACTGAAATATACACTGGTATTTAATTGTAATTGTACTGAACAATGGTAACAGCAATAACAATATGACAGAGGTCTGCTGAGTCTAGTAATGAAACAACAGTTAGCACGTGTCCCTACTGGGTTCTGCCTTCATACTTGGTTTTGTGTGCATTATTTCGTGTATTTTTCATATCAACCCATTTTGTTTTTTCACTGGTAGTTAACTAATTTTATCTCCATTTTTACAAATGATGAAGCTGAGTTTTTGAGTGGTTTAGAAACTTGCCTGAAGTCAAACGGCTAAAAGCAGGGACTTGAACCACGATTCTTTTGAATCTAAAGTCCATGCTTTTAAATACTTTAGCATTTTGCAAGGTGTAAAGAAAGTTTTAGAAAGAAAACAGTCATGATTTTTATTCTCAAAATCTATACATTTTCAACGTTTGATAAACTCATCAGGATATAAATAAGATAACCAAGTTTTGCCCTTTTTACTTTATACTGGCAAAGTAAAAATATATATTCCAAGTTAATGGTTCTTTAAGTCCCATGTCTATTTTTTGCCACTTGGAGGTGATGGAGGAGAAAGAAGCAGGAAGGTATATATTTGGAAAACATTTAAAATGTTTTTATCCTGAGGAAAACTGTGTACTCATACTTTTTACTCAGTAAGTGCTTCTACTAGCTGGAACTATATATTAATTCATATACTAATAATGTGAAATGAAGAAAGATCTGAACTTTGGCATCATAAAGTACATATGTTTATCTGTCTGGTAAGCTGAGAAGAACAGTCTTAGACTTTAATGATTTTGCATTTAACCTTTCCTTAATTTGCTTTAAAAAGTCAGATTGATAATTATAAAGCTATATCTTGGTACATAAAAACTAAATGTTCTCCTGCCCTTTTGTGGTAAATTATGGCATGATTTGTAACTGTTCAATATCGTAAGAGATTTGTAAGAGAATTTGGTCCAGCTCTTCTAGTGAAAAAATTAATCTAGATCCTTCCAATCTGGTAGTTTGTTTTACTTTGATTCATTAGAACTTAACCTTTGGGATGCGGGGTGGGAAAGTCTCGTGTGAATGTTCGTCTCACACAGGATAATGGAAGTGGAGTCTTTGTTATTCTGTCTCTGTGGAGAAAGGAGGTTGCTCTGGTGGGTGTGACTTTGGGAAGTTTTTTTGAGTTTAAGGTGAGTACAAATAGTTTCTTTAGCAAATGTTAGCATGTTCATTTATTCCTTTAGTTGCTCCAGTCCAAGCTTAGCTTCCCAGGCAACTCCTGTGTGGGAAAATACTAATTTATGAGAAGGCTCACGCCTTCTAGTACTAAGTAGAAATTATTGGAATACGTTTTCTAAACCTTTCTGGTGCTTTGTCACATATTACGTGTAAAATGGATGGTCCCTAAATTCGAAAAATTATTTTAATCTATCTCACAGTACTTGTTAGATTATTGCTACTTTCAATATCTTTTCCAATTATAAATGTATTTGATTTGTTATGTAGTAAAGTAGTACTGTGACTGGAACAGAAGCCTTCAGTGTGATTGTAAATTGTGATTTCTCTACAGTTCTAAGAACATTAGAAAAAAAGAGAAAATGTTGGAGCATGACTAACTAGAAAATTGAGCAATATGATATTCAGCTGATTATTTTAAAGTTAAGTAACTTCTTCTCCTTTACTTTTTTCTGTTTGTATTCCTAGGTAGCAGACAAGTGATAATAAGAGTTCTGGAATTGCTTACAGAGGATATGACACTTATTGGTGAAGCAATTTCAACAGATATCTGGGATGACAGCAGCCTTTTTGGTATAGATATGGTAAGAATCAATGTTTTCTTTGGGATATAGGGAATAGTATTTTTTAAGATTTTGGTTCTTTTAAGCCGGTTTCATTGTCTCATTCGTGTTCAAAATCTTTTTTCTTTTTGACTCAATATGTCCCAGGCTTATGTTATAAATAGCCTGGAACAGGCCTATTTTTCCAAAGGTTCTGGTTACTTCTAATAGTGGAACGTATATTAAGACCAAAACCAGGCCATTAGAGGTGGTTATAGCTACTGTGATATCATTCTTTTCTTTCAGGAACAATTAGGAAATACGTATTTTTAAAGATCGTGAGTTTATTGCTATTTTTCTTATTTTAAATTTGTATTTCTTATCCTTGCGCTTGTAGAAAGTCTTCGTTCCTAGCAATATCAGCATAATTGCTTATTAGCTTTGACCTTAAACATACATAAGATAGTTTCAGAACAGCAATATTAACATTGCTATGAACAATTCTAATGAAAAGTTCAAGATTTCCTGGCAGTTCTTTTTGAGATAGACTAATCTCACTAAGGATATACAGTCAAAATACTGTGCCTTAAAGCTACCGTTACCCATTCAGCATACAGTTAGATTTTTTTTTGTTTGTTTTCACTATTGGGAATTGTTTTTTCTTCATAAAAATGTAGCTCAGAGATGCCTCTCTCCCATCCAGTTACCTTTAAGATGTTTTCCTTATTGGTAGTCATTTTTATTTTCTGGCTATTTTTTTCTATTTTTATTTTATTTTTGCAAATGTAAGCAACTAAGTATGTAGATTCTTATCCTCTCCCCATCCTGCATAAAAGGTGGTATATTATAGACACTGTTTTGCACCCTGTTTTTATAACTTAAAAATACGTCTTATGTGCATAGAATAGTAGGTATGAGGATTATTCCCTATCTATCTATACGTGAGATTTTCTCGTTCTTTTTTATAGGTAGCAAATGCTTCGTTGTGTATTTGTTAACCTAGTCTCTTGATGGATATTATTGTTAATATAAATTATGTACAAAGAATAATGGGCTTATGCTATTTCATAAATGTGCAGGTATGTCTCTAGGGTAGATTTATTTAAGTGGGCATGCTGTTTTTCTAAAAAACTTTTATTTAGCTTCAGCGGTACGTGTGCAGGTTTGTTATGTAGGTAAACTGTGTCATGGGGGTTTGGTGTACAGATTATTTTGTCACCCAGGTAATAAGCCTAGTACCCGATAGGTAATTTTTGTGGTCCTCCTCCCACTCTCTGCCGTCGAGTAATCCCTGGTGTCTGTTATTCCCCTCTTTGGGTCCATGTGTTCTCATTGTTTAGCTCCCACTTATAAGTGAGAATATGTGTATTTGGTTTTCTGTTTCTGGATTAGTTTGCATAGGATAATGGCCTCCAGCTCCATCCATGTTGCCGCAAAGGATATGATCTCATGCATTTTTATGGCTGCATAGTATTCATTGGTGTGTATGTACCACATTTTCCTTAATCAGTCTCCCATTGATAGGCATTTAGGTTGATTCCATGTCTTTGCTATTGTGAATAGTGCAGCAGTGAACATACACATGTATGTGTCTTTATGGTAGAATGGCCTCAAGTGATCTGCCTGCCTTGGTCTCCGAAAGTGCTAGAATTACAGGTGCGAGCCACCGCGCCCGGCTGAGCCATGTTGTTTATGTAGTAGTACAGCAGTTCCTCACTTGGCATCATAGATAGGTTTTCGGAAACTGTGACTTTAAGCAAACTGACTTATAACAAACCCAGTTATTTTTTCTCATCAGCATTTAGTGAAATGGCATGGAACTTGTAATGCTGTTTCATTAAAGTCAGTTTCCAAGAACCTGTTGACCAAGTTAAGTGAAGGCTTACTGTAGTTTATTCATTTTATTTCTGAGTAGTATTACATTGTGTGGACATACCACAATTTGTTTATCCATTCACCTGTTGGTGGACAATGGGGTTGTTTCTAGTTATTACAAATAACATTCCTATGGACATTCCAGTTGTTCCACATCTTCAACATCTATTATGTTCAGTTTTTTTTTTTTTTTTGGGGGGGAGAGGGCATTCTGATAGATGTGCAATGGTATCTTAGTGGGTTTTAATTTGCATTTCCCTAGTGACTGATGATTATGAGCATCTTTTGTAATTTTTAGAGAGCAAGTCTAGGTTTTTTTTTAAAAAAACACTTATTCTTAAGTATTCTTTTCAATGCCATTGTGAATGAAAATTTTAAAAGTTTTTGGATTGCTCATTGTTAGTATATAGAAATACAATTGATTTTTGTGTATTGATCGTCTATTTGGTGGCCTTGCTGAACTTACTAGTTCTGGTAGTTTTTTTTGTTTTGTTTTGTTTTCTGGTAGATCCCTTAGGATTTTCTATCTATAAAATCTTGTTATCTGTGAATAAAAACAGTTTTAAGATCATCTTATCTGTGAATAAAGACAGTTTTATTTCTTTCTATTCACTCTGGATACCTTTAATTTTTTTAAATTGCCTAATTGCCCTGGCTAGAAGCCTTAGTATAATGTTGGATGGATGTGGTGAGAGCCTTCTTCATGATTTAGAGGGAAGCATTCGATCTTTCACCATTAAATACAAGATTAGCTCTAGTACATTTGTATTTTGTAGATGCCTTTATAAAGTTGAGGAAGTTCCATGTATTCTTAGTTTGTTGAAAGTTTTGATCATGAATGATTATTGTATTTTGCCAAATCTTTTGTCTCTATTGAGATGATCATTTAGCTTTTTGAAGAGCAGAAAAACTTAATTTTGATGAGGTTCAGTTTCTTAGTTTTTCTTTTATGGATCATGCTTTTGATATTTTATCTAAGAAATCTTTGCCTAACTTGGAATACAAAGAGTGTTTCCTATGCTTTCTTTTAGAATTATTACATATGTTTTAGGTTTTATATCTTTGATTAATTTTGAGTTGATTTTTGTATCTAGCACAAGGTAAGGAATGAACTTTTTTTTTTATGGGTATACAATTATTTTCTCAGCACTATTTGTTCAAATGACTGTCCTTTCTTTCCTGAATTCCTTACCAACTAACTATATGTGGGTTTACTTCTGGAATCTATTTGATCGGTTTTCTCTTATGATGCCAATACCCAACTGACTTAATTATTGTAGCTTATAGTGAAGGCTTATAGTTAGCTATAGTGAAGCTTATTGTAAGTCTTGAAATAAGGTAGTATAAGTCCTTCAACTTTGTTCTTGTTTTTTTTTTCTGATATGTAGTCCTCGCTCTGTTGCCCAGGCTGGAGTGCAGTGGCGCCATCTCGGATCACTGTAAGCTCCACCTCCCAGGTTCACGCCATTCTCCTGCCTCAGCCTCCCAAGTAGCTGGGACTACAGGCGCCCGCCACCACACACACACACACACACACACACACACACACACACACACAAAAAAAAAAAAAACCTGCTGTGGTTTTGAATGGAATTGAGTTGAATTTGTAGATCAATTCAGGAAAAATTGACATCTTAATAGTATTGAATCTTCTGATCCATGAATACCATATATATGTCTTCACTTGTTTAGCTCATTATTTATTTTTATTTTTATTTTTTTTAACATGGAATCTCATTCTGTCACCCAGACTGGAGTGCAGTGGCATGATCTTGGCTCACTGCACTGTCCGCCTCCCGGGTTCAAGTGACTGTCACTACAGCTTCAGCCTCCCAAGTAGCTGAGATTACAGGCATGTGCCCAGCTAATTTTTTTGTATTTTTAGTAGAGACAGGGTTTCACCATGTTGGCCAGGCTGGTCTCGAACTCCTGACCTCAGGTGATCTGCCTGCCTCGGCCTCCCAGAGTGCTGGGACTACAGGCATGAGCCACTGTGCCCAGCCTTATTTAGCTCTTTAATTTGTCTCTGCATTGTTTTGAAGTTGTCAGTGTATAGGTCTTATACATTTGAGTATTTCAGTTTTGGGTCTTGTCCACTGGCTGACTTTTCTCTTTATGGATCTTAATATTTGATATGTGTAGTAATTTCTGATTGGATGCTGGACCTTTTCAATGTTACCATGTTGAGTGTCTTGATTTTTTATTTTACCCTTTTAGAAGCACTTTGGGAGGGTTCTGAAGCACTTTGGGAGGCCAGCATGGGAGCATTACTTGAAGCCAGGAGCTTGAGATGAACCTGGGCAACAAAGTAAGATCTTGTCTCTTCAAAAATTAGTAACATTAGCTGGGCATGTAGGTGCATACCTATAGTCCCAGCTATTTGGAAAGCTGAGGCAGGAGGATCACTCGAACCCAGAAGTTTGAGGCTGACAGGTGGTTATGTTACTTGTAGAGCAGTTTCATTTTCTCAAGACTTTAAAAAATTTTGCTAGAATGGGTCTAAAATAGTGGTTTTCAACTGGGGGGTAATTTTGCTTCCCAGAGGATGTTTGGCAACGTCGGGAGCCATTTTTGATTGTCACACCTGGAGTGGTGCTGCTGGCTTCTAGTAGATAGAAGCCAGAACAGCTCACCACAACAAAGAATGTTTTAGCTCAAGATGTCAGAAAACCTTGAGGAAGTGTTAAGGTTGAGAAACCCTGATCTAGAAGAACCTTTGCTTGGGGTTAAACTCTGCTCCTGAGATGTGATCCTTTGGGACCTCTATTGAATGTCCAAAGTGATGATTGATGACTGTCTACTCTGCCTGGTTGAAGACTGAGTTTTATTGTCTTGTGTGAGCCCTGGGAGTTGTTCAATTTAAATCTCAGTAATCATCTTTGGCCTGTATTTACAGAGTATCTACCTATAATCTAAGCCACCTAATCTCAGCATGGTCTGGGTGGAAACTTGTTTAGGTCTCTGAAATTCTTTCTTTGCATAGCTCTCCCACAATTCCTAACCATGTCAGCTTCCACAGGCATCTTCATCTCCTAAAGTCATCGAGACTGTCAGACTCTTTGGATTTCTCTTGCCTGTGTTTGCTGTACAGTAATTGTTTTCAGGTATAGTAGGACTCTCATTGCTTATTTTCCTTCTCTCTGGCATCACAGTCCTGCAATGACACTATGCCACTTTCTAGTTGATTTCTGGGGAAGGACAGGAGATGTCCTTGTTATTATTTCATGGCCAGAATTGGAAGTTTTACGTAAAGTTTTTAATTATGTCATTTAAGCAACTGGCCTATCTGTGAGTTATTAGGAGCTTAAATGTACATTTATCTAGAGTGAAAATTCTGGATCAACTTTAGAATAATCATTCAAAGTGTGGAGAGTTCAGGATACCTTGTTTTTTGCTGTTTGTATTTCAGTAGAGTAGATAATTTTAGAAAATATGGAATTAAATTTTGTTTTTTTTGTAAGAAGTGTTTTGATAAGTAATATTTTGCATGAGTAATCAACATGTGTACAGTAGTAGCCTTAAGAATGTTATATTACAACATAATATTTAAGAGATCTATGGAATACCAGAGTATGTCTCCATGTAACTGGAAAACATATCTTTTTTAACATTTCAAAATATCATAAATCATTTGTCATTTAATATCTTTCATTTTGAAATTGTCATCTGATAACCTTGCCTTCCTTGAAGATTTGGCATTCTATCTCTTCTGTTAATGTGAATTCCTAATGTCTGGTCTTCCTTCCTCTCCCTTTCTTCCTTCCCCTCTCCCTTCCTCCCTTCCCTTTTGCTGCCTTGTCAGGGCAGTAGAATCAAAATTTATTAGTCATAAAAATATATATTGACTCTTACGTTTATCAGTTTTTTTTCTCTTTATGCTATTTTGATGTAAGTCGGTCTATATTTAATTAAACATTGTTACAGGCTGTCTGAAATCCTTGTGAATAGAGGTCTGAATATAAAAAAATAAATTACAGATATTTACATAATAACAATACCCATGTAAGAAAGAAACCCAAACTTTTATTTTTTTCATAACACGAGCCTCTTAAAAAGAGAAACAAACTGCATATTTTAAAATGGGTGTATTTTCAAGTCTTTCATTTTCTGATAATAGTTCTGAATCTTGGTTTTTCTTTAGTCCTTAAGGTTATCACACTATTTTGTAGTACTTTTAGGAGATTTTTCACATATTGAAGATTTTCAACAAGTAAATTTTTCCTTTGAAGTGTGAGGAATGCTTTATCAGTTGTTTCTTAAATTAACTTAAATTTTCTTGGCCAGAACATTTATCTGTAAAAGTTAGTCATTCACTTTTAACTTTTGGCTGCTGGTACTTTATGATTCAATGAATTATTTTTACTTTAAAGGTTAATTCTGTTGTACAAGTGCCAGTTGGTATGTTACAAATGCTAAATAAAACAGAAGTACTTCAAATTATATTTGATTTACTTTTACTTGTTTAAAAAGAATAAATGTCTCTTTTCTTTGGCTATATTTTAAAAGAAGCAAACAAGTAAAATTTCTTAATGTTCATACTTTTGCCAGTTTTCAAAAGAAAGACGGAAGCAGTATTTTTGTTGAGTCATTAAAGGAACAAAATAATAAATGTTGCTATCAATTTAGAAATTAAGTACCTGAGGATATATAATCAAATCTCTAGGTATTTCCACACAGTACTAATATCAGTAACATCAATCATGTCTGGAACCCTGTAACTCAGCATGGAAGGGAATTTCAATTTCCCCCCTTAATTGAATATTTTTATATTACTCGAAGTAAATAAAAGAAAAAATATTTTCACCAAAATTAGTTATGCTGACCTAAAGTATGTCATATGTCATTCCCCCTAGTCCTCCATCATCAAATCAGGTCTATTTTTTCCCTATTTACATGCTAAGTCAGGTTCAAGATGCAAGGAGAAAGTAGCTTTCACCTCCTGCCAGATAACCTAGACTCTTAGGTCTATATTCTGTTTCTTTTCCGCATTTCTTCTGTGTCATTCCTGTCATTGCAGTCATTGGAAAGCAGTCTTTTCATCTTTATGACTCATTGCTTCTAAATTCCCATCTGACCTGCTGTGAACTGGTAACTTCAACATCAAGGCATGTTGGTAGAATTGTAGAATGTTGGTAGGACTTCAAGAGGGGCTAAGAGGATTGTGAAAGAAACTAAAGATCTTTGTATCCAGTAAGGGCTCATTAAGGATATTTGGACCAGATTGTGAATTGATAACTGGTGTAGTGGGATCTCTAATTACATAGACCTTCCCTGCTGCTGCCACCATTCCAAAGACAGTTATTTTAACTCACATTTCTTGATTGCCCGTTATTAATATATGCTAGGCACTTGGGATATCAAATAAGATGTAGTGCTTTTTATGCCTATGGGTGATAGATACTTTTAATATGACATTAGTAAAATAGAGATAAGCATAAAGGAATAACACGTAAACTAAGATAGTTTAAATATAGCACTTACTGTATGTCAGACACTAAGCACTATTTATGAGGTCATTTAATTATCATGACCCTGCAAACTCCATAACTGAGGCACAGTTTATTTTTCAGGGTCACTTGTGGTTTTGTATTTATAGCCATTATGTTTTATTGCCAATGGTGCTTTGAAAACACTATGAACTATGAACTTGGGATGTCAGTGAGGGCTTTTTTTTTTTTTTTTTCTCTTCCCCAGACTCAGAGTCTCACTCTGTTGTCCAGGCTGGAGGGCAGTGGCGTGATCTTGACTCACTGCAACCTCCGCCTCCTGGATTGAAGCAATTTTCGTGCCTCAGCCTCCCAAGTAGCTGGGATTACAGGCATGTACCACCACTCCTGGCTAATTTTTGTATTTTTAGCAGAGACTGGGTTTTGCCAGATTGGCCAGGCTGGTCTCAAACTCCTGGGCTCAAGGCACCACTCCTGGCTAATTTTTGTATTTTTAGCAGAGACTGGGTTTTGCCATGTTGGCCAAGCTGGTCTCAAACTCCTGGGCTCAAGTGATCCTCCTGCCTTGGCCTCCCAAAGTGCTGGGATTAGAGGCATGAGCCACCGTGCCCGGCCTCAGTGAGGGCTTTTTGTAGATCTGAATGAACTGAGTTTTAAATTATAGGTAGGATTTGGCCAAGCAAATAAAATAGCATTTTTTTTTTTTAATCTGGCGGAGCGTGAGAATGAACCATGAGCCATGACAAAGAGGCATGGATAGTTCTGATCGGAGATAAAGGATAGGCCTGGTAGTAGATGGAACACAAGCACCTAGACCATGAAATGTGAGGTGCAAATAGTGGAGAGAGACTGGTGGGATAAATGAGGGTCTGCTGGTAGGGGTCTTTTGGCATGATGCTGAGTAGTCCTGCCTTTCCTCTGAAGGCATGATGAGATTGCTTTTAATCAGAGAAGTGCCTTGTGAGACTGGCAGGAGGAACCGTGACTGGCTGCAGTGTGGAAGGTCCATTGGAAGCATGTGAGGGGCAGAGCCTGCTGCAGTTTCTTACTCCAGGTGCCTTGTAGAATCCACAACCCATTGTATATTGCAGAGGTAGTGTGTAAGTTGTGTTTACACTATAAAATCTGTTTTATTGGTAATATTTAAGACATTTTGCTAACCTGGTATTTCAATTTTGTACCTTCTGTTGTAAAAACTATGAGTATCCTGTGAGGACGGGTCTTTTCCCCCACCGTCAACTCCTTTAGGGTTGTTGCTTAAACATCTTTAGCCCAAAGAATTAAAAAATGTGGGCCAGTTACTATTGTTTTTCAATCCTTTCCTACAAAACAAAACAAAACAATACAAAAAGCCATTTTTTTTATGCTTAGAAGAAATGTTGGAAATAGAACTGTAAAACTCATTCCTAAAGTATTTTCTTTTTATGATATTTTGAGAAGTACTCAATTCATCATTAGAATTAGCAAGATTATTTTAAACAATTTCACAAGTAAATAGACTTGAATAATAGAGATGTTGTTCCTAGTACTGTTTTCATGGAGAAATACTGTATGGAGGAATTAATTGCCTGTCAATATAATAAGACTGTCACTGTATTTCCAATTTGTTTTCTCTAGACCAGTAGTTGTTTGTATGAGGGCGTTTTACTTTTTCTGTTTTAATTTTGTAAGGATTGTTCTACTTTCGGTTTAAATATTTATTGCTTTTTAGTTTTATTTCTTGGGGATCAGAGAAATATAGCCTTAAATATACACTGAAGTTTTCTTTGTGGTAAAGTATGTTTAAAGTTAATTTTTGTCAGTGTTTCTTGGAAACTTAAGGAGAAGTTATATTCTTTGCAGTGTTCAAAGTTTATGTCTATTAATTTTAATTATGTTCAAAAAGACTGAGTTAAAATTTATAAGTCCATATCAATAACATGTTTTGTTGATGTCCTGTTTTATTCAGATCACAGACTCATTTTTATTGAGTCTTTATTGTTAAACATGTCATCAGTAGAAAATTACTCTAATTTATTTTGCCCTAAATTATTCACTATTCATATTGCTTAGAATTTTTGTTTTAATTCTACTACTCATTGAACTTTTAACCTTTTATTCACAAAGTTTTTTTAGAATTTTATTTTCTTTTTTTACTTATAATCCCATGACAGTTAAGGATTTATATATAAATTTTTAATTTTTGTTTTTTACTTCAATATGAAATTGTTTCATTTATAGGAAAATTTAAACTTTTTATAGTATAGTTATGCTTGGTCTACTCTCAAAAGTTTTTGCCTTGTTTTGCTTATGTAGATCATTTTGTCTTCCTTTTACTTCTGCAGTGACATTGTTGTACAACCATTATCATTATCTATGCAACTTTTTCATCATCTCAAATGGAATCTCTGTACCCATTAAACAATAACCCCTCATTCTGCCTATCCCCAGCTCCTGGTACCTCATATAAGTGGAATCTATATTTGTCTTTTTGTATCTGGCTTATTTTACTTTTGTATTTGGCTTATTTTATTTTATGTTTTAAAGGTTCACCCATGTTGTAGCATGTATCAGAATTTAATTCCTTTTGAATGCTCAACACCCTTTTCTTTTTTTCTTTGAGACAGAGTCTTGCTCTGTCGCCAAGGCCTGAGAGCAGTGGTGTGATCTTGGCTCACTGCAACCTCTGCCTCCTGGGTTCAAGTTCAATCCTGCTGGGATTACAGGCGTGAGCCATCGCGTCCGGCCTCCTTTTCTTGCATGTATATACAACATACCACATTTTGTTTCTGCATTTATTGGTCAGTGGCCACTTTCATTGTTTCCACCTTTTGGCTGTTGTGAATAGTGCTGCTGTTAACCTGGGTGTGTATACATCTCTTTTGGAGACCCTGCTTTCAGTTCTTTTGGGTATATTCCCAGAAGTGGAATTTGCTGGATCATATGATAATTCTGTGTTTTTTTGAGGAACTGCCCATTATATTTTCCACAGTGGCTGCACCATTTTACATTCCCACCAGCAATGCACAAGGCTTCCATTTTTTCCATATTCTTGCCAACGACTTGTGCTTTTTGGGCCTCATACCTTTTAGTTGTTCCCTGTATAGTCATCCTTGAATTGAAGAAATTCTGGTATATTAGATTTTTGTTCTTAGTTTGCAGGTATTTCTCATTCTTCTTTTCATATGTTTTCAATGGAAAATTGAAAGTTAAGTACTTCAGTTTTTTTTTTCTTTCTTACTGAGGGTGTCCTTTTACCCGCTAGTTTATGGGGGCATATCAGTATATCTGGGATATACTTTGTCTATATTGATGTGACTTACAAGACAGTCTACTATGCATAGATTCTTCTTCATATTTAATGTATACCTTTTAGTTTAAAAGATATGATTTCTCTTGAAGTAGTAAATTATTTAAATTTATGATGGCATAACATTTTCCACTTGAAACCTTATTATCTAAAGAGAGTTTATAAAATTTGATATTTAATTGTTTTTTAATTATTTGACTTTCCTTGATGCATTTCTTTAGAAATGTTGGTATCAATTTGAGGACAGAGATCATCATGTCTCTTGTACTAATGCATTGTTCTTTCATTATGCCTGCCACTGTGTTAGGCGTATAGTAAGCATAAGAAATACTTGACGAGGGGTTTGCGTGTTAACGTTCCAAATTGGAACAATTAGGCACTAGAAACTAGGAGGAAATTATGGTTCATTTACCTTTTATATTCTATTGTTTGTATTTATTCATTGTTAAGATTCATCATATTAAATACTTAAAAGATTATTGTATTTTTAAAATGTAGGTGGTTTATCATTCTTTTGTGCTTTTTAAATTATGTCAGCAGGCATTGGTAATTCTCACAGGAATAAATTCTGTTTTGATTTGTTTTCCTATTTAATGAAAATGATAATATTTTAAACTGTTCTCCATGGCTTTTGTATACTGGCCCCTAAAATTGGTTGTTTTCTTCTGTTTCATGTTGTGTAAATGTTTTCAGAAGGAGAAACTACTCCTGGTGTTGGGAGCCCTTGGAGAAACCATGTGCTACCATAAAAGTAGTATCAGTTTGGAGCAGCCAGAGGTGATGCTTGTGCACCACAGAATGGCCTTTATCAGCATTTCCCTGTTTGCAGTTCGACTGCTACAAACGCTTCTCCCTGTTGAAAAGGTAAGGCAGGCAATGCTGCTCATTTGTACTTTACAGACTATTATAAATAAATGCTCTGTTGTAAATTTCTTCTGCTCTTTTCATGGTGTGAAGGTATTGTGCTTTAGGCCATTTTCAAAATAAGTGTAACAGGTTATATGGGAAATGTAGAAATTGAGAAATGGCTAACATTTTGAACAATTTTGACAAATCATTTGATGGGAAATTATTTTTTAATCGTGCTGTTGCTTTTATTGCATATGTTTTATTGCAGTCTGTACGTTTGTTTATTCCTTGTTCATTCAGTGAATAATTTATTGATTGCTTACAGTGGACTAACAGTATTACTTGCTGGATGTAAAACTGAATAGGTTAGAATTAGTCCCTGGCCTCATGGAACTTAGTTTTGTAAAAGACAAGACTTGGCTGTTATCTATACATATACATATACATATACATATACATATACATATACATATACATATACATATACATCTACATCTACATCTACGTATACATATACATATACATGTATATGTTTGACTTCTTTGGTTTCTTTAATAACTTTGGGATCACTTGAGGGAAGAGATTATGTCTTAATATACGAATACATTTTTCCATACATATATACATATATAATTGGTACACTTGTATCTTTTAATTGATTGGAGGGCATTGAAAGCCTACTGATCTTATCTCTGCAGTGTGTGTCTTGGTTCTTATCATTAATATCAAGAGTAGCCTTTCCTTCTCTTCAGCTAGGTACGTGTTGTCAGAGTTCTTTACTTATTCACTATTTCCCAGGTTCCTTGACACACAGAATACAAACAATAGTTTCCATTGCTGCTCCAGAAATTATTTTATAGTTAGCATATCTTAATGTCATGGAACCTTTTCTTTTTCTTGTTTTATCTATTCAAAATACTGTTAGCAGTGCTTTAGTTTCTAAGTATTGGTCAAGTTGGTTTCTGAGGACTGTCCTATTTCTTGTATTTGTTGTACTTTATGTATATTGCTGGTGTGTTGCATATTTTAGTAACTTAAGGGATTTTTTTTTTTTTTGGTCCCATGCATTTCTCTTGAAGGTATCCCACTATTTCCTTTCTGTCAGCAACTTAATTGCTTAATATTTTTATTTTAGCACCTGATCAAAAGAATTTCAGAAGTCATCTTTGGTAGGATTAAATATCCTGATTTTTATTTGATTCATCTAGTTAATATTTGGTAACTTGTTTTATGTCTAAACCATATTTGTAGTTTGAGTTACGTAATATATGATTTCATACCTTAGTATGTCTTTTGAAAGTTGTTTTTTTAATTAACGTGTTGCTTTAGGTGTCTTTCACAAAGCTGCTTTTCTGCCCATGATAGCAATAAACTATCTTCTGTGCTAGTCTTTATTCTAGTACTTTTCTTTTTCCTACTTTTCTATTTTACCTAGACCTTTCTTTTCTTAAGCTTTGGTGTTTTCAGTTTTTAACTTTTATTCAGAAAATAAAATGTTCATTTAAAAAACATTTTGATGTACAAAGAAGAATAAAAATTCATTTATAATTTCAAGTTAGTTTTGAGGCTTTTTTCTTTTCTGCTTTAAGTCCAATTGACAGCGTCTATAAAAGTTATTTATTCTTTTTTTTTTTTTTTTTTTTTGGTTTTGGTTTTGTTTTTGAGACGGAGTCTCACTCTGTCACCCAGGCTGGAGTGCAGTGGCACTTTCTTGGCTCACTGCAGCCTCCACCTCCCAGGTTCAAGTGATTCTCCTTCCTCAGCCTCCCAAGTAGCTGGGATTATAGGTGTGAGCCACCACACCCAGCTAATTTTCGTATTTTTTTTTTTTAGTAGAGACCAGATTTCGCCATGTTTGCCAGGCTGATCTTGAACTCCTGACCTCAGGTGATGTGCCCGCCTCGGCCTCCCAAAGTGCTGGGAGTACTCGCGTGAGCCACTGCACCTGGCCTGTTTATTCTCTTTTTTTTTTTTTTAACCATTTCTTATTATCTAACATACATTTTCCATTTAATTAAACACTTCATAAATTTTAATGGGTACTAATATTTTACCAGCAAGATGTTCTATGATTTCCACAAGTATTCCAGAAATTAAGCTTTTAGGTTTCTTTTTTTCTTTTTTTGGTATTTTGATAAATAACACTATGCTGAATTGCTACTTACGCATGTTTACTCATATTTTGGATTCTTAAATTCCTAGTGGCATTACTAGTTCAAAGGCTGAATGCTTAAACATGTTTTTATTATAAGCATAATTTAAAAATATTATAGTTTCACGAGTTTCATTGTTTTTAACTAAAGAATGGATAAAAAGAGTAGTACACGGAAAAGATAATTGTGAGAATATATGGCCGGGAAATTACTAAAAAGAAGCACTTTTTGAAAGTGCCTAAGGCTGGTGTCTCTTCTGTGTGTTTGCCAATTACAGTTTCTGAAATTGTGCACTGTTAGTTTAACTAGAACACTTAAATTTTTAAATGATTTTTAAAATGCTATCAGAAAAAAACATTAATTCTGTAAAGGCTTTTTTTTTTTTTTTTAAACTTTCATATACATTCAGAAAAGTACATAGTTCAGTGCTTTTTCTACTAAGTGAATGCATCTGTCTTTAAAAAGTGACCACCCCCATAACAGAAAATAGAATGTTACCAGCATTCCAAAGACCCCTTCTCTGTTACCTCTCCCTCCTTCTCCAAGCCACACTCCTTTCTGACTTCTGTCACTATAGATCAATTGGCCTGTTTTGAATGTTGTTTAAATGAAATTATAAAGTATGTACTCTCTCAACTCCTTCTTGAGGTTCATAACTATTGTTGCCTATAGCATTAATTTGTTAACTTTTATTACAAAATATTCCATTGTATGAAGTCTGTTAAAAGTGATTTTAATATGTGTAAATATTTCTTTAAAATCTTCTTACTGACTGTATTTTTAAACGTGAGGTTATCTCTGAATTTGAATGTTAGTGGTAAAAATATCTCAGATCATTCAGACATCAGTGTTTCGTGGTGTACTTATTACCAAAACAAAGGAGTGACACACTAAAATGCAGGTATGGGAGAAATTATGAAAACTAGAAAACTATTCCTTATGCCTCTTTGTTGCCCTTAGTTATTAAACATTTGCAGCTTTGTTTCCTAGAATTCTGTAGAGCATATAGTCCAAACTCTATTTTCTTTTTTTTTTTTTTTTTTTTGAGTTGGAGTCTTGCTCTGTCACCAGGCTGGAGTTCAGTGGCGTGATCTCCGCTCACTGCAACCTCCGCCTCCTGGGTTCAAGCCATTCTCCTGCCTCAGCCTCCCGAGTAGCTGGGATTGCAGGTGTGCCCCACCATGCCCGGCTAATTTTTGTATTTTTAGTAGAGATGGTGTTTCACCATGTTAGCCAGGATGGTCTCGATCTCTTGACCTCTTGTTTTGCCTGCCTTGGCCTCCCAATGTGCTGGGATTATAGGCATGAGCCACCGCGCCTGGCCCAAACTCCATTTTCTAAGTATCACTTATATACACAATGTATTATCAGGTGATCCAGGAAAACGGATAAAACACTGCATTTTAAATATAGTATTTTGCTTTAAGGAAAATAACATCACTTGTGTTACTTTTAATTTTTAACTTGTATTCACTAGTCATTATGTTTCTGAAGTCCTTTTCTGTTTTGAAGAGTGACAATTTTTCAAGGCATAAGCATCAAGAATGGAAGAATTCCAGTCTCTTAAGAAAGGAATTGAATTTAAAATATGGGTGTCTTCCTTAATATTATATAAATGAAAAATTAGTGGTGCTACAATTGCTTGCTATTAAGTATTGCAAATGGTCAATCTATCTATGGGTCGAAGTATTGATGGAAAACTTATCCTATCAGTTGCATCATGTAGTTTTTGATTGTATTTTTTCATCTATGTGCTTATTTGGACAGGAACCAAAAAGAAATCAGTAATTTATTTTACTTAGTGCCAGAATAATGTAAAGTTAATTTTCCATGCTTTTTTTTTTAAAGGTAGTTATTGTTTTATTGTTTCCGTTTTTAAAAACAAATCAATTATCTAATTTTTGGTAGTTATTTTAAATATATAACTTGGAACTTTATTAAAACAATTTTGATCATTGTGGGAGATTGTAATTAAGGTATTTGTTTTTAGATGATTATATTTGTTTTGATTAATTGACTAAGTACTTTAAAATGAGATCTAAACAAAAATGCTATTTCATTGATGTTAAATTTCTTCTTTGGTTTATATAAATGTAAGGTTATGCTGCCCTCTGTCTGTTGCTAGCCCACTAATAATTGAAGTAGAATTTGGACTCTGAAACTTTTTGCCTTTAAAGTGGTTTTTTTGAGTTGCCACTGACCAAGTAGGTAGTTTGGATGTTGGAAAATAAATATGAATCTATGTAGAGATTTCCTAAGTTTAACAAAATGTCCTCTGATGCCTGTTTTGAAACTGATATTTGTTGATATTAAATGATTTTGGAGAATACTCATGTATAGGTTAAAATGATACGTTGGTAATCTTCTGAAAAATATTGTGGTTGAGTAAACTAAATTGGTAAAACAAATGAAGGTAATTTCATTTGGGGAAACATCTGGGAAGTAAGAGCTAAAAGTACTAGCCCTGTTCTGGAAGCAGAAGCACAGAGCATTCTAGGAACTGCTGTTACTCTTAGCTAGTGATGCTTACCAAGGCTAAGGAAGAATTTGTAACACAAGGTCTTTAGCTTTTCAGGGAGGTATATAAAAAGATCTAATGACCTGGTGAAGCCAGTTGAGTGACTGAGAGCAGTGCTTTTCAAACGGTAATGTTCAAACAGATCACTTAGAGATATTGTTAATCACATCTTGCATATTCTGATTCATCAGGTAAAGGGTAGGGCCTGAGAGCCGGCATTTCTAACAGACTCATAGAATTATGCCATGGCTGCTGAGTGGCTAGTTTACAGGAAACATTTATAGCCCCTCCTCCCAATGCACATGAGGTGATGTTGCTGATTATTTTTTATCTAATGGGGTGATGGATTTGCACTGAAACATCTTCACTTTTAGTTCTGATGGCATGTGACTAATGCTTATATATGCAGGACAGCTATCTTAGATTAGGGGTGTAAATTGTGATTAGTCCATTGGGCCATGTAAAGATTAGCTAATGACATTAGCATGGGGCTTTGAGTTGTTGAGATAGCAAGAGTTTCAAATACAAGTACGCAGGGTGAAACATTGGAATTCCTTTGTGGTGAAGCGAGAAAAGGAAATTAATATTTATTGAGTGCTATATGCCATATGCTCTGCTTAATGCTTGTTTAATTCTCACAGCAGCTGTTATTTTTCTGACTAGAGTCAGAGAGAACTCTCTTAAACTAGAACACAGTGCCTTTAGAGTTAGATCCATTAGGATTTACTCTCTTAGCACAGTGTAAATCGCCTTTGCTAATTTCTCTTTATCTTCCTAACTCTTCAGGAGTGGAACCCCAGGACTGACAGTAGCCCTCATGAAATATATCCCATTTGTGATTGTTAAATGCCATCTATTTGTTGATGCCTGCCAAATTTATACTTCCAGACCAGACATATAACCTGAACTCTGAACTTACCTGTATCCAGTGTCCTTTTTGATGTCTTCACTTGGGTGACAATAAATGTCTCCAACTGAACATGTCCCAAACTTCATTCTTTGTTTCCCCTTCCAAATATGTTCTTCCTATAGTCTTGCCTGTCTCGGTAAATGTCAACTTTGTTGTTCAAGTTGATCGTTGATCAGGCAAAAACCTTAGAGTCAGCCTTGATTCCTTTCTTTTGCTCATATGTGGATATAATCCCTGAGCAAAATTTGTCATTTCTCCCTTGAATACCTATACAGAATCTGAATACCTGAGTTAAGCCCACCATTCTGTCCTGCCTGGATTACTGCAGTAAAGTCCTCTGTCTCTTAGCTTCCACTTTTGCACATTACCATCAGTTCTCTACAGACCAATTTTGATACTTGTTTAAAATGTTCCAGTGGCTTTCAGCAGAGGACAATTCCTTATGACGACCCAAAGCCTTAACTGATCTGGCCCACCACTCCTTTCTGACTCCATCCCTCAGAACCAGCTCCACTGGCTTTCTTGCTACCAAATAATAGTTTTTGTAATTGCTCTTCCCTCTTCTATAAATGCTTTCCCTCAGATAGCCACGTGGCTCCTGACCCTTCCAGGGTTCTACTTAAATGTCATCTTATTAGCGAGGCCTTCCTCTACTACTTTGGAGAAGTAGCAGTTCCCTGCCTCCACTCCCCATTACTTCTCTGTTCCTCTTCATCTTTCCTATCCTGTTTTAAAACACTTTTTAGCCACACCTAACATCTTAGGAAGTATATCGATTTACACTCTACTTTCTTCAGTGGGATGTGAGCTTCATGCGGGCAGAGGTTGTATTTTGCTCTCTGCTGGGTTCCCAGGACTGGAGAGGTACCTGGCATATAGTGGAGGAACATAGTAAGGCCTAATTAATATTCACCGAGTGAGTGAATAATAGGTGAGCAGATAATTGAGTTTCTCTTTTTCCTCCCCCGCCCACAAAAAAAAGGAAAGTTCTTCACAGAATAATGAAATTTCTCTTTACTTTCTAATAGCTGCTGTTTTACTAATCTGGAGGTTTGTCATGTCTGTGTAATCTAAAATTTTGATTTCTGTAGTTTCTGATCTTCATTTAGCAACTATATTCATTTAAAGGTATCGTTGTTTAGCTGATTCAGCTCTTAGACTTTCAGGTAGTTAATGATTATCCTTGAAATAGGTTATCCATGAAATAAATCATGACCAAACCCACTTTTGTAAAGACAGCATTTCAGCCGTAATAGTGAGTCTTGTCAAGAGATTTTCTCTGAACGTCAAATTTTTAGTCCTTTTTATTCCTTTAATTGATATTTAGAATCCTGTCACAAAACTAGAACCATTTTTTTAAAAACCATAATTCTTTCAGTTTTAAATCTATTGATTTAAGGTTATAATGTGTATAATATTTCATTTGGGCATATTGATTTTATACTAATTAAGGGGCTATCTTCTGTATTTTAGAACTATTTAAAATATTATATTGGATTTCCACTATCCCCTCTAAAAGACAAAACCAAAGAAAAAAATTCGTTTCTGTTCAAATCAATCTATAGCTATACTTGATTTCGTGTTATTAATATGTCATTAATAAGCTCTGTCATGTTCAGCTATGGGATGGGGAAGTGTTCTTGTCTTCAGTTTATCAGGTTATTGGGGAGATTTGCGTACATGTACAGAAAATACTTAGAGAAAAAGGCCTCATGCCTTAGTTCAATAGCAGAGGTATATACAAGGTGCAGGGCTCAAGGAGAGAAGAAGTTGGTTTGGGGAAGAAGAAAGTAGTTAGTATCTTAGGCTTTGAGAAAGAGTTGATATTTGGACTTGAGACATTTTGTATTGAAAAAAGACAGAGATAGAGGTAGATGATGTGTTGGGAAATGGGATTTTCTTTGGAAAAAGTTTCAGTTTTTTGACAAAGAATTGCTAAAAAGGAAGTTGGATTAGATTAAGACTATAGCCCACTATGTTTCTCTAAAATAAGTTTTTTTTAAACAAAGTTTTAATTTTTTTGTTTTTTTAATTCACCAAGGCAAGCGAGTTTTTATCAGAGCCTATGTCAACAGCATTATTTCTCCTTTCTTTGGACATGCCTATTTCTTTGGAATATCCAAATATTCATGAAGCTGTTGTGGCCTATTTGGAACAGCTGAATTCTGAAAACTACAGTATTTATAAACGAACTGCAGAGGCCGTTTATTCAATTGAATGCACCTGTAACTTCCTGTCTGATATTGGGAAAGAGGTAAAAAGCTTTTTTAATATCTCTTTTAAATCCCTTTGACATATTTTGAAAATTTAATCTATACTTTTCAAATTGATGGACATATAATTAAATTGTCACAGGTGGGATACATTATTCCTGAGTGGGTCAATTATACATAACCTGTTATTTAACAGGTTAAAGTAAGGATATGATTTGTATAGAAGTAAAACGAAGACTTTAATTAATGGTGTATATTCCTAACATCAGTGATTTACAAAAAAGCAGTGGTTATTACAAATGTCTTAATATTTAATAATGAGTACCTCTATTAAGTGACTTACTGATATGAACTGAATGACAGTTGATGTAACCAAAATTATAAGGGCTATTTTAGTGCTTACTTGTAGACATATTTTTGCCTCAATATTTTATAGATAGTTCTTACATATATATAAAGGCTGATTTTTGAAATATATTAAGTACAGTGATGAACTACATTGTTTATAATGTATTAGGATGACTTTATGGCAGTGTTACAGCAATAATTATGTGTCGGTATTTATCCCTTTTAAAAATACTATTAGAATATTAGTATGTTATCAATGAAAGGGTTAATGGGTCTTAGAGACAGACATTGATACAAGAGTTGTTTATTGTTTGAAAATAAGGACATGGATCCTGAAGATCTTGAAGAATTAGGGATAAAATTCTTACTCATTTTGGTGCCTACAGTAGAATCTATCTGAACCTATTTATTTTCTTTGAATTTTTTTTTTTTTTGACAGCCTTCTCAGTTGCCTAGGCTACAGCCTTGATCTCTTGGGCTCCAGCAATCCATCTGCCTTGGCCTCCTAAGCAACTAGTACTATAGGCACATGCTACCACACCTGGCTAATATTTAAATTGTTTTGTAGAGATGAGGTCTCACTGTGTTGCCCAGGCTGGTCTTGAACTCCTGGCGTCAAGCTGTCCTCCCACCTTGGCCTCCCAAAATGCTAGGATTAAAGGTGTTAGCCACCGTGCCTGGCCTTGAACTTGATATTTATGATTTTTCTTACTTACCACTGTAGTTTGTTTTTTTTCCCCTTTCCTTTTGCCATGTTAGTACCACTGTCTTCTTGTTTTCTCTGTGATAGAATTTTGAATTGTGTCTTTAAGTTGAAGTATTTCTGTGGCTTTTTTTTTTTTTTGAGACGAAATCTCACTCTGTCTCCCAGGCTGGAGTGCAGTGGTGCAGTCTTGGCGCACTGCAAGCTCCACCTCCCGCCTCAGCCTCTCAAGTAGCTGGGATTACAGGCTCGTGCCACCACAACCAGCTAATTTTTTGTATTTTTAGTAGAGACGGGGTTTCGCCATGTTGGCCAGGTTAGTCTTGAACTCCTGACCTCAAGTGATCTGCCCGCCTCGGCCTCCCGAAGTGCTGGGAGCCACTGGGTCTGGCCTCTGTGGCATTTTGTGTGGTCAGTTAATCACACATGTGTTCAATGTCCTGTGTGTTCCTAGTGGTCAGGCTGCTACAAGAGGCAGGTTTATAATAAAATAAATACATTAGCCCTACTTTTATTAGGGGAGGTAGAGCTACAAAGAAGTAATCAAAGAACCAGGCAACTTGATTGTAACTTTAAGCTTACTCAGAGTTAAATAATAGAAAGTCTCATGTGGCATTTAGCTAGGGAATTTTCCTACATTTCTCCACCTCGGCTGACATTTTTAGGTTGCTTGATGAGAAAGTGGACTTAAACAAATGTAAACAGTCTCATGGTCTCTGAATGGTCTAATTTCTTGAAGCTGCTTAGTTAGCTGTTGAGAATATCATTGCACATGAACTTGACATTTATTGTTCCATTCTGCTTCTTTTGTAGGGAGAGAAGAATCTCTTAGAATTAGTGGAGCTGGCAGACCAAGCCTTGCGTAGCTTTTCCTATCATCAGCATTTCCCGCTAATAAAGGAAATCATCAGCATTTGTTCAAAGATGTAATATTTTCTTTCTTAATGTGATTACGTTATTATTGGACACTTAGGGTGTGTGTAAACTTAGAAACAGTGAAAGTGAAACTGACTGTATATCTTTGTTATTATTTTTTAGTTTAATTGCTTTTATATGTGTCTGATTTTTAAAGGGTATATGTACAGCTGCATTAGGATACTTAACTGTTATATTCAAGATTAAACTTCAAAAATGTCATGCCTACAATCAAAATGAATAATCCTTGGATTTTTATACATTTGTTTTTGGTATCCATCCAGACTATTCACACACATTGTTTATTTATCTTTAAAGTTTTAATTAATAACTTAAACTGAGAGTTTTGTAACTTTTATTACTTTGTACCTTTTTCTTATGTGGATTTTTAGAAAAGACTGTGTATTGGTTAATTTATTTTGAGGACATCAGCAAATTTCTATTTAGAACTTAGTGTCTTTATTGCTTTTGGAAAGAATAAATTCTGTGATGTGATAATCATTAACTGAGTAGGGGATTTTAAAGACATTTTGGGTTTTTAAAAATACTCTTTAAGACAGAACCTCCTCTGCCCTGAAACAAATAAGTGCTTAGGTGAGTACTTGCTAGTATTGGTTATTTTTAATAAGATCTCAGTTTGAGGAGTTGGAGTAGGAAGAAATCCCTTCCAGTATGCTTTGCAGTCTTTTGCTTACTAACTTACTTGCCTCACATGTCTTGGTTGTTTTACCTTTTCACCAGCTGGAAATCTGCTCAGGCCAGTCCATTACTACAAGGAGAAAGTCAGAAGGTGCTTCTCCATATGTTGTCTCACCCATTGCCACGAGTGAAAGCTGAAACTTACCACTGCTGTCTGGAAATCACGAAGGTGAGGTTTTGTTTTTTCGTATGTTTTGTTTTTGAGAACAAATAGTAGACTCTCTTGTTATACCTTCAAACTTAATTTACTTGACCTTTTGTATGAGATATAAGAACTATATCCCATAAAAGTAGATGATAATTACTAGTCAATTCTGGAAAATTTGTACTATTAAATTCTCTTAACTTAGTAAGTCCAGCAATTGAATTGCTTTATTTGAAGTTTTATTAAGAATTACATTTATGTTGTATTAATGATGGAAAAATTATAAGGAAAATTGATTTCCAGGTATTCAAAAGTGATTTCTATGCCCAGGAAACCTTTTAGGTTGTTGTGGCCTAGATTTTATGGTTTTAATTCTGTTTTTTTTAATGTTATTTTTTATTTTTCTTTTCTTTTGAAATATTTATTTTTCTGTCTTCTTAAATGATAAAATATTTCAGCATAGAATATTAAATATTTCAATATTGAAAAGAACACTGTACATAGGACAATATTTAAAAGTATATATATTACTGCGTACTCTTGAAAGTGTCCTTTTGTATTTAACACTCTTGTAAGTACTATTTGGTTATAATAAGTGTTTACATTTTGCCATTTTTACTTCTGATTCATTTTTATTCAAAGAAAAATACTAGTTATAGAGGAAGCTTCTTTGCTTTCTCTTCTCCCACCAGCATAGCCTAGCCACTCTTACACAGCTGGTGTATATTCTTCCCATCCAGTTGTTGTATATTATTTATAAAGCTGTATCTTTATATATAAATATTATCTTTAAATAATTTAAAGAATTTTATATATAGCATGATTAGTATATATAGCAGGATTTGAGATTTGCCTAGTTCATTCACCTTAACTGCTATTAAGTTTGAATATACTTCCTTTTATTGAATGATAAATATTTAGGTTCAGTCTCCTTTTTATTGAAGTAAGTTTTTCAGTATTTTCAGTGACAGTCTGTGACTGTGTGCATACGTTTGAAAATGTCATGATTTCACTTTATTTTGAATAGTAATTTGGCTGCATATAAAATACAGGTTGACTGCTAGTTTTTATTAGCACTTTGCCAGTATTGCTTAATTCTTATTCGGCTTCTATCATTGTTGAGAAGTCTGATATCAGTTAATTATGATTTCTTTTAATTTTTTTCTCTAGTTTGTTTTAAAATATTTTCCTTTTCTGTGGTGCCCTGCGGTTTCATTAAAATATGTCTCCATGCATACATGATTTTCCATTTATCTTGCTTAGGACTTTTCGCTTTGAACACTCCATCTGCCTTCACTTCTGTATAATTCTTGGTCATGCTTATTTTGAATATTGCTTTTCTCTTATCCTTGCTGTTTTCTCCAAGTGGAACTCTTATTAGACCTGTGTTAGACCTTCTTAGTTTACCCTTTGTGTCTTTTAAGCCTTCTTTCATATTTTCCACATCTTTTTAGGTTTTATTTGGGTAGAATTTCTCAGTGTTATCCTTTCAGTACACTAATTCTTTCCTCAGCTTTGTCTAATTTACTTTTTTTGATGGTGATATGTATATATAACATAAAATTTATTTTAGGCCAGGTGTGGTGGCTCATGCCTGTAATCCCAGCATTTGGGAAGGCCAAAGCAGGAGGATCACTGGAGCCCAGGAGTTTGAGACCAGCCTGGGCAACATAGGGAAATCCTGTTTGTACAAGAAAAAAAAAAAAAATAGCTGGGCATGGTGGCATGTGCCTGTAGTCCCAGCTACTTGGGAGGCTGAGGCAGGAGGATTGCTTGAGACTGGGAGGTCAAGGTACAGAGAGCTGTGATCATGCCACTGCACTCAAGCCTAGGCAACAGAGTGAGTACTTCATTTCTGGAAAAAAAAAAAAAAAAGGAAAAAATTTTACCATTTTAACTATGTTCTGAGTGTACAATTCAGTGGCATAAGTACATTCGTATTGTTGTACCATCATCACCATTACCCATCTCCCAAATTGAAACTTTATAGTCATTAAACAATAACTCCTCATTCTCCCCTTCTCCCAGCCCCTGACAGCCACCTTTCTACTTTCTGTCTCTATGAATTTGAGGTCCCTAGGTAACTCATATAAGTAGAATCATACAGTGTTTGTCTTTTTGTTACTGGCTTATTTCACTTAATATAATGTTCTCAAGGCTCATCCATGTTGTAACATGTATCAACATTTCATTCCTTTTTAAGACTTAATAATAATCTATTGTCTGTATATATGAACACTCCAATTCTGAAAATCCAAAATCTAAAAGGCTCCACAATCTGACACTTTTCGAGTGCCGAAATGACACTTAAAGGAAATGCACGTTGGAGCATTTCCAGTTTTGAATTTTCAGATTAGGGATGCTCAACTGGAAAGTATAATGCAAATATTAAGAAATCCAAATAATTTCAAAATCTGAAACACTTCTGGTCCCAAGCATTTCAGATAAGGGACACTCATCCTATACTACATTTTGTTTATTCATCCGTTGATAGGCATTTGGGTTGTTTCCATCTTTTTGCAATTGTTTATATACCCAGAAGTGGAATTGGTAGATCACACAGTAATTCTGTGTTTAATTTTTGAGGAATTGCCCTACTGTTTTCCACAGTGACTGTACTATTTTATGTTCCCACTGGCAGTGCCAAGGATTCCAGTTTCTCTTCATCCTTGGCAATACTTTTTATCTGGATTTTTTTTTTTTTTGAGATGGAGTCTCGCTGTGTCACCAGGCTGGAGTGCAGTGGCACAATCTTGGCTCACAGCAACCTCTGCCTCCCGGGTTCAAGTGATTCTCCTGCCTCAGCCTCCCAAGTAGCTGGGACTACAGGCGTGCATCACCATGCCCAGCTAAGTTTTGTATTTTTAGTAGAGATGGGGTTTCACCATGTTGGCCAGGATGGTCTCGATCTCTTGACCTCATGATCCACCCACCTCGGCCTCCCAAAGTGCTGGGATTACAAATGTGAGCCACCGTGTCTGGCCTTGTTTTTTTTTTTTTTTTTTTTTTTTTTTTTAATAATAGTAACCATCCTAATGGGTGCAAAGTCATTTCCCATCATAGTTTTTTTTAAATTTATCAAGTTTTGATTATCACTTATACTGTTTTTCATGTCTATACCTTTTCTTTGCTTTCTTTAACTGACTTGTTCTTTTTTCATGTAATCTTTCATTAGTTTCTGTTTTTTTTTTTTTTTTTTCAACTTTTATTTTAGGGTTGGGGGTACATGTGCAGGTTTGTTACATGGGTAAATTGTGTGCTGCTGGGGTTTGGTGTACAAATGATTTTGTCAGCCAGGTAGTGAGCATAGTACCCAATAGGTAGTTTTTTGATCCTCACCCTCTGATATGGTTTGTCTTTGTGTCCCCACCCAAATCTCATCTTGAATTGTAATTCTGTAATCCCCACGTGTCGTGGGAGGGACCCAGTGGGAGGAGGTAATTGGAATCATGGGGGCAGTTTCCCCCATCCTGTTCTTCTAACAGTGAGTGAGTTCTCATGAGATCTGATGGTTTTATAAACATCTGGCATTGTCTCTGCTGGCATTCTGTCTCTCTCCTGCCGCCCTGTGAAGAGGTGCCTTCTGACATGATTATTTCCTGAGACTTCCTCAGCCATGCAGAACTGTGAGTCAATTAAACTTCTTTCCTTATGTATTACCCAGTCTCGGGTATGTCCTTATAGCAGTGTGAGAATAGGCTAATACGTTCTCTTCCCACCTTCCCTTGTGAAGTAGGCCCCACTGTCTGTTGTTCCCATCTTTGTATCCATGTGTATACGCAGTGTTTAGTTCCCACTTCTAAGTGAGAATGTGCTGTATTTGGTTTTTCTGTGTTAATTCACTTAGGATAATGGCCTCTGGTTGCATCCATGTTGCTGCAAAAGACATTATTTTATTCTTTTTTAATGGCTGAGTAGTTTTCCATGATGTATATGTACCATAGTTTCTTTATCCAATCCACTGTTGATGGGCATCTAGGTTGATCCCATGTCTTTGCTATTGTGAGTAATGCTGCAGTGAACATCTGGGTTCATGTGTCTTTCTGGTAGAAAGATTTATATTTTTTTGGGTCTATACCCAGTAAGGGATTGCTAGGTCAAATGGTAGTTCTGTTTTAATTTCTTTGAGACATCTCCAAACTGTTTTCCACAGTGACTGAACTAATTTAAATTCCCACAAGCAGTGTATAGGGCTTATAGTACTGTGTTCCCTTTTCTCTCCAACCTTGCCAACACCTGTTATTCTTTTACTTTTTAATAATAGCCATTCTGACTGGTATGAGATGATATCTCATTGTGGTTTTGATTTGAATTTTTCTAATGATTAGTGATATTGAGCATTTTTTCATGTGTTTGTTGACCGTGTGTATGTCTTCTTTTGAGAAGTGTCTGTTTATGTCCTTTGCCCATTTGTAATGGGGTTATTTGTTTTTTACTTGTTGATTTAAGTTCCTTATAGATTCTGGATATTAGACCTTTGTCACATGCATAGTTTGCAAATATTTTCTCCCATTCTGTAGGCTTTTTACTTAGTTGATATTTTTACTTAGTTGATAGTTTCTTTTACTGTGCAGAAACTTTTTAGTTTCATTAGGTCCCACTTATCTATTTCTGTTTTTGTTGCAATTGCTTTTTTTGGAGACTTCATCATGAAATATTTTCCAAGACCTGTGTCCAGAATGGTATTTCCTAGGGTTGTTATAGTTTTAAGTCTTACATTTAAGTCTAATCCATTTTGAGTTGATTTTTATATATGGTGAAAGGAAGGGGGTCCAGTTTCAATCTTTTGAATACGCCTAACCAGTTATTCCAGCACTGTTTACTGAGTAGGGAGTTATTTCCCCGTTGTTTGTTATTGTTGTCTTTTCAAAGATCAGATGGTTGTAGGTGTCTGGCTATATTTTTGTGTTCTCTAACCTGTTCTAGTGGCCTGTGTATCTGTTTTTGTACCAGTACCATGCTGTTTTGGTTACTGTAGCCCCATAGTATAGTTTGAAGTCAGGCAGTCTGATGCCTCCAGCTTTGTTCTTTTTGCTTAAGTTTGCTTTGGCTATTCGGTCTCTTTTTTTGGTTCCATATAAATTTTAGAATGGTTTTTTCTAATTCTGTGAAGAATGACATTGGTAGTTTGATAAGAATAGTGTTGAATCTGTAAATTGCTTTGGGAAGTATGGCCATTTTAACAATATTGATTCTTCCTATTCATAAGCAGAGAATGTTTTTCCATTTGTGTCATCTCTGATATCTTTCTGCAGTGTTTTACAATTCTCATTGTGATTTGGCTCTGAGCTTGGATGTTATTGGAGTACAGAAATGCTACTGATTTTTGTACATTGATTTTATATCTTGGAACTTCACCGAAGTCATTTATCAGTTCTAAGAACTTTTGGGCAGAGAATATGGTTTTTTCTTTTTTTTTTTTTTTTTTCAGGTATAGAATCATCTGTGAAGAGAGAGAGTTTAACTTCCTCTTCCTATTTGGATGCCTTTTATTTTTCTTGCCTGATTGATCTGGCTAGGCCTTCCAATAGCATATTGAATAGAAGTGGTGAGAGTTGGCATCTTTGTCTTGTTCTGGTTCTCAAGGGGACTGTTTCTAGCTTTTGCTTGTTCAGTATGATACTGGCTGTGGCTTTGTCATGGATAACTCATTATTTTGAGGCTTCAATGCCTAGTTTGATGAGGGTTTTTAACAAGAAGGAATGTTGAATTTTATCAAAAGCCTTTTCTGTGTCTGTTGAGATGATCATGTGGTTTTTCTTTTTGGTTCTGTTTATGTGATGAATCACATTTATTGATTTGCATATGTTGAATCAACCTTGCATCCAGTGGATAAGGCATACTTGATCGTGGTGGATTAGCTTTTTGCTGTCCTGCTGGTTTCAGTATACCAATATTTTGTTGAGAATTTTTACATTTATGTCCATCAGAGATATTGGCCTGAAGTTTTCTTTTTTTGTTGTGTCTCTGCTAGGGTTTGGTATCAGGATGATGCTGGCCTCATAGAATGAGTTAGGGAGGAGTCACTCCTCCTTCATTTTTTGGAATAATTTCAGTAGGATTGGTAACAGTTCTTTTTACATTTGGTAGAATTTGGCTGTGAGTTTGTCTGGCCCAGTGTTTTTTTCTGGTTGGTAGGCTTTTTTTATTTTTTAATGACTGATTCAACTTTGGAGGAACACATTACTGTTCTGTTCATGGTTTTAATTTCTTTCTGGTCCAATCTTGGGAGTTTGTATATTTCCAGAAATTTATCCATTTCTTCTAGGCTTTCTATTTGGTATGCATAGAGTTTTTCTTAATGGTCTCTGAGGGTCTTTCTGTGGGGTCAGTGATAATGTCACTTTTGTCATTTCTGATTGTGTTTATTTGGATTGTCTCTTTTTTTCTTTATTAATCTAGCTAATGATATATCAATCTTGTATATTCTTTTGGAGAACCAAAATTTGGTTTTGTCGATCTTTTGTGTGAATTTTTGTGTCTCAGTTTCATTCAGTTCAGCCCTGATTTTGGTTCTTCTGCTAGCTTTCAGGTTGGTTTGCTCCTGCTTTTCTAGTTCCTCTAAGTGTGGTGTCAGGTTGTTAGTTTGCAATCTTTCTAACTTCTTCATATAGGCATTTAGTGCTGTATAGTTTCCTCTTAACACTGCCTTAGCTGTGTTCTAAAGATTCTGATATATTGTGTTTCTGTTTTTGTTAGTTTCAAAGAATTTTATGATTTCTGCCTTAATTTCATTCTTTACTCAAAAGTCATTCAGGTGCAGGTTGTTTAAGTTCCCTGTAATTGTATCATTTTTGAGAGATCTTCTTGGTAATAATTTCTATTTTTATTGCACTGTGGCCTGAGAGTGTGGTTGGTATGATTTCGGTTTTCTTGAATTTGTTGAGAATTGCTTTACAGCTGAGTGTGTGGTTGATCTTAGAGTGTGTGCTGTGTGCAGATGAGAAGAATGTGTTTTGCTTTTGTTGAGTGGAGTACTCTGTAGAGTCTCCTAGGTCCATTTGGTCAGGTGTCGAGTTTAGGTCCCAACTATTTTTGTTAGTTTTCTGCCTCAGTGATTTGTCTAACACTGTCAGTGGGGTGTTGAAGTCTCCCACTATTATTTTGTGGTTGTCTAAAACTCTGTAGGTCTCTAAGAACTTGTTTTATGACTGGGTGCTCCAATGCTGGGTGCATTATATTTAGGATAGTTAAATCTTCTTGTTGAATTGAACCCTTTATCATTATGTAATGCCTTTCTTTATCCTTTTGATCATTGTTGGTTTAAAGTCTGTTTTGTCTGAAATAAGAAGAGCAACTCCTGCTCTTTTTTTGTTTTCTGTTTGCTGGATAGATCTTTATCTCCATTCTATTACTTTGAGCATGTGGGTGTCACTGCATGTGAGTTGGGTCTCTTGACAGCATATAGTTGGGTCTTGGTTCTTTATCCAGCTTGCCACTCTGTGCTTTTTAAGTGGGGTGTTTAGCCCGTTTATGTTCAAGGTCAGTATTGATATGTGAGGATTTGATTCTGTCGCCATGTTGCTAGCTGGTTGTTACGTAGACTTGATTGTATAGTTGCATCATAGTGTCAGTGGGAGATGTATTTTAGTGTGTTTTTGTGGAGGCAGGTAATGGTCTTTTGCTTCCTTTTTTAGCACTCCATTGAGGACCCCTTGTAAGTCAGGTCTCATGGTAATGAATTCCCTGAGCGTTTGCTTCTCTGAAAATAATTTTGTTTTTCCTTTGCTTATGAAGCTTAGCTTGGCTGGATATGAAATACTTGGTTTGAATTTCTTTAAGCATGCTGATTATAGGTCCCCAATCTTTTCTGGCTTGTAAGGTTTCTGCTGAAAGGTCTGCTGTTAGCCTGATGGAGTTCTTTTTATATGTGACCTGCTCTTTCTTTCTAGCTTCCTTTTAAGATTTTTTCTTTCCTGTTGACCTTGGAGAATCTGATGACTATGTGTCTTGGGGGTGGTCATCTTGAATAGTATCTCACTGGGGTTCTCTGAGTTTCCTGAATTTGCTTATTGACCTGCCTAGTGAGGTTGGAGAAATTTTCGTGGAAAATATCCACAAATATGCCTTCCAAGTTGCTTGCTCTCTCTCCTTCTCTTTCTGGAATGCTGATGGGTGTTAGGTTCGTTTTGTTTACATAATCCCATATTTCTTGAAGTTTTTTTTTTTAATTCTTTTTTCTTTATTTCTGTTTGCCTGTGATGATTCAAAGGAGTAGTCTTTGAGCTCTGAGATTTTTTTCCTCAGTTATGTTATTAATGCTTCCAATTGCATTATGAAATTCCTATCATGAAATTTTTGTTTCCAGAAGTTCAGTTTTGTTCTTACTTAAAATGTTTGTGTCAGATCCAATCATGGATCAAACCACCATTTTACTGGTTTCCATGGGTGGGGCTTCAGCCTTCTTCTATATCTTGTCGAGCTTCCTTGCCTTCCAGCTTCTGAATTCTGTCATTTTAGCCATTTCAGTTTGGTTAAGAACGATTGCTGGGGAGCTAGTGTGGTTATTTGAAAATAAGAAGACATTCTGGCTTTTAGAATTGCCAGAATTCTTACACTGTTTTTTTCTTACCTGTGTGGGCAGATGTTCCTTTAATCTTTGAAGTTGCTGTACTTTGGATGGGGCCTTTTGCTTTTATATTATTTGATGCCATTGAGGATTTTACTGTGGTATAAGTTGGGATTAGTCAATTGGCTTGGTTTCTGTGTGCTTTCAGGGCCAGAGCTCAGCTCAGCACCCCTGGGCTGTGTGCTCTAACCCTGGGGGTGCACTGAACAGGCCAGTGGCTTTGATTTCTGGTCCCTTGAGGTCAAGCATCTGCTGCACTGGAGGAGCCGAGATGTTCCCAGACTGCTGGCAACAACTTTCCGATGGTGACTGCCCGAGAAAGTGCTCTGGGGGGGCGTGGGGCGGTGCTTTGGGAGAGTGCACTTGTGGTGGGGGTAACCATGGGCAAGTGCGCACTGGCAGGGGAGGCTGCAGGCAAGTGCACACCAGTAGGTATTGGCTGTGGGTGGGTGTGTGCTTGCAAAAGCGCTCTGACAGGAAGGCAGAGGCTGTTGGCAAAAGACCTATGGGGTGGCTGTTGGGGAGCATTTCGGCAGGGCAGCTGAGGCTGTGTTGCAAGCTAGTGAGACAGACAGGACCCTTTGAGAGGCTGGCAGACAGGGTGGCATTCAGATCAGGTTGGCCCAGTCTTGTGGGAAAGATAGCCCTGCTCTTTCTACTTCTGGCAGCGAACTAAGGCTAAAGCCACCTAGAGGAGTATATCAAGATTTGGGTGATGGGCACCTATCAGGGAACCTGCCCCAATAGTCACGTAGTTTCTTTTCTGTTTTCCCTAAGTGTCGGCTGGGTTGGGAAATAAAGGGACAGAGTACAAAAGAGGGAAATTTTAAAGCTGGGCGTCCGGGGGAGACATCACATGTCGGTGGGTTCCGTGATGTCCCACAAGCTGCAAAACCAGCAAGTTTTTATTAGGGACTTTCAAAAGGGGAGGGAGTGTACAAATAGGGTGTGGGTCACAAAAATCACGTGCTTCACAAGGTAATAGAATATCACAAGGCAAATGGAGGCAGGGCGAGATCATAGGACCGCAGGACCGCAGGCAAAATTAAAATTGCTAATGAAGTTTTGGGCACCATTGTCATTGATAACATCTTATCAGTAGACAGGGTTTGAGAGCAACCGGTCTGACCAAAATTTATTAGATGGGAATTTCCTCTTCCTAGTAAGCCTGGGAGCGCTATGGGAGACTGGGGCTTATTTCACCCCTACAGTCTCGACCATAGAAGACGGCCACACCCAAGGGGGCCATTTTAGAGACCCACCTTCAAGGGCACATTCTCTTTCTCAGGGATGTTCCTTGCTGAGAAAAAGAATTCAGTGATATTTCTCCCATTAGCTTTTGAAAGAAGAGAAATATGGCTCTGTTCCACCCGGCTCACCGGCAGTCAGAGTTTAAGGTGATCTCTCTTGTTCCCTGAACGTTGCTGTTATTCTGTTCTTTTTTCAAGGATCCCAGATTTCATATTGTTCAAACACACATGCTCTACAATTTGTGCAGTTAACGCAATCATCACAGGGTCCTGAGGCGACATACATCCTCCTCAGCTTACGAGATGACAGGATTAAGAGATTAAAGTAAAGACAGGCATAGGAAATCACAAGCGTATTTATTGGGGAAGTGATAAGTGTCCATGAAATCTTCACAATTTATGTTTAGAGATTGCAGTAAAGACAGGCATAAGAAATTATAAAAGTATTAATTTGGAGAACTAATAAATGTCCATGAAATCTTCACAATCCACATTCTTCTCCCATGGCTTCAGCCGGTCCCTCCGTTCGGGGTCCCTGACTTCCCGCAACAGGCACCTATGGCCATGCCCCATTGCAGCCATTACTGCGCCAGACCCTCTGGGCTCTGTGCAGACTGGCATTCTGTCTCTGGCAACTCATTGGGCAGTTCTCCCTTGCAACTCAAAGGTCTGTGCAGGTCATGGGGTCTCCCATAGTTAGGATCCTAGAGGATCGTTGCAAGAGTGGGCTGCTCCATGCCTGTTGCACTTGCCACTTCCCTAAGAGCTGCTCAAGGCCAGGAACAAGTCCTCTAGTTTCTTCTTTTGTGTTGTTGTGAATTTTAAACATATTTATTTTATAATCTTGTTTAGATTATGGTATTAGAATCCTCCCACTTGTTATGGCTATTGAATCTTCCTTATGTTGTTTATTTTAGCAGATACTGTTATTTTGATTTTCAGGTCTTCTTTGGCAGGGTAGCTTTTTCTTGTGATCTTGTATTCTCTAGATGGTGGTTGTATATTTGTTTCTGCCTTGCCTTTAGGGATTTGACAGTTAGTGGTGATGCACCTTGGAAGGGGTTTGTAATGAAGTTACATTTTCATTTGTGTATGTTGAAATAATAAAAAGAATCAGAGGAGGAAAGATTGAAGATAGTGGGTAGCAAGTAGCTAATTAAAAGAAGCTAGTGCCTTTGAAAGTTGAAGGCGGTGGGACCTTGAACATGATGGCTAATTGGGGTTAGGTGGGCTTAGATATCACAGGAAGTTGCAGGAGCCTCCTTCTATTGAGTCTGTATTTTCTTTGAGATTGAAAGTGAGATGTTGAATGTGTGAAATGACTAATATGAGTAGATATTTGATAATATCAAATAGTAGCATTTTTGGGCTGCATGAAGAGCTTAGTCAATTGTGTCTATAATCTTAATAGGGAGACTCTTCTACTTTGCATGTTTATCTTTGGCTAGCTGGTGTGGTTTCTGGGAATGTGAACCTTGCGATCAATCAAGGGTTGAGTTATTTCATTGCTGTCGGGGAGGAGGGAATGCCTGTGGTGCAAGTGAGCTGAGTAGTTGAAATGACATGTCGACTGTAGAACCAAAGGCTGTAAAGACTACAGGGAAGAAAGTAGAAGGGTTTATGGACTGGAGGTCAAAGAAGGACCATATTTCAAGTTGAGTAAGAAGATTAGAAACCTACATTTATGATTTTAGAGGTAGAACAAGTGAAAAGAGAAGGGGTCCTCAGTTATAGGGCAGGTGAGTATCATTGAGATAAATAGGTCAAGAAACTAAGATCACTGTATTTGGGATAGTTATTATACCCCGAAATTTAAAATGGTGGAATACGATTTGATATCTTTCTTGAGGCAGATTTTAAATAATTATTGGAAATAAAAATTTTTGCAGATAGGAAAATATTTGGTGTAAATTGAGTTATTGATGTATATGATCATTTTGGTATATGATGAATTTCAAGTAGGAATAATCTGGATGTTAATTTTTTAGAGGAGTTCTAAAAAATTAACATCCAGATAATTTTTCCTGTCATAGAATGATAGGAAAAAAGGAATGTCAGAAATAAATATGTATGTGTCAGTTTCGAATTTGTTTTTAAAAAAAATGCACTGAATTTTAGTAATTTTGAAAATTCTAAATTTTAATATACTATAGTTTTTATAACCAAGTGTCATACATTTTGTTGCAAAATTTAAACTGAAAGAATATTTTTTGTTAAAACTCGCCTTATTATCCTAGTTGTAGAAGGAGATAAAATAAAAGAATGTGAACTTTCATTTAATGTTTTATTTTCTTGTTAACTATTTGGAAATTTATATTAGTTGACACTGTTCTTGCAAAATATTGTGATTTTTCTTTTGTCACAAAAGATAATCATCTGTATAGTGCAATGTGGTTTTAAAAAATTCATGTGTATTTACTATCAGGGAGTTATAATAATCCAAGTCAAAAGCTCCAAATGATGAGATTTCTTGTAGTTAGCCCCTGTGTCATAAAGATATAGTATCTTGGTTTGGATATAAGGATTTGTAAAGGCATTTCACTTTAATTGGCTATGTCTGTCAGATGATATTATTCCAGTGTCTTCTGGTAAATCTCCAAGGCATTGCTGCAGCTTTACCTACCTAAATGTAGGAGCGTGCTAGTAATGTGGAGGTTACTTTTTCTGAAGAGGCAAGTTAGCTTTTTATTGTAAGACTTAACTTTGAGGACGGTATGGTAAAGAGGTAAAATAGCTTTTAAATTTAGGGATGATTAAATGGCCACCACTTCCATGTTACCTACATCTAACATTCATTTAGCAATATTTACTGGACACTTTACCATATGCTAGACTGTAGTGATATAAAGTACAGAAAAGAGCCTTATCAGAGAGCTTATATTCTGATAGGGGACAGAGAGAGATGTATGTAATAATTAAGAAAAATTCCTTAAATACATAAAAAGTATGTATGTGTATGTGTGTGTGTATATATGTATATATAGTTTTCTTTATAACACTATATGTATAGAATATGTATATATATATATAGTTTACAACACTGCATATACATTCAATGTATATAGTGTTTTAAATAAAATAGTGTTGTAAAGACAATGAAAGGATAAAGGACTAGAGAATGACTAGTAACGTGGACTAAATTTATGTAGGCTGGCTAGGGAGGGAGGGAGAATTTCTAGCCCGAGGAAACAACAGGTGAAAAGCCTCTGCTTTTCAGGTGAGAATGTACTTTGCGTGTTTCACGAACAAAAAGAAGGGCAGTATAATGAGATAATAGAAAAATGGTACCAGATTGGGTCTGAAAAGTAGGCAGGGTGCCAAACATTATAAAGCTATGAATTGTATTCTAAGTACAGTGAGATGCTATGAATGATTTTAACGTGATCTGATGATCTTTCTGAAAAGATCACTCTCCCATTGTGGGGAATGGATTGTAGGGGGTCAGGATGGAAGCAAGAAGACCAGTTTCATTGTAGTAGCCCTGATGAGATGTGGTGGTGTAGTGGAGATGAAGAGAAGGAAATGAATTTAGGAGGTATTACGGACGTGGAGCTAATTGGTCTTGCTGATAATGAGAGTAGGAGATAGAGAGTGATCAAGGATGAATTTTAAGGTTTTGGATCTAGCAGTTGGATTGATGTCCCAAATATGGGATTGTGGATTGGGTAGAATTCTGTTTTGAACCTAAGTTTGACATGCCTTTTTATATCAAGTGCATATGTTAAGTAGACTGTTAAATATAATAATGCTAATGCTAATAATTTCATTGATAATGATAGCAGCTAACATTTATTGAGCATTTACTCTTATGTATCAAGTACTTTTATAAGTATATTATCTCATTGAATCCTCCTAACAGCTCTGTGAGCTAGGTACTACCTCTTTCTGAAAACGGAGATACTTTGAATTTGTCCAAGGTCATTCAACTAAAAGTGGTGAAACTGGGCTTTGAACCCTATAGGCTCACTCCAAAGCCCATATTCTTAAGCATTGCACCACACTACCTTTGGAGTGTGGAGCCCAGATTAGGTATAAAATTTTCAGTCATCAGCTTAGAGATGATATTAAAGCCACAAGCCTTGATAGGATCAACTACTGAGAGACTAGGGAAGAGAAGGCTGTCTAGGATCTAACCAGTTAGAAGTTGGGAACAGAGGGAGCCAGAAGTGGAGACAGAGGTTAGAAGGAAGAGTCACATGAGAACAGAGATGAACACGTTGGATTTGGCATCGTTGAGGTTGTTGGTGTCCTCTATGAGAAGCTCCTGTGGAATGGTAGGAACCTAAGTCCTGCTGATGTGCATTGAAGAGGGTTTGGCAAATGAGGAAGTACTGACTGAGGACAGCGAACTCTTGTGAGGACTCGTGGTGGGAAGGAGAGCTGAAAAATGAATTGTTATCAAGAGGAGAAAGCCAGGGCCATAGACACATTAGAATATGTCATATGGTGATTAGAATAATCATGTGAAGAAAAATAAAGGTGCTGGAGAAAAATAAGACAATTTTAGGAAGTAAATCTTGGTTTCAGAAGGGGATAGTCACAGTTTAGATGGTAGATAAGTATCTTAAGGAAGTAGGTGACAGCTATTGTTTAGGGCTGAGGCTTTAGATCTTTGAAAACCTTGTAATATGAACGAAGTTGCTGTCTGTGGCATGAAGTTAACAGTTGAAAGAAAAATAATGTATGCAAATACATATGTGAGTGTATGTGTGTAACTTTTTGACCTTTGAATTGTTGATAATAGGAAGTAGAAATTTGCAGAATGAAAAAAAGTAGTATTCATGTAACTCATTATTTATTGTATTTTTACCTTCTATATTGTATTTAAATTCCATTAATATTTCAAGTAGCTTTTTTTCCCCTCTCACCTTAAATAGCTGCTAACAAAATACTATTCTCTATCACATATTGAGAAAAAAATTCCTGATAGTTACTCTAAGTGTTGGTTCAAAGTAATTGTATTTTAGGTACATAGCTGTATTGATGATAACTTTATATAATCATATATATATCACATATATAGGACATAAATATGTAGCATAAAAAATTATATATAATAGGTATATTATATATAAAATATGTATTCTTTATATTCTATATATATAGAATATAAATATATATAGTATATAAAGTTATGTCTCCCATAACTTGAAGTCCTTGAAGTCTTTTCATGTTGAATTTTTCTTTCCCAACCTTTGTAAGTAAAATGCAAACACCTTAGGATAAGTTTCTTACTGTGTTTATGTCCTTTGTGTCTGTCATGATGAATTAACTTTAAGAGATTATGGTTGTCTCAGCCGTTTGTTTACTTAATTTATCATGATTATGCTTGTGGCAGAAAGTAATATAATATGTATCTCCTACAAACTAAGAAACTGTTAGACAGGAGAATCTTTTTCATTCTGTCTTGTTAAAAAAAGTTTCAATGAAGTAAAAACTAAAATAGAAATGGGATTGTAAACAGAAGAAAGATGGATCTTTTGGAAAAATCAGTGTTGCTAATTTAAAAATACTTTTTAATATTATTTTACAGGAATGTTTAGGTGTCCATAATGTCACTAAACCCGTGTCTTCACTTTGCAATGGAATTCATTTTCTACTTCATCCAAAAGTTCTGTATGAAATCTCTGTATTTGGCATTCAAGAGCCCGAAAGTGAGGTATGACATTAAACATGAGTGAAAATATTACAGTAACTTAGATACTCAGCTAAATCAAGGTGATATTCTAATATAGTTTAGATAGCATGGTGAGAAACTAAAAAGAAACCTGTCTTTGGTGCATTGGTTCAGTTGAAGTGTTATTTAAATAAAAATAAATGTTACATAAAATGTGGGAATAAAAATACAGGACACACTTGATTTCAAAAAATTCAGATCAGTTTACTTACATTTTTCATCTAAGATGTAGAGAACTATACAGTACAGGTAGTAAGCAGATTATTTCAGTTAGGGAAATTTTTACTCAAGGGACAAATGTACATTAAAGGTAAAAAATTAGAAATATTAAGGAAGAAAAACAGAACAGAATGTAAGATGATGCTGTGGAAGTACGAACATTTGAAAGAAAGAGATGTTAATTATAGCATCTTTCCACATGCTATAAAATGTTCCAGGTGTGTCAGGTGACCTAGCGGGACATCTCATTTGACTGGTTTATCGGGTCTGTGTTGTTGAGCAGGTGAACACTGCTGCCAAGGCCATTCTGTTATACCTGCTTCAGGGACGATTGATGATGACAGCATTGACCTGGAACAAGTTTATTGAATCTCTCTGTCCTGTCATCCCAATACTACAGGTATTCTGTGAAATTCACTTTTTATGATACCATTTATCTTTGGCTGGGTGTGATTGATTTAAATGCATGCAAACAGCTAAACTGTCAAGTTGTGAGAGAAATGAAGAGAAGCTGTGAAGGCGCTGGGGATAAGTGAACAGGAAGTGGGTGGCTGTCTTGTTTCTGGCAGAAAGTTAAACCAGGATAGCTAATTTGTCTGTATATATTTTATATATCTGGGTGGGAGGTTAAAAAGTGAGGTGCATTCACAGCATTGACTGTGAAAAATAGAACTCAACCTTATATAAAGGCTTTTAGGCAGAGCTAACAGTGCTTTTTAAGGAGACCTTACATAACTAACTTGCCTCATGAGTTCTATCCATGCATATGTATGATTAGAGTGATACCGTAATTAACATGCTCCTAGAAACAGCTTTTTTTTTTTTTTTTAAAAAAGCAATCCTTCTGGACATTAAAGGAGTCAGTTTCCTGTCTCTTTTGGATGAAAAGGTGGAGTTCAGAAATGCCATCATAAGCACAGTCCTCTTTTAGAAGAGAGAGCCTGGGCCTTGTGCCTTGAGACTCACAGATTCCATGCGTGTAGCATTTAGAGCACTCCATCTTCTTAGGGTGGGGATGGGCTGAGGATCTGTGAGGTGCTTCACCGAGGGGAGGTGCCACTATTAGAATCTTAGAAAATAGAAAAATCAGCAAGTGTCAAGAAGGTTGGCATGTTTTCCTGAAGTTCTCCTGTATGTATGTGTATTTTCTTTTAAATACAGTTTTATTTAGGCTCCTTGGCTCATAGAAGTTATTTTAAAAAATAATGATTTTATTCAACTGAATCCAAAGACATTTATGAGTTGCTGATAGGACAATACAATTCTTATTTTCAAGTTGAAAAGTTATGTATACAATTAGACAATAATTTCTCTTTAAAAACAAATCTATTAGGGCTATGCCGACACAGAAGATCCTCTGGGTAACTGCATTCTCCTTCTAAGCAAAGCAAGTTCTGACACAGAAGAGATGCTTCCGTGTACTACCCGATTAAAGTCCATGCTGCGACTTTTGCTAGTGAAAAAGCCATCGTGAGTACAACGTAATCTTGTGAACGTCAAAGATTGATGGAAACATGCTAAGAAAGTATAGTAACTATATATAATTTGAAACAAAACTAAAGAATTTTTAAGGAGGGTGTTATTCCATTACTAGAGGAAACCAATGCGTGAAACTAAGCAGATACAAGGTCTTGTATGTACTTGCTGACGTTTCATCCACTTTACAGCCAAGTTATTCCTTGCCAGATCAGCCTGTGTTACAGGACTGCTACTAAGTGCCGCTCAGTAGTGCCCTAGGCAAGTTGGAGAGCCATGGAGATAAATAGATGGTAAAAATTATAGTGCATTCCCATCTTCTCTTTAGAAATTGTTAGCCTTCCAGAGTGATCCTTTTGTAAACATCTGTTCTGAATATTCAGTTTTTCATAAGTATAGTAGGCCAGTTGTCTCAAATACCAGAGTTATGCAGGTATTTTAATCCCATATAGCTGTGTTCTTACTTGGGGAACTGAAAACATATCCTTTCTTTGACTGCCATTAATATAAGCATTGTTTTAATTAATGAAAAGAAGGAGAATGATACTGTTTTTCTTCCTTCTCTGTCATTGCAACATGAATCTTTTCTATTATTATTTTTAGGTAACAGTGGTTAGATTTTCCCTTACTGAAAAAAGAAAAAAATGCTGAGTCGAGATGGATAAGCAGGGATAAAGAGGAATAGTTGGTTGAAAAGGCTAGGAAGAATGGACAGACATTCTTTTCACAATGGATAATTTGTGTTTCCCAAACCTTACATCAGGAAAATACAGCAGCTTATTTATAGACAGATCATTGGACTGAAAGATAAGGAAATAGGTGGAAGTTAACTAAACTATTAAGAGAATGGAAGGAGGAAAATTATAGTCTTTAAAATATCTCTGTATTGTAGAGAGTAATGTTATGGGTGATCCAGGAAGAAGTAGGGCAGAGGGAGTTAACGTGCTTGTGTTCTCAGGGGTTGTCTTCTACACATGCAGAAAAGCTGTTCCCTGTTAATTAACATGCTAGTGTGGTACTCCTTACTTGAACAAACCCCCAGTTTGGAGAATTAACACAATAGGGGGCATTTCTTGTTTGTTTTTCGGGCCCAAGGTCCTCAGTTTAATAAAGACATTCTAAGGCAGGACACCCCCAGGAGCATAGTGCAAGGAAAGGCCAGATCTTTCTTTGGGTAAGATAAGTCTCTATTATATAGAATTTGAAACAATTCAAATGACATATTTGTTTTCCTTATTGTATTAATTCTACCCCATCCCATCAACCCATCCATAAACTCCATGTAGACAGGAACCCTGTCCGTTGGCTAATCTTTATATTCTCAGAACTTCATAGCGTACCTTATACATAAATACACAGTCATGCGTTGCTTAATGACATGGATGCATCCTGAGAAATGCTTTGTTAGGTGATTTTGTCCTTGTGTGAACATCATAGAATGTACCTTACACAAACCTAAGCAATAATAACTTAACTACATACATAACCTAGGCTATATCCTATAGCCTATTGCTTCTAGGCTACAAACCTGTACAGCATGTTACTGTACTGAATACCATATGCAGTTGTAACACAGTGGCATTTGTGTATCTAAACATAGAAAAGGTTTAGAAAAATATAGTAATATAATCCTATGACACCACTGTTGCATATGTGATCTACTGTTGACTGTAACATTGTTATGCAGTACATGACTGTACTCAAAAGTTTTAAAGAATGACATACATGTATAGGAATAACTGGATTCTGGCATCCTATGCTAAACCTAAAAAGATGCTAAATGTATATACCAGAGAACAAGATGCATAAATACATGCTTTACATATCTCATCTCTAGCCACCTTTGCTAGGGGTTATACCTGTCTCTCAACTGACAACCCCAGATGTGAATACAGATATCATTGGCTTAGAATGTAAGGAACAAAGGAAAACTATTAGGTAGGTGTTTAGCCTTTCTAAGCTCTCTTGAGGTAACTCAGGAAATGGAGAGGGAGAAAGTTTGCCTGACTTATTAGTCCTCTGGAGATGATATCAGTTAACAATATTGCAGTAAATATCTACTTTGTGTTTGATTCAGGAAGTATTTATTGGGTGTCTTACTATGTATCTATGAGCTGTGGGAACGTAGCAGCACACAACACAGACATGGGCCCTGCCCTTTCAGCATTTAGTGTGTAACCGGGAATATAGCTCTTATTATCAATTATTCTTTATTATTAATTGTCATAAAGTGAGATAAAAGTTATGATACAGGGGCTCAAGGTGGCAGGCCTGCATACAGAAGGCAACCTGCTCTAGTCTGTAGTAGGAGGGCCACCCTAATGATGCATGTTTTAATTGTTGTCTTATAGGTAGTTCTTAAAACCTGGCAACTTGTATTATTGCTTAAAATTTGTCCAGTTTCCAGGTAGTTCAAGAACCTATCAGAGGAGTGACAGATACATGGTTGTCTCAATATCTGCCGCCTCAGTGACCTTTGTCCACTCAGTGGTTTTTCTGTTTCTCTATTTCATTGTTTAGTGGCATACAGTATTTACTCTTTTCTTGAAAGGTCTCCCACCTCCCCACTCAGCTGACCTTATTCCTAATCCCTTCCAGATAAGGAAAAAGTATTTGTATTTTCATATTTGACAGGAATCTGTTTGGCCCCTAATATGAGAAGATTTTGATACATTGTAGTGTTATCACACTTCCATTATGAGCGTCATTACTCTCCTGTGGGTTCAACTTAACATTTGGACTGTGGTCAGCGGTCTGTGATACTTTTTATGGTGGAGAATAGTTCACTAGATTTGAAGACAGGAGTTATTGATTTAATTCGCAGATGTACTTATTGAAGTTTACTGATATTTAATCTCAGTGAGTCTGTCTCATTTGTAGTTATTATTTTTTGTTTCTGATGTTTATTTTATAACTATTACATTGAATAAATCATTATAATTATATATCGAAGAATTTTTAGTAGAAAAAGTAAATTATTACTAGTAATGGCAGTATAATTGTGACTACTTATTGTACTTTGTTGATATATAATTACTTGTAATTACAAGCCCTTTTAAAATAGACATTTGCATATCACGAAAGTTCGACTTAAGTACTTTGTGTTCTCAGGGTCCGTTCGCTAGCATTAAAGCTTTTAGCATTCCATCTTACCAGTGAAGAAGGGGCTGATACAAAGCGTCCTCTAATAGACGCCAGAGTTCTCTCCAGAGTTACTGATTTATTCATTGGGAAGAAACCTATTGAACTCAGACTGGATGACAGAAGAGAGCTGGTTATTAAGGTGACTATAAATTTTGAGTTTATTACTGTGTGGTAATTTGATACATTTTTATATCATGTATTTTATGTGACATTCTTCAGTTTGTGTATGTCCTGGGGAGGGAGAGAAGTATGGGGATTCAGGGCTGGTTTGAAATTGTGTTCTGGCTTTATCTGGCTTCTAGATACGTTGATTTATTGCAGTGGTCCCAACCTTTTTGGCACTAGGGACCAGTTTCACAGGACAATTTTTCCATGGATCAGGGCAGGAGTATTGTTTTGGGATGATTCAAGTGCATTATATTTATTGTATACTTTATTTCTATTGTTATTACATTGTAATATATAATGAAATAATTGTACAACTCACCATAATGTAGAATCAGTGGGAGCTCTGAACTTGTTTTTCTGCAACTAGACAGTCCCATGTGGGGGTAATGGGAGACAGTGACAGATCATCAGACATTAGTTAAATTCTCTTAAGGAGCAGCCAGCCAAGATCCCTCACACACCTAGCTCACAATACGGTTTGCACTCCTATGAGAACTGAATGCCGCCACTGATCTGACAGGAGGTGGAGCTCAGATGGTAATGGCAGCAATGGGCAGCGGCTGTAAATACATTTTCCTGTCTTTAGCTAGGACTGTACCTATAGCATACTGGACTGATGGAGAATTCTATAAAGAAAGCTGTCCACTAGTCCACTGTTTTCATGGATTCATTCCTGTGTTTTGTACTTTCTCATTTCACTCAAGTTTGCAATCTGTCTGTTTTATTTTAGACTAACTTGCCAAGGCCTGTAGTAGTATGGTAGAGCCACATGTAATACAGTCGGTTTTTTTGTTTGTTTGTTTGCTTTTTAATGGGGAAACACATTATGTTCTTCTAAACTGAATGTTCAGGGCTTTATGACAGTGCTGGCAGGGGGATTGGAGAGTCTTCACTGGCCACATACCAGGTCTGGTTGGGACTTCCCTGAGTACTAAGCCATTGGTAGTCACTCCTGTGCCCTGATGTATGGAGGAAGGCGGGGAGAGGGCATTCTAATACGTCTTCTGTGAGTCCATGTTAGGACTGGAAGATAGCAGTGAGTGGGAGAAAGGAGCTTCATCTTTGTTATTTTCTTGTCCCTTTTTCCTGATGCTGGTTTTGCCACCTCAGATTCTGTTCTAGCATGAAGTGACAGTAAGGGACTTGTCTGGGGGGTAGCTTTGAAGGGGTGCTGGACAGCAAGTCCCAGAGTGCTGTTTGCTCTGGGGTCTTCTAAAAGAAAGAATGGAGAGGCCCACGGGAATACCAGCTGGTGGCTTCTGGGAGCAACAGGGAAATCTTGAGTCATAGGTCTGGGTCGCTTTTCTCAGGTTAGCCTGGTACTACCTGTAAAGATGTTAGGGAACATGGTTGTTTTCTGTTACCTTTGTAAGGTTGCTAATGGATTAATGGGTTATGAATAACTTCCTAGCAAAAATGTATATTAAGAAGAGAGGGGCCGGGCACAGTGGCTCTTGCCTGTAATCCCAGCACTATGGGAGGCTGAGATGGGTGGACCACTTGAGCCCAGCCTAGGCAATATGGTGAAACCCTGTCTCTACTAAAAATACAAAAAATTAGCTGGGGTTGGTGGTGCATGCCTGTAGTCCCAGCAACTTGGGAGGCTGAGGTAGGAGAATCACCTGAGCCCAGGAAGTCGAGTCTGCAGTGAGCTGAGATTGCACCACTTTACTCCAGCCTGGGTGACCAGAGTGAGACCCTGTCTCAAAAAACAAAAAAAAAAAAGGAAAACTTATTTGACATGATGACTCTTTATTTTAGATCTTAAGTTCCTTCCTGACCTACTGCATCATTGTTGCAAATTTTATTTATTTATGTATTTATTTTAAACTTTTATTTCAGTTTCAGGGGTACCTGTGCGGGTTTGTTATATAGGTAAACTCGTGTCATGGGGGTTTGTTGTACAGATTATTTCGTCACCCTGGTACTAAGCCTAGTACCCGATAGTTATTTTTCAGATCCTCTCCCGCCTCCTACCCCCCACCCTCAGGCAGGCCCCAGTGTCCGTTGTTCCCCTCTTTGTGTCCTTGTGTTTTCATCATTTAGCTCCTGCTTATAAGTGAGAACATGCAGTATTTGGTTTTCTGTTCCTGTGTTATTTTGCTAAGGATAATGGCCTCCGGCTTCATCCATGTTCCCTCAAAAGACATGATCTCGTCCTTTTTTAGGGCTGCATGGTACTCTATGGTGTATATGTACCACATTTTCTTTATCCAATCTGCCATTGATAGGCATGTAGGTTGATTCCATGTGTTTGCTGTTGTGAATAGTGCTGCAGTGAACATACACATGCATGTGTCTTTATGGTAGAATGATTTGTATTTGAGTATCCAACATCTATAAGGAACTTAAACAGATTTACAAAAAAAAACCAAACAGCTCCATTAAAAAGTGGACAAAGGACAGAACAGACATTTTTCAAAAGAAGACATACATGTGGCCAAAAGGCATATGGAAAAGAGCTCAATATCACTGATCATTGGAGAAATGCAAATCAAAACTGCTACGAGGGACCATCTCACACCAGTCAGAATGGCTATTTATTTATTTTTTTTGTGAGACAGAGTTTCACTCTTGTTGCCCAGGTTGGAGTGCAGTGGTGCGATCTTGGATCACTGCCGCCTCCGCCTCCTGGGTTCAAGCGATTCTCCTGTCTCAGCCTCCCGAGTAGCTGGGATTACAGGTGTGTACTACCACACCCAGCTAATTTTTGTATTTTTAGTAGAGATGGAGTTTCACAATGTTGGCCTTTTGTGTTTCTAGTAGAGATGGGGTTTCACCATGTTGGCCAGGCTTGTCTTGAACTCCTGACCTCAGATGATCTGCCCACCTCAGCTTCCCAGAGTGCTGGGATTATAGGCGTGAGCCATCGCACCCGGCCAGAATGGCTATTATTAAAAGTCAAAAAATAGCAGATACTGGTGAGGTTGTGGAGAAAAGGGAATACTTACACACTGTTGATGACTGTGTAAATTAGTTCAACCATTGTGAAAAGCAGTGTGGCAATTCCTTGAAGACCTAAATACAGAACTGCTACTTAACCCAGCATTGTGTGAATTTACCTGTAATTATGTTGGTTATTTAAATAAGTTGACTTTTTGAGCTTTTGTTCATAGGGCACAAACTATAAAATCTTATTGGAGAATTGGAAGCAGATAAATGTAATTTTGGTTTTTTTTTTTTTTTGGTTTGTAGTTGGAGACTGTTGAAAAGGTATATGAAATCTTCACCTCAGATGATGTTGATCTCGTTTTGAGAAAGTCAGCTGCTGAACAGTTAGCTGTGATTATGCAAGGTAATGTCTTTTAAGGGAAATGATTGCTGTACTGCTGATAATAGAATTTTAGATTGCCATATGGTACTGGCAGGAGTTGGCAACTATGGTTTATGCGCCAGATCCAGCCTGTGGCCTTTTTTTTGACAGCCCTCAAGAATGGTTTTTGCATCTTTAGAGTTGTTAACAAAATCCAACCAAAACCAAAGAATATGCGAGAGACCATATGTGTGTGTCTAGCAAAGCCTAACAACATGCTTACTAACCTGGTTCTTTACAGAAGAAGTTTGCTAATGCCTTATTATTATTTGACCTGTAAAATGCCATTTGATAGAATTATCTTCTTTCTAAAATATTAGTGTACTTCCAATAGTGAAGTGCATGTTCCTTCCTCTGTTTACTGAGTGCATGCATCATATTTTCAATCTGTACCATCTTGCTTAGGGAAATTAATCAAATAATACTTTTGTGGTAGGTAAAAGAAAAATAGTACACTGTAGCTATGCCTTTTCTTTAAACGTTTATTTTTATTTTTTTAAATTATACTTTAAGTTCTAGGGTACATGTGCACAATGTGCAGGTTTGATACATAGGTATACATGTGCCATGTTGGTTTGCTGCACCCATCAACTCATTTATATTAGGTATTTCTCCTAATGCTATCCCTCCCCCAACCCCCAACTCTGTGACAGGCCCGGGAGTGTGATGTTCCCCGCCCTGTGTCCAAGTGATCTCATTGTTCAGTTCCCACCTGTGAGTGAGAACATGCGGTGTTTGGTTTTCTGTCTTTGTGATAGTTTGCTGAGAATGATGGTTTCCAGCTTCATCCATGTCCCTGCAAAGGATGTGAACTCATCCTTTTTTATGGCTGCATAGTATTCCATGGTGTATAAATGTTTATTTTTAAAAACAACTAGTGTAATACACTGTTAGCTTTGTTTGTAGTGTTGTTATTCCATAGGCTTTTGTTCTTTGGGTTAGTTTTGAATTTTTCCCCATACGTGATGTATGTACTTTAATATTTATGAGAAATGATAACTTTGAGTTTATGTAAAAAGATTTTTATGGTTAGCACTTCTTGTCTTGACATTAGTGGAAACTGGAATGAGAGAGTTATTTGAAAAAACATATTCCACATATTTTTAGTTTTAACAACAATCACACAGACTACAGAAAAGAAGACTAGAAAATGTGGAAAGCCCTGGTTAAAAAAAAGATCAAGAAAAACTCGTTAAAGAGTATTCCTTCAATATTGTTAACATTTCAAAAGTATGCCTTATAATTTTGGTATGCACTATATTGGGGGGCAATGGAAATTTTTTTTTTTAAGTAGCAGCTAAAGATTGTTACAATGATAGCTTCCACTTCAATATCAGTATGTGAGTGTATGTGTTTTTCCTAATGAGAATATAGGAGAAAATTTGTCTGCAAGTTGTTAAATACTTGTAACGAATATATAATCAATTACAGTTTTGGGTTCCGGTAACATTTGTGTGTGCGTGTGCACATGTCTATACATATAAGATTTTTTTATGTATATACAAAAACTTCTTTATTACAAACATAATATGTGAATATATGCTTATTAAAAAGAAGCTCAAGTTCTCCAGAAATATATAGTGTATTATAATCTTGTTCCTTTTATATTTGCTATTAATAGTTTGAGGTTAGAGATTTTTTTATAGATAGAAAAATGTTCATGTTGTAAGTCATATTTTACACATGAGCTTGTGGAGAATTATAAACATTTGAAGGTGATAAATTTGGAAGAGTCAATGAAATAATATAAAGAAGATAATTTGCATGTATAAATATAAGCATTCATTTGTACACTTAAATTCTCGTAGTTTTCAGAGTCTGAACTAGTTCCATAATTCTTTTTTTATAGTTTTGTATTTTATGTGACAGAAGTAAGATATGCTTTTTACTTAAACATTTTCAAATTGGACAGGTGTACGTAAAGTAAAAAGTTAAAAGTTTCATACTCTTATGTCAACCCCAGGTCTAAGTATTTTTAATAGTTTGAAGGTTGTGTGGATATCAGTTCTGAGTATTTCAAAATACGTGTTTTAAACTACAAAAAATGTGCTTTAACTTTTAGTAACTTTTTTTATCTACAGATATTAAAATGCATGCTGTGGTGAAAAAGTTATGCTTAATTGACAAAATAATTGAGTATTTAAATGAATGTGTGAGTCAAGATGGCAAGGTAAGGCTAATGTGCATCTAGACATTGTTTTACAGGCTGTTTTGATTAATCAGATCTGAAATTGAACTGAGCAGAATTTGGATGAGTACTTGGATTTTAAATTCTAAGTAACACCTCCTATCTCATTCATTTTTTTTTTTTAAATTCGAAAAGTGGAGTCTCTATAAAGGAAAACTAATCCTAAAATTTCCATAAGATAGGTGATAGAAGTATATACGAAACTTACTTTCAGTGGAAAGTAATTCCTAGTATTTATTTACATTTTAGTTTCAGATAATTTTGATGAAAACGCATAAAATTTAGAGTAAGATAATATTATGGTCTGTTTGATCTCACCTGATAATTGGTGAAAATGAAAAGCTGTGTTTTTCCTCCTGGCCCAGGTTGTAGAATGTTTGGTACAACCATGCCTCACACTCTTGAGGAAGGTTTTATGTGGTGATCCAGTCATGCGTGTTTCGCTCTCGCAACAGTCTTCTCTTTTGACCGTGTTATTCAGAGGTAAATAAAAGAAAATCTGCTAATAATTAGATTGTTCTTAAATTTTAAGTGTTTCTTCTTTAATTGTAAGTCACATTTACTTTTTATTTTACTATTAGAACAACAGCATTTATTAGTGAATACACTACTAATGTAAATGGAAAATGTTTAATATTTTTGTGGAAATTGCTTTCTAATCCTGTTGCTGAGTGGAGGCTAGAGCTGAGAAAAGCTGAAACCTCTGATTGTTCTTTGTGCCTTGATGTAGATGTCATCTGGTGCTCAGACAGTAAACTATTATCTATAAAGAGAGAAAGTTGCAGCTGCTGTTATTACTATCTTCTTTCCAATATCTCTTTCGTCTTTCTTGTTTTGCTTATACCTTTGGATCTTGGTACATTTTGTCTGATTATTTCATTTGACAGGTGTTAAGAGTATAGGCTCAACCTGTGTGAGTAGAAACTAGACCATCCTAAATGACTCTGAGCCTAAATTTATTACATTCTATAAAATGTGGTTTTTAAAAACCCATTTTAATTTGATTCTAATTTAGTAAGGTGTTAGATGAACACGTTTCATGTAGTTTTGTCCTTCCTGTCTTCTCTGTTTTTTTTTTTTTCTCAATGGAGAGCTTGGTAACATTTTGTACTATTTTTTTTCTTAGAGACTTAGGCCACTGCTTTTTGATATTTTGCAAGAGTCATGTAGAATCATCTGAATGTGCTGAAGAGTCACGTACAAGCATCTGAATGTGCTTCATCTTGTCTATTATCAGGCATATAGGAGATAAGTGAGATTTATGTTCAAAATATGTTATTATAATGTAGTCATTTTATTTTAGCATCTTTTCCTCCTGTTGGCTTCTGCTTGCCAAGTGAGTAAGATGCAGTTTATTTAAGTAGCAGCCCTAAAACCAGGTAAAGCTCTAAACAGATTCAGTGTGTTTAGGCTCATAACATTTTGAGTGGACTATAACGTTTTTATAAGATTGTATAGACTGATCATCTGAAAGAGCAGCAGTTACGGATTTTTAGTTTTCTTTAATCCTGTTAATAATTGTCTTCTTATTAACCTCATTCACTTGAATTTAGTTCCTGGTTTACCTTTTCATTTATAATTTTCATTTAAATTATTCAAGCATGGAACTTATTATGAACACCTACTGGATTCAAAAGCACATTTCAAGGCAATATAATCTATACCCTTTTCAGTATTTCAGTTTTTCTATTTCATTGCTGTTTGTGGAAATTACTTTCAATGAGTTTGAGAATGAATATAGTATCCTCCATTAATGGATTTAGTTTCAGGAAAAATTTTACTTACTTACTTATTTATTTATTGAGAAAGAATTTCACTCTTATCACCCAGGCTGGAGTGCAGTGGCACAATCTCGGCTCAGTGCAACCTCTGCCTCCTGGGTTCAAGCATTTCTCCTGCCTCAGCCTCCTGAGTAGCTGGGATTACAGGTGCCTGCCACCATGCCTGGGTAATTTTTGTATTTTTAGTAGAGGCTAGGTTTCTCCATGTTGGCCAGGCTGGTCTCGAACTCCTGACCTCATGTGATCCACCTGCCTTGGCCTCCCAAAGTGCTGGGATTACAGTCGTGAGCCACTGTGCCTGGCCGAAAAATTAATTTTTAACCAGCTGCTTAACCAAGAAAACCCATTTCTCAGCAAACGTTTATTAAGCACATGCTTTGTGCTAGGTGCAATGCTAGGCCCTTGGGTTATATTGGTGAGCATGGTAAATGACCCTCATGGAGCTTACAGTAGAGTTGGAGACATTGACAAGTAAATATACAGTACACCACAGTAATACTTGTAATTGGGGATTCCTGGTGCCAGAGGACATGCTGGTCAGATTGGTTGGTGAAAAGTATCAGAGATTGTTTCTAGGGAATGTGGCATCTAAGATGGAATTTCAGAAATGAGTAGGAGTTCAAATAGGCAAGATTGACTTCTAGATGGAGCCGTGGTTGTGTGTATGAGAAATTGATGTGTTTGAGATGGAGCTGGCTGGATTTGGGGAGTGTGGAGTGAAGGGGAAATGATGGGATGAGGCAGGGAGGGCAGTTCGTGCAGGGCCTGGGAGATTTTATTAAACAGCAGTGAAGAGCTGTTTAAGGTTGTTAAACAGGGGAGTATGTGTTTTAGGAAGATTATTTCTGTAGCATGGATAGTGGATCAAATGAGTACAATAAATAACTTCTCAGATAACACTGCTTTGAATTATAAACTTTATGTTATGACAGAATTCTATAGTGTATTTCAGGGTTAGAAATTAACTTAGAAATCATTTACTATACCATCTGTGTGAGGTCTAGAGAGATTTAGCAACTTGGCCAAGGCTATAACCAAAAAATGGTTATTGGGTTATTTACTTTGCTACTGAGAGAGAATCGAAACTTCCTTACCTTTGTTTGTTTCTGTTTTAAATAATCACAGACCTATACATCCCCATTGTAAAAATTCAGGCAATATAGAACTATACAAATTCTAAAAGTTTTCATTTTCTTCTCGTTCTCAATTTCCCCAAAGAAGACTGTTCTGGTTATCATTAGGAATATATTTTTCCGAATGATTTTTTCTACATACACATGTAGTTTTCATTCTGTATATTACAGTATTGTGTTGCTTCCTTTTTTCAACTGGAAATGTAACTTGAATATCTTTCTATATTATTTCATGTGAGTATACATTCTTTAAAAAACCCTAAAAACTACTGCACTGGTGTTGCAGAATTTCAGTTTGCTATGTTACTGGGTATTTGTTTTAGATTTTTCACCATGACAGTAATCATGTTGTGTGATCATCTTTGTGCATTCAGTGTTGGAATTCCTAGGTCAAAGAGATTTTATAAGATAATGGTTAAGTTCCTTTCCAAATCACTCTCACCAAAGGTGTTTAAAAATGCTTATTTTCATTACAACTTTGCCAACACTGAATATGTCTCATTAATTTTTTTTAATCTTATAGGTAAAAATATATAATTGTTTTATTTTCTTATTTTAGTTTTAGTGAAGTTATCTTTTCATATATATTCAAATTTCTTCATCTATGGATTACTTATTTTCCTGTTGTATTTACTTTCTTTTTAGTGACTTGTAGGGTTTTTTATTATAAGATAGGCACAATCCTTATGCTTGATTTTATGTGATTAATATTTTCTCTCAACTTTTCTATCCTTTAAATTTATTTATTATTATATTTTTAACCTTAAACTTAAATATTTTATGGAAACATATAGAACTTTTCTGTTATGGCAGTTGGGCAATTTTTTATCATGCTCTTCAAGTAGGACTTTCTCTAGTTCCAGATTGAAAACACTTTTCCTGTGTTTCAAGTGTTGTTTAAAAAAATTAAATTTGAAATCAGGCAAAGGCATTGCTGTAATTCTTATTTATTTGGAAATATTATGGTTCATTCTATTCATCACTGATGTGAAATGTCTTTTATTATAAGTTAATTTTTACATGTTCTCTGTTTCTTTACTTTTTGGTTTATGGCTATTTTTAATCATGCCAATTACATAAGGATGATTTTCTTTTCCTGCAGTTAGGAAAAATCTCTTCTCTCAAAACTTCTTATTGCTGCTTCCCTGAATTTGCTAACTGTGTATTATGTTGTTATTCCTGTGAGATAACATCGTACTTCTTTGTTTAGAATTTCATAGGTTTCAAGGAGATTGTAGCATTGGGATCATTACAGAAGTGGGAACTGAGACTTAATGTTAAAGAATCTCACCAGGGCATTTAGCTAAGTAGTAAGTGGTAGAGCTAGTGTTAAGTCTGTCCATTCAGAGCACTTCCCTTTTCCATCATCTTGTCATAATTAAAAGGAACCAAAACAATGACACAGCCCAAGGATAACATTTTAAAGTCAAATCCAAGTTCTGTGATCACATGTTTGTAGTAAAGGGCAAAAGTTATAAAATAAGATCTCTTGGTGAGGAAACTTTAGCTAGAATTATCTGACTCGGCATAACCTTCTTAGAGGCTGTATCAGTTTGTTTCTCTAATTACCTAAGACTAGACAGTGTCTAGTGAGTGTATCTACAAGTGTGGCTCCTGGACTGGCAGCATCTGCATCCTCTGAGAACTTATTAGAAATTCACATTCACAGGCTCCACCCTAAACCTATCCAATCAGAAACTGTTTTAACCAGCCTTCCAGGTGATTCTTGTACATCCACAAGTTTGAGATGAAAGCCTGTGTTTTAGTGTCACCTTATCTGGGTTTATGTTGCATTTCTTTTCTCTTCAAATCAAGATATTTTAAATTTGAAGTTCATTCTTTCTAGACGTACAAATATTTCATAAAGTTGTGCTTCTTTTTATTCAGTTTCCTTAATATTTCATGAAGATTGTAGTGTCGTGACTGAAGTTGGAGCACTATTTTGTCTTCTATTATTTGATGAAGTATCGAGAATGGATATGTGGTGAGATATAAGAATTTATAAGTTTTTTACTCTTAACTATTTATCTCAGGTATCTGATGTAATCTTATAGCAAGGCATGGAAATTTCTGATTTACGAAGCTTATGCTGTCCATGCTACACATATGTGGTATGAATTTTGATTTGAATAAACAGTATTCAAAAGCCTATTAGCTCAGAAAGTCTATCTCAAATTTTATTTTTAAACATTACTAAATATAAACTTTAAAATTACTGCAGTAATTTTTGTCTTTAATACATTTTTAGTACATACCTTCAACTATGTGTTTTTTTCTTAATATTTCATGATTTTTAAAAAACCTCGGAAGATATTTAGGACGATAGTATATGATTAGCGCTGATCTTGAGCAGGATCCGTGGGAGGAGACGCACAAAGTCCACCTGCTAGTCCCACCACTGCATTGTATGAATCATTTGTTATGTGGAATTTTTTTTTAAAACATAATTTACTCTTCATAAGCAAATCTAGGAAGTAGCAAACATGTTGTTTCTATACTAAATGATAGACTCAGTTGCACTGCTTGATTTCATTTGCAGTCAACGAAGTGAGGTAAGTTGTATTTGTTAGACAAAACTTGGTCTACTCAGTTGTTTCTTTGTTTTTGTTTTTCTTTTATGAAATAGGTCTGTTAATCCTTCCAATAAACCTTCTTTGCCATCGGTCTTCAGTTTGCCTGTTTCCGTTTTTAGAAGGTAAAGGATTTATTTCTCTGATTTTCTTGAAGGACGAAATGTTGTTACAGAAAGGGAAATCAAAATCTATAATTTGTCACAATTTTCATTTAGCATTTAAATCCCATAACTTGGGCTTTCATGGTTCCTTCACAATGGTGCTTTGAAGATTTCAGTAAGTATATCTCCCCACCACCAATTTTTTATTTTGATACCGTTCAAATTTACAGGAAAGTTGAAAGCTATACGGTGCATACTTGTATGTCGTTCAGCCTAGAGTCATCAATTATTTACATATGAGTCTCTTTGCTTTCTCTCTCCTAATATATATTTTTATTTATATTTAATTCTCCCTCACCCACCAATTGGAAATAAGTTTCAGACATAAATTCACTCCTTTCCTATATATTCCAGCATGCACATCCTTAAGTTAAGGACATTATTCTACATAACTGCTACAATATGATCCCATCTAACAAGATTAAAAATAATTCTATAACATGGTGTGGTTTCTCCAGTTATCTCCAAGTATCTTTTGTGTATATTTTTTCAGAATGCAATAACCAGTTAAGGTTCTGCATTGTATTTGGTTTTCATGTCTCTTTAGACTTTTGTAAAAAGTAAATTGTTTTTATTGACATATATCGTACATAAAGCATACAAGTCATAAGGGTACAGCCCTTGAATTTTTCTGAGTAAACGTACTTATTTATCTCACACAGATTGACATAGAATATTACTGACAGACCGGAAACCCTTTTTGTGCTTTCTCATTACCTTCTACCACCCCAAAATGTAATCCTATTTTAATTTCTATTGCTGTACATTATTTTTGCTAGTTTTTGAACTTTATAAATAGAGTGCATTATTATATTGCTTTTTGCTCAACTTGGAGAGATTTGTCCATGTTGCTGCATGAAGCAATCAATAGTTGGTTCATTTTTATTCTATGTAGTATTCTGTCTAAGAATATACAACACTTTTATTTACCATTCTATTTGTGGATGTTTAATTTGTTTTCTGTTTTGGGCTATTATGAAGAAATGACTGCTAAGAACATTCTTGAACACGTGTCATTGTTGGAATATAGGATATTTATGTTTAGCTTTAGTAGATGTTACCAGACAGTATTACGAAGTTGTTGTGCTGATTTACATTCCTACCATCAGTGGAAAAGTACTAGCTGCCCCACATCCTCACTAGCCTTTGGTATTTGCATTACCAGTCTTAATGGTGTTTAGTTTGGCTAAATAATGAAACTCACACGACTGCAGTAGTCATGCTTAGAATGAGATCACATTTGTGGGTGCTGGGAGCTGTCTTGGCTTGGAAGCCTCATGTCCCAAATAGAAAATATGTTCTCTAGTAAGTGTGCTGTAGGCATAGTTTCCAGGTTGCTTATAAGAGCCACAGCACTCAAGATTGCTCAGAGCTGTGACATCCCATCATGCATTTATAGTTTATTCCTAGATGTCTCAGTCCAGATGTGGGGAGTCATTTTCATCATAAGCAAAGCAGCTTAGTAAATTCTTGACATTCCATATCTATCTGATTTTACTGGGTAAAGGGACAGAGAGTTACCTCAATATCATGTTTGTCCGTAAAGAGGAGAAAGGGTTTTATTACTCTTTTACTCACAGTAATGTTGGCATTTAAAAAATTGTTGCCCATCTGATGGATGTATAGTGTATCTCAAAGTGGTCCTGATGTATTACTCTTTGCTTTTTATTATTTTCTTCCTTCTGTGTTTTTCAAACTTAATTTTCTGTTCATTTTCTAACTTACTGGAGGATTGGCCATTGATTATTAGCCGCCCTTTCATTTAAAGCTATCAATGTTTCTAAGTATGGCTTTTGGTATATTCCACGAATTTGATATGCCATATTTTATTATTTAGTTCAAAATATTTTCTAAGTGTTTTGTGATTTTTTTTTATTGATGCAAGGGTTGTTTAGAGTTATTGGGGGTAACTAGTGAAGATTTAGTTTATTAGGTTTTCTAGTTATTTTATTATTAATATTTAGCTAAATATTGACATTAGAAAATATTTTCTATGATTTTAATTCTTTAGAGTTTGTTGAATTTTACTTTATGGCCCAGCATATGGTCAGCTTTTTAAAATGTTCCATGTGTACTTGAAAATAATAATGTATATGTAGTAGTTGTTGGATATACTGTTCTATAAGTCTCAAAATATATCAGGTTTATTGATAGTGTTCAGATCTTCCCTGTGTCTACTTTATTATATGTGTGTGAAGTTCTTTCAGGTAGCAGAGAGGCATGTTAAAATCTCCACTATGACATTGTCATTCTGGCTGACAATGTATTTTGAGGCCATGTAATTTAGTTTGTAAACATGCTGGTGGGTTGTCTCTATCATTATGAAATTATTTCTTTATCTCTAGCAGTGCTTCATCATATAGAATTCACTCGATCTCTTATGACTGTAGCTTCCCCAGCTTTTATTTGGTTAGTGGTTAGCATGATATGTATTTTTCCATCCTTGTAGTTTTAGCTGTTCTGTGTCCTTAAATGTACTTTTTTTTTTTAAGAAGTATATAGTTGAGTTTTTTTGTCCAATCTGACATTATTTACAGTTTTAATGGAATATTTTAATGCATTTTACATTTACTATAATTACTAATATTTTTGGATACAGATTATTAGCTTGCTATTTTCTATTTGTCCAATGTGGTTTTTTTCTTTCTTTTTCCTCTCTGGCTTTTCTTGATTAATTTTTAAAATTAGTCCATGTTTTCCAGCTGTTAACTTGTAGTTACATATACATTAAGTATTTTATTTATTTATTTATTTGTAGCGATTGGGATCTTGCTTTGTTGCCCAGGCTAGTCTTGAACTCCTGGCTTCAAGCAATTCTCCCACCTCAGCCTCCCAAAAGTGTTGGGATTACAGGCATGAGTCACTGTGCCCAGCTAAGTATTCTTCTATATACATTATTTCTATATATTTTATACAGATGATTATTCTTTTATAATATAGAGATTATAATTTACTTCCTTGACTGTGAACTAGTATTTTTACCACATCCCAGACAATGCAAGGACCTTAGAACACATTAATTCCATTTATTTGCTCTTCTTTTTTTTTTCTTTTATTGTCAGGTATTTAAATTCTATACATATTTTAAATTCTATAAGATGTTATTATAATTATTTTATGCAGTAAATAGTCATTTAGATTTGTATACCGTGGTCGTTTCTGTTACTTTTTATTGCTTTTTTGGTTTTTCTGCCTCCATCTGAGAATTTGTTTTTTTAAGAGTTTTTTATTATTTAATGTAGTGCACTTATATTAGCAATGATTTCTGTCAGGTTTTTTTTTTTTTTAATCTAAAAATTCTTTCTGTTTTAAAAAATGTTATCACTAGGTATAGAATTCTAGGTTGGCAGTTGGAGTCCATTTTTTTGTAGGAACATTGGCTGTCAGTTTTATTGTTGCTTCTTTGAAGGAACTGTGTTCCCCATTCTCTTAGGAGTTCCTTCAGCTATATCCCACAGCACTTTGCTTGCTTGCTTATTTATTTGGGGGAGTTTATTTTATTTTTATGGGTATATAATAGTACATATTTATGGAGTACATGTGATATTTTGATATAAGCATACAATGTATAATGATCAAATCAGAGTAATTAGGATGTCCATTACCTCTAACATTTATTGATTCTCTGTGTTAGGAACATTTCAGATCTGCTCTTCTAGTTATTTTGAAATATACAACAAATTACTGTTAACTATTTTTACCCTATTGTGCTACTGAACACTAGATCTTATTCCTTCTATCTAAATTTTTATGTACCCATTAGCCATCCCTTCTTAATTCCCCCCTTCCCCACCATCCTTTACAGCCTGTGGTAATCATCATTCTACTCTTTATCTCCATGAGATCATTTTTTTTTTTTTTTAGCTCCCACATATAAAGGAGAACATGTGATGTTTGTTTTTCTGTGCCTGGATTATTTCAGTTAACGTAATGACTTCCAGTTCCATCCATGTTGTTTCAAGTGACAGGATTTCATTCTTTTTTACATCTGAATGATACTCCATTGTGTATTTATACCACATTTTAAAAAATCCATTCATCTATTGATGGACACTTAGGTAGATTCCATATCTTGGTTATTGTGAATAGTGCTACAATAAACATGGGAGTGCATATATCTCTTTGACATACCAATTTCCTTTCTTTTGGATATATACCCAGCAGTGGGATTGTTGGATCATATGTAGGTTCTGTTTTTAGTTTTTTGAGGAACTCCATACTGTTTCCAATAATGACTCTACTAATTTACATTCCCACTAACAGTGTGTGAGCATTCTCCTTCCTCCACATCTTTGCCAGCATCTGTTATTTTTTTTTGTCTTGTTGATAAAAGCCTTTTTAACTGGGGTGAGATATCTCATTGTGGTTTTGATTTGCATTTCTCTGATGATTGGTAATGTTGAGAATTTTTTCATATACCTGTTGGTCATTTGTATGTCTTTTAAGAAGTTTCTATTCAGATCTTTTGCCCAGCTTTTAATTGGATTATTATTATTATTATTTTGCTGTTAAGTTGTTTGAGTTCCTTATATATTTTGATGGTTAATCTCTTGCCAGTTGAATAGTTTGCAAGTGTTTTCTCTCATTCCATAGGTGGTCTCTTCACTTTGTTGACTGTTTCCTTTGCTATGCAGAAGCTTTTTAGCTTGATATGATCCCATTTACTTATTTTTGCTTTGCTTGCCTGTGTTTTTGAGGTCTTACTTAATAAATCTTTGCCCAGGCTAATGTCCTGAAGCATTTCTCTAATGTTTTCTTCTAGTAGTTTCATAGTTGCAGGTCTTACATTAAGTCTTTAATTCATTTTGATTTGATTTTCATATGTGGCGAGAGATAGAGATCTAGTTTCATTTTTCTGCATATGGATATCCAGTTTTCTGAGTACCATTCATTGAAGAGACTGTTCTTTCCCCAAATTATGTTCTCGGTGCTTTTGTTGAAAATTGACCAAATGTGTGTATTTATTTGTGCATTCTTTATTCTGTTTTATTGGTCTGTGTGTCTGTTTTTATGCTAGTATCATGCTGTTTTGGTTACTATAGCTTTGTAGCATAATTCAGAGTTAGGCAGTGTGATACCTCCCTCTTTGTTCTTTTTGCTCGGGATTGTTTTGGCTATTTAGGACCATGTTTTGTTCCATATACATTTTAGGAGTTTTAAAATTTCTTTTTGTTCCTTTTAGGATGCAAATTTACATGCATGTTAGATTATTTCACCATGTTAAAGGAAAAACTTGAGACAAAATACACATGCATGTGTCTTTACGGTAGAACAAAATTAACTTTGGTTTAAAAGATACTGCTATTGAATCTGTTTTTATTTCTAAACATATTTCTTGGTTCTTGTTGAATTTATTGATGATGAAACCATGTTCTCAAGTGAAAACAATAAGCTGGAATTCAGTCATTTAGTGACCTCTATGATCATAGGCAATTCATTTATCAGCTTTAAGCCTCATTTTTGATCATTTGTAAAATAGGTATCATAGTGCCATACCATGTAACTGTGAATGAATGATACAAAATAAGCAGTGTTTGGCATAAAGTAAATATCAGTGTTTTAGCTGAACACCTTTTATGTTTGGTTCACTGTATTCATGGTCCCTGACTTCAAGGAGCATTAGTTATCTCCACAACAACTCTAATATAGCATAGAATGTGGTAAGTCCTCAAGAAAGGATTTAAGTGTTCTGGGGAGTTTAGAGGAGATGAAAAGAATAATTGAAATACTGTATAAATTATGATAATTGTTTAAAATAGGGACTAAGAGAAACCTTTGCATTATTGTGGGTTGGGAGGCATTGAACTAGCCCTCATTTGTGGCTCATCTTTTTGAGTAGCATTTAAGAATTTGAAAGTTTGTAATTATTTGTACACATTTTCTTTAGGTACCATCTACCTGTTCATGTAATTGGACACCATGCTGTGAGTCCTTACTCCATAGTTTTGCCCTTATCTGCTGATTGTTTGGCCTTGAAGCCGGTGTCAGATATGCTGAGAATAGCTTGGAACCTGTCATGGTATCATGGGAGTGATAATCTGTTGAAGCAAATGAACTCTGAAACTAAAACGCAAGAGTAAGCTCTTATATTAGTTTAAAAAGCATTTGCAATTAATTAATTGTAATTAATTAGTTAAGTTTTACTTTTTCCTTAGGTCCAGTAGCTTTTTCCCTTGGTATCATCTGATTCTGCTTTTTAACAGTTATAATTTTTACTTTCTTTTAAATATTACATGTGTTTATTACTTTTAACAATCTATCATATGGGAAAACTTTAAATGAAAAAGCATTTTACTCTGTACTGTTTTAGAGGTTAAAGTCTGATTTGTTCGTAGATATGAATCACTAGGAAAAGGGTCCTGGATTAGAACAAAATCTCAGTAAGTATATGCATGAGTGTTATCATTAGTGTGATGGTGATTACTTTTGAATATCTTAATATTCTAATCTGTCTGTCTTAAGTGAATAAAAATTTTTATAAGGAGGAAAAGTCAATATAAACATTTGGGATGCCAATGTAAAATCCTAATATTGACAGATATGTATCAGTTTTTCTTCTGGCTGTAAGTCAACCTTTTGTTAAAAGAAAATGAAGATAAAACAGCTTTTGGGAGAGTTTATAATAGAAATAAGTGTGAGCTTTTATTTAAATAGCTTTATGTTCCTCCTTCATTTTTTTTCTTTTTGTCTAGAATTTTAGATGCATTGAAGTTATCTACAGAGGACATCCTCACTCTGAAGATAACACACATGGCTAGTGGGCTGCAGGACTGCCTCCATTCCATTGTTCAGGCTGCAACCCACAGGGAAGTTAGGGCTGCTGTCACCAGGATGAGTTTTTATCTTCTGAATGACAGATTGTCTTTAAAGGGTTGCCCTGGTCCATGTGGGGTTACCTTGAAGTCCTTGGCTTGGCACACCGCACTAAACAGGTCAGTGTAAGGTCAAGGCTGCCAGTTTCAAAGACCTGGATTGCATTGTATTGTGTTCATCTCCTAACCTTTGAAGATAAGAGTCTATGCCCTTACTGCTGCTATCATAGAAAGAAAAACTCCAGGATTTTTATCATCTGTAATAATAGCCAAAGAGAAATTTTTAATTTAGTTATTGCATTGTTGAAGGGATTATTAATAAACTTGTAACAATTTATTCTTAGAAAATTTTACCTCACAAAAGCAAATAATTAGGATAAGACATGGATGAAACAAATTGAATGTTTATTTCTATCCATGTTATAAATGAGTTGAGACATCAGTGAATTGATTAATAGCTGTGATACACCTGCCACAGGCTGTTTTGTTTTGCTTTTGTTTTGTTCTTAAGTAAATTATATCATTTTTCTTTTTACTCTCAATTTCATGAAGTTGATTGCCATGTGGCGGTCCTTTATAGCAGTTAATTGAGAAGGCTCTAGCTTGTCAATTTAACATGCTTAACTTGTAGCAGATGGTTGCATTTGCAACAAGACTGATAAGCAACCACTGCAAGCAGGTTTTCATTTTATTCTTCATGTGACTTTAGTATAAAATGTATAACTTTATTATTTAACATAAAATGTGCAGTTTTTAAGCTGCTAGGTTAAATGAGTTTCCAAAATATGAATTCCTTTATTAGTTTAGCTTTAAAAATTAGTTTATCTGATTAGGCTTTCCAGTGGTGTGCTGGTGCCCACTAATGCAGCCTTGTGAGAGAGCTGATGGTTGAATTTTCAGGATTTTTGTAAGGTGATTGTTAAACACAGCCATTCTTAATTATATAAACTTACAATTAAATAAATTATATGAAGACAAAAGGTAATGAATATGCAAACATCACTTTCTAATTATGTGGCAACATTTTACTGTTATCTTTGTTCTTGAGGTTATGCATACATATGCACTACAGGGGTATGTATTTTATGGAAATAACTACAATGGAGTACCACTGTGCATCTCTTCACAACTTCATGTTACATGGTAGCTCCACATTGTCTACAGTAGTATATTTACACCATGGAAATTGACAAACACAATAAGTCAGCACTCTCAGTTACATATTTATCAGCACACTCCCGCATTTAAACAGTCTCGCCAGTTGAAGAATGCATAAATCCTTCACTTTAAATAAATGTAATATGTCCCTATTTGTCAAAAGAAATTTTAACATAAAAGCTGATTGAATTCATTGCACTAAGTTTTCTTTCTCTTGTGAATTAAAACCATAGAAATAGTATGCAATACCACATTACAGGAAAGACTCTCAAACTGTGGGTCAGTGGAAGCCTTTAGAGTATTTCAAATTGCCCAATAGCAGTAACTGTATGTGAGCATCACATTTTTTATGGTTAGTTTCCTCAGGACTAGTGTAAGTGGAGAGTATAGACTGTGTATATGTTTAATATATACACACATGCATATATAATATTCATCTTGTATTTGGTTTTTAGGCCTGTGTTTGATCATGGCAACACAGACACTACTGCCTAATTTATAAATATTCATGTATTTCTGCTGTATTATGTTTCACTAAGGAATGTATCAAAAATATATATCACAGAATCCACCTTTTTTCATGAAAACTTTTTAAAAACTTTACTTCCAGCAATGTATGTACTAATGAGGCTTTGGGAAACTTTAGTTTTGCTTTCATTCAGTTTAATGATAGAAAGGAACATTATCTTTTTGACTGATTATCTAAGATGAACCAACAGCTTAAAGGGTGCTTGGAGATAGAAGATTCCCATAAATCATGGCTGTATAAAGTATTGAGATATTGAGAACATTTTTATAAGCTTAGTTTAATATTTTTAAAATACAGCTATTTCAAATTATATCATTCTAGACAAAACAAAATATAGAGAAGCATGTTCATACCTGTGTGAATGGTTTTTTATTGTATTTTAAAAATAATGTTATTTTTTACACATTTTCCATGTCAGTAAATATACTTTGAGGCTAATTTTTCAAATATATGATATATCCAAATGAATGTTCCGCAAAAGAGGTCCTTTTAGGAGTGAGTGTGTATGTTAGAATAATTCTGGCTTTGCTCAGATATTTTGAAATTGTCCTCTCAGGTCATTTAAACAGCAGATGTAAGGAAGTCTTATTATATTTTGAAGTTATATTTAATTTTTTACTAAAAAATGATATTAGCAAACTCAACTATCCAGAGAAGGGTAAAAATGATTTTTACATGTATACCGAAATGAACACCACCCTAAACCATGACTATTTATCACTATTAACAAAAGTATATTTCAGTTTGACAAAAAACATGGTTTCTAAAATCTTTTTACTTACGGTACTGTGGCTTCTAAACATAACTTTCCAAGATGATTATTTTAACAGCCCAACATTAATTTATGTGTATGTTTTTATATGTGTATGCTAACACACAAGCATACAATTATAATCTAATATCATTTTGGAAACTTATTTTAAGAAAACAGATGATAGTCATGGTTTAGTAGGATTACAAGTTGTCAGAGGTATCTAGAGTCTTCTTTCAACTAGTTTCTGTTGAGTTTGCATGTTTAATGCCTCTCTACTCCTTTCCTACTGGAAGTCCTATTGCTACTGTTTTTCTCCATTTTTCACCAGACTGTAGACTGACTAGCGAATTGGTTTTTCTGCTTTTAACCTTATGCCACTCATTTATGTTGCTTCCTGAATGATCCTTCTGAAATACATGTCACCTGTGGGTTCTCTTCCATGGTGTGCTAGATATTAATAGAATTCCAACCCCTTAGCATGCTGTAGAAAGTTCTTTTTGATCTAGCTCTTGCTTACCTTTTCAGCTACAGTTTCCTCCTCTCTCTCTAACATATGCTGTGTTTCTATGAAGTGCAAATATTGGGGTTTTATGAAACTGCTTGATATTTTAGGGCATACACTTCTGTTTTATACATCCTTGCTTTTACATAGTTAACTCCTTGGCTGCCTTGTGAATATCTACTCTTCCTTGAGCTCCAGGGTCTTCTTACTCTGTGATGTATGTGGAATTCTAGTTACCCTGATTGTCATGTGGCTTTCCTGCATTACTTCTACAGTTGTTTAAATATTTGTTTTCTCATGTGCCTTGGGTTTATTACATTCCTTTTTATATCCCTCACATATCGCATAAGTCATAGTATACAGTTGGCCATGCAGCCTCAGCGTGAACACCTCCTTTGAAGGATATTCATTCTGTTTTTGCGCTGTGATTATTCGTAAGTTTTTTGTTCTTTTAGACTGTACCTGATCATTTCTACCTGTTATTCTGTCCTTTAAACTCACAGAATAAATAATGTCTTCACATGTGACAGCTCTTCATTTAAACATAACTATAATTTCTTCTCTATTCCCCCCACCCTGCTTTAAATGATTTGTTTTTTTTTTTAGATAGACTTTAAAAGCCACAGTGTCCAGACTTCTCATTTGTTCATGCTATTTTACAAGGGTATTGTGTTTCTTAGGACTCTCCCTGAGATCTGGACATGATACCTTATATGGGTGTGGTGCTGTGGCATGGGGTGAATAGGAAGAAAGGGGCTACTGCCTTTCTTTTCCTACTGCTTTTCCATCATTCAACAAACATTTATTGATCACCTACTAGGTGTCACTCTTGTAGGAAATATAGCAGTGGGCAAAACTGATAGGGTCCTGCTCTCATGGAACTTGGAATTAAGACAGCTAAAAGTATAATCAAAAGTAGAAATGCTTCCAAGCAGACTATTAGGAAACTGCATTAGAGGAGCACCCTATCCCTCTTCAGTAGAGAGAAAGTGGTTCAGAGAATGAAGCTTAAGCCAAGGCATAACAGGTAGAAGGATGTTAAAAGTCTATGGGATTGGAAGCCGAAAAGATACCAGGCACACAGAGAAACAAATACCACATGATCTGTCTTATATATGGAATCTAAAAAAGTCGAATTCAAAGAAGTAGAGTAGAATTGTTACCAGAGGCAAGTGGCAGGTGGATATGGGTAGGGAAAAGGGAGACGTTGCTGAGAGGTTACAAAATTCCAGTTAGACAAGAGGAATGAGTTCTGGTGATCTCTTACAGCATAGTGACTATAGTTAATAATAATATATGTTTCAAAATAGCTAAAAGAATAGATGTTAAATGTTCTCACCACAGAGAAATAAGTATTTGAGGTGATTGGTATGTTAATTAGCCTGATTGGATCATTCCACAATGTATACATGTGTCAGAACACCACATTGTATCCTAAAGATACATACAATTATTATTTGTCAGTTAAAAATAAAACAAATAAATGGAATATAGTTTGGTGCATGTTATGTGACAGAAATTTGATACTTTGAATCCGTAAATGGATGGTCAGTTGACTCACAACCACTTGCAGAATATATTATTTCTCCTCTAGACTAAAATGCCATATTCAACAAATATTATACAAATTAATTTTTTTTTTAAATGCCAGGCAAAGGGATAGGCCCTGAGTTAGGAAAGAGTGTCTTGTGTCTTCAAGAGGAATTGAAAAGAGGATAGTACACTTAGATTTAGGGGATATGAGGGTGGTTATAAAATGGGGTTACAGAGGTGATATTTTAATGTTACACTGGATATCATAGAAGACTTCTTATAATCTTTGTGATTGTTAAATCATAAATCTCCCAAAGATCTATGGTTGTTAGAATCACCTCTCAATTTTCATAATCCGGCACTTGCCATCCTACTCAGCTGAATGTCATTTTGGGGATGTGAGAATTTTAAGTAAGGAAAAATAATAATGAGACAAACACCACATTACTAAGAAATACAGCATTATATATCCCTGGTGTTGGACTGCTTAGTTTAGTATTCCTGTTTTAAAACTTGCTAGCCGTGTGACTGTGGAAAAACGACTTAACCATATTTTTGCTTGGGTCTTCTTGTCTTTGAAATAGAGGTGCCTACTTCATAATGTTGTTATGAAGTTTGACAGAAACCCTGCTGTTAGAACATAGGCTGGCACAAGGTTGGTGCTCCATAAATGCTGAGTATTAAGATTCGTATTATTGTCACTCTTATTAACATTTTGATGCAATGGCTTTAGATTTATAAAAAATAAAACATTACAGATAAAATTGGATCTCATATCTCTTGCTGATTGCTTTTTAAAAAAAACGATTTCCAAACTACTTCTCCCTTTTAAATAAAAGTTTTATTGTCTACTAATCTTTTAGCTCTCTTAAACCAGTTTTTTTTTTTAAAGAAATCTTAGAAAATTGGCTCATATCCTTTTGCTCTGAACTTAAAAAGAAATTTCATCCTAAGTCTACCTTCAGTGTTTTCCTTGCCTGTTACAAACTCTAGTAGCGTCCTTGCAGGCCTTTTTTTCCCCCTCACTTTATTACCTTATTTTTTCGAGTTGGTCAGAATTAGGTTTGAAGTACTAATTCTTCTCATCAGTGAAACATGACATTCCCAGTATGAAAAGCAAGTTTCACTGGGCGGTTATTAGAGTCAGTGTTTTTCCCCTTGGTATTTTTTTGGTACTTTTTCTGAATTTGTTATTTTTCTCTTATGATATTTGTCACTTCTAGTTATTTTAGTTACTTGTCCACATGTTTTTTCCACTATAAGCTCATGTTCTTGAAGGCAGATACCCAGTTTGTTTCAACTTTGCATTTTCCAAAGCATTTAAAACAGTGTCTCATAAAATAGCATCCTCACAAGACATCTGTTAAGTCCACATATCTATGATGAACAGTGGTATTGTGTATTTTAAAGCGCCAGAAACCATGATTATTGTCTTTTCATTATAGGTTTTTACAGGTGCTTCCTGCTTGCACTGAAGATGAGAAACTGCTAATAGATATCATACATTTTTTAAATAAATTAATAAAGGAACAAAGAAAAAATTCTTCACTAGAACTTCTAAACTGGATTCTCGAATTACTTCTTAGACATGTAAGTGGTGTTAAGGAATTTGGATTTTAAGTTTGGGAAATAACTTATTTGTAGAAATCATTAACATTATATTATGGAAAAGGATAATTTTATATTGTCTATGCTTGGTAAAGTAGTCTTCATGTAATGAATGGCTCATAACAACATGGCTTTCCTGATACGATTGTGAATGTGTTTATTAAAATTCTGTACAGTGAATGGGACCTACAGTCTTGTGTTTAATAAAACCTGTTCTGCATGTGAACTTTCTGCTGCAACTGTATTTTTAAGTGGGGATTTCAGTTCAGGTGGCAGGGGACAGGGTGGATGTCCAGATAGGCATGTTGAGAGTTAGCTAACAAAGCCAGATGGAGGCAGGAGGGGGTATAGTGATGGTGCAGTTATAAAGATAAAGTGTGTTCAGGCCTTAAATAACGGTTACTGGAATATTTACCCTTCTAGCCCCCACTACTGTCAGATTTTTAGCTCTTCTAAAAATTCTAAATTTTTTTTTTTTATTTTTTTTGAGACGGCGTCTCGCCCTGTCACCCAGGCTGGAATGCAATGGTGCGATCTTGGCTCACTGCAACCTCTGCCTCCTGGGTTCAAATGATTCTCCTGCCTCAGCCTCCTGAGTAGCTGGGATTACAGGTGCCTGCCACCACGCCCAGCTAATTTTTGTATTTTTAGTAGAGACAGGGTTTCACCATGTTGGCCAGGCTCGTCTTGAACTCCGGACCTCAGGTGATCCGCCCACCTTGGCCTCTCAAAGTGCTGGGATTACAGGCGTGAGCCACCGTGCCTGGCTCTAAAATTTTTCTAAATAGCTATTCTAAAAATTTTGGCTATTCAGATTTCTTATTCTAAGAAGCGTGTGAAGAACCCAAGAAGCCAGGTCCCTGTTGTTGGTCTATCTGTCTCTTTATGTATTTATTTGCAAATACCGTATGAATTTACTCAACTTAGCTAAGATAAAGCTTTACACAAATAAGAAGAAAAACAAAACAAAACTAGAAAAGAGGGCCTAAACTGATATAGGACATAGTGGATCTTATAAGGCAAATATGTTTCATTATATATTAACACATTTGCGAAACTTAGAGATAATTTTATGTAAAAATATGAATTACTGTGTTGTCAGAAATGCTAACTGATATGAATGTTTGTGTGTATATAAAACTTATTTAGAGGTTTATTATCGTCTTAGGCTGTTTTCTGTTGTTTTTAACATAATATCAGAAGCTGGGTAATTTATAAAAAACAAAATTTATTTCTTACAGTTATGGGGTGCAGGAAGTCCAGGTTTAAGAGGGCATATCTGGTGAGAGCCTTCTTGCAGTGGGGACTCTCTGAAGAGTCCCGAGGTGATGCAGGGTATATGTGGTGAGGGGGCTGAGCATGCTGATGTGCTATCTCAGGTTTTTCTCTTCTTACAAAGCCATCAGTTCCCCTTCCATGATAACCCATTAATCCACTATCCATGAATGGATTAGTCTATTCATGAGGGTAGGGCCTTCATGATCCAGTCACCTCCAAAGGCCCCACCTCTCAATACTGTTACTTTGGGGATTAAATTTCAACATGAATTTTGGAGGGAATGTTCAAACCATAGTAATTATCTTTTCCTTTATTGTAGATTGGTGAAGGTAGGGACTGTTTTGTTCATTATTGCATACCCAGCATTTATTATAGTGCCTTGCACATAGTGAGCTCTCAATAAACATTTATTAACTCAGTAATAAGCTATGTAGTTAATTACAAGAAGCACACAAAACCTTAATTTTATCACTAGTTAAGATTTAACAAAAATGGAAACCATGTATTACTTTCAAGGTTACTTATATATGCAAGTATATTTATAGACTGAATTTCTAGAATTGTAATTGCTGAGTCAAATTGTAGAGGTGCGTGTGTGCTGAGGTTTTTGTGGTTTTATAAATAGATAACTTATTTTGAATTAGATGGAGATTTTTTCATATTCGGTCTTTTCATGAATTGTATCTTGATGTCCTTGCTGGTTCTCCGCCACAATTGGGTTGTTAGTCTCCTTTCATTTCTTCTTTCCTGTCCTTTCTTTTCCTCCCTTCCCTTCTCCCTTCCCTTTCTCCTTTGCTTTTTCCTTCCATTTTCCTCTTCCCTCCCCTCCCCTTTCCTTGGAGCGTGATTTCATTCTGGTACCTGCAACTTGGACATTAGTGTAGAGATCTTTCACCTTTTGATTAAATTTATTCCTAAATATCTTAATTTTTTTTGGTAGCTATTTTAAATGAGGTTTTTTTTTGGGGGGGCGCGGTTACTGTATAGAAATGCTACTGATTTTTTATAAGTTGATTTTGTATCCTGCAACTTTATTGAATTCATTTTTAAGATCAAAGTTTTTTGGTGGAGTCTAGGTTTTTCTAGATTTAAGATTATATCATCAGCATAGAGGGACAGCTTAACTTGCCTTTTTTCTAATGTGGATGCCTTTTATTTCTTTCTATATACTAATTGCTCTGGCTAGGATTTCCAGTACCATATTGAATAGACATGGTGAGAGTAGACATCCTTGTCTTGTTCCTGATCTTAGAGAAAAAGCTTTAAACTTTTCACCATTGAGAATGATGTTAGCTGTGGGTTTTTCATATATGGCCTTTATTGTGTTGGGATTCCTTTTCTACTTAATTTATTGAGAGTTTTTATTATGAAAGGATGTTGAATTTTGTCAAATGCTTTTTCTGCATCTGTTGGTATAATCATGTGGTTTTTGTTCTTAATTCTGTTAATTTGGTGTATCACATTTACGCATTTGTGTATGTTGAACCATCCTTGCATCCCTGGAATGAATTCCACTTGATTATAGTGAGTGATCTTTTTATTGTGCTCTTGGTTTCAGTTTGCCAGTATTTGGTAAAGGATTTTTTATATCTGTGTTTATCAGGGATATTAGCCTGTAATTTTCTTTTCTTGTAGTTCCCACGTCTGGCTTTGGTATCAGTGTAATGCTGCCGTCATAAAGTGAGTTTGGAAGTATTCCTTCTTCATTTGGTTTTAGGAGTACAGAGATTAGTATTAATTCTTTAAATGTTTGGTGGAATTCAGCAGTGAAGCCATCAATCAGGTCTTGGGCTTTTTTTTGGTGAAAGACTTTGCATTACTGATTTAATCTCCTTATTATTGGTCTGTTCAGATTTTCTGTTTCTTCATGATTCCATCTTGGTAGCTCTATGTGTCTAGAATTTTTTCCACTTGGTTGTCCAATTTGTTGACATGAAATTGTTCATAATAGTCTCTTACGATTCCTTGTGTTTCTGTGGTATCTGTTGTAATGTCTTCCCTTTTCGTTTCTCATTTTGTCTTCTTTTTTTATTAGTCTAGCTAAAGGTTTGTCAATTTTGTTCATCTTTTCAAAATCTCAATTCTTGATTCTGTTACTGTTTTCTATTGTTTTTCCAGTTTCTATTTCATTTGTATCTGCCCTTATCTTCATTGTTTTCTTTTTACTAAGTTTTGGCTTCATTTATGCTTCTTTTTCTAGTTCCTTGAGGTTGTTTACTTGATATCTTTCTTTTTGACATAGATGTTTATTGTTATGTATGTCCTTCTTAGACCTGCTTTTGCTGTATCCCATAAGTTTTGGTTGGTTTGGTGTCCATTTTTGTTTGTCTCATGATATTTTAAAATTTCCCTTTTAGCTTTTTCTTTGACCCACTGATTGTTCAGGAGCATGTTGCTTAATTTTTATGTATATGTGAATACTCCAGAATTCCTTCTTTTGGTGACTTCTAGTTTTTTATCACTATGGTCAGAAATGATATTAGATATGATTTCAGTCTTGTTATATTTGTTAAGACTTGTAACACCATACATGTACTGTTAATTTTGTAGTATGTCATAAGGTTTATGTATATTTTATAATTTATTCATAGTTATGAAATTAAAATTAAATTCCTACAAGACTCTAGATGATTGTACTATAATTTTAATGCAGTTTTTGAAAAGGATTTTTGGTACAGTTACATTTACTTATTTGGTTTTGTATGGTATTAAACCTTTCTTCGGAAAGCTTCTACTTTATCTCATATATTATCACCACAAGTGTTATAAATAATACTACTTTTAAGAGTGCACAAAAGTGAACTTAAGTGTTCACTATCAGTTGGGTTTACTCCCTAAATATTATGCTACAAGATAAATTAATATATGTTATATAACTACCAATGTTTAGGATAAAGGGAACCTGGAAATAGAAAATCAAGTACCTTTTAAAGTTTATCCTTTGAAGTGAGTAAAATAAGTGAGAAATGATTTAAGAAGCTCAGTAAAATAACATTTCCAAGTAAATTGCTTTGAATGTATGGACATACATGAAAAGATATACAAAAGTTGTGGTTGCAAAAACAAAATTAGGCAGATATGAACGCCTGATTAGTCAGAAGAATGCTAAGAGGAAGTGAAAAGAAAAATCAGCTAACTTCCCGAGGGAAGATTTAGGAACTTTCTCTTGTGAAATTTTTTTCCATGTGTTTTATCAAGACATTCACTTATTACAAACATATTGTAATTCTTAGGCAATTTAGGAGTTTATTGCACCTCTAATCTGTTTTTAATATGATATTTTGTTTATAGTAACCTAGAAGTGCTGAATTTGAATACCTTTCTTTTTGGAATGCATTTTTTTGATGGAAGTTCACAAATGTGGGGCTGTTAGTTTTTTTCTTCTTTTGGTGAAGCTCAGCAGAACTACACAGCATATATATTTTCCTTGGCTGGCTTTCCCGTAACGGGCTCAATGTGCACTCAGACATTATTGAGGGTCTTGCAGTTACTTTTGGCATAGCTTGCTGATGGATGTAAAGTTGGATATGATGAGTGGTAACTGTGTGTGTAAACAAAATGAGCCATCATTATAGAAATGGTTGCCTTTTAGAGGTCAACAGTGACAAAATAATGGCCCAAGTAGTTGGTTTAAAATTAGGATTGAATCCTAACGTCTAAAGACAAAAACTTCAGATATGATTAAGCACTTGACATCTGTAGGCATCAGTAGAGACATCTTATTCTACTCTATTGTACTTGAGAAATGGTAATTCACCCTATATTTTACAAGTGGTATTGCTGAGGTTCACTGAATTTCAGTGTTAACATGTAAATCAAAGGTGAAAAGAGAAAAAAAAACTTCAGTAATCTTCAAGTGGAAGCAAGTTATTAATAGGATGAGATTCTTTGGGAGAATCTTAATTTTTAGGTATACACATACTGTTTCAGTATATTCATGTATTAATAGTAGCTTCTACTTAATTTTTATCAGCATATCAGAATTAATAATTCCTAATAATAAAATTGTTTTACAAGATGGAGTTTGCGTCTTGGTATAAACAGTTTGTTCATTTTGTCAGTAGTTTTGGGAGTCAGAAGGCACGTGAATGTGAGTCAGCTTTTGGATATTTAGGGCTCAGAACATTATAGAAAATTTATTTATTTTTATGATTTACTAAATGTGTATTTCGATTCTTTTATTCATGTATGAAACATAAAAGTTGCAGTTATGTCTTATTCAATCTTAATTTATCCAAAGACATATATTGCTTAAGATAAAAGAAAAAGTTGGGAAAAAAACTATTTAGATGTTAAAATACTGTAAAATAAGAGCAAAATGTCACTACTAGTTTCCAAAAGCTCTCAGTTATATTATTTATAATTGTATATATCTCTATATACTATAAGCAATTTAGAGGTTTCTTTACATATTTTCATTTCTTTTCCCTAAAGAGAATGCAGTTAATTTTGAGTTGAGCTCTTTTAGGTGAAGGATTTTATAAGAACAATAGTTACATTTTGATTGTATCTCTTTTTGTATGTTTTTACATGCACTAGTGATGTGACACTGTGCTGAGGATGGAATATTAACTAGCTTTGGAGTAAGATGCTTCTTGCTCTGCCCTTGTCTGTCTAAGACTTAGACAATTATTTAACCTCTTTATAAATCTATGTTCCCATCTGTAAAACAGGAATGAAAATGCAAATCTTCTAGTTTATTCAAAAAGTCAAATGAAATCTTACTATCTTTTTTTTTTAGCACAGTGCCTGAGGCATCATAGATGATTAATAAATATCCCATATATCTATTAATGCTTCTGATTAATGTAACGTTTTCTTTTGTCAATATTATTAGAAATAATCCTCTTATATTCCTTTATCTATTTTTTTTTTAGTTGGGAAAAGAGGAAAAACTTTAGAAAGAACTAGTATTTGTTTACTAGCCTATCAAGGTGGCAAAGATTATTGCAGTAATAATCCACATAGCACTGGCTTGGGTGCTGTGGGTCTTTTCATGTCCTGTGTAATTGTATGTATTGGTACATTTTTTACAGGGACAATTTGGCAATATATATCAAAAAATTAAAACTACTATAATATTTTGATTTAGTAATTTTATTGCAGAATTCATACATAAGATAAAATCCAACTTGAGTACACTGTGTGTTGCAGCTTAGTGAAATTATGCATCATTGATTATCCAGGAGTTAGTGTGGTAAATCCTTATTGTTGAAAAACAATCAGATATTAAACTAATGTTTTTGCAGAAATATTGTTAATAACGGGAAGTAGGAAAAAATGGTTACAGTAGTGATTTTTTTCACTTGATACGGGTTTGTGAAAAATGTACTGTTTTAATTCTGTTTATATTCTCAGAAACAAAAAGGAGAGTTATATATCAATATATAATAGTGGCAATTTCTGTGTGGCATGATTATGTGTGGTTTTGTTTTTCTCGTCCTTTTTTTCTATTTTATATGATAAATATGTTTTTCTTTTGTTGAGAATATATTAAACATCTTTTGAATTTAGAACATCTCTACTAATGCAGTAAAGGCCCACACCTACTAGTTAGGTAATATAGCTCTTACTAGAACTTGCTTAGCAACCAAACCCTTTATAGGAAACAATATATAGTTCAATTAGTAAATACATTTTTTACAAATTTCATTTTTTAGAGTGCAAACCCACTGTTAGACCTCTTGGTTCTGACAGAGTCACAGGCACGAGAAGAAACAGATGATATCCGGACTGCTGTCAGGCAACAACTTCAGAAAGAACTGATTGCTCTTTTTGATACCTTGCTGCTCAATTTCATGGAAGTTACTGACAGGTACCATTTGTAATATTGCAGGTTTAGGTGCATTTATATAGAACCCAAGTTTTCTTTGATTTTCAAAGTTTTACTTTGTACTTCTTTCAAATTAAGAAATACTTCTTTCAAATACTTAAATAATAATCAGTTATAGTGTTCTGTTTGTTTTTGTTTCAGTTTAATCTGTTACAGCCTGATTGTACCTGCTTGGTCTCTTTCACTACACACATGCACTCACATATGCACACACACAGTTTTGTTCTCTAGGGTTTAATTCCTGGTTCTCTCTTAATTATCTACAAATCTACTTGAGCAGTCATACCTATGCCTATGACTTTATGATTATCTTTACACTGATGACTTTCAAATACATATCTCTAGTTATGAATTCTGTTTTTTAAAAATAAAAATATTAAGATGAAAGTCACTATTTTAACCATTTTAAAATGTACATTTGAATGGTTTTAGTATATCCGCAATGTTTGCAACTGTCACCACTACCTAATTCCAGAACTTTATCATCACCCCAAGAGAAGCCTTGTATCCATGAAAAAGTCTCTCCCTATTCACACATTCCTCTGGGCCCTGGCAGCCACTAGTCTTCTTTCTATGTCTGTGGATTTGCCTATTCTGGATATATCACATAAATGAAATCAAACAATAATGTGACCTTTAGCGTCTAGCTTCTTCACTTAGCATCATGTTTCCAAGCTCCTTGCATACTGTAGCAAATATCACTACTTCTTTCTATGACTGAATAATATTCTATTTATAGATATGCCATGTTTTGTTTATCCATTCATTCATTGGTGGACATTTGATCTGTTTCTACCTTTTGGCTATTATGAATAGTGTTGCTGTAAACACTCATATACAGATTTTTGTGTGGACATGTGTTTCAGTTCTCTTGAGTATATAATTAGGAGTGGAATTGTTGGTTCATATGGTAACTGTAATGGTAACTCTATGTTTGACTTTTCAAGGAAATGCCAAGCTGTTTTCCACAGCAGCTATACCATTTTACATTCCCACCAGCAATGTATGAGTGTTTCATTTTCTTCATATCCTCACCAACACCTGTTATTATAGCATCCTAATGGGTGTAGACTGGTATCATTTTGGTTTTTATTTGCATTTCCCCAATGAAAAATAATTTTGAGCATCTTCTCATGTTCTTATGGCTATTTGTGTATCTTCTTCGGAGAAATACCTATTCAACATCTTTGAGGATTTAGTATCAGTGTGCATCAGGGATATTGGCCTGAAATTTTCCTTTTTTGTTTTGTTTTGTTTTTTGCTTTAAATATGTCCCAGAGATTCTGGTACATTGTGTCTTCGTTCTCATTGATTTCAAAGAACATCTTTATTTCTGCCTTCATTTCGTTATTTGCTCAGTAGTCATTTAGGAGCAGGTTGTTCGGTTTCCATATAGTTGTGCGGTTTGGAGTGAGTTTCTTAATCCTGAGTTCCAGTTTGATTGCACTGTGGTTTGAAAGACTGTTTGTTATGATTTGCGTTCTTTTGCATTTGCTGAGGAGTGTTTTACTTCCAATTATGTGGTCAATTTTAGAATAAGTGCGATGAAGTGCTAAGAAGAATGTATATTCTGTTGATTTGGGGTGAAGAGTTCTGTAGATGCCTATTAGGTCCGCTTGGTCAAGAGCTGAGTTCAAGTCCTGAATATCCTTGTTAATTTTCTGTCTTGTTGATCTGTCTAATATTGGTAGTGGGGTGTTAAAATCTCCCACTGTTATTGTGTGGTAGTCTAAGTCTCTTTGTAGGTCTCTAAGAACTTGCTTTATGAATCTGGGTGCTCCTGTATTGGGTGCATATATATTTAGGATAGTTAGCTCTTCTTGCTGTATTGATCCCTTTATCATTATGTAGTGCCCTTCTTTTTCTCTTTTGATCTTTGTTGGTTTTAAGTCTTTTGTATCAGAGATAAGGATGGTAGCTCTTGCTTTTTTTTTTTTTTTTTTGCTTTCCATTTGCTTGATAAATCATCCTCCATCCCTTTATTTTGAGCCCATGTGTGTTTTTTGCATGTGAGATGGGTCTCCTGAATATAGCACACTGATAGGTCTTGACTCTTTATCCAATTTGCCAGTCTGTGTCTTTTAATTGTGGCATTTAGCCCGTTTACATTTAAGGTTAATATTGTTATGTGTGAATTTGATCCTGTCATTATGATGCTAGCTGGTTGTTTTGCCCATTAGTTGATGCAGTTTCTTCATAGCGTCGATGTTCTTTACAATTTGGTATGCTTTTGCAGTGGCTGGTACCGGTTTTTCCTTTCCATATTTAGTGCTTCCTTCAAGAGCTCTTGTAAGGCAGGCCTGGTGGTGACAAAATCTCTCAGCATTTGCTTGTCTGTAAAAGATTTTATTTCTCCTTTGCTTATGAAGCTTAGTTTGGCTGGATATGAAATTCTGGGTTGAAAATTGTTTTCTTTAGAAAGGTTGAATATTGGCCCCCACTCTCTTCTGGCTTGTAGGTTTCTGCTGAGAGATCTGCTGTTAGTCTGATGGGCTTCCCTTTGTGGGTAACCTGATCTTTCTCTCTGGCTGCCCTTAACATTTTTTCCTTCATTTAATCTTTGGTAAATCTGATGATTATGTGTCTTGATGATTATGCATTCTTGAGGAGTATCTTTGTGGTGGTCTCTGTATTTCCTGAATTGGAATGTTGGCCTGTCTTGCTAGATTGGGGAAGTTCTTCTGGATAATATCCTGCAGAGTGTTTTCCAAGTTGGTTCCATTCTCTCTGTCACTTTCAGGTACACCAATCGAACATAGATTTGGTCTTTTCACATAGTCCCATATTTCTTGGAGCCTTTGTTTGTTCCTTTTTATTCTTTTTTCTCTAATCTTGTCTTCACATTTTATTTCATTAATTTGATCTTCTATCACTGATATCCTTTCTTGGTGACCTTCGGTTGGGATCTTTGAGTGGACGTGCTGTTCCTTTCTGTTTGTTAGTTTTCCTTCTGACAGGCCCATGTGCTGCCGGTCTGCTGGAGTTTGCTAGAGGTCCACTCTCGACCCTGTTTGCCTAGGTATCGCCAGCGGAGGCTGCAGAACAGCAAAGATTGCTGCCTGATCTTTCCTCTGGAAGCTTCGTTCCAGAGGGGCACCTGCCAGATGCCAGCCAGAGCTCTTCTGTATCAAGTGTCGGTTGGCCCCTACTAGGAGGTGTCTCCCCGTCAGGATACACGGGGGTCAGGGACCCACTTGAGGAGGCAGTCTGACCCTTAGCAGAGCTTGATCGGTGTGCTGGGAGGTCCACTGCTCTCTTCAGAGTCGTCAGGCAGGGATGTTTAAATCTGATGAAGTTGCGCCCACAGCCTCCCCTTTCTCCAGGTGCTCTGTCCCAGGGAGATGGGGGTTTTATCTATAAGTCCCTGTCTGGGGTTGCTGCCACTTTTTCAGAGATGCCCTGCCCAGACAAGGGAAATCTGGCAATCTGGCCATGGCAGCCTTGTTGAGCTGCAGTGGGCTCTGCCCAGTTCGAACTTCCCAGTGGCTTAGTTTACACTGTGAGTGTAAAACTGCCTACTCAAGCCTCGGCAATGGCGGACGCCCGTCCCCTCACCAAGCTCTAGCGTCCCAGGTCAATCTCAGACTGCTGCTGTGCTGGCAACGAGAATTTCAAGCCAGTGAATCTTAGTTTGCTGGGCTCCGTGGGAGTGGGACCTGCTGAGCCAGACCACTTGGCTCCCTGGCTTCAGCACCCCTTTCCAGCGGAGTGAACACTTCTGTCTCGCTGCTGTTCCAGGCGCCACTGGGGTATGGGAAAAAAGAACTACTGCAGCTTGTTTGGTGTCTGCCCAAATGGCCGCCCAGTTTTGTGCTTGAAACCTAGGGCTCTGGTAGGGTAGGCAACCGAGGGAATCTCCTGGTTTGTAGGTTGCGAAAACCGTGGGACAAGCGCAGTATCTGTGCAGGAGTTCCTCAGGCTCAGTCTGTCACGGCTTCCCTTGGGTGGTGGAGAAAATTCCCCGACCCCTTGCGCTTCCCAGGTGAGGCGATGCTCCACCCTGCTTCAGCTTGCCCTCTGTGCCCTGCACCCACTGTCCAACCAGTCCCAGTGAGATGAACCGGGTACCTTAGTTGGAAATGCAGAAATCACCCGCCTTCTGCGTCGATCTTGCCGGGAGCTGCAGACTGGAGCTATTCCTATTTGACCATCTTGCCAGCAATCCCCCCAACCTTTTTTTTTTTTTTTTTAAAAAGGGATGGGGGTCTCACTATGTCACCCCGGCTGGAGTGCAGTGACACATTCTTAGTTCACTGTAACCTCAAGCTCCAGGGCTTAAGAGATCCTCCTGCCTCAGCTTCCTGAGTAGCTGGGACTATAGGTGTGCACCACCACACCTGGCTAATTTTTTTTACTTTAATTTTATTTTATTTCATTTTTTTAGAAATGAGGTCTCACTGTGTTGTGTTGCTCAAGCTGGCCGCAAGCAATCCTCCCACCTCAGGCTCCCAAGGCACTGGGATTATAGGGGTGAGCCACAGCCCCTGGCCCAGTGTAATCGTTACTTGTATTTTATATGACATTCTCTAGTTGGTATTTTATGCTTTCCTTGAAAAGTCTCATTTTGATAGAGACTATTTTCTGCCATTTTGTCTGGTTCATTTTTTTCTATTACTATGAGTTTAAGTAACCTTTTATAGCCAGTAAGATAGCCCATTAAGCCCATTATACTTTCTTGGTGGTTGATTTTCCCTCTTTTGCATACATAGGAAATGCTCGGAACTTCTTTACGTTTTTCAAACGCAGCTGGCTCTGAAACTGCTCCAGTGTCTGAAAGTGACGGATGCGCCTCATTTCTATGGCCTGCCGTCCCTTGAGCGGACCTTACGAGGGATGGCTAACCTCACTGCGTTTCCGGGATGGAGCTCACACTCTCCTCTCACAAAGCCTCTAGATATCTGTGTGAAGTACTTGTCAGGTCTCCTTGAGGTAAGTAAAAATAGCATATGGTAGTTATTTACTATTAGTTGCTTTTACTTTATGCCAGGCCACAAGTGCATTATACGTTACTCTATTCAATGTAGAATATTATACATTATTTATATAAGTCATAATAGTGAAATGTTTTAGTGATTTTTATTAATAGTTAAGTAAGGAAGGTCACTTTTATAAATACCCTCATTTTCAAAAGAAATAAATGGAAACTTTTGATGCTCAAAGGAAGTGTTCGCTAGAGCATTTCAGATTTTGGATTTTTGGATTAGGAATGCTCAACCAGTAAGTATATGATACAGGTATTTCAAAATCCAAACAACTCCAAAATTCAAACACTTCTGGTCCCAAGCATTTTGTATACGGCATACTCAGGCTGTACAATGTTAAAGGATATTTGTTTTTTCTTTTTCTTCCAGTTTGTGCAGTTCTAGATGCTACTGCTATGAACATTCTTATCTTTTGGTGAAAATGAGCATCTTTTTTGAAATTTTATCTTCTGTTATTGAAATATGTAAATATAGCCAATTTTTATATGTTGACCATGTATCAGGCAATTCTTATTTCCAATATCAAAACAAAAGCCTTTAATTTTTCACCCTTCAGTATGCTGTTTATAGTTTTTTTTTGTCAATTAAGAAAGATCAAGTTAAGGAAGTTTTCTTTTGTCCTGTTTTGCTAGGAGCTTTGTTTTTTAATTCATAATTGTATATTGCTTTTTTCTGTATCTTTTAAGATAATCACATGATTTTTCCCTTATATTCCATTACTGATTGATTTTAAAATGTTAAACAACCTTGCATTTCTCGAAACATTTCAGTTAGGTTGTGATGTATTACTCTTTTTATATGTTAGTGGATTTCGTTTCTCAATTTTTTAGAATTCTGAAGTTTTTAGAATTATTCTATTTCCTCATGTAAAAAAGTTTTTCGAATTTTGCATCTTTTTTCTCTTAAAGAATTTGTCAGGTTTTTAATAATCAAAATCATTCCGTTCTTATGACTAAAATGGGAGAATGTGAGATTGTAAGAACGTGACTTTTTCAACCATTTTAAATCTTTTCCTTTATATAACTTTCTTTTTTGGAATAGCTGATTTGCATTGGTGTGATTTTGTTCTCTAATGTTAGGTAGAATTTGATCGTGAAACAATCTTGGTTTGCAGTTTTCTTTTTGGGAAGATTGTAAATTGTGAAATGAAATGACTTTTTTTTTTTTTGAGACAGAGTCTTGCTCTGTTGCCCAGGCTGGAGTGCAATGGCATGATCTCAGCTCACTGCAACCTCTGCCTCCCGGGTTCAAGTGATTCTCCTGCCTCAGCCTCCCAAGTAGCTGGGATTACAGGCGCCTGCCACCACGCACAGCTAATTTTTGTCTTTTTAGTAGAGACAGGGTTTCACCAGGTTGGCCAGGCTGGTGTCGAACTCCTGATCTCAGGTGATCCACACCCGTCTTGGCCTCCCAAAGTGCTGGGATTACGGGTGTGAGCCACTGCGCCTGGCCTGAAATGACTTTTTAAATAGATCTAAAATCGTTCAGAGTTTCTTTTTATGTGTGTCAGCCTTAGTAAGTTATGTTTTTGTAGAACTTAAAAACTTTTTATCTAATTTTTAAAATTTGTTACTGTGAAGGTATTCATCAAATCATCTTACACTTTTAATGTCTGCTGAATCTGTAGTGAGGTCCCCTTTCATTGCAGACATTAATTATTCCTTTCTCAATTTTTCTTGGTTTATCTTTCTAATAGAATGAACCTTTGGCTTTGTTGAGCCTCTCTTTAACTTTTTTCTCCTGTTTTATTTCTGCCAATATTTATTATCTCCTTCTACTTTTAGTTTAGTTTACAGCTCTTTTTTCTAACATTTTAAGGTAGAGGCTTACGTCATTGATTTTTTTAAAAGTCTTTCTCAAATGTGTGTTTTTAGCTCTAATCCTCTAAGCATGGCCTTATGCCATGTTTTTATCATCAATTTAGGTCAAAATATTTCTACTGTGATATAATAAATACGACAATGATATGGTTGTACATAGTTCTATGAGAACAGCCTCATCACAGTGGCCTGACAATTTTGCATATCTGCCCTTGGGCTTCATAGACAAGGCTTAACTACAGCCAATCTAAATCTTGGCAGAATTTCCTGTGATCCTTCTGGAACATGAGAATATGAAAGGCTTATGAGCAGCTGACTATGCAAGATTGATTCTCACTTACTTCACAGTCTATTAGGAAGTCAGTTAGGAGCCCGTTTCTTATTGGTTCCTAGGTTCCGACGAGCACTGGGCTTTCTGCCTTGCTCTCCTTGGGGCATAGCTACAGCTTATAAAACTGCTTTACTGCAGCACGGCATGGGCTTCTCCGCAACAGAGTGTCCTACATCTTTGTTATAGTCATCTGGCCCCTTTGTTTCAATGTCATCCTGTGCAAGGGATACTAGTAGCTGGCACCTTTGTCTATTCTTGCTTTTGCTGTTTATGTAGGTAATAAACTGTCTGAATCCAAAAATTACTCATTGTTTTCTTACTGGACAAATCTGTCAGCCTTGTTTTGATTGCTAACTGTGTTCGGACCTCAAGAATGATTCTTGTAGGAAGCACTGTAGAGTTAGATTTTGAAAGATAAGTAAATTGATAGTGATAGCAATAGACATTCTAGACATGGAATTTTCTGATAAAATTGTATCTATAACCTCCTGTTTTTTTTTCATGCTGTGGGTGACTTCTTGACATCATATAATCTCTACCTATTGCCAGATTATTTTTCAGAAACATAAATTTTTCAATCCAAACCTCTTTTTTTTTCAAGAGCATAAGACTCAATATTTTGCATTTAGAGATTTGCCTCCATTGTAGTTTTTTCCCACATCTCTGAATTTTCAGTTATATCTGGCTGTTTTTCCAAAATAAAAATGCACTTTAAAAAGACTGCTTCTTTCACATAGTTTCCTCTCTTTTAGGGATGGCAATATCTACAAAAAATTTAAGATCTAACTTATTTATTTACCTTCATTTAGTAAACCTTTTCTTATTCTTCCAAGGTTGGATACTTACCTAATACTGTTTGGCCTTTCCTGTAGGTTATATACCTGTAACAATTTATATATGTGGCTATTACTTAATACATTATATTTTTATTTATTTTACTTTATTTCTTTGAGACAGGGTTTACCGTGTTGCTCAGGCTGGAATGCAGTGGTGCAATCACAGCTCACTACAGCCTCAACCTCCTGAGCCCAAGTGATCTTCCCACCTCAGCCTCCCAAGTAGCTGGGGCCACAGGTGTGCACCACTACACCTGGCTGGTTTAATTTTTTTGTAGAGATGGGTCTCACTATGTTGCCCAGGTTTGTCTTGAATTCTTTGGCGCAAATGATCTTCCCACTTTGGCCTACCAAAGTGCTGCTATTACAGGCATGAGCCACTGTAACTGGACCTTTATTTTGTTTTCTGCATTGCTCTAGTAGACTATGAGCTTATAAGTATCATCTTTGGGCTATTTCTACTATCCCATGGCTACTGCATTGACCTAGCACCATGGTTTTTACATAGTGGTTAGTGAATCAGTTAATTAATATATGTGCTACATAATACATATATATTGTGTATAGTTTTTAAATTAAGATACAGTTTGAAAAACATTTTGGAAATGTAGCATAAATGATTATAAAAATATGTTTTATTGTTGTATTTTTATTACTAAATAATGATTTAAATAATGTATATATATATTTTATCTGGTCTTATCTAGAACTTTTTTCCAAAAGCACATATTGTTTTTAAAACAAGTTTAAAGATCATAAATACTCTTTGCTGTACTGTAAAATTTAATATGAATTTCACTGGAGTCCCTTTAATAAAATAAATTTCGGAGAGGTTCCAAGATGGCCAAATAGGAACAGCTCTAGTCTACAGCTCCCAGCATGAGCGACGCAGAAGACGGGTGATTTTTGCATTTCCAGCTGAGGTACCGGGTTCATCTCACTGGGGCTTGTCGGACAGTGGGTGCAGCCCACGGACTGTGAGCAGAAGCAGGGCGGGGCATCGCCTCACCCAGGAAGCGTAAGAGGTCAGGGAATTCCTTTTCCAAGCCAAGGGAAGCCGTGACACATGGTACCTGGAAAATTGGGACACTTCCACCCTAATACTGTGCTTTTCCAATGGTCTTAGCAAACAATACACTAGGAGATTATATCCCACGCCTGGCTTGGAGGGTCCCACGCCTATAGAGCCTCGCTCACTGCTAGCACAGCAGTCTGAGATCGAACTGCAAGGTGGCAGCGAGGCTGGGGGAGGGGTGTCCGCCATTGCTGAGGCTTGAGTAGGTAATCAAAGCGGCCGGGAAGCTCGAACTGGGTGGAACCCACCACAGCTGAAGGAGGCCTGCCTGCCTCTGTAGACTCCACTTCTGGGGGCAGGGCATAGCTGAACAAAAGGCAGCAGAAACCTCTGTAGACTTAAACGTCCCTGTCTGACAGCTTTGAAGAGAGTACTGGTTCTCCCGTTACAGAGTTTGAGATCTGAGAACAGACAGACAGCCTCCTCAAGTGGGTCCCCAACCCCCGAGTAGCCTAACTGGGAGACACTTCCCAGTAGGGGCCAACTGACACCTCATACAGCCGGGTGCCCCTCTTGAGACGAAGCTTCCAGAGGAAGGATCAGGCAGCAACATTTGCTGTTCTGTAACATTTGCTCTTCTGCAGCCTCCGCTGGTGATACCCAGGCAAACAGGGTCTGGAGTGGACCTCCAGCAAACTCCAGCAGACCTGCAGCTGAGGGTCCTGACTGTTAGAAGGAAAACTAACAAACAGAAAGGACATCCACACCAAAACCCCATCTGTACGTCACCATCATCAAAGACCAAAGATAGATAAAACCACAAAGATGGGGAAAAAACAGAGCAGAAAAGCTGAAAATTCTAAAAATCAGAGCACCTCTTCTCCTGCAGAGGAACACAGCTCCTTGTCAGCAACGGAACAAAGCTGGACGGAGAATGACTTTGACGAGTTGAGAGAAGAAGGCTTCAGAAGATTGGTAATAACAAACTTCTCCAAGCTAAAGGAGGATGTTCGAACCCATCACAAAGAAGCTAAAAACCTTGAAGAAAGATTAGACGAATGGCTAACTAGAATAAACAGTATAGAGAAGACCTTAAATGACCTGATGGAGCTGAAAATCATGGCACAAGAACTACATGACATATGCACAAGCTTCAGTAGCTGATTTGATCAAGTGGAAGAAAGGGTATCAGTGATTGAAGATCAAATGAATGAAATGAAGCGAGAAGAGAAGTTTAGAGAAAAAAGAATAAAAAGAAACAAACAAAGCCTCCAAGAAATACGGGACTATGTGAAAAGACCAAATCTACATTTGATTGTTGTACCTGAAAGTGACGGGGAGAATGGAACCAAGTTGGAAAACGCTCTTCAGGATATTATCCAGGAGAACTTCCCCAACCTAGCAAGGCAGGCCAACATTCAAATTCAGGAAATACAGAGAACGCCACAAAGATACTCCTTGAGAAGAGCAACTCCAAGGCACATAATTGTCGGATTCACCAAAGTTGAAATGACAGAAAAAATATTAAGGGCAGCCAGAGAGAAAGGTCCCGTTACACGCAAAGGGAAGCCCGTCAGACTAACAGCGGATCTCTCGGCAGAAACTCTATAAGCCAGAAGAGAGTGGGGGCCAATATTCAACATTCTTTTTTTTTTATGATTTGCTTTTTTTTTTTTTTTTGAAGTATTTATTGATCATTCTTGGGTGTTTCTCGGAGAGGGGGATGTGGCAGGGTCATAGGATAATAGTGGAGAGAAGGTCAGCAGATAAACACTTGAACAAAGGTCTCTGGTTTTCCTAGGCAGAGGTCCCTGTGGCCTTCCGCAGTGTCTGTGTCCCTGGGTACTTGAGATTAGGGAGTGGTGGTGACTCTTGACCAGCATGCTGCCTTCAAGCATCTGTTTAACAAAGCACATCTTGCACCGCCCTTAATCCATTTAACCCTGAGTTGACACAGCACATGTTTCAGAGAGCACGTGGTTGGGGGTAAGGTTATAGATTAACAGCATCCCAAGGCAGAAAAATTTTTCTTAGTACAGAACAAAATGGAGTCTGCTATGTCTACTTCTTTCTACACAGACACAGTAACAATCTGATCTCTCTTTCTTTTCCCCACATTTCCCCCTTTTCTTTTTGACAAAACTGCCATAGTCATCATGGCCCGTTCTCGATGGTCGCTGTCTCTTCAGAGCTGTTGGGTACCCCTGCAGACAGGCTGTCACTTCATGCTTGGAAGATTGCACAGCGGCCAGGCAGAGGCGCTCCTCACTTCCCAGACGAGGCGGCCAGGCAGAGGCGATCCTCACTTCCCAGACGGGGTGGCGGCTGGGCAGAGGCGCTCCTCACATCCCAGACGGGGCAGCCGGGCAGAGGCGCTCCTCACTTCCCAGACGGGACAGCTGGGCAGAGGCGCTCCTCACTTCCCAGACGGGGCGCCTGGGCAGAGGCGCTCCCCACTTCCCAGACTGGACAGCTGGGCAGAGGCGCTCCTCACTTCCCAGACGGGGCGCCCGGGCAGAGGCGCTCCTCACTTCCCAGACGGGGCAGCCAGGCTCAACATTCTTAAAGAAAAGAATTTTCAACCCAGAATTTCATATCCTGCCAAACTAAGTTTCATAAGTGAAGGAGAAATAAAATCTTTTACAGACAAGCAAATGCTGAGAGATTTGTCACCATCAGGCCTGCCTTACAAGAGCTCCTGAAGGAATCACTAAACATGGAAAGGAACAAGCGGTACCAGCCACTGCAAAAACATGCCAACTTGTAAAGACCATTGATGCTAGGAAGAAACTGTATCAACTAACGAGCAAAATAACCAGCTAACATCATGATGACAGGATTGAATTCACACATAACAATATTAACCTTAAATGTAAATGGTCTAAATGCTCCAATTAAAAGATACAGACTGGGAAGTTGGATAAAGAGTCAAGACCCATCAGTGTGCTATATTCAGGAGACTCATCTCACGTGCAGAGACATACATAGGCTCAAAATAAAGGGATGGAGGAAGATCAACCAAGCAAATGGAAAACAAAAAAAGGCAGGGGTTGCAATCCTCTCTCCGATAAAACAGACTTTAAACCAACAAAGATCTAAAGAGACAAGGCCATTACATAATGGTAAAGGGATCAGTTCAAGAAGAAGAGCTAACTATCCTAAATATATATGCACCCAGTACAGGAGCACCCAGATTCATAAAGCAAGTCCTTAGAGACCTACAAAGAGACTTGGACTCCACACAATAATAATGGGAGACTTTAACACCCCACTGTCAACATTAGACAGATCAGTGAGACAGAAAGTTAACAAGGATATCCAGGACTTGAACTCAGCTCTGCACCAAGTGGACCTAATAGGCATCTACAGAACTCTCCACCCCAAATCAACAGAATGTACATTCTTCTCAGCACCACATCACACTTATTCCAAAATTGACCACATAGTTGGAATTAAAGCACTCCTCAGCAAATGAAAAAGAACAGAAGTTATGATAAACTGTGTCTCAAACCACAGTGCAATCAAACTGGAACTCAGGATTAAGAAACTCACTCAGAACAGCTCAACTACATGGAAACTGAACAACCTGCTCCTGAATGACTACTGGGTACGTAACGAAATGAAGGCAGAAATAAAGATGCTCTTTGAAACCAGTGAGAACAAAGACACAATATACCAGAATTTCTGGGACACATTTAAAGCAGTGTGTAAAGGGAAATTTATAGCACTAAATGCCCACAGGAGAAAGCAGGAAAGATCTAAAATTGACACCCTAACATCACAGTTAAAAGAAGTAGAAAAGCAAGAGTAAACACATTCAAAAGCTAGCAGAAGGCAAGAAATAACTAAGAACAGAGCAGAAATGAAGGAGGTACAGACACAAAAACCCTTAAAAAAAATTGGTGAATCCAGGAGCTGGTTTTTTGAAAAGATCAACAAAATAGATACACCACTAGCAAGACTAATAAAGAAGAAAAGAGAGAAGAATCAAATAGATGCAATAAAAAATGATAAAGGGGATATCAACACCGATCCCACAGAAATACAAACTACTATCAGACAATACTATAAACTCCTCTATGCAAATAAACTAGAAAATCTAGAAGAAATGGATAAATTTCTGGACACATACACCCTCCGAAGACTAAACCAGGAAGAAGTTCAATTTCTGAATAGATCAATAACAGGCTCTGAAATTGAGGCAATAATTATTAGCCTACCAACCAAAAAAAGTCCAGGACCAGATGGATTCACAGCTGAATTCTACCAGAGGTACGAAGAGGAGCTAGTACCATTCCTTCTGAAACTATTCCAGTCAATAGAAAAAGAGGGAATCCTCCCTAACTCATTTTATGAGGCCAGCATCATCCTGATACCAAAGCCTGGCAGAGAGACAACAAAAAAAGAGAATTTTAGACCATATCCCTGATGAACATCAGTGCAAAAATCCTCAATAAAATACTGGCAAACTGAATCCAGCAGCACATGAAAAAGCTTATCCACCATGATCAAGTGGGCTTCATCCCTGGGATGCAAGGCTGGTTCAACATGCACAGATCAATAAACGTAACCCATCATATAAACAGAACCAAAGACAAAAACCACATGATTATCTCAATAGATGCAGAAAAGGCCATTGACAAAATTCAACAGCCCTTCATGCTAAAAACTCTCAGTAAATTAGGTATTGATGGGACGTATCTCGCAATAATAAGAGCTATTTATGACAGACCCACAGCCAATATCATACTGAATGGGCAAAAACTGGAAGCATTCCCTTTGAAAACTGGCACAAGACAGGGATGCCCTCTCTCACCACTCCTATTCAACAGTGTTGGAAGTTCTGGCCAGGGTAATCAGGCAGGAGAAAGAAAGAAAGGGTATTCAGTTAGGAAAAGAGGAAGTCAAATTGTCCCTGTTTGCAGATGACATGATTGTATATTTAGAAAACCCCATCGTCTCAGCCCAAAATCTCCTTAAGCTGATAAGCAACTTCAGCAAAGTCGCAGGATACAAAAAATCAATGTGCAGAAGTCACAAGCATTCCTATACACCAATAACAGACAAACAGCTAAATCATGAGTGAACTCCCATTCACAATTGCTTCAAAGAGAATAAAATACCTAGGAATCCAACTTACAAGGGATGTGAAGGACGTCTTCAAGGAGAACTGCAAACCACTGCTCAAGGAAATAAAAGAGGACACAAACAAATGGAAGAACATTCCATGCTTGTGGATAGGAAGAATCAATATCATGAAAATGGCCATACTGGCCAAGGTAATTTATAGATTCAATGCCACCTTCATCAAGCTACCAATGACTTTCTTCACAGAATTGGAAAAAACTACTTTAAAGTTCAAATGGAAATAAAAAAGAGCCTGCATTGCCAAGACAATCCTAAGCCAAAGAACAAAGCTGGAGGCATCACGCTACCTGACTTCAAACTGTACTACAAGGCTACAGTAACCAAAACAGCATGGTACTGGTACCAAAACAGAGATATAGACCAATGGAACAGAACAGAGCCCTCAGAAATAATACCACACATCTACAACCATCTGATCTTTGACAAACCTGACAAAAAGAAGAAATGGGGAAAGCATTCCGTATTTAGTAAATGGTACTGGGAAAACTGGCTAGCCATATGTAGAAAGCTGAAACTGGATCCCTTCCTTACACCTTACACAAAAATTAATTCAAGATGGATTAAAGACTTAAATGTTAGACCTAAAACCATAAAAACCCAAGAAGAAAACCTAGGCAATACCATTCAGGACATAGGCATGGGCAAGGACTTCATGACTAAAATACCAAAAGCAATGGCAACAAAAGCCAAAATAGACAAATGGGATCTAATTAAACTAAAGAGCTTCTGCATAGCAAAAGAAACTACCATCAGAGTGAACAGGCAACCTACAGAATGGGAGAAAATTTTTGCAATCTACGCATCTGACAAAGGGCTAATATCCAGAATCTATAAAGAACTTAAAGAAATTTTGCAAGAAAAAAACAACTCCATCAAAAAGTGGGCGAAGGATATGAGCAGACACTTCTCAAAAGAAGACATTTATGCAGCCAACAGACACATGAAAGAATGCTCATCATCGGAGAAATGCAAATCAAAACGACAATGAGAAACCATCTCACACCAGTCAGAATGGCAACATTAAAATGTCAGGAAACAACAGGTGCTGGAGAGGATGTGGAGAAATAGGAACATTTTTACACTGTTGGTGGAACTGTAAACTAGTTCAACCATTGTGGCAGACAGTGTGGTGATTCCTTAAGGATCTAGAACTAGAAATACCATTTTACCCAGCCATTCCATTACTGGGTATATACCCAAAGGATTATAAATCATGCTGCTATATTCATGGAACTAGCCCAAATGTCCATCAGCAATAGACTGGGTGAAGAAAATTTGGCACATATACACCATGTAATACTATGCAGCCATAAAATAGGATGAGTTCATGTCCTTTGTAGGGACATGGATGAAGCTGGAAACCATCGTTCTCAGCAAACTATCGCAAGGACAGATAACCGAACACTGCATGTTCGTGCTCATAAGTGGGAATTGAACAATGAAAAACTTGGAAACAGGGTAGGGAACATCACACACCAGGGCCTGTCATGGGGTAGGAGGAGGGTGGAGGGATAGCATCAGGAGATATACCTAATATAAATGACAAGTTAACAGGTGCAGCACACCAACATGGCACATGTATACATATGTAACAAACCTGTACGTTGTGCACATGTACTCTAGAACTTTAAGTATATTAAAAAAATAAAATAAACTTCATTTTTTAATTATAAATATTAAAAAAGGTTCAACTGTCAGTATACTAATTAGTTATTTTCTGCTGTCTATTAGAAATGTATGAATTTTAAAAAACAGGTATATTAAAGAGTTAATGATAATATTTCTTAGAAAGTCAGCTCCTCTAGTGCATTTAAAATATAATTCAGTTAGTCTAGCTAGTGGCCTATCTATCTCATTAAGTTTTTCAAAAAAACAACTCCTGGATCTAGTGACCTTTCGAATGGTTTTTCATATCTTGATTTCCTTCAGTTCAGCTCTGATTTTGGTTATTTCTTGTCTTCTGCTAGTTTGGGGTTGATTTGTTATTGCTGCTCTAATTCTTTCAGTTGTGATGTTAAGTTGTTAATTTGAGATCTTTCTAACTTTTTGATGGAGGCATTTAGTGCTACGAATTTCCCTCTTAACACTGCCTTAGCTGTGTCCCAGAGATTCTGATGTGTTGTAACTTTGTTCTCATGAGTTTACTTGTGTAACAAACATTCACGTTACCCGTGAACCTAAAAGTTTAAAAATTAAAAAAAATATATAATTGAACCTATAAGTACCTAGTTTATAGCATTTTTTGTCATGTGATTTATAAATACTCTATTTATCAACCTTTTACAGAGTCAGTCTCCTCTAGAAAATGAGTTTTACTCTTTGAAATCAGGAATAGGTGAGGACCTGCCACAGCGGTAACTAAAGAAGAAGTGAAGTGTTGCCTCATTTATGTTTAGAAACTATCAGAAGTGCTTTTGTTTTAAAATTACGTGCAAAGACTTTAGATCACACCTACGTTTCAAATACCAGAAATTGAAATGAACTGTTAATGTATTGGAGAACAAAAGGGCTTAGTTTTAGGTAAGAAGTGTAGGCAAAAAGGCAGTAGTCCATTCTGTGTTCAGTTGTCTTTGAGGTAATAAAATTTAGTAACAGTTTGTTAGCTAAAGGATACATAAAAAGCACAGTCCCTGTTATGTAATGTTTCGCAGTTATAAAAAATTTGATTAGCCAATCTTGCTTTGGTTTAAAAAGGAGGTCGTTTTGTGCTTCATAAAACATCTCGAGCAGAAAATCTTTATGACTTTATGTTAAATGGCAGGCAAATATTAGGAAAGAATCCGTCACTTTTGTTAAAAATTGTAGCAGGGTAACATTTAATCTTGGGACTATCTGCTTAGTTTATTAATTACATAAACAGGTATCCCTGTTGTACTACTAATGACTAAATTCATCTTTTAAAGAATAAAGTAAGGCTTATGTGAGAGAACATTGAAACAAAGTCATTGTTGGTCCAAATGATTTGCTTCATAGTTTCTTAGTAATTAAAGCTGTTTCCTTTTTGGAAGGGAGCCATATTTCTAATAAAAGATTAGCTTGTTTCTGCACAGTGAAATTTGAATATGAGTATTTGCTTTTTGTAGCTGTGAAATGAGACTTTTTAACTAAGCATGATTAATTATGATAGGTGAATAAACTATGATAATTAAATCTTTAAATCAGATACATGATGTATAATTCCAGAGGTCTGACAAAAATATCAAGTTGAAAGAAAATACTGGCAAAGGTCTTGGCTTGTCATTTATAAGCTAGAATTAAAAATCATTACACAGATCACAGATGTTAGATATCTCCAAAGATGACTTAGAGGAAGATAATAAGGATCTGATCATTTAGATATTTTATTTTTCAAGTAGTCACTTAAAATTTTAAATTTTTGACCTTGGGGAAGGGGCAGCTGTGGGCACAGCTTCAGCAAACTTAAATATTCTTGCCTGCCGGCTCTGAAGAGAGCAGTGGATCTCCCAGCACAGCACTCAAGCTCTGCTAAGGGACAGACTACCTCCTTAAGTTGGTCCCTGAACCCCGTGCCTCCTGACTGGGAGACACCTCCCAGCAGGGGTTGACAGACACCTCATATAGGAGAGCTCTGCTGGCATCTGGCAATGCCCCTCTGGGACGAAGCTTCCAGAGTAAGGAACAGGCAGCAATCTTTGCTGTTCTGCAGCCTCCGCTGGTGATACCCAGGCAAACAGGGTCTGGAGTGGACCTCCAGCCAACTCCAGCAGACCAGCAGCAGAGGGGCCTGACTGTTAGAAGGAAAACTAACAAACAGGAATAGCATCAACACCAACAAAAAGGACTTCCACTCAGAGACCCCATCCAAAGGTCACCAACATCAAAGACCAAAGGTAGATAAATCCATGAAGATGAGGAAAACCCAGTGCAAAAATGCGGAAAGTTCCAAAAACCAGAATGCCTCTTTTCCTCCAAAGGATCACAACTCCTTGACAGCAAGGGAACAAAACTGGATAGAGAATGAGTTTGGTGAATTGACAGAAGTAGGCTTCAGAAGGTAGGTAATAACAAACTCCTCCAAGCTAAAGGAGCATGTTCTAACTCAATGCAAGGAAGCTAATAACCTTGGATAAAGGGTAGAGGAATTGCTAACTACAATAACCAGTTTAGAGAAGAACATAAATGACCTGATGGAGCTGAAAAAAACAGCACCAGAACTTCGTGACACATACATGAGTATCAATAGCCGAATCGATGAATCAGAAGAAAGGATATCAGAGATTGAAGATCAACTTAATGAAATAAAGCAAGAAGACAAGATTAGAGAAAAAAAAAAAACAAAAGGGAATGAGCAAAGCCTCCAAGAAATATGGGACTATGTGAAAAGAGTGAACCTACGTTTGATTGATGTACCTGAAAGTGACAGGGAGAATGGACCAAATTGGAAAAAACTCTTCAGGATATTACCTAGGAGAACTTCCCCAACCTATCAAGACAGGCCAGCATTCCAATTCAGGAAATACAGAGATCACCACAAACATGCTCCCCGAGAAGAGCAACCCCAAGACATGTAATCGTCAGATTTACCAAGGCTGAAATGAAGGAAAATATATTAAGGGCAGCCAGAGAGGTCGGGTTACCCACAAAGGGAAGCCCATCCCTGTTAGTCTTACCAGCGGATCTCTCTCAGACACCCTGCAAGCCAGAAGAGAGTGGGGGCCTATATTCATTAATAAAGAAAATAATTTTCAACCCAGAATTTCATATCTAGCCAAACTAAGCTTCAAAAGCGAAGGAGAAAATCCTTTACAGACAAGCAAATGCTGAGAGATTTTGTCACCACCAGGCCTGCCTTACAAGAGCTCCTGAAGAAAGCACTAAATATGGAAAGGAACAACCAGTACCAACCACTACAAAAGCATACCAAATTATAAAGACCATTGATGCTATGAAGAAACTGCGTCAACTAATGGGCAAAATAACCAGCTAACATCGTAATGACAGGATCAATTCACACATAACAATATTAATCTTAAATGTAAACAGGCTAAATGCCCCAATTAAAAGACACAGACTGGCAAATTGGATAAAGAGGCAAGACCTATCAGTGTGCTGTATTCAGGAGACCCATCTCACATGCAAGACACACATAAGTTTGAAATAAAGGGATGGAGGATGATTTACCAAGCAAATGGAAAGAAAAAAAAAAGCAGGAGTTGCAATTTTCATCACTGATAAAACAGATTTTAAACCAACAAAGATAAAAAAAAAAACAAGGCATTACATAATGATAAAGGGATCAATGCAGCAAGAAGAGCTAACTGTCCTAAATATATATGCACCCAATACAGGAGCACCCAGATTCGTAAAGCAAGTTCTTAGAGACCTACAAAGAGACTTAGATTTCCACACAATAACAGTGGGAGACTTTAACACCTCACTGTCAATATTAGATCAACGAGACTGAAAATTAAAAAGGATATTCAGAAAAAAAAAAAGGGATATTCAAGAGTTGAACTCAGCTCTGGACCAAGCGGACCTAATAGACATCTACAGAACTCTCCACCCCAAATCAACAGAATATACATTCTTCTCAGCACCACATCGCACTTATTCTAAAATTGACCACATAATTGGAAGTAAAACACTCCTCAGCAAACTCAAAAGAATGGAAATCATAACAAACAGCCCCTCAGACCACAGTGGAATCAAATTAGAAGTCAGCATTGAGAAACTAACTACAAACCGCACAACTACATGGAAACTGAACAACCTGCTCCTGAATGACTACTGGGTAAATAACACAATTAAGGCAGAAATAAATTAGTTCTTTGAAACCAAAGAGAACAAAGACACAATATACCAGAATCTCTGGGACACAGCTAAAGCAGTGTTTCACCAAATGCCCACAGGAGGAAGGGGGAAAGATCTAAAATCGACACCCTAACATCACAATTAGAAGAACTAGAGAAGCAATGGCAAACAAATTCAAAAGCTAGCAGAAGACAAGAAATAACTAAGATCAGAGCAGAACTGAAGGCGACAAGAGACACAAAAAACCCTTCAAAAAAAATCAATGAATCCAGGAGCTGGTGTTTTGGAAAAGATCAACAAAATAGATAGACCACTAGCCTGACTAATAAAGAAGAAAAGAGAGAAGAATCAAATAGACACAATAAAAAATGATAAAAGGGAGATCAGCACTGATCCCACAGAAATCCAAACTACCGTCAGAGAGTGTTATAAACACCTCTACGCAAATAAACTAGAAAATCTAGAAGAAATGGATAAATTCCTGGACACATACACCCTCCCAAGACTAAACCAGGAAGAAGTTGAATTCCTGAATAGACCAATAACAGGCTCTGAAATTGAGGCAATAATTAATAGCCTAGCAACCAAGAAAAGGACCAGAGGGATTCATAGCCGAATTCTACTAGAGGTACAAAGAGGATCTGGTACCATTCCTTCTGAAACTATTCCAAATGATAGAAAAGAGGGAATCCTCCGTAACTCATTTTATGAGGCCAGCATCATCCTGATACCAAAATCTGGCAGAGACACAACAAAAAAAGAAAATTTCAGGTCATTATCACTGAGGAACATCAATGCAAAATCCTCAATAAAAGACTGGCAAACCGAATCCAGCAGCACATCAAAAAGCTTATCCACCATGATCAAGTTGGCTTCATCCCTGGGATGCAAGGCCCGTTCAACATATGCAAATCAATAAATGTAATCCATCACATAAACAGAACCAGTGAGAAAAACCACATGATTATCTCAATAGATGCAGAAAAGTCTTTCGATAAAATTCAACATCTCTTCATGCTAAAAATTCTCAATAAACTAGGTATTGATGAGACATATCTCAAAATAATAAGACCTATTTGTGACAAACCCACAGCCAATATCATACTGAATGAGCAAAAGCTGGAAGCATTCCCCTTGAAAACCAGCACAAATTATTCATAAACTCTTTAAAAGGATGCTATAACATTTTTAAAAATATTATAAGCATATTCTAAGTTACAACTGTGTACTAGGAGGGCACCACACATCTTTTTTTTTTTTTTTACAGACTTTAAAAGGAAAAATATTGAAACTAAGAATTTTTGTTTTTGTTTTGAAAAATTACAGGATCTCACTCTGTAACTTAGGCCAAGTGCAGTGGTGCAATCATAGCTCACCGCAAGCTCCAGCTCCCAGGCTCAAGGGATCCTCCCTCCTCAGCTTCCCCGGTAGCTGGGACTACAGGTGTCCACTGCCATGCCTGGCTAATTTTTTTCTTTTTTAAAGTAGACTGGGTCTTGCTATGTTATGTAGGCTGAAGAATATTTTCTTTTAACAATGGTAAAATACCCATAACATAAAATTTACCATCTTATTCATTTTTAAGTATATAAACTAAAAATATTACAACTTTATAAGGTAAGGATTCAATTCATACAAGTCAGTAGACAGTTATATATTTATCTTTATATACCATTGAGAATAAAGCCACCATGAAATTGTTTACATTTGTTTTTCAGGTCATTACTTCTTTTTATGTGGAGCGTGGAGGAAATGCTATGTCCTTCATGGGAAAAGGTGTTACAAAGAGCACAATTCTTTGCTTGCTTCACTTATCCCATGAGATGATGGCCCAGGCTGGGAGCTTGGTGAGCGCGTTAAAGCTGTCTATCTTCTGAACATTTGCTTGAAAGGGAATGTGCTGTGTCCAACACATTTCAAGCATATAAACTTGCCACATGAAAATGTCTCTTTTGACTTTTCTTTTTAGGTAACGTGAATGATTTTTGACTAGAATATTTCTTAGAAGTTGTATATTAACAAATCTGAATCTTATTTGAAATTGATTCAAATGTGCATACACTGGAAAACTACATTTTGTCTACATTATGGGAAAAATAGCTTCTGTCAAAAAATTGTTATGTTTAACTTTTTAAAGAGAAACAAATTTTTTTGTTTGCCTTTTTTGGCTGAATAATGGATTAAAACCAAGTCTAAAATACATTTTCACGTTGTTTTCATTAAAAATTCTTGTTTTAACCTTCCTGCATTTTATTTTTAGAAACTTACCTCAAATATTTCTGTTTCCCTTTTTTCCCTCTAGGAGTGGATGTCACTTTGGTTCTTGCCTTTGGGTAGTCATAGTGAAGAACATATTCCTACTCAACAAGGATTGGCTTGGTTGATTCCATTATGGGTTGATCGGGACCCAGAGGTGAGTGTGAAGGAGAATCAAGTGTATTGTGTTTAGATTAAAAAACAAATGACACGGGGCCAGGTGCGGTGGCTCATGCCTGTAATCCCAGCTTGTTGGGAGGCTGAGGTGGGCAGATCACGAGGTCAGGAGATTGAGACCATCCTGGCTAACACAGTGAAACCCCATCTCTACTAAAAATATAAAAAAATTAGCTGGGTGTGGTGGCAGGCACCTGTAGTCCCAGCTACTTGGGAGGCTGCAGCAGGAGAATGCTGTGAACTTGGGAGGTGAAGCTTGCAGTGAGCTGAGATTGTGCCACTGCACTCCAGCCTGGGCAACAGAGCAAGACTCCATCTCAAAAAAAAAAAAAAGACACAAAACATATATACATATACATAGTTATATTATGGGATTATTGTAGTGACTCTACCTTATGTTTTATTTAAGCCCTGTTTTAGCTTAGGCTGCCATAACAAAATACCACAGACTGGGTGGCTTAGACAACAGACACTTCTTTTCTCATAGAAGTTTTGGAAGCTGAAAGTCCAAGATCAGAGTGCCGGCATAGTCAAGTTCTGGTGAGGGCTCTTCTTCTGGCTTGTAGACGGCTGCCTTCTTGCTGTGTATTCACGTGGCCTTTCCTTGGTCCATGCATGTGGGGCAGGGGAGGGAGGGGTGGTATAGAGACAGATTTGTCTTTTTTTTTTTATTATAATGTTACCAGTCTTATTGAGATAGGACCACTCCCTTATGATCTCTTTAAACCTTAATTATCTCCTAGAAACCCTGTCTTCAAATGTAGTCACTTGAGCATAAAGACTTCAACATATGAGTTTTGGAGGGACGCAATTCAGTTCATAGTTTTCCATCCCTGAGCCCCTGAACTTCATGTTCTTCTTCCATGCAAAATGCTTTTATTCTCCCTCAACAACCTCAAAAGTCTTAACTTATTCCCAAATCAACTGTAAAGTCTAAAGTCCAAAATCTCATCTAAATGTCATTTAAACCACATCTGGGTAAGTCTCCAGATATAAACCCTCCTGAAACAGAATTCTTCTGCAGGTGTGAACCTGTGAACCCATACAAGTTATATGCTTCCAAAAGATGATGGTAGAATAGACATTCCCATTCCAAAAGAGAGAAATAGGAAAAAAAGGAAGAAGTGATGGGTCCCAAGCAAGTCCAAAGCCTAGCAAAGCAAATTTCATTAGATGTTAATGCTCAAGGATAATGTTCTTTGGCTTGATGGTGTGCCTTACAGGCCCACCAGAGTGACAGCATCTGTCTAGATGGCTCTGTGGGATGACCCCACCCCTTTGGCTGTCTTCAAGAGCCCCGCCCATAAAGCTGTCTTCAAGGGCAGCCATGTTCCTGAAGCACTGGGCAGGGTCATCATTCTGGCCCACAGAAATCAGAGGTCTTTGAAACCAAGGAGGAAAAGCCACCCTTGAGTCCTGTGGTGGGATTAGCAGCCTGGGGATCTCTGAATCATTTTTTGGGTCATTCTTTTCATTGAAGAATACAGTAGTCCTCCCTTATCAGAGGTTTCATTTTCCAAAAGCACCCTGAAGATCAGTAGTAGCCAAACCCTCCCTCACAATGCCTACATCATTCACCTCACCTCATCTCTTTATGTAATCATTGTATCATCTCACATCAATACAAGAAGGCTGAGTGCAATACAATAAGATATTTTGAGAGAGAGACCACATTTATGTATTTTGTATTATAACATATTGTTGTAATTGTTCTAGTTTATTTTTAGTTATTGTTAATCTCTTACTGTGCCTAATTTGTAAACTTTACCATAGATATGTATGTGTAGGAGAAAACATAGTAGTTATAGGGCTCAGCACTATCTGTGGTTTCAGGCATCTACTGGGGGTCTTGGAATGTATTCCCCATGGATAAGGGAGGGACCACTGTAGCACATATTTGCTTACAGAATCCAGGAAGTCCAACAGCTTTCCTTCATTCTCTGCATCTTTCTCTGTCCTCTTTAGTTCAAACTGGCAATGTCTTTGCTGATATAATCCCATCTCTATTCCTGGCTTCTGCTGAGATGTCTGATTAAGTCCATGAATTGCACCCGTGATCTTTTTCTTAAATGGGTATTCAGCCACACCCTCCATGTTCTCTTTAGAACAAGCTTTCTCATTTTTTTTGCACAGATAGGCTGAGAATTTTTCAAATCTTGTTCTTGTTTCTTTTTGCTTACCCATTCTTAATTCCTTCTTTAATTCATCTCTCTCCCTTTGCATTTTGCTATAAGCAATCAGGAGGAACCAAGCCAATTTTTCAACACTTTGCTTAGAAATCTTCTCAGCTAAATATCCAATTTCATTGCTCACAAGTTCTGCCTTTCACAAAACACTAGAACATGACCACAGCTTAACCAGTTTTCTTGCTACTTTATAACAAGGATTGCCTTTCCTCAAATAACCTTTTTTAAATAACACTTTCCTCATTTTTGTCTGAGATCTCATGAGAATTACCCATGTCTACGTTTCTGGCATCCACCTCAAAACTCTTCTAGCCTGTAACCCATTACCCAGTGCCAAAGTCACTTTCATGTGTTTAGGCATTTGTTTCAGCAGCATCCCCACTCCTTGGTACAAAAATCTGTATTAGTGTGCTCAGGCTTCCATAACAAAATACCATTGTCTGGGTGGCTTAAAAACAGAAATTTATTTCTTACAGTTATAGAGGCTGCAAGTCCAAGATCAGAGTGTCAACATGGTTGGTTTCTGGTAGGGCACTCTTCCTGATTTACAGAGGGCCACCTTCTCACTGTGTGCTCATATGACCTCTCCTTGGAGCACGCACATGGAGAAAGATTTCTCTCCTTCCTGAGGCCACCATTCCTAGTGCAGTAGGGTCCCACCCTTATAACCTCATTTAACTGTAATCACCTAATAGCTCTGTCTCCAAATACAGGTTGGGGATTAGGGCTTCAACATACGAGTCTTGAGGAGACACAGTTCAGTACACAGCACCCTCATTTTCAATCAAATTTGTTCGAGTATAGATTGAAAATATAAAAGAGAAAAGGTTATAGTATCTATTACCTTCAGAAGAGTGGAAAATTATTGGAGAAGCTTAGCAATTTTGAAAAAAATAAAAAGGATCTGGAAATTATAGACATGCAACACTTAAGTGTCATATAATGAAATTAAATTAAATGCAAAAAATTGCATTTGCATTACAATACAAAATTTTGTATTATTTCTTTCCAGTTTTAGCCAGTTTACTTTTTTCAAGTAAAATATGCTATTACAATAAAATCTTATTTATAGAAATATTTGAAATACATTTTTTAGTCACATTGAACTTGGACTTACTACTTGACAATTTTATGACTGCATTTTTAAAAAATTCTATAGCTGTCATTGAAACTATATTTTTGGATTCGAATTCAGAAATTTACCAAAACGTGTGGCTTGAACAGCAGTGGTTCTACAGCAAGCATATTATACCACATCAATCTTATTTGGGAACGTTTTTCTCTTGAATAACTTTTGAGGAAAATACGAAATGCCTTGTAAAATGATAATTGCCTCTTTGTTTAGAAGTTTTAAGAAAGTTAAAATCATTTATTTGGAAGAAACAATAAAAAATTAAGAAAGGTAGAACAAAGAATAGCTACCTTTTTTAAGAATGAAGAATTGAAATTGTGTTCATAAAATGTAAGTGCCCTATGCTTTCCTTAGAAAAAGGCTTGCAAACTATAATTTTTATGCATCTTTTTATACCCAGTTTTACTTTGCTTTGAAATTTGCTTATATTTAATTTTTCCTATATTACTGCTTTCTTGAATCATGGAATGGAGGACACTGTCTTCTATAGGTGTCTCTTATAATTTAGGATCATAAAACCAATGGATTTTTTTAAAGTGTGATATTTATGTACCAGAAAAACTAAGAATTCATGTTAGGAAAAAGGCTTATTTGATTCAACAACTTTCTCTTTAATTTGAACAGGTGAGATTCACTTCACTGGGATTAGGATCAGCACTGACCACCCTTGAAACGGGCTGTGTGGCCTTAGCAAACAGTTGTCAGAACATTTCCGGTGGGCTCTGGGGAACTGTGGTGAACATTCTTCTGGACCAGTCAGAATGTAGTATGGTGCGCCGGGAGGTATGTCTGTCTTTTCTCCTTTTTTTCCTTAGAAATTCTTTGTGATGGTATCCGTAAGCGATACTTGACTGCCGCTCAACATGGTGGACTGACCACTGACCATGATCTCTTCTGTCTGTGAACACCCAAACAAAATGACAGTAGAGGATTTAAAAGGTATTCATGCACAGGAAAAACTGGAGTCCTTCCTTCCGATAAGATAAAATCGGAATATACTATATTTTAATGTGAACTTTTTTTATTATGCATTGAAAGGTAGTTCACAGGAAAAATTACTTTTATATTATCTCAGCATTTATGGGTCTCTGATATTTATGAAGCTTTAGTATAGATAAGAGGCTGTCAAAATAACTCTTTGTAGTATTTATCATATAACATGAGAGGGAAAAATAAACCCTATTTTAATTCTTTCTGAATAGCTTGTGGTTTTTTTTTATTGCTGCTTTTGTTAAAGTAATGATTCATGTAAATGGTTTTAAAACAATAATCAAATTGTACTTAGAGGCTTATGAAAAAAAACAGCAGCTCCTGGGTCCACCATTAGCAGTCGCCAGTTCCAAGCTCAAAAGGCTAGTTTTGTTGCTGTTTGCCTTCATGTTTTTAAGTAGTGATGTTTATATTTATGGCTGCTTCTTGATTTATCAACTTTAAAGCTTTTCCATCACTTCTAGTTATCATGGTTGGAAATGTCAGTTTCTTAGAATCCTCTTGTTAATCCTGTCATTCTCCCATTATGGTTATTTCATCTTTCATTAAGCAGACAATCAATGCTCCTATTTGTATGATTATTTAATTTGATCATCTTCAGGATCTAGTCAAGTTGGACATTTGTGGTTTGTATTTCTAGTTAGCAAGTTTTTATTGAAAGGAGTCTGTATAAGAGAAGGGAGAAAGCGGGGCAGAGGGGTGCGTGTGTTTGTGTGTGTGTGTGTGTGTAATCTGAAAGGGGATAGTAGAAACCTAAAATTATATTTCTTAAATGCTACCAGAAGAATTTATGTTATACAAATCATTTTTTAATAAAGCTGAATTCTGAAATAGGAAAAGATATATTTCCTGATGAAATAATTTCATATGCTGTTAGGTCATTACCTAACAAGGTCATTACCTAAGAAGGTCATCACCTAACAAGAAATACAGTTTGACAATTCTCATAATGACCTCTCAGCATGTGCAGTTGACCAGAGATGTCTTTTGCTATTAATTACAATATATTGGTTATTTCAGAGATGACCACAAGATGGCAGTATTGACCTTTTTTTTTTTTTTTTTTTTTTTTTTTTTTTTTTTTTTTACATTTTCAGGCGGCATTTATTCTTCAGAATCTCCTTGTAATTCCAATGCCTACAGAAATTATAAAGGATTATACTTGGCAGGTGGGTGATTTTAAACAATTATCAACCTAGTAGATGTTTCAAATTAATTGGTGATAAATTTTCAGTATAAGTAGTATATTTCATTATTGATGAAACTATATACAAGACAGCAAGGGCCTCTTAAAATAGAACGTAGAATTTGTTCTTATGCCGACCAGACTTAAAAATTCTTCTCTATAGTGTTCACAATAATTTAAAGCAAATAATAATAGTTAACATATGTTTACTATGTTTTAGGCACCCTTCTAGAAATGTAAGACATAGTAACTTGTATAATTGTTTGAGTTGTGAACTGTTACTATCCTTATTTTCTAAGCTTAGGAACTTTTGCATAGAGAGTTTAAATAGTTTGTCCTAAATCACACAGCTAGTCAGTGGTACGCCTTTGCTTTGAGTCTAGGCAGTCTCTTACCCACTTTGCTGTATTACTTCTCTAATTTAGTAATAATAAACAAATTTGTAGATAGTTAAATATGTGTTGATGTTAACATCTTTTTTTCCTTTTCTAGGTTAGTGCACAGTGCGGGTTATAGTGTATCTTGCTTTGTTTTCTGTTGGGTTAACTTTCTTTTTCATGTTCTGAATATCACATCAGTAAATGGTTACCTAACATTTTTATAGCTTACATTAAAAAAATTCTAGCTTCATGGGATATATGTACATGTTTGTTACATAAGTATATTGCGTAATGGTGGTGGGGATTGGGGTTCTCGTGTACTCATTACCCAAATATTGAACATTGTACCCAGTTAGGTAATTTATAACCTCAGCCGCCTCCCCCACTCCCTCCTTGGGAGTCTCAGTGTCTGTTATGTCTGTCTTTATGTCCATGTGTATTCATTGGTTAGCTCCCACTTATACGTGAGAACACGCAATATTTGATTTTCTATTTTTGAGTTAGTTCACTTAGATAATGGCCTCCACCTCCATCCATGTTGCTGCAGTTTTAGGTAATTTGGAAGATACAAAAGTACACTTATTGGGGATATAAGATGTGCTGTTTCTGTCCTTTTACCTATCCATATATTTTCACCTTATAGGGATATATTTATCATATTGCTACACCTCACTCCTCAAAATCCTGTATAAATCTAAGGTTTATTTTTAAGTTTTAATTAGACTATACTCTTAGAGGAGTTAGTGAAACAAGCTGAACCGTAGCAAGGGCAAGTTTCCGCACATGACCCGAAGCATGAATCCAGGTGGTTGTCAAGGCCCAGGTAGCATTTAACTCTTGGAAGGCTTACCTCTCCAAACTTTACAAACCCAGGGTAACCCTACCAGTCATTGTAAATCCCAGGCTTGTAATTTGCTCGTAATTTCTTTAACATTGCCTTCTGATAATGGCTGCTTATCTACTTTCCATGTTGTAATAAAACCAGGAGACAAAACTGGAGGGAATATGCAGGATTAATAGTTATATTAATAGTGTAGTAGTTTTGGTACCTGTTATCCGGAGACTACATTTTAAAACATGTTGTTTTTGGCTCAAATACAAATAATCTCTACTCCCATTGTTAAACTAGTGACCCATGTACATGGATATACTTGGTGATGTACTACCAATGAATTTTTAATTATTGAAATAAGTATAAAGGCAGAGTATATTAAAGTTCCTGGGACATTATGTTGTAATACAGAACCGTATGTAGCTGTTCATATTTTTCTCTTAGAAATTAAATAGTAAAGTTCCTGTTTGTTGCTGGTGGCATGCTTACTGCAGTTTATTGGTTTTGTTATTCTCCAGTCTTCATCATGGAAATCCTTTTCTACTAAAAAGTGGAAAATAGTGATTTAAGTTAGCTTTTGGAGTTTTGGCCTTGCTAAGTTGGCCAAAATAAAAAAAGTTGGAGAGCCACTGCTGTCCCAAACAATAGTTGATTACAACTTTTGCTAGTCTTAGGAAAAATTAGATAAATAAGGACAATCTTGTATGCTTTTTAATAAACTCAGATTTTCTTCCTCTCTTTTCAGTCTTTTTTTTTTTTTGGTTATTTTTGTTTGTGTAAGTGTCCTTCCTTGGCAGTGAAAATAGTTAACTCAGTATATCTGTCATCCAATTTTAAGAAAGTTTAGTGGGGTCTGAAATTCCAAAGTAGAAACAGCTTCTGCAAGAAGGAAACAAGATGGTTGTCTCTGGGTGCAGCTAGTGGGGCACATGGTCCTTTGCAACCATGAAAAAGGGGCCACATAGCCAGTATTTTAAAATTCAAACAGTCTTTGGTAGAATTATGAATAATAATCTTATTCAACAAAATGTTTCATTTACTTATTTTAGTGTCCCTTTCATAGTGTTGTGGAGGATATAGCATGAAACAGCATGTTTAGGAGCTTTGTTAAAATTTTATTTTGGTTGAGGTAAATATTTGATTTTTTTTTTTTAACAAAGAGAATTGCTTCTATTGCTTTGCACTTTGTTTTCCTGCCTGCAGTCTAAATTAATGCCCGCTAGTGCTCTTGTTTCATAGGCTTTCTGAAGCATTCTCTTTATAATTACTACTCCTTTTCCTCTCCTTCCTCTGCACAGTAGCATAAATTCCTACTTCATGTCATGACATAGAATTGTTGTACTTGTGAATAGTAATAATATGCATATATGAATTATGAATAATATTATAGCTGAGTTTCCCTTTTATTGTTAGATGCCAGAAAGTAGAGCCCTTTTATCAATTGTGACTTTTTCTGTATGTACTTAAAAAAAAAAAAAGATGGGGTCTCACTGTGTTGTCCAGGCTGGCCTTGAGTTCCTGGGCTCAAGTGATACGCTTGCCTCAGCCTCCTGAGTAGCTGGGACCCCAGGCACATGCTGCCACACCCAGCTTACCTTCTAAGCTTTATTCATGGTTGCACTTTTTCCATATCTCTGGCTTTTTTCTTTCTTTTATTCCTGATATGCATTTACTATCATGTTACAATTTACCTTTCCTTGTAATGGGCCTTAAATCTTTTCTCGGACAAGATAGGAAGTAAATAATTTAAAACAATTTATTTTTTTAAAGTATTAAATAATTTTACCAACCACTGCAATTCCCATTTTAATCTTCCTTTTAAAGACACTAACATTTAATGTCTTACCACTAAATTAGGTTATTTTCCATATTTGCATTATTTCTTACCATTTAACTTAATCTTCCTGTGTAGAATGTTTGTTTCTGACAGGACTACATTTTTTATATTTTAAAAAATGTTTCTCCCAACCCCTACCACAGAGAAAGTAAGTGCTCCATCTGTCTTGACTGATTCATTAAAATGTGCAAAACATTTGAGTTATCCTTTTGGTCTTAATATCATAAGTAAATACAGTTAGAAATAAAGCCTTAATTTTCATAGCATAAGTCCCCTTTTATTTTTCTGTGGATGCAGAAGCATACTGGAAGTGGGGTGGTCACCAAGAGGAGGAGCAGATGAAGTATCTCGGCCTGTCTTCCCTTGACATCTAGCACTCCTACCAGGGGCCTTGATACCAGGCCCCTGCTGGATATGAGAACCCAGTTCCTGCTGTGTCAGTCTTTGGTGTGTCACAGCTCTTTTATATTCAGGACACTAACTTTTCAGAGGGATATTTACAAACATTGGTCTTGTTCTTGAGTCAAACTCAGCCTCATTCAAAGCTACATCCCAGCTGGGTGTGGTGGCTCATGCCTGTAATCCCAACACTTGGGGAGGCTGAGGTGAGAGGATCACTTGAGCCCAGGAGTTTGAGACTAGCCTGGGCAACATAGTGAGACCCCATCTCTAAAAAAAATTTTAAAAATTGGCCTGGAATGGTGGCATGCACCTGTAGTCCCTAGCTACTCAGGAGACTGAGGCAGGAGGATTGCTTGAGCCCAGGAGTTTGAGGCCACAGTAAGCTATGATTGTGTCACTGTGCTGCAGCCTGGGTGACAGAACAAAACCCTGTCTCTAAAAACAAAAACCCTGCATACTACATTCTCTGCCAAGAAGAGAAAACAGAGCCAATATTCAGTTGACACGAAACTGTATTGTGGCTCCCAACTGTCCAGTGTTTTTCAGACCAGTTTCCCACAGTCTGACTAGGAGTTAAGACTCCTGAATGTGGATGGTTTCATAACTGGGTTTAGTTTGAAGACTAGTGTCAGAAATCCGTATCCCTGAAACTTTAACAACCAATTTTAGAGTTGATTATAACAAGAAATCTATTGATTAGAGATGGATTATTGATGTAATTTTCTCAGTTCATTTCTGTAAACATTTGTTGAGTGTCTAAATATTGGAGATTCACAGATAATCCAATTTAGTATTCTTGGGCTTATGGCCTACAGGGGATGACATGTACCCAGGAAACATTGTTATAATCATGTTATGTATGATGATGGTAGCTTATGCATAATTTTAATAATATTTCAGTTCTTTCCACTTGAAAATGATCTCACATTTAAATGTAAAGGGTAATTTCATGCACTTAAATAACATAATGGGTTGTCAGTTTGTGATTTAAATAAACTTGTTCATGCTCTAGTTGCTTTCCATGTTTGTGACAGGACTTTGAATTGGTACACAGACTTTTTAAACTTTATTTTGAAAAAACTTAGATTTATAGGAAATTTGTAGAAACAATACAATTTTTATGTACTCTTCACCCAGATTCCCCAAATGTTATTTTACACATTTACTTCAGCTCTGTCTAGTGTCTTCTTTCTAAACTATTGGAGAGTTGTAGACATAATGCTTCTTTTCCTCTGAACACTTAAGTGTGGATTTCCTAAAAATAAGGATATCCTCTTACATAATCACAATAATAATTATCATAATTAGGAGATTACTCAAGGATTTTCAGTTGTCCCACTGCTGTTTTTAATAGAAAAAAAAGAAAAAAAAATCCAATCCTGGATCCAAGATCCAGCTCAGGAATACACATTGCATATACTTGTCTTACATATTTGCTTTCGTTCATCTGAAATAGTTTCAAAATTTTAAATATTTATGATCTTAACATTTTTGAAGAATGCAGGCTACTTATTTGTTGTAATATACTTCAATTAGATTTGTCCTTTTCCCCAGGTTTAGATTTGAGTTACGCATTTTTGGCAGAAAAACCATAGAAGTGATGGGTTCTCAGTGCAACATGTCAAGAGATATTATATCTCTCTTTCCCATTGTTGGTGATACTAACTTTGATTACTTAGTAAAGATAGAATCTGCCTGTTTTGTCCTTTGTAAAGTTACAGTTTTTTCTTTTGGAAGGAGGTGCTCTGAGACTGTAAATATCTGTTTCTCATCAAACTTTCTTTCACTAGTTTTTTGTTTTGTTTTGTTTTACTTTTTTTTCCCCCATAGGTTATTGGGGAACAGGTGGTGTTTGATTACATGAGTAAGTTCTTTAGTGGTGATTTGTGAGATTTTGGTGTACCCATCACCTCAGCAGTATACACTGCACACAGTTTGTATCTTTTATCCCTCACCCCTTCCCACCCTTTTCCCTCAAGTCCCCAAAGTCCGTTGTGTCATTCTTAAGCCCTTGCATCCTCATAGCATAGCTCCCGCTTATGAGTGAGAACATTTGATGTTTGGTTTTCCATTCCTGACTTACTTCACTTAGAATAATAGTCTCCAATCTCATCCAGATCACTGCGAATACCATTAATTCATTCCTTTTTATGGCTGAGTAGTATTCCATAGTGTGTGTGTGTGTGTGTGTGTGTGTGTGTGTGTGTGTGTGTGTGATACCACACACACCAGTTTATCCACTCATTGGTGGATGGGCATTTGAATTGGTTCTACATTTTTGCAATTGCAAATTGTGCTGCTATAAACATGTGTGTGCAAGTATCTTTTTTGTATAATGACTTCTTTTCCTCTGGGTAGATACCCAGTAGTGGGATTGCTGAATCCCACTGGTAGTTCTACTTTTAGTTCTTTAAGAAATCTCCACACTGTTTTCCTAGTTTTAAATTCCATTCATGATTCTTACCTGAAACAGTTATTACAGAATTGTTGCCAAATGATTTCCTAACTCCATCATTTCTTTCTATGTTTATTACATGCTACTGTAAGGAAGAACTTTTCATTCTTCCTTGCTTATTTAGTGATTCACTTATTTACACCAGCATGGATTGAAGATTCTTAAGTTTGTTTAATGGGCTATAATCTGTTTCTATCATTATTTGTTTCAATGTTCAAATCATTCTTGCTTTGGCCAGGGGAAATTTCTTCATAATGGTTCTTGTGTCTTTATCAATATTTGAGCCATTTCCTTACTTCTGGTACAGCAAAGTGTTCTAGACTGTCCAGCTCCATCCTGGAATCAGATATTTGCTCCAAGGGCTCTGATTTCTTTTCATGGAGAATGGTATTTAGAAACCAAGATCTGCGTTCTAGATGTATTCATTGTTCCTGGGGTGTCATTGCTTCTATGTCCTGTGAGTGAACAAAGCTAGTAATTGTCTGTGTATATGTTTTAAATAGTCAGCTCATTTATAGTTATATATTATTTTGATATTTGATATGATTAATATGTATTATTTTTATCTTTTGTTTGTTATGAAGCATCATGAGTATTTCCAGAAGACAATGAGTACTTGGTAAACTGATATCATTGTAATGATATTCATATTTTACATGTAGTTTTGGATTTCTAATGTATTTAGGGTCATTTTTACAGTCTTTGGATTATAGCATTTTTGTTATATATGACAATAATTCATTTTTCTCCTTGAAAATATTATATCTTCTTAAATGTTATTCTTACTTTGCTTCTAGTACCTTTTCAATTATAGCTAATGGGTATATTAGCACTGACACTAGGAGTATAATATGCATTTTAAAATTAGTATTCTGATTTATTGCATTCTTGATAAAGATGTTTTCAAATTAATTGGAGCTTGATATGACATAATTAATTTGCAGTTTTCTTTGTAAATGTATTTGTAATGGCATTCTGGTGATTTGAAGAGCTTTCTTACTTTCCTTCTCAGCTCTCTCTGGCAATTCAGCAGACGATCTGGCAGCCCCAGAACTCACCTGAGGGCAAGGCTAGTCATGATACAGAAGTCTTGAGACAGAGCAATTAGACCTGATTGCTCTAATTTCCCCACTATGCTAGAAGATAACCCCATCAATTACTGATGGATGTATGGAGCAGAGCCTAGTGTGTGCATGAAAGACTTCATTGTTCTGGCCCTTGAACCATTAGTTATCTGTGAAAGCCTGAGCCTGGCCATCCTTTGTGCATATCCTGGGCTTGGCTCCATTATAAAGCTCTCTTAATAAGTGTAGAGAATGGGGATTCAGGCTTAATGCTTAGTTAAATAAAAAATAAAATAATTTTTATGTAATATGTGCCTATTTCAGATTACTCGGTTTTCTTTTGAGCAGTTCAAGAATATTTTGAATGCACTAATTGAACTTTTTAGAAGAAATTTTTTTTTCAAGTAATAAATACATATGGTTAAAAAAAAGCTAATAGAGCTTATAGTGAAATTCACTGTCCCTCTCCATTCACTGAGACAGTTTTACCTCTGATTTTAATTCTTCAGGGAGTTACCACTGTATATCTAAATAGCATGTTTGCAATAATATATTTATTCATACACTACTTTAGTACCTAAGGATTTAGCTCATGTACACAATTTCCTGCAGATACCACAGTATCTCATAGTACCATAGTGGTATTACTGCTCTTATTTCTCCACTGGTCACACTTGCTCTTCCTGGTTTTGTCACCCATGCATCATATCTTTTGACCCCAACCCATTTTGAGATGAGTAAGACATGGCTGAGATTGTACCTGTCCTTTCTTCAGTCTTTCCTCTGCCGTTTCTAATACCCATCTTTAATAGTTTTATTTTTACTTTTTGCTTTGTGAGCGTTGATTATGTTTACATTCTCATCTGCAGTCTCAATTTTATCTGTAGGTTGCTTCTAAAAGTTGAAAACCGTAACTCACTACAGAGACACTTAGTGGGCTGTGATTACACTTTCTTATCTCGGCTTCCAGGACCAACTCATCTAATACTCAGAGGAAAAGTTTTCTGGTATTTGTATGTATGTATACATGTATATGTGTGTGTGTATATATGTATATATAAAAATATAATTTAAAAATTGATTTGGGTGATTTATTTTCCCTTGAGGTTCCTGTTTGTTTTTTCTTACATTGTGGGTCCATATCATGTCTCATGTCTAAAGTTTTTCTAAGCTCTTAATCATCCTTTCTCTTCTGTTAGAATTTCTTTTCCTAGTCATAATTCTCAAAATGATTGTAGTGGTAACTAGTGACAAGTGCATGAGAGATAAATATCACAAGTTCTTGCATATTTGAAAATGTCTTTAAATTGCACTGGATTGATAGTGTGGTTAGTTACCATATGTTTGGTGAAGATTGTTCCTCCCAAGAATTTTGCTTCACTGTATTCTAGCATCCAGTGCTACTGATGAGAAGTTGAATTTTCATCTGACTCTTTTTACTTCTTTATGGCTGATGTTTTCTTTCATTATCATCTCTTTGTCCTCAATGTTTAGAATTTTTTTATTATGTACCTTTTTTCCATTTTTCTTGCTTGACATTTATTAAGCTCCTTAATTTGAAGATTTGGATCTTCTATATATTTTTTTGGCTCTGACAAATCTTTTCATATTTATTTCTTTTAAGATGAATTTCCTTTTTTTGTGTGTTATATTTTATCTTTCCAGAAATTGTAAGTCCCTTATTAGGCCTCTTGAATTTATTTTCTCTGATTTCCTTTTGTATTTCTATATCTTAAACCTTTTTGCACTATTTTCTATGATATTAAATTTTTTGTTCATAAGCTAAATTAGCTTCTTCAATCTTGGTAGGCTAAATAATTTTTACCATGATTTATAAACAGAGGAAAAATAGAACAGATTCTAAACTTTATTTGATAGATTTAGTTATAAATTTGTGTCTCTTATTATGACTTTCTTACCTATATTTTCTAAGTCTGTGTTTATATTAATAGGAACTAGAAAAGAATTTTTAATTTATTGAAGGGAAAATGTGATTAAACTAGGTTCTTTATCACTGTGACAATTTTACATATTTAGAGAATAATTGCAAGAGTTCTAATACCATATTTACATGTGTAACTTCTCACTTCTAAAATACTTAAAAACTAAAGAAATGTTAGATTTTAGAAGACAGTGGGTTTGTAACTCTTGTCTTCCTAACAGTTGGTATGGCCATCAGCCTCAGTAGGCCTTGAACAGAATAAAGAATCAGCAGATTTAAGATCTCTCAAAGAGCTGTAGATGTCATTTTTTTCTGTTTTTAAGATTTATACAGTTTACATTCTCTTCTCTATTTTCATTAAAGGTTTGTGAATTTTGGGTTGTGGTAACTGATAGAGGAAGCATTCATGTAGACATAATTTTGCAAAAATATGAAAAATTGCATAATTTTATATAATCTGTATGGCAAAATATTTTTAAGTGGTTCTTTGTATCATTATAAAATATATTTTGAAAACTAGTTTTTGTACAACTTTGATTAATCACTTTTGATTTATTGAATTTTTTAGATGGAGTGAAGCTAGTAAACCCTCTACAATTCTTGTCTTATTTGTTAATTCCTTCCCTATATTATTATAATGAGGACTCTAATTTGTGATGTTAAGCAGTTTATTGCAAATCTCTTGGGTGTTTGGCGTGTTTTGTACGTTTAAGTATGTTATAACTTGCTTAAAAGATAGAATTTCTTGAAGCTGTGAATGTTAAGATTGACTGTGATTTTGGGTGAATACTTCATTCTATATAATAAAATAAGGTAATGTATTAAAGGGCGCCAGTACCTGTAACATATACCTTGGTTAATAAACAGGAGCCACATAACCCCATTCACTTTGTATTACTCTCTATTTTACCTGATTCTTCTAGACCTCTGCATTTAAAATAACGACAGTGACCACCATGTGCTGGCTGTTCATTACAGTAGTCTTATTTCTTATATAAATTGCTCTGTTTAGGACGAGTAAGCTCACAGTGTTGGTAGATTTATTACAACACAGCAGTAACAACTTCATAGTCATAAAAGACATTGAATATTGAAGAGGTTTAATTATAATGATGTATATAAATGTCCTTAAAAAGAAGTGTTAATAGAAATAACCTTGTTAGTGTAATCGTGCCTTTAACTTGTGAATTCCTTTGTCTTCCTGAAGAGTAAGTTAAAATATCCATCTTCTTTTGGTGATGGGGAGGGTGAGAGAACAGACACACATACAAATCTTATGGTTAAAGGTCAACTTGCAATATGTTTTGAACGTATCTTTCCTGTTGGCTCTTAGATTTCTGTTTGCTATCTTTTATTTTTCTCTCTCTTATGGCCTGTTTTGAAATCTTAACTTTATTATCATTTCCCAGAAAATAGAAATATTTATAAACTAATGGTAGGATTATTTGCAAACTTCAAACCAATCCTCATTGCTTGCTTTTTGCTATTAGATACTCCAGGAAAAGTAGTAAGTCACAATGCAAAAAATTGTTTGGGAAAAATGCAAAGAGAAAAATTGTGTAATAGCAGATTCTTTTCAGCCTCCTGGTGGCAGTTCATGTGTGTGTATGTATACATGTGTGTGTTTTTTTTCCTTGTCAGGATTAATTCAGTGGGAAGTAATGTGACAGATTTTGCCATATGGATATTGATGGACCTTTTCATTTTACCTGGCTTAGTGATAGGTATAAAAAATAATTCTGAACATAATATATGGACCACCTTATTTCATATATTTTAACACCTATTATTTTACTATTATATGTAGGTTGAAAAATACTGCTTTTATTGTGTTTTTGGTGCAAGTATATGATTTCTTGGTTAAAGCTGATCATTCCATAGAAACATTTTAAATGAAATGGCCCCTCAAGAGAAAGATCAGCTTTGTCCCTTCACGGGGGTGTTTAGGCAGCAAAGACCTAGAGTATTATGGAATAATTTGTCCTAGGTCAGGCTGCTATAACTGTGTAAGGACAAAAGCAGAGTGGAAGGAGATGGGAGCATCTGGGACCCATTTGTTTCCTCGAGAGGAGACAATGGATCTTTTTAAGGAAATTGTTGGATAAATCAGTGTCTCCTCCTTCTTTCCCTCTCTTCCTACAGGGTCCCTGTGTTCATGATGAGGACTCTGGCCTATCGCTCATTGGAAAACCTGCCCTTCAGGCTCTTTTATATCACTGCCATTTTTATGAACATTTGAATCAGATGGTAAAGCATTGTTACCTAGGACGGTGTATGTTTGATTTGAATTTTTCTGCTTTTGATAGAAATTCAGAAAGCAATGATTTAAATGGTAAGTACGATATCTTTGTATTTTTATTTTTGTAATATGTAACTTGTAAAAACTGTTAAAAATACATATATTTGTTTTAAAAATTTGAAAAATGAAAGTATACAGGGAAAACATTCATTTCCAGTTCTACCACCCAGAGAGATGTATTTTCTTCCCGTCTTCTTTCTCTGTATAGCCTTTGTTTGTTTTATGTAATTATGTTCATATCTTGTGTACATTTTTGTATTTCCTTCTTTCACTAAATATTCTGCAAGCATTTTTCTATGTTATAAATTCTTCATGGAAATTATTTTTGACATCTTATTAATACTTTATAAGTTATGCCCATCAGTACAGTTTTATAGTTTCTTTCTCTGTTAACGTCTCAAACTTTTTTGGAACTTTCACTTCTAGGCAATGTACAGTTTTTTTATCCTTCTTGTGAATGAGACTTTTTCCCACTATATTTTCTAATTCATTTTGCTCATGTATCAAAAAGTTATTTATTTTAGTATGTTACTTATTTGTCACAATATTTTCCTGAAACCTTTTTATTCCTTTTGTTTGTAGGTTCTTGTAGATTTGCTAAGTATAAGATCTGAGCACATAAAAATAATTATATCTTGTAATAAATAGTAATTTAATAATATAAATAGCTTTTATTTTTAAATTCATTTTTATAATAATTTTTTAGAATCTTGCCATAGTTTCAAACTTACAGAAAAGCTTCAGGAATAGTACAAAAGAATTCTCAAATGTTAACATTTTACAGTATTTACATCTTGCCACATGTGTGTGTATGTGTGTATAAATAAACGGATATGTATGATCTATATATACTCTTTTTGAGCCATTTAAGAGTAAGTTGAAGACATGAAGTTCCTTTATCCCCGAATTATTAAGTGTGAATGTGTGATTCACTTTTCTGTTTACTTCTTGGAAGAATCAAGAAAATGAGATTTGATGAAGTTTTGAACATTTTAAATATCCCTCTTAGAAAAGTGACTCACTTAATTGTTTAGATTTCTCTGGATCAGTTACTTAGAGCATGGCCCTTAAACTAACAGCATTGGCATCTTCTGTGAACTTGTTAGAAGTGAACACTCAGGGCTTCCACTCTGACCTGGGGTATTGGAGCCTCTGGGGCTGGGGCTGAAGCAGCTGCTTTAGCAAGCTCTCAGTGATTCTTATGCACATTAAAAAAAAACTCTCCTTAGATTTTTTTTTTTTTAAATAGTGGTCTATCTCAGAAGCCAGATCCATATAAGTTTTTTCCTTTCTTTAGTTTTGAATTGGTTTCCTGTAATGCGTACCCTTTTAATTAATTGTTACAGTTCCTAGGAGGGTGTCCATGTTAACAATTTTCTCGTTGTTGCAGGTTTAGATGACTCATTCAAGTTTTGGAGGGCTCCATCTAGGACAAGTCAGGATCGAGATCCAAGTTCTCTCTCCACCTCAGAAACAACGGTACTTGCAAAGAATGCATAAGTCCTTTATTTTGAATCTCTGAAAAAATTTGAGTTTGCCTAGTGGGAGAGTTAAGAATACAAAGTGTAAGGTTATAACAGCTATGATTTATTCGAAGTGCTTTCTGCAGAATTTTGCTAAATTATTGTATTCAAGCTGCACATCAGTCATACATTATAGATACTTATCTTGCTTTTCTGTGTGCGCAAGCCACTCTGAAGTAAAGTAACTTTGTGATCATTAGTGCTATAGGTAGCAGAACTGGAGTTTGAACCAGGGTGTGTCTTGCTACGGTATAGCTACACTGAATATCCCTTTAGTTGAGAATTTTCAACCTCTCTTTCCTACCTTTTTTGATAGTACGAAAGTGTGAAAATATGTTTTTCGTTAGTATTAGAAGAGAACAAATCCTACATGTTAAAAATGGTTGATTACCCTGAAATTGTGCTTAAGGGCAGGGCAATATGAAGAACATTCAAATGATTCTAGTGTGGTGCTGACAGCTTTAAACACACTTCTAAATACTTGCATCACATAGAAGTTTATCTGGAATACCTGAAATTTATATATGCCTGTTTGCATGCCTTCTTTCCTTCCCCTTTCATTCATGCATTAGTTGCTTTTTTTGCAGAAAAGTTTGAAACACTGAGTATTTATAAGGAATGATTGATACTAGGTTTCAGTTATTTACAAACATACAGAATCATTTATTCTCAACTGGGAAATGTTACTTTTAATTTTAAAGTGTTTTTGAAATAATTAGTGTATTATACAACATATCAGGAAGGGAAAGATTTGATACACCTGTTTCCAGGAACAAAAATAATATGAGAATAATAATTATACAGACATTATAATGTAAAGATTATGTTTAATCTATCTCCTAGTTTCTCAAAAGACTGATACTTTTTGCTACAGTTTTAAGTCTTTTTTTCCCTAGATTCAAGAGAAGTATTTGTGTTTAGTGCTACATTGGACCTTTGTATGGAAAAGTAAGATAATTACCCGAGTTCCACTAGATGTCATGCTTTCCTTTCCAAGGTGGAGATAGTGTGTACCTTTGTCTCAACAAGAGCAGTAATATGATAAATGCCAAACTGAATTGTCTTAATTGGTTATTTAGTTCACAGAAGGACAGCATGAAAGTGTGCTTAAAAGTAAATTTTGTTTGTTAGCCTATTTGTCAAAAGGGCTATAGACTAGCCTTGAAATCTTTGTACATATTTCAGTTTTTTTGCTTTTAGTAGGTACTCAGTAAATAATAATTGCTCTAATTAACTTTGAGTTATCTTAGCTATTTTGTGGTGAGCACTGAAGTCATATTTATCCTATACAAGAAAACCTAAATACAAAAAGCAAAAGCATATCAACCTTTTGAATTTCTCTATTTTGTAATAACATTTAATCTTACAGGTTAGAATACTAGATTTTCTGAGAAAATTTGGAAATATGTTATTAATTGTAGTCATTATTAAAGAAAGAAGCACCCCAATTAAAGTGAAGGTCTTTAACTTGTTTGTGTTTGAATGTAACACAGACTTTTAGAAATATATACCAATGGAATCTTTTCAGTTTTTTTAAAAGAATTTTGTAATATGTGTAAAATTTATTTCTTATTATTTTCTCTAAAGGCTAGTGTATTCTGTTAGAATTTTTACAGAATTTACTTTTTACTTTCTTTTTCGGGAGGTTTCCAAACAACTTTTAGAATGGGTGACTTTTAGTTACAAAAATAGTCTTCGTACCCTAATTCTACTAGTTATATTTTCTTTACCATACCCAAGATGATGTGTATCTTTGTCCCAACAGGAGAAAAATCTGGAGAGTGTTTTCATTCTGCCAGTGTTACTTTAAACCAAAGCTGTCAGTACTTCGACCAAGGCATACTTTCTTATGTATAAAAAAATGTTGAAGTTACAAATTGAGGTATAAGTTGAGTGGATGTAAATCTTATTAATCAGCTTATCTGCTTATTTATATCTTTGTTTTGTTTATCTCAGAATTGAGAAAAAATGCAATCCTTTATTGGTTAGTTGGCTGGTTTTTCCATTTTATCTTTCCAAGGAAAGCATCATCTTTTGATTTGGGTCATGTCATCCAGCATGCTCTCCTGGGTTACTATCCATTTTGTGCTGTTAATGCCAAGTTAGGGACTTTCATGCTGTTACCTAATGTGTATTAGTTCCGTTGTTTGGCAAGCTTCGTAAGGATTGTTGGGTCCTGTATGTTTGATAAACTGCAGATAGAGTAAGCAGAGTGTCATTGTTAGCTTTGGGGCATCGCCCTTGTAAATGCTTCCTCAGGAGTGGCCTCTATCGAACTCAATATTCTCCTCCTCTGGGGTAGGAGGATGCAGCCATTAGGTGGTGTTTTTCTTCTCGAAATCACGTTTATATCCAAGATGGATAGCTGTTTGTGCCTCTTACACACCTGTGTGCAGCAACAGCTTTATGACCAAAATTTGGTCTCTTCTGTTGTTCCTGAGCAGAACTATGTCTGTATTTTTTTAAATTTATCAATTGTCAAAATAAAATATGTGGGAAATATAATTCCTTTCTTTTTGAGCCTTTCTTTGTGAAATATGTGATCTTTCAAACTTTTTTCTGGAACACAGATTTAAAGAAAACTGATTTTAGTTTTTCTAAACATTTAAAGAGAATTTTTACACTTCATAGTCTTAAAACAACTGAAAAGCATTGTTACTATTTTGCAAAAGAGGAAATTAGGGCATGGAGTGAGGTCCCACTCCATGGAGTGCATGCTTGTTCAAGTTCCTAGCATGGTAACTGGTAGACCATTCTTTTGAGTCCAGAAGTATGTTTGCTTCCTCCTTCACTCTAAGGCCAGATGTGATTGATCCCATAAAAGATGGTGTAGTCAAGGGACAGTGAGGTTTCTTTAGAGGGAAAGATGAAATGAAAAGTGGTTTTGTGTAGGAAGTGGCCACTGAAATGGGCTTTACAATATTATCCCCTTCTCTTTTATATGCATACAAACATTTGCAAGGGACTGAAAAGATTCAAATATTCCTTAGGATTCAGTGACCACTTAACAAATGACAAAAGTCTACTTGAGAACATAAAGCATACTTAGACTTTCTAACTAAATATGAAGTTGTGTTGTACTGAAGGCATTAACATTCAGAAAATGCAAGAGGTTGTTTGGAGTAGAATGTGGGACGGAAAGCTAAAGTTTGATGACCTGACTAATCAGATAGGAGTTAGTTAAGAAAGCTGAATCAGCTTTTGGATTTGAAGAGGTAAGATATAAGAGCTATAAAGATAAAGATGTAAGGATATTTCAGCAGCATGGAATGGCATGAAACATTACAACTGATATGAGAGAAATAACGTATTGACACTCATTTGATGGTAGTTAAAATTGTTTTATAGAAGGAAGAGTAGACAGAGGATAGTTTAAGCAGGGATGGATCCAAGAGGCTTTCTAAAAGAAAAATAGTTTTGACATAGGCATCACTGATAGGACATACAAATACCTCCAGCATGGTGACCCCAGGAAAACTTGAGGAGGTGGTAGTTTGTGTGATGATGGAGAGAGAAAGAAAATGTTATACTCTGTTTAAATAAATTTCAGCTACCTGTGGATTATCCAGAGTCTAACAACCTCTTATATTTAGTTAGGAGGAAAATACAAGTGAGACAAGCTCTTGGAAATTTGTGCTCTTAGATTACACACAGGATGGCACAGGAACTGTGACTGTGTTGTGGTGATGATCTGTCTCTTTAAGTGGTCCTTTGGTTAGACATGCAAGAATCGTCTATCATCTTCTGCTCATTCCTTCAGAGGACTTTTCTGAGCTTTCTTTTTTTTACATATATTGTACATAATCCATTTGAATTATGAATCTATTAGTTGAAATAATTTAAACTTCTTGTTATAATTTGGTTAGAATTAATGATTACAAATTGAGAAGCATGCCAAAGCTTTCCTGCTCCTGGGCATATAGAGAAAGGTATTATTTATTAAAATGAACACATGAAGCTTAGAATCTCTTAGAAACCCTTCATATCTTATATTTTTCCATGTTTTCAAAATGTGGCTAGACTTGTACTTTATTTTTTTCACACTACAATCCTTATTTTCTCCCTTTGTACCTTTTTAAAAACAATTAAATAAACTTTTTTGGCACCAGTACTGCTTTTGAGGGAAGTTGATGGAACTATTACAAGATCATTTTGGCAAATACAATATTCAAGTTCTGAATTAACTTTCAAAAAAAGTTAAAGTGTCTAGTGAAATCACTTGCTTCTGTAAGGCAGATACAAAGAAAATCATTTTTGTACATTGATGCATTTTTGCTTATATGACAGAAATTGTTTTTTACATTCCAGTTCTACTTGGATATGGCAAATGACTCTGCTATTTTCAGTGATTTCAAAGGGACTTTCTTAATTTTAGCTGCTTATTTTACACTGAAGCATAATTTAGAAACCTTCTTTAGTTACCAAATCTGCTTACAAACACACTGAAGAACAATTTTTTTCAGTTTTTATAAGCAAGATTTGAGTCCATTTTATTTTTTTATTTTCCCCTAGTTTTGAGCTAAAATGACAAATAAAATTGTATATATTTGAGATATACAGTGAGATTACTTGACATATGTATATGTGATGAAATGATTACCACAGTCAAATTAGTTAACACATCTGTCACCTAAGAGTCAACCTTTTTTTTTTGTGGTGAGAACACTTAAGAACTACTCTCTTTCAAGTAGACTGTGCAGTGTTATTAACCATATTAACCATATTCACCATGCTACACATTAGACCATATTAACCATATTCACCATGCTACACATTAGATCCCCAGAACATACTCATCTTATCTGAAAGTTTGCACTCTTTGACCAAACATCTCCCCTTTTCCCCAGCTCCTATCCCCTAGCAACATCCATTACACTAATCTGAGTCTGTTTTAGGACAGTACCTTTAAGTAGCATCAGCCTGCTCTAAAAAGCTTGTATTGTCTTTTGTAATATCTGTAAAGTAATAAGGCTAGAAATATATTCAAATTCAGATTTTTTTGTCTTACCGAGGGATTATAAATTGAAGATCTCAGGATATGTCATGTGGCAGATGTGAAAGCGAGGGAAAAGTCTAGATTGTGATTTTGCACTTAGACCATTCTAATGAATTGAGCAAGTGATAGATACAAGAATTAGACTCTCGCTGTTGTAAGAGGACAACCCTAGTTATCCTACTTACTGTGAGGTACAGAGCAGAGCAGCGAGAAGCTTGACAGGAACGGATGACTTCAGCAGACTAAGTTTGCTCTTAAACTAAGCCAATTCCTCCTCCTTCACCTGGGATGGGGCAGCTGAAGTTAGTCTAGCTGAAGTTCCGCGGGGACACAGGGGGATCAGGGAGAAAGAAGCAAGCCTCTCCTCGCAAACAAGGCCAGCCAGCTTTCTCAAGAGGTACGTCTGAGGACTTCCTCTGATTCTAACGAATTTATGCTGTCATGAATGCAGTTCTGGACTGAGAATCCTAGTCTCAACTCAGACAAATCCCTTAACTTGTGGTCCTTTTCTCTAAATGAGGACGTGGACTAGGTCAGGCTTTTTGTACCTATAGCTTCGTAGGCTCATACTGCACCTTCCAGTAGCTAATACTTAATGCCAAAATTGTCTAGTTATTACTTGGATTTTAAGGTGAAAAGTAACATGTTTACATATCGATGTACTTTATCAAATGTAACCAAATACTATCGATTGGAGATTATATCTAAACAAGCAAAGATTTGAGCATAGAACTGGGACAATTTGCTTTAATACTTTTTTGCTTTTAGTTATTAAAATAGCAATATATTAGTTTAGCACACTTAAAAAATAGAGGCTAGTAGAAATATAAATCATCCATAATCAATTTTAAAGCACCATATAAAGCAATCATTGTGTTTCCCCAACCACATGGGGTAAGTTATAATACAATAAGGTACTTTCTAAAAGCATCTTTTCTAAACTTGTGTATCCCTTCTGTGGACTATACTAAGGAAAATCACATCTTTATTAATGCCTGACCTTTGTCATGAATCACAACTTTGCTTTCTTCTAATGAGCCAGGTATTTAGTGGGCCCTTATAAGCTTTCTTTTCCCACACCGATCGTTGAAACCGCAAACCAGGTACCTATTCTATTTATATCAGTAATAAGGCCTTCTTGAGTCTTTATCAGTTGAAAGAATGTTCAGTGAAATGATAAAGGATTTCAGCATCATTATCCCCTTAACTTTTCTTATACAACCAAAAGAGTTGTGGCAGGAGCCAGATATATTAGCTTGTGCATAGTTTGTGATATCAGTCTTGGCATAGGATTATTTTCTTCACAGAACTATAAATGTTGTCTTGATATCTGTTGACAGGAACATTTTTTCACATATCTCTCATTGCCAAATTGTAGGCAAATATATTTTTAAAAATAAACAAGCTTGCTGGGCGCGGTGGCTCACGCCTGTAATCCCAGCACTTTGGGAGGCAGAGGCGGGCGGATCACGAGGTCAGGAGATCGAGACCATCCTGGCTAACACAGTGAAACCCTGCCTCTACTAAAAATACAAAAAATTAGCCGGGCGTGGTGGCGGGCGCCTGTAGTCCCAGCTACTCGGGAGGCTGAGGCAGGAGAATGGCGTGAACCCGGGAGGCGGAGCTTGCAGTGAGCCGAGATCGTGCCACTGCACTCCAGCCTGGGCAACAGAGTGAGACTCCGTCTCAAAAAAAAAAAAAATAAACAAGCTTTAGGTTATTTTTACTTAGTATCTGGATCTAATACTATATAAAATAAGGCATTTGATGTTTGTTTATGATTGACTTATTTAGACTGAACTTTTTTCCAGATTTACTTTTTAGATTATGTGCTTAGCCTACATTTTTTAGCTGCAGCTTTCTCACTTATTTCTTGGCATCATGACTGTTATACTTACTTAATGTGGTGAAAGATGGTTAAGGGCTCAAGTTAAAAGGGGGATTTAAAAAACTGTATATTCCATTTTTAGTAATTTCTTCAAATTTATATTCTCTTTACTATTAGAAACTGCAAATGAAAATAACCTTAGTTTTTGCTTTCATTTCATCATGGTAATTCTAAGGTACTCTAAGTGTTAAGATATATACACAATCAATGTACAAATACTGTGAGCTATATAGGATCTGAGTCTGGAATGATGGTTTATAACTTCTATGGATAGCTAATGTTGTGTTGCATGTACTGATATGGAGGCTACCCAGGTATGGGCACTTCATGTTACTTCACAGAAGAGAAATTGATGGTAAGGAAAAGAGTTATCTGACCTCACCACATAAGTGTTTTTCAACTAAGAGGTGCTTAGTTGAACACCTCTTAGCGCAAACACATCACTTTGCGCTTTTTCAGTCTTAGAAGGTCGGTCTGCTCATTATAAACCTGTAGGTGAAATTGTACTTGCTTTCCACGGATTTTGTTATATTTAATGTTGTATTCTGAAGCAATCTCAGCAAACTGGCACAATTTTTTAGTGTTCTTCCTTGATAGGAGGTGAGGTAGAGAAAAATCTTTTAATACTTCTAATTTTTTAGGCACTATTAAAATTTATATGTGCCATTTGGAACATTAAAAATATCTTTATTGTCAATCAAGAAATGCAAAATATCACAATAAATTATAGTTAAGGTGGTATATTTTAGCCTTTCTAACATTTGGGCAATGAGGGAATTGGCCTTATGGGAACCTTAAACTCCTAAATGGGCCTGAAGTCAATACTGCTCCTTTGAGTTACTGATTTATGTAAATGATAACAATTCCTTTAAGAAGTGGAAATGCCATTTAAAAAAACTGCTGTAACTCCCAAGATATGGAATCTTTTCTAGTTATCCTAACTAGTATAATTTTGTCTTAAACCTCCTTGTTTAAGGATATCTTGTGTGTATGTTGCCTGTGTTTCATTTTCCGTACTGTAACATTAATAAGTAAAATAATTTACTGATTCATAGGTGGCACCTTCATTGGGGAGTACTGAATTTCAGCCACTTGTGCAGTCAACAACACTTCTACCTGAAGCCTCCCATGACCAGTTTGTGGCTCAAGGTATCCTTTTAGTGAAGACATTCTACCTTCAAAAAGAAAAATGACAAGTTGGTCCAGACAGATATTTTGAAAGTAAATGTCTAAAGAACAAAATTTTAATGAAATAAGTTGTAGACCATTATGAAATACATTTAGAACCAATATATCAGAAATTAATAAAATAAATGCTCTTAACTAATAAATGGAATTTGGCTCTTAAATAAATAGTCCAATTCCTGTGTGGCTCCTTATTAGGCGCTCGTAGGTATTTGACATTTGAATTTGGGAACTGATGGGTATAACTTAACTTTATTTTTTCCCTTCTTTTGAGAAAACACTTTGCTACAAGTAATCCACTTGAAAGTAAAGCGATTCTGGTTTTAAGTATTTTCTAAGGCTATGCTTCCATTTAAAGGCACATAAAATGTATTGAGTCTTTATTTTATTAGAAATGCACAATATACAACTTGGGACTTATTTTTATTAATGGCAATATATAAATTTTGCTCCTTGTGCTGGGAACTGCTTCCAACCCTGCTGTGCTTCAAATTTGCAACTTTGCTTTTTTTTTTTTTTTTTAAATTCTAGAGAGTATATAAGCCTTATTCAGTAGCATTAAATTTTTGACTTGAAAGGACTATACTATCTAAAAAGAAAGTAATTTTAAACACTGGCATACATATAAGTATATGCAGAAAAAATACTTTCTGAAACATTTAGAAAAACTTGCTGAATTAAAACTTTGAACTTTCATTACAATATTTGTTCCAATAATTTCCTAAACAGTGTTCCATATTGGTTTTTAGTAATTCATGTTCACTATATATAAAATTATTTAACTGTAGAAAATACTCATTTGATCTTCTTAAGAACAAAAGGAGCAAACTCAGATTATTTAAATGGCTCAGGACATAGGGCATGAAATGAAATTCGATCATGAATTTCATGAACATTTATCTCTAAAAGCATGTTGCCTTACTCTGATTTTTAACATCTTTATTGAGATATAATTCACATACCATATAATTCACTTGTTTAAAGTGTATACTTTATTGGTTTTAAGTATATTCAGAGTTGTGCAACCGTCACCACGATCAATTTTAGGATATTTCCATCATCTTGCAAAAAAACCCTATACCCATTAGCAGTCACTCCCTGTCTCCCCCATTCTTGGCACTCTACGGAATCACTAATCTACTTTCCTTCTTTATAGATTTGCCCGTTTTGGACATTTTGTATGAATGGAATCATATAACATGGTCTTGTGTGACTGGCTTCTTTCACTTAGTGTGCTGTTTTCAAGGTTCATCCATGTTCTAGCATGTATCAGAACTTCATTTATTTATTGACAAATAATATTCCACTGTATGAATATATTACAGTTACCCATTCATCACGTGATATAGGCATTTGTGTGGATATACAGGCTTTCTGTTTTTTGTTTGGATTACCTTTGATTTTAAATTTATTTTATTTTCAAGTATTAACGCTTTTTTTTTTTTTTTTTTTTTTTGGAGGCAGTCTCACTCTGTTGCCCAGGCTGGAGTGCAGTGGCGCAATCTTGGCTCAGTGCAGCCTCTGCCTCCTGGGTTCAGGAGATTCTTCTGCCTCAGCCTCCTGAGTAGCTGGGATTACAGAGGTGTGCCGGTACACCTGCCTAATTTTTGTATTTTTAGTAGAGCTTGGGTTTCATCATGTTGCCCAGGCTGGTCTCTAACCCCTGACCTCAGATGATCCACCTGCCTTGGCCTCCCAAAGTGCTGGGATTACAGACATGAGCCACCATGCCCGTCCACAAATAGTATGCTTTCAATGTATATTTATGCAATTTTACTCTTTGCCAATCATTTCAGCACATATATATGACCAAAAAAAAAAAAAAAAGCATATAAAAGAAAGAATACCCACAGAAAGGGGAGGCATGAACAGAGGATGAATCCTCACAATTTTTTGGTGATATATGACACTATCAGGTATATTCCTTTTTTTTCAAAACTTGGAAATAAGAGATCAGGGTGTCAAATGTCCTCCTTAGTTTTACAAAATAAATTAGCAAGAAAATTGAAAAAATATGTATCAATTTATATTCTGAACTAGCTCTCTTTACAGAAAAATTCAAAAAAGGTTTCTATATATGCTTGCTCTAGAAGTGCTGAAGATATGTAATACATATTTTATGAATACTGAAAGATTTCCCTTGAAATTGTTTGGACAATTTTCATTAGAATTATCTCAATTTAATTTTTTCCATTTTTATTTCCAAAGATTTATCATTATTTTTTAAGAGACAGGGTCTAGCTCTGTCACCCAGGCTGGAGTGCAGTGGCATGGTCATAGCTCATTGTAGTCTCGAACACCTGGACTCAAGTAATCCTCCTGTCTCAGTTTCCCAAGTGGCTGGGATTACAGGCGTAATATTTGAGGGGAAAAGAACACAAACTCTCATGTAAAAATGAGCAGAAAACATGAAAAGATAATTCACAAAGGACCTAAAAGTAGCCTTTATCTTTGGAAAAATATTATACAAATTAATACTACCCGAAGATACTTTTTTATTTATTAAATTGCCAACAATTAAGTATTGGCAGTACATTCTTTTGGCGAGGCTGTGGAAAATAAGCACTTTCATACATTGTTAGAGAAAATGCAAATTAGTATAATTTTGGAAGGGAATTTGGCAATAGATAACAAAACTATGTATTTACCTTTGATTAAACAATTCCACTTCTAGGAATTCTCTTTTATTTATCTCCAGCAATATAAAAATACATATGTACTTGATAATTTAGCAAGCATTGTTTGTAATTATAAAACATGGAAACAACACAAATGCCTGTAAGTAGAAGGATAGTTTTTGATAGATATATAACAATATATAGATAATGATAAACATATAACAAAATTACTTATAAATAAAATTTATTTTTAAAATAACAATGGAGAACTACAGCTATTAGAAAGAGGGGGCTGGGCACAGCAGCTCACACCAATAATCCTAGAACTTTTGGAGGCTGAGGTGGGAGATACTTTTCACGATAGTGAGACTGTATCTCTACAAAATATAAAATAAATTAGCCAGGCATGGTGGCACACACCTGTGGTCTCAGCTACTCAGGAGGCTGAGGTGGGAGGAGCACTTGAGCCCAGGCTTTGAGGCTTCAGTGAGCCATGATTGCACCAGACTCCAGCCTGGGCAACAGTGAGACCATTTCTCCAAAAACGAAAAAAAAAAAAAAAAAAAGAGGGGAGGATATCTTCAAACAGATATGGACCAAATTTTAGGAAATATTGTCAAGTGAAGAAAGAAGCACAATGATAAAGAGTATTTATAGTTTATGATATTTACAGTTTTCTACTTTTGCATATGAAAGAAGGGGAAATTTAAAATACGTGTATCTATTTGTGTAGAAAGAAAACAGGAAGGAACAGCTGGAAATGAATGAGATTAATTATGAGAATGGGTGGGAGTTAGTTAGGAAATAAGAGAGGATGGGAACAGTGTAGAAGAGATTGAGGGGTGGGATAGTGACCCTTCTCTGCATGTATCTTCTTGTATAGGTTGACTTTTATAACCATGTATGTTTTACTTGCTGAAAAAAATAAAATCAACAAAAATGGGAAACAATAACATGGAATACAAACCAATTAATCCAGCTACATTTCACATGAATAGCATTGAAGTGAGAGAGGAAGTAACCCCAGTAACTCTCAGACATATTTTTAGGACTTTAGTCCTCAGACTATTGGCAAAATGAACTGTAACCAAGCATTGAACTCTAGTTACTAGTTTTATTTTTTGCAGTATTATTAGTTAGAAATTCTGAAACTACTTATTGTGTTCATAAGGCAAGGCAAATAAGTAAATATATTGTAGACAATGAAAGCCAGAATTTTTACTTTCACATAACGGAAATTACAAATATGGAAGGGAAGGAAGATGTTTAATGTTGGATTATATTTGGAGTGTTGGATTATATTTGGAGCTTTCAGTATGAATCAATTATTTTGTTTTTTAAGAGATGAGGTCTCATTCTGTCATCCAGGCTGGAGGACAGTGCTGTGATCATAGTTCACTGCAGTTGCCACCTCCTGGGCTCAAGCGATCCTCCCACCTCATCCCGAGTAGCCAGGATTAAAGGAATGTGCCGCCATGCCTGGTTCATTTTTAAATCTTTTTGTAGAGATAGGTTTCTGTATGTTGCTCAGGCTGATCTTGAACTCCTTGCCTAAAGTGATCCTCCTACCCCAGCCTCACAAAATTCTGGAATTACAGGCAAATTAATGATTTTTAATTCGTAGATAAAATATGTTTATGTGCCCAGGGGTATGTATGTGCATGCATACGTATATACACACACGTTTTCTAGCTTAGAAACAATGACACTCTAAATAGCAATGTATACATTTAGTGCCCAAATCTTGCTTTCCAAACTCCATTCTCCACTTTAGGGAATCGACACTTTGGAACAAATATCCAATTTTAGAGCTTGGACGAGGAAAGAACAAGATGAACCTGGAACATCTTGCTGTGCCAGAAAGTAAGGGAATGCTCAAAGGTTAATGGAGGTGTTCACTAATGTAGGGTGCAGGTACCTTATTACTGTTCTAAAGTCTAAAAGTATTTTGGAGAAAAGGGAGCTCTCATACAGTGTTGTTGGGAACCACTGTGGAGAACAGTATGCAGGTTCCTCAAAAACTAAAAATAGAACCTACCCTCTGATCCAGCAATCCAGCTGCTGAGTATATATCTAAAAGAAAAAAAAAGTATATCGACGAGATAGCTGCACTCCCATGTTGATTGCAACGCCATTCGTGATAGCCAAGATAGGGAATCAGTCTAAGTTCCGTCAGCAAATGAATGGATAAAGAAAATGAACCATATATGTACACAATGAAATATTACTCAGAGAAAAGAATGAAGTCCTGTCATTTGCAGCAACATGGATGGAACTGGAGGCCATTGTGTTAAATGAAATAAGCCAGGCACAGAAAGACAAATATTGCAACTCATATTTGGGAACTAAAAAAAAAAAAAGTTGAACTCATGAAAATAGAGAGTAGAATGAGGGTTACCAGAGGCTAAAGAGTGGAGAGCCAGAGATAAAGAAGGGATGGTTAGTGGGTACAAAATACAGTTAGGAGGAATAAGATCTAGTGTTCAGTAGCACAACAGGGTAACTATAGTTAACAATAATTTATTGTATAGTTCAAAATAACTAAAAGAATGGAGTTGGAATGTTCCCAACACAAAGAAATGGTAAATGTTTGAGGTGATGGATGTCCCAGTTACCTTGATTTGAGCATTGCACATAGTATGCCTGTATCAAAATATCATGTGTACCCCATAAATATGTACAATGATTATATATCCATAATTAAAAATTTAAAAATAATAAAAATAGTAAGATTTTACTCTGAAGAAAACCTAAAGATTATTTGAATTTGGACACACCTTTGGCCCCTCGAGTTTCAGAAAAAGGATTGTAAATCATCTTTTTGTTCTCAGTGTCTGAATACGTGGGGCATGAAGTCATGTTCTGCCCTTTCTGACCTGTCTCTTCTGCATACGACAATGTCCGTGTGTACACATCTACACATCTACATCCACACATGGTGGAAGGTGGAGGTCAGGAGTAGTAGGGGTAGCCTGACCCCTAACCTCAAGGTTAAGATGAGCCAAGAAGCTAAGGCAATTCCCCAACTATACATTATCATTTTCAGGAACTTTCCTATGATTATAAGAACTTTTGAGTATTGTACATAGCTGTAAGGTAAATAATAATTCTTATGTTTATTTTCAATAATAGGTCACCAGGAAAGTACATCACCACGGCCACCTCATGATTCATCTCTTTCTGCTCCCCTGCCCAAACTGTGTGTTTTTGTTACTCCATCTCTTCTTTCAGCAATGTGCAGCCTCTTGGACAACCTCTTGACGATTGCTCCCAGAGACACTGCAAAGGCTTTTCGACAAGCTCATCTCATAGAACTTCTCTGTAGGTAAGAGATAAATACTCCTAGAGAGGCATGTTAGTTGAGATAAATTTACACAAACTGTATTCATGACTTGATACAAGATTTCTTGTGACCTGGAAATACAGCTTTATTCTTTTTTAGGCTCATTGAACTCTAGGATTTTGCTTTTGCCAGAATTGTCTTGGTGGTTTTTATTTTACATCTATTAAAGCACTTGTATTAGTTTGTTATCTTGACTATTAAGGCCAAAGAAAAACTCCTGCTTTCTAAAATTCATGGATTCTAAACCTTATTTATCCTCCAGCACACTTAAGGAATATGGTGCTATCCCCTGTTCTTAATGGATGTGAGGGACTTTGGGAATTCATCTTTTTAGTGGTCATATCAGAATAATGTCCCTGGGTTGAAAAATTATTGGTTAAATTCATTTGGAGTTATTTTGTTAAGGGAAATTAAACTTTTCATCAAAAAGTATTCTGATAAAATTTAGGGAAATTAAATTCAAAGAAAAATTATTTGAATTTTTATTACTTATTTGATATTAATCAGTCTGTAACATAATTTTTCTGAATTTCTAGGAAGGTATAGTAGAAAAGGACTAGATATTGAATTCAGGTTGACCTAAGGTCTAATTATAGTTCATTCACTCAGTAGCTTGCAGCCTTGGGAAATTACTCCCTACTGTGTCATTAACACCTATTTAATGGGGTTAGTGTGAGAATTAAAAGTGATGGTATCTAGGATACCCCCTTAAGTATTACTTCTCTTTTCTTCTGGTGTTCAGTTTATTCTAGCCAACCATACCCACCTCCTTTTGACCACATGTTTATTTGCATTTCTCTGTCTCTCTGTCCCTTTACCTTTGAACATACACCATCTGAAATGTCTTGCATCTTCTTGCCAAATCATAGTGTCTTCTCTTTCTTTCTGGGATATTAAGAAAACTCTAGAAAATATAAACTCTAAAAGAAGTATTCCTTGTTTCACCTCATTCAATTGTAATTATTCCTTTAACATGTATGATACGCAATGGAGTATGAGTTTGTTCTGGCTTTAATATTTATTGATCATTTTTTTACTGTACCTACTCGGATTGGAAAAGTAACTGCTAGTCAGTTGGCTTTCCTTCCTGGATGCTCCTGCCTGAAGATGACCAAAATAGAGCTCTAGGGATAGGATCTTCTTTGCTTCTTACGAGTCAGCTAAGAGTCTGATGTGGCATTGAGGCCACAGGGGCATTAAAAGACCTTTTATGGCAAAGGCTTATCATATTTCCGTACCTGTTTTTCATTTTTGACTTTAAAAAAATCCTACTTGTTTTACTTTATTTTTATTTTTTTATTTTTATTTATTTTGAGACGGAGTTTCACTCTTATTGCCCAGGCTGGAATGCAGTGGCGCGATCTCGGCTCACTGCAACCTCCGCCTCCTGGGTTCAAGCGATTCTCCTGTCTCAACCTCCTGAGTAGCTGGGATTACAGGCATCTGCCACTACACCCAGCTAATTTTTGGTACCTTTAGTAGAGACGGGGTTTCACCATGTTCACCAGGCTGGTCTTGAACTCCTGACCCCAGGTGATCCACCCACCTTGGCCTCCCAAAGTGCTGGGATTACAGGCGTGAGCCACCGCACCCGGCCTGTTTTACTTTATTTTGTTTTTTACTTTCTAAATATGAACAGTGTTCTTGCTATTTTAGCCAGTATTTTTGCTATTTTATTAGGAAAATAACCACCAAGTTTCCTGTTACTCATGGGCTGTATTATATTTTATTCTGCTTTTAATTAGGTTTCCTTAGATATTTTCTTCACAGCTCTTTGCTTCTCACTTTTCTCTGACAAGATATTTTCCTGTTTGAAGGTAACCCAGGATACAATTTGAAATTCTTTGAGATATCTTTTTATAAACATTTTCTTTGCTTATAAAGATCCTTTCTCTTGAATTGTATTCGAGTTACCTTTAAACTTCAAATTCTGATTTCTTAATCTTTAATAAAAAGTATACTAATCTTCTGAAGGATTTTCTTTTTCTGATCGTCACAGCATTGCAGATGCTACCCTCATACAGACATGTGTCCAGGAACTCAGAGCCCTGCTGCCTTCATCACCTCCAGCTGAACACACTCAGGCTCAGGTAAGCATCTCAAGTCTGTTTGTGGGTTTGTTTACGTTAGGTGTCAAAAATAAAAATCTTGCTGAGGAGATACTAGTCATAGGAAAAGGATGAAAACCTCTCAAAATATACATGGTATGATGAGATTATTCGAAATACGTTACTTGAAATTTTAATATGGGACATGTCTGGATGTTAGAAAAGAGAGGTGGGGTTTGAAGACCTAGATTCTATTCTTGACTCCATCATTAACCAGCTTTAAATGTATGATCAAGTGTCTGGATATCTTGGAGCACCACTTTAATAATAAAGAGGGACATTGGTATAGTTCACTTCCTGCTTCTGTGATTTTAGGCTATCTCTGTTATTTACACCAAAGTTAAAGTTGTTAAAATATTTGGTGGCTAAGTTATGTGTATTTTCAAAACCCAATTTGATAAAAATGATTTATTCTTGTTCCTTCACAGATATTTAGTTTTAAATTCTTGCCTATAGCTAGAATCTATTTATAAAACATGCTTAACAATTATTCATGTAGCTGTTGCTAACAGAAATTTTATTTCAAAATCAAATTTTAAGAAGGGCTACAAGATTTATTTAGGAGGTGATGAATTAAAGGTGAAGTAGACCAATATCTCTTGCTTTGAGATGTGTTCTTTGAGCTGAATAAGACAGACCCCATTACAAAGTTTGGGAATGCTACACGCATGGTCTTTGAAGCTGTTGTCCTGGTGCAGTGTTTTCACCTGAGCATGCCTATTGCATAATGACTGTCTCCTCCATTTTTCTGCTCTCCATCCAGCAAATCTTTGTTGAGTACTTGCTGTGTGCCTGAATCTTCTCCAAGTGAATAAAACAAAGACCCTTCCCTCAAGTTGGGAGAATAGATAATTAGAAAATCCATATATGCCTGAAGATGATAGACATCTCAGAAGAAAAACTAAAGCAGGGGACAGGAAGTGATGTCAGAGTTGGAAGGGTAGGGCTATTCCACTTAGGATGATTAGGCAGTGTCGTGGGACCCAAAGTTAGTGAAGAAGCTAGTCCTATGGTCATTGCAAGACCCCTGAGGTTGGGGTATGCTTGGCCTATCCAAGAAACAGCAAGGAGGGTGGAGTCGCTGGAGCAGAATCTATGAGGGCAAGATGAGGCCAGAGGGGCACAGTCAGCTCCATGAAGTCAGGACCTTGCTGGCTGTTATGTTCCATTGTGTTCTGAGTGTCTGGCATAGGGCTTGTCTCATGACAGGTGCTCACTTGATACTTGTGGGATGAATGAATAATAGCAGTAGCAAACATTTATGGGCATTTGTTTTTGTTAATTCATGTAATCTTCACAAGAATCATGAAGTTATCATTAATGTCATTTTATAAAGGAAATGCCTGAGGCCCAGAGAGATGAGTGACTTGTCCAAGGTCTCTGACATAGATTCCAACCTATGCAGGTCAGTTCCAGGGCCCACATTCTTAACCACTGCACCAGCTGGCCTTATGTAGATTAAATGCTTCTGGGCTCTTGGTATTTATATAAGATCATTCACTCATTTCAGAAAATTCTTGAGCCTCTGCTTTACCAGATTCTGTTCTAGGTGCTAGTGATATATCCTTGAACAAAGCAGATGAGCATCTCTCCTCACGTAGAGTCTGTGCCATAAATGCAGGAGACAGACAGTGAACAAGTAAATAAAATGCATTGTATCAGATAGTCACAAATGGTATGGAAAAAAGCAATTGAGGATGGGTAAAAGGGTGTGTCAGAAAGGGGAGGGGCCTCCTGAAGGTGACACTTAAGCAGAAAGCTGGGGAGGTGAGGGAGCAGGCTGCGAGTGCCTGCGGCAGATGGGGTGGCCAGAGCCCTGCTGGTGGGGTGATACTCTGCTAAAGGTATGATGGATTAAAGTCTGTGGTCAGTTGGTTGGTATTTTTTTTTAAGAGGGCCATACATAGAAAAAGAGTTACTTTATCAACTACTCTTAAGATATGAATATTTTATTTAATCTTGAATGTGATCATATACAAAAGAATCTTTAGCAATTCAGCGTTTTCTCTATAACACTTCTTCTTGCCTCACCTGGCATGGTTTATCTATTTATGGTAATATTTCATACATCCAGAGGTCAGACTTGCTATAATTTCAGTAGTGTAGAGTATGAATGTAATATGAAGTCTCAAGACTTCACGGCAGTAAACAAATTAAATTTCACAAACTGAAGAGTTTGTGAAGCCTGGAGCCACCTACACTTTTATATAAAGTAAGTTGGCAGATTAGATAAAGGGAGGACGTATTCATCAGGAGAAGTAGGGCAGAACTATTTGTAAATAGTCTGAGACCATTGACCTCAGAGACACATACTCCACAAATTTACAACAGGCTCTCGACTCTTCATTACACTCTTACAACCCCAGAATAAGGTGAGAGGAAAAAAAGTGTGTGTGTGTGTGTGTATGTGTGTGTGTGTACAGAGAGAGAGAATGACTGATTTCAGAATATCTTTATAAAATTCACTTATATGTAACTGGCTCATTGCTTGAGGGTAGTGGACAAATGAGACATCACAGCTCATTCTTTAATTGTTACATATTCAGAGGATTATTTTTCTGAAAAGTACTTTTGCCAGTTAATACTTAACAATATTAGCATCAGGCAAATTCCAGAGATGGTTTTGTTGGTAATATTGAAGATGATTTAATTTTTTCTTTTATAATTAATAATAGTAATTTTATGCTGAGGGCAAAAATAGAACATATTTGCATTTTATTTGTAGCAATAACTAGGCTAGCTTCCCCCCACCCCTGCTTATGCACTTTGAAGGGTGTTTTTGTAATCTTTCTTTCTTTACAAAATTATAGACTTTATGGCTTTGTTATACACTTTTCCACTTCTTCCATAATATTGATTTCATAATTTGACTACTTGAAAAATATGGGACTTTTTTTTTTCTTTTGAAACAGGGTTTTACTCTGTCACCCAGGCTGGAGTTCAGTGGTGTGATCACAGCTCACTATAGCCTCTACCTTCTGGGCTTAAGTGGTCCTCCCATCTCAGCCTCCCAAGTAGCTGGGACTGCAGGCCCGGCTAATTTTTATATTTTTTGTGGAAACAGGATCTCACCGTATTGCCCAGGCTGGTCTCAAACTCCTGGGCTCAAGCCATCTGCCCACCTTGGCCTCTCAAAGGACTGGCATTACAGGTGTGTTAGCTACCACACCTGGCCAAGACTTTACTTCTTTAAATGGAATTCAAAACTTGACTTTGAAAACATTGCTTTGTTTGGTGTATAGTTGACAGTATTAATATGGCTGTTAATGACATGCTTATGAGAAAAATAATGCTTTGTCTGCTATGTGTTAATTTCAGATCTTGAAAAATTATGGTTAATATTTTATTTTTTATTGTGTTACAAAAGTAAAATGCTGTATCACTGAGATGGGCTTTTTATATGGCATGTTTGATTTGACCCTGTCTCCTTTTCAAACAGGTTTCCTTTCTCCTGGAATACCTATCCTCTTTGTCCAGGCTTCTGCAGTCATGTTTATTGGTGGAGCCTGACCTTGTGATTCAGGATGAGCTTGTGAAACCTCTTATCACCAATATCATTGGAATTCTCACCATATGTACCAAAGATGTATTAGGTAAGCTTAATTGTTTTAGTTTAGAATGTAAGTGAATAATACTGAGGAAAAAAAACTTACTCTGTTTCAGATATTCACTTGAAGGTTACTTTTTGAGTTTCTTTTTGCTAGTATTTTGGAAGGCTTTGATAATGTGTTTTATAGTTTGGATGCCTTTTAATGGTACCAATTAAGACAAGTGTGTAGTATAATAAAGGACTACCCTTGAGTTTTCAGTTTAAATGAGGGCAAAGCTCTCTGTGTGATGTTAGAAAGTACAGTGAGTTCTGGGTATTAACTATTCTTATAAACTATGGCTAAGGCCAAAAGCTTAATAAAACATTCCCAATAACAAGTATAAGCCAATCTAGAATATATCACAAATTTCCTAAGGTCCTAAATTATTGAAATGTATATATATTTTGTGATCTAATGTTATCTCCAGGGGAAAATATTCTATGATGAAAAGTTGAATGTAATGCTTAGTGGAGAAAATTAAAGCAAAGTAGGATCTTTGTCAAAATCTAATATAATTGTTTTGAAAATGAAAACAATCATTTATAATGAAGTAATTGACCATTTGGTAATTCTCTTTGCCTTTCAGTTTTATTTGAACTATGGATTTACTTGGTTTTAGGTCTGGAAAATGAAGTGTGTTATGATACCCAGCAAAGCCAGTTCTCAGCATCTCATCAGTGTTAAAATGATCTCGATGTTAAAGGAATAGTAATTCCTTAGAAATTCAACAAGTGGCAGTGATACCCTAACTAAGCTTATTAGGTTAGACTGGACAAGCTCAACAAGGTGATATCACCCCCAGTCTCTAAGGAGTGAACATTGATTCTGGGGAGAAGAGGGTGAGGCAAAAACATCTTAGAAATTAAAATAGTTTGTAGGCTTCCAAAGCTCAACTCTACCTGAGACAATCTTATTACTATTTCTCTTCCTGGTTTTTCTTGAGAATTCCTTGAGAAGCATTGACGTTGAGTTCATGGAAGATACACAAGATGTATGCAAGACTAGTGCCACAAAACTGTGGTGAATAGATGACAGCAGCTGGAGGACCTTTGGTTGATTGTTTGATCCCAAGGTCATATAGCAAAAGGTGGTCTGTGTATCTTGGCTGCTATTGGCTGCCTTGTGAATGCTTTTTATTGATCCTCTTGCTTTTCTGTATGATTTGAGCTTTGAAAATTAATTGAAAGTAGTATATATTTAATTACATAAAAGTTGTTTAACCCATCATTAATTATATCAAGCGCTGAAAGGAAAAAATGTCAATATCTGAATGTATATCTATTAGCTGGTTAAATTAAAAATTGTTTTCTCATATCTAGCAAAAAGTTTTAAAAGTTCACTAAGAATATTTTTAAAGAAGTTTTTAAAATTTTTTTCTGAAAAAAATAAGTTTTAAATGATTTTATAAGAATTTATTATATTGCTGTTGTTTTTATATGAATTGCTAATTTATGTATGTAAATTGACACATTGTGATGATATATATATATAAGTAAATAAATTACATGAAAAGTTATTCAGCAAGTATAGGTGCAAAGCTAAATTTGGTATTAATAGGTCTTTAATTTTTAATTTAATTTTCAGCTTAAATGTTTTATTCGGCTCTTCTTAAGCCTGTATTGAATAAAAACAGTAAGCTCTATACTTAGCCTTTTTATGTACAAAGTACAGATATACATATAGTACATAAAGAGATATACAGTATATGTGTGGAATTAAAATCTTGTGGGGATGGCAATGAGGAAACATTTTCTGAAATAAACTCTTTAGAGAGCCACTAATGACAAAAGGGTTGAGAAACACCAAGGATTGCCCTGGGGAAGGTGCAGTTTTCAAGTATCTCATAGGTGCTGAAGTACACCTAGATGGATCTCCTCGGGGTTAACGTCCTATAAAGTTTACATTATAGTGGAATTAGATAAAAGATGACAGATCCCCCTGAAGGCATGGTCAGAGAGAGTCCTCAGCGACTGCTCTCCAGCTTCCATTTACCTGAGTGGAGAGAAGGGAAAATGGGTCCTCATCCTAGAATTGCTACATCCTTAGCCATAGGAAAAGCTGCAGAATCTTCTTTTGCGTCATACTTTTCTTTGTGGGATGATACTTTTCTTGGTTCTTCAAAGAAATTCTTTCTTTTCTACCTTGACCTTGGCACACTGTGCTTTCCTTTCACCCCTGCCCAAAGCTGCTGGAGGGGATAAAGGAAATAGGGGAAAACTTACTCTGACAAAAGTAGCACAAACAATGACATATTTTTATAATGTGCCAATATGTAGTTCTGCAGTCATGGCTTAATATTTAGTTTGTCACACCTTCTGATTGTTCTTGAGTATGCTTTAATAAGAGGAGAGTTTGTGAGTGTGGCTTTATATGCAGGAGGGTGGAGGGGAGATATCTTAAGAAGCAATGGAAAAGAAGTTAATTGAAATAAATTTTGGATAATGCTGAATTAGATTTGTCTTCATTTGATAAGTGCACACCCCTCATTTTAAGTGTAATGAAGCGTCTGTGGTAAGTTTTATATCTTGAAAGGTTCTTTTCCTTCTTTGTGTTAATAACTTGAAGTGTTTTGATTAATTTTATAGATAAAGAGTTAATATCAGCTTTTTATCACACATGGACACATTTATTTAATCTTCTGGCCATGCTCCTGAGGAAAGCTGGTGCCATCACACTCCCGTTTGTTACCGTGGCCCTGGCCAAGCACTGGACAGCGGCGATTGGTAAGAAGATACTTGCATAATCTTGGGGGCTTTCTGCTAATAAAACGAGATAATGATTCTGCCTGTTTAGGTATGTAAATTCACTAAAGTTAAGTAATTATAGCATGGCATATAAAAGAGGTATCAGGGTGCTTGCTTTGAAAAATTTGCAGTGTTCTTGAGCCCCCCAAAAATGCATTTTTGAAAAATTGAAACACATTTTGAGATAACATAAAAGCGAGTTAGGAAAGCCTGTGGTTTTATTATTTTTTAAGCTTTTTAAAGATGTCATCCCTGAAGCTCTGTTTTATTGAGAACATTATATTGGCCACTGTTGGTTTTTTTAAATTTTACTTTAAGTTCTGGGATACATGTGCAGAACGTGCAGGTTTTTTACATAGGAATACATGTGCCATGGTGGTTTGCTGCACCTATCAACCGATCATCTAGGTTTTAAGCCCCACATGCATTAGGTATTTGTCCTAATGCTCTCCCTCCCCTTGCTTCTCATCCCCCGACACGGTGTGTGATGTTCCCTACCCTGTGTCCATGTGTTCTCATTGTTCATCTCTCACTTGTGAATGAGAACACACAGTGTTTGGTTTTCTGTTCCTGTGTTAGTTTGCTGAGAATGATGGCTTCCAGCTTCATCCGTGTACCTGAAAGGACATGAACTCATTCTTTTTTTATGGCTGCATAATGTTCCATGGTGTATATGTGCTGCATTTTCTTTATCCACTGTGTCATTGATGGGCATTGGGTTGGTTCCAAGTCTTTGCTATTGTGAACAGTGCCACAGTAAACATATGTGTGCATTTGTCTTTACAGTAGGATGATTTATAAAACTTTAGGTATATACCCAGTAATGGGATTGTTGGGTCAAATGGTATTTCTGGTTCTAGATGCTTGAGGAATTGCCACACTGTCTTCCACAATGGTTAAACTAACTTATACTCCCACCAGCAGTGTAAAAGTGTTCCCATTTTCTCCACATCCTCGCCAGCATCTGTTGTTTCCTGACTTTTGAATAATCACCATTCTAACTGGCCTGAGATGGTATCTCATTGTGGTTTTGATTTGCATTTCTCTAATGACCAGTGATGATGGGTTTTTTTTCATGTTTGTCGGCCGCATAAATGTCATCTTTTGAGAAGTGTCTGTTCGTATCCTTCGCCCACTTTTTGATGCGGTTGTTTGTTTTTTTCTTGTAAATTTGTTTAAGTTCCTTGTAGATTCTGGATGTTAGACCTTTGTCAGATGGATAGATTACAAAAATTTTCTCCCATTGTGTAGGTTGCCTGTTCACTCTGATGATAGTTTGTTTTGCTATGCAGACGCTCTTTAGTTTAGATCCCATTTGTCAGTTGTAAGCCTGTGGTTTTATAAAGGTACATATGATATGATTATAAAACAATGAGATAAATTTTACTGTGTTGGTATAGAAACCAGTATCCTTTCTGACATATGTACATTGTATGTGGATACATCTTCATATATAAAATCTGGTATACATGATAACATGGAAAGTTAGGATACAAATAACTTTCTCATCACATCAGAATTTTCTTATAGTACAGAAATGCCAAGAGTATAGTATAATTATTTTTATGTTTTTCATGATAGTTGCCCACTAAAATAAACATGATTATTTTAAAATAACTAATCTTTAATTTTTCATGAAGCCTCCTAAATTTTAGCATAGAAAAAAGCTGTTTTTTAACATAAATATTCATAACTGACATTTATGTAACCTTTTTAAACAACCTACTTAAATGTACTCAAAATTGAGTTATTTTAAGCTTCCAAAGTACCTGCTAATTCAACTGACCGATTTTTTTTAACATTTATTTTATCATTTGATCATTCAGTAAACTTAAATGCATGATACAATTTTTAACCAAAGCGATAGTAAGAATTATGGCAAATGCATGTTTAACAAGGAACAGAATTGTTAATTTTCTGGATGTAGGAGTTCTGAGTCTACCATGGAGTACAGTGTCCACGTAGGATATCATTATTTTGTTTAAAATATAATAATTGAAAGAGATTGACTGATTAAGACATTGGGATTTTCTTCTTGTATTTATTGGGGGAAAATTAGTTTATCACCTGAATCACCAATAATATCAATAGAAAGCATGATGCTACCCACATTAGATAAATCTGGCCTGCAGCTTGTTTTGGTAAATAAAGTTTTATTGGAACATAGCCACACTCACTTACATATTGCATATGGCTGCTTTCATGCTACAAAAGTTGAGGTGAATAGTTGTGAAAAAGCCAGTTACCTGCAGAGTATAAAATACTTACTACTTGGACCTTTACAGAAAAAGTTTGCTGACCTCTGACTTAAACTTATTTATCTAACACTATTTCTTTAGTGATAAAATAAATACATATTAAATTCAAAACCTTCCTTCAAAATATGTGTACAGTTTTATGTAATAATAGTACTAATCAAAAGTAACTTACTGCATAAATGGTTTTCATAATAGTAATGTTAATGAAAACATTAATAACAATTATCATTTTTTTTGCCATGGTTTTATTTTTGTTTATTTTTATTTTTTTAAATCAATTGCCATCTCATATGCCCATATACATTTAAAACATGTCGTGGTCACTCCGTAACTTGTGTTATCTATAAGAGTCTTTTCTCGAACTTGACTAATATTTGGACATCATTTAAATGAACATAATTCTCATGAAACCCTACTGCTGACTACTTTATTTTTCTTATGTAACTTTAATTTGTACAAGCCAAAATCTAAGTAAAAATTTTTATGGTTATAATTATCACACAAGCATAAATCTAAAATATAAAATCAAACAAAATTATAAATCCAATTTTTCAAGTTTATAAAATGTAAAACAACACATGTAATTTTGATTAAACAAAATCAGTTCTCACAACAGGAAATTAATAATGACTGTTTCAGTGTAAATTCCTTTCAGTTTGGTCTGTTCTTTCCACTCTGTATTAAGTTTGTGAATCAGTTCATGACCACTCATGTGCTGTCTGAACTGCTATGAAATATTTGTTTGTACATTGTGCCAACACTGCATACTAAGTCTTGCTTTTAAGTTCTGGTTGGCACCAGCTCCTTTAACAGTTGCAACACAATCACACAAGTTGGTAATCTAGATGATCCAGAGTATAGTTACTTTAAAATCAACTTGATTTCCTTTTTGTTGAATTTTGAAGAAATTTTCAAACATTCACATCTGAAATTATTCCTTTAGATATGTTCTGCACATGTGCAGGCTTGTCTGCCACGTGTCCTGCCCTGTATACTGCCAGCTTGCAATTCCTTTCTGTTCTCTTGACCGAAGAAGCAAAAGGGCATCTCCAGGCTAAGAGCAAAACACATTTATGCTGTAGTCCAACAGTGGCTTCACTTCTTGATGACTCTCAGGAAAATCAGAAATCTCTAGAACAACTTAGTGATGTAATCCTTCAGGTACGTCATTTCTTGGTTTTTCAAAAACTTTATTTAGCGTTTAAATAAATTGACTTTCAGTCATGGTCTTGTTAAAAACTGTCTCAGTCATTTAAATTAAGAAATAGTAATGCTTATTATGACTGTTTAAATGATACAAAAGTTTATAAAGTTAAATTAACTATCTCCTCCTTAGCCCCACCCGCTTATGTTGACCAGTTTCTTCAGTGAATATGATGTAAAGATTTGAAGTGAAATATTACTAATCTAAATCTAACAGTTGATCAAAACAGTGTTTCATATCATGACCAAAATGGATATATTTCAGAAATGCAGTTATGGTTCAAAATTTATTGTAATTTTAAAGATATATCTACGTCTCTGAAAATATATTCTAAGTGACATTTGATTTCTAGAAATGGACCACAGATTTTTGGGGTTGGTTACATGTATAGGTAAGTGGACTTGTCTGGCACATTTGGAAGAAAATGCCCCCTTTCCAAGCCCTGTTGCCTGTTTTATCTTATAAAATTATGTTTACAGTCTAAAATGTGAATCAAGAATTTTGTTAATCAGAAAACATTCTAAAATCACTAAAGTATTATTTTATAAGTAGATGAGTAATTTTTTAAAAACTGTGTGTTTACTAAGTTAAAGTTGTACATTGTTTTTTACAAATAGGAATATTTTTAGATTTTTCAGTATTTAGAATTATTCTTTTTAATCATGTGGTTTTATGATTTTTGTCTTCTCACTGAAAGGCAGAAAAGTAGTAGAATTGTTGATTGAAGAATTTGCTTCAGCTTCCCAATCAGCCAGCCACGTTTGGCAAAGATAGAAGATTGTCTGTGTGCTGGTTTGTTATAATTCCTTTGTTGCTTAGAAGATTGTTCCTGTGCTGATTTGTTATAGTCCCTTTGTTGCTTAGAATTTGGAGATTTTTACCCACTTCTTTGCCTGTGAGAGTCATGATCATGCAGATATTTCTGGTATGACTGCTTGTGCATTTTGGGCACAAGGCTTGATGATGTTGAGATGCAGAAAGGATTGCCAGTAAGAAGAAAATGCTTCCTGGTTCACCCAGGAGCTGTCCTGTGGAGAGTGTCACAGGGTCCTCAGGGGACTTTGTCTCCCTTGTGCTACAAAATCTGGTTACCTTTCCAGCATAGATAAGAAGCCTGTTAAGGCATCCCCCATTTTCTCATCCATCTCCAGCAGCGCCTTCAGAAGCCTGGATAGAGCTCTAGGGGAGAAGCGTTCCTCAAAGCATTTCTCTAAAAGCCTCTTATTCTTGGGAGGCCATAGCTTTCCTGTACCTACTACCTCACTGTCAGTTCACTCAAATTTTCTTAGTTGAAAACAAAAACTGGACGTTGTCCCAGTTTTCTCATTCCCCATCAGAACAACAGACTTTATTTCCCAATGATTAACTGAGTCTCCAGTTTTGCACTTTAAAGAATGTTGTAAGGAGGAAAATTCAAACCTTTTCAAAAGTCTCCCAACCACAACCCCTATGTAATTTAATTATAAATTTCCCAACTTTGGCTTTGGTTGGAGCACGGTACTGCTTGGGGAAAGGCTTTTGCTCTTGCTGACACACTTGGCTCGTCAGAGAATTTCAGTGACTTCACTCAGAGGACTGAGTGCAGTGAGGGCAGTGTGCTGGGCCCTGCCCTCCCTGCTGAGGCCAAAATGGCAATAGGTGTGGGAGCCTGGCTCTGCATGGATGACTGTGGGTGTCCTGCAACCAATCCTCCTGGACCTGGGAAATTTAAAGACTTCCAGCCAGGCAAAGCCAGGGCTATTTTATTTCCCAACTCTTTAATGTTGTTTGTGGTGCTGTGTTTGAAGGGTCTCTGATGAGACTCATGATGCATATGGATCCATGTAGGGTAATGAATCAGTTTATAATAGTATACGCAGGAAAAAAAAAATCTGTGCTAGAGGAATTTGTGAAATTTACCTTGCCCTTATTTTTACCTAATACTTTGTAATATTATTCATTATAAAAGCTTTTGTTTATAATTTTTTTGTTACCTTTTTGGACAAAGAAAATGAGATAGCCTACAGTCACAGAATATCTCAATGATTTTCCTAATGACTAGCTAATTTTCCTCTTTATTTCTCTAAATTACAAATCACGTATTTTGTGAGGGTATGGATACATTAACCAATTATTTAAACCATGTTTCCTAATAAATCATACTCTTTGTGTTCGTGTAAGCAGTAGAATTTGGATACATGACATCTGTTAGAAAGGCACAGGCAAGTTTAAGACAAAGAAAGTGAAGAGAGGAAGTATACTCCTGGCACACTCATGACAAAATGTGTACCTAATGTAAGTTGGGACAGTTAATGGGCCTATTAAATTACAAACACTGTTTTCTTTGCCTTATAGAAATAGGATATGTGAATTAAAATATTATTAGAATACATTCAACAGCAACACGTTTTGATAAGTAATAAATGTAGCTTACTATATGTCCATGGAGGCTGTGGTTTGGGCCAGGTGCTGTATGAAGCAAAGTAAATTACAGTCTTTAAATTATCTGAAGAAATTATATTCTAAAATTGATGTCTTTCAAAGGTCTAAGTTTTCTGTAAAATCATACTCAAAAAACATTTGATATGGGACCTTAGGCAAATCACTTAACTTCTTGGGATTCAGTTCTTCAAGTGCAAAATGATAGGCTTTTATTACATTATTACTAAGTTTCAGCTGCCTCTAAAATCTCCATCCTCCTAACAAATCACTGTATTGGAACTTCAGTTAAATGTCTGGTCAGAGTTATCTTTTAAATGGTGCTTTATAGCAGTATCCCATAGGGGATACATGTTGAAAGTATTCATACTTACATCTTAAGTCATGTGTAAGTGTTTTTTTCTAAGTCCATTTTGAGGTGGTTTCAGACTTTGAGCATTTTCTAAGAAATATTCAGCTGTCTTTTGTCCATAAAATACTGAACACATTTGACTTAGCAGAGATTTTACCTTCCCTAGTTTATGAAGATACAGTAGTCTCCTCTTATCTGTAGTTTTGCCTTTTATAGCTTCAGTTACTCATGGTTGACTGTAGTCCAGAAATATTAAATGGAAAATTCCAGAAATACACAATACTTAACGTCTTAAATTGCATGCCATTCTGAGTAGTATGATGAAATATGCTCTGTCTCCCCTCAGGACGTGAATCATGCTATGTCTAGCTTACCCATGCTGCATATGATACGTGCCCATTCATCACTTAGTATAGCAATCTTGGTTATCAGACTGATGAATCACAAGACGAAGAAGGATGAGTGCATTGTAGTAAGATATTTTAGAGAGAGAGACAGAGAGGCCACAATCACATAATTTTTATTATACTATTCTGTTATTATTATTGTTAGTCTCCTACCTGCCTAATTTATAATTAAACTTTATTGTAGTTACATATTTATAGGAATAAAACTTAGAATATATGGAGTTGGGTACTATTCATGGTTTTAGGTATCCACTGGGGGTGTTGGAATGGATCCCTCAAGGATAAAGGGGCCTACTGTGCTCAATATGTTTTATTTGCAAATACATATAGATAACAAGATCAATAAAAATCTCTCTATATGTAGTAGATTTTGTCTATAATTGATATATTAATCAGTTGAGATAATGAATTAATTTTGCTCCTTATATTTGATCTGATATCTAAAAGTAGTAATGCAAATGAGGAACTCTTGTGCCTTATTTTAGATGTATTTTGTGCTCACATTTAGTGAATGGTAAAATTCAAGGGTAAATCTGTTGAAAGGAAGGCTTATATATTTAAGATCCCATTGTGTTGATGAATGTTCACTGTAATTAAAAAGCCTATTTTTTACATTAAGTACCTTTTGGAAAGAAAGCAAGAAAGTCTTGACCTAGAATACCCTACATCACTTAAATGTACAGAAGGGATTAATCTAGAAAGAGCATGACATTTAAATGAATTTTGGTTGATGAAAAGACATTATGTCTTGCTCTGTATATCGTCTTGATTTCTTTTTCTCTTTTTGTGTATTTGCTAGTTATCTGTTGCTTGAGTTTATTCTCAGCCTTGCTGCCTCCAGGCTCCTCACACTTCCAGTCGTGTCCACTTGCTCTTTGCAGTGATGCTCAGACTGCTTTTCAGTCTGCAGTAAGTACTGTATGGAAACTGATAGAAAGTCAGTTCTTCACTCCAGCCTTTCCTTCAGTATATGTTGGAAAGTATATGAATTTACCATAGATTAATTCTGTTTGTTTCCTTTTTGTCTGTTTGGTTTTGGTTTGGGGCTTTGATTTCAGTTTTACCATGTACACATTTTAGAGAACCAAACAGTTGTATCTGTAAGTTTTTACTAAAAGTAGGAGATTTCTGCCTTCATTCCTCATATTCTCAGAGGTGACCACTTATACCTCATTTAGCTACTTTTTATAGCTTCTCTTTCATGTCTCTAAATAACATGCTTATATTTTTTTGTCTTGATTATTCAGTTTTAAATATTATCTGTTGAATTCCTACTATGGAAAATGAGACTTTAGCTTTTTTTTCATGCCTCACCCACCTACCCTGCCAAAATGGGTTCCCTTCTCATTCTCCTAATATTGATATACCATAATGCCAATTAGAGAATAGGCAGCGTGAATGGTATTAAATTTATGACAGTGTTATACACAGTTGAACCGTGTTGCAGAGTGTTTAACTTTCTTTTCTTGCACAGCTTTTGTTTGCCTTAGAGGTAATTATTGTATTATTTTAAAACGTGCTGACTTTCCTGTTATCACTTACAAGCTCCATGCTCTTTGCCAGAATTAAACATCCTCTCAGTGTGTTCAGAATTGTCAGAACTTCATCGCTTCATCTTTTGGAAGAAATCTCTTCCCAATTCCTTCTAACCTACTTGGTGCCTGTTTTCATCCTGGGATATCCATTCACCAGTTTCTGGGAATTCCTTTACCTCTGTGCTAGGTGCAGTTTCCTGTCATCCTGGGATATCCATTCACCTGGTTCCAGGAATTCCTTTACCTCTGTGCTATGTGCAGTCTCCTGCATCCTGCATGCTGTCTCCCATCTCCTGTGGCCTTCTCTCCTGGTTAATGCTCTTCATTTTTGCGTAGCGTCTCTTCTCCCTTAGCTTTCAGAGAAAAGGTACTGAGGAGGTCTTTTGAGATCTAAATGACTGAAAGTCTTTTATCGCCCTTACATATAATTTATAGTTAGGCTAGTGAGAATTCTGGATTGGAAATCATTTACTTCAGAATTTAGAAGCCATAGTCTGTTCTTTTTAATTCCAAATGTTACTATAGAGAATTCTGAAGCCTTGGCTGGGCGCGGTGCTCATGCCTGTAATCCCAGCACGTTGGGAGGCTGAGGCGGGCGGATCACGAGGTCAGGAGATCGACACCATCCTGGCTAACACAGTGAAACCCCATCTCTACTAAAAACACAAAAAAATTAGCCAGACATGGCGGCGGGCACCTGTAGTCCCAGCTACTCGGGAGGCTGAGGCAGGAGAATGGTGTGAACCCGGGACGGGGAGCTTGCAGTGAGCAGAGATCACGCCACTGCACTCTATCCTGGGCGACAGAGCGAGACTCCGTCTCAAAAAAAAAAAAAAAAAAAAAAAAAAAGAAAATTCCAAAGCCCTTAGAATTCCTGGTTTTTCTCTTCCTGGAAGTTTTTAGAATCTTTATTTTTTCTCGTATTCTAAAATGTTTAGATGAAGCATCCAGGTGTGGATCTGTTTTAGCCATTGTACTGGGCTCTCTTGGGGATTCTTTCCATCTATAAACTCATGCTTTCTAAATTACTTCAGAGACATTCCCTGTACTTTGTATGCTCTGTACATTTGGAACTCCTGTGAAGTTTTTTTTTTTCGCTATGTAATCTCTCTTTGCTGTCTTTTCCTCTATTTATTTTAGTCTCTCTTTTCTATTTGGCAGCTTTTCTTGGTGTCTGGTAATCTTGATTATGTGCTGTATTTAAGACTGGGAAACTCAAAGCAGATTGACATCCCTGAGCATATGAGTGCAACTTGTCAATTGCTGTCCAAGGGGACCAATGGGGGTTATTTTGTAGGCTTGTCTTCTGGGGCTTATCAGATTCCCTGGAGAATGGTCTTCTGATCTCTTTCCTGGAGGTGAAAACCCAACTGCCAAATGTTATGTAGCCAAGTAGGAGACGACAGCTGAGGTCTCAGAATTTAGTTTGCACAATTTCACTTAATCCTTCAAAGGTTTTAGTAGAATACCCTTGCCCACAAATTTTCCTGTCTCTGCCAGTTCAGAATCCTAATTTATCCTCTCCAGAGACTAAGCATCCGGGATTTTGCAAGGGCTGGGAGGAAGAGTGGCTTAGTTACATAGAAACTGGTGGCTGGCGGGCAGGATCTGGGCATGTAACTGCATTTTAGAGACTTGAAGCAATCCTTCATCCTCACGTCCAGGGATGCCTGGTGCTAAATTTCTTCAGCCTTGGGCACTTCAGTGGATAGATTGGGGTAGTTTTCAGCTTTCCCCACTCACCACTTAGAATTCAAGTTTCCCAAGCCTAATACACTTGCCTCTCATCCATCTGCTTTCTCGTTTTCAGGCTTGTGTGTGTGTGTGTGTGTGTGCAATCCCATTTTTGTCATTTTAATGGGATTTCAGGAGGGAATAAAAGACATATCTGTGCACACAACTATTTCCTTAGGAGTCTTAACTCCGACCCAACCCTGCTCCCAATTGCTAGTGAGCAATTTTTTATTTTTATTTTATTTTTTATTTTTATTTATTTATTTATTTTTGAGACAGAGTCTCACTCTGTCACCCAGGCTGGAGTGCAGCGTGGCCCGATCTCAGCTCACTGCAACCTCTGCCTCCCAAGTTCAAGTGATTCTCCTGCCTCAAGCCTCCCAAGAAGCTGGGATTACAGGCGCTTGCCACCGTGCCCAGCTAATTTTTATATTTTTCGCATGTTTGTTGGCCAAACTGGTCTCGAACTCCTGACCTCAGGTGTTCCGTCCACCTTGGCCTCCCGAAGGGCTGGGATTACAAGGCGTGAGCCACCACACCTGGCCCCATTATCATTTGTTTCAAGAAATTTTTCAATTTTCTTCTTAATTTTTTCATTAACCCACTGGACATTCAGGAGCATATTGTTTAATTTTCATATGTTTGTATAGTTTCCAAAATTCCTCTTGTTATTGATTTCCAGTTTTATTCTACTCTGGTCATAGAAGATGCTTGATATTATTTCAATTTCTTGAATGTTTTAAGACTTGTTTTGTGAACCTAACATATGGAATATCCTACAGAATGATCCATATGCTGAGGAGAAGAATGTGTATTCTGCAGCCATTAGATGAAATGTTCGGTAAATATCTATTAGGTCCGTTTGGTCTTTAGTGCAGATTAAATCCAGTGTTTCTTTGGTGATTTTCTTTCTGGAAGATCTGTCTGTTCAATGCTGAAAGTAGGGTGTTGAAGTCTCCAGCCATTATCGTCTTGAGATCTCGCTCTCTCTTTAGTTCTAATATTTGCTTTATGTATCTCAGTGCTCCAGTGATGGGTACATATATACTCACAATCATTGTATCCTCTTGCTGCATTGACTGCATTATCATTATATAATGATCTTCTTTGTCTGTCCTTACAGTTTTTGTTTTGACATCTATTTTGTCTAAGTATAGCTACTCCCAATTTTTTTTTTGTTTTCATTGGCATGGAATGTCTTTTTCCATCCCTTTATTTTCAGTCTGTATATATTTTTATTGGTGAAATATGTTTCTTGTAGGCAACAGATAAGTGGGCATTGTTTTTTCATCCCTTCAGCCACTGTGTGTGTTTTTATTGTAGAGTTTAGTCCATAGTCCATTTACATTGAATGTTGTTATTGACAAGTAGGGACTGCCTTCTGCCGTTTTGTTATTTGTTTTCTAATTGTTTTGTGATCTCATTCTTTAATTCCTTCTGTCTTTCTTTTAGTGAAGATGATTTTCTTTGGTGGTATGTTAATTTCTTCTTAGTTTTTGTGTCTCCATTTGTATCCTTTTTGGTAAAAGGTTACCATGATGAGGCTTGCAAATACCTTCTTATAGCCCATTATTTTAAACTAATGACAGCTTAGTACTGATGGCATGAACAAGCACACATGCAAAAGAAAACTAATAAAAACTCTACACTTTAACTTTATCTCCCCTGCTTTTTAACTTTTAGTTGTTTCTCTTTATGTCTTATTGTACTGTCTTTGTCTTAAAAAGTTGCTGTAGTTATTATTTTCGATTGGTTCATAATTTAGACTCTCTACTTAAGATAAGAGTAGTTTACACAACACCATTACAGTGTTACAATAGTCTCTGTTTTTCTGCGTGCTTACTATTACCAGTGAGTTTTGTAACATCAGATGATTTCTTCTTGCTCACGAACATCCTTTTATTTCAGATTGAAGAACTCACTTTACTATTTCTTGTAGGACAGGTCTAGTGTTGTTGAAATCCTTCAGCTTTTGTTTGTCTAAGGTTTTTATTTCTCTTCATACTTGAAGGATAGTTTCATCGTATGTACTATTCTAGGGTAAAGTTTTTTTGTTGTTTTTCTTTTTTTTTTTCCCTGCAGCACTTGAAATATGTCATGCCACTCTCTCGTGACCTGTAACATTTCCAGATATATTGGAGGTCCATTGTATGTTGTTTCTTTTCTCTTGCTGCTTTTAGGATCTTTTCTTTATCCTTGACCTTTAGGAGTTTGATTATGAAATATCTTAAATGTCTTCTTTGGGTTAAATCTGCTTGGTGGTCTCTAACCTTCTTGTACTTGAATATTGATCTTTCTCTAAGTTTTGTAAGTTCTCTGATATTATCCCTTTGAATAAACTTTCTACCACTATCTCTTTGTCTTAAATTTGCCCTTTCGAGGCTATTTTTTAGGTTTTATAGGCATGCTTCATTCTTCTTTATTCTCATTTTTCTTTTATCTCCTTCCCCTGACTCTGTGTTTTCAAATAGCTTGCCTTCAAGTTTACTAATTCTTTCTTTTACTTGGTCAGCTCTACTAATATGAGACTGATGTATTTGTCAGTATGCCAATTGAATTTTTAAACTCCAGAATTTCTGTTTCATTCTTCTTAATTATTTAAATCTCTCTGTTAAATTTATCTGATAAAATTCTGAATTCCTTCTCTTATTTTGAATTTCTTTTGAGCTCCCCTACCACAGCAATTTTGAATTCTCTGTTTGAAAGTTCACATATCTCTTGTTTCTCCACGCTTGGTCTCTGATGCCTTATTTTAGTTCATTTGGTGGGGTCATTTTTTCCTGGATGATCTTGATGCTTTTAGATGTTCGTCAATATCTGGACATTGAAGAGTTAGGTATTTGTTTTAGTCTTTGCAGTCTGGGCTTGTTTGTGTGTGTCCTCCTTGAGGAGGCTTCCCAGGCATTCCAAGGGAATTGGACCTTAAGCCCAATAACACTTCGTTTCTTGCAGACTTGTAGAGGTACTGCCTTGGTGGTCTTGGATAAGATCTGGAAGAATTCTCCAGATTACCAGGCAAAGACTCTTGTTCTTTTACCTTACTTTCTCCCAAACAAACAGAGTCTCTCTCTATATACTGAGCAGCCTGGAACTGGGGATGTGGTGATATTAGCATCCCTGTGGCTACCACCACTGGAACTGCACTGGATTAGTCCTGATGTCAACACAACACTGGGTTTCTCTCAAGCCCACTGCAGTCGCTACCTGCTTACCTGTGTTCACTCAAGGCCCTAGGACTTCATAATCAGTAGGTGACAAAGCCAGCCAGGTTTCTGTCCTTCCCTTCAGAGCAGTAAGTTCCCCCAGACCCTGAGCAGGTCCAGAGATGCTATCTGTGAGCCAGGGATTAGAGTCAAAAACCTTAGAATTTTACCTGATGTTCTATTCTAATGTGACTAACCTGGCACTCAAACCACAATACTGGGTCCTTTCTGCTCTTCTCTCCCCTTTCCACAGGAAAAGGAGACTCTCCTTTTGGCCACCAATACCACGGTCCCATGGGAGTTCTACCACGCTGCTGCCAATGTTCACTTAGAGCCCAAGGGCACTTCTGTCATTCTGTGACGAATGTTGCCAGACCTGGGGCTCACCCTTCAGGACAATCAGTTCCCCTCTGGCCCAGAGATGGTCCAGAAATACTGTCCAAGAGGCTCGGCCTGGATTCAGGGAGCCCAAGAGCCTACTTGTTGCTCTACCCACTGTGGCTGAGCTGATACCTAAGATGCAAGACAAAGTCCCCTTTACTTTCCCCTCTGCTTTTCTCAAACAAAAGGAGTCTTTTGTTGTAGCCACCACAGCTGCGAATGTGCTGGGTCATACCTAAAGTCAGCACGTCCCAGAGCCCAAGGCCTGTGGTGTACTATCTGGATATTGCTGCTGGTTATTCAGGGCCTGAGGGCTCTTTAGTCAGCAAGTAATGAATCCTGCCAGGACTGGTTTCTTCCCTTCAAGGCAGTGGGTTCCCTTGGCCCACATTTTGTCTATTTTGTCATCCAGGAATGGGCCTGGAATGGAGGTCTCACAACTCTGCCCAGTGCCCTGTTCTATTGTGACTGAGCTGGTATCTAAGATGCAAGACAAAGTCTTGTTTACTCTCTTCCTCAAGTAGAAGGAAGGAGTCACTTTTGTTGCTGCGAGCCGCACTGCCTGGGATTGAGGGAGAAATGGTGTAAGGCCTCCCTTAGCTGCCCTGGCTGTTGTCTCCCTGTGTCACATGCCACCATAGTCCAGTGGCTCTAAGCCCAGCCTAATACTAGGAGTTGCCTAGGAATTGCAGGCCTTGTGTCCAAGACTGCCTTTCAAGTTTACCTAGGACCCCAGAGCACTGGCTTTACGGTGGCAAGGCTTGCCAAGAAACTCCACTTCTGACTGCTGGTTTGGGCAGTTGATCTAAATGATCTCTCCATGCATGGGTGTTGGCTGAGCCCAGCACAGCTTTGCTCTCCACTGTGACAGAGCAGCACTGAATTCAGTGTGAAGTCCCCCAGTCGCTGCTCTCTCCCTCCTCCAAGTGTGCAAGTTAGCTCGCCATACCAGGCAGCTGCTGCTGATAGATAGGGGAGGGGTGGTGATTCAAGACTATATCTCCGACACTTTTCAGTTCCTCTTTTAGCCGTACACATTAAAACCAGGTACTGTGATTGCTCACCTGATTTTTGGTTCTCGTGACGGTGCTTTTCTGTGTGCATATAGTTGTTAAAATTTGGTGTTCCTGTTGGGGGAGGACAGACAGTATAGGCTTCTATTCTGCCACCTTGCTGCACTCACCCAGCCGATTCTTTTTTAACTGTTAGGTTCGGGGTACATGTGTAGGTTTGTTATATAGGTAAACTTGTATCATGGGGGTTTGGTGTATAGATTATTTCATCACCCAGGTACTAAGCCTGGTACCCAATAGTTATTTTTTCTGATCCTCTCCCTCCTGCTACCCTTCACCCACTGGTAGGCCCCATTGTCTATTGTTCCCCTCTTTGTGTCCCGGTGCTCTCATCATTTAGCTCCTACTTATAAGTGAGAACAAGCAGTATTTGGTTTTCTGTTCCTGCATTGTTTCCTAAGGATCATGGCCTCGAGCTCCAACCATGTTCATGCAGAGGACATGATCTCACTCTTTTTTATGGCTGCATAGTATTCCATGGTGTATATGTGCCACATTTTCTTTATCCAGTTTTCCATTGATGGGCATTTAAGTTGATTCCATGTCTTTACCATTGCAGATAGTGCTGCAGTGAACATTTGTATTCATGTGTCTTTATGATAGAATGATTTATATTCCTTTGGGTGTATACCCTGTAATGAGATTATAGGGTTGAATTGCAGTCCTTTTTTTAGCTTGTTGAGGAATCACCACACTGCCTTCCCAATGGTTGAACTAATTTGCACTCCCACTGTGTATAAGCATTCCCTTTTCTCCACAACCTCATCAGCGTGTGTTATTTTTTGACTTCTTAGTAGCCATTCTGACTGGTGTGAGATGGTATCTTACTGTGGCTTTGATTTGCATTTCTCTAATGATCAGTGATGTTGAGCTTTTTTTCATGTGCTTGTTGGCAATGTGTATGTCTTCTTTTGAGAAGTGTCTGTTTGTGTCCTTTGCCCACTTCTTAATGGGGTTGTTTTTTTCTTGTAAATTTAAGTTCCTTGTAGTTGCTGGATATTAGACCTTTGTCTGATGCATAGTTTGCAGATATTTTCTCCCATTCTGTAGGTTGTCTGTTTACTCTGTTGATAGTTTCTTTTGCTGTGCAGACACGCTTTAGTTTAATTAGATTTCATTTGTCAATTTTTGCTTTTGTTGCAGTTGCTTTTCACATTTTCATCATGAAATCTCTGCCACTTTCTGTGTCCAGAATGGTATTGCCTAGGTTGTCTTCCAGCGTTTTAATAGTTTTGGGGTTTATATTTAAGTCTTTAATCCATCTTCAGTTTATTTCTGTATATATGTAAGGAAGGGGTCCAGTTTCAATGTATGTATATAATTAGTCAGTTATCCCAGCACCATTTATCGAACAGGGAGTTCTTTCCCCATTGTTTGTTTTTGTCAGGTTTGTCTAAGGTCAGATGGTTCTAGGTGTACACCCTTATTTCTAGGCTCTGTATTCTGTTCCATCGGTCTATGTGTTTATTTTTTATACCATTACCATGCTTTGGTTACTGTAGCCCTGTAGTATAGTTTGAAGTCAAGTAGCTTGATGCCTCCAGCTTTTTTCTTTTTGCTTAGAATTGCCTTGGCGATTTGGGCTCTTTTTTGGTTCCATATGAATTTTAAAAGTTTTTTCTAGTTCTATGAAGAATGTGATTGGTGGTTCGATAGGGATAGTATTGAATCTACAAATTGCTTTGGGCAGTATGGCCATTTTAGCAATGTTGATTCTTCCTAGCCATGTTCATGGAATGTTTTTCCATTCATTCGTGTCACCACTGATTTCTTTCAGCAGTGTTTTGTATTTCTCCTTGTAGAGATCTTTCACCTCCCTGGTTAGCTGTATTCCTAGGTATTGCATTTTGTTTTATTTTATTTTGTTTTGTTTTGGTGGCAGTTGTGAATGGGATTGCATTCCTGATTTGCCTCTCGGCTTGATTGTTGGTATATAGGAATGTTAGTGACTTTTGCACATTGATTTTGTATCCTGAGACTTTGCTAAAATTGTTTATCAGCTTAAGGAGCTTTTGGGCTGAGACGATGGGGTTTTCTAGATATAGGATCATGTCATCTGCAAACAGGGATAATTTGACTTCCTCTCTTCCTATTTGGATGCCCTTTATTTCCTTCTCTTGCCTGATTGCCCTGGCCAGAACTTCCAGTACCGTGTTGAATAGGAATGGTGAAAGAGGGCATCCTTGTCTTGTGCCAGTTTTCAAGGGGATTGCTTCTAGCTTTTGCCCATTCAGTATGATGTAGACAGCAGGTTTGTCATAGATGGCTCTCGTTATTTTAATATATGTTACTTCAATACCTAATTTGTTAGGAGTTTTTAATATGAAAAGATGTTGAATTTTACTGAAAGCCTCTGTTGAGATAATCGTGTTATTTTTGTTTCTAGTTCTGTTTATGTGATGAATCATGTTTATTTGTTTGCACGTATGTTGAACCAACCTTGCATCCTAGGGATAAAGCCTTCTTGTTCGTAGTGGATTAGCTTTTTGATGTGCTGCTGGATTCAGTTTGCTAGTATGTTGTTGAGGGTTTTTGCATTGCTGTTCATCAAGGATATTGACCCTTTTTTTTGTTGTTGTGTCTCTGCCAGTTTTGGGTCAGGATGATGCTAGCCTCATAGAATGAATTGAGGAGGAGTTCCTACTTCTCATTTTTTTGGGGAACAGTGTCTGTAAGAATGGTATCAGCTCTTCTTTATAGATCTGGTAGAATTTGGCTGTCAATCCATCTGATCCATGGCTTTTATGGTGTGCAGGCTATTTATTTCTGATTCCATTTTAGAGCTCATTGTTGGTCTGTTCAGGGATTCAGTTTCTTCCTGGTTCAGTCTTGGGAGGATATATGTGGCCAGGAATTCATCCACTTCTAGATTTTTAGTTTGTGTGCATAGAAGTGTTTATAATCGTCTCTGATGTTTATTTCTCTGGGGTCAGTGGTAATATCCCCTTTGTCATTTCTCATTATGTTTATTTGGATCTTTTCTCGTTTCTTCATTAATCTAGCCTAGTGGTCCATATATTTTATTATTTTTTTCAAAAAACTGGCTCCTCACTTCATTGGTCTTTTGAATGGTTTTTCATGTCTCAGTCTCCTTTAGCTCTGATTCTGATTATTTCTTGTGTTCTACTAGCTTTGGGGTTGGTTTGCTCTTTCTTCTCTAGTTCTTTTAGTTGTGATGTTAGGTGCAAACTTGAGATCTTCCTAACTTTTCAATATGGGCATTTAGCGCTCAAAATTTTCCTGTTAACACTGCCTTAGCTGTGTCCCAGAGATTCTGGTATGTTATCATTGTTCTCATTAGTTTCAAAGAACTTACTGATTTCTGCCTTAATTTCATTATTTGCCCAAAAGTTATTCAGGAGCAGGATGCTTAATTTCAATGTAAATGAATGGTTTTGTGCAATTTTCTTTGTATTGAATTCTGTTTTTATTGTGCTGTGGTCTGAGAGTGTGGATGGTATATGTATTAGACCATTCTTACATTGCTGTAAAGAAATACCTGACACGGAGTAATTTATAAAGAAAAGAGGTTTAATTGGCTCATGGTTCCACAGGCTGTAAGGAAGCATAGTGCTGGCATCTACTCAGCTTCTGGGAAGGCCTCAGGAAACTTTCAATTATGGCAGAAGGGGGAGCGAGGCATCTCACATGGTGGGAGCAGGAGGAAGAGAGAGGGGCAAGATGCCACACACTTTTAAACAACCAGATCTCACGAGAACTCTGTTACAGGAACAGAACCAAAGGGACGGTGCTAAACCATTCATGAAGGATCTACCCCAATGATCCAGTTCCCAACATTGGGGACTACAGTTGAACATGAGATTTGGGTGGGGACACAGATCCAAACCATATCAGTACAATTTTGATTTTTTTGAATTTGCGGAAATTTGTTTTGTGTCTGATTGTGTGGTTGATTTTAGAGTATGTGCCATGTGGCAATGAGAAGAATGTATACTCTGTTGTATTCTGGTGGGGAGTTCTGTAGATGTCTATCAGATCCATTTGGTCCAGTGTTGAGTTCAGGTCTTGAATATCTTTGTTAATTTTTTGCCTGGATTATCTGTCTAATACTGTCAATGGGGTGTTGAAGTCTCCCACGTTACCCTATGGGAGTCTAAATCTCTTTGAAGATCTCTTAAGAACTTGCTTTATGAATCTGGATGTTTCTGTGTTTAGTGCATATATATTTAGGATAGCTAGGTTGCCTTGTTGAATTGAGTCCTTTACTATTTGTAATGCCCTTCTTTGTCTTTTTTATCTTTGTTGGTTTAAAGTCTATTTTGTCTGAAATTAGAATTGCAATCCCTGCTTTTTTCTGTTTTTCATTGCTTGGTAGCCTTTTTCCATCCCTTTATTTTGAGCCTATGTGTGTCATTGCATGAGATGGGTGAGTGCCTGCAGGCAAGGCGGCATGAAGGAGGCTGCAGTGGGGGAAGAATGCTGGTGCGTGTCCACTGGGGTCACTCTGCTAGAGCACTCTGCTAGTCAGGCAGTCTGCCAGTGCAGGAGCTACCGTATGGGCCCGTACCTGGGAGCTTCACTCCAAGCAGGTGTGGCTAGGCTCGGGCTCTGGGAGAAGCCAGCAGACCAAAGGGTGGACCAGATTGGCCCCATCTCATGGGCAAGACCACCCTGCAGAGTTGAGGTCCCACAGTTCCCCTAGGGATAAAGTCTCCTATGGGAGCAAGTCTAGCCTAAGGGGATGGGCATCCTTGGCCATGCTCCGCTATAGACACTCCCATACCAAACTCTCTGGGCTCTGCCCCAGCTGGAGTTCTGCTTCCACTGCTTCCCTAAGCAGCTTTCCCTGACAACTCAAATGTCCATGGTGGTCCAGGGGTTCCTTCCTACCAGGATTCCAGCGGCCTGTGGGGAGAGCGAATTTTGTTCCTTGCCTTTTCAACTTCCCCCTCTGCAGGAGTTGTTGGGGGCCAGGAACAAGTTGTGGTGCTTGGTAGCCCCGAGCAGGGTCCCCAGCTTCCTCCCCCTTCAGCCCCAGCTCTGTGTTTTCCCTCCATCTGCTCTCGATGCCCTCCCTCTGAAGATCTGCTAGGAGTGTGCCAGTCTTCCTGGTGTCCCAGTCCCTCAGTGGGAGATGTTCCTCCTGGCTGTATCTAGTTGGCCATCTTGGAGCAGAAATTTCTAGTTTTGATTTTTAATAAAAATGTATGGAATCTGTTATTGTGTCTGCTTTTGTACATATTAGAAATTTTTAAGTGAAAATTTTTCTAGCTCATAAATTTAAATGTATAAAGGAAATATACAGAAATAGTAGTTTCGGAATTACAAATGATTTTCCATTTCTCTGAAAGTCAAAAAAGTTACACACTATTTTTTGAGAAAATGTTATATGACAGGTGCATGTTACCATAGAAACGAAAGATGGAAAGAACCAAATCACCTGAGATATAGGGGTAGTTTAGATAGAAATGGAGAGAGGGGAATGTGTCCCCAGAAGGAGAAAGGAGGAAATTGATGACAGTTCTCCTGTTCAGCAGTTTTACAAGGACCCATTTTAATAAGGTACACACATATATATACAATATGCGCTGGTGAATTTGAGTAAGTATATGAGCTTGCTACGTGAAAGCTAAATAAAGCTTTTTTCTGTAGATGATGAGTCTTTAAGAATGATTGTTGTTCTTTTCCATATTATAAGCAACTTATACAGTCTTATCCACGCAGAACATTCTCAAATATTAATGATTTATCAAAATCCAGTGAATTTCACATGATAGTTGAAACCTAGCAATATCTTTTAAGTAGAAAATGTTCTTTATTCACAACAGTTTTGCTCCAGATTAAATATTTCTTCAAGGCAGTTTGATTTATATTCTCTGCAGTGCTATGAAGGGAAATCCTCCAAAGATATCCTGAAAAGAGTAGCTGCAAATGCATTGATGTCACTGCTGGCTGTCAGTAGAAGAGCACAGAAACATGCTTTGAAAGGTGAGCCACATGACACATCAGCTGTTTTGATGGCATTATCAATTCATATGTTTTGTTGCTTGTTCAAGTTAATTTTCTTTGGACTCAAAATGTAAAAAACGTATAGTATAATCTCAGTGTCACTAAAAATAATTTTTTTTCCCATACAGAAGCAGTAAATATGCATTACTTTTCAAATAAAAAGATTAGACATAGTTTGTTTTTGTTTGTTTAATATGTGATGGTTCTTGCTCTAAAGAACCTATATGTAAATATTAGGGAAGCTAAAAGGTAACACATTGAGTTTCATTATAATTAAATATTACTATCCAGAAGCACTCACTGCATACCTGAACAAAACCCACATAGTTTTGATGGTAAAAACAGCAACAGATGATTCCATATTTTCGTATAAATTTCCCTCTTGAGTGTTGTAATTTCTCATTTGGGAATCGGAGAATGTAGATCTGAGAATTAAAAGAGAATAATGGCAACATCAAGTCCATTAATATCAATTGTGATTTGCGACTACAACAAATGATGTATTCCTCAAGTTGTAAATTGGATTTGGGTAGTATCTTACTAAAAACTGAAAACAAGTGGACTTCAGCATTTTAGTTCTCTTACTTATCCCCCCTCTGATTCATTAATCTCTGACTGAAAATTCTAAAATGAAGTGGGTCAGAAATAGAAAATGTTACCTTTTTGAGAATCTGATTGGTATATGTGGTTATAACTTACTTGGAAATAGAATATCCTTTTGACTACTGCAGATTTTGTCTTTCAGCCAATCTTATAGACAATTGCATGGAGCAGATGAAACACATAAATGCACAACTGAACCTAGATTCTCTGAGGCCTGGGAAAGCAGCATTGAAAAAAAAGGTAACATTCTGGGATAAATGAATGGCTATATATAGAGACCATTCTCCAGTCCTCTTGTGCCTAGAAATGAGCACGAGCTTGAAATGAGTGTCTCATTTAGAAGAAAGGTACAGATGGATAAATTAATGAGACTTCTACATTAGCAGATTGTTGGCTTTTTTTGGTCTTAATTCTTACTTGAAGATCTTTAGACAACATCTGTCTATTATGTACTGTTGTTATTATAAACATTGGAAATATCCACATATACATGATACTATGCCAGATAAATTTTTTATACTACAAAAAGAAAATCTTTATCTCAAAACAAGCATAGGTTAACTAGGAATGAGATCTGTAACAACTATAATTTATTAAGAGTTTTCTATATGTCAGCCACTATTGAAACATTTCATATTTATTATCTCATGAACAAACACTCATTACAGCATAGTCACACAACTGGTAATTGATGGAGCTAATATTTGCCCCAAATCTGGGTGGTTGCAGAGCTGGTATTCCTCATCTCTGTTTATCTCCTCCTGTGCCTTCTGAATATCTCCTCTAGCATTGAATCTGCTGGACTCATGTTTAAACTGCATGCTCAGGTAAACTGAAAATAACATAGTTATATAATAACTACTGTGGTTAACAAGATCTGCCACCCACTTATTCAACAAATGAAAGTGTGTGAATAGTATAAATATATAAATATACATATATGTGTGTAGGTAAGGCCGTTATAGCAGCACTCTATGTAATAACTAGTTTCTACTGCATTTAAGAAACCAAGACAAAGTCTTATTTAATAATGTAATTGATGCAGGAGATTGATTGTATGTTTATCAGTTCTTTTTTTTTTTTTTTTTGCCTCTTTTCCTCCCTAGCCAAAGGCCCTTCATCATTGAGAAAGTCAGCCAACACCTGATATTATTGAAAATCTCTCAGTATCTGCCTCACTTTATTGAGATGAAACATGGAGGCTATCATATATCCGAGTTCCTCCATGCTTGATAGAACAGAAATAGCTTTTTCATGGTGAATGTGCTTCTTGAGATATGGTCATCTTTCAGAGATCGTTAGCCTGTCAGTTCCCTCAAAGTTACAGTGGTTGGGCATGATTAGAGCACACCTGCATTGTCCCGTGACCCAAAGGGGAGGGAATTACTATACACAAAAAGTGAAGTATGCTGTTGCATTCACAGTTTTCAACTGCTTTTTGTTTAAATAGGAGGATGGTGTTATTAAAGAGTTAAGCATTGCCATGCAGCTCCTAAGAAACTGTCTTTATCAAAATGAGGAATGTAAAGTAAGTAGAACTACTTTTCAAAATTTTAATAGGAGTACTGGTATTAAGCAGTTTAATTTTTATGTGAGATAATGTAGTAGGAAAAATGGAAAGCTCTGACTTTTAAATTTTTAGACACACAGTTGATTGGTCCTTAAACTCAGTGTTAATTGTCAGAAATGTGTGTATCTAATCATTATTCATCGACACTGATTACATTTCTTCGCAAACTTCAGCCTCATTCTGTACTCTTAGGTATTTTAAATGTTTTACATATGGAATGAATGGCTGGATGTGTTTTATAAGGTAGATTCTTTCAAAACGGGTTGTCAAAACAACTCTTCAAGGAAATAAGTGAAGCTATCTGTATCTATAAGGAAAGAAAATGAAGAGTTTCCTGCTTCAAAGGAGAAGATAGTTAGAGCTGCTACCTAGTGTGGCCACATCCACCGAGAGGAAGTTTCTTCTAGCTCTGCTGACTCCCTGTGACCATTTACATGGCCCTTCTGTCTAAAAATCACTGAGATGTTTTGCTTCGTCTGTAAGCACTGATGATGTTTTAAACCATTGTATCAGTACTACTATAGAGGATATAATCTTGTGAACACTCTGATTTGCTTTGTCTATAGTTTTACAACACTTTTGAAATACTAGATTGATGCTTTAATGCAGAAATACTAGATTATTCTTTATAAAAGCTGGCCACGAAAATAAAAATTTTAAAAAATACTAAATTAAAGCTTTAATATAGAAAGCAAAGATAAATTATGGAAGCTTTTATTGCCTTATAAATTTTTACCTGTTTTGCTCTTACTTGTGGTAAGAGCACAACTGGAAAAACCATACCACATCTGGAAAATGGACATGTTGAACACACTTACTCCTTAAGCGATGTTAAAAAGCCAGATACATGACTCACAATTTATATTTCAAAGTAGTTTGATGGAAATTAAGTATTTATTTATACAATTTATTAAAATTCCCTATATATGAATTTATATGAACTTTTTCTCAAGACAAAAGTGCCATTAATAAACTTAATGATTCCTTCATGCTTATGATATTATGCTTGTGACTGGATGTACAGTCAGTATTTGTGTGTAAATTTAAATATATAAATTTCATGTGTATGTGCAGTTAATATTCATTCATGACACCTTATTCAGGGAAATACTCTGGAATACTTTACATGTGGGATCTACCTATAAAGATTTATGAAGTGCTAACCTGGCTACTAGTTATAAATATTGTGCTCAATTTGTATCACATTAGCCATTTACAAAAGTGTGATATCTCAATAAGTCAAAGCATTTCTGTATTTCTAAGTTGTTTAATAAGAAGTAAATCCAAAGAATATTAAGATTATCCTTGAGTATAAATATAATATTATGGAGGTAGGGATTGTTAATTTCAATTTCAGCTTTTATCAGGTGTATGGCATGTTCTCATTATTAATAGTTGGCCACTATTGGGTAATTCACCAGGTCACCCACTGCCACCCCACCCTGCTGTTTGCATATGCATAACATTAGGGGTTTTCATACTGGAAGGAGCATGGTGGCTGTGAGGTAAATGAATTAAACAGTGGACAAGGTTAGACGGAGGGGACTGTCATAGTCCAGACAAGAGATGATGACACCTTAACTTGAGCAGGTAGAAAGGAGAAGGAGGGTAGGGAGTAAATTTGAGGCATTGAGAAGAGGAGGAATGTAGAATGACTTCCAAACTCCAGTTTAAGCCACTGCATTATCATGCATTAAGAGTGCATGATAGAGCAGAGCACAGGTGTGAGAGACCCGATATTCATGCTTGCACGTGCTAGCCTCAAGAGTCTTTGGGGCATCCAGGTGAAAAATGGCTTGTGGCCTGTAGATTTTATGGGTCTGGGACTCTAAGGAGTGATACAAGCTGGGGATATTAGGAGTTATCAATGTGTAGATGGTGTTTGTGGTCCTCACTATTGTTGAAATTTCCCAAGAAAGTATGTAATGAAAACCAAGGTCATATCTTTGGAAAACAGGAACATTTAAGAGGGGGCAGAAAACAACTGAGAAGGGAATACTGGAGAAGGAATTTGGAGATTGCATTAGGCCGTTCTTGCCTTGCTATGAAGAAATATCTGAGACTAGGTAATTTATTAAAGAAAAGAGGTTTAATTGGCTCACAGTTCTGCAGGGTATAGAGGAAGCACAGTGGCGTCTGCTTCTGGGGAGGCCTCAGGAAACTTCCAATCATGACAAGAAGGCAAAAGGGGAACAGGCACATCACATTACTAGAACTGGAGCAAGAGTGAGAGAGCTGGCGAGGAGGTACCACACACTTTTAAATGACCAGATCTCATGAGATCACTCACTGTCTTGAGGAAAGCACCAAGCCATGAGGAATCCGCCCCCAAGATATAAACACCTCCCACCAGGCCTCACCTCTAGCACTGGGGATTACAATTCAACATGAGATTTGGGCAGGGACAAATATCCAGACTCTTATCAGAAATGATCCAGGATAGAGCAGCAGCGGGGAAATTAAGAGACATATAGCAAATGCCACCGTGCTTAAGCGTTGTTGGCAACCACAAAAGTAGAAGCGGCCTCAATAGAATCATCAGGGCAGAAAATAAACGGTAATGAGCTAAAGATTAAATGTGAGGCAGGGAAATTACAGCAATAATAATGTAGAAGTTTGGTCATGAATAGTGGCATTAATAATTTAGGACATATAAGATGAAAGGAAATGAGTATGTTTGTTTCTCTTAACACGTAAACTACTTGAATACAGGCACAGAAATGAGCAAATTGGGGACGAGTTGTTTAAGAGATAGCAAGAGGAGAACTAACTGGTGGATTAAGATCCCTGAGGAGGCAGGAAGAGCTGTGTTTCAGAACACAGATGGATGTATCAATCTCTGGCAGGCAAGAAGTGGAACACCTCTTTGTCACTACCGGGCAGACAGGAAGGATGAATGGATGAAAATACAGATAAACTATGTGGACAGAATGGCAGAGTAGATAAAGGAGTTTGTACTTAATCGTTTCTGTCTTCTCTGTGAAATAGTAAACAAGGTCATCTGCTGCAGATGGAGGGCCGTGTGCCACAGAGAGTGGTGAACAAGGGAAGAACTTTAGGGAGAGCACTGGGAATGACTTCAGTGCTTACGGAGAGTGTTGAACATTGGGAATCACTTCTCTTCTGCCACTTGATGCTATGTGAAATCGTATAGGGTGTGTGTATTTATGTGCATGCTCACGTGCATAATCATGGGTCTACAAATTACCTCGGAATTCTTGTTCATTTAAAATAGATATTGCTGCACTTAAACAGCTATATTTTATCTGCAATATTGTCCCAGGGTAACTGATCTTTGTAATAAAGACTCTGAGTTACTTCAGAATTTTTCAATTTATCATAATATTTAGACTGAATTTTATATATTCAAATTACTCAAAAACTGTAATTTACTTTGAGTATATACACACATACACAGAGAGAGAGAAGGAGAGGGAGAGAGGGTGGGCAAAGAGGACTCAGAGTTGATCAGAATGTTTACTTAACCAGAAATTCTCACTTCTTGGCCAGTTCATAGCATTTACAGGAATTTATTCAGTGTTGTGAGATATCACTTTGCTGTTTAATTTACATGTTACACAGGCTATTTTCTATGCTTCCTAACTTAGTGGTACATCTTAACCACCCTGGTGTTGAAGCGACGTCCTGAGATTGGTCAGGCTCGTGGTCAGGGCAGCCATGTGTGGAGCCCAATGGGGCTGGGGCAGGATGCTGAAGCCATCCACAGGGTTCTCCTTGGGTCTTATGTTGATGGCTTTCTGTTGTTGTTTTGATTTTAATGTTATATTTTCATATATTCAGACTAATGCTGTCTTTTTCCCTTCCTTCAACAGGAAGCAGCTCTTGAAGCTCACCTTGTCCCTGTCTTGCACTCTCTCTGGCCTTGGATTTTGATGGATGATTCATTGATGCAAATTTCTCTGCAGCTCCTTTGTGTCTATACTGCAAATTTTCCAAATGGTAATAGGATCCAATACTGCCTTTCAATAATATACCAAAATACTAGTTTTATAAATGTTGTTAAGGTGGACTGGAAAAACTAATACATATTTTGAAGTATTTCTCTGATTTATTGAGGATATGATGGGCAAAGGCAAGCTTTCTCGTAGGTATTATGAGAGCAGACAGATATTTTAGTGTGTTTGTTGACATGAGAGAGTCATTGGCAGCGCAGGGAATAGAGAGGGAGGACTGGTCTGATTATCTGGCAATGGGAAATTGAGTTTAGTAGGAAAATTGAGAGGATAAAAATTATGATGTAAGACCTCAAAAGCCACGTGAAGGTTAGAACTTCTCATAGATTCTAGAGCAGGAGACTGGCATGTTGAAAGTTCTCATAACAGTTGGTCTGGTGATACTTGATATCACTAGGGCTCCTCTTTCGCTCATGCACTTGATAGACACTTTATCAAGAGCCTGTGGTGGGCCATGCATTGTGAGTTCTGGTGAGAGTGATCTGAAATGAGATAGGAGGACAGGTCATGTAGGGCCTCAGAGGCCAGAGTAGGGAGTTTGGATTTTTATGTGAGTGTAACAGGATGACATTGGCAGTTGTAAGCTGGTGAGTGGCATGATTTAATTTGTGTTTAAGAAGGATTAGGCTGGGTGCAGTGGCTCATGCCTGTAATGCCAGCACTTTGGGAGACCCAGGCAGGCGGATCACTTGAAGTCTGGAGTTTGAGACTAGCCTGGCAAACATGAGGAAACCCTGTCTCTACTAAAAACACAAAAATTAGCCAGGCATGATGGTGCATGCCTGTAGTTCCAGCTACTCAGGAGGCTGAAGCAGGAGAATCACTTGAACCCAGGAAGCGGAGGTTACAGTGAGCCGAGATCACGCCACTATACTCCAGCCTGGGCAACAGAGTGAGACTCTGTCTCACAAAGAAAAGAAAAGAAAAATTGCCCTGGGTGGTATGTGGAGAATGAATGATTGGGAGCAAGTCTAGAAGCAGGGAGACTTGTCATGGAGATATAATGGTGGCTTGGGCTTGAGTGGTAGCTGGAGAGATTGAGAGAAGTAGACAGATTCAGTATATAGCTCAAAGGTAGAGTCAAGGATACCTGTTGTGGGAGGTAGGAAGGAAAAAAAGGTGTCCGGGGTGAACTTCATTTGGAGAAATGAGCCTGAGTGCACAGTAGTGCCATTTACTAAAATGGGGAAGATTTAAAAGAAGCAGACTTGAAGTGAGAAAGTAGTAGGAATCAAGAGTTCTGTTTGGTCTTGTTAAGTCTAAGGTGTTGATGTTCACTCAAGTGAAAATAGTAAGCTGGAGTTGAATTCAATGGAGTGTAGAGATAAGTTTGAAGATTTCAAATGTTGGGAATATTATTAGTTATTTATTGCTACAAAAGAAATTACTCTAAAATTTAGCATCTGCAAACATTAATCATTTCATTATGCCACGGCTTCTGTGGCTCAGGAATCTGGGCGTGGCTAATCTGGGTGGTCCTCGCTCAGAGTCTCTGCAATCATCTGAAGTCTTGACTGGGATAGAGGATCCAGTGTGACTATGGGAGCCTCAATTCCTTGCTACTTAGGGCTGTCTCAAACGACCCAGAATGAGTGGGCTGAGGGCAGAAGTTATAGTCTCTTATAATCCAGTCTCAGAAGTAACTGAACAGCACTCCTAGCTCTTGTGGGTCACACATACCAACCCTGGTACAGAGGCAGGCGCCACTGGGACCATCTTGGAGGCTGGCTACCACAGGAGTCATTGTCATGTAGATTGTACTTAAAGCCACGTGGCTGTTTGCGATTACCCAGGGAGAATGTGTAGATGGAGAAGCAGAAACCCATGACCAAGTTCTGAGGCACATCAACATTTGGAGTTAATCAAAAGATGAGAAACCAGCAGAAAAAAAAGAGAAGGAGCAGCCAATGAGATAACAGTGCACAGTCACAGAAAGTCAGAGAAGGGCATGCTCAGTTGTGTGGAATGCTATTGAAAATTCTGCTAAAGTGAGGATAGAAAAAATGGCTGTTGGACTTAGCAGTATTGATGTTCTTTTGGACCTTGAGGGTAATTTTAGTGCAGTGCCAGAACAGAAACCTACTTAGTGTGAGCTGAGGAGAGAAGATGAAGAAGTAGAGGAGACAGCTTTTCCAAAATGTACTACTCTTAAGAGGACAAAGAAATGGAGCAACAGCAAGAGACAGATGTGGAGTCAAAGGAGGAGTTTTTGCTCGTTTTTAAAGATGTATGTTTTTAAGGCATGTTTATTAACTTAAGGGATTGGGAGAATGAGGTGCAGGAAAGAGTGCAGGTAAGAGCCCAGCCTGAGAGGGTAAGAGAGGTGAGAGCTAGAGCACAGCTGACAACAGAAGCGGAGGGAAGGCTGAGAGGAAGGATGTGGATTTAGGAGGGCTGGTAGACTTGATGGGAATGATGAGAAAATTCCCATTTTGAATACTTCTGCTTTCTTCATTTAGGAGAGAACACTGACCACTAAGAATGAGCAAAGACAAGGAGTAGAGGTGATGTGAGAAGAGGAGAAAGTGTGAAGTAGCTGTTTTTAGAGGAAGGAAAGTAAACACACCAGAGAAGCAAAGTAGGATTGCTGGCAGTGTTAAGTACCACTTATGGTCATAAATTTAAGAAAATAAATTAGAATTTATGGTCATAATTTATGGTCATAAATTTAAGATTTAAATTTTATTAAATTTATGGTCATAAATTTAAGATTTGACTAGCAAGTTTTTGTACTTTCTTCTAACAACACTCAGTAGCCCAGCAACTGGGGTCTCTGAATATCAAAGGTTATACAGAGAAGGGACTGGAACTCACAACAGTTAAGGAGCCCATCTAGTTACTGCCAGATGCTGTTGATGGCTTATTCCTTTGAATAATCTGCCAGATGCTGATGATGGCTTATTCCTTTGAATAATCTGACACCTCTGGAGCTGTCCATTTCGATACCCAACTCAGGTTGTCTCCAGTCAGCACAAAGAGATATAAACAGACCTTCAAGCTCTTGAACTTGAACTGTCATTGAAGCATATGTGTACAGGATTGTCCTTGCCTTCATTCTGTGCTGTTAACTTTCTCCATTCCTTAGGTCTGGTGGGAATGTCTCCTTTCAGTGCATTTTCCAGCTCCACTAGTATATCTTTTGTTTGTTTACTCATCTTTTATGAGTTTCTTTTACAGAATGTATTTGATTCTGATCAGTTTATACTTAAGTTGGCCTCCTCGTATGAACTTTCACAAGTCAATTATACCTTAGGTTTATGTATAATACAGTCTTATTGATTTAACATTAAAATATATTTCTAATTTTTTTTTCTCCCTCAATAAGTCTCATTCAGTTACTTAATTTCCTGAGAAACACTGAACCCTGGAAAGCCTGTAGATGCCACTTTTGGCTCCTGCTATGCTAAGCTGTATGACCTTGAACAACAAACTGGCTTTTCTGAGCTCCATATCTTTGTTGACCAAATATAGAAAATAGTATTTGTTTTGTCCGCTTTCCCAGGGATATTATGTTCCTTATTTGTATGTTATGTAAAATGAAGGCATTAGACAAGTTATCTCCCATTTCTAAAATTCTGTTCCTTTACACAGGCCTTTATTTAGATGTTTTCTTTAGCAACTATTAAAAACCCTAGTATGTTTATTTTATTCTTTTTTTAAAAATAAACCTGGTGTCTTAAAGTGCTTTAGTGAGATAATTAGGCCCTCAGTGAGGACAGTATATCTATTAGGTTGACTGTAGACACCAACATTAGCCTCCATTGCTAATTTGCAGTTCACAGGTTAATGGCCTAGTCATTTTGTTAGACAGATATGCTTTGCCACTTAGTGTCTTCAAAAACTAAACAGGGAAACTGAGAAGACATTGTGATAGGCTGTTATTTTTGAAGGTTGCAGTTCTCTTTGTTGGTCAAGTTGTGGACAACACCCTGTTCAAGCTACACATAGAGGAGCCGTGAGCAACTCTCTGATGCTGTGTATCCTAAAGTTGGCTTCCCAGATGCCACTGGAGAACACCACGGTTCAGCAGATGGTTTTTATGCTTCTTTCAAACCTGGCCTTGTCGCATGACTGTAAAGGAGTAATTCAGAAGGTACGCACTTAAACTCCCCACATATCTTAAAAGGGTACTCAGTGAAATAATCTTTCCAATCAAAAGTTTACAACTCAATTTCTAAGATTATTATGATTTTGAGGCATTTTATTTTAAAGGATTATAAAAGGGTTAAGAGGTTCACTTTGTTTAAAGCCAGTTGATAGATGACACGTGCAGAAGGACAGGAGCTAGAGTAGAGTCATACCATTTCCTTCTCATTTATCTTCTTAGCTTTCGGATTGTATTTTATCATTCTCAAAGATGAGGGTTTTAGAAAGATAGCCGTCTTACATTTATTGGAAATAATAAAAGTAATATATTGGTCTTTAAACAGACCAAATTGGGCAGTAACAATTTCAGTTTAATTTCATTGACAAAATGGTTTATGAAATCACAGCCCACTTCCCCCAGTTAGACTTAACTTCCTTATGGCATGTTAAGCAATTTTATGAGTTCTCTAGGATTCCAGTTCCCAATCTAGACTTCTCATCACTGATTTTAACTTAAGGTAATTTAAAAGGGATGTAATGAGTTAAATAAATTCTAGTACACATGTGCACTTATATTCTGTATTTAGATGTGTATAAACAGAATCCCTAATTGGGAAAATCCCTTCAAATTTGAATGTAATCAGATTATATACTACTTACTAGTATTGTAATTTGAGTGTTTCCATTTCTTTTACTTGAAGGCCAAGATAAATTGCAGAAGTTGAGAGCATTTATAAGAATTGAGTCTCCTTTTCCTCTACTGTTTCTTCTCCCTGAACTCCTCAGAAGATACTTTGTTATCACCACATAAATAGAAAGTTCGGTCTTTCTAAGGAAATGGAAAGATCAATCTTACCAAGGAAAGATGTTTTCAGTGGCACGTTGGAGCCAGCCTCCTACTGACTCATGAGTGTCATCTTAAATTTGCAGGAATTTTATAAAAATTCCAGTTGATGTTACATTGTTATTTTGAAATCAGCCACAGTGGGCATATCACACCACGTAATTCAGCGAACTGTACAAATCTTGGATCTTTTCTACCCTCACCACAATCAGTTGTTTATTTACCAGCACATGGCTGGATATTTTCTTCATGTATATGTTCATGTATGTCATATATGTATATATATTTGAATATATTTTCTTCATATATGTATTCATATACATGCATCACTTCCAAAATGAGACATTCTCTTGAACTGGATATATGTGATTAGCATCCATAAGAATGAGAGATTCTGCATATGTGAGAGCAGAGCGGGGGCAGTGCTTTCCACCACTTCCTTATAGAGCATGTTGGTGGGAAGCTAAGTGGGAGCACCCAGAAGGAATGTAAGTGCCAATCTCGAGTCTGGTCTGTGACTTTGAGCTGGAGACCTATTCTCTTTCAGCTTCATTTGGGTTTAACAAAATAATCTCTAAGATATGTTCAACTCTTAATCTGTTATTCTGGTGCTATACTTAAGAATATTTTGATGAAGTGTGATCAGACTCTCTTTCCAGGGACGGATTAATCAAGTCTTTTTCCTCTGCTCTAATTAGGAAATGCCTGAGACTTCCTCTGCTGCATTAAGTAATAATGAGCCCAGACACTTAACACTTCTACTTCTTCATTACTCATCTGTAGGACATAGAAAATGCAGCAGGTGGTATTGTACAACTCAGGCTCCGAAATATCCTGCTTGTTTGTTTTTTTTTCTACCATGGTATACATCTCTACATATTCTACCTGGTGTAGGAAATTGTCTGAAAACATCTTTAGAAGCAGCAAAAAAAAAAAAAAAAAAAAAAAAAAGGAGTGCCCACAGCACATTTATATTTGAGAGCACTGACATCTGCTTTATCACCCTTGTCAGTCCCAAATCCAGCAAGGGTTGAATCTAAAAACTGTCAGTTTGGCTGACAGTAGGTGTGAGTGACAGCACATGCAGCTGAAAGTGGGCATGTAATTTTACAGTTTACTTATTGTGTGGGTAATGTTGATAATATTTCTGTAGCTCATTTCATTCTTAACACTCAGAGTCCTTTTGTATAAAAACGTTAAGTTTATTTTATAGATTAAAGCCAACATCTTGATTTTGGTCTAGGAAAACCTAAGAGATAAACTGGAGTAGATTTAAACAGAGAGAGAGAAGAGTTATTCTGTGCAATCATAAAAGTTAAGTGATTGCATTTCATTTCTAAAATGTCCACCTAACTGTGGTTTCCATGCTGCCATGGGCTGCAGCTTGATGCAGCACTTTTATACTTTGCATATAGATTAGTCTAAGCAATAATTTATTATCTTTCTTATAGTGAAGGGTTTGGTGGGGTTTTTTGGAAGGGGCTTTATTTGGAGGTTGAAAAGACTCTTACAGTTCAAATAATAGAGCTTTCTCATCTGTAAGCATAATAGAATGACGTGTAGCCATCAGAAATTCTTACTTGTAATGATAAGTACCTGGGATAAAGTGAATGTAAGATGTATCTATAGATTTGATAAAAACAACAACAACACCTGTAGCTATAATGATTCAAAATACCCTCACTACTTCCAGAGTTGTTAACTAGTATTCAAGACTGATTTGGATTTTTGCCTTTTTTCCTTCCATAGGGTAGCTTTTAATAGCAAAATCACCAGAAGGCAGAGAGAAGAGAAAACTCAAGAGCCCTGAAATAATCTCCAAACTTAATTACCAATTCTAAATAATTAAGAGTTAACTATAGTATACTTCATCCATCATGAGGAAATAATTAGCAGGAATTAAAACTTGAGCACTATTTTGTTCTTCTTACCTTTTTCACTTATGCTTGGAAATAATATAGATGGAATATTCAGAAGCTATTAGAAAGGAGAAATTAATGTAGAGGGAGAGTATATCAGAATGTTAGTTAATTGGTCACCAAGGGACTAGGAAAATAATGAAAAAGATGAGAAGAAAATAATATTCTCTCTATTTATCCACAGAGTAACTTCTTACAGAACTTCCTCTCTCTAGCATTGCCAAAAGGAGGAAATAAACATCTAAGTAATCTGACTATTCTTTGGTTGAAGTTACTCCTGAATATATCATCTGGAGAAGATGGGCAACAAATGATTCTGAGGCTTGATGGCTGTCTAGACTTACTAACAGAGATGAGCAAATACAAGCACAAGAGCAGCCCTTTATTGCCTCTTCTTATCTTTCATAATGTTTGCTTCAGTCCTGCAAATAAACCCAAGATCCTGGCTAATGGTAAGTTTTCACACACACATACATTTATATATGTAGTTATTCATAGACTGTTCAGGTCAACACCAAATAATTTTATAAATAATTTTCTAGGCATTTATTAAGCACCCACTGTGTTCAAAGCACTGTGGAAGGCATGGGAATGAATCAGGCATGGCTTCAGCCTTCCGTGGGCTTCCAGGAGTCTCCTGAGGTTAGCAAATCATGTCATTCCAGTGCACATACTGGACACCTGGAGGAAGGGGAGCCGTGGACGAGGGCTCCCTGGCCTTACCTTCTGCTCCCTCTCCTCTCTCCTTGCTCTTCCTCTAACTCCAGCTCCCCTCTTCTGCATCTTCAAGCAAATGCTACTATGTCAATGAAGCCTCTCGGGAACCATGTGTTAATATAATAGCCCCGCACCCAGGGGGCCTTCTCTTTCCTCCTCCTCACTATTTCCTTTCCTGGTTTTGTTTCCCTCCGTAGTATTATCGCCATCTGATAGATTATGTGTTTCATGTATCTGTCTATTCCTAGTCTTCCCACACTAGAAGGTAAGCTCTTATGGGGTCAGGAGGCTTTTGTCTGCTTTGTTTATGTGTAGCACCTAGAATTGTGCCTGCAACTAGCGAGCACTCAATAAATATTTGATGATTGAGAGAGATCCCAAGCAGACCGGAGAGAGTTCAGGGCTTGAGATCAGATGGTGCAGTGAGCCTCGCAGAGACTTCATTCTCTGAGATGTAGGACAGATGGAGGCGAGGATTGGTAAGGATTCAGAAAAAAATTGAAGCAAAAAGAATCGGAAAGATCTTTTTCTGCAACCATGTGTTATCTCTGTGAGGAGTATGTGAATTTCGTGGGGAGTGAGTTTTATAAAAGACATGTGTTCTAGTGAAAAACAGAAGGTGGGCTCCAGACCCCTACACACCTGGTCTTGAATGCCAGCACTAGGGCATCACTCCAGCGTCGCCTGGTGCAGCCTCGCTGGGCCCAGCTTCTTCATCTATAAAAGAAGCCCACTCTTCTTGGTTTGGTAAGAATCAGTTTATAAACACACATAAAGTGCCTAGCGCTATTTCTGGTACATGATAAATGTTTAAGATAGATTCATTCTCTTGTTTTTTTCATGTTTTTCACTTAAACTTTTCTCAGAAGCATTTTTCTGTGAAATCAAGGGTTTTCTAAGTGTACGAAAATGATTCTTCTTATATTTTGTGGTGTATATAGTTGTGATTCTATTTTTCTGATAAGCATTCTGATAATCAACTGCTAGATATGATATAGAAGGATGTTTAAAGTTCAGTTAGCTTGTAGCAGACCTAACCTTACTGTGGATTTTGCACTCTGCCTTCCGGTGGCTGCTGTGCTGATGCTGCGTTCTCTGTTGCTGCGTGATGTACATCACTGGTTTTATTTCCATCCTCTCCCACTGTAGCTGCTTCAGCCCTCACATTTGTAAAATGAGGGTGATGATAATCCCTCCTCAGGGCAATGAGAGAGCCTGTGAAGTGTTTGTGACCATTCTTGGTATATAGCAGCTACTCAGTAACATCTGTTATTGTTTATTCACCTTTCTTAGAATGATTTTTTTTTTCTTTGAGGGCTACTTACTCCAGTTTATTATTGAGAGTTGGAAAAAGGTCAAGCTTTTTGAGAAGTGAAGGAGAGAAGTCTGCATTTTCCACTTCTAGACCCCTCTAGAATTATTTTTAGCATTTCTTTGTAGTCAGCAATGCTTTTTCTCCTTCATTAGCTTAAAGCAGATGGATAAACTTTGGTGAGAAGCTTCCCCTAGCCCACAGACTAGAGATCAGTGGGCTTTTCAGGCAGGGGTAAGATAAGAGACATCAGCTGTGCAGTTTCTGTGTGGAACTATAAAGGGATGTCACAGCCTATGCCTCGCTTTCCACTTGGGGATTTATGGAGGAGGCCTTAGCAGAGTCAGCCAGCTTAAAAGTCTCCCAGGAAAGGCTGCCTCTGATCGGTAGCACCCACACATCTGGTTTAAATGGTCAGGAGTGGAGTGTGCAGTGGAGCTTGACCTTGCTGGTAAAAATAGATCTGGGGCTTGGCATGGTGGCTCACAACTGTAATCCCAGTACTTTGGGAGACCGTGGTGGGTGGATCATTTGAGGTCAAGAGTTTGAGATCAGTCTGGCCAACATGGTGAAACCCCGCCTCTACTAAAAATACAAAAATTAGCCAGGCATGGTGGCGGGCACCTTGTAGTCCCCAGTAGTAGAATTGCTTGAACTGGGGAGACGGAGGTTGCAGTGAGCCAAGATCGCGCCACTGCACTCCAGCCTGGGCAACAGAGTGAGACTTCATCTCCAAAAAAAAAAAAAGATCTGGAACATTCCTTGTTTCTGGCAATGCCAGACTAAGTCTCTTCTGAAAACGACAATAACATGCTAGACAGGCTGTATTAAAATGCACCTCAAAATAATCACAAAAACTGAAAAGATAGAAACTCCCAGTCCAGTTTTGATTGAAAGTCTTGCCCAGACAAGTAAGAAGTATATAGAAAATTATTTTGCCCCAAGTGCATTTGCCAAGGTTGTATGCTTGGCTTTTGTTGAGGAGTATCGAGGGGTGAGAGGACAGAAGCCGCGATTCCCCAAAGTGGGGATTCTTACTGGCTATCCTGCTTGTATTAAGCTGGACCTCCAAAGAACCATTCTCTTAATAGATGGATGGGTCAAAAATAAGTTGGTTTCCCAAACTTCATGAAGGAGACTGTAAAGAAAAGGAAAAAAAAAATGTGAGAATGGGTACTACAGACTGCTTCTGATAGGGCTCTGCACCCAAAGTTGGCCGTGAACTTGGCTTGAGGTGTCTTCGATTGATGGTGCCTGTGGGTACTTAGCAGAAAGCAAACTGCCTTGGTGATGGATGAAAGACAAGTTCATACTGGGCCTCAGGGAACCTCTACAAATAATTTTTCAAAAGCATTAACCAGTACAAAGTTAGAGATAATCAAGCACATTAGGAGACATGGCAACATGTAGTAAGAAACAGCAGAAGAATAAAAATACCAGCTTATCTGCCCAGACTTTGAATATGGGAATTACAAAGCATGGGTTTAAAAATAACTTTAATTATACCATATTTAGATAAATAAATGACAAGCTTGAAAATTTTAGGAAATGGGAAACTGACAAGTTGAAATATTTGAAAAGAACCAAACAGAACTTCAAGAACTTTACTGTGCAGTATGATAATCAGCCACATGTAGCTATTTAAATTTAAACTAATTAAAATTATTCAGTTGTACTCACTACATGTGGCTAGTGGCTATCTTATTAAATAGCAAGATATAAATATTTCCATTATTGTAGGAAGTTCTGTTTTACAACAGTAATCTAGAACTTCAGTGGCCAAAATTGAAAACTTAATATACATGTCTGACAGCAAGTTAGGTATAGCAGAGAACTTAGGAATTAGAAGATAGATTAGAAAAATATTATCCAGAATGCAGCAGAGAAAGCTAAAAAGATGAGAAAGGATCAAAAGAATCAAAGGTAAGTGACACAGCAGATATATCAAGACAGTCTTTGTGTTTAATGAAGTGTCCTAGGAGAATGGGAGAGGAAATATTTGAAGAAATGATGGGTAAAAACTTTAAGAACTTTTCTAAGACATTAATGTCACCATAACTGACAACTCACTGTAATTACCAAACTGACATCCCTAAACTTATACTTAAACCAATTGTATTAAGAAGGTAATATTCAATTATTATATTAAGGTAACATTCAATTATTATATTAAGGTAATATTCAGTTCAAATATTCAAAAATACTGTCTCATTATTTACATTTTACTACTGTATATTCACTTTAGGTTATTTAAATGTTTATATGAGAGTTCAGACCTACTTGTTGAACTCAAAATTGTTTTATTGCTTTGTTATATGCATGTTTCACAATAACATTTGTTTTGTTAAAAAAGTCGATCCACTTGCATTATCAGAGGGGCCCACCACATTAATTCACACACACACACACACACACAGACACACACACACACACACATATGTATATATACATACACACACAGTACTTTATTAAAAATGCTTTAAGGGATAGCTGGTTGAAGGAGTTATAAACTTACTTAGATCAGAGGAGTTATATATTCTGAGTGTTTGAGACAACATTTAAAAACATCACTTGATGCTACTCAGATGGAACATAAGGAAGTCACCCTCCCATTTAATAAGGGGACATTTGATGTGCCCTAATGAGTAGCACTTGCAGCCATAACCTCACGTGATAAATTGCATCTGCAAGCTATGTACATGGCTTGGTTCTGGGTAGGTTATGATACACGACAACCAAAGGGCATCAGATAGTGCAGATGAGGTGTTCAGGGAGTCGGCTGCAGCGTGCCCGAAACATCACTGCACCTGCCTTTCACATTGTCCTGATGCACATTTCCAGTTCACTTTAGGGAGCAGCTTTTTTTGTTTTGTTTTTGTTAAATATTTAAAATCCCTTAAAATAAAAAAATTGAATTATGTAGACAAAATTTTTGTTTATTCTATTCTGGAATCTTTCACACAACGAATATTTATTGAGCTCCTAAAATACACTAGCATTGTGGTTGGTCTAATACCAGTGAGTAGACACTGCCATCTAACTAATACCAGTGAGCAGACGTTGCCCTGTAACTAATACCAGTGAGCAGACACTGCCTTCTAACCAGTACCAGTGAGCAGACGCTGCCCTGTAACTAATACCAGTGAGCAGACGCTGCCCTCTAACCAGTACCAGTGAGCAGACACTGTGCTGTAACTAATACCAGTGAGCAGATGCTGCCCTCTAACCAATACCAGTGAGCAGACGCTGCCCTCTAACCAATACCAGTGAGCAGACGCTGCCCTCTATCTAACACCAGTGAGCAGACGCTGCCCTGTAACCAATACCAGTGAGCAGACACTGCCCTGTAACCAATACCAGTGAGCAGATGCTGCCCTGTAACCAATACCAGTGAGCAGACGCTGCCCTCTAACCAATACCAGGAGCAGACGCTGCCCTCTATCTAACACCAGTGAGCAGACGCTGCCCTCTAACCAATACCAGTGAGCAGACACTGCCTTCTAACCAGTACCAGTGAGCAGACGCTGCCCTGTAACTAATACCAGTGAGCAGATGCTGCCCTCTAACCAGTACCAGTGAACAGACACTGTGCTGTAACTAATACCAGTGAGCAGATGCTGCCCTCTAACCAATACCAGTGAGCAGACCCTGCCCTCTAACCAATACCAGTGAGCAGACGCTGCCCTCTGTCTAACACCAGTGAGCAGACGCTGCCCTGTAACCAATACCAGTGAGCAGATGCTGCCCTGTAACCAATACCAGTGAGCAGACGCTGCCCTGTAACCAATACCAGTGAGCAGACGCTGCCCTGTAACCAATACCAGTGAGCAGACGCTGCCCTCTAACCAATACCAGTGAGCAGACGCTGCCCTGTAACCAATACCAGTGAGCAGACGCTGCCTTCTAACCAATACCAGGAGCAGACGCTACCCTCTATCTAACACCAGTGAGCAGACGCTGCCCTCTAACCAATACCAGTGAGCAGACACTGCCCTCTAACCAGTACCAGTGAGCAGATGCTACACTCACAGACCCTGCCTTGAACCTTTTCCTATTTTAGTACCCTTATTTATTTATCTTGCCTGATTGCCCTGGCCAGAAGTTCCAATACTGTGTTGAACAGGAGTGGTAAGAAATGGCATCCTTGTCTTGTGCCAGTTTTCAAAGGGAATGTTTCCAGCTTTTGCCCATTCAGTGTGATATTGGCTGTGGGTTTGTCATAAATAGCTCTTATTATTTTGAGATATGTTGCATCAATACCTAGTTTATTGAGAGTTTTTAGCATGAAAGGGTGTTGAATTTTTTTGAAGGCCTTTCTGCATCTGTTGAGATAATCATGTGGTTTTTGTCGTTGGCTCTGTTTATGTGATAGATTACTTTTATTGATTTGTGTATGTTGAACCAGCCTTGCATCCCAGGGATGAAACGGACTTGATCTTGGTGAATAAGCTTTTTGACGTGCTGCTGGATTCAGTTTGCCAGTATTTTATTGAGGATTTTTGCATCGATGTTCATCGGGGATATTGGCCTGAAATTTCCTTTTTTTGTGTGTGTCTCTGCCAGGTTTTTGTATCAGGATGATGCTGGCCTCATAAAATGAGTTAGAGAGGATTCCCTCTTTTTCTATTGATTGGAATAGTTTCAGAAGGAATGGTACCAGCTCCACTTTGTATGCCTGGTAGAATTCGGCTGTGAATTCATCTGGTCCCGGGCTTTTTTTGGTTGGTAGGCTATTAATTACTGCCTCAATTTCAGAACTTGTTATTGATCTATTCAGGGATTCGACTTCTTCCTAGTTTAGTCTTGGGAGGGTGTATGTGTCCAGGAATTCATCCATTTCTTCTAGATTTTCTAGTTTATTTGCATAGAGGTGTTTATAATATTCTCTGATGGTAGTTTGGATTTCTGTGGGATCAGTGCTGATCTCCCCTTTATCATTTTTTATTGTGTCTATTTGATTCTTCTCTCTTTTCTTCTTTATTAGTCAGGCTAGTGGTCTATCTATTTTGTTAATCTTTTCCAAAAACCAGCTCCGGGATTCATTGATTTTTTGAAGGGTTTTTCGTGTCTCTCTCTCCTTCAGTTCTGCTCTGATCTTAGTTATTTCTTGTCTTCTGTAAGCTTTTGAATTTGTTTGCTGTTGCTTCTCTAGTTCTTTTAATTGTGATGTTAGGGTGTTGATTTTAGATCTTTCCCCCTTTCACCTGTGAGCATTTTGTGCTATAAATTTCCCTCTAAACACTGCTTTAGCTGTGTCCCAGAGATTCTGGTATATTGTGTCTTTGCTCTCTTTGGTTTCAAAGAACTAATTTATTTCTGCCTTAATTGTGTTATTTACTCAGTAGTCATTCAGGAGCAAGTTGTTCAGTTTCCATGTAGTTGTGTGGTTTTGAGTGAGTTTCTTAATCCTGAGTTCTAATTTGATTGCATTGTGCTGTGAGAGACTGTTTGTTATGATTTCAGGTCTTTGGCATTTGCTGAGGAGTGTTTTACTTCCAAGTATGTGGTCAGTTTTAGAATAAGTGCGATGTGGTGCTGAGAAGAATGTATACTCTGTTGATTTGGGGTGGAGTGTTCTGTAGATGTCTGTTAGGTCCACTTGGCTCAGAGTTGAGTTCAAGTCCTGAATATCCTTGTTAATTTTCTGTCTTGTTGATGTGTCTAATATTGACAGTGGGGTGTTGAAGTCTCCCATGATTATTGTGTGCGAGTCTAAGTCTCTTTGTAGGTCTCTAAGAACTTGCTTTATGAATCTGGGTGCTCCTGTATTGGGTGCATATATATTTAGGATAGTTAGTTCTATTTGTTGCATTGATCCCTTTATCATTATGTAATGCCCTTCTTTTTCTTTTTTGATCTTTGTTGGTTTAAAGTCTTTTTTATCAGAGGCTAAGATTGCCACCTCTGCTTTTTTTTTCTCCCCTGCTTGCCATTTGCTTAGTAAATCTTCCTCCATCCCTTTATTTTGAGCCTATGTGTGTCTTTGCACGAGATGGGTCTCCTGAATACAGCACACCGATGGGTCTTGACGCTTCATCCAATTTGCCAGTCTGTGTCTTTTAATTGTGGCATTTAGCCCGTTTACATTTAAGGTTAATATTGTTACATGTGAATTTGATCCTGTCATTATGATGCTAGCTGGTTGTTTTGCCCATTAGTTGATGCAGTTTCTTCATAGTGTCAATGTTCTTTACAATTTGATATGTTTTTGCAGTGGCTGGTACAGGTTTTTCCTTTCCATATTTAGTGCTTCCTTCAGGAGCTCTTGTAAGGTAGGGCTGCTGGTGACAAAATCTCTCAGCATTTGCTTTTCTGTAAAGGATTTTATTTATTTTTCACTTATGAAGCTTAGTATGGCTGGATATGAATTTCTGGGTTGAAAATTATTTTCTTGGGCCATACGCAGTGGCTCTCACCTGTAATCCCAGCCTTTTGGGAGGCCAAGGTGGGCGGACCATGAGATCCAGAGTCTGAGACCAGCCTGGCCCATATGGTAAAACCCCGTCTCTAATAAAAATACAAAAAAATTAGCCAGGTGTGGTGGTGCCCACCTGTCGTCCCAGCTACTCAGGAGGCCGAGACAGAAGAATTGCTTAAACCTGGTAGGCGGAGGTTGCAGTGAGCCGAGATCTCACCACTGCACTCCAAACCTGGGAGACAGAGCAAGACTGCATCCCCCTCCCCAACAAAAAAAGAAAAGATAAATTCTTTAAGAATGTTGAATATTGGCCCCCAGTCTCTTTTGGCTTATAGGATTTCTGCAGAGAGATCTGCTGTTAGCCTGATGGGCTTCCCTTGGTGGGTAACCCGACCTTTCTCTCTGGCTGCCCTTAACATTTTTTCCTTCATTTCAACCTTGGTGAATCTGATGATTATGTGTCTTGGGGTTGCTCTTCTCGAGGAGTATCTTTGTGGTGTTCTCTGTATTTCCTGAATTTGAATGTTGGCCTGTCTTGCTAGGTTGGGGAAGTTCTCTTGCATTTAATATCCTGAAGAGTATTTTCCAACTTGGTTCCATTTTTCCCCATCACTCTCAGGTACACCAGTCAAACATAGGTTGCTTCTTTTCACACAGTCCCATATTTCTTGGATGCTTTGTTCATTCCTTTTCTTTTTTTTTTTTCTCTAATCTTGTCTTCACGCTTTATTTCGTTAAGTTGATCTTCAATCTCTGACATCCTTTCTTCTGCTTGATCGATTTCGCTATTGATACTTGTGTATGCTTCACGAAGTTCTCATGCTATGTTTTTCAGCTCCCATCAGGTCATTTATGTTCTTCTTTAAACTGGTTATTCTAGTTAGCATTTCCTGTAACCTTTTATCAAGGTTCTTAGCTTCCTTGCATTGGGTTAGAACATGCTTCTTTAGCTTGGAGGAGTTTGTTATTACCCACCTTCTGAAGCCTGCTTCTGTCACTTCGTCAAACTCATTCTCCATCCAATTTTGTTCCCTTGCTGGTGAGGAGTTGTGATCCTTTGGAAGAGAAGAGTTATTCTGGTTTTGGGAATTTTCATCCTTTTTGCACTGGGTTTTCCTCATTTTCGTGGATTTATCTACCTTTGGTTTTTGATGTTGGTGACCATTGGATGGGGTTTTTGTGTGGATGTCCTTTTGGTTGATGTTGATGCTATTCCTTTCTGTTTGTTAGTTTTCTTCCTAACGGGCCTCTCTGCTGCAGGTCTTTGGGAGTTGGCTGGAGGTCCACTCCTGCCCCTGTTTGCCTGGGTATCACCAGCAGAGGCTACAGAAGAGCAAAGATTGCTGCCTGCTCCTTCCTCTGGAAGCTTCATCCCAGAGGGCACCCCCCAGATGCCAGCTAGAGCTCTCCTGTATGATGTGTCTGTCAACACCTGTTGGGAGGTGTCTCCCAGTCAGGAGGCACGAGCGTCAGGGACCCACTTGAGGAGGCAGTCTGTCCGTTAGCAGAGCTCGAGCACTGTGCTGGGAGGTCCACTGCTCTCTTCAGAGACAGCAGGCAGGAACATTTAAGTCTGCTGAAGCTGCACCCACAGCCGCCCTTTCCCCCAGGTGCTCTGTCCCAGGGAGATGGGAGTTTTATCTATAAGCCCCTGACTGGGCCTGCTGCCTTTCTTTCAGAGATGGCCTGCCCAGAGAGGAGGAATCTAGAGAGGCAGTTTGGGTACAACGTCTTTGCTGAGCTGTGGTGGGCTCTGCCCAGTTTGAACTTCCCAGTGCCTTCGTTTGCACTGTGAAGGGAAACAGGCTACTTAAGCCTCATTAATGGTGGACACCCCTCTCCCCACCAAGCTCGAGCATCCCAGGTCGACTTCAGACTGCTGTGCAGGCAGTGAGAATTTTAAGCCAGTGGATCTTAGTTTGCTGGGCTCCATGGGTATGGGATCTGTTGAGCTAGGCCACTTGGCACCCTGGCTTCAGCCCCCTTTCCAGGGGACTGAACAACTCTGTCTCACTGGCATTCCAGGCACTACTGAGGTATGAAAAATCTCCTGCAGCTGGCTCGGTGACTGCCCAAATGGCTGCCCAGCTTTGTGCTTGAAACCCTGGGCCCTGGTGGTGTAGGCACCCAAGGGAATCTCCTGGTCTGTGGGTTGCAAAGACCATGGGAAAAGCGTAGTATCTGGGCCGGAATGCACCGTTCCTCAGGGCACAGTTTCTCAGAGCTTCCCTTGGCTAAGGGAGGGAGCTCCCCCACCCCTTGTGATTCCTGGGTGAGGCGACACCCCACCCTGCTTTGGCTCGCCCTCCATGGGCTGCACCCGTTGTCTAACCAGCTCCAGTGAGATGAGCTGGGTACCTCAGTTGGAAATGCAGAAATCACCCGCCTTCTGCATTGATCTCACTGGAAGCTGCAGACCGGAGCTTCCTATTGAGCCATCTTGCCAGCCACCCTAGTCATTTTTAAAAAACATCAAGCAGTGTGATATTTGATGATCGTTTTTGTATAGTAGCTCATGCTACTGATGTGTTTGTATGATAGTCTTTATAATTTATCATGAAAGCAGATCTGTTTTTCTGCCTGCCAGAATGTTAGCTGTAATTGAGTAACTCATTAATGTACCTAATTGTATACTTATTTTTACACACTTGTGGTCTTTAAATGAATGTGCCTTTTCTTGAATTCTGGCCAAAAAATGAAGCAGCTTCAGTGTCTTTGACCCTTCTATGCCTGACATGAAAACAATGTTTTGAGGTTGTCCTCCCATATACCACATGGCATAAAAGATTGGTTTTGCCATAGTCTAGTGATACCAACTTTATGTATGCATTCTAATGGGAAAAGAGGGGGGTGTCTGACTAGTCCAAGATAAGAATACAATGCAGTGTCTGGGACTGAACTTTTAAAAAATATATGTTCATTTTTAGAAAAAGTCATTACTGTGCTTGCTGCCTGTCTGGAAAGTGAGAATCAAAATGCTCAGAGGATTGGAGCAGCTGCCCTTTGGGCTCTGATTTACAATTATCAGAAGGTCAGTTTTAAAAATCATTGTTACACCTGGGGAGCAAACAACAAGGTATAACCCAGGTATAAACTCTTAGGATACATCCAAAGGTGTCAAGAGTTACAGCAAAAGAAAAAAGACAAAATCAAAGATCCATGTTCCCTTTGCTGATTCATACAATTAGTAAACCATCAGTTGAAATCTTTTTATTTAATCATTTCAACAGAATGTCTCAGTTTAGAAGAGAATCTCTGAACTGACTTTTTCCTCTTAATTTAAATTGATTTACTTTATTATTGCAATTTTAGTATAGATTGTTTCTTCTAAAAGACGTATCAAGGGAAAACACATCTTAAAGTAAAACTGAGTAACAAAAGTTTTATCCAATTGTACAATTCCCCTTTATCTAGCTCAGTTCTTGTACGACTGCAGCCCAAAGCCTGCTCTGAGAAAAGGGCAGGCAACGTGGAGATTTGTGTTCTACTCTTTCTCTGGCCTTTGGACTTCCACTTTATTGCAGACATGTTGTTCCCAAGAGAAATACCCATAAGTATCTAGTGATTAAGTAGTAGCCAAGTGACAGTGTTAGGATAGACAGCCATCCTAGAATGGTGTTCTCTCAGCTGACTGTCTCTGCCGGGGCTAGTTTTCTCCCTGCTGGCCAGAGTCACGTACACAAGGACAAGAGGGTGTTGTTTTCTTTCTCACCTGGGTATCCCCAGAGCTTAGCACAGGATTTGGCACTTTGTAGTCACTCTGTAAATATTTGTTGACCAACTGCTAATATTTGGTATATGTGATCAGAAATCTGAGGTTTGAGGGAGTATGAAAAACTGAAACCAAGGATGACTAGTTTAAAATAGCAAATTGAGATTAGGGGAGAAGGAGTAAAAGAGAAGGGAAGAAAGAAAATGGGAATAGAGAAAGAATCAAGTTAGATAAGAGGATATGGGCAAGACTTCAGAATGTGCAAGGGGATTGGCTCAATAGGATGTATTATGCTAAGATGGAACTCTCTAGTTATATTATTATATTTCATAATATTCTGTTTAATACTGTAGTTAGCAATGGGCAGAATTAGTGTTTTGCTATCATGATCCATAACACATGGCAAGAAACCTAATTAATGGATTGTTCTAGGCAAAAACAGCTTTGAAAAGCCCATCAGTAAAAAGAAGAGTGGATGAAGCATACTCCTTAGCAAAGAAAAGTAAGTTGCAATAAGAAAGAGATTATAGTTAAACTCAGAAGCTATTAAGTGGATTTTCTGATTAATGAGATATTTGGACAGGCCACAGCAAAATGGCATTGTAAAATGTGCCAATATTCAGTATGTGCTTTAATTATATCATTTTTTAAAATAATAAAATAGATAGATGAAGGTTTAAGATGTGATTGCTTCTAAAAATGCATCTGTGATCTTCGTCTTATTTTTGTACTAAATTTTCTTTGCCAACAGTGACCACTGTGCTGAAGTATGTTCTTAGTGATAAGAACTGGCCCAATTAGAATTAACTGTGAGCAGAAAACCTGGATCTAACATCAGGGAGCTGGAGGACAGTCTTCCAAGAATTGATCCTGTTACCCTTATATCCACGTTTCCCTGTGATGTGGTCACAATACTAGAGACGGTTTTCTTTTCAAAGCACATTATTCATTTTTAGTGACACCAAATTTCAGTGAGCGTTATTCTCTGAACATTTTTTATGCTAAAACACTGAATTGTGTCTTTCCTGTACTGTAATATATCTGTTGGTTATTTGTGTTTTTATAGTCTGATTTTTTTTTTTAAGCAGGGGAGGTTTTAGTTTGTTTTAGCTGCGACCATGAATTTCTGGAGCTAGTGAAGTTAAAGATTATGCTTTAGGAAGGATGGTACATAAAAAAAGATTAATGGCATTCATTTGGAATTATAGTTAATGGTATCCATTATGGGGGGTACTTTTTAAAAAATACTCTGGGTAAGCTGTTAATTTAAAAAAATATTGATTTTGTAACTTGTTTATTTTTTAAAAAATGCAAAATATTCTGGAATGCTATTACATCAAGAACTTAGAGCTTTAAATTATATATAAATCCTGTTCATATGTATTTGTTTATGTGTGTGCCTCCTAAGTATAGTACCAAGTTTCATAAACTAGTATTTCTGTACTCTTATTTTTCTATCTCAGCTTTCCCAAACTCAGAAGCAAACCCTCTAAATGCCTATTATTTGAAATGTCTTGAAAACCTCGTGCAGCTCCTTAATTCTTCCTGAGTGCCATGGGATGCTACACCTTGAAGCTGACAGTCATCAACAGGGGAGCTAAAGTTGAAGCCAGCTGTGTGTAGCAGCTGTTACCTGAAGACGTGCTACCTCTCTACAAAGTGTTGATCCCCTTCTTTCCCATGAGAGAGAGAACTGGTGATACTCCAACACCGTCCAGTTGTGGCAGCTCTCCAGAAGTAATAGCAGCTGACAACTTTCTGTGCCTTTTCCTTTCTGTTGAAAAGGCATAGAAAGTTCTGGGAACATAAACATTTTTACCCTTTTCTATGCCATTTATTTTGTAAAAATCCTATTTAACAGTTATTTAATAAAACAATATTTTTAGAAACTAAAAATTGACTAATAATTGCTGCTTACAGACTTTTATCAGTCTCATGAATATTAATTTTAGGAGTTGAAATAAGACACTGTGTCCTGGTTGTTTCTCTCTTTTTTTAAATTTTAACTGATGTAAAATTTGGCTCTGTCAGTGCAAATCCTTATTTTCAAAACTTTCTGTTATCCAGAGCATCCACACTGGAAAAGGGCTATGTAGAAGTAAGTGTGCATTATTTGTAAAGGGCTGTGTGGAAGTAAATGTACATGATTTGTAAGTAGCTTTCTTAGGCAAGTTTTAGTGATGTTATCTTCTTCCTAGATGACTCTTAAATCATTACATGTATAATCTTCACCGTTGTCTTCTGCAAGGCTGTGTAATAAAGAAGAAAGAAATAGAGTTGGGGCTGTATAAGCCTGGGTTCAAATTTAGCTCAGCCCAAAACATCATGAAGAATAGAGTAAGACTGAAAAATGCAGAAGATGGCCGGGCTTGGTGGCTCATGCTTATACTTTCAGCTCTTTGGGAGACCGAGGTAGGTGGATCACTTGAGGCCAGGAGTTTGAGACCAGCTTGGGCAACTTGGTGAAATCCCATCTCTCCTAAAAATACAAAAATTAGCCATTCCTGGTCTTGAGCGTCTATAATCTCAGCTACTCCAGTGGCTGAGGCACGAGAATCTCTTCAACCTGGGAGGCAGGGAGGTTGCAGTGAGCTGAGATCATGCCACTGCATTCCAGCGTGGGTGACAAAGCAAGACTCTGTCTCAAAAAAAAAAAAAAAAAAAAAAAATGCAGGAGGAACAAGCTCTATACTCTATTACATAATCTTACTTAACCTGTAGTTTTGAATTCCGCACTTAAACCAAAATCAAGTACTAATCACTTTCAGCAACTTTCCCAACACTTTTGAAAGTGAGAAAATTGTGTGTAAGAGAAATAAAAGGTGAAGTATTAATATATATATGTTTGTATATACATATATGTCATATACATGTATACATATATATTCATTTAGGATAATGTTTTCAGAAAAACTGAAAGAAAAATATCATTTTAAGTGCTGTTAAATTGCTAACAGCAATAAAATAAGCAATGATGTTATTTAAGCTGGAAGTATGACAAAATTTATGTTAAATACAGAAATAGTAACAGTTAAGTTTGTAATGTCTGAGAATTAATTGATTCGAGATCTGAAAAATAAATCTAGGAAGCTCAGAAGTTTCTGAGCTGCCCAAGTTAATGTGTAGCGGAAAACTCGTCAATTCTGAGAGCAGGAATCTTGGGAATTATTTTTCCCTTTTCTCCCGATATCTTATATTTTTTGCCATTTTTCTGGAATTCTCTAATCAGCCCTCACTGATAAATAAATGAAATGAATTTCTAACTCCCTTCATAACTCCTTTATAACTCCTCCTTCTATGTCCCAGCTATTATTCTCGGAACTTTTATCATTTAATCTATCTTTTTCTAAAATACTACTAATGTCTTTGTGTTCCAGGTGAATAAGCGGAGGCGCAGAGCGGTTAAGTAATGTGCTCATTGACTGTGGCTGGTTATCAGTGAAGTGGAGGTTGGAACCCAGGATAACTGCGAAGAAGTTTGCTTTTCTTTATAAACCACTTTTCTTTATAAACCATTTATTCTGCCCCTCTACCACCCCCACTGAAATATCTCTTTTTGTGTTTGAATCTTATAGATAAACACCATTTTTCAACAAAAATTTGTTCTCTTCAGGGAAATTATATTATGGTTCATTGATTGACTGATTCACATATCAGAGTAGGCACTACCTCATCTTCTTGGAACCAGGAAGAATTGTTGTAACTGATCATTTTCCCTAGCAGTTCACAGTAGTACCAGAGGGAGATTTGTAGCCTAGTAGTCAGAACCACCCAGAAATGTTACCTGCCAAAGCCCAGGAGGACTGCAGACCTTGGAGAAAGGAGAGGGGCCATGGCTTTAGGGGAACTTGCGTTTGCCTCTCTTGGTGTCCAGGAATGTGAAGCTCGGGTGCACGCTGTGGTCCAGATCCTGGGGGACAGTCCTTGCAACTGGGTCTCCTGGGATTATGCACCGTCAGCCAGTGGGGAAGACGTCTCAGCAGGAGCCTTGAGGTGACTGGCCCACTGCTGTAGCAGCTGCCCTGCCTCTCCCTTGCGGACCAGCATCAGAATCCTCAGGTGTGTGCACTGAAATGCAGATTCCTGGGCTCAATGAGGCAGACTTGTGTCTAGGAGAATTTTTAGCAAGCTCTCCAGGTTCTGCTCACCACAGTTTGAGAACCACTGATTAATCCCCATGATTACAGAAAACTGCCTAGAACACGAAAATTATTTCATATCACTTAACTGCTGCCTGATGAAATCAGGACTTGAATCTGGGTCTCTTGAATGTGAACCAAGTATTTTTTCTTTCACACCTGCCCAAGTTTAAGCAAGGATCCAGGAAATAGGTGCAGGGGACTAGTTCATACTTCATGGTGTCCAATTTCTCCATATCCTAGCATTTTTGGTGGGCTGAGTTAGTGTATGTGCGCTATGGAAGCACAAAAAGGTAGTGCCACGTCACACATGAAGTGCAGACATTGATACTGAGGCTTCTGGGCTTAAGACTTGAGCAGTTTGAGGGAGGAGGCAGCCATTAGTTTTGAAAACAGGAAGCTAGTAGGAAAGTGGTGTTAGCAGACCTGGCTAGACCCTTTTGCCACTCTTCCTAAAAACACTTACAGAAATGAATAGCTGAATGTACCTCTTTTTTTGGTGTTCTATAAATAATGGAGCAAAAAAAAAAAAAAAACAAAACAGAATTTTGCCTATTTAACTCCAGATCACCAATTTTCCTTTGTAGTGTTAAATGGACTCTTCATCCGTGTCATTTTGCATCATCAGTCTTTGGGGCTGCACCTTGTGTATTCCCCATTTCTTGAGGTTGCCAGAGCCCCAGGTCTGCTTCTTGACCCGTGATGTTCCTCGGATTTGCCAGAGTGATGGGTAAGAGTAATGACTGGCATCCCCGCTTCTGCATTAAGATCTGCTTGCAGTTATCTCAGTGAATGAGAGAGCATAATAGAGCGGTTAAGAGTAGAGGGCTCTTGAGTCCTGTGGACCAGGAATTAACCCTGGCCTCACCACTGCAATTGTTGGAAACCTGGGACAGGCTCAAGCTAACTGGGGTTGAGGACACCTACCTTGTGCAGTTGGTGAGAGGACTGAGTGCTTAGCCTGGTACATAGTTATCCCTTAGATGTTATCAGTGATTTTTTATTCTTACAAAATTCTCAAAAACATCTGTTTAAGCAAAAACTTCAAATCTTTTGTGTCCTTGCAAACTTTCCTCCCCTCTGGGAGGGGATGTGCTGGAAAGTGAGTTGGGCTGTGACAACTAAGGTTCCAGCATCCCAAAAGGATTGTTGGTTCTTGGTGGAGTGCATGTCCACAGTCCTGGGATGACTGATTGCCCAGACACTTGGCAAGGCACCATTGAGAACCCGAGTCTCACAAAGCACTGCATACAGGCATTATATACACCTGGGGTGTGCACATTTTGTTCTGCTTGTCATGTTGTCTTGATTGAGTGTCAGTTGGCAAAATTTTGCTCTTTTTCCATCTGACTTGTGTAAATGGAAGATTAAAAAATTATAACCTTAGTAACCAAAACAAAATCTTAGCTTAAAAAAAAAATCCTTCAATTTGGGAGTAGCTATTTTTTTTTTCTTCCCATTGATCATTATCCAAAGACTAAGGGGCATGGATGATAAAATGCTATTGCTTTGGTCAATTAGGAAACTTAGTTTTGGGGAACGTAGAGTTTATTCTTCCTAACTTAAAATTTCTCTTAGGAAATTCTTTTACAACTCAAGTTTCCTTATACAACTCAAGTCCCGCACCTAGGGCTGTGTGGGACTTCGCCGGGCCTCAAGGCTCAGATGTACGAAAGGCTATGCCAAGACCCCGGGAGTCTGAGGTTTGGCAGCAACACAGAAGGAGCTCAGTGTGATCCTACTTTAAATGTTTCCAACAACGTTCGTTTTTGCATTTTGTTTGCTCCTTCCACATTGGAGGAATCTGCTTCAGAAAAAAATCTTTAAATCCATGTTTTACAAAATACCCATATGGTAACATTCAATAAATTTCTTTTTAACTAATTTTGCGTGAAAGCTAAAAAAAAAAAAAAGTGTTTTAGTACAGACTCCAAGGTAATGTTCTTTGACACATTTCTACTTTTCAGTGGCATCCTTACCTCACTTTGGCCTCTGCCAATGCTTGTGCCTTTGGAGTATCTGCACCCACTTGGGTTCTTCTGGGCAGCGATACTTGGTAGTCTGGTAGCAGATTGCTTGCAGTTCTGTGTAAATTCTGAAATCATTGTTTCTTCAAACAGTTTATTGGAACATTCTTTCTTTGGCTTACCATGGAAGTAAACAGATTATAAAATGGGAACTTACTGTTTTTAATTGTTTTCTGGTCATATTCATAAAGATCAGATTGCAAAGAATCAGTTTATGGGTATAATACCTGGTTTAAAGTTATATTCTGTATCTGCTAGGAATAGCCACATTTCACTGAGGAGAAACTCCAAAATAATAATGGCTTCACTAAGAGAGGAGTTTCTTTTTATTTTTATTGTTTTTTGTTGTTGTTGTTTGCATCCCAGGAAATGCACACATGGGCAGTCTATAGCTAACAGTGTCCTCAGGGACTCAACTGCCTGCTTTTCTGCTCTCTCTGTCTTTGCACGTTTCCTTTAGGAAGTTACCTCATGGACATCAGGAAGGAGAAAGGCTGGAAAAGGACTTCCTCAGCTGTGTTTCCCTTTAAGGAGCCTTCCCAAAAGACAGGTCCAATAACTAGAGCTCACATCTCAGACAGAACAGCACATGGTCACTCAAAGCTTCAAGAGAGGCCAAGAATTGTTGTCCCTCATTTGGGCACATTGCCAGATCCAGTAGCACAGGCCACTGCTAATAGAGAAGGGGAGGTGGTGTTTGGTTCAGCAACCACCAGTGTCCACCAATGTTCTTGATTTGAGAGAAAACTGATGTAATTAGGGGTAAAAAAAAAAAAAGGATTATCTTCCCAAGTAAATAAGATTAGATGCTTATTGAATTTATTCAGTCTGCATTTAGACTTTGTGATTAGTTCTAGCTGCATTCAGAGCTAAAAATATTAGTGTCAGAGAAAGAAGTCAGATGCCTTTCCAGTGTAAAGCCAAATGCCTTCTGTGGAGTTTATGCCTATGAAATGCAGCCATCAGCTGTCAGGATCCACCTTCTCCTCAGGGAGAAATGAGGCTGGGAAATAGAATGGTTGATGTGAACAGATTGCCAGCATTTTCACAGACAGTAATTTAAAACTGGCTAATTGAAAAATAAAATTAATTGCAACATTTTAAATATGTACCTTTAACATTTTATTTTATGTATGTAAATATATATTACATATATGTATCTACATATATATTACATACATATATATGTATCTAAATATATATATTTTATGTATGTAAATATATATTCATTCCACAAACTTTTGATTAAGGGCTGAGGCATTTTTAGAGTATAGTTCCCTTATTGGTGTTAATACTGTTTTTTTTTTATCATAAATCACACCTAATGCATTTGGACAATTTCCAGTTTCAGTTTCTGAAAGTGGAGCAAATACTAAGGCACATATTAAAGCAACCCAAACTAACCTCTTCCAGATCTTTTTCTTTCCTTTAAGAATTCTTCCAGATTTCTACCATTTTTTACTTTATTTTGTAGTTGACTTGCCACACCAGATTCAATAGCAATTTTTAAGTGACTCCTTGTTACCAATTATTTGCAAAACATTCAACTTAGTTCTTACAGTAACAATTATTTTTCTGATCACTTGTCATTAATATTTCACCAAATTCTGTAATTCCAATAACAAGTCTAAGTGATGTAAATGGTGTGGGAACAAGCACAGCCAAATCTCCGTAAGCATGAAACTCACCTAAGGGAAGCCAGAGAGAGTGGCACTAATGCCCACCCACTTTGTCCCTCCCCTGCTCATGTGCTCTGGCATCAGCCAGGATGTTTTGTTGGGAGAATGGAGAGAATTCTTTAATCTGAGCAAATCTGTTCTGTGGTGGCCAAGTAAGAGAGGCTATGCCATTCTATGACCTTTTGAGATTTCTTCAAACTTTGAACTGCCTTTTGTTTGTTTTCGTGGTTACTCCTTTGCCTGGCTCCCTATTGTTAGAACAAAGTTTTCCCGAGGATATGTGTACTTGCCTGGACGTTGTTCTCAACTCACCTTTTACCCTCATGCCCTCTTCAGATTCTCTGGCTTGCTCATCCTATGCCTGTTCTTCTCCTACCTCTTTAATTCTTCAACTTTCCTCCCCCAGAGTGCACCTCCACCCACTTTCACATTTACATTTTTCTGCCTGTTGTAAAAGGCCAAAATGTCACCTCTCCCATGAAGCTGTGTCAGATTCCCCACCTGGGAAGAAATGGTTCACTCTGAGTTTCCACAACTCTCCCATGAAGCTGTGTCAGATTCCCCACCTGGGAAGGAATGGTTTACTCTGAGTTTCCACAACTCTTTTAGATTTTAATTTTGTTGTTGTTTTAAATCTTTAAGTCCCTTAGCCCTTTTGCCCTCATATTATGTTGATTCTCATACCCATTATCTCCATAAAGACATGACCTTTGATTGAGCTTGTAACTCCCCGCCTCTCATGACGCCTTGCACAAAGCAGGTGCTCAATATATATCAAATGAATGAATATGACTTTATTAGGCAAAGCTACAGAATTTCACGTGTAAGTTAGGTTCAAAATTTATTGACTTTTTCAAAATTTGCAGAACCGTAAGTGTTTCTTTTATGGAATAGATTTCTGTCTACTGAAAAAAGAAGTACAGCTTAAAACACTTAAAATTCTTAAACTCTTTTAGTTCAGTGAAGAGGGAGAAAAAAAACAATATTTTTGCTAGGATTTGAAAACTAGCACCCACATGAAACAGATGCCAATCTAAACTTTAAGGATCTTTTTTTTTTTTTTTTAACTAGGAATCTTACTTGTACATTCTTTTGGGGAATAGAGTGTAGGCATCAGCTTTTTGAAACAACAGTAAATTCTGAAAAATGTGTAAGCTGCGACTCCAGCAGTGTGGGAAAACAGAAGCAGGCAATTTGCATTACCCATGCTGTGTGAAAGGTACAAATCAACAGATCACCTGTCAGCTTCCTTCCAGGCCCTGCTTCTTAGTGTGCAGCAGCAGGCACTGTAAGAACTTGACTTTGACTAAAATAAATGTGACAGTATTTTCTTTGCACAGAAAGAGAGGAGGGGGCAGCAGTAAAGGCTGAAAGGGAACGTAGTAACTTGACTTAATGAAAACTGGTGGAAATGCATATTCTCTTGGTACCATCACAATAGGGAATAACATCTCTCATTGTATCACTTTAAATCTTTCTTAGCAGCAGCTGCTATGTGGAAGAATGAGGATACTGCATCTCTCATTTGGTGATTCTGAGTTTTGACCCAAATTAAGAAGCTCTAAATACAAAGTATGATTCACAATTGGTAGATCCAACATGTATAGCATGAGCTAGGTATGATTTAAAGCCTCGAAGTGGTTAGGGAGATGGGGCTAGTGCTGACCAAGACGTTGACCTGTCAGGACTGCTGATCCCGCTCCCAAAATTTCCTTTAGGATGGAGAGAGAATTGTAAGAAACCAACTGAGTCATGGGGGAGCTGTTGGAACTGCTGTGTTGGGGGTGGGGGATGTATCTTTTGTTCGGGGGCTGCAGACAGCCCAGCAAGACTATGAGAGGGAAGACAGGTGTAAGGGAGGTAGGCAGTAGTGGGAGCTGTTCTTACTTCTCCCATCCATTGCCTTGGGGAAAACAGTGCCTGCCCCTGGCAGTTTAGATTTCTGGTCCAAGTGTGCTCATGAGCAAACTCTGGGCAGCAACACAACCTCTGTGCTTGTGAGGAGCTGGGAAAAAGGGTGGGTCTCCCTGATCTCCGTTAGGCTCTTCTATTCTCTGCCACTTCAGTCCCCCACAGACATAGGCACTACAGTCTCAAAACATTTCTTCCTAATGCTTCTCATTGGGGGAGCAAAGGGCGAGGACCTGACAGAGAAGAAGGTGCTTTGGGAGTCGGGAGTGACTGATTGAAGCCTAGATCTAGTTATCCATTATAGGCTTATGCACCCCTTGATCTGTCTTGGACTCATGCAACTAAGGGCTGGCCTTCCACTGTACCTGCCTGATACTCCAGAGGAAAATGAACTTATCGGGCAAAATAACAGGACATTTGAGGAAAACAACATGCTGAAAGTAGGTTTTCAAAAAGAAGCAGAAACATTAAAACAGATGAAACAAAAATTTAAAATTAGTCAAAGTCATTGAAAGAGATGAAGAAAGAAATTAAAAATATGAACCCCAAACAAGAAAACATAAAAAGAGCAGAAAATATGTGCAACAAATATAAAAGTTGAAAGACTACAATAGGTAGAACTAAGAATAGATACAGTTGAGTTATGAATTAATGAATTAGAAAACAAGATTGAGGAAATCTCTGAGAATTAGATGTATACTAAATAGAAATGATACTATAATAGTCCCAAGCCCCAGATTTGGGAAACAACCCAAATGCCTATCGATAAAAGAATGGATAGATAAATTGCAATATATTTAAGCAACGAAATACTGTTCAACAATGAAAAATAAAATGCTGAGAAATTTTGTATAACATTATGTATAAACATCAGAAACTGATCAAAAGCTTGACGTTAAAGTTTATACGTACTTCATTTATATGAGGTTCAATAACAGACAAAACTAATCTCTGGTGACAGAAATCATAATAACGGTAACTTAGAGGTGGAGTATTGACCCAAAGGTACAAAGCAACCGTATGTCTTCTATACCTTGATTTATAATGTTCTATGCCTTGATTCAGGTTATGGTAACACAGGTGTATGCATATGTAAAATGTCTTTAAAATTGTGCATGTTATATGTACATTATTCAATAAGGTACTGAAAGAAAATTAACTAGATGATAGCAACATGATGGACATTGGTAAGGGAAGGACAAAGGATGTAAGAAAATGCTACCTTGTTATTGAGGTGGGTTTTTTTTTTTTAAGAAAAGATGAAAAAAACGGACAAATTAAAAGAATAAATATGACAGAAACATAAAAGCATATCAGTAAAAGTAAATGGACTAAACTTATAAATGAAAGATGAACTTGATTTTATGAGTTTAGTCCATTTACTAAACTTACTTGAAAGATTGAGTTTTAAAATCTAAATATGTATTATTTACAAGGGTGAAATAAAAGAGTGAAAAAAAGTAACCCAGATAAAATTGGAAGTTACTGTCAACTGATACTAACATGAATAAAATTGACTTCAAGATTTTTTTGAAATGGAGATGAGAAAGATCACTATAATGATAAACTATTCAGTTCACCAAGAAGATGTAACAATTTTAAACATGCATGCATCTCATAAAATAACCTCAAAGTATATGAAGGAAAAAGTGGTAGAAATACAAGGATAATTTGATAAACCTGCCATCACAGGGACTAGATTTCTGCACATGCTCATAGGTTAAGCAGGTTAAAAACTCAGAAAGGATATAGATAATCTAAATAATACAATTGATAACCTTGATCTAATGGGTATATACAGAGTTCTGCAACCAAAATTTAAAGAAAACACATTTTTACTTGTTTCATATGAAGAATTTACAATTATCAGGTATTAGGCAACAGAGTCTCAATACATTCCAAAGAATAGGTCCATATAGATGAAGAAGTCTTACCAGTATGTGATTAAATTAACAATAAGATAGTATCTTTACATATTTGGAAATTTTTAAGACACACTTCTAAATAACCCAAAAGTTAAAGCAGAAACCACAATGGAAATTTACTGCATGATAATGAAAACACCGCACTTAAAGACCTGTGGGATGCAGTAAAAGTGAAAATTTTCTCCCTTTTTAAAATTTTTGTGGGAAATTTTTAGCTTTAAATCTATATAAAAGAAGAAAGTCTCAAAATTAATGAGCTACATTATGTCTATTTTAAGAAGTTTGAAAAATAATGAAAGACTAAACCTAAATTAAGTTTGAGAGAGAATGAAAAAACAAGAGCTGAAGTCAATGAAATAGAACCAAAGACATAATGTAGGAAATCAACAAAGCAAACAAAAAAAAAAATCAGTTATTTGGAAAAAAGAGCAGTAATTAGACAAATTTCTGCCAAAAATGATCAACTAAAAAAGCAAAAAGATACAAATAATACAATGAAGGTAAATGTGGACATACATACAGATAGAGATTAAAGAGATACCACTAGGATATTATCAACAATTCTATACTAGAATATTTGCAAGCATAAATGAAATGGATGAGTTCTTGGGAAAATATAATTTGCTACATATGTCCTCAAAAATAAACTTCAATAGTCCTATAGCTATTAAAGAAATCAACGTCATGATTATAATCTTCCTATTAAAAACAAGACAGATTGTTTTTTGATATGGTTAGGCTTTGTGTGAATAGAGAGGGAGACTTACTTAGATTTTGTTTTCCAAAGATAGCCAGGACAGTATTTCCTATCCCACTTACTTTTCTTAAAAAGTGACTTTGATGCTTCCCCACTCTAGAGGTGGGGTCTGTAATTCTATGGCAAAGGTGATATGATATAACTTCCAAGGTTAGATGATAAAAGATGATGCAGCTTCCTACTGGTTCCCTTGGAACCAAGCCACCATGTTGTGAGAAAGCCATGAAGCCACAGGAGGAGGCCGTGAGTTCTGCATGACAGTCTTGGCTGAGTTTCAACCCCAGACATGAGTGAATGAACCTTCAGATGACTCCAGCTCCCAGTCATTGAGTCACCCCAGCCTTTGTCTTCCCACTGAGGTCCCAGATGTCATGGTAAATTGAGAACCATTGCTGCTGGGCTTTTGCTCAATCATGGCCCACAAAATCATTGAGCATCATAAAATGATTGCTCTTTTACATCATTGAATGTCAATTCTTCCCAAATTGGTTGGTAGATTTAACACAAATCTAGTCAAAATTTCAACAGGATATTACTATAGAGTTTTATGCAATTATTCTGAACATTATATGAAAGAAGAAATATCTGAGAATAGCCAAGACATTTTAGAAGAGGAATTTTGAAGAGCAATGGTTTTAGAACAATATTAAGTTATGGTAATTAAAACAGTCTGATATTGGGGCAGGGATAAGCAAAACATGGAAATTTAATATATGACAAATGGTATGCAATCAGTGAAGAAAGGAGGGACTACTTGATCAATAGAGTGAGAAAAAGTGTTATTCATATGAGAAAAGATGAAATTGGATTCCTTCTTTACAACATATGCAAAAATCAATTCAAAACGATTAAGGACATATACGTCAAAAACAAAATATTAACACTCTTAGTAGAAAACTTATTTTAGACCATGGGCTAGGAAAGATTTTTTCCAACTAGATTTTAAAAAATGCATTGACTATAATAGACAAGATTGACAAATTTCAATATATAAAAATTAGGAACGTTGTTAATTGGAAAACACCCATAAAGAAATTTAAAAAGGTTAAGTTATGAACTGGATGAAAATATCTGCAATATATGTTACTGACAGTGAGGTAATATCAACAACATATAAAGAACTTCTACAAATCAATAAGTGGAACATAACCCAATGGAAAAAACAGGAATCATGAGCAGGCATTTTCAAGAAAAGGAAAGTCATCGACCAATAAGCGTATAAAAAGGTCTTCAGTGAAATTTTTATTTAGGAAAGTAAGAATTAGGAATTAAGACCACAGTGAGTTACCTTTACACTCAAATGACGACAAAAAGTTAAAAGTCTGATGGTAAAAATGTTGGAGAGCATATAAATTCATGGGAGTTTTTATACATTCCTGGTGGAAATGGAAGTAGTTGCAACCACTTTGCAAAACAATTTGACATTATTTCTAGAGTTCAACATTAACATACACTATGATGTAGTTTTAGTCCTTGGTATGCATCCCCAAAATATTCAAGAGAATATGAGCATCAAGAGTCATGTAAAAAAGTGTTAATAGCAGTATTCTTTACAGTAATGACCACCTGGAAACATCCCAAAAGCCCATCAATTGGATAGTTAATGAATAAGCAGTTTACGTGATTCAGTTTACTCAATGGAACATTATGCAGCAGTCAAAATGAATGAACAATAACAATATCCAACAGTATGAATGGACTGTAGTAGTAGAATCTTTTATTGTGGTAAAAAAAATCATATAAGACCTTCCCTTTTAAATAATTAATTGTGCAGTGTGGTATTGTTAACTATAAGCATAATGTTCTACAGCAGATCTCTAGAATTTTATACCCATTGAATGGCAACTCCCCACTTCTCCCTCCCCCCAGACCCTAGCATCCAGCAGTCTGCTTTTTTTTCTATGTATTTAACGACTGTAGATACCTCATAAAAGTGTAATCATTCAGTATTTGTCCTTCTGTAACTGATTTATTTAACTTAGCATGATATCCTCAAAGTTCATTCATGTTGTTATATACAGTAGAATTTCCTTCCTTTTTGAAGCCAAATAATACTCCATTATGGTCACCCAGCCTGGAGTGCAGTAGTGTAATCTCAGCTCACTGCAACCTTGGCCTCCTGGGCTCAGGCAATCCTCCCACCTCAGCCTTCCAAGTAGCTGTGGCACCATGCGTGGCTAATTTTTGTATTTTTTGTGGAGACAGAGCTTCGTCCTGTTGCCCAGGCTGGTCTCAAAACTCCTAAGCTCAAGCAATCTGCCTGCCTCCGCCTACCAAAGCGCTGGGATTACAGGCATGAGCCACCACATCTGGTCCACATTTTCTTTATCCATTCATTTGTAGATGGACATTTAGATTGTTTCCACATCTTAGGTATTTTAAATAATGTTGCACCGAACATAAGAGTGCAAATATCTTAGAGATCCTAATCTCAATTCTGGATAAACACCAGAAGTAGGATTGCTGGATCATATGATAATTCTATTTTAGTATTTTTTTGAGAAATCTCTGTACTGTTTTCTGTAGTAGCTGCATCATTATATATTCCCTCTAACAGTGCACAAGTGTTTCAATTTTTCCACACTTTCACCAGCACTATTTTTTTATAATGGTCATCGTAATGGAATGGTAATATTGTTTAATTAGCATTTTCGTGTTGATTAATGCTGCTTGATCACCTATTTCTGTTGGCCATTTGTATGTCTTCTTTGAAGAAATGTCTGTTCCAGTTTTTTGTCCATTTTTTAATTGGGTTTTTTGGTTCTTTCCTATTGTAGGAATTCCTTCTGTATTTTGGATATTAACTCCTTAACAGATATATGGTTTGCAAATATTTTCTTCCATTCTGTAGGTTACCTTTTCACTGTTAGTTGTTTTTCCTTGCCATTCAGAAGCTTATCAGCTTGATGTAATTCCACTTATTATTATTATTAGTTCTTTGCTTTTGTCGCTTTGCTTTTGTTGTCATATCTGAGAAATCATTACCTAGACCAATGTCATGGAATTTTTCTCTTATGATTTTTTTCTAGAAGCATTACATTTTCATATCTTACCTTTAAGTATTTATTCCAATTTCATTCTCTTACGTATGGATATCCAGTTTTTCAGCACCATTTGTTGAAGGGACTAACTTTTCCCCATTGTGTATTCTTGGCACCATTTTGAATATTGGTTGACCAGATATGTATGGGTTTATTTCTGGTCTCTTTGTTCTGCTCCATTGATCTATATGTCTGTTTTTATGGATTCTGTAACATTATAATACATCTATTTTGAAACCAGTAAGTTTAGTGCCTCCAGCTTTGTACTTCTTTACCAAGGTTGCTTTGAATATTCAGGACCTTTATGGGTTCCATATGAATTTTAGGATTTTTTTTTTCTGTAAAAAAAAAAAATGCCATTGGAATATTGAAGGGGATAGCATTGAATCTGTAGATTGCTTTGGATAATATGGAAATTTTCACTAATTAAGTCTTCCAATTCATGAACACTGTATATTTTCCCATTTATTTCTATCTTCTTTAGTTTCTTTCATTAATGTTTTGTAGTTTTAGTGTATAAATATTTTACCTCCTTGGTTAAGTTTATTTCTAAGTGTTTTATTATTTTTGATGCTATTGTAAATGGGGTTGTTTCCTTGATTTCTTCTTTAGATGGTTTATTGCTAGTGTATAGAAACACTACTAATTTTCATGTGTTTGTTTTGTATCCTGCAATCGGATTAAATTCATTTATTAGTTCTAATGTTTTTGTGTGTGTGGAGTCTTTAGGATTCTCTATGTATAAGATTATGTAGTCTGCAGAGACAATTTTACTTCTTCCTTTCTAATTTGAGTGCCTTTTATTTCTTTTTCATACCTAATTTCTCTAGTCAGGACTTCAAGTACTGTGTTGAATAGAAGTACTGAGAGTGGGCATTCTTCTTGTTCCTCATCTTAGAAAAAAAAGCTTTCAGGCCAGGTGCGGTGGCTCATGCTTGTAATCCCAGCAGTTTGGGGGGCTGAAGCGGGTGGATCACCCGAGGTCAGAAGTTTGAGACCAGCCTGGCCAACATGGCGAAACTGCGTCTCTACTAAAAATACAAAAATTAGCCAGGCATGGTGGCACATACCTGTAATCCCAGCTACTCAGGAGGCTGAGGCAGAAGAACTGCTTGAACCTGGGAGGTGGAGGTTGCAGTGAGCCAAGATCATGCCATTGCACTCCAGCCTAGGCAACAGAGTGAAACTCCGTCTCAAAAAATAAAGAAAAAAAAAAGCTTTCAGTTTTTCACTGTTGAGTATGATGTTAGCTGTGGATTTGTCACACATGACCTTTATTATGTAAAGGTAAGTTCCCTCTGTGCCTAGGTTGTTGAGATTGTTTTTATCAGAAATAGTGTTGAATTTATCCAATCCTTTTTCTGTGTCTATTGAGATATTTGTGTGATTTTCATTATTCATCACATTAATTGATTTACCTGCATTAAACCATCCTTACATCCCAGGGTAAATCCCACTTTGTTGTGGTGTATGGTCCTTTTATTATACTGTTGAACTTGGTTTGCAAGTTTTTTTTCTTTTTTCTTTTTTGAGGATTTTTGCATCTATGCTTATCAGGGATATTGAACTATAGTTTTCTTTTCGTGTATATCTTTGTCTGGCTTTGGTATCAGGGTAATGCTGGCCCTAGAAAATAGGTTTGAAAATGTTCCCTCTTCCTTGACTTTGTTTTCTGGAAGCATTTATGAAAGATTGAAATTAATTCTTTAAATGTTTGGTAGAATTCACCAGTGAAGTCTTCTGGTCATGAGCTTTCTCTGGAGGTTTTTGGTTGCTAGTTCAGTTTCCCTATTGGCTATAGATATGTTCAGATTTTCTGTTCCTTCATGACTCTGATTATAATGTGTCTCTGTGTAGACTTCTTTGGGTCATCCTATTTGGAGACATTTGAACTCCTTGAATCTGGCTGTTTATTTCCTTCTTCAGATTTCGGAAGTTTTCAGTCATTATTTCTTTAAGTAAGCTTTCTGCCATTTTTCTCTCTGTCCTTATGAGGTGCCATTGCAATGTACCATGTATATTATAGTATGTACCGTTGGTCCCCTTAAGTTTTTACTTTTTTTATTCTTTTTGTTTTTGCTCCTCTAACTGAATAATTTCAAATGACCCATTTTCAAGTGTGCTGACTCTTTTCCTCTGCTACATCAAGTCTGCTGTTGAAGGCCTCTGGTGATTTTTTTTGTTCATTTATTGTATTCTTCAGCTCCAAAATTTTAGGATTTTTTTCTTCAATTTTCTATCTTGTTGAAATACTTATTTTGTTCATGCACCATTTTTCTAAGCTACTTGAGTATATATATGATGATAATTATGAATTCTTTGTCAGGTAATCATATTAAGTGATTTACCTGTGTTAAACTGTCCTTGCATCCCAGAGATAAATCTCACTTGTTCATGGTGTATGGTCCTTCATTTCTGTATTCACCTTCATTTCTGAAGATTTACTTTGTGCCTTTGTTTGGGCCATGATTTTCTGTTCCTTTATGTTTCTTAACCCTTTATATTAGGGTCTGTGTATTGGAAAAATCAGCTGCCTCTCCCAGTCTTTACAGCCTGGCTTTGTATAGGTGATGACCTTCACCAGTCAGCCTTGCTAGTGATTCTGTGGTCCTCTTAAATCTTTTCTGTCGGTATGACTTCCTTGGACTTTTGTATATAGATCATAACTAGAAGGATTTCCCAGTTTCTTTTTTTAGAAGTTCATAATCTCTTTTCTCTCTGCTGCCTGTCTGCTGTACTGCAGTCCTCTGAAGCACTAGCATACTACCCAGCTCTTTTTTTTGTTGTTTATCTCAGAAGCCCTCAGATATCTAAAGTTTGCCGAGTCTCATCAGTGCTCTGAGCCAGGATAAACAGAAGCTAGTCCCTCAAACAGCCTTCCAAAAAGTCTGAACATTGGAAGTATGTTTCAGTCTTCTCTTTCCATCCTAAGGGAGAAGCCAGGGGCTGTGTGTTTCCATGATCTTGCCTTGCTGAGTGCTATGGTTTCAATGTACGTGGCCCTCCGAAATTCATATGTTGAAGCCTCATCACCAAGGTGATGGATTTAGAAGAGGAAGCCTTTAGGAGGTTATTAGGTCACAAGAGCTCTGCCCTCATGGATGGGATTAATGCCCATATAAAAGAGGCTTCGGAGAGCATTTGTCCCTTTTCCCCCTTCTGCCATGTTAGGACGCAGCAACAAGACAACCATTTTTGAAGCAGAGAGAGCCGGCCCTCACCAGACACTGAATCTGCTGGCACCCAGTCTAAGGCATTTTGTTGTAACAGCCTGAATGAACTTGGAAATTGGTACTGAGAAGTAGGGTGTGGCTATAACAGATGTCCAAAAATGTGGAGGCAATTTTGAAACTGGGTAATGGGTGGAAGCTGGAGCAGACTAGAAAAAGCCCATATTGCCATGAGTGGACCATAGAGGGGGATTCTGGAGGGAATTCAGAAAAGGAGAGCTGCAGGAAGAGTCTCAGTCTTCTTGGAGATTAAGTGGTTGTGATCAGAATATAGGTAAAAATATGAACAGTAAAGGTGTTTGTTTATTTATTTATTTATTTGAGACAGGGTCTCACTCTGTCACCCAGGTTGGAGTGCATTGGTGAGATTACAGCTGACTAATCTTGAATTCCTGGGCTTAAGTGATCCTCCTGCCTCAGCCTTCCAAGCAGCTGGGACTATATATGCTAATTTAAAAAGTTTTTTGTAGAGATGAAGGCTCACCTTGTTGCCCAGGCTGGTCTGGAACTCCTGGTCTCAAGCAATTCTCCCGCCTTGGCCTCCTAAAGTGCTGGGATTACAAGCATGAGCCACCATGCTCAGTCAAGTACAGGTGCTTCTGATGAGGTCTTAGACCGAAATGAGGGATATGTTAATGGAAACTGGTGGGAAGGCCATCCTTGTTACAAAGTGGCAAAGAGCTTGCCTGAATTGTTTCTGTGTCCCAGTACTTTGTGAAAGGCAGAACTGAAAAGAAATGAACTAGGATATCTGACCGAAGAAATCTCTAAGCAAAGTATTGAGGGTGTGGCATGGCTTTTTTGACTGTAGTAAAATGTAAGAAGAGAGAAATGAATTAAAGATGGAATTTCTAACTAAAAAGGAAGCAGAACTTAAGAGTTGAAAAATTCTCAGCCTGGCCAACTTGTAAAGAATAAAAAGACATGTTCTGTAGAGAATTGAAGTTCTGTCCAGGGGGCGTGGCCCAGTGACTCTCAGGAGATTAGGATGGATAGAAAGGAGCCGGATGCTATTCATCAGGACAATGAAAGGATGACCCCAAAAGCATTCTGGAGATCATGGCCACTCCCATCACAGGCCAGAGTGCTATGACCTTGAGGGCAGAATGGTTTCAAGGGAAGTGCCCAGGTACATTTGGGACCTCAGGCTCACTGCCTAGAGTCACCTCAAGTCTCTGCTCCATGCATTCCAGCACAGAGCTCCTTAGCTCCCTGCTGTGGTCAAGTGGGCCCAGGTACAGCTTGGGCCACCACTCTGGAGGGTGTAAGTGATAAACCTTGGCAACATCCACATGGTGCTGACTCTGTAGGCACACAGAGTACACAAGGTGTGGAGACATGGCTTTCTAGCTCTCAAAAGTTACCTCAGAGAACCTCAGGGCACACAAGAAGAACTGCCACAGGCATGCACAGCCACAGAGATCCCCCTATTAGGGCAATGGCCAGCAGAGCCATGGGGTTGGGGCCGCCTCTGAGACTCCAGAACTGTAGCACCACCAGCAGACGACTCCAGCTTGGGAGAGCTATAGGCATGCAACTGCAATGTGTGAAAGCTGCCACATGGGCTGCTCCTAGCAAAGCAGTGGGAGTGGGGCTGCCCAGGCCTGGGGGCCCAACCCTTGCCCTAGTATGTCTGGAAGGCAGAACGCTGAGTCAAAATTGTTCTGAAGCCTTAAGATTTAATGTTGGTTTGGCCCTGTTGGGTTTTGGACTTAATTTGGTACCAGTTACCCGTTGCTTTTGGAATGAGAATATCTCTCCTACATCTGTCCCACCATTGTATTTTGGAAATGTAACTTGTTTAGTTCCACAGTCTTACGACGTAAGAGGAATTTGCCTCAGAATAAATGGTATGTTGGCTGGGCACGGTGGCTTACACCTATAATCCCAGCTACTCGGGAGGCTGAGGCAGTAGAATTGCTTGAACCCAGAGGCGGGGGTTGCAGTGAGCCGAGATCACGCCACTGCATTCCAGCCTGGTCGACAGAGCAAGACTCCATCTCAAAAAAATAATAAATAAAATAAAAAAATAAATTGTACGTAGGGTGTCAGCCGTTATCTGATTTAGACAATATTTAGATGAGACTTTAGACTTTAAGTGCTAGAACAAGTTAAGGCTTTGGGGGCTTTTGTGATAAAATGAACGCATTTTTTTGTCCTTCGTGAGAAGGACATGAATTTTGGGGAGCCAGAGGTGGAGTGCTATCGTTTCAATATATGTGGCCTTCCAAAATTCACATGTTGGAACCTAATGCCCAATGTGAACAGTGTTAAGAAGTGAGGCCTTTTGAGAAGTGATGAAGGCGTTAGGGCTTGTTATGAATGGATTGCTGCTCTTATAAATGAGGTTGAAGGGAGTGCCTGGTGCATTTTGCCCTCCTGGCTTCTGCCGTGTAAGGACCCAGCAACAAGGCAGAGTTCTCGGAAGCAACACACGAGCCTCACCAGACACTGGATCTGCCAGTTCCTTCATCTTGGACTTCACAGCCTCCAGAAATGTGAGAAATAAATTTTTGTGTTTGTATAAATTCCGCAGTCTAAGGTATTTTGTTGGAACAATACAGATGAACAGAAACACTGAGCACAGGTGAGGGGCTCTGGCAGCGAGTGTGTGCTAGTCCAGATGGTGGCTTTGTTCTCAGCAGCCCCAGGTGTCTAGAATATGCCAAACCTGTCCCTCCTCCAGGATAGGTGATGCAGAGCCAGTCCTCCAGGCAGCCCCGGAAAGTCCAGAACATCGAACACTTGCTGCAGCTCTGTCCCACCCCAGGGAGAACTCAGGATTTGGGGGTTCTCCCTCTCGTTCAGTGCTGGGCTGCTGAAAGTATGACTGGTGAGTGCATACTAGTGACAACTATGTCCTTTATTCTCAGTGGCTCCCAACCTAGGGCTGTTTCTGTCAACTCTCAGATTCAGGCAAGACAGAAATCAGTCCCTTGGGAAGCCCCCCAGAATGTCAGAACATGGGACATATGGTCAAGTCCCCTCCTTCCCTCCCCTGGGAGAAGTTATGACCTGGGGTTTCCTCCCAATCATGTGAGAGGTGCCAGAGAAAGGATTATGGAGCGAGGGTGCCACCAATTTTTCTGCTGGCTTCAAGACTGCTGGTTTCATGCTTGCTCAGGGTACAGGAGCCTCTCAACTAGACTCTGCCGCCCAGCACAGAACAAGACAGGGAACCCCCAAATCCTGAGTTCTTCCTGGGGTGGGACAGAGCTGCAGCAAGTGTTCGATGTTCTGGACTTTCCGGGGCTGCCTGGAGGACTGGCTCTGCATCCCCTGTCCTGGAGGAGGGACAGGTTTGGCATATTCTAGACGCTTGGGGCTGCTGAGAACAAAGCCACCATCTGGACTAGCACATACTAGCTGCCAGAGCCCCTCACCTGTGCTCAGTGTTTCTGTTCATCTGTATTCCAACAAAATACCTTAGACTACGGAATTTATTCAAACCCGGAAATTTATTTCTCACATTTCTGGAATTCTCAAATTCATCCATGCATAGTTGTTGAATCTTGTGGGGGAGTGGGGAGGAAAGGAGGTCTAGGGCTTCCTATTCTGCCATCTCATTCCCATCACTGTCAGTAGTAGAATATTCAATGAAGAAAAATGTGTCTTAAATATTTATATACTCTTTTCATAGAGGTGAAAGCTAAAACAATAACAACAACAACAATTTCACCACAAATATGCACGCAGAAACTACATAAAAAGGCAAATCAAGAGGGTGATAGTGACTTTAGCAGGGGAATAGCAGTGGGATGTTTTGACATGGGGAGAACGCAAGTAAATGTAGGTTGCACCAAGATCCTGGTTTTTGTTTAGGGTGACGGGTTCATGGTACTTATTATACTACTTTCAATAATCAATTAATTAATTAAAAAAACAGACACTGTATGAATCAGTGATGGAAATATGTCGTCACTTAAGACTTGTGAGTAAACCATATCTGTACACCTGAGGAACAGAGAAAAAATACAACTCAGTAAAATTGCTGTTAGAAAATAGTACCAATTTATATTCCAAAGTTTCTTCTAATTGCTGCCTAATTATGCCATGCAGGGAGGTATTGAAATACGCATATGAGAATTAGAGGTAAATTTTGGTGAGCCATTGTTACGATGGACAATAGAACTGCTATGTAGGTAGGGTGAATAGGAAGCCAGGGGGCATACAGGTTTGTAGGAAGAACTTGCAATATTAGCCTTTCGAAAATTCCAGGCCAGTAAGACTGAATAGCATTCTAACCTCCAACAACAAGGTGTCTGCAGAACGCCTTTTGTTTTGATTGTCTCAGCACCCTTTTGTATAAACAATTCCTTCTCTCTTCTCCCATAGTAATTCCAGTGGCTACAGGGGTGGGCCTGTGGCCCAAATGTGCTGATCATGTGCCCCATCCCCTTGTCTGCAGGAGCTGCTCAGTCTCTAGGTGAGAGTTGATATGTGTGTACTAACAGTGGAAGTTTCTCTTTTCCTTTTGCATTGCGAACTATAAAAGTAGTCACTCGTACTTTTTATTTCATTGATTTTGTAGTTTTTTTATTTCATTGATTTTGTAGAATCCCTTCAGTTTACCTTTTCAAGCTATATAATGGTGTAGTAATGGGTTTGAAAAAGTTCACATGTCACAAATTCACAGAACAAACCTTGATAATATATACTGATAGGGCCTGCAAGTCCCTTCAGCATACTGCTTGACTGAACACTGCCCAGTTTGTTATTCCAGTTACATATGAATAGCACAGGAATAAAGTACTGTTTCATGCAGAACACAGAAAGAAACTGAGAAATAATTTGGTTGAATATGTACACCAAACCACCATGACACGCAATTTATCTATAGAACAACCTGCACACGTACACCCATCTCACTTCCTGAAACAACTGAATTATGAATCATTATTCTACAGCTGGATCAGAGTTAAAGGTCTGTCTCCTACCTACTTAGAGCTAAGGGCATAGATCAAGTCAATGCAAGTATTCAATTAAAAAGAAAATGACTGCAGATCTGTTTCTATTTAATACTTAGAGAATTGTAGGTTCTAGGTACTCTGAAACAGCCACTAATTTCATTCCCTTGGCTTACCTATTCCCTTGGATATAGGTAAGACATTTCATATATTTGTATTTTGTGTGTGTGTGTGTGTGCATGTGTGTGTGTGTGTCTGTCTGTCTGTCTGTCTTGTGGCGCTTTAATATTATTCTGGCATTTTAGAATGGATAAATTTCTATAATTTACTCTCCAGATCTTATTTAGCACACCTCGTTGATACTCTGTCTTATAGAAGAACAATATTATTATTTCTTGTTCATTGTAGAATGATAGCTAAATTGAAACATTTCTGACAAGATGTGATGTTTCACTTTTACTTCTATTCAGCTATGAACTAGTTCTCATTTCTGAGAACCTGAACCCACTGTAAAACCTGTCTTCTGAACTTTCAAGGACCCCTTAGAAATTTGAGGTTTATGATCTGGTTTTTGTTATATTTGGTTTAGTTTTATTGTAAATTTCTTCAGTTCTTTTTCCTGTATGTGCTTTCCCCAGGAAGTCGCATTACCTCTTTTGACTTTAGTTATTACTTCTATTGGGAAGATTCCAGATTTACTTGGAAACAGTTTGTCTAATTCCTCACTGCTTTTTCCCACTATCCGTCTGCCTCCTCCATGACTGACTTCTCAAGCCCTTTTAGATCTAAATAATCCCCTCCCAGCAGAAGGATTTCAGTTTCCTCCACATGCCATGCAATAACTTTAAGAATTATCCAGGTGTTAGCATTTTCTTTTATCCCTGAAAGTACAGTTTGCTCAAATTGACACAGCAGCAACCACACAACCACAGTTCCTGACAAAGAGCCACAGCAGGAGGTATAGGGACTGCAACAGATCACTCAATGAAATTTGAAGGAATTTTTGGATCTTCTTGTCACAGATATTTTAAAAGAAGTTATGGGAATTAAGGAACAATGAAGAGATAAATGATTGAGCTGGAAAAAAGAATAAAATATACCACTAGAAGTTCATGTTTTTCCCCTCTTCTGAAATGTTTCCAAATCTTAAATGGGCAACAGTTTTGCTCTCATATCTGCTGACCTTATGAAAATTATAGCATAATTGAATATGCCTGGCAATGCGTAGCTCCTGGGATACTGTCAATAATGGTTCCTTCTTCACGTTCAACCGCACTTCCTCTTCAAAGGTCTCAGATTAATTAGTCTCAGAAAATGAATTCAACCTTATCCTGTGGAAGTAAAAGGAGCCTCAGTACCCAATTATGTAATCAAATACAGGATGCTATTAATATACTTGGAGCTCTGCAAAATAAAGATAAAATCTTATCTACATAACCCACATGGAACTGGTGTCGGCTCTTATCTTTCACCTACTGATAATACAAGAGAGAAGAGTGACATTCTATCTAATACCAAATGTACTTAAATAATGAGGCCAGATCATCTAAATCCAGCTTCTCCTCAGTCAATCCACCAAACAAAGATGGATGGATAAGAGAGAGATTTTTACCAGACTCCAGTCCAGGGTACCTGAGACCACTTGGCAGAGACACCATTCATTGTATGCCATGTGCATCATAGGGAAGCCCATGATCCTTTGTCGTCTGCAGGGAATCACACCCTTCCAGCTATGGTACATTACTGCAAATCCAAGTTGAGATATTTTCATGAGGGATCAAGAGCGTGGTGCATTGTGTGAGGACGCCATGGCCCAAACAAGAGGATTTTTGATGTTTGAGAAGAGAAGAGGTGGTGTTTGGCTAAAGAAATTGTTCAGGAAAGAAATGATCAGCATTTATATAGCCATAGTGATGTCAACACTGATGATCAGTATTTTAAAAATCACAATTAACATGTATTGGGAAGATGGGGGGAGGAGGAAGTGAATGTAGATGTGTGTAAAAGGAAACACCTCATCTATTGTGAATTACCAATCAAATATTTTTTGAACAAAGTAAAACCTTCCCCAAGAGTATAAGATGAGGGTCAAACAGGTTTAGGAGAAAATGCCTTTTTTATTTCAAAACAATCAGGAAATCAGCATTTTGTCTTGCTCTCAGTTTGCATAAATTTTTATTTGGTCTGTGAAAGCGAAATAATATACTGAAGGAAGGCAAGCAATAATGCATAAAATAGATAAATCCAGAAGTAACAGAATGAGCATATTATTTAGAAACATGACGTAAGAAAAACAGCCAAAAGATTTGATAGTTGTTGTTTCTAAGGAGCAGAAATGCAAGGCAGAGAGGTGCAGAGTGGAGTAAGGTTCTGAAATGCCGTTATGGCTGCATTATTCTAGGAGGTTCTAGGAATGAGTTTCAGCACGATTGTGGACAAAAAGCCTCTCAGCTCATGTACATACACAAGGCTTTACACTCTTCGGTCAAGACCACAGGCACAACAAAGTTAGGCTTTTTGATGCTTGCAACAGCAATGGAGAGTGCGTGCGCGCGCGCACACACATGCACACACACACACTCTCTCGATGGCAAAGGGTGGGGCAGCACCTGGCCTGGTTGTGAGGATTTAACTTGTGTTAGGAGATAGTGGGGTGCTGAGGAGGTGAGGAGTTTGTTCTGGATCAGGTGCTGTGTGAGAGGAGGTAGGGAAGTAGAGTGACGCTAAAGCTGCAGCTTGAGCAGAAGCAGCTGTCACTCAGGTTATCTGGGAGAGGGCGGTGTTTGGTGATGGCTGTAGCACAAGGACTTTGTTTTTGTCTATGCCCACAAAGGATTACACTGTGGTCTTGTATTTCCCCATGCCAGATTGCAATCAGAATTTCCCCAAGGAGCCCTGGCTTGTTTAGTAGGAGATGGCATCTACCAACTAAGTTATGGGAAGTAGGTAGGTGTGGGTGTTGCTACTGGGCTATGCTACTTCTAGACCCTTTTAGTGGAACTAGAACCAGAACTAGAAATACATTTTTAAAATTCATATGTTTCCACCGATGACTTCAGTTTCAGTCCAGTAACTCAGAGTTCTTCTCCCTTCCCCATTCCATATTTGTATCTCTTACCCATAGTGAGAACCCTGGTTCCTTGTAATACCAGAGTCAAATGTATCTACTCATTTCCTCTGTCATATGCAATTTGAACAAAGTGCTTTCAGAATTACTACATGAGTGCTATTACCAAGGACAAGCAGATACAACTTTAGTTCTGTGATGGTTAATACTGACTGTCAACCTGACTGGATTGAAGGATGCGAAGTAGCCATCCTGGGTGTGTCTGTGAGGGTGTTGCCAAAGGAGATCAACATTTGAGTCAGTGGCTGGGGAAGGCAGACCCACCCTTAATCTGGTGGGCACAATCTAATCAGCTGCCAGCGAATATAAAGCAAGTGGAAAAACGTGAAAAAGAGAGACAGGCCTAGCATCCCAGCCTACATCTTTCTCCCGTGTTGGATGCTTCCTGCCCTCGAACATCGGACTCCAAGTTATTCAGTCTTGAGACTCAGACTGGCTCTCCTTGCTCCTCAAGCTTGCGGATGGCCTATTGTGGGACCTTGTGATCATGTAAGTAAATACTTAATAAACTCCCATATATATATACACACACACATATATACATTATATATACACACACATAGGCATTATATATACACCTATATACATTATATATAATAGGATCTATATTATATAGGAATATTATATATTTTACATATATATATATATAAAATGCTAAGTACTCTACTTCTAATAGTGTGGAAAACACTGATAGTCCTTGGTGTGAACTGTTTAGAGAATTATGCAAAATAAATGCATTTGACATGACACTCCTGCTTCACTGCTCATGAGAGGCAAGGAGTTTAGTGACTCTATACGTAATACCTTTGACCATATGTGGGGAACCAAGGAACATAATGAAGCTGGTTGGTTGCTCCTCAGTTCAGTGGACAACGTGATGAAAGAAAATGATGAACTCAGGGATTCTGTCTCCTGGCTTCAGAAGCAGATACTGAGCTGCAAATCTGCTAAGATTATCCTGAGCTGAAATTACGGTAAAACAGACACAAACTTTTATCATGTGAGTGGCTGACCTGCAATGGAAGGTGCATGCACAGCCTCCCCAGGTGTCTACGGTTAAAGTGAAGGCCTTGATTGGAAAAGAATGGGACCCTGCAACTTGGAATGGGGATGTGTGGGAGAACCCTGAGTTTGTAAACTCTGATGAACCATTTTTGCCAGAAGGAACAGCTTCCCCATCCCCAGTAGTGGCAACACCTTCTCCCCTACCATGCTGCCATCAGCCTTTCCACCTTTGTCTGAGAAGATAAACCCTTCACCGCCTGAGGCGACAGTGATGGCCTCCCCTGAAGCAGTTGCCAGGCAAAATAATGTTGATTCTCCTCAGGTGCCACCCCCAACACCCCTGTTTGCTTCTAGACCTATAACTAAACTAAACTTCTCGCAGGCCCCTAGAGGTGAGGTTGAGAGTGTAATCCATAAGCAGGTGTGCTACACTCGATAAGAACTCCTTGAGATTTCTAATCTATATAAACAGAAATCTGGAGAACAGGCATGGGAATGGATATTAACGGTATGGGATAATGGTGGGAGGAACATGGTGTTGGATCAGGCTGAATTTACTGATTTGGGTCCACTAAGTAGGGACTCTGCATTTAATGTTGCAGCTCAGGGAGTTTAAAAAGGTTCTAATAGTTTATTTGCATGGTTAGCTGAAATATGGATTAAAAGATGGCCCACTGTGGGTAAGCTGGAAATGCCTGATCTCCCTTAATATAGAGGAAGGGATCCAAAGGCTTAGGGAGATCGGGATGGTGGAGTGGATTAGTCACTTTAGTTTTACTCATCCCGGCTAGGAGGGTGCAGAAGATATACCCTTGACCAATGCCTTGCAAAATAGATTTGTGAGTGCAGCACCTTCATCTTTGAAGAGCCCTGAAATTGCTCTTCTCTGTATGTCAGATCTAACAGTGGGAACCACAGTCACTCAACTAGAAAATTTAAATACAGTGGGAATAATTGGATCCTGAGGTGGCAGGGGCCAAGTGGCAGCACTCAACCATCAAAGGCAAGGCAGGCATAGATACTGTAAGGGACAGCAGAGACAAAGCAGCAATCAGAACAGTCTGACTTGTGTAGAGCTCTGGCATTGGCTAATTAATCACAATGTTCCTAGAAGTAAAATGGGTAGGAAGCCTACTGCATTTCTACTTAATCTACATAGGAAGAAAACTTCTAGGTTGAGTGGACAAAAGACTAATTCGAATTATAAAAACAGAAAATCATGGCCCCTCAATCAATTTCCAGACTTGAGCCAGTTTACACACCCAGAACCCCTTGAATGAAGGGAAGCTGGGTGCTCTTGAGGAAGGACCCCACTATATTACCAGCAATTTATGCAGTGACTCTTTCTCCCATCCTTCTCCAAGTTTTAGCTCAGGTCTGACTTACAGTGGGTCCAGTGGGCCCCCAGACTCATCCTGTGGTCATTTGCATAATTGGCATAGACATACTTAGCAGCTGACAGAATCCCCGCATTGGCTCCCTGACTGATAGGGGGAGGGCTACTATGGTGGGAAAGGCCCAATGGAAGCCATTTGACTCCCTACCTAGGAAAACAGTAAATAAAAAACAATATCGCATCCCTGGAGGGATTGTGGAGATTAGTGCCACCATCAAGGACTTGAAACATGCAGGGGTGGTGATTCCCACCACATACCCATTCAACTCTTCCATTTGGCCTGTGCAGAAGAAAGACGGATCTTGGAGAATGACAGTGAATTATCGTAAGGTTAACCAAGTGGGGACTCCAATTGCAGCTGCTGTGCTGGATGTGGTTTCATTGCTTGAGCAAATTAACACATCTCGTGGTACCTGGTATGCAGCCATTGACTTGGCAAATGCCTTTTTCTCCATTCCTGTCCACCAGAAGCAATTTGCCCTCAGCTGGCAAGGCCAGCAATATACCTTTACTGTCCTACCTCAGGGGTATGCCAACTCTCTGGCTTTGTGTCATAATCTCATTCAGAGAGACGTTGATCACTTTTTGCTTCCACAAGATATCACATTGGTCCATTACATTGATGACATTATGCTGACTGGATCCAGTGAGCAAGAAGTAGCAAACACACTAGACTTATTGGTGAGATATTTGCGTGCCACAGGATGGGAAATAAATCCGACTAAAATTCAGGGATCTTCTACCTCAGTAAAATTTCTAGCGGTTCAGTGGTGTGGGGCCTGTCAATATATTCCTTCTAAGGTGAAGGATAAGTTGCTGCCTTTGGCCCCTCCTACAGCCAAGAAGAAGCCACAGTGCGTAGTGGGCCTATGTGGATTTTGGAGGCAACACATTCCTCATTTGGGTGTGTTACTCAGGCCCATTTGTCAAGTGACCCGAAAGGCTGCCAGTTTTAAGTAGGGTCCAGAACAGGAGAAGGCTCTGCAACAAGTCCAGGTTGCTGTGCAAGCTGCTGTTCCACGTGGCCCATATGACTCAGCAGATGCAACGGTGCTTGAAGTGGCAGTGGCAGATAAGGGTACTGTTTGGAGCCTTTGGCAGGCCACCATAGGTGAATCACAGTGGAGGCCTCTAGGACTTTGGAGCAAGGCCCTGCCATCTTCTGCAGATAACTAGTCTCCTTTTGAGAGACAGCTCTTGGCTTGTTACTGGGCTTTGGTGGAAACTGAACATTTGACTATGGGTCATCAGGTCACCGTGTGACCTGGACCCCTATCATGAACTGGGTGCCTAGCCATAAAGTAGGTCTTGCACAGCAGCATTCCATCAACAAATGGAAGCGGTATATATGTGATCAGACTTGAGCAGGTCCTGAAGGCACAAGTAAGTTACATGAGGAAGTGGCTCAAATGCCCATGGTCTCCACTTCTGCCACCCTGCCTTCTCTTCCCCATCCTGCACCGATGGCCTCATGGGGAGTTCCATATGATCAATTGACAGATGAAGAGAATACTAGGGCCTGGTTCATAGACGATTCTGCATGATATGCAGGCACCACCCAAAAGTGCACAGCTGCAGCACTACAGCCCCTTTCTAGGACATCCCTGAAGGACAGTGGTGAAGGAATATCTCCGCAGTGGGCAGAACTTTGAGCAGTGCACCTGGTTATGCACTTTGCATGGAGGGAGAAATGGCCAGATGTGTAATTACATACTGATTCATGGACTGTAGCCAGTGGTTTGGCTGGATGGTCAGGGACTTGGAAGAAGCATAATTGGAAAACTGGTAACAAAGAAATTTGGGGAAGAGGTATGTGGATGGACCTCTGTGAGTGGTCAAATACTGTGAAGATATTTGTGTCCCATGTGAGTGCTCACCAATAGGTGACCTCATCAGAGGAGGATTTTAATAATGAAGTGGATAGGATGACTCATTCTGTGAACACCACTCAGCCTCTTTCTCCAGCCACCCCTGTCATTGCCCAATAGGCCCATGAACAAAGTGGCCATGGTGTCAGGGATGGAGATTACACATGGGATCAGCAACATGGACTTCCACTCACCAAGGGTGACCTGGCTATGGCCACTTCTGAGTGCCCAGTTTGCCAGCAGCAGAGACCAACACCAAGGCCTTGATATGGCACAATTCCTTGGGGTGATCGGCCAGCTACCTGGTGGCAGATTGATTATATTGGACCTCTTCCATCATGGAAAGGCCAGAGGTTGGTCCTCACTGGAATAGACACTTACTCCACATATGGGTTTGTCTATCCTGCACACAATGCTTCTGTCAAGACTACCATCCATGTACTCACAGAATGCCTTATCCACTGTCATCGTATTCCACACAGCATTGTCTCTTGACCAAGGTACTCACTTTACGGCTAAAGAAGTGCAGCATGGACTCATGCTCATGGAATTCACTGGTCTTACCATGTTCCCCATAATCCTGAATCAGCTGGATTGATAGAATGGTGGAATGGCCTTTTGAAGTCACAATTACAATACCGACTAGGTGACAATACTTTGCAGGGCTGGGGCAAAATTCTCCAGAAGGCCGTATGTGCTCTGAATCAGCATCCAATATGTGGTACTGTGTCTCCTATAGCCAGGATTTGTGGGTCCAGGAATCAAGGGGTGGAAGTGGAAGTGGCACCACTCACCATCACCCCTAGTGATCCACTAGCAAAATTTTTGCTTCCTGTTCCCACAACATTACATTCTGTTAGCCTAGAAGTCTTAATTCCAGAGGGAGATACAACAACAATTCCATTAAACTGGAAGTTAAGATTGCCACCTAAACACTTTGGGCTCCTCCTACCTTTAAGTCAACAGGTTAAGAAGAGAATTACAGTGTTGGCCGGGGTGGCTGACCCGGACTATCAAGGTCAAATCAGTCTACTTCTCCTCAATGGAGGTAAGGAAGAGTATGCATGGAGTACAGCAGATCCATTAGGGCATCCCTTATTATTACCATGCCCTGTGATTAAGGTCAATGGGAAACTACAACAGCCCAATCCAGGCAGAGCTACAAATGGTCCAGACTCCTCAGGATTGAAGGTTTGGGTCACTTCACCAGGAAAAAAGCCATGACCTGCTGAGGTCCTTGCTGAAGGCAAAGGGAATACGGAATGGGTAGTAGAAGAAGGTAGTCATCAACACCAGCAACAACCACGTGACCAGCTGCAGAAACAAGGACTGTAATTGTCATATTTCCTCCTTTTGTTAAAAACATGTTTGTGCATGTGTACACTTGTACTAAGATTTATTTCCTTTTCCTTTATCATGTGACATAAGATTTATTGACTTCATATCAGCATTTAAGTATTATTAACTTTACGTAATATTTAGGTTGGGGATTGGTGCATTTCTGGTTGTACGAAGGATAGTTGTATTATGTTGGGCATAATTATGACCTTATTATTGTCTTTATTTGAAGATTATGTGTGATCTCAGGAGACATGTATGGGTTCAAGTTGACAAGGGGTGGACTTGTGATGGTCAATACTGAGTGTCAACTTGATTGGATTGAAGGATGCAAAGTATTGATCCTGGGTATGTCTGTGAGGGTGTTGCCAAAGGAGATTAACATTTGAGTCAGTGGGCTGGGGAAGGCAGACCTACCCTTAATCTGGTGGGCACCATCTAAACAGCTTCCAGTGAATATAAAGCAGGTAGAAAAATGTGAAAAGGAGAGACAGGCCTAGCCTCCCATCCTACATCTTTCTCCCTTACTGTATTATGTGGACGTACCATAGTTTATTCAACCAGTTTTCCAGGGATGGGTATTAAGTCATTCATAATATTTTGATATTATAAATAATGCCACAATTATAAATAAATTTGGGAAGAGCTGCTATCTTTACCATTTGAATCTTTCTATCCATGAACATGACATGTCTCCATTTATTCAGGTCTTTGATTTATTTCATCAAATTGTTCTAATTTTCAGCATAAAGATACTACACACATTTTGTTAAATGTACATAATTTCTTATGGTTATAAATGATATTGTGTTATTTTTGGTTTCTCTATGTTCATGTTTATATATAGAAATGCAATTAATTTTGGGTGTTGATCTTGTATACTGCAAAGTTGCTGAACTCACTTATTAGTTTTAGAAGTTTTTGTCGATTTCTTGGGGGTTCTACATAGACAATCATGTCACCTGCAAATAGCAACAATTTTATTTCTTTTTTTCCAATCTGTATGGCTTTTATCTCTTTTTCTTGCCTTATTGCAATGGCCAGAACATCCAATACTATGTTATATAGCAGTGGTAGGAAAGGACCTTTTAACCTTGCTTCCAGTCTCAGGGAGAAACTATTTAGTATTTCTAGCTATAGGGTGATTATAGGTTGTCTTTACCAAGTTGAGGTGATTCTCTTTTATTACTAACTTGCTAAGAGTTTTCACTGGGAGTGTATGCTAGATTTTGTCAAATGCTTTTTCTTTGTCAGTTGATATAATCACATGATTTTTCTTCTTTAACTTGTGGATAGTTGAATTACATTGATTGATTTTCAGATGAGAAGTGACATTGGAGAGGTAAAAAAGGGAGTAGACTTTATAGACCTTTGACAAGGAAATGGAGATGTTCAGATTCAATCTATCACCTAGCATGTTCCAAAATCTGTCCTGTGGTGTATGCTAATAAATGATATATAAAAATATAATTTCATGGTAAAATTATAGTCATGTGCTGCATAAGGACAGACTAAAACAGCAGACTATATATATGACAGTGGTTCCATAATATTATATGGAACAACACTATACTGATGTAAGTTCCATAAGGCTATAATACCATATTTAAACTCTACCTTTTCTATGTTCAGATATGTTTAGAAACACAAATACTTACATTGTGTTACAATTACCTACAGTATTCCATACAGTAACATGCCGTACATGTTTATAGCCTGGGAGCAACAGGCTGTAACATATAGCCTAGGTGTGTGGTAGGCTCCACCTTGTAGTTTTGTGTAAGTGCACTCTAGGATCTTCACACAATAAGAAGGTTGCCTAATGACAGATTTCTGAGAATGGATTCCTATTGTTCAGCGATGTGCGATTGTTCAGTACGTTCTCACTTAGCATCATTGATAGGTTCTTGGAAACTGTGGCTTTAAGTAGAACAGCATGTAACAAAACTAATTTTACCATAGGCTAATTGATATAAATAAAAGTTAAGTTTTGATGGCATATTTCTAGTCACAAAAACATCACCAAACTTCTAAATAAAGACCCCAAACACTTATAATATTAAACATTGAAATAAATGTGAGCTATACGTACTTTGAAGAAAGATGAATAAAGACAAGCAAGATAATTATTTACCCAATTATTTAAGTTCAGGGTTTTGGGAGGCCAGATTCCATCCCAGCAGCTCAGGGTGCAAGGCAGGAACCAGCCCTGGACAGGACGCCGTTCCATCACAGGGTGCACTCACACACACCGACACTCACCCAGACTGGGACCATTTAGACACGCCAGTGAAGCTAACCTGCACAGCTTTGGGATGTGGGAGGAAAGTGGAATATGTGAAAACCCATGCAGACGTGGAGACAGTATGCTAACTCCACAAGGACAGTGGCCCCAGCCAGGCTTCCATTTTTTTTTCTCATCAATATTACAATGAAATGTCATTGAATAAAATGACATTACTTGTGGACCGGTGTAGTTTGAGAAACAGTGGGTTAAACTAAGCTCGATAAACTTCTTTGCTGCTGAACTTACCAGAGCTTTTAATGTGCTGTGTTGAGTGATTTCTGTGTCTACAAAATGGGAATAAAGTCTGTAGAATTTCCTAATCCTGTTTATCCACGTAATGAACATTTTCCAAGATGTCAGTGGCAATTGGAGGATGCACTTTGGGAATCATTGCGTTAGGCAGTTTGTTCATTTACATCTCGGACTCAGGGGGTATCATAAAGGGAATCACTGACCCACAGAACTGTAGCTGGCTTCCTAACTGCTGTGATGCTTATTTTATTATGTGTTGAGTGGGGGGAAAATACCTCCCATGGGTGGGCTGTGAGGTGTTGAGGTTAAAAGTGTGGGTCTACAGTCAGATATCTGGGTTGAAATCCTCGCTTTGCTACCTAGAGGGTGAGGGAGGACATTGGGAAAATTACTTAACCACTCGGTGCCTCAGTTTCCTCAAATGTAGCATGAAAATAGTAGCAATTCCTGCTCTCTAATATTTTAAAAACAGTTAAATGAATGAAACATATAAAGCATTAGAGGGTGTCAGACACATAGCAACCATCCAGCGGTCACAATCTGGCATGTGAATCATCAGAGCATTAAGTGAGATGGTTTGTGAGGCATCTGTCTGTCAATACTGTTACTCTGAAAGCATTCATTCGGAATGTGGACCTGAGGGAAGGCTGTTGTAGGATGATTTAGGAGAAGGTGAATCTCTGACTCCGTAATGGATTCTTTGAGAACTAGGAATAGTGAGAATGGAGGTGGAGAGGCAGAGGTCGCTCTTACAAATATTTTCATGGAGACTCTTCAGGAGTTGGTGGTTGAATATGAAACGTAAAGAGGACAAGCCAAAGATGGCATCAAGATGGAGCCTCTGTGTTGGGGGAGTGGCCTCCAGGAATGATGTGTGTCCTGGATATCAATGTGTAAGACAAGATTTTAGTGTTCTAGTTAAAAATGATAGATATTTCAGTTTTTGGTTTTAATAAATGCAGGAAAATTAAGAGTTTCAGCCCATTTATGCACACACCTGAAACCTGATCAATGTTGGCGAAGGAACAATCTGATTACACAGTTGTACTACAAGGAAAATTATGCCCATGATGCAACTTTGAACTTTGAGGACATCGCAGCTTTTTATTGAGGGCACTGAAGTGGAGGAATGGCTCCTCTGAGAGGAAATTAAGCAAGAGAAAGGCATGCTGGTGCTCAGAATGAAGAAGAGAAACAATGCAAGAAGGAAGAATTGAAAAGGTCCCTAGGGAAATCAATATGCATAAATTAAAGAATGGGAGAAGAGGAAATGTGATTGCCATAGCAGAGAAAATTTAAGTAAATATGATCTTAGTAAAATGACTTAAAATAAGCCAAAGGTATAAAACATAACTCACTCTGCATATATAATAATGGACTTTAACCCAACTTTGTTTTCATCTTATTTCTCGTTTTCTTGGATAGTGCTTGTGGATCCTAACATTTGGAAACCCATGGAAGCCCAGAATACCACTATTAGAAAGGAAAAAGTCTAAAAGCATTTGAACAACAAATATTTTAGTGGATTGGTATCTTTAGTTGATAACATATTAAATGTGTGTGTATTGTTTAACTTTAGTTGAATATTCTTGTTTAACTTTAGTTGAATATTTTTTCTTCTGTCTTTATTTTTCATGATCTTTTCCTTCAAAGTATCTTCCCAGCAGTCCTCAAACCAGAGCAGTGAACACCTTGAATGAGTGGATTTTCCCAGATAATTCTGCTTGTTTCTGTGCCAAGCACTAGGGCTTGGAATAAACCTGAGTCAATGCGTTTGGGAATAAGCCTGAGTCAATGCTTTTGGGAAGAAGAAAGGAAATTAATTTGTATCTGGCTGGTGTGGTAGGCAGAATAATGACCCTCCCAAGGATATCCATATCCGAATCCCTGGAACCTGTAAATATATGACTTTTCATGACAAAAAGGACTTTGCACATGTGACTAAGGTTAAGGACCTTGAGGTGGAGAGATTAGTTTAGCCTAGATTATTCAAATTTGCCTAGTGTAATCCCAGAGTCTTTAAAGTGGATGAGGGAGGCAGAGTGGAGTCAGCAGGAGATGTGAAGAGGGAAGAAGGTTCAGGTCAGTGCCATGCTGCGGACTTAGAGATGGAGTGGGGCCATGAGCCAAGGAAAGCAGCTGCCTCCAGAAGCTGGCAGAGGCAGGGAGCAGGTTCCCTCTTGCCTGGAGCCTTCAGAAGGGCACACAGCCCTGCTGCTACTTCCATTTGAGCTCTGTGAGACCCACACTGGACTCCTGACCTAACATTTATTTTTATTTAAACTACTAAATTTGTGGTAATTTACAGTGGCATGTAGAGAATGAATACAGCAGCTCTTAATACCTACATTGTGCCAGACAGAGAGAGAGAGAGAGAAACCGAGGAACTGCTAGATAAGACAGACACAGAGAAAGAGATAAGAGCAGTGCAGAACTGCCCAGATAGCTGCCCTGCAAAATTATGAGCTGCTTTTGTTTAAGCCAGGTGTCCCCAGCCCCCAGGCAGTTGACTGATACCAGTCTGTGGCCTTTTAGGAACCAGGCCGCACAGCAGGATGTGAGCGGCGCTAGAGCAAGTGAAGCTGCATCTGTATTTACAGCTGCTCGCTGTTGCTCACATTACCACCTGAGCTCCGCCTCCTGTCAGATCAGCAGCAGCATTAGATTCTCATAGGAGCACGAACCCTATTGTGAACTGCGTGTGAAGGATCTAGGCTGCAGCCTCATTATGAGAATCTAATGCCTGATGATCAGTCACTGTCTCCCATCACCCACAGATGGGATTGTCTAGTTGCAGGAAAACAAGCTCAGGGCTCCCACTGATTCTACATTATGGTGAGTTGTATGATTATTTCATTATATATTACAACGTAATAATAATAGAAATAAAGTGCACAATAAAGGTAATGTGTTTGGATCATCCCGAAACCATCCCCTCTCCCTGGTCTGTGGAAAAATTTTCTTCCACGAAATTGGTCCCTGGTGCCAAAAAGGTTGGGGACCACTAGTAGGCCACTAAACTTTGGGGTAGTTTGTGATTTCGTGACAGGTAAAATAGATATAGATGAGATCAGTTCTGGCCAAGGAGGCACGAAAGCGTCTGCAGTGAAGGTTTTTCTTGCTGGTGAAGGAGCCTCACAGGAAGGAACGGGTTGTGCTTTTCTGCCTCTGGACCTTTCCCTGAGGATGCTCTGTCAGAGCCGCAGCATCGTCCTGGAGGGACAGGGAAAGAGGATATGCTGTACTGTGTGCCTGCAGTGGGCAGAGGAGCTGTGGGTGGGAACCCCAGGCAGTGGCCACATTCACCTCGGTTTCCCTTTCAACAAGGCTGACTGACATTTCCCTCTCTAGCAATGTATTAGACCTGAGGTATCAGTTAAAGGCTAGTCGGGAAGAAGGAAAAAAATCTAGACACTTATTCAGAATAGCATTTAAAACAGAGGGTGAGGGAGCTGTGAATCTGAAGGCCTGCATGCACAGGCTTGAAGGAGTCTCCTGAGTTCAGATTGACTTGGAGGTTTCAACAAGTCAGAAGTTCCAGCACTGGAAGAATCCACTGGCCCATCTACAGCTGTCTCCAGCCCGGGTGCAGGGAGTTTCCGGGAAGATCCCAGAAAGGAGGCTGCTTCAAGTCGCCTCTGTGTAAAGTCCTCACATCTACTCACCACAGCTAAAGAAGAACAACAAGCATACATTTCCACAAGTGGAATTGTGACAATTGTGACTGTCAGTTTGACAGAAATGAAATCCTACTTCTCTTCTGATTTCCAGACCTCATGCAAGTGCCTTTGGTTGACAGAATCTCATTTGGAATCCCGCTGCCAGGGTTTCTGGCAGGTGCAGCATCCAGTCTTCCAGCCCCTAGATACAGGGCTCTTAGGGTGGCCGTAGAGTTTGTCATCCAAATCAAGACACGTTTGAAAATGAAATGCAAGCTTGGTAATAAATACAACAAGGTGAATATTGGACTGGTTTCAGGGAGCCCAAGCGATGTGATGCAGAAAGCATAGACAGAGAGGATGGTGCTGCTTTGCAGGAGGCAGGCTGGTGCATCTGGTCAACCGTGGCATTCTATCTCCTTCTGGGATGGAGTGAGGGCCCAGCAGGAGAAAGCCTTAAGCTCTACCTTTGAGCCAGCACTTGTATTTATTAAGATCTTATTGGGCATTTTGGCACTTCCCTCCCGCTCTTTATTTATTATTTATTTTTTATTATACTTTAAGTTCTATAAGTTCTAGGGTACATGTGCACAACGTGCAGGTTTGTTACATATATATACATGTGCCATGTTGGTGTGCTGCACCCATTAACTCATCATTTACATTAGGTATATCTCCTAATGCTTTCCCTACCCCCTCCCCCCCCCCACAACAGGCCCTGGTGTGTAATGTTCCCCTTCCTGTGTCCAAGTGTTCTCATTGTTCAATGCCCACCTATGAGTGAGAACATGCGGTGTTTGGTTTTTTGTTCTTGCGATAGTTTGTTGAGAATGATGGTTTCCGGCTTCATCCATGTCCCTACAAAGGACATGAACTCATCATTTTTTGTGGCTGCATAGTATTCCATGGTGTGTATGTGCCACATTTTCTTAATCCAGTCTATCATTGATGGACATTTGGGTTGGTTCCAAGTCTTTGCTATTGTGAATAGTGCCGCATTAAACATACGTGTGCATGTGCCTTTATAGCAGCATGATTTATAATCCTTTGGGTATATACCCAGTAATGGGATTGCTGGGTCAAATGGTATTTCTAGTTCTAGATCCTTGAGGAATCGCCACACTGTCTTCCACAATGGTTGAACTAGTTTACAGTCCCACCAACAGTGTAAAAGTGTTCCTATTTCTCCACATCCTCTCCAGCACCGGTTGTTTCCTGACTTTGTAATGATCACCGTTCTAACTGGTGTGAGATGGTATCTCATTGTGGTTTTGATTTGCATTTCTCTGATGGCCAGTGATGATAAACATTTTCTCATGTGTCTTTTGGCTGCATAAATGTCTTCTTTTGAGAAGTGTCTGTTCATATCCTTTGCCCACTTTTTGATGGGGTTGTTTTTTTTTTTTTTTGTAAATTTGTTTGAGTTCGTTGTAGATTCTGGATATTAGCCCTTTGTCAGATGAATAGGTTGCAAAATTTTACTCCCATTCTGTACGTTGTCTGTTCACTCTGATGGTAGTTTCTTTTGCTGTGCAGAAGCTCTTTAGTTTAATTAGATCCCATTTGTCAATTTTGGCTTTTGTTGCCATCGCTTTTGGTGTTTTAGACATGAAGTCCTTGCCCATGCCTATGTCCTGAATGGTATTGCCTAGGTTTTCTTCTAGAATTTTTATGGTTTTAGGTCTAACATTTAAGTCTTTAATCCATCTTGAATTAATTTTTGTGTAAGGTGTAAGGAAGGGATCCAGTTTCAGCTTTCTACATATGGCTAGCAAGTTTTCCCAGCACCATTTATTAAATAGGGAATCCTTTCCCCATTTCTTCTTTTTGTCAGGTTTGCCAAAGATCAGATGGTTGTAGATGTGTGGTATTATTTCTGAGGGCTCTGTTATGTTCCATTGGTCTGTATCTCTGTTTTGGTACCAGTAACATGCTGTTTTGGTTACTATAGCCTTGTAGTATAGTTTGAAGTCAGGTAGCGTGATGCCTCCAGCTTTGTTCTTTTGGCTTAGGATTGACTTGGCAATGCAAGCTCTTTTTTGGTTCCATTTGAACTTTAAAGTAGTTTTTTCTAGTTCTGTGAAGAAAGTCATTGGTAGCTTGATGGGGATGGCATTGAATCTATAAATTACCTTGGGCAGTATGGCCATTTTCATGATATTGATTCTTCCTATCCATGAGCATGGAATGTTCTTCCATTTGTTTGTGTCCTCTTTTATTTTGTTGAGCAGTGGTTTGTAGTTCTCCTTGAAGAGGTCCTTCACATCCCTTGTAAGTTGGATTCCTAGGTATTTTATTCTCTTTGAAGCAATTGTGAATGGGAGTTCACTCATGATTTGGCTCTCCGTTTGTCTGTTATTGGTGTATAAGAATCTTGTGATTTTTGCACATTGATTTTGTATCCTGAGACTTTGCTGAAGTTGCTTATCAGCTTAAGGAGATTTTGGTCTGAGACGATGGGGTTTTCTAGATATACAATCATGTCATCTGCAAACAGGGACAATTTGACTTCCTCTTTTCCTAATTGAATACCCTTTATTTCTTTCTTCTGCCTGATTGCCCTGGCCAGAACTTCCAACACTATGTTGAATGAGAGTGGTGAGAGAGGGCATCCCTGTCTTGTGCCAGTTTTCAAAGGGAATGCTTCCAGTTTTTGCCCATTCCATATGATATTGGCTGTGGGTTTGTCATAAATAGCTCTTATTATTGTGAGATACGTCCCATCAATACCTAATTTATTGAGAGTTTTTAGCATGAAGGGCTGTTGAATTTTGTCAAAGGCCTTTTCTGCATCTATTGAGATAATCATGTGTTTTTTGTCTTTGGTTCTGTTTATACGCTGGATTATGTTTATTGATTTTCGTATGTTGAACCAGCCTTGCATCCCAGGGATGAAGCCCACTTGATCATGGTGGATAAGCTTTTTGATGTGCTGCTGGATTCGGTTTGCCAGTATTTTATTGAGGATTTTTGCATCGATGTGCATCAGGGATATTGGTCTAAGATTCTCTTTTTTTGTTGTCTCTCTGCCAGGCTTTGGTATCAGGATGATGCTGGCCTCATAAAATGAGTTAGAGAGGATTCCCTCTTTTTCTATGGATTGGAATAGTTTCAGAAGGAATGGTACCACCTCCTCCTTGTACCTCTGGTAGAATTCGGCTGTGAATCTGTCTGGTCCTGGACTTTTTTTTGGTTGGTAGGCTATTAATTATTGCCTCAATTTCAGAGCCTGTTATTGGTCTATTCAGGGATTCAACTTCTTCCTGATTTAGTCTTGGGAGGGTGTATGTGTTGAGGAATTTATCCATTTCTTCTAGATTTTCTAGTTTATTTGCATAGAGGTGTTTATAGTATTCTCTGATGGTAGTTTGTATTTCTGTGGGATTGGTGGTGATATCCCCTTTATCATTTTTTATTGCGTCTATTGGATTCTTCCCTCTTTTCTTCTTTATTAGTCTTGCTAGTGGTCTATCAATTTTGTTGATCTTTTCAAAAAACCAGCTCCTGGATTCATTGATTTTTTGAAGGGTTTTTTGTGTCTCTATCTCCTTCGGTTCTTTTCTTCGCTCTTTAAATTCTAAGAACAAAACTGCAAAATAAGAGTTATGATCATAGCCAGGCAGCAATTGTTTTGTGAACTCTTACTATATGCTGGGCACTGCTCTTGGCACTGGGGATACAGCTAGGGTGATCAGCTGTCTGGGTTTGCCTGGGGATGTCCTGGAGTCAGCACTTCAAAGTCTTGAGTCCTGGGAAACTACGTGGCATCAGGCAAACACAGACAGTTGGTTGGTTTGTTACAGTGGTGAACGAGGCAGTCTTCACATCAAGGAACACATATTCAAGTTGGAGGGTCCAGAGACGAACACAAAATACAAACATAAGACAAAGGGCACAACTTTACATGGAGTGTGCCAGCAGGTTAGGAAGAATTTAAAGTATTTATATGTATATTGGTTTATCTGTTTATTTTATAAAATGAGCTGTCTTCTTCTTTCTCCAGTGGATGAAAGAGCTGGTTCCCTCAGCACACTCTTTGGTTTTCGGAACCACTGTTGACTGCCTCAAGCAGGTGCAGGTAGGGGTGAATAAATGCCCTTGCCTGGGGTAAGTCTATGGAAGGACCTTTTCCGGCTGATGCAGCCTGCCCTTCCTGAATCCGTGTAGTCTTTGGGGCCAAGGAGGCAACTTTTCAAATAGGCCACATGTCCTAGGAAGAGGAGGGTGAGACTCTGGCCCTGCTCCCCTTTAAAGCCAGAATTGTTAGATGCTTTCTGATAGCTGAGGGCAATCCTTACTGAGGAGTGGGTAGAAGACATACCCCATCCCCTCAAGAGAGCTGGCCATGAGGGAATGTGGGCTGGACCCAGGGAGTCCTGGTCACTGCTATATCAAGGATGACCCACTGTCCTGGTTTTCCCAGAACTGAGGGGTTTCCTTCAAACCCACAGCCCCCTTGGTGGCTCTTAGGGTGACCATAGAGTTTGTCACCCAAATCAAGACACTTTGGAGAGTGAAATGCCAGGTTGTTAATAAATACAACAAGGTGTATATTGGACTGGATTCAGGGAGCCCGAGAGATGTGATCTTAACCACATTAGATAACATTGTACCAGATTCAGATTCCAGGGAGGTGCAGCCAATGTGTGGCTGAGGCTGGAGACCCTCCCTCATTCAGGCACCTTGCTAAGGTGGTGGGTTTTGGGGACAGTGACTGTTCTGTAGATGCTAACTAAGCAGTTCAGATATAAGCTACATTGTCCAATTGCAGATGAAAATGTTCTCAGTAAAATATTCTAGAAAGAATATATCTTAATTTAAACAATATGAGGTTTCTGCCATTTTGGAAAATGAAATTTTCTTTAAATAATCTGAGATACAGCAGTATTGAGAGCTCAGGAGGCAAAACAACCTTTTTGACACTGAGAGTGTTAAAAGACCCTCAGTGGACCCCGACAAGAGTGGAGCCCACTGGGCCACGGGTAACATGAGGTGGGGGCTGCCTTCCTGGACGATCAGCTGTGGCCTAGCTGGGATCTGCACTGCCATCAATGTGCTGAGGACTGGAGGTCCCACAGCTAGCCAGGCGTGGAACAGGATTTGAACCCAAGTCTCTCTGCAAAGCTCACACTCTTATACTTACAGGATGGCAGCTCTCGCCCACTTTACTAAGTAGCCACAATGCAGTGTGCAATGTTATCAAATAGTTGCAGCAGAAAGGGATGTGGAATGCAGAGGAGAAAGGCATGAGCTTTGTCAGGGAACTGGGACTGGGGGAAAGAGATAGTGGGTATCTGCAAGTCCCTGTTTGTCCATATAGCTGTACTGCTGGCTGCTGCTTCCTGGTGTCATTTAGAAAAATTCCCAAAGAAGAACTTAGCACTTACCCGGGCCTGATGCTTGAGGTCTGGAGTCCTTAAGGTGTGTGTGTAAGTACTTATTTCCTTGAAACCTTGAGACCCTCAAGAGAGGGGGACTAAAAACAGTGGAGGAAGAAAAGAACAGTGGCCAAGGGAGTCGTGGGTGAAGTTTGCTGGGCCCTTGGCAATGCTAAAACCAGGTAAGAACCAGGGTGTGGATTTCTGCTCCAGGGAGCACCTTTCACAGCAGTTCATCCATTGCTTACTTTCATGGGGATATGTGTGTTGTAAAAGGTCTTCAATGATTGATTGTGCAAACATATAACATTTCCACAATATACTAGGTGAAGACCTTTTTGCAGAGTGCCGTCAATAAGTGCCTCATGAATAGCCATTCATAGCCTGACCTGCTTAATAATGTAAAAGAGTATAAAATTCCAGGTAACTAAAAAAATATTTTTGATGCATTCTCAAAATTGGGTCTTGCCATAGAGGAGCATAGGACATACCTCCATTTATTCAAGACTTCTTTTATTTCCTTTGATAAATTAGCAAATTTCTTTGTTTAAATCCTACAAATTCTTGAGGTACATTCATATATATTCACACAGGCACACAATTATACCTACATATACATACACGTGTAAATTTTGCTGTTCTTTTGGATAGGATATACAATAAAGCTACTGAGTCTTATAAAATTATTTTGCTAGGCAGCTTATTAAATTCTTTTCTGTTTTATTTGACCATGTTCTCTAGGTGGATCACCTACAAATCCTACATTTTAAATAATTTTCAAGGTTTACAGCTCCTATTCCTTTTTAAAATCCATTACATTTAGTTAAAACCTCCAGAATATGTTAAATATTGACAGTGATTGTGGCCATCCTTGTCTTATTTCAAAATTGAATTGAGATTTTTCTAGTGTCTCACTATCAAGGTTGCTGTTAGTTTCTCATAAATTTTCTTTATCATGCTGATGAAATTGTAAAATTGCTGTAAGTCTTTCCCAGGAAAGGATATTTAAAATTATCAAGTATCTGGCCAGGCACAGTGGCTCATGCCTGTAATTCCAGCACTTTGGGAGGCCGAGGCAGGCGGATCACTTGAGGTCAGGAATTCAAGACGAGCCTGGCCAAGAAGGCAAAACCCTGTTTCTACTAAAATTACAAAAATTAGCCATGCGTGTTGGTGCATGCCTGTAATCCCAGCTACTTGGGAGGCTGAGGCAGGAGAATCACTTGAACCCAGGTAGTGGAGGTTGCAGTGAGCCAAGATCGTGTCACTGTGCTCCAGCCTGGGCAATAGAGCAAGCCTCCATCTCAACAACAACAACGAAAATTGTCAAGTATCTTTTTGGCATTTACTGGTTGTGTTCATCATAATTGCCTTTTGTTGCTGGAGGAAACTGAGATGTTTGTTCTGCAGTAGCTCCTGCTTTCTATGTTCAGTTCGTTGCTTCCTTGTGGTCTCGTAGTGTCCTTTAACTCAGTCTTTTATTGCCTGTATTCTTTTTATTTTCTTTTTCTTTTCTTTTCTTTTTTTTTTTTTTAAGATGGAGTCTCGCTCTGTCACCCAGGTTGGAGTGCAGTGGCACAATCTTGGCTCACTACAACCACTGCCTCCCAGGTTCAAGTGGTTCTCGTGCCTCAGCCTCCCAAGTAGCTGGGATTACAGACGTGCACCACCACAACTGGCTAATTTTTGTATTTTTAGTAGAGACGGGGTTTCACCATATTGGCTAGGCTGGTCTCGAACTTCATGTGATCCGCCTGCCTTGGCCTCCCAAAGTGCTGGGATTACAGGTGTGAACCACCGTGCCCAGCCATTGCCTGCATTTTCTATGCACTGCTGGTTACTTCTAGAGGCTTGGCTGCATTCAGGCTCAGCTACTCGGGGAAGAGGACTTCCTAGGTGGCGCTGCTTTCTTCCTGCTGCATCGTGTTGGGAGTCCCTCTCATGCCTGGCTGTGCCATATTTAGCAAGATTACGGCTGATCTGAGGGCTCAGGTATCGTCAGTCAGCAGCACGTTTCATCATAGGGTTCCCCATTAACCTTCCACCTCATGGTTTTAGCATCTATTAACAATTGTCTCCATCTATTATTTTAATAGGGGTTGCAAAATGGTGACTTAAAAAATAACTATGATTGTTTTTTCCACTTAGTAGCTGAATTTTCCTATAAAGAGAAACTCGGGTCACCTTGAATTATAATTTGTACAGGAAAGGCAGAGCAAATGCTTGATTCTTTCTTTCCTTACCCTTTGTTAGAACAGCAAGTTAGTGCCTTGGTGACCTTAGAAAAAAAGAGGAAGGAGGTAGCTGATGCGATGCTGCAACTAGGGATGTGATGACTTTTGCTGTTTCCTGCTTCTGTCAGCAACTGGTAAGGTTGAAGAGTGTCTTTGCTTTAAGTTGTTCAAAAAGCCTTTTGCAAGGGTCATGAAAAAATGTTGGAGAGAGGGCTCTTGTTGATCTCTGAGTGGTAATCTTCATTCTATCTCACTGCTTTCCCTCTTTACGTCCATTTGTTCTGCTGGTTAGAACATTTAGGACATCTGTTCTCTGGAGGGATAGGGCAATTTAATTTGTCTCAGGTTATTTTTATTGTTTGTTTTGTAATTTATTATCGATCATGTGATATTTCAACATTTCCCCTGTTTGCTGAGTAAAATTCTGTAGTTACCATGTTGGGGGAACAATGTTGCATCCTTGGGGCCAAGATACTGGGATGCCTGTGTTTCTTTGGAAATGATTCAAAGCTAAGTCTTGGGTTCTTTGTATTTATTACCATATTTCGAGAGCCTCCAAGAGGAAGCTAAATAAACCAGAGAGGATAAACCTCTACAGAGAAACAACAAAAGGTATCTCCATTGTGCCTCCCTTAAAAATAGCAATAGCTAAATAATAAAAATAAAAAACAAAATAGCAATAGCTTTATTATGGGTGATAAGGAGAAGGATGTGTGTGTGTGTGTGTGTGTGTGTGTGTGTGTGTGTGTGTTTGCCTGTGAACACTGAATTAGGGAGTGACCATGAAAAACTAATTTGGGAAAACCCCCCAGCCTGTATCAATCTGCATTTTGTGAGTCAGGGAGTAAGCAAAAGATACTTTCAAGCTAGGTCCCTGTAGGTATGAGCAGCAGCTACTGTCACGATAGATAGGATTTGCATTCACCCTATTGTGAACCACGTGGGTAGACGGTGACTGTTTCAGCCGATGTGTGAGGTTCACTTCAGGGCCCACTGAATAATTTTGAGGAAGAGTTTTGACTCAAAAGAAAACTTGTCTTTGGGTGTGTCCTGCAAAAATCAGTGGGTGTTTTGGGTCAAGACTGTTTTTGTCTTTTTCCTTGAGAAAATCGAAAATTGAGGCAAAAAAGCAGCCCCAACGATGGCAGATTGGAAACAAGATGGAATTGGGATTGTGATCACAATATGGAAACCTTACAGATGGAAGTCATTGCATGGCTTCGTCCTATTCTACAAGTGCTGACTGAGCACCTGGCATGGTCAAGGGCCCTGTGCAAGGATCTGATAGAGCAGGGATAAGAGACTTTACCTGGGCCTGGAAGTGCCTGTCAGGCTCTAGTAAAAAATGCAGCGAGTGAATAGGCATAATAGGATGTGGCAAGTATTTCAGTGAGGACATATTTGGGGTTCTCAGGAAACTCACAGGACAGATGTGGGCCCCAGGGAGAGTATAAGATACATTGGAGCTGAGACCTGCTGGATGGGAGAGGGATAAGAGGTGAGGAAACTCCACGTGCAAAGGCCCTGCCCCATTAGAGCATTGTCCTCAAATTACACAATGTAAGTTGGATGAGCAATAAAGGCTAGGAGTGAGCAGAAGACTTATAAGACATAACACTGGGAAAATGGCAGTCATCAATGACGCAGGCCTTGCAAGTCAGTAAGACATTTGGATATTCTCTTGGGGACAGTGAGGCATTGAAGGGAGTGACGAGAGTCAGGCAGGTGTTTGAGAAGGCTACTCTGGCTACCTCTGGCCCACAATAAGTCTTAGTAAACACTTGTGTCTTGAGAGGCAGTATTGCACTTTCTTCTCCCTTGCTTTCGTATATGCGGTGGTCCAGCAGAAGAGACCAGTCCTGTACCTGCGATGCATAATTAAATGTGCAGGGTAGGGCAGCCCCATGAGTGCCTTCTCACCTGTCAAACGTCCTTCCTTCCTAGTCTTTCTATGAATTTTACACACTAAAGCCTCAGCCACAATCCTTCATGGTGGTTTAACCAGCAGGGAACCTCCATAACCTAATAAATCAAAGGAATCAATAAAACTAACGTTGCCATGGCCTGGTGCAGCAAAAAACCTAGTGTTTCTAAGAGACAAAAGCTGCTAAACATGCAGGGTTCGTTCTCAGGAAACACCGACTTGTGTACTTTTTCTGTCGGAGAATGGGAGACAAAGAAAAAAAAAAGAGTATCTAGAAAGTAAGACCGAAACATACTTAGATATGGGCAGAGATAAGGAAGCCTCTTGACTTAAAAAGAGGGCTGAATCTAATGTGCTTTGATTGGCAGGAAAAAACACGAGGAAGAAAAGGCAAAGAAACAAACTGATTTCGGCGGGGAGTGTAGTTTCTATTTAGAGCTAGAACAAAGGAGAAGTGCGTCCTTTCAAATTATAGATTCTTTGGGGGAAAAGAGGGACAGAACTTTATCTGAGTTTGGAATGAGTCTGAGTAGCTGCAATAGTAAAGTTGCTTCCAGAAGCAGGTAAACTTGACTTCAAAAAACCCCGCTTCATGAAATATTAGTGATTCACTTCAGTTGCTATCTGAGGAAGTTCTGGTAGAGAGAAGAGCTCAAGAGCATGGGCAGAGTCAGCTCCTGAGTGGGCTGAACGCTCCCCTCAGCTCCTGCAGTGCTAATTAAGGGAGGGAGCAGCGGGGAGCTTGCAGTGACCAAGAGGGTGTTGAGGCTAGGAGGCCACGATAAACAGGATACGATAAAAGTCCTTAACCAAGACGCAGATGGGAAGAAGCGTTAGAGCGAGCAGCACTCACATCTCAAGGTTAGTAACCTTCTCAGAAAAAAGACTGGATGTGTCTGAGCTCAACTTTTTAAATGAATCGTGTGCGAAAGGGTGGGGGCTGCCAGTGAAACCATGGCAAGTTGATGCAGCAGGACAAGAGAGTTGCCGGAAAAAGCTGGAGTAAGTTAAGTGCTCGGTGTTCTGTGAACTGTTAGTTTAATGAGGGGTGCAGTTTGTAGTAAAAGGGTGCCAGTTAAGTACTTTTTCTCAGTCTGTCTCTAGAATTGTATTTATAATAGATCTGATCGTAAAGTTCTTGAGAATAAGAAAACTGAGCTAATTTTACCGGCATCTGGTCTGTCAAGCTTAAATCTTCCTTCTCTCCAGCAAGACTGAACAAGGATGAACTTAAATAATAAATGTCCATGATCCAAAGATTTATTATCCTACTCAAGGGTTGGGAAACTTTTTCTGTAAAGGGCCAGATAGTTAATATTTACAGCTTTGTGGGCCGTGTGGTGTCTGTCAGTTGTGACCTAACACCTCTTGGTTCCAGCATTGCAGCACAAAAACAGCGGTGGATGGTATGTAACCAAGTGAGCATGGCTGTCTCCAACCAAACTGTTTATGGAAATCAGTGGGCTGCGCCCAGCCCTCAGGCCATAGTTTCAGAACCCTGTCTTAGAGGATCCCTGCTGAACCCCAACTGGAGTCTTTGCGTTGACTGGAAGTGGGGTTCTACTGGTCACTCAGCAGTAGCCTCACTCCTGGGGACATGTGTATGACTTGCCAAGGTTCTAAGGGTATCGTGGTCTAGAGGAGACCATGTGGCCCACATTGGAAAGGTTCTCTTAATGAGATTATTTGAGGAAGGGAGCAGAAACCCAGACTATTGTGTTCCTGAGGAAATTTTTTTTTTTTTTTTTTTTTTGAGATGGAGTCTCGCTCCTTTGCCCAGGCTGGAGTGCAGTGGTGCGATGTCGGCTCACTGCAAGCTCTGCCTCCTGGGTTCACGCCATTCTCCTGCCTCAGCCTCCTGAGTAGCTGGGACTACAGGTGCCCGCTACCACACCCGGCTAATTTTTTGTATTTTTAGCAGAGACGTGGTTTCACCGTGTTAGCCACGATGGTCTCGATCTCCTGACCTCATGATCCGCCCGCCTCGGCCTTCACTTTGGGATTACAGGCGTGAGCCACCGCACCCGGCCTCCTGTGGAAATCTTACTGGAAGTATGAGCCTCTTAACAGCTGGGGCATCCCAGCAGAAGGCAGGCAAACCCTCGCATCTGAGAAGGAGTGGAGGGAGCAAACGACCTCTCACACTATAATCTTCCCAGCCCCAGTCACTTGTTCTGAGTTTAGCTAGATTTTCTGTTCACAGTCCTCTGCTTTCCAGCATGTGAATAGTTTTCCAAGCAAGTGTCGAAAGGTATCAGAGCAGATTCTCCATCACACACATCAGGTGTTTTTGCATAAACTGGGGAAGGTGGGGTCATTGAGTAGACACTAGGAGACTCCTCCCAATGCTCAGAAACCATAGAGACATCTGGGGAAGCAGGACATATTGTAGGTAGCAGAAACAATGAAACTGAGGTGACAGGGAAGGTTCTACCTGGGTGGACAGCCTACAGGAAGAAGAACAGTGTGGCTGAAGAGTGTTCCCCGTCCCCACCCACCCAGGCCACCTAGGAGTCTGCATTCAGAGGCAAGCTTGTGAGATGAATTCATGCTCATGTGGTTAGCTGAGACATTTTTAATAGTAGAGAAATCCAGTAATATTTTGATTAATGACTTCCTTGAGGACAAAGCTCTTTTATACAGACAGCTCTATTAGAAAAAAAACCTCAAGCCAAAATCCCTTCATAAATCATGCAAAAAATGGCTGCTGACACAACAAAAATAGCTCAAGCGCTGTCTCTATTTGTCTTTGGTTAGATGTTGATAAATAGGGCTCATCTCTAGCAAAGTCGTAACAGCTGGACTTTGTCTTCAGCTGCAAGTCTTTCTGCCCCTTTCATTCGAATCTGTGACCTCTAGGACCCTCAATTCCAGGGTGCAAATACACAAGTTCTCTTCATCTCTTGACTAGTTGGCTCTGGATGCCTTGGGAATAAGGAGTTCCTACAAGTTATTACCAGTTAGTACCCCTTTTCCAGTCCTCCTCCCATGAACCTCATTTCTTTATCCTGGGTGAGGAAGTTCACTTTGGGCCTGATCATAGAAACCACCGAGAGTGGATGATGCTAGGTTTCATCTCATTTCCTTTAGGATTTGAGGCAGCACGGTGTTGCAGATGCCTGCTTGGCCCTCAGCCCTTCTACCTCTCTACCTGCACCTCTACCCCACTTTACCCAACCCTGACCCCTCCCTCAGAAAATAGATATGTTTTGGCATTTGTTTAATAAGCACATAATGATTTTTAAAAATATCTTAAATCATTTATCTGACAACCTCGACTATCATGATCTTTTGCATTATTGATTTCCAGCTGTTATCACAAAGTTGTGACAGAGTGTGTCTGTGGACTCTATGCTTAGACTGTACTATGCTAATGTACTGTATTCTTAGAATGTACTTGGCATCTTTGGACCGGGGTGGTTGGGGGATCAAATGAAATCAATTAATACGTGGCCAACAGCAAGATGGGGTGGCCTCATTCATTGGTAAGACCTGGGGTGAATGTGGACTCATACTATTCACTAGTAACAATTTTTAAAAATTGAGGTGAAATTCACATAACATTGTTCACCTAAGATTTAGTCAACATAAGATTAAACTTTTTTTTTTTTTTTTTGAAACGGAGTCTTGCTCTGTTGACCTGGCTGGAGTGCAGTGGCACAATCTCAGCTCACTGCAACCTCCACCTCCTGGGTTCAAGCGATTCTCCTGTCTCAGCCTCCCAAGTAGCTGGGATTACAGTTGCGCACCACCACGCACAGCTAATTTTTGTATTTTTAGTAGAGTCGGGGTTTCACCATGTTGGCCAGGCTGGTTTTGAATTCCTGACCTCAAGCAATCCACCTGCCTTGGCCTCCCAAAGTACTGGGATTACAGGTGTGAGCCACCACACCAGGTCAAGATTAAATATTTTAAAATATACAGTTCAGTGGTATTTAGTACATCCACAGTGTTCTGTGATGACCGCTTTTATCAGATTCCAAAACATTTTCATCATTTTAAAGAAAACCCCATACCTTAAACAGTCACTCCCTATTCCCTCCTTCCAACAGTCAATCAATTGGCAAATCACCAATCTGCTTTCCATCTCCATGGATTTAACTATCTGGATATTTCATATAAATGGATTCTTACAAAATGTGGCCTTTTGTTTCTGCATTCTTTGACTTAGCATAATGTTATCAAGGCTTATTCATGTTGTAGCATGCATTAGCCCTTCATTCCTTTTTATGGCTGAGTAATATTCCATTGTATGGATTTGATCACAATTTGTTCATTCATTCATTCACCTGTTGGCAGACGCTTGGATCGTTACCACCTTCTGGCTTTTGTGAATAATGCTGCTGTAAACATTGGTCTACAAATATTGGTTTGAGTATATTCTTTTGAGTATATACCTAGGAATAAAACTTCTGGGTCATACAGTAATCCTGTTGAACGTTTTGAAGAATCTCTAAACTGTTCTTCACAGCAGCTGCATCATTTTACATTTCTTTACAACGCTTGTGCAACAGTACACAAGGGTTCGAATTTCTCCACATTTTCCCTAACATATTAATTTTTCTCTTTTTGATTATGTCCATCCTAGTAGATATAAAGTGAGTTCTCATTGTGGTTCTTATTTGTGTTTCCTTATTGACTGATAATGTTGAGCATCTTTTGGAGAAAAATGTCTATTCAAGTACTTTGCCCATTTGAAAATTGGGTTGTTTCTTTTATGTTAAAGTGTGAGAGTTCCTTATATATTATGGATATTAGACCATAATCAGATAGATTATTTGCAAATATTTGCTTGCATTCTGTAGGGTGACTTTTCACTTTCTTGAAAATGTCCTTTGATGCACAAAAGTTTTTAATTTTAGTAAGTCCAATTTATTTTTTTCTTTTGTTGCCCATAGGTTTGCTGTCATGTCTAAGAATCCGTTGACAACTTCCAGGTCTTAAAAATTTACCCCTGTGCTTATTCTAAGATTTCTACAGTCTGAGGTCTTATATTTAGGTCAACCCATTTTGAGTTAATTTTTGTGTTTCACGGAGGTAGGGATCCAATTTCATGCTTTTGCATGTGGCTATCCAGTTGTCCCAGGACCATTTATTGAAGAAGCTATTCTTTCCCCACTCAGTGGGGTTGGCACCTTGTTGAATATCAATTGTTCATAGATGTATGGGCTTATTATTATTTTTATTTGTATAAATTCAAGGGGTACAAGGGCAGTTTTGTACAAGGGCAGTTTTATTATGTAGTGGTGAAGTCTGGACTTTTAATATAACCATCACCTGAATAATATATGTTGTACACATTAAGTAATTTCTATCCCTCACCCCTTTCTACTCTCCCATTCTTCCAAGTCTCCAGTGTCCATTATTGCATACTGTATGTCCATGGGTACACATTATTTTGCTCCCATTTATAAGTGAGAACATGTGGTTTTTGAGTTTCTGTGTCTGAGTTGTTTCATTTAATATAATGGCTTCCCGGTCTATCTATGTTGCTGCAAAAGACATGATTTCATTCTTTTTAGGGCTGTGTAGTATTCCATTGTGGATATATACCACAGTTTCTTTATCTAACCCTTCATTGATGGGCACTTAGGTTGATTCCATATCTTGGTTATTGTGAATAGTGCTGCAATAAACATATAAGGGCAGGTATATTTTTAATATAATGATTTCTTTTCCTTTGGGTAGATACCCTGTAGTGAGACTGCCGGATCTAATGGTAATTCTATTTTTAGTTCTTTGAGGAACTGCCATACTATTTTCCATAGACGTTGTACTAATTTACATTCCCATGAACAGTGTATAAATGTTCTCTTTCCTCCACATCCTACCTAACATCTGTTTTGATCATCATTTCAATTTCCTTGGTCTATTTGTCTATGTATATGCCAATACCCACACTGTTTTGATTACTGTAGCTGTGTACTACAGTTTTGAAATGGGAAATGTTAGTCTTTCAGCTTTTTCTTCTTTTTTAATACCATTTTGGCTATTCAGGACCCCTTGCAATTCTATGTAATATGTTCAGACTTCAGAGTTGGTGGATTCAGTAGCTCAGTAATGCCATCTGAGCCCCACATTCATTCTGTCTCTCTCTACCACCCTGTTTGTCCTCAGGCTGATTTCCTTCAATATGGCTGCCTGTGGTAACCAGGACAGCATTCTTGTTCATGCATAATGAGAGGAGATAAAGATAGAAACAAGGATGGAGAGAAGAGAAATTGTTCACATTCCATGCTGTTTTTCTGGCATGGAATGTGAATAACTTCCTTCACTCTGATGGGCCAACTCAGGCCATAGTTGGCTTCTCTGACCCCTCAAATCAATCATAGTTTTCAGGCTGGGCATGGTGGATCATGCCCGTACTCCCAACACTTTAGGAGGCCAACATGTACAAGTGCAAAATTACATGAGTCCAGAAGCTCCAAGCAAGCCTTGGCAATGTAGCAAGACCCTGTCTCCAAAAAAAAAATAATTTTAAAAAATTAGCTGAGTGTGGTGGCTCAGCTGGGTCCCAGCTACCCAGGAGGCTGAAGTGGGAGGGTCACTTGAGACCAGGAGTTTGAGATCAGCCTGGACAACATAGCACGTCCCCACCTCTACACACACACACACACACACACACACACACACACACACACACAAAATCATAGTTTTCAGTACAATAGCTTCTATTTGTCATAATATCTCTGTGGCGTGTGGAAAGGGGTGGATACTCAAACTCAGGTACAGTACTGCTAGGAGTGAGGAAAGTGAAATGGGTGATGGTCAGTTATCTTTCTAATAATTGAAATCTGATTATATCATTCTGGTGCTTAACAATCTCCAATCGCTCTTAGAATTGTACCAGGAAGTATATAAGGCAAATGTACTCCCACCCCACTCATCTCTACATCTTTCTGTTTCCATCTCCCCTCAATGTATCCAGCTACAATGATTGAAAAACTTCCACAAAGTCTCTGACTTTGTGCACCTGCTCTCCTATCCACCTGGACTGCTCGTTCACACACCTGGCCACACCCTGCATGTGGCCACAGCCTCCTGCTTCTGCAGATTCCAGAACACACTTCACTGCCCGAGAGCCTTTCCCGACCACCAACCTGACACAGCCTCTGCTTGGCTGCAGCCCCAGCCATTCTCTCCCATGCCTGTGTGTGTTGCTTCCTTTTCATAACGTGACATGCACTTCATAACTGTGCATTTATTTGTATGTTCGTCTGATGTCTGTCTTTCCAACTAGACTGGGGGCATGAAAAAGTTTTTCTGTAAAAGAGCAGGTGGTATGTTAGACTTTGGCCGTACACTCTGTTTTGAGATCACGCCAGATGCAGTATGTGTGTGAGAGAGAGAGAGAGACAGAGTGTGTGAGAGTGTGTGCAAATGTGTGTGAGCATGTGTAAACGCATGCATGTGTGCGTGCATGTGAGTGTATGCATGTACGAGTGTGTTTGAGAGTACGTGCAGATGCATGTGATTGTGTGAGATTGTGTGTGCATATGTGAGCATGTGTGAGAACATGTATAAGTGCATGCGTGTGTGCATGTGTGTGAGTGCATGTATACGTGTTTGAGAGTATGTGTGCACCTGCATGTGATTGTGTGTGTGAGAGAGTGTGAGAAACAAAGTGTGAATGTGTGCATATGTGAGTGTGAGAGCATGTGTAAGTGCATGCGTGTGTGTGGATGTGTGTTTGAGAGTATATGTGCACATGCATGTGATTGAGATAGAGTGAGACAGTGTGCATATGTGAGTGATAACGTGTAAGTGCATGAGTGTGAGTGTGCGTGGATGTGAGAGTATGTGTGCACATGCATGTGATTGTGTGTCTGAGACTGTGAGCATGTGTGTGTGGGTGCATGTGTATGTGGGTGCATGTTGTGTGTGTGAATGTGTGTTAGAGCATGTGTGGGTGCATATGTGAGACTGCATGTGTGTGTGAGTGCATGCATGTTTGGGAGACAGCATGTGTGGGTTCATGCATTTGAGCACGTGAGTGTGTCAGTGTGTGCATGTATCCGTGTGTGTGTGTGTGTGTGAAGGGACACAGGCCTGAGACAGAAGATATGAATGCAGGAGGAGTACTTAGGGGGACCCTGTCCTCAGGACCTCAGGAATTCTCTGGACTTGGTTTAGCCCGGCATTTGTAGTTTGATTTTTGCTGGTGCCTGTCAGGGGAAAATCTTGTCATTAGGACATAATAGGACATAATAGATGAAATTAATTTTTCCAATTCTGATGGAGGTCTTCCATGTCCTTGCCACTCCAGTTTGTTCTGTACAGTGACCAAGATTATCTTTCCAAAACGCGAAGTTGTGTGCACCGCTTTCTCCATCAGCTCCTCGGCGGCTCCATGTTCCTCTCAGGAATGTGTTAACGTCACAGGCGTTACTGAGAGCCTGCTTTGCCTGAGGAATTGTGCTGGGTGCTGGAGTTACAGAAGTTAGCATGACGCCGCGGTTTCTGATTGCTACGTTTCAGTTCCTTTATGTGTGTCACTCAGGTCACTTTTCAGTCCAGACTCAGTCTCATTTTCGGTCACTTCCCCACCCACTAGACTGTAGTCACACCATTTCCTGAAACACCCGCATTGTCACGCCTCTGTTTTCCCCCCACTTTTTCTATAAAACCTTTTCCACAATCTATTAGAATGATTTGTTCTCTCTGGCTTTCATAAAACTTAGCAAATGACTTGTATAGAGATGATCATGTTTTGCTACAATAAATTGCTTTTAAAATTAATATGACCCACTATATTATGCATAACCTGAGAGCAGAGATGTGTCCTCTTTATGATTGTATTTCCAAGGGACTAAGCAGAGGACCCAGCATAACTCAGTACAATTTGGAGGAATTGTTGGGTTGACTTATTTACAAAACAGAGATAACAGATGCCTCTTTTGACTACATCACAAAACAACTAGAGGCACAAATAATATCATAGATGTGAAAACTTTTAGAAAATATAATGCCATATAAACACAAGGTGACACCATGCTTGATTATATGTACACATTACAATTTTGTTCTGATTATCATTGCATTGTTGATTTTATGTTCCCTGAGAAAGTTCCCACATTAGATATTCATGCTGAGTAGTCGACACTTGCTGATACACTTTGAGACTGAGTCACAAACAAAGTTCAGGGTCGGCATTAGATAAAATTGTCTTCAGTGGTTTCTGCTCCTACTTTTCCCAATTTTTACTCATCTTCTATTTTGACAGTCTTACCAGGGTCAAATGCATTTATACAATTCCTCTTTTTGTAGGGGTATACTTTTTATACTAACATGCTGATATGTTCCTAACAAGTTCTTAAGAATTGGAACTTGTACCTAACAAGTTCTTAAGAATTGGAACTTGTATTTTATAAGAGAAAGAAGAGAGCAATGATGAACCTGAAAAATGAATCCTGTTTTGATATTGTACTATAATTATGTAAGATATGACCCCTGACAGAACCTGGGGACAGGGACCTGTCTGTACTCTCTTTGTGACTTACTGTGACTCTATAATTATTTCAAAATCAGAAGTTAAATCTCTCATAATGGTAGATCTGCATATGCCCTGGGCCAGCATACTTTTGTATCTGATGGGCTTTTGATCTGTTTTTTGGTCCTCATCAAAGCAAATGTCTGAGATCAGCAAGGAGGAAGAGGTGAAAGGAAGGCCACAGGATGGGCTGTCAGCGCTGGGCGTAGGCTCCCTCCGCCCACTTCAGCCTCTGCCTCATCTTATGCTCTCAGTGAGGACTTCTCTGCTCCATGCATGCACCACCTTTCACTTATTATTTATATTTTTACATCTTTATTTTAGTTTCTGCCTCCTCCACATAGAATGTAAGTTCTATCATGGCAATATTTTTTTTTTTTTGTATTATTGTATCCTCATTGCCTACAGCTGAGTTAGGCACAGAGAATGCATGCAGCACATGTTTGTTGAATGAATGACTCCTTGTAGAAAATGAAAGCCCGAAAATAAGCCGACTGGTTCCCCGAGAGAGAAGAAACTCAAATCTGCCCATCCTCATAAAGGAGCAAACCTGTCTTTTAAGCTAAGGCCTTTTTCCTGTGTTCATACTTCAGAAAAAGAAGACACGACTGATAACATCTGAGAGGAAGGAAACTGCATTGTGCTGGGGATCTGCATGTCACATTATAAAAAGCAATTTTTTTTTTTAATAGAACCAGCCTTTCAAACAGTTTCCAGAGATGGATTATCCTACTTTACTTTTGGCTCTTCTTCATGTATACAGAGGTAAAGATGATCTTTATATTTTCATTTAAAAGTTTTGCTCCTGTTTTTGTTTGTACAGTGTGGCATATTCAGAATTTACAGTGCTCTTTAGTTGGCTAGGATAATTTCTCACTTGTTCAGAAAAACTAAAAGTTACATTTTCCAATTATCAGCAGGACGCCTTTTTAGACAAAGGCAGAAACTGTCAGCCTTTACTGTGATCTCAATGCACTAGGTCTTCAAAAGCTTAAGATATTGATTTGGTGTTTCCATCATCAAGGCTAACAATTAATGTGATGTTGTATATTTCAGCTCTATGTGAAGAGGTGCTTTGGCATACATCAGTTCCCTTTGCCGAGAACATGTCTCTAGAATGTGTGTATCCATCAATGGGCATCTTAACACAGGTGGAGTGGTTCAAGATCGGGACCCAGCAGGATTCCATAGCCATTTTCAGCCCTACTCATGGCATGGTCATAAGGAAGCCCTATGCTGAGAGGGTTTACTTTTTGAATTCAACGATGGCTTCCAATAACATGACTCTTTTCTTTCGGAATGCCTCTGAAGATGATGTTGGCTACTATTCCTGCTCTCTTTACACTTACCCACAGGGAACTTGGCAGAAGGTGATACAGGTGGTTCAGTCAGGTAAGGGCAAGTTTTTTTTTTTTTTAAATCCCTTTTTATCCACTTACAACATTTATTTCTATAAAGCCCAAGTAGAAGCTATAGAATGTCTTCTCGTATTTCTGTGGCATTCTCCAATTCCATTTCTAGATGCTTTGATGTTACTGCTTTGAAGGAGCAATCTTGGGAGTCTGTTTCATTTTTCTGACTGTGCTGTTGTGTCCGAGTAGAAGTGCCTTTCAAATTTGAATGTAGTAGAAGAAAGCACAGGTTTTTTGTTGTCTTAATGATAACCTGAGCCTTGATTAAACTGATGTTGGCAACACATGGGTTCAGGATCCTTTCAGGGTTTTATCACAGTGACATAGCACCATTCCCTTCTGCTGGACACTCCAGCACCCACATCAACCCCTGTGTGTTCAAGGTTCTTCCTACAGTACCAAATCTAAGTTTGTTTTCTTTCTTTCTTTTTCTCTTTCTTTCTTTCTCTCTCTCTCTTTCTTTCTTTTCTTTCCTTTCTTTCCTGTCTTTCTTTCTTCTTCCTTCTTTTTTTTTTTTTTTTTTTTTTTTTTTTGATGGAGTCTTGCTCTGTCACCAGGCTGGAGTACAGTAGCATGATCTTGGCTCACTGCAACCTCCAGCTCCTGGGCTCAAGCGATTCTCCTACCTCAGCCCCGCAAGTAGCTGGGACTACAGGTGTGCACCGCCACGTGATATGGTTTGAATTCCCATGTGTTGTGGGAGGGACCTGGTGGGAGGTAATTGAATCGTGCGGGCAAGTCTTTCCCATGCTGTCCTCATGATAGTGCATAAGTCTCATGAGATCTGATGGTTTAAAAAAGAGGAGTTCCCCTGCACTAGCTCTCTCTGTTTGCCTGCTGCCATCCATGTAAGACGTGACTTCTCCTTGCCTTCCACCTTGATTGTGAGGCTTCCCCAGACATGTGGTGCTGTAAGTCCAATTAAACCTCTTTCTTTTGTAAATTGCCCAGTCTTGGGAATATCTTCATCAGCAGGGTGAAAACGGACTAATACACCATGCCAGGCTGATTGTTGTATTTTTTGTAGAGATGAGGTTTCAACATGTTGCCCAGGCTGGTCTTGGACTCCTGAGTTCAAGTGATCCAACTGCCTCGGCCTCCCAGAGTGCCAGGATTACTGGCATGAACCACCAAGCTTGGCCCTGGCTCTATCTTTCACCTCATCCAGGTTTAGCTAGAGAGGACACTTTCTTCATAAATTGTGAGCTGTGGTGTCAGAAAGAACCCAATGATCCCTTGGAGTGTTTTTTGCTTTATCTACCAGAGATTGTGGTTTTGTCTTTCTAGTGATGACTACATGAACTGGTTGTAGTATATTGGAAACACTTGGGTTTATAGTCATCACTTTCCATCAACCTGGTGTTAGTTGCTCGATCCCTCTGAATCTCAGGTTCCTGAAGAGGAAATGGGGTTGGTAGTGCCATTCTACTTGTTGAATGGCTGAGGGACGATATATTTAAAGAACTTGGTCCATGGTAGTCAGAGAATGATACATCTTATTATTTCCTATGCTTGTGATCCAAAAGGACTAATAATGAAATTTTCAGATATTAGTGACAATCTAAAGCAGGGAATATTTTTGGAACTGTGTGTTTCTTGTGTGGTGTCTCTCAAATTATACTCATGGCTGTACAGAGAAGAACATTTTATGACATCTGACATAATAGTGCTTTATTTTTAAGGGATCTGTGCTCTAAAAGAACAAGTACAGAATTATATGAGGAATATCAAATGGTCAGGAGATAAGAAACATCTTCATATATTTAGTTTTCCCTTTCTCTTTAGGTGTAGCTAGGGTGAAGACTAATTTTGTGTATATAGCTGAGGCTTATAGAGTGTCAATTTACAATGTTTCTTTAGTTAAATGTTTATTTATTAAAGACTCTGTTTCACCATACAAGTCCTCATTTGCTGTTGTATGTAGACACCTGTTAAATCCTGCTTGGAAGTTTTTACTGTGTAGTTTGCTATAAATCAGTCAGGCAGGCGAAGTAGAAGATTGGCAAAGCTTTTAACATAGACTGAGCCATTGGAAACAAGGCCTGAGCCACCAAAGCTAGAACAGGATGCACTCCCCACTGCTGCCTTGTGTGGTATGCCTTTAAAGTTTGGGTTCCAAATTAGCTGTTTTGGTTTCTGTCACAGGACAACCAATTGAAAACAGCTCAACCTTTCAGGATAGAGGATGGAGCTAACCTGTAGAGAACTAAATGATGGTTGTTATGCAAAGGTAGGATTTTTAACATCACATATGAATAGTCTTCGGAATATTTCCTGTTGTTTTCATCCAGATTTGTCATTACTGCTAGTTTTTGAGGTTAGGAAAAGAGAGCTGTCACCTTCATGGGGCTTAAAAAAATACAATGTGGAGATTTTCAGTCAGTTTTCAGTCAGAGGAAGGAATACCGGCTGTCCGTCTAGTTTGAATTCTTCATGATGGTATCCTTAGCCATGATCCATTGCTCTTGTTTTGATTATTTGTATTTTAAAGAGCAGATTGATGCAATGGGCTAGTGAGGGCATTCTACCCTATTTTGAGAGTTTGAGAGCTTCACTTTTTTAAACTAAGAATGATAGTGAGTTTAAAAAATATTAGTTGTATTTCAAAATTAACCTTAGGTGTGCTTGAAATTTTCTTATGTACTTCAGTAACAACATACTGGGATTGCAAATATTGTACTTTTGTATACTGTAAAGGGGGAGTTGAAAATACATTAAATAGTAAAAAAAAAAAAAAAAAGACTTGGAATCTAGAAATCCTAGTTTGTATAATGGATTGTAAGAACTTCAGAAGGATGAAGGAGTTGGGCCCTATGCTCTGTAAATATGTTGATTTTTTGCTATTTATTGATAGCTTATTATGTGCGGAATTTTACATAGTCTGGATCTTCATAGACTTCCTCCTTGAATCTCCTGTGTGCACTTGAACGTTTGTATTGCCTGATTTTACAGATGATGACATTGAAGTGCAGTGAGGTCTAGTAGTCTTTCCAAGGCCCTAAGTTTCACGTATGTCCCAGCAGATAAAGTTGCAAATTGATGTAACTGTCAGCCTGGGGGACATGGGAACCCACCAGGGCCCTTGAAGAAGGAGACCTTGGCCTTTGTACCTCCTATCAATGCTACCCCTCTCCAGCTTTCAGCCTAGAGTTTAAGAGCAAACAGGACATCTTATTCTGAATAAATGGTACTACTAATACAAAGTTATTTGAAAATATGTGTTCTTTCCAGAACAGGCATTTCTTCATTAGCAATTGATTTAGAGACTCTGATGGTAAGAATAAATGCATTTGTTTTTACCTAGTTTGTGAGAAAATATGCAGAGATGACTTGGGGGACCACATTTTCCAGATAGCCCTTTCTAGCAGAGTTTGTGAGGTCATGGAGAAAACTACTGTCACCTACGTGTCTCTGGCTTTATTAGTCAGTTAAAGCAAATATAGTTGCATTTACAGAAATACCCCCAAAATGAGTGACCCACTCAGAATGCTCTGCCACCTAGTGTTTACTGGGTGCCTGCTCTGTAGGATGCAACTGCGTGTCATTTCATTTAATCCTTATGAAGCACTATGGGGAGGTAATATGTTCCCGTAATACAACAGAAGACACTGAGGTTCAGGGTGGTAGACTCACTTGTCCAAGGTTATCAAGCTGCCAAGTGGCAGCACCAGAATGACCCCAGTTGATTTTTCTGAAGAGCCAGAGATCTTAACTCCAGTGGAATGAACCAGGGAGGGCCATGGTAGAGAAAAGTCGTGCTGGACCTTGAAGAATTGGAAGGAATATTTTAATTAGAGAGGCCGGGGTCTGGGGAAGAGAGAAGACAGAGAGGGAAGGGTGTCCTGGGGGTACTGATGGCTTAAAGAAGGGCACAGTGGAGGTGTAAAGTTCATGTAAGAGGCAGAGCCTGGCCTTCTCTGACTAGGGCACTGGATTTGGATAAGATGTGGTTCTCACCCTGGGCTCTGAGGCCCCCTACACCCACAGAGGTGGCCTGAGAGGCAGCCTCCCAGGAAAGGAAGACACTGTGAGAGTGAGACTCTCTCCCTGCATGCACCAGCAAAGGGGCTCAGCTTATGATACTTTAGAGTTTCAGGAAAAGCTTTAGTACAGTAGATTCTGTGCTTGAAAAAGGAGTTGCAGCTCACTAGGGCAGCAGAATGTCAGAAATAAACCCGAAAAGTTATTGATGTGCCTAATGGAATTTTGACTTCTGTCTGTAATGCAGACCAGGGGACATCTCTGACTAGTTTTTAGAGAGACACACAAAATAAAACCAGATTTTTCTTTCACCACCTAAAAGATTACACTAGCTGCAGTCTTTTAGGAGAGTAAGAGTTTGCAGGCAAGGTAAGCAAATAGGCATCTGTAGATTGGAACCTTTACACACTGCTAGCAGGAGGATTAATTGGTATCTCTATTATTTTAGTCAGGCTTCTCCAGAGAAAGAGAACCAATGTGTATATACATGGAGATTTATTATAAGAAATTGGCTCACATGATGTATTAGTCTATTCTCACACTGCTGTGAAGAAATACTTAAGACTGGGTAATTTATAAGGGAAAGAGGTTTAATTGACTCACAGTTCAGTATGGCTGGGGAGGCCTCAGGAAACGTACAATCATGGTGAAAAGGGGAGCAAACATGTCCTTCTTCACATGGCAGCAGGAAGGAGAAGTGCAGAGTGAGGTGGGGGAAAAGCCCCTTATAAAACCATCAGATTTTGTGAGAATTCACTCACTGTCACCAGAACAGCATGAAGGTGACTGGCCCCATGATTCAGCTACCTCCCACCGGGTCCTTCCCACAATACATGGGGATTATGGGAACTACAAGATGAGATTTGGGTGGGGAAACAGCCAAATTATATCATTTTGCCCCTGGCCCCTCTGAAATCTCATGCCCTCACATTTCAAAATACAACCATACCCTCCCAACAGTCCCCCAAAGTCTTAACTCTTTCCAGCATTAACTGAAAGTCCACAGCCCAAAGTCTCATCTGAGACAAGGCAAGTACCTTCCGCCTATGAGCCTGTAAAATCAAAAGCAAGTTAGTTACTTCCTAGATAAAAGAGGGGTACAGGCATTGGATAAATACACCAATTCTAAATGAGAGAAATTGGCCAAAACAAAGGGGCTACTAGCTCCATGCAAGTCTGAAATCCTGTAGGGCAGTCATTAAAACTTCAAGTTCCAAAAATGATCTCCTTTGACTCCATGTCCCACATCCTGGGCATGCTGATGCAAGAGGTGGGCACCCATGGTCTTGGGCAGCTCCACCCCTCTGGCTATGCAGGGTACAGCCTCCCCTCTTGGCTGCTTTCACAGGCTGGTGTTGAGTGTCTGTGGCTTCTCCAGTTGCATGGTGCAAGCCGTCTGTGGATCAGATTCAGATTGTGGGGTCTGAAGGATGGTGGCCCTCTTCTCACAGCTCTACTAGACAGTGCCCCAGTGGGGATTCTGTGTGGGGGCTCCAACCCCACATTTCCCTGCTGCAGTGCCCTAGCAGAGGTCTTCCATGAGGGCTCTGCCCTTGCAGCAACTTCTGAATGGACACCCAGGTGTTTCTGTACATTTTCTGAAGTCTAGGCAGAGGTTCTCAAACCACAGTTCTTGACTTCTGTGCACCCGCAGGCCCAACACCACGTGTAAGCTGTCAAGGCTTGGGGCTTGCACCCTCTGAAGCAACAGCCTGAGCTGTATGTTGGCCCCTTTTAGCCGTGGCTGGGACATAGGGCACCATATGCAGTCCCGAGGCTGCATAGAGCAGGGGGTCTTAGGCTTGGCCCAGGAAATCACTTTTCCCTCCTAGGCTTATGATGGAAGGGGCTGCCATGAAGGTCTCTGACATGCCTTGGAGACATTTTCCCCATTGTCTTGGTGATTTACATTTGGCTCCTCATTACTTATGCAAATTTCTGCAGCTGGCTGGAATTTCTTCCCAGAAAATGTTTTTCTTTTCTGTCGCATCATCAGGCTGCAAATTTTCCAAATTTTTTATGCTCTGCTTCCTCTTGAATGCTTTGCCCCTTAGAAGTTTCTTCTGCCAGATACCCTAAATTATCTCTCTCAAGTTCAAAGTTCCACAGATCTCTGGGGCAGGGGCAAAATGCCACCAAACTCTTTGCATAGCAAGAGTGACCTTTACTCCATTTCCCAAAAAGTTCCTCATCTCCATCTGAGACCACCTCAGCCTGGACTTCATTGTTTATATCACTGTCAGCATTTTGGTCAATGTCATTCAACAAATTTCTAGGAAGTTCCCAAATTTCCCACATTTTCCTGTCTTCTTCTGAGCCCTCAAAACTGTTCCAACCTCTACCTGTTACCCAGTTCCAAAGTTGCTTTCACACTTGTGGATATCTTTACAGCAACCCTCCACTCTCTGCTGTACTCATTTACTGTATTACTCAGTTTTCATGCTGCTAATAAAGACATACCTGAGACAGGGTAATTTATAAAGGAAAGAGGTTTAATTGATTCTCAGTTCAGTATGGGTGGGGAGGCCTCAGGAAACTTACAATCATGGTGGAAGGGGAAGCAAATATGTCCTTCACATGGTAGCAGGGAGAAGAAGAGTGAGTGCCCAGAGCAGGGGAAGCCCCTTATAAAACCATCAGATCTCATGAGAACTAACTCACTATCATGAGAACAGGATGGGGGAAACCACCCCCATGATTCAGTTATCTCCACCTGGTCTCTCCCACGACACGTGAGGGTTATGGGAACTACAACTCAAGATGAGATTTGGGTGGGCACACGGCCAAATTATATCATATGATCATGGAGACTGATAAGCCCAAATTTGCAGTGTGGGCTTGCAGGCTGCAGACCCAGGAGAGCCGATGGTACAGGTGAAGCCCAGGTCATCTGCTGCAGAATCCCTCTTGCTTGGGGAGGCTGGTCTTTTTGTTGAATTAGGCTCACCTACATTATGGAGGCAAACTGCTTATTCAAAATTCACCAATTTAAATGTTAATCTCATCCCAAAACACCCTTCAAATTGACACGTAAAATTAACCATCATACCTGTTTTGGAAAATGATATGGCATTAGCTAGTTAAAAACCCCAAATCCTATGATCCAATAATTCTACTCTGTTTGGTATCCAAGAGTTCTCTCATTATAGGGAAAATTCCTGACAATATTTATAGCAACAGTGATTGCAATAGCAAAAAATTGGTAACAACCCAAATACCCATCAACAGTAGAACCGAAAAGCACACTGAGGTCTATTCACACATTAGGATACTCTACATCACTAAAATGAGTGAATTATCACTTGCTCACCGACATGGATGAAGCTCATGAACTTTGTGTTGAAAGAAAAGAGCAAGTTACCAAAAAAAATAGGTAAACTAGGGTTCCTTTTCTTTAAAGGTTTTAGAAATATGCATAATTAAACAATACGTTATTTATAGATACAAACGTGGTAAAACTATAAAGAAAAGCAAAGTTCAGAAACATGGTAGGTGGGGGATAGAATAGAATCAGGAAGGGCTGAAAGGGTCTTTAAGGCTCATAGTCAGGGTGTTTTCCTTATACAGGTGTTTTATTTTGCATTTGTCTCAAAATGTTTTAGAAGATTTCTTTCAAATCTACTGATTTCTTTTTCTTTTCCTTTTTTGAGACAGAGTCTCACTCTGTTGCCCAGGCTGGAGTGCAGTGGCATGATCTCAGCTCATTGCAACCTCTGCCTCCTGGGTTCAAGTGGTTCTCCTGCCTCAGCCTCCTGAGTAGCTGGGATTACAGGCCTGCATCATCACACCCAGCTAATTTTTGTATTTTTGTAGAGATGGGGGTTTTGCCATGTTGGCCAGGCTGATCTCAAACTCCTGACCTCAGGTGATCCACCCCACCTTGGCCTCCCAAAGTGCTGGAATTACAGGCATAGGCCACCTTGCCTGGCCAAATCTACTGATTTCTAATGGTGAAAAGAGATGTGATTGCAATTTTTGAGCAGTTGAAAGCTCTAAGGTAAGGATGAAATCTTCATTCTGATATGGCCTGGGGGCCAGGTAGAGGTAAGTTTCAGCAATGGTTTCAAATTTTTATGATCCAAGGACTAAAAAATGATGATTTTAGTGAAAAAGATGTGAAATTAAGAGACCAACTTGGCTAGCAAGAGTGGAATTAAGTCTGTTTCAGGTGTATTAAATTGTAAAGTAGCCTTTGACCAGCTGACAATTGAAATTATGGAACAACAAACCAGGATTGAAAATATCCAATTTGAAGTCATCTGAATGATCATCCAGCACATGTGGATGGATGGGGTTAACTAAGAAAGTACCAATGGATGGGGGCAGAAGTCTAAGGTCATAGCTTGTGGCTTGGAGGATGGTCACATTGTAGTGTGTTAAAGAAGGTGTTCATGTTAAAGAATGTAGAGGGCATAGAGAAAAGAGGGGGAGAGTTGGGAGGGAGAGGAAAGTGAACAGGTGAATTATTGATGTGAGAGCAGAAGACACATAGAACTCATATTTATAGTAGAGGGTTAGATTTTCTTGCTCCACACATGCAGGTACTTTGTGTTGGCTGTATTGTATGTTTGCTGACTCTGTGATCTCCCATATTCCAGTCCATTTATCTCAAACTGGGCACAGAGATGTTCCTCACTGTTTCCCTTTAAGAGTCTCATTCTCTCCCAGGTGGGATGAGGCTCCTTATATGCCATCCATGCTCATTCTTAGAAGGCTCTTATCTCTACACCCTTCAGGGACAAGTGTTCTCTGTCCAGGTTCCCAGCAGCTGACATAGCAGCCAAAGTTTTCTTTCATTCTTGTATATATCTGCTGGTTAGTGGCACTAAAGAGATTCCTTTAATATTAAGGGCTCCAGAATTGATGGCAGTTCTGAGGAATCCTATGATGAAAGGGATTCTAAAGATCATGCTGGCCTATATATTAGTTGAGGGCAGCATGGCCAACATTTTTCTAATGCTGGGGTATAATCTCAGCCTTTAAATTTGATTTAAAGCTGGGGAGAGGGAAGTGTCTCAAATCTGGCTTTTATAAATGGGTGTGCTGATTTGCAGGAGCTGAACCCACTTATCCATTAATTCACTCATCAAGTCTTTCCTGAGAATCTACAATGTACAATGTAATGTTCAGTGGTTTGGAAGATAGAAAGACATAGATCTTAGCTCTAAATAGGATGTAGAATATTGGGAGAGAGAAAAGTTTATATCACAAATTATTATTTGAGGCAAAAAAATAAGTCGCATTGTAGTCTAGAGGATATAATTTTATTTTACCTAGGAAATTCAGGGCAGAGTCCCTGAAAAAGTGGAATTTGAACTGCCAACCCAGAAAATTTGGATGTTGAGATTAATAGGCACTATTCCAGGAGAATTGCTTTAGAAAATTATCTAGAAAATAGACAGCTATTTTCTAGATAGTAGGCTCCAGTGTAACCTACTTTGGAAGATAATTTTCATTGTTCAAAAGGACCCCAACAACAAAACACCAAAAACCTCTAAAATTGAACCAACACATAGAATTGATCAACAAATTAAAGCAATTTATTCCGGTTTACAATTCATGGCTTGGTTGACATGTTGAATTGCTGCTTCAAAAGGCAAGGGAAGCCAGATGCACTATGCAATTGTATTTTACAACCTATCTTACGGTATTTGCACACTTTCATTTCGGCTTTTGTTTTGCCTATCCCAAATTCAGAAGGAAGGAAGAAAACATACGAAAATGACACTATCATATCTATTAATGACAGGTGAAAGTGATGGAGGAGGAGATTTGGTCTGAAAGGCTATTGCCTGTCAAAGGAAATTTCAAACAAGGTTAAGAAGGCCACAGAGAAAGAGTCTTTCTTATTCTCCTGTTATAAGGGTCACCAATTCCTGCTAGCTTCCTTAGTCCTTGTGTAGACCTTTTTCAGTTTTGTCTATCATATGTATCTCTATCACTTTTAATTTTCTTAAGTCAGATGGAGAAATAAGAAAAAAAGTCATTCCAAGTCAACTGATTAGAGAATGAAGCCATAAGCTCTCTCTTCAGGCCCATTCTGGTGAGATTAGAAATAAGTCATAAAGGTTTTATATATCCATGTGTGTGTGTATGCATGCACACACACAAGACTAAAAAATGTTACATTTTAGCAGTTTTTCATTTAAAGAAAAAAATACTAAATGGTACCTATAAGGAATCCACAAGGGATGAAGCAGAAACATTTTAAAGGCTTAAAAATCTCACTCCGTAATGAAATAAAATAGTATATAAAGAAGGCAGACGATAAAAAACATTTTAAGACTCACAGAAAGCAAGGTTATGGTCACTGCACTTCTCAAGGGTGAAGTAAATGGGAAACTGAAAGTGGATGGTTACCAGAACGTGTGCCAAGGTTGTTTTTATCCACGTGCTTTCCCTGTGCTAAGCCCAGGAAGGAACAGGCACAAGAACACATGTCACTGTGGGAATCAACCCTCAGGCTTTCAGGCAAAGCTCTGTAATCAAAAATCAAAAAAAAAGAGAAAGTTTAAAAACTCTCTAAAGCCAGATAATACTAAATTTATATACACAATTGAATTCAATAATCGAATGGCTGATACAGTGGAATTCACGTACAGGCACGGGTACAGGCTTGGATTTTTGGGGATTGAGATTGTCCGTCTGTCTCGATGCCTGGGTTTCTCTCTACCTCCTTCACCTCCTTTATGCCCCGTGAGACACCCCAGTCTTTGACACTTCTGAGCTGTAGCAAAATCCAGAGGAAACTTTTACTTTGGGCTTGTTGTCAAATGCAGTCAGGCGAGCCAGAGCAGGGAGTGGAATTGGCTGCCATCTTTGTGTGCAGCCATTTTGTTTATTTATACTACCTATGTAAACTTGAAACTGTACCCTTCTTATTGTAGGTATTTATATTTTCAAGATGATTGTAGAGTAGGGGTATGCTTGGCTGAATTGATAGAGAATGGGCTACAGCTGAAGCTTCGGACACTGATTCTCCTGTGACCTCAGAACATTCTGTGAGTATAGCTGGAAACTACACAGTTCTTGGTTTTTCCTCCTTCAACTCTCAGTGATCAAGACAACTCACACCTTTACCACAACAGCTGTTTACCCAGCACTGAAGGCGGCTGCCAACCACAACATGAGGAATACATTTCCTCTTCAGAATGGGTGTTGGTGGTGTGTGGGTGCCAATGCAGCGTGGGGACTGTGGCCTCACACATGAGTAAGAGCTGGTGTCCTATAGCCTTCAATGCCTGTCAAATAACTGTGGAACATGTTCAGCCCACACACGTTGAGACTCCTCCTCAGACCATCTCGGCTTCTGTGATCTTTTAAAAAATTCCTCACTTCAAAGGTTGAGAGCTGCAGATAGTGGGCATTGTTCTCCAGCACTTGCTCTGGGAAACTTCCTTATAGGATTAGTGAGTAGGTGTGAGTGACCTTCAAAAAGGCCTTATAGGAATTTACCTCTTAACAGATCACATTATTAACTGAAAGTAACATTATAAATTGCATTTTGTAAAATAAAAAATGTGAGATTTGAGATATTCAAAAGCAAACAAAAAGAAAATAAGTAACTGAAGAAAGTCCAAAAGCTCTTAGCTGGTAAAGCTCTCAGTTTTTACTGATGCTTGGAGCTCCTCTGTGGCTTTATCTTTGAGTTAATGCTGTCCTGTGATGGTTTAGGTAGCGTCGATAAAAAGATCTGGTTTCTAAGTTATGGTTTTTGTTGCTGGTTTTTGTTTTTGTTTGGTTTTATAGGGAGAGGAGGTTGCAGGCAGAATGGCTTTTTCTTTCCGTGGAGAAAATGGTAGGAGACTATTTCTGAAGACATTTAAGATTTTGAAACTGTTAAGAATTTCAAGACCATCAAGTCAATCCTTCAGGGATCAGTGTGAAATTATTCCCTCAGGCAACATCTCTTCTACTTACTCCTGAGCAGTTTTAATTAAATAACTCAGTTGATGGGGCTTCTGGCACTTCCCTTGAGAGATTATTCACAATCCAATAACTCTTAATGTGAGAAAATTTTTCCTGACTTCAGCTATTTAACCAACTTACACTTTAAAAAAATCTTCTTTGTAATCTGCCTCGAGAGAAAGAGCCATGTTTCATAGAATACTGATATAAGAAGACTTCCAAGGATGGAGGTGTAAAACACAATATTCATACTTACTAGTGTTGTAAATAGCTATGTGCATCATATCTGCACACAGTGGTGACCGTGGCCAAACAGAATAAAATCTGGGCATTAATTCTGGGAGCATTTAGCTGCACCATTTAATGAGCAGAATCCTAAGAAACTTAACATTCTCATTTTAGCAGACAGGCTCTTAAGAACATACTTGTTCCAATTCTTGGCCAGCTACATAAAATTCTATATGCTACCAACACCGATATTTCCAGAATTGCTTAGTGAAGGGGTGTGCGTGCGTGTGTGTGTGTGTGTGTGTGTGTGTGTGTGTATCCTCTGTGTGGACAGGATCATTTCCTTCATGATATATAAAGAACCCGAGACTATAGCAAATTTTAAGTCATTTACCTAATTCATTTCACTAATAGGATACATTTATTTCTCTTTGCAAACTGGAAGCTCTAGTTGAATGTATACCTTTTTCATGTGAGAAACAGCCAAAGAATTCAGTTGTTGTATTGGTAATGTTAGTATATGTCTCCAAAAGAGATCCTTTGTAAAGTCCCATTAACTCCTGACATCAGATTTCTCAAAATACCTCTTTATTATCTTTTAAGAAACATAGTTGCTCATTTAAGTGAAATAAAGAATACTTAACATAGGGCTTGTAACTTCTTCCTTTTATTCTCTTTAAATCCTATAAATGTTTCTGGAAAGAGCAAACATTTAATAAGATGAAAATATTTTCAACTACTCACATTGTGTTTCTTTGTGCTGACACAGTGTTTGAATTTTCATTCTTAACATGGTCTGATTATTCTGTTTTCAGTGAAAATAGCAGAATTGAACTAAAGGGAAAATGGCTAAACCTTGTTGTTGCTCAAATGACACAGAGGTAATTGAATCTGCTTTATTGGATGAAGGATGATAACAGTAATTAAAAAATCCCTGTAAATCTTACCTAAATCTGTTGAATAGATATTATTGTTTGCTGTGAGGAAAAGAAAGAATGTATGCCTATACGCCATGTAAAACGTTTGGGCCAAGTGACTGTAATGCAAGGTGGAATTTGGAAAGTAGCTTAAAGCAAGGTTTGGGGAGTTGGAGGTGACAGAGGTTACTTCTGGTTTGGGGAAACCATGGCCTGGAAATATAGGTGTAATTTGGATGAATGGAGACAAGGGCTGGCAGGAAGAGGGAGGAAGTTCAAACAGGAAAGTGCATCACAAGAAACATCGCATACCAGGGAGATGCTCTTTGTGTTTGAGGCACATGAAAAACAAATTTGGCCAGAGGCTTAGGGGAAGGTCGGAGGGTGGAAGGTCCAGATTTTGGACTTCATTTGGTTGTTAGTAAAGTTTTCAAATAGTGAAAGTCTCATGTTGGCCATGATTGGGAGCCATGACCCTACCAACAGCACGGAGGATGATGTAGAGGTAGGAAGGCAGAAAGATAGGAGGCACAAAAGCAGGCAGATAGGAGACACGAAAACAGGCAAGAAAGTGGGAGGCCTGTGGCCCTGCAGTGAGGGAGGACACTGCCCCCACGGTGCAGCCCACCAGAGCAGTCTTTCCAAATTACACACCAGGAAAGCTCCCCTGCTGCAAGTTTCTCCTTCCCATTTCCCCGCTCTTTAATTCTATAAATGTTTATTGAATGTCTGTCATATGCTGGGCCTGTGTGAGGTTGGAGGCATACAGGAGAAATGTCCCAGTCCCTCATCTCAAGCTCAAGGCTCTGTGTGACTTGATGCTTACATTGTTTGTGTGCAGAGGACGGGAATTGGTGGAGCTAGGAGTGGGTCGTGACAGTGTATGTGTGTGCATGTGGGAAGGAGGGTTGTGGAGTGAGGGAAGGGGTCATTCAAGGAACTTCAGAGATCAGAAGACACGAGAGCTTACTCATGAGGGAAGATGAGAACGGACTGAAGCGTGGTCATGCTGTTAGCTGGATGGCATTCCTGCTGGAGGGAAATCATGCTAATGGCGCAAAAGCAAAATGAGGCTGGTGTGCTTGGGAATTGCAGGATGGATCATAAAGCCTGAGTAAAAGCTAATTTAAGTGGGTAGTGGTGCCAGGTGGTGAACTTGGAGGGGTGGATAGTGGTGATAAAGAAATTTGATGTGTGATCAGCAGGAGCTCCAGATTTTTGCTTAGAAGAGGGGGCATTCAGAACACTTGATTTGGAACTGCATGTTCACAGCAAACCCACATGCTTACTTAGATGCATTTTCTTTGCAGTGGGCTGGGAGTAGGAGCTTTACTTCCCTCTAGTTACATTGTCGTGTCATGTCACAAATGTACACTATTCTAAGATATTTTGACTTTAGATTTTAGGCAAGGGATTTCGATTAGTCTGCAGTTAGAAAGAGCACTCAGACAGGGTTTAGAAGAGAGATTGGAAGTAAGAGAGAATAGAGGAAAGACAAGTCAGGAGAATTGTGTCCCCAAGTTTATTTGGTGAAGTTGCAACTCCTGATATCTCAGAAGGTGACTATTTGGAAATGAGGCTTTTAAAGAGGTAATTAAGTTAAAATGAGGTTATTAGGGTGGGATCTAATCCAATATGACTGGTTTCCAAATAAGAAGAGGAGATTAGGACACAGAGGGTCATCTGGAAACCAAGGAGAGAGGCCTCAAAAGGAATCAACCCTGCTGGCACCTGAATTTTGGGTTTCTAGCCTGCAGAATTGCGATAAAATAAGTTTCTGTTGTTTAAGCCATCCAGTCTGTGGTACTTTATTATGGCAGCCCTAGCAAACTAATGCAGAGGTGATGGGAATAAGTCAGACAAGCGATGAAAAAGAATTAAACTAAGGCAGCTTAAGTGGGGATAAAGCAGATGGGGCATATTCAAGATGAATTTTATTCCTAGTGTGTTCTTCATTATTCTGAATTCTTCCCCTCTTGAAGATTCAGGTCTTACATTTTAAAAAACTATTACAACTGCCAGAGCTTTGGCTCAGAAATTGCTGGAACACTGCTCCCTGCCTACTTGCTTTGTCAAAGTTTCACTCATGGTTCTGTCGGTCTCTCTACCTTAATTTGTGTTTTGCAGTGCACACACCTCCATCTTTCCCAGAATTAGTACACTTAGTTATTTTGTAATCTATGCCTGATGCTGTAATATTAAAGTAGTTCTATCTCTGTTGTCTGTTTTTTTCTTCTTTGCTCAGTTTTTTTTCTTCCTGTCATTACTTTCTTTTCTTTTTTTTAAATTTTATTATTATTATACTTTAAGTTTTAGGGTACATGTGCACAACATGCAGGTTTGTTACATATGTATACATGTGCCATGTTGGTGTGCTGCACCCATTAACTTGTCATTTAGCATTAGGTATATCTCCTAATGCTATCCCTCCCCCCTCTCCCCACCCCACAACAGTTCCTGGTGTGTGATGTTCCCCTTCCTGTGTCCATGTGTTCTCATTGTTCAATTCCCACCTATGAGTGAGAACATGCGGTGTTTGGTTTTTGTCTTTGTGATAGTTTGCTGAGAATGATGGTTTCCAGTTTCATCCATGTCCCTACAAAGGACATGAACTCATCATTTTTTATGGCTGCATAGTATTCCATGGTGTATATGTGCCACATTTTCTTAATCCAGTCTATCGTTGTTGGACATTTGGGTTGGTTCCAAGTCTTTGCTACTGTGAATAGTGCCGCAGTGTTTGTGGTTATTTTTCACTGTGTGCTGCTCATAGTCCTTGATAAAGCCTTCTGGGGATTCTCTGAAGTCTAACATGAAGGGACCTTTGTTCTCAGAGGAGTCGAAACCTGGATTACTTTCAGCCTGAGCTTTATGGAGCACCTGTACTATGGGAATTTAGGCTATAAATCCACATGAGGACTGATTTGTGCTTAGAACTACTCAAGGATTTTCTTTCTTTCCCTTATTCACCTGGGGATGCGGGTGAGCACATGCTTATTTCCAGGTCATTGTTACCATGAAGGAGTATCACTTAGAGGTCTCGACAAGACAAGAGGAAGGTCTTCTTTTTAATTCTCACTTCAGGTAGGTCCTGGGTTTTGACACCTATTTCTTTCGTGTTGTATGAGGTTCAAAAATCAGAGTTCACGTTGCTTAGACTGGCAGGTGTGCTCAGGGCAGAAGTGGCTTCCACGTCCCTATGTCTCTAGTTTTTCACTTCTACCTGGATTTTTCCGGTGGTCCCTGTGTTCTCAGAGATTTGATGCTTTTGCTCCTTTCACAAATACATTTGCTCCTTTCACAAATCTGTCCTGCTCCCAGTCTTTCTCATTTGAGTCAATATTCCCACATCTTAAAAACATAGAAGTCATCTTTTATGCTTTGTTTTGCCTCATTTTTCACATCTAAGTGTCTAGACTTGCAAAATAGACACCTCATATCCATTTATCTCAAACCATATTGCAACAGCCTTCATTCAAAACACTCATCTTTTACCTCTTTGTATTTTTTAAAAAATATTTGTCATCTAGATGCTTTTACCTGAAAGTCTGATCTGAATAATGTAGCCCATCATCTTCCCAGGAATGATGTATCAAATACCCCAGTTTTTGGACTCTTCTCCAGTCCCAGTAGGATTTTGTTTGTAGTTGCCCGTGCTCATGGTGCAGAGGAGAGATGCCAGACCTCCTTCATTCTTGATCACCTCCAGAGATGGCATGCAGCCTGTGGAATTTCCATATTTCTGGGAATGAGCTCAGACAATAGGCTAGAGAGAGACACACAGAGACAGAGAGAGAAATTGAGAAATGACAGATTTCATAATATATTCGATGTTGCGTGTGAAATAGAAAAGGGATTCAAGAGTGGCACCAGGTTTTACTTGGGATCCTGAGTAGATGGTGCTGTCATTGACTGCATCAGGGAGAATGAGATGAGAAGCTCCGGAGTGGGGTTGAATCGTTTAGGTTTAGACATCCAAGTGAAGCTCTCTAGCAGGCAGGAGGATTTTTTAATCAGAACCCAAGAGAGAACTTGGGTTGGAGATGCAAATGTGGTAAAGTCATGGGTGTACGAGTATGCACAGAGAGCTTTGGCTAGTCTTCCTTCACATTCATAACCGTTGAATGTTTATTATGTGGCAGCCCTGGGCAGGGCTCTAAAGGCTTTACATTGATTATTTCATTTAACCCTCACATTGTCCCTGTGAGGGAGATAGTATTATTAATACATAATTTAAAAAGCAAAATTTAAAAAGTGAGGATAGACTATGGAGCATATAGGGAGAAAAAGGACCTAGCACATGAGAGTGACTTGATAAAATGATGTTACAAGTACATGAAGAAATCAAGATGGAAGGGATGTTACTAGATCCAGGGTGTCCTCACGATCCACACCACAGTTTGCAAACAAGTGGCCTGTAACACCCATTTCATTTGACCAACACATTTTTGGAAGATCAGAAACACTCATATGCACATCTGGATGGACTATTAATACTGCCATAAGTTTTCTGCTTGGCAGCATTTTCTAGGCTGGGTAGCAGCAACCTTTTTGTAAATAATATATTCCTGAGTCACCCACAATCCCCACTCTTCCCTATTGTAATACCTTTGGCTCTGGTCATTTCCATGATCTTCCTGGACCCTCTGGGAATTTGTCTTTGGAGCCCTCACCTACGTGGTTAATCTTGATTCTTACAAGTGCTGTTCAAGGTCTTCTAAGGCTTGGTCCCTGCATACCTTCCAAAGTCACTTTGCATTCCTTTTTTTCAGCCAAACATGGTTAAGTGCAAATTCCCTAGGCATCCTCTGCATTTCTGAATTGTAGATATTTTTGCTTGTGCCTTTTCTTTCCCTTACTCTTTCACTCTGTGTACTACAGACTGAATATCCCAAATCAAAAAATCTGAAATCTGAAATGCTCCAAAATCCAAAACTCTTTGAATGCCAACATGATGCTCAAAGGAAATGCTCATTGGAGCATTTTAGATTTCAGATTTTTGGATTTGGGATGTTCAGCTGGTATGATGTAAATATTCCAAAATCCAAAAGAATCCCAAATCTGAAACACTTATGTTCCCAAGTATTTTGGATAAGGGATACTCAACCTGTACTCATTCTTCAGCTAAGGAAACATTGTCCCACCCCTAAAACAGGAATCCATGTTTCCTGCATTCCCCCGGATGTTGTTTGTGGCCACCTTTTCATTGAACATATTTTATTTTCCTTGCATTCCATCTAGTGATTACCATTGCCATCTCCCTCACCGCCTCCTGTCCTGAATGAGGGCAGGCCACATCCCATTTCCCTCTTCATGATCCCAATAATGTTGGGAACAGAGCTTTGCCCTTAGGAGACATGCTCAATAAAACAGCAAAAGAGTTGGGGTGAAGTAGGGGGAGTGATAGAAAATGATCAGCACCAATTGCTGATCTGTACATAGGAAACGTATGAATTCCATATGTAATTAAGTAGAATAGAACAGCTGCCTATGAGTACTTTCGAGTAAGTGAAAAGTATTCCCCTGGGTGGGAACAAAGGTTTATAGCTCATCATATGTGAAACATGGTTTGAAGTGTATTTGGATATGAATTTGTCTTTCTAAATGGTTTGAAACTTATCTACCGCTTTTCTGCATATTTCATAGCTTAATGAGATTCTTCAGTATTTCACCCACTAGTTTGTTATTTTACCACTCAGAGTGGTTTAGTGTCATTTGCAAGTTTTTGATAGGGATATTTATTAGCACATTATTTGTAAACATATTATGTGAACTTAGTACACTCATGTTCATAACAGCATTATTCACAACAGCTAAAAAGAAGAAGCAACCTAAGTGTCTACGGAGGAATAAATGGACAAAATGCAGAATATCTACAGTGTATATCTATTATGCGTATATGTATATAAAATGTATGTAACATGTAGAATATATACAATGGAATATTCTTCATTCTTAAAAATGAGGACTATTTGAACACATGCTGCAACATGGGTGAACCCTGGGGACATTATTCCAAATGAACAAAGCCAGTCACAAGACAACAAATACTTTGTGATTCCACTTATATGAGGTACACAGAGGAGTCAAATTCATTGATTCAGAAAGTGGAATGGTAGTTGTCGGGGGTGGGGGATGGGAGAACAGGGAGTTGTTTAATGGGTAGGATTTCGATTCTGTGAGATAAAAAGAGTTCTGAAAATTGGGTATACAACAATGTGAATATACTTAATGCTACTGAACTGTACATTTTAAAAGGGCTAAGATGGTATATGTGTGTGTGTGTGTGTTTGTGTGTGTGTGTGTGTGTGTGTGTAGTGTCTTAGTCTGTTCAGGCTGCTATAACAAAGTACCTTAGATGGGTAATTTATAAATAAATGAGTTGTATATCTCACCGTTCTAGAGGCTAGGAAGTCCAAGACCAAAGCACGAGCAAATTTACTGTCTAGTGAGGGGTTGCTCTTTGCTTCCAAGACGGCGCCTTCTTGCTGCGTCCTCATATGGTGGAAGGGGCAAAGCAGCTCCCTTCAACATCTTTCTGAAGGGCACTAATCACATTCATGAAAGCAGAATTCTCAAGACTTAATGATGTCCCCAAAAGCACCATCTCTTAATACCACCACAATGGGGATTAGGTTTCAATATGAATTTGAGAAACATTCAGATCATAGCAGTGAGCTTAGTTCCAGGATTATTTCAAGGGAAATTTCATTGTTAACAATTCTTTATTTAGAGAAATTCCTGCTATCTATTGTTTTGGTTCTTGTCTTTATTACACGAAAACAAAAAAGGATTTGTTGACACAGAGCTTTGAGTTCTGTCCTGCTCCTAACTCATCTGGTGATGTCTGAAAAGTTTCTTCATTTTTCTGAGCTTCAGTTTACTCATGTATAGAAAGTACTCATGTATAATATGTACCTTAGGGGAGGCATGAGAACTAATGAGATAATATACAAAGATCCTATATAATACTTGGCACATGGAAGTTGCCCAGCACATGATGGTTCCATTGAATTCCCTTTCCATGTTCCCTGAAGAATTAGATATCTTGTTGAGTCTGAAACTTCAACTCATTTCAACTAACACATATTTAGCTGTTACCACTTGCCAGGCATTCCATCAGGAACTGGAAATATTAGGATGAATGAGATATTATAGCTCCTGCCCTCCTCCCTATCATATGTAAGTAGACATTACATGATGGTATGAAATAACGCTCTCATGGGGATAATGCCATAAAGGGGACTCTCAGAGTCCTTAAGATGACTGTTGTCATTCCTCATTGTTCAAGTTGGATGGAAAACACATCTGACAACTAAAGAAGTAGGAGTTAGCCAAAGAAAGGGCAGGGTGTCCTTGCAGTAGGAATAGCAAGTGCAAAGGTCCCGAGAAGAAATACAAAGCGGGAGATGTAAGAGGATGGAAAAGCAGCCCATCATCCTGAAACATAATGTATGAGGTGGGAATGGGATAGATACAAGCAGAGAGGTAGGCAAAGACCTGATGCTGAGTGGTTCTTTGTTGTTATTGTTGTTTTGAGATGGAGTCTCACTCTGTCGCCCAGTCTGGAGTGCAGTGGCGCAATCTTGGCACACTGCGACCTCCACATCCTGGGTTCCAGTGATTCTCCTTCCTCAGCCTCCCGAGTAGCTTGGATTGCAGTTGTGCGCCCTCACACCTGACTACTTTTTGTATATTTGGTAGAGATGGGGTATCACCATATTGGCCAGGCTGGTCTCGAACTCCTGGCCTCAGGTGGTCTGCCCGCCTCGGCCTCCCAAAGTGCTGGGATTACAGGCAGGATCCACTGTTTCCAGCCTGCTAAGTGATTCTATGTGCTGTGGTGAGAAGTGCATACTCACCATAAGGGGACTGAGAGTTTATTGAAGGGTTTTAATGTCTTGAGAGAGAGATCAGATTGATGGTATCGTGGACTGTCGTTCATATGGGAGCGAGACTGGAGTGAAGGAGGCTGGGCAGAAGTCTATTTTAGTAATATAGTAGGGATGGAGCAGAATAGGGCAATTTGTATAGAGAGTGTAGGGTCCATGTTTGAGAGATGTTTAAAAGGTAGAGTTGACGGGATCCAGCAACTGATTGGATGAGTGAGAAAGGGAAGAGGTGTTAAGAAGGATACCCAGTTTCTGAACAGTGGGGAGAGTAAAAAGGAGCCAGTTTGGAGAGGGGAATATGGTTTTGGAATATCTGTGAATAGAAAGTGGAAAAAAAAAAGAGCTTGAAAATCTAAACGAGTTTTTTCTTTTGTTTCTCCTTTGACATGTGATTTATCTACCCAGGAAATTCTAGCAGGTGAATTTGCATTCTTTTTCTTTGCAGAGATCATTCTGCATTTCTGATCCTAGTTTGTATTTGGTTATGCACGAAGTACTTGTCCCAGCACATTCTCTCAGTTTTTTAGACATAGCAGTGAGACTCTCTGGCTTTAATTTCATGACCTACCTAGAGTTCCCCTTTTGGATGGCACCCATTGAAAACACACTCATTCTGAAGCATGGTGGCCATTTGCAAATATCGGAAGTGCATTTTGTCCAACAGGTTGTCTTGTAGCACCTGCAAAGCAAGCTGAGTGGAGGATTTTTGTTCCCGGTGAGAACGTTTTGTTCAGTTCATGAGTTAGGTCAAAGGCTTATTTATTTAAAGTAATATATGTTGCTTATCTGTTCTAATGGAAAATTCAGGAATTCTCTAATCACTTTTTCCAAAAAGATGAAACGAATCCCTTTAGTGTCCTTGTTACTCTGTTTTTATTCACTGAAAAACTTTTGTTGTGTATGTTGTTTTCAAATGCCATGCAGTTTCTCTCCCTCTCTTTCTCTTTTTGATGTGCTGAAAAACTTCTCAGCATTTACTTTGGAGTGCTATGTGAGATAGTTTTCAAACACTCTTTGGGCCTCACTGCTTATTTGTACCTCTGGGCTTTGCAGTTCTCCCCAGTTTGAATGATTCTTTTTTTTTTTTTTTTTTTTGGCAATACCTTCATCCTACTGTTGCCCTTTGACTTTGTCAGTTCAGCCATAAGGGGTTTTATTTGAAGCACTTGGCCCTTTAGATCTGTTGGCATATATTTTCCCTGGACTTTCAAAAACATGTTTTGGTTTTTTTTTTTTTGTAAGTCTAGGGGTTTCTTTGGGATTTTTACCTTTTCAACTATACTTTTACTTTTTTAACCAGAATATTTGCATTTTATTGTAGTTTTCATTTGTAATTATGCAAAAATTTCCAATGAACTTTTGACTTTGCCTTTCTAGTCAGAATCACCTTTTGTCATTTGATCATGACAGATGATTCAAAGTGCATATTGTATATATCTATTTCATTCCGCAATGCAATATAAATTTCCATATATTTTTATTCCTATAAATTCAGGAGCCAGTTATGTGTAGTACAAATGTAGTGTGTCTGTAGCTTTTTCAGAGGTAGAATTCAAGATACGATGCAGATAATGGAAGTAGTCCGTTAGTCCTTCCTAATTTAATTTTTCCATCTGTCTCATTTTGCATAATATTTTCTTCTATGACGTTGGCTCGGTGGTCTATGGTATAATTCAAGAAGCTCGTTTCTCCCTTGTAAAGTGTTGAGGTTTCTGTTGGCAGTTGCTATTTAGATATGAGTTTTGTGGAAGCCATCCTCGATAAATGATGCTGCATCTGTTTTTATTTTGAAGTCTGAGGACACAATACTCCATTGATTTTTTTTTTTTTTTTTGAGACGGAGTCTCGCTCTGTCGCCCAGGCTGGAGTGCAGTGGCGCGATCTCGGCTCACTGCAAGCTCCGCCTCCTGGGTTCATGCCATTCTCCTGCCTCAGCCTCCCAAGTAGCTGGGACTACAGGCGCCCGCCACTACGCCCGGCTAATTTTTTGTATTTTTAGTAGAGACGGGGTTTCACCGTTTTTAGCCGGGATGGTCTCGATCTCCTGACCTCGTGATCCGCCCGCCTCGGCCTCCCAAAGTGCTGGGATTACAGGCGTGAGCCACCGCGCCCGGCCTGATTTTTATTGACTAACCTTTTTCCATCCTAAATCAGATGTGTCACTTCTATCGAGGTTGTCACTTTCTTGCAAGTTTCCCATTAATCCTCTTAATTTTTTTAGGCCTCTGGGATTTCTGGAGATAAAGTTATGAATTTCCATTGGTCAGTTCTCAGATAGAGAAGGTGATAGAGGCTTCACTAGAGAACAACAAATGTTTTTAAAAAGGCCAGAGCTGATGGGGTAAGGCAGGGATAAAAAGAGGACGTTTTCGCAGTTGGTTTTGAGGAGGGGGCAGGATTCTAACCAGTGAGAACTTCAGCCCTGCATTGATCCCACTCCTGGCCCCCAATTCTTGTCTTCCTGCAACACGACACTTGCCTTCCAACATTATGATGCCATGTTTTGCTATTTTGTTATCAGATTTTCTTTCCTTCCTTCTCTCTCTCTCTTTCTTTCTCTCTCTCTTTCTTTCTCCCTTTCCTTCCTTCCTTCCTTCCTTTCTTTCTTTCTCTCTTTTTCTCTTTCTCTCTTTCTTTCTTTCTTCTTTGACTTTTTTGAGACAGAGTCTCACTGTTGCCCAGGCTGGAGTGTAGTGGCGCAATCTCGGATCACTGCAACCTCTGCCTCTTGGGTTCAAGCCATTCTCCTGCCTCAGCCTCCTGAGTAGCTGGGATTACAGGTGCCCGCCACCATGCTTGGCTAATTTTTGTAATTTTAGTAGAGATGGGGGTTTCACCATGTTGGCCAGGCTGGTCTCGAACTCCTGACCTTAGGCGATCTGCCTGCCTTGGCCTCCCAAAGTGCTGGGAGTACAAGGCATGAGCCACCAAGCCTGGCCAGTTATGAGATTTTCTTTTCAAAACTGCTCTCATGCCAGTGTTTATCAGCTCTCACTACTTGAAAGCTGTATGAGGGTGGAATTGGGTAGACTGCGAAGGGCCCCATTCCCAGGGGTTCGTTTTCAGCACTGTGCATCCTCACAATGGCCTGGTCTGTTTCTTGACTAGATAAGATTTGTGGAGAGATGAGTCCTCATTTCTCAAGTCCAGCATTTCCATAATTGTTCCATTTACAGAAGTCTGTTTTTAGTGTAAAACATTATACAAAGCCGGGCACAGTGGCTCACACCTGTAATCACAGAATTTTGGGAAACCGAGGCAGGAGGATTGCTTGAGCCTAGGAGTTTGAAACCAGCCTGGGTAACATAGTGAGACTGTGGCTCGATTGAAAATAAAAAATTATCCAGTTGTGGTGGTATGCATCTGTGGTCCCAGCTACTTGGGAGGCTGAGGCAGGAGGACTGCCTGTGCCCAGGTGCTTGAAGCTGCAGTGAGCTATGATCGCACCACTGGACTCCAGGCTGGGTGCCAGAGTGAGACCCTATCTCAAAAAATAAACAAACGAAAATTATAGACATTCAACAAATACTCAAGGCCTTACTTCTTGACAATGAAATCATTTGCCATTCCTTGAATTAGGCCTATATTAATATTTTTTAAATATTTATGCTTTTTAGATAGAAAAAATAAAAACATTTGCAATACATTTGCCACATTTCTGATGCTGTTAGAAAAACCTCCTGCATGTTTATTTTTCCAGACTTTTGTACACCTTAGTGCTCCGTTTAGTAAGTGTAACTAGTCCTTTATCATGGGGATTTCTTATGCTTGATGTGACTGGTAATAACGAGGTCCCTAAAACAGTGAAGATTCTTGGTACTTCCTCAAGTGGAGTTTTCCAAAGACAAAAATGGGAGCTTGTTTTTAATTTCTACCAAAAGAAACAAAGAAACAAAAATTCAAATTAAAAAAACCCATAAAATCCCCAAAGCCCAAACTAAATCAAAACAAAAAACCCGGAGGAAAGAAGTCAGTAGAGCAGTAAGACTAAGAATAAAGAATATCATGGAGGCAAATTATGCCAAAGAGCATTGGATAAAACTTGGAGTGTGTAGATTTGCATTCTTCCCTTTGACTTACAGTTACTTAAACTGACTAACAAGGAGACAAGTGATTTAAGATAATATTCAAAAGATAAGGCCAATCCACGAAGGGCCTCATGGGTCTTCCCACAGGGCAGGTGTGATGTTCTGCCTTGTGGCTCGGCCTGGGGGAAGGAGGACAGCCACCTTATTAAAGAGATTGGGTAGGAAGGTTAAAAGATGTGGTGCCCTCTTATATGACTAAGAAGTCATTCCTTCTGTGGAGATGCTTACAATCCAATGGCCCAATAAGATGTGTTAGCTTCTCACAGAGATGGCCAGAGTGCAGATAGGATAGGATGCAAACTGCGCCCCCAAAGCTGGCGAAGCTTCCCAGATGATCCCATGCGAGGAGGCCTTCAGGGTTTGAGGATCTCAGCAGACAGAACAACCTGCACGGGGCATGGAGGCGTGGACAAGAGAGGTGAACACATGAGGGCCTGGAGTGGTGGTGATTAATGGTGGTGATTGTGGGGCATGGACAGATGTAGTGAGAGGTGAGGGCAGAGAGAAGGAGGCTTAGAGAGAGATTATACTTGCATGAGTGTAAGAAGCTCCAAGTATTGAAACTGGTTTGCAAGCAGAGAGGTCCATGATCAGATTTACATTTGGGAAGAATTGCCCTCCCAGAGGAAACATTGGGTATAAGTTTTCATTGCCTCGGCATGAAGAACTGAGCAATTGCGTCCTGTGACGGCAGTGACCTGCAGATGGGAAAAAGACAAATACACAGGGCTGAGTTGTGCTGCATAAGCGAGATGACTTTTTTGTATAAAGGATTCCAGAATTAATAATTTGTAGTTATCATTTTAGGGAACATGTTGTGCTAGATGCTATTCATCTACTATTTGGGTACGTAAGTTTTTATTTTTGTTCTTTTAAGGAACTCAGTCAAATTTCTGTGTTCAAATACTGACTCTGTCTTCGCTAGTCATAACCCTTGTTACAATATCTTTAAAATGAGAGTCATAATAACAGTGCCTCAAATGAAAGGTGAGATTCAATAAACATCCGCTGCAAAGTGTTTATCACACATCGTGCCTCATTATAAATACTTAGTATATATTAAATTTTTTATTATGATTAATTGGCCCAAATAACAACATATAGAAGAATGAAGCAAAGTTATTTTTCTTTTGAGGAGTAATTGTAAGTACTACTGGGTATAAAGAAAAATACAGAGGAATGAATTTTCATGTAAGTAAAAAGGAGAAGTGTCAAGTTTTCTTATATAAAAATGAAGAAATGAATGCATTGGTGAGGCAATAAGTGATTCTATATTATAAACTCCATGAAGCATTGTTTTTATCTTGTATATAAATGGACATTTCAAGGCAGTAGGGGATGGATTTTCTATGGAAAATTCCTGTTTCATAATGTGAAGAACAAAGAGACCTCTAGTCTTTTTATCAAAGCAAATGGAAGTAGAGAAGTAAGTTCATTTGTAATATCTTCCCCAGGAAAGCAAAGCAGTTTAAAAAATATCTTCAGTTTTTCCTGTTTCTATTTTTGGGTTTGAGCCTGTGTAGAGAGTGACAACAAGGCTAGGCATGGTGGCTCACACCTGTAATCCCAGCACTTTGGGAGGCTGAGGCAGGCAGATCCCTTGATCCTAGAGTTCGAGACCAGCCTGGGCAACTTGGCAAAACCCTGTTGCTACAAAAAAATATAAAAATTAGCTGAGTGTGGTGGCACATGTCTGTTGTCCCAGCTACTTAGGAGGCTGAGGTGGGATGATGGTTTGATCCTGAAAGGTCGGGGCTTCAGTGACCTGTGATTGCTCATGGGCAATAGAGCGAGACCTTGTCTTTGGAAAAAAAAAAAAAAAAGAGTGACAACAAAAGTAGATGAAAGTAAGAGGATAACTCATGCTTCTTATAGTAACCGACTCTTTTTTGAAATAACTTCATTTAAAAAATCCTCATTCGGTGTTTGGTACTGTTCAGTAAATCACATCTCTTGGTACTAGTATTTATGACTCAGTCATGATAAACAATTTGCCTTGTCAGACTTAATAACCCTGGCCTGCATTGTTCAGCGAAATAAGATGAAAATGTGCTTTGCCTGGTGCCATTTACTTCACAGACAGATATTATGTTTTGTCTCTTCAGCATTTATTTACTCTTAAAATTTAGGTAATCTCCTTGCCTTCAGTTCTTTCAGAAAGTAGAATTATTCACTTTCTTTTGATACTAGACATTGTTTGAAGAGTTTTGTCTACTTCCTGGATGATCCTTTAAATATTATGGTGAAAATGAAATGGTTTGTCTTATGTGATAAATTTCCTTGGTTCAAGACTTCTTTTGACAATATTTTAGATATTTTTTTGTAGCTATGTAAACGGTCAGTTTTTTCCTTCCTATGTTTGAAAAAAGCTCCCTGACAGCGTTTCTGGAATGTTTAAATTGCCTGGGTTGCTCCGTTATTTTTCTTCAGTTTGAGCATTATGGAAACAGAGAGGCCACAACCAGTTCTTGGTTATCCTTGAGAAACGAAGTGGCAAATTAGCTGAGATAATATCCAGTACTCATTGGACGCAGTGCTTGAAGCCTCAACTGTCCGAACATTTTCTGTTTAAAGTGTTAACCTTTTTCTCAGTTTGCCATTTATTTCCTTTCGGCTCTTTTTTCTTCATTTGGCTGCCAGGTCCTCTGGCAGTGACATTATTTCCTAAATACTTCTTCATCTTTCCATTTCTAGGCCTTGGGAGGGCCCATGGCCCCCACCTCCTCTGATTGCATCCCATGTCTGTATCAGTGCAGCAACAATCTCAGCCCTTCCTGAAGTATCACTAGCCTGCCCCACACATTCAGTCCACGAAATTATACAGATGCGTATTGGGCAACAGTCCAGGCCTTCCACTTTCCATCTGTATTTTCCATGACTCCCCTATTTGCACAGGGGTGTCTATAAGTGCCCTGGATGCCTGCTGATGGCTGTGGCTCTGCTCCAAGTCAAGACATTGCTCTCTATCTGGCTCCTTTCCTACTGTGTCCCTGCACAGAGCTCACAGTGCATTTTACATTGTAAACATCTGTTTAGTTTTATGGCTTCCTTATTAGTTCCTAAGCCCTGTGAGGACCGAGACCATGCCTGAGGTATTATCCACTCTATCCTTAATAGCTGCTTTTTAATTAATTTATTTTTTGAGACAGAGTCCCACTCTGTCACCAAAGCTGGAGTGCAATGGCACAATCTCGGCTCACCGCAACCTCCACCTGCCAAGTTCAAGTGATTCTTCTGCCTCAGCCTCCCAAGTAGCTGGGATTACAGGTGCCTGCCACCACACCTGGCTAATTTTATTTTTGTATTTTTAGTAGTGATGGGGTTTCATGATGTTGGCCAGGCTGGTCTCAAACTCCTGACCTCAGGTGATCCACCTGCCTCGGCCTCCCAAAGTGCTGGGATTACAGGCGTGAGCCACCGTGCCTGGCCCTAATAGCTTCTTTAGTACTTCTCATGTACTAGGCCCTTACCAAATATTTTTGAACTGAATTTGTAATTGAAGTAGGTGACTCTTTTTGTAAGCTCTTTCAGGGACGTGATGGGTCTTGTCCCATCAACATTGCCTCACACATATTTTACAATAGACCCTTAAAAGTAGATTTGTTTAATTGAGATGAACTCACCTCCATGTTGAAGACTAAATTGGCTGTGCCCTTCTCCTTGCTTGGTGTGGCTGGTGAGGCACAAATTTAATCTCATATGGCCTTGGGTAGGTGGGTTCAGTGGGCAGCTGACTTGTTTTCAAGGTTTTAGAGCCAGGGGCTCTTGGTCATTATAAAGCTCTTTTGCTCCTCTTTGGAGTGAATTCAAACCACTCATTTTCCTTCACTATAACTTCCCTCTGTGATCTCAAAGCATAATCAACAATGGATTAAGTATTAGACAGGAGACTCAATCTTTGATCCTTTTCAATGACTCCCCCCTTGTCCAAGAAGCTGTATGAAGACTTAAAGATATATTTATACACATAACGCAGGTCATACCTGAAGTTCACAATGATAGACGAAAGCACCCATTTGGAAAAGTAAACTCAAACTATCAACTTAACTAAACTGACAGCGCTAACTCACTAAAATCAGGTAGGAGAACATATAAATTCCTGTGCTTTATTTTTAAAAAAGTCAACAGCTGCACAAGAGGCATATCTTAGGAGCAGCACTGTAAATGAAGAGGTGCATATAGGCTAAAATATGAGCATAAAGTGCATGTGTTGGGGGGGTGTGTAACCTAGCTTGAGGAGGAGGAGCAACCCAGGAAAGCTCAATGGAAGAGGCAGAAAGCAGCAGAAGGAGGGAAGGAAAGATGGTGCTGGGGGAGGGAGTGTCCTGGTCCAGAGTTCAGACGTGAGATGGAGTGTATGTGGTGAGTTGGAGGATCTGAGAATGAGCCCAGGGGCAAGGTGAGTGGTGGACCAGAGCTGACACTTGGAGAAACCATGACTACTTCTATTAGGCCTTAGAATATGTGCTGAGAAGTTTGAATTTTATCCTGGAGGCTTTGGGGATACATAGAATTTTAAGCTAGGGACTAATAGGGCCAGATCTGTTTTACAAAGATTACTCTGGCTGTACTATGTAATGTATATAGAGAATTATGACAAGGCCCTTGTCATTACCACCTGGGGAGAGGTGATGATAAGAACCTGTTCAAGTGGGAAAGCAGAGAAGTAGGCAGATGTAAGGCTATTAAGGAGGAGGAAGTGACAGGATTTGGGTGTGAGTGAAATGGGAGGGATGCACAAAGGAAGGAGTGAAGCTTGGCTTCAAATCTTGATAGCAGGTCATGTGGGGAGATGGTATTAACCAAGATAGAGATTGTCAGAAGGATACCATGTCACAAAGGTTCAGAATTCGTATGCAGAAAGTTATACTGCTCTCTCAACATCCCTTAAAGCAAACTTGATGAGCATATAATGAGTGCCCATTGGGTGCTCATATTGAGTATAAGAATCTCGTCTGTTCCCTTATGTACAAAATGTATAAAAAGGACAGTTCATGCCCCTAGTAGGTTGATACCCTAGTGGATGAACCGTGTATTTAGTATGAAAGATAAAGCTCAGATTTCTAGTCCAATGACTCATTAAAAAATATTGTGTGGTTTGATGCTTGTCTAAACATCAGGAAAACAAATATACTTTTTGTATTACTTTATGAATCAAACACATCATTGTTTCTTGTTGAGATGATAAATGTTTTGAGTCATGGCTTTCCGGAGGGTATTTTATTCAGTACAGATTAGTCTGACAGCCTATATTTTACCTTTTATTTTTTAAGGTGTATTTCACTTTCAGCATCCGAACTATATTTTGGGAGAGGAAATAGAGGGATGGTTAGATGGTCAATGTCATACTAAATTATTCTTTAGGACTAGAGCATTCTTAAATTCTATTATTTAAAATTGGTTTTGTCTTGTTACTCTTACATGATTTTATAAGTAACCACACACCAAATTAATCTTTTCCTGAAATATACATTGAAGTTTTTAGTTTTGTTTGTGGTATATTACAAATAAATCACAAATCAGTATCTGTGTGGTTATCTCTGGTTGCTGAAATCATCAGTGATTTATTTATTTGCATCACTTAGATGTCTAATTTAAACCTGCGAGTAAATTATTTTTGCTGTAAAATGCAATTGAATCTATTGACAGGCAAAAAATATGCTTTGTTCTCTTAACTGTTATTCTACAGTAATATACCTCTGAAATGAAATAGCACAACTGCAATAAACCTCACATTAGGGTATATCTGTAATCATTACCACTGGCTCTGGCACATCCTGTGATTTGATTCTGATCCCCAAATTTTATGGCTTTTTTGTTTTGTTTTGCTTTTAAAAGACAAACCTATAAATGTGAAAAATGTAATTCCAAGACAGTAGAGTTAGGAAGCCATTATGAAGGCAATTGTAGAGGAAAATTGAGAGTGTAAAATGATAACTTTAAAATATTTAAAATTATGGAGGTGGAAATTAAATTGCAGACTTCGGGGAAGTGCGTACTATGCAGGGGAAATGGAAGTCATCCCTAACTTAGAAAAAGAGTGTGTAGTGAGATAAAAGAGCCAAGGAGAATGGCAAACACTGAGCTTAAATATTTCAAAGCAACTATTTCAATTAGTTTCCGCATTTAAAAAATGGCGCGTAGCAATAGGACATATACCAATTCATAGGAAGCATATTTATCTAAGTTCTTTCTGACCTAGCTTCCAAAGGTATATTTGAGAACTAACTGTAATCTGGAAAAGAATTGTTTGTTTTCTCCATTTCATCTTTGCTTCCAGTGTTTACAATTTTAATGGGGCTGTTAGATGAATTCTGGCAAATGGAGAACCATGGCATGATAAAAAGTAGCTGAGGACCTTTGGTTAGTTATATTAACATTGAATTCATTTATTAGATTAAAAATACATCATATGGACTCTTTGATCATTTGCTAAAGTGTATATGCATTTCTGCATATTTTTACTCATTCTGCTACTAATAAAGCAAATAGCAATGATTGTCAACCCTATCAGATCCAATGTTCTCTTCTGTAATAAATACTTTATAAGTCTCCTTAACCATTTTGAAATCGTGTCCAGGTGCTATTGTGTGAGAGGGATAAAATGAAATGGTGAAATGTGTTCACCTCCATTTAGAATCACCGTGAACTATGACTAGAAGATGTGATTACCCTGAATGGCATTGTCAATCATTAACGATACTGTTTCCAAAATGAACAACTCTGGTAAAGCTCTAATACTTCAAAGTAAAATCTTCCCTCACTTTAAACTGAACAAGAGTAGAATTTCTAGAAAATCAGAGTATGCTAAGATAGTAAAAAAATATTTTTTTGGATGTTTTCTTGTGCCAATTTACTTTCAGGCGAGTCAGGACCTATTGCATTATTGATTTTAATTCCTTTGACTTTCCTTTGCAATTTCCTTGAGATTTGGCTCAGAATTTGGGACATTGTCTTAAATATAGTAGGTCCTCAATTGATGGTTATTTGTGTTAGTTACTTTAGAGCATGAACATTTCTGTTTTATTGGGAGTAACAGAATGACAGCTGAATGCAACTGAAATGGTTGTGGTTGTCATTCTCAATTAGAAGGAGGGCCAAAAGTCTAGTCTATCTTGCCTTTTCTTCTTTTTCCAATTTACTTCAGTAGAAATGCTTTTGTAAAGGAGCAATATATAGGACTTGGCACAAATACGGAACTCTGTAGCCCTTCAGTGAGAAAATTGGAAACTGGCAGAACTATCACAAGGAATTGCTAACCACAAAACTTGAAAATAAATATTCTCCTCTTGGTCCATGAACTCAATGGAATAATTGATATATGGTGTTCACTGTGAGTTTCTTTTCTGGTAGTGCTAATCAACTTGAACCAAGCTCCTCTTTGTCTTCCTCAAATTGCCAATGGCACTGATATGAGGTGATTGACTTGAAGCAGTCGAAGATCTCATCAAACTCATCAAAAATGTCAAGGTCGTAGAGTAGTTTTGCAGGTGTGATCTGAAATATTATATAGAAAGGTAGAATTTCAGAGCCAGAGATTTTTCACATTCTGACATAATACATACAAGCCAAATTCATAGATGGTAGTATAAATACTGGACATTTTAGATTATTGTTCCAAAATCATGCTATGAAAATATGATCACAGTGAGACAGCTTTCCAAATTTTGGAAATCTCTCTAATAGAAGTAGTGCATTTCCCCCAACTCATTTTGTTTCCAGAAACCTCATTAAGATCAATAGAATGATAGAGAAGTCGTGGGATGCCATTTTTTCCCCTTCACACTTTAGTAAGAAACATCTTCTTCCTTTTTCTCCCTTTCCGGTGAGGTTGTCTATAATTCTCCAATTCTTTTAGCACATCTGAAGCCCATCTTTCAGAGGGCTGGTCCCTTGCTCCATAATATGCAGGCTTAGCATTTCACTAGGACACTTGAGCCCTGCAAAAAGAGTTCTCTGCCCACACTGAACTCCTGCCTGCTCGTGAGGTCCATCCTGCAGAGACTTCTCCTGCCTCCTTCCCAACTACTCTAAGCACCAACTTACCCCACGCTTGTAATTTAAACAGTAATTTACAAAGGTTGTTACTCTAAGAGTATGGCATACGTTTACTGAGTTTGCTCTAAGATGATCTATTTTTTTTAAATAATGTTCACATGTAATGCATAAACATAGATTAATAAAATTCTAGAGTTGCTTTAGGCAGTTTTTCATTTAGAAAAAAGCACATGTTTAGAAAATAAAAAGTTTATTTTGTTTTCTAATTATGAACAGACCTGTCCTTTTCTCACTCTGAGAAATAAAAAGCTTAAATAATCCCATCTTTGATCTGTGCTCTGTGACAATAACAAATCCTTTAGGCACACTTATCTCTTCAATAAGGACTTTTTTGGTTTTCAGAGCTCTGGCGATCTATTTTCTAAAATGTTTCCACGTTCATTTTTCTTTCTATGATATCCTTGGTATTCTTGTGATGTCTCTCTCTCTTCTCCACTGCTATTGGGAAAGGTGAGGGTGTGGAGACGGGGAAGATGGCTGTGGTTGCTGGGCTGGCAGGTATGACGGCGCATCCCAGAGCCCGTTTATCCCACCATCTGGTGCTGGTGCTAGAGGAATCTGCCCATCAGAAGTGATCTTTTCTATTGTCCCTATTCATAATAAGCAGAGTGTCATTTAGATCTGGGAGTACCTTATTCTAGTTATAAGAAACCAGTGAGACAAACTGTTTGTTGCACTGAGTTCCCTAAATGCTCTTTATCTGCTAGCTCCTGGTTGTGCTGTGTGGTTCCTTTCCTAAAGCTGAGGAGAGAGAGAGAAACAGATCCCATTTGTTACAAGTGATTAGATCCAAAGACTGATTCTTCTCTTTACTTCTCTACCCTGAATTTCATCCTCTATAAAATGATACAATAATCCATACTTCACTGAATTGTAAATGTGAAAATGAAATAGTACTGCATATGCAAAGCATTGAATATAGTCACAAGCAGATAATAAGTCCTCAAACTATAGCTGTTATTATTATTAATCAGACCTAAAGACTAGATTATTATCATCTTTCTTAATAAAGATCATGAAATATAGCCAAATCCCTGAGCAAATCAGAGGTGACATTTGTTCTAGCCCTCAGTAGAGAGGAATTTTATGTCCAAAAATTTAAAGAATTTTGTAGCCTAGACATCTCAATCTCAAAATGTACAGAGCTTTGTATACCCTTTCTCAGAACTCAGGAAGGAAAAGATATGTGGATATAATCAAACAAACAAAAACATAGAAGGGGCATCATTTTAAAAATAGCCACTCACTTTATGACAACATTGCAGATTTTGATGTCTCCTGGGTTTTCACTAATTTCTTCCTGTAAGAAGGCTCAACCATTTTATGTTTAAATGAAGAAATGAAAGAAACACTTTGACTTTTGTTGCCATTGCTTTTGGTGTTTTAGGCATGAAGCCCTTGCCCATGCCTATGTCCTGAATGGTAATGCCTAGGTTTTCTTCTAGGGTTTTTATGGTTTTAGGTCTAACATTTAAGTCTTTAATCCATCTTGAATTAATTTTTGTATAAGGTGTAAGGAAGGGATCCAGTTTCAGCTTTCTACATATGGCTAGCCAGTTTTCCCAGCACCATACATATGTAACAAACCTGCACGTGTGCACATGTACCCTAGAACTTAAAGTATAATAAAAAAAGAAAGAAACATTTTGAATAGATATAAGAAAATGAAGATTTACTGTATTCAGCTGAACAAAAAGTTAAGTCCACAGCCAAGAAATATGATTAAGAGATATATTTTTGTGGGCAAAGACTCTTAGTTCAGTATGCTTATTAGTAATACACACACACATATGCACACACACATACACACATGTAAAATGAGCATATTCTATTTTATTTTGAGAAAAGAATAAAAATCACAGTTAAAAATGTATACCAAAGTATTTACCTCTTTATTTTAATCAAGTGATTAGAAAATACATGAAAAAGTAATACATGGGGCAGATAAGTGTGGTGAAAAGAGAGTTGCTTTGGATTAGAGTTGAGAATTCTGGCCTCATTTTGAGTGAATTGGGTATTATTCCAAACTTATATGAGTGTTAGCATTCCCGTGTGTGTGAGTATTGCCGACCTGCGGGGATGGGTGAAGTGGAGTGCCTGGCCGCATCAGTTGTGCCCACTCTGTGAACATGGACTTTAAGGTCGCTCTTCATATGTGGTTTGTAGCAATATCTGTTTAGGGTTTATTTTCAATTTGTTTTGGTCCCAACTTCCAAAAATGAAGAAGGCAGTTCCCAGGGCTTGCTAGGCTAATAGACTTTTAATAGCTCAATATTCTAGTTGGATAAATGTCAGCATTTGGAGAAAGGATGCCGGTGTTCAGTTGCTCTTTGCTAATCCACTCTATTACCCTTCCTCAAGGGAAAGATGGGGCTCTGTGGCAATCTCCAGCACCCCAAACCTGTTCCACTGAAGCCTTCTCTGAGTTTTTTGACAGTACTCACTTCAAAAAATAAGATTAACTCACATGTGCCAACATGGACCTATCTCAAGGAAGACAGAGAAATTTATACTTTTTAGCTAGCAAAATGTTGGACCATTTCAATTAACATTGTTTCTTGTGCACCAGTATGTTGAGCTAACTCACTTCGCCAACACCCAGTTTGCTATTTATGGCCTCGGTTCCACCCATGAGAACTCATTATTATTCCTCTTTCCTAACCGACTGCAGTGTAGTCCCAGCGTCTTGTGGTGTTTACTCCATTGCCTTGTACCACTCAAGATGGTGTTGCAAAAACATTCCTTCTGCTCTACCATCTGTCTTGTGTTTCTTTTCTTTTATAGACTCCCAAATCTGGCCCTCTTACCCTTCTAATAATCTTTAAATTTTAGAATATTTTTAGATTTACAGAAAAGTGGAAAAACTAGTACAGATAGTTTCCATATACCCCTTATCCAGTCTCCCCCATTGTTAACATCTCACATTATTGTGGTATGTTTGTTAAACCAAAGAAACTGAAACTAGTATACTACCGTTAACTCAGCTCTAGACTTTATTTGGATCCAAAGTGATTATGTTTTGTCCTCTTTCCTTTCCAGGGTCTCCTCCACCAGGCCACCACATTGCATTGAGTTGCCACTTCTCCCCAGTTTCCTCTGATCTGTGACAGTTTCTATCTCTCCTTGCTTTTCACAACCCTGTGAGGCCTGAGGAATACTAGCCCAGTGTCCTGCAGAGCATCTCCCAATTAGGGTTTGTCTGATGTTTCACTCATGATTAGACTGGGAATATGGAATTTTGGAAAGAATACCAGAGTCATGAACCCCTTCTCATCACATCATATCAAGGGGTACCTCATATCCACGCAGCGTCACTGAGATGTTGGTCTCCATCATGTGGTTAAGGTGTGTTTGCCACGTTTTCCCACTGTGAAGTCAAGTTCCTATTTCTCCTTTCTGTGTTCTAGTCTTTGGACGCAAGTCTCCAAGGTGTGCCCATCCTCACAGGGCTGCCTCCTTCTTTAGAAAACTACTAACACAGTGCACCAAGAGTATCAAAACAACATTTACAGAAATTTTAAAATGCATAAGAGAAATAAATGAAAAAAGTTCAGGCTGCCGTTCTTGTGTTTCCTCTTCCCGTTTCCTGTTCAACTCTCATTCAGAGCACACACATGTTCTAACTGTTAGCAAAGTGTACATACATGTCATTGATAATTTTTTTCTGTACATTATGTCATAAGCATTTCCAATACTGATAGACTGATCTTTACTTTTCATGATTTGCTTCACCTTGTTAAGTTTCTGGACATTTAGATTCTTTCCAATATTCTCTATTTCAACTAATGCTTGGTGTAGTCATCTTCACATATGTAATGCTTTACAGAATTATTGTTGCGTAGGATTAATTTGCAGACATTTCCTCTGACGTATAAAGAACACAAATTAAATGCTGAATACATGTATTATTATCTCCTTTAATTCCCAAATTTCATTGCAAATCCAAAATAAATACCATGGACACTCTTGTTTCCCTCTTGCTGTTAGTTTTTTCTGGGCTACTTGCTTTTCTGAATCGATGTGATGATTACAACTATCCCTGCTAATAGCTGTACTCACACTGGTTTTTTAATATTGTTATATTTTTCATTTTAACTTCATTATGGTTTGAACTAAATAATTTCAGCCTCTTCTACCTCAGGGAGTTGTGAGAAATACTGTTGATCTTTCTGTGGTTTGAAAAGCACCTGGAGCTCTTTGGAGAGTTGGTATTAAAACCATAAATTTGCAGTGCTGGCTGATGCTCAGGGGTGAGTGGTGCCAGGAGGGAAAGCTGCTGTGTGGGTTTCCATTTGGCAGAAGTGGGAATGGAGACCCAAACTCATGTAGGGCCTGGACTGGAAAATATTGCTCTGAGTTCCTGGTATCATTCACTAAATTTACAACACATCATCTTTGGAGATGTTTTCTCATCCATGTAGTCCCCCCAAAATTATTGGGAAACTTAATGTGCCTGGCATTTTGCTAAGATTAGACATACTGAAGGTACAATGTCTTTAAGGAGTGGATAGTTTCTTAGGGCAGGAAGTAAATGACAACAAATAAAAAACAACACAATAGAAGGTAGAGGTAAAACAGAGGAGGGAGTGGTTAGCCTATTTTGAAATGAGTAAGAAAATACTTCCTTGAAATAGGTGATGTCACAGAATAAGTGATATCACAGGATAAGTGGCATCACAGGATAAGGTGGCATCACAGGATAAATTTTGAAGGATAAATAGCAGTGTTCTTGGAATGAAGTGGAAGGATTATATGAAGGCATTCCAGAAGAAGAGATAGCTGATGCAAGATCATAAAGGTGAATAATGTTCTTGGGGAAACTGGAGTATATGGCAGATTCTAGTAGGAGATGAGAATGGAGACAAAGGCAAGAATAAAATCATATAGGATTTTGCTAAAGAACATGTGCTTTGTCCTGTAGTAGGAATAGGAAACGTCTGAACCTTTCAAAGTACAGCTGTAGCCTGATAAGATTTATATGTTAGTTATATAGTCTTTGATGCAATATGAATTGGAGGGAAAAGGGGCTACAATTAGAGTTCATTTTGACAACTATTTTAATAGTCCAGTTGAAAAAATGTAGGGAAGCCTCTAATAACCATATCTCAAATTTTCATTCTGTTTGGTTAAGAACACTGTTCATCATCTTTGTGTTAGTCATTCTTGCTGTTGTGCAGATTTCTTTGAGATTGTGCTTAACTCCTACAGATGTAGTAAATGAATTCTCAAGTATTTATTAATCATCCAATATGTACAAGCTATTATATAAGGTTTTTCCTGAGATTAGAAGGAGTACAATTCACCCTACAATTAACTGGCAAGCTTTTGAAACATGGTGGAGTAACAAGAAACAAACAAATATTTTAGAAATTATTTTTGCCTCCAAGGAGCTTGGCATAACTGAGAAAAGCAAGACATAGCCACAGAAATAGAAAACACGACAGTTTATATTTTGCAAGTGCAGTACTTTGTTATATCCAATTACACAAAAATGTGGAAAGAGAGAGCCGTAGGATTCAGTGGCTGAGAGATTACTGTGGGTAAGTCCTGGGAGAGAGATAGGTCAAGCTGGGACTTGAGAGAGTGATAGAGCCAAACAGAGAGTCAAAGACAGAGTCGGTTTTGTTTTGTTATTAATTTTTAAATTGTAATTTGACAATTTATAATTCTATAAATTTATAGGGTACAAACAGAGGTTATAACTTATAAATATAATGTGTAATAATTAAATCAAGCTAGTTCATGTATCCATCCTCTCAAATACTTAACTTTTTTTGTGGTGAGAATATTTGAAATTCACTCTCTAGAAATTTTGAAATGGGCAATACTCTCTTATTTATATGCATCAAGCTGTGTGACGGAGCTCAAAAAAGGAAGAATCCTATGTCTTCTGTCTGACTGAGGTTTTGTACCCTCTTAACCGTTATCCCCTCATTCTCCCAATCCCCAGCCACTGTAAGCACCATCCTACCCTCTGCTTCTATGAGAGAGATTTCATTGACTCAGGTCATGTTATCAAGAAGACATTCAAGGGCCAGGTGTGGTGGCACACACCTGTAATCCCAGCACTTTGGGAGGCCGAGGTGGGCGGACCACTTGAGATCAGGAGTTCGAGACCAGCCTGGCCAACATGGCAAAACCCCATCTCTACTAAAAATACAAAAAATTTAGCTGGGCATGGTGGTGTGTGCCTGTAATCCCAGTTACTCGGGAGGCTGAGGCAGCAGAATTGCTTGAACCCAGGAGGTGCTGAGTCAAGATACCATCACTGCACTCCAGCCTGGGCAACAGAGTGGGACTCCATCTGAAAAACAAACAAAAAAGACATTTAGGAATCTGGTTCCAGGCACACTGATGGAAATTTAGATTCTAGGCTCCAAGTACAATTTAGTAAAGTTCTACAATTGTGCTTGCTTTAGATTGCATTCACCAGAAGCAGTCCCTGAGAAGAGGATAAATGTGAAAAGGACCCATTAGGAAGTGTTCGCAGGGAAACCCATCAGGGGATCTGGATTGGAAAGGGAAGGAGAGATCCAGCAAGGGCACAGGATCCAGCGAAGTCTAGGGAAGCTGCCTGGTCAGGAAAAGCAAACTCTACCAGGGTCAGTCACTGGATCAGGGTCCCTTGATCAGTGTGTGCATTCTCAGGCAGGCTCCAGCCACCCTGGGCAGTGCTCCAACCTAGCGGGGCAGGTGCTGGCTGTTAGGGGAGAAGAGAGCACAGAAGCTGGGGTGCTTCAAGAAGGCAGAAAGGTCCCAGGAGGTGTCCGTAGAGCCTGACAGCATCTGCTCACTGTCCGAGTCAAGCCCGGCTCCTGCTCCATTTTTATGGAGTTCCCTGCATTGCAGGGTGTTTGGAACTTATTGCTTAGCGAAACCCAAGCAAAGATTTCATCTTTCAGTTCTTCCCATTCGTCATTTGCCATTTTCCCTTACAACGAACGTGAATATTGTCTGAAACTCGAAGTCCTCCAAGAAATCCTCACCTTTCTTGCCTGCGGCCAGTTAAAGCGTGAAATATTTTGCTAGGCAAAATAGGGCTCATATTCACATTTTCAGGAGAGAGCCATAAGGGTGAATTTTTAGTTTGCTTTTCTTTGAGTCCTGTTGCTATTCCTGACGAGATTTTTGCAGCGCTGAGCAAGACCAGAGGACCTTGTGTTCTCCTTTCCCTACAGAAAATGGCTTCTATTTCATAGGTCATGTCTTTTGCCTGCAGAAATTTGCAGAAATTATCTTCCAATTTTCAGAGCAATTTTAATTGGATAGGAATCACACTGTTAGCAATGGTGAACCTCTGATTTCCTGAGCAGTGTGTTTTAAAACTTAGTTTTAGAATTAACTTAATTTTATTACATCTTTTTTTTCAATGGAAGTCAAAATATGTAAGTTCACATCTAGGCGTATATAGTATGTGTAGAGTACATTGTGAGGGTGTGCAGGTACTGTTTCTTGGTTTCCCATTTCTAACATTATATCAGTTGGTTCTTAGTCATTTTTCATATGTCATGCATCACAAATGGTACTTATTTGTTCTCCACAAAGCCATCTGGAAATACCAAAGAAATGTAATGAAGTAGATACTAAAATAGTGACATGGTCAGAAAATATGAGAAGAGGAAGGAAATTGAACCTGGAGTAGATGCTCTAAAGGCATCAAACTTATGCAATCGAACAGCTTAAGTTTGGAGTCCTAAATAGATTTTCTTCTGGCAAATACCCTTGTGTTTGGTGAGAGAATCTTTGACAGACCTTGGTGAGCACCGTCGGGCAATAGCTGCTTCTGAAACTCACAGCTCTGTCTCTTTGGGTCTCTGCAGATGCCATCAGGGCCTCAGTGGGGAATTTCTACAGGCTCTCTTTGTGCTTTCATCACTTTGTTCTTTGGAGGACTTATCGTCTTTTTACAGCAATTATCTGCTTGTGTGTCTCTCCCCTAACCCAGTCTGTGTTTTATTTACACCCAGTAATCTTTGTGGATGAAGGAATGAATGTTGAATGAATAAAGGAAGGAAAAATAAAGGAGGTAAAATTTCACCGCCTCTGGTTTGCAGTCCATCTTTCTGCATGAGTCTCCCACCAATCCCGCACTTCCACTCACTCTCCTTCTCTGCCCTCTGCCCCGCGGTGCACTCACCTTGGCAGGGACAAGGCTAGTTCTGGGCTCTCCTCTCTCTCCTTTGCCACAGCAAGTCTATTGCTGGCCACTCTCCTGTGGGAAACATCTTCCTTGCTTTCTACTTGGAAAACAATCTAATGGACAATTTCACACTAATGTGTTGGTGCCTGCCGGGAATTGAAAATTTTATATGCATTTTAACAAGGACAAGTGCAGAAATTGATTTCTAATTATAAGAGTTAAGGCATCAGAAAATAAGCTATCTAGGAGCAGAGGCATCCTTGGAGCTGATGTTGCCTCTGAGATCCTGCCCTGCTGCAGGGTGGAAAAGAAAACTCTGGCTGTCACCGGAGTCCCTTCTCAGGGCTGGTTTGAGACTGGCTCCCTAGACGCCCTGCCTAGGTAAGAATGTCCTGCCATTCACAGCTGGGTGACTTATTTGTGGGGACTAAATGCACTAGCTTAGGTAATGCATTTAATGCTGGCACTTAGTAAGGACTCGTTCAAGGCTTATTATTTTACTTTAAAAATATACTGAAAATATTTTTAAGTATATGGGACAAAATGCTTAATGTAGTCTCCAGGGACCATCACTAACAATCTATTCTCTAGTACAGAATCATTAGAGATGGTGTTAATCTCTTGATGTCTTTTTCTGTTAAAAACCTGCCATGCAGAAAGTCTACATTAAATTGTCTAACCTGGGGGGCCAATTGGTAACATTTTAGTAGAAGAAACAGACCAATGCTCTTGGGCATTTTATTTTTTGGTTTTATGAGACCTCAGAGATGTACTACCTATATTTAAAATTCTTATATCCCATTAGTCAGTAATTTTTCTGGTTGAGAGAAACTGCAGAATGGCTCAAAAGTTTGACTTTTCCATGTGATTCAGCAAATCTTATGATACTGACTATAATAAAAACATCATTCTCATTGTACCATGGTGGAGAGATTGAAAGTTATTTTTTTTAACAATTAGAACCTGAACAAACATTACACCAAGGGGACCCACGGTTACCTTTCAGGAGCCAATCTCAAGATTCTGGAGCTCCACGGAGCTGCCCCTGGAGGCAGCCTGGGCTCTGAAGCTGGGGAGGCCGGTGGTCTCAGCAGTTGCTTTGACTCCTGGGTAATCTGAATCACAAAGCTGCCGGGGCCTGCATTGCAAGTCCTTTGCTGTTCAGTGCTTAGACAGGGGAATCGCTCTTTGGACATACTGCAAATCATCTCTTAATATGGATTTTCTGGGCTGAATCCTGATTTGCCATGCAGGACACGCAGCCTGAATCTAGTCCCTTCATTTTTTTATTTCCACAAATGGCCTTGCCTGGCTTTCCTTCATGATGGCTTTGTCGGGTTGTGTTTTTATCTCTTTATTGTAACTCACTCTTCCCACTTTATCTGTGCCTTTCAGTTAAGCGGTCTTTTAGCTTATTTTTTATCTTGTTTGGTCCTTTACCTTTTATCTGCACTTTAGATGAAAGACAGAAAATGGCAACGTGTGGGAAGCAGTGTTGTGAAGACGGCCGATTTTCTCAGCAGGATGGACTTGCTGCTTCTGATGGGTGCTGGCGAGGCCCAGACTGTACCCAAGATGTCGTCCTGATGGTCCTTACTCCCTATTAGTGTCCTAGAGCTGCTGGCACATGATACCAAAAGCTGGGTAACTTAACAGAAATGTGTTGTCTTGCAGTTTGAAGTCCAAAGTGAAGGTATCAGCAGGGTTGGTTCCCTCTGGGGGTTGCAAGGAGAGGTCTCACCTAGCTTCTGGCAATTTCTGGCAATCTTTGGCCTTCCTTGGCTCGTGGAAGCATCAACCCAATCTCTGCATTCATCTTCACATGGCGTTCTGCTTGTATTCATGCCTGTGTCAGAATTTCCCCTTTTTATAAGGACACGGTCATATTGGATTAGGGGCCACCCTATTCCAGGATGACTTCATGTTAACTAATTGTATCTGCAACAGCCCTATTTCCAAATCAGATCAGGTTGTGAAGTACTGGAGGCTAGGACTTCACCATAGGAATGTTGGGGGACACAATTCCACCTGTAACATCCCCAAACTTGGCCATCTGGGAACATTGCAGCTTTTTAGAGAAATGCCATCCAATACTGTCATTGCTGTCTATGTTTGAAATGAATGCACACAGGGAGTCTACAGTGTAGGCAGGAGCTTGCATTCTCTTTCTGGGAATGCTGATGCGTTCTAGGGAAGAGGCTTCTGTTTCTATTCTGCTTGAAGCTGCCTGACAGCTCAGTTCAGTGTCCACCACGACTGTCTTTTTCACTTTTTGGCTGTCACAGCCAGAACTATGAGGCAGGCAAAGGCATCCTTGGAAAATTCTGCCTTTTGTGTCTGTGTTTCTCCTTCTGTCCTCAGTATGTCCTCCCACACTGCATGCCCTATGAGCTTCAAAAGTGCCATTTTTCCACTTTCTGGACTTTGTTGCTTGCTTGTAACTGGGAACTTGCCTTTCTATTTCTTTTGCTTGCTTATTTTTGAGAACTTTATCTCAGGCACTTTAGGAGACCTCCTTAGTCATCATGCAGTCAACATTTCATTTTGCATTTATTTGGGTGACTAGTAAGAGTTTGTAGAAAAGTTCTTAATTGAGCATATTCATAGTCTAGGCACAGTTGGGAATACGTGAAGCTACTGGAGCTACTACTATCATCATTTCTAATTAGCTAGTGTAATAATAGTGCTCCTGCAGATGGCTTAGGGCAATGCTGGGCTGTTTAATTTTTAGTCTATTTGAAGCATCGTAAGAACAAGTTATCGTCTCGTGCTTTAGAAACCCTGGGGAGAGGTCTGACTGAGCAGGCGCTATTGATTTGCACTTGATCTGCACCTAAGAGATGGTTGAACAAGGAGAGTAGATAGGCTCACTCAGCGATGGTGAGTAGACAGGGAAGGGCAGTGGACTCCTGGGGGCACAACACACATTTTTTTTTAGGGACAAGCAGAAGAAGAGAAAGCATGAAGGAGATAGCAGAGGGAGGTCAGAAAGGAGAGAGGAGAGGCAGGCAAGTGCAATGTCACGGAAGCCAAGGGGTAGAGTATTTCCAGGAGGGCTGGACATCCAGCATTCAGGTCAAGAACACTGATGACATTTGCAGTCTTGGTAGAAGGGTGGAAATGGATGCTCGATTGTGTCGAAGCACACATGGGAAAGGGTGAGGCCGAGCAGGATGGGAACCCACTCCTGGAATTTTGAATGAATAGGGAAGAAGAAACAAGGACTGGATGGCGCCAAAAGGTCCAAAGTTGGTTTTCAGGAATGGGAGAAAGATCCCGTTTAGAGGTGAGAGAGAGAACAGTCCACTTAGAATTGGAGGTTAAAGATACAGGAGAGAGTTTAGCATTTGTGGTGTTCTGGCATGAAAAATGTATGAGCTTTAAAACCAAATTAGTTTCTTGCGTTTCTGATTCTGTTCTTTGCCAGCTCAGCTCTTTGGGAAAGCTACTTCAGTATATTTATTTTTTCAACTGTGAAACAGGCACATTAATACTGATTGGATGTTATTGTTAGGATTAGAGATTGGGTGTGTGAAGTACCTTTCACAAGCAGGGACTCCAATTTAGGTTCCTTCTCTTGCTTCTCAAATCTTGTACTAACAAATACTTTTTTTTTTTTTTTTGAGTCAGAGTCTTGCTCTGTCGCCCAGGCTGGAGTGCAGTGGTGCGATCTCGGCTCACTGCAAGCTCTGCCTCCCGGGTTCACGCCATTCTTCTGCCTCAGCCTCCTGAGTAGCTGGGACTACAGGCACCTGCCACCACGCCCGGCTAATTTTTTGTATTTTTAGTAGAGACGGGGTTTCACCATGTTAGCCAGGATGGTCTTGATCTCCTGACCTCGTGATCTGCCTGCCTCGGCCTCCCAAAGTGCTGGATTACAGGTGTGAGCCACTGTGCCCGGGCACAAATAAATACTTTTAAAGCTTTTTTAATGGAAGTTTCAAACATATACAAAAATAGAAAGAATAGCATAATCAGTTCCCCTGTGACCAGTATATAGCTTCGCCGACTATCAAGTTTGGGTCAGTGTTATTGTTCTCTATTTCTCACACTCTCTCTTTCCCTTGATTAATTTGAAGCAAATTCCAGCCATTAAGTCATCTCATCAATAAATATTTTAGCCTGAATCTCAAAAGATGAGTTTTCTTTTTAACATAAACATGATACCATCATTACCTTCACCCCTCACAAAACAGCAATAATTTCTTAAAATTATTAAGTGTCTACTTTGCATTTCTCCAGTTCTATGAATTTTTCCTTTTTAAGTTCCACACATTGTTACTGTGTAATACCTCCCTTTAACCTGTAGGTTGATTCCTCTCCACCTTTCATTTTTTTGTTGTTGTTGTCACCTTGAGTTTTTCATATTCCCGTGGGCTGCTTTCCCATGGTGGCATTTGATACGTTTCTCTGCTCTTTGCAGTTCTGTAAGTTGGTGGTTAGATTTGGAGGCTTGATTAGCATCAGGTTTGATTATTTTGACAAGGCTATGACTTCCAAGGTGGTACTGTGGAAACATAAATGGCATTTGTGAATTTGCAGACACTGAGGATTGTTGCCTAGAACTCTCAATTCGTTTAGGCATGACTAATACTATTTTAAATATATTTCTTAATATTAGGGTTATTATAGATGTAAATCTCCCCCAAAATCAATAAAAATACATGCACATTGAGTGCAAATGAATTGCAAATTAATTTTTTCAAGTGTTTAAAGTCAGAAATACAGTTTTATTTTATTAGAAATTTTTTTTTTTTTTTTTTGAGACGGAGTCTCGCTCTGTCGCCCAGGCCGGACTGCGGACTGCAGTGGCGCAATCTCGGCTCACTGCAAGCTCCGCCTCCCGGGTTCACGCCATTCTCCTGCCTCAGCCTCCCGAGTAGCTGGGACTACAGGCGCCCGCCACCGCGCCCGGCTAATTTTTTGTATTTTTAGTAGAGACGGGGTTTCACCTTGTTAGCCAGGATGGTCTCGATCTCCTGACCTCGTGATCCGCCCGCCTCGGCCTCGCAAAGTGCTGGGATTACAGGCGTGAGCCACCGCGCCCGGCCAGAAAAATTTTTAAAAAAACTTTTAGGTTTGTGGGTACATGTGAAGGTTTGTTGCATAGGTAAATATGTGTCACAGGGGTTCATTGTACATATTATTTCATCACCAGTTATTAAGCTCAGTAACTAAGAGTTCTCTTTTCTGCTTCTCTCCCTCCTCCCACCCTCCGCTCTCAACTAGACCCAGTGTCTGTTGTTTCCTTCTTTATGTTCCTAACTTCTTATCCTTTAGCTCCCATTTGAAAGTGAGAACATGTGGTATTTGGTTTTCAATTCCTGCATTAGTTTACTGAGGATAATAGCCTCCAGCTGCATCCATGTTCCCACAAAACATATGATCTCATTCTTTTTTATGGCTGCATAGTATTCCATGATGAATATGTAACACATTTTCTTTATCCCATCTGTCACTGATGGACGTTTAGGTTGATTTCATGTCTTTGCTATTGTGATTAGTGCTGCAGTGAACATTCATGTACATATGTGTCTTTATAGTGGGATGATTTATATTCCTCTGGGTATATGCCCAGGAATGGGATTGCTGGGTCAAATGGTAGTTCTGCTTTTATCTCTTTGAGGAATTGCCATACTGCTTTCCACAATGGTTGAATTAATTTACACTCCCACCAACAGTGTATAAGTGTTCCCTTTTCTCTGCAACCTCACCAGCATCTGTAATGTTTTGCCTTTTTAGTAATAGCCATTCTGACTGGTATGAGATGGTGTCTCATTGTCATTTTGGTTTGCCTTTCTGTAATGATGAGTGATATTGAGCTTTTTGTCATATGCTTGTTGGCCACGTATATGTCTTCTTTTGAGAAGTGTCTGTTTGTGTCCTTTACCCACTTTTTAATGGGGTCGTTTTCCTCTTGTAAATTTGCTTAACTTCCTTATAGATGCTGGATATTAGACCTTTGTCAGATGCATAGTTTGCAAATATTTCCTCCCATTCTTTAGGTTGGCAAATTTTTTATCCAAAAAATATTGATTGACTTCTCTACTTTATGCCAAGCATGGTTCTAGGTGCTAAGTACAGAGCAGTGTAAAATGGTCTAGCTATACAGAGGCTTGGGTTTACGAAGCTGACAGTAAAATGACTCAGGGTTTTGTGAAGTGGGTGAAGGATTTTGCAGAGCTGCTCAAACTGCATATGCAGAACTGTTGACCAGTGAGGATGGTGAGGAGGACAGGTCAGTAGCCAGGGAGGCGCTAGTGGGCAGGGGCAGTGGCATGATGTGAAGATGTACCCAGCAATGTTTGGGGTACCCAGGACATGAGCAGTGGTTGGAAAAGTGATGAAGCACTGAAATAATTTCCAAGGATGATTTGTGGTCAAGCCAGAGAAGCCACATACAAAATAGAGAATATTTAATCATGATATCCTGCAATAAAAATCATGGGAAAACAACACAGTCTATTCAATGTTTATTCTAAGTATTAATACGTAGCTACATATAAGTATAAGCTGGTTTTCATTATTTGTATTTGTTTTATTGAAATCAAATTTTTTTCTTCCCAATTAACTACGACATTTTGGTCTGTTTCACGTGAATCCACTTTCCAATTCCAAGTTCATCAGGATCCCACGGTTCTCTTGTTTGTGTGGGCTCTTTCTGGCAGTTCTTTTCAAGGTCATTTTGAGCTGCCTTCCACTGAGCTTTGCAGGAAGAGCCTGTGGTCTGAGAAGCCACAAGCAATATCTGAGGCAAGGCAGGTTTGGCCGACCTCGTAATAGGTCTTGATTTTCATCTAACACCAATCAGTTACTCTGTTTGTCAGGAAAGGTTAATCAGGGGCTACTCTGAGCTTCTGAACCACCTGGCTCTAGGGTTGGGAACCACTTCTTTCACCTCCAGGCTGAGTCTATTGAGAGGCGGGTCTAGGTCCTCACATGGAGCCTCTGCTGTAACCTCCCTGCACTTTGCTCCCCAAAGACAGCTGCATCCCCTCTAGGATTTTCCCCATTGCTTCCTGCATTGTCCTTTGTGAAAATGCAGACACGGCTATGAGTAGACCCCTGTTTCTACCTGAGTCGGCAGGTTCACGGGGGCCTGACAGCATGGTTTTGGTTAGATAGGCAGACAAAGGAAACTCCTGAGATTGGACGGGGCGGCATCCAGAGAGAAGAAGAAGAAAAACACAAAACAGTTGTGCGTGTGAGCACTGAGGACACGCATTCACGCTGCCTCTTACTTCCCAGGGACCAGAAGGGCTCACATGAAAGTCGATTTCTCCTCCTTTTTTTCATTTCTTTTATGTTCTTTCATTTCTCCACATGGTGTGCTAGCATCTGATTTTATGTTGTCACGCATTTCCTTCTTTTCTCACGTCTTCCTTTCCCTGTTTTAATTTTTATTTTAATTTTCCTTTTGTTTCTTTTAAGCTTTTATTTCCTTTTTTCCCTTTTTTAATGAATTTTCTTCCTTTGCTTTTCTTTCTTCCCCTTTTCTTGTGTTGCTTTATTACTTAGAGACGAAATGTTTTCCGGGTGTGTGTTATGTGGGTAAAGTGCTACCTTTGGTAAACGGTTGTACAGAGGAGAAAGCTGGAGTGCTGTGGTTTTCTTTTTACAACATTTTGACACATGGAACCGCATGCTGAAGATGAGAAGCTAGTTTTTGGTGCGGCTGAAACTATCGTAGCCATGATATTCTAGTTCAATAGATGGCAAATCTTACTGCACTTTAGACTTGCTTTCATTCTCTCTTTCGAAATGTGACATCTCTTTTGTTTCTCTGTCTCCTTTCCTTCCTTTTTTCTTCCTCCCTCCTTTTTTCTTTTTCTCTCTTCTTTTTCTCCTTCCCTCCTTCCTTTCTCTCTTTCTCTATTTCTTTTTTCTTTTGTTTGTATGCCAAGACAATGGCTCCTGGGCCAGTCCTGAGTGAAACTGTCACATAGTTGAAGTGACAGATGACTTCCCACTTTTTGCATTTCTCCCTTAGTGCCAGAGAGTTTTGTGACATCATTACTGCCCAGGCCTCACTCTACTGAAATAGCAGGTCAGGATTTGTTGGCATTAGTGATGCCATCAGAAGAAAGAAGGTGTTCATCACTAATAAATAGATCCACTTGTTACCTTGCTGGGTTATCTTAATTTTAAGAAAGAGTTACCACAGTTTATTCTTTAGATCGGGTTCCCAAACTTTTTGGTCTCAAGACCCCTTTATGCTATTTTAAAAATTACTGAAGGCCCTCAGGGAGTGTTTGTTTATGTACGCTATATCTGTCATGTTTACTGTATTAGAAATCAATATTGAGCAAAATTTAAAACACAAGAATTTTCAAGCATGCATACCACTAGCTGGCAGAGCCTCTGGAAATATCTACTGTATACCTGTGAGAGAACTGGAGTGAAGAGGGGGAATTTCCTCTCAATATCACTAGGAAAATAGATTTGAACTGGCATATCCCCTAAAGGGACACAGAGATGCCCAGGGCCCCCAAACACACTCTAAGGACCATGGACTTAGATATTTAGTGACAATTACTGAGTACTTTATGGTAGGAATTCCAGAAATGGTGTGAGGAAGGTGGGAGAATACTGGACTTTCATGGTATCAAGAATTGATACCACATGTGGGGCCCTACTCTACCCATGTGTAAGACAACCCTGTATATCTGAAGAATGAGATCATGTGTATATTCAGTGAGAATGATTTGGTATCTTTTTCATAACTGTCAGAATCTTAGCCAGAATGATTATAACCTGAACATTTGATACTGTAGGTCAGTGTCAGAGACACCAGCCCAGCATTATTGCCTAACAGTCTCTTTGTAAAATTCAGCCTCTTGATATGATACCAAGAAAAGCACCAGGGGTTTTGGCTGTGTTTCTCACTACATGGTTAACCAAGTAACACTTATGGAACTATGTGTGAACAATCATATCCTCTTTTCTATTTATCTCCCGGACTTAAAAACAAAAAACAAAAAACAAAAAAAACCCTTTCTCTTACAAGAATGTGTCATTCACAACTGGGTGCGGTGGCTCATGCCTGTAATCCCAGCACTTTGGGAGGCCGAGGTGGGCGGATCACAAGGTCAGGAGATTGAGACCATCCTGGCTAACACGGTGAAAGCCCGTCTCTACTAAAAATACAAAAAATTAGCCGGGCGCGGTGGCGGGCGCCTATAGTCCCAGCTACTCAGGAGGCTGAGGCAGGAGAATGGCGTGAACCTGGGAGGTGGAGGTTGCATTGAGCCGAGATCACACCACTGCACTCTAGTCTGGGTGACAGAGCAAGACTCCGTCTCAGGAAAAAAAAAAAAAAAGTAGTATAAAGAGGTCATTCACAACGGAAGAACTGTGTTAGGTAACATCACCAATTATTTTTATGATTAAGTATCTTCCAGTTGGGTGTCCCAAAATTTGACAACCTGTATCTAATCATTTGCTTCTTCTTTTCAGATAGTTTTGAGGCAGCTGTGCCATCAAATAGCCACATTGTTTCGGAACCTGGAAAGAATGTCACACTCACTTGTCAGCCTCAGATGACGTGGCCTGTGCAGGCAGTGAGGTGGGAAAAGATCCAGCCCCGTCAGATCGACCTCTTAACTTACTGCAACTTGGTCCATGGCAGAAATTTCACCTCCAAGTTCCCAAGACAAATAGTGAGCAACTGCAGCCACGGAAGGTGGAGCGTCATCGTCATCCCCGATGTCACAGTCTCAGACTCGGGGCTTTACCGCTGCTACTTGCAGGCCAGCGCAGGAGAAAACGAAACCTTCGTGATGAGATTGACTGTAGCCGAGGGTGAGTGAGCACCAGACATCTTCTGGTATCAAACATGGAAAAAGCCAGCCCCGTGGGCTGGTCTCTGTTTTTATTTATGGTAAACATGTTCATTTAATGCGCATATTCAGCATTTTTTTAAATGGCTGAATTTAGGTGAGTTGGCCATTATTCTAGTATTGAGGGTTTCTTTATCTTGTGAATCCATCAATCAGATACAGCAATAAAAATCTTTCCAATTTTCTTATCTGCCACCATCCTGAAGCTTAAAAAAGAAATTCGTAAAGGGCTGAAAAACATATGGTATTACCAGCCTTCAGGTTTCAGCTGTAGAACTCCTATCTTCCCAATTACATGAATATTTTTGATGGTGGTGATAAGGTGTTAGAATCCCCACATACCCCAGCAATACAAGACAGTGCTAGGTTGATATGGCTGAAGCAGGGCTGCGTTGAGTGCATTTCAGCAGGTGTTTGAGAATGCGGTTGCCAGTTTGCCAGACAGGAGCCTTTTTTTCTCTCAGTCTTTTTCAGATGTGGATGCAGAAACAGACTGATGTTGCATCTTAATATTACTAGGAAAATAGGTTTGACCTTGCAGATCCCCAAAAGGGACACAGGGATCCTCAGGGACCCCCAAACATACTATAAGAACCACTGACTTAGATCTTTGGTGACCATTACTGAGTATAATCTTTGTGCTGGTGAAATTGGCCTTTGGGGCTTCCACCTCCTCCAAGGCCTCCTCCAAGGCACCACACTATTTGTATATTAGGCATTTGTCTTTTTTTTGTCACAATGAAGCCTTTCATTGTGTTTCAGGACCTGCAAAACCTAGATCCACTTTGCATGAGTATGAGAAAAAGTAATTTCTTTCACTTACAGAAGTGCTAATATAGAGAGGCCCATATAGAGGTCTGTGTAGAGGCCTGCATTACAGTTGAGAGAGAGGAAGGCCATCCCAGGCTCTCCCAGCTCTGCCTCTGGGCCAGCTTCCTCACTGTCGGGACACGGAAGAGAAAATAATTTATTTTTACCTTTCACTTTGTTCTCCCTTCTTCCTTTCCTTCCTCCCTCCCCTCCCCTCCTCCCCTCCCCTTCCTTCCCTCCCCTACCTTCCCCCTCCCCTGCCCTCCCCCTCCCCATCTCCCTCCCCTTCCCTCCCCCCCCTCCCCTCCCCTCCCCTCCTGTCTCTCCCCTCCCCTCCCCTCCTTTCTCTCCCCTCCCCTCCCTTCCCTTCTCTCCCCTCCCTTCCCTTCCCTCCCCTCCCCTCCCCTCCCTTCCCTCCCTCCCTCCCTCCCTTCCTTCCTTCCTTCCTTCCTTCCTTCCTTCCTTCCTTCCTTCCTCCCACTTGAGCAGGCCCCTTCCAAAGCACTGCACTATTTGTGTATTAGGCATTTGTCTCTTTTGTCACAATGAATCCTTAAATTGTGTAAGATTCCAGCCCCCACAAAACCTAGATCCACTTTGTATGATTGTGAGAAAAAGTGATTTTTTTTTTATTTACAGAAGTACAAATATAGAGGTCCATATAGAGTTCTGTGTAGAGGCCTGTATTACAGTTCCCTCCCTCCCTTTCTCCCTCACTCTCTTCCATCTTTCCTTCCCTTCCTTCCTTCTTTCACTCTGTTCCATTCCCTTTTCTTTTCTTCCTTCCCTTCTCCCTTCCACATGCTTTCAGCCAGCTAATTTACCTTTGACTTATGTTAGACTTGTAGAGCCAACGCTTGCTAGGCTTTGGCTGTCCCTTTATAGACTTTGCTCATATTGCAAACTGATATTTCTTCCTGTGTTGAAAATGAAGAAGAAAAGGTCTTGTATAAACAGAAGCTTCCACTATAGCTCTGTGTATAATAAGGAGAGCATTTTCAGGGAATAACATCTTTTCATACACAATCACCTTGGACCACATCAAGCCTCCCTTGTTCCTCTAGGAACTGTGGTGAGACATACATTGGACTTAGAATTTAATGAAAATGATGAGTGGTTGGTGAAATATTTGGGGGAGGAAAAATTAGCAGAGACTCCTCATTTTAAATGTTGACTCTGTTCCTTCAGACACAGACAAAAAGAACTTCTTACCTAAAAATCCCTTGCATTATGGAAGTATTTTTTGAAACTGGTCAGGAAAAAGAAACAGTGAAAACAGATTAGAGACCAAGGCAAGAAAAAAATGTTCTATTCAGAAAAGTGTCATAAAGAATCATTTTCAAACACGTATAAGATTTTGCCCATTATATGCTGAAAAAGTAATTGTAAACATCTTAAATTATAGAGAAAATGAAGGTAACAGATTTTTAGGAGATATGGTTATTTAACTCTTATTAATTAATAAAAATGTCATTCATCTGTCCAAAGATGACTAAGTTTCTTGCACAAAACTATTTCTTTGTATGTAAATTATAAACAGCGTCAAACTCTGCCAATGAAATGAAGATGACTAAATGTAATGGTCAGTAGTGTTAGTGTCCATGTGTTTTGAACAGTTGCAAATGGCTTTTTGACATTCAGTTGACAGATTGAAAGAATGTCAACTGGACCTTGTATCCATTAGTAAAAAGTTATCATTGACAGAAGATGACAGCCATTGACTGTATGTTTCAGTTTAATTCCTTTTTTCAATTTTTATAAGTGAAAGATTGAATATAAAACTTAGATGCAAAGCAAAACAGATCATTTGTGTTTTCTCTGGTGCAATTTGATTATTTCACGTCTTGAGGCTCTTTGGTCAAAAATCAATGTGGAGATTAAAGCAGAGAGACAGATATAAGATGTGGGACAGATTTAATTTATTTCAACTGCCAAGGGAAAGGTGATTGTGGCAGATTTTATAAATTGCTGTACATACTTTTGTTAGTTCTCAATGACTTCTTTTATAGCACATAGTATTGGATCTAAAAGAGAGATTTTTAGGACTCTCATATTCATACACACACACACACATGCACACACAGACACGGACACACACACAGAGAGGGGCTCTTCCCCTGACTCCTACCTGCCTGCATTCATCTTCAGACAAGTACCAGGTCACTCAACAGAGGACCCCTGCCAACCAGCAGGTCAAGTATCCAGGCCTTGATTGGTTTTGAACAGAGGAGAAAATGGCAGAAGCAAGAACTGAACTCACATTTACCACTGACTTTCTTTGCTGAGTGAAAAGAAATACATTTCTCTTGTCCTTTGCACTTATGTCCTGAAATGTAGAATGAAATAATTCCAGACTGACTTTTCTGAATTTGAAACTTGCCTGGACCGAAGGGCAAGGAAAGTGGGGACGGGGGGAGCACAGGGGAATGTCTGTTTATTGACAGTGACTACAGTTATTTTTGGCCCTTAACATCCTCTGGATTTTCATTTGTCATAAGAGAAGTATTTTAGGTGCCACTAAAATAATTTGTCAAATATTTTAATATTAGCTAAATGATTTGCAGACTACTATTGTTTAAACTGACCTTATTGGCTATAAAAAGAATGAAGGCAAAAGAAATAAAATCAGCTCTTGCAGAAAGTTTCTGGAGGAGGCTAATATTGAAAAAACTTCTGTTTGCTATTGATAAGTATAATTACTCATGTCCTTGTATAATCGTCTTCCACCAGTGAGACCACTCAGGCGGGACCATCAAGGTTCAAATGAGGCATTGATGATTAGAGCTGAGGAATGACATGAAACAGGTTATGAAGAGTAACCCCAAATATGCAGGAGGAATGGGGAGATGGTGCATGGGAGACTGTAGTCAAATGACTAGGTTGGTATGGAGAGTCTAAGTTATGTATTAATATGGGACGAGGTAGGTTAAATTAAGTGATGACAGTGAAAACCTGCATCTCATATAATTGTCAAGCAAAGCTACCATTAGTTCTTGAGCAAAGATGGCAAAACAATAATCATGAAAGAATAAGTTGCTATATGATTTTCAGTGTGCAAGTCTTTAACATTTTTGGTTAAGTTTATTCTTAAATACTTTATTCCTTTTATTGTTATTGGGGATGGGATTTTGTTTTAATTCCTTTTTTGGATAGTTTGCTGTTTGTGTACAGAAACCTGACTGATATTTTATATGTTGATTTTTGTATCCTGCCTCTTAACTGAATTCATTTATTAGTTTGAACAGGTTTTTTTGTGGCACTTTTAGGGTTTTATACATATATGATTATGTCATCGGCAAACAGAGATAATATTACTTCTTCCTTTCTGATTTGAATGCCTTTTGTTTTCTTTTTCTTGTTTAATGGCTCTGATTAAGACTTCTTGTACTATGTTAAGCAGAGGTGTTGAAAGTGGCCACCTTTGTCTTTTTCCTGATCTTAGAGCAAAAGTTCTCAGTCTTACATGACTTGGTATGATGTTAGCTGTGGGCTTTTCATAGATGGCCTTTATTGTGTTGGGGTAAATTCTTTCTGTACCTAATTTGTTGAGAGTTTTTTTTTTTTAATCACACAAGGATGTTGAATTTGTCAAATGCTTTTTATGCTCTATTTTGATGATCATGTGGCCTTTTTATATCACTTTGTTAATGTGGTGTATTACATTGATTGATTTACATATGTTGAACCATCTTTGCATGCCAGGGATAAATCAGAATTGATTAGAATATACAATCCATTTAATGTGATGGTGAATTTAGTTTGCTAGTATTTTGTTGAGGATTTTTTCATCTGTGTTCATTAGGGATGTCAGCCTGTAGGTTTTTTTTTTTTTTTTGTGGTGTCTTTGTCTGGTTTTGGTATCAGGGTGATGCTGGTCTCATAAACTGAGTTTAGAACTGCTTCTTTTTTTAAAAAAGAATTAAATCATTTATTGATTACACATGATAATGTAGAACTGTTTCTAAACTCAGGATTGGCATTAATTCCTAGAATGTTTGATAGAATTCATCTGTGAAGCCACCTGGTCCTGGGATCAGTGATGGGTCATAGGCCACTGATCCACCTACCTTTGTAGGCACAAAGGTGTCCTACACAGGGTAGAGAGATACTGTCAGCATGATTTGAATCTCAGTTTGTGCTTTCCACTGCCTCAAAACACTCACACTTTCCTACTTTCTCCTTTTTCTAACTGACTAAGTTTCCATCACATTTGCTTTCTTTCCTATAGAGTTTCAGCCGTCTCAATGTCTATGTTTTTTTCCACATCAGACCAAACTGCTTCCCCATCATTGAAATATTAAGCATCTTGGATTTCTCAAACTTTTATAGTCTGAAAATTGCTACCCTCGAGTGACTTATTAACTTCCATCTATTTGTATTTATTTATTTATTTATTTTTTGAGACCGGGTTATGAGACTGGCTAATTTTTGTATTTTTGGTAGAGATGGGGTTTCAAGGATGGTCCTGGGCTCAAGCAATCCCCTGCCTCAGCCTCCTAAAGTGCTGGGATTGGTAGTGTGAACCACCACACCTGGCCTGCATCTATTTGTAATGTTCCAAACTCTGGTTATCAGAAATTAATTGAGATTAAGGATTATGGCATCTGCTTAAAGTTGTCAAAGCATCTTTTCAGAATATGCCCAGTAAGTGTTCTTGACCGATTATGTTAATGTTTCTATTCATTCTAGTAGGGGCTGTGTCCATTTTAATTTTAAGTTTTCTACCTCTTTTCTTTCCAGATTTTTTTTCTTCAACGTTTAACCTTTGAGGTTTACTGATTGTTGATCAAAGAAACTGAACTTTCAAAAGATCAACTACAGTGATTGGAGAAAAAACTTTCATGAACTCTTGTTTACATATATAACTTTCAGATAGGGCTATTTACTTTTTTAACTTTCATTTTCTTATTTTGAATTTTTAATATAAGTGGCACATAATTGCTGGTCATCTGAATAGAAGGATGGGATTAGTAAATTAAGATTACAAAACTATTCACTAGGAAATCATAGTGCCACAGCTAAGAGAATCTTCCCAGATATTTCCTCTGGGACGATGTGAGGTATAGGATTGACAAGGAGGAAGGACAGGGGAATAGAGTGCTGTAAGTTATAAATACATCCGTATATAGATGATACATCTTATTTATACAGATTATAAATCTTGCCTGTAGATGGCTTGTGGGAGGTTACTGACTTTGAGACTCTGTGCTCCTGAGTTGGATTATAAAATTATTGAAGAAAGGAAATAAATTTTGCTTATTTCCTTGGCCTTTTATTTCTGTCAAAAACCAACCAGTTTGCTCCCAGTCCATTTGGATTCCAGAAGAGTTTCAGGTTGTAGACAAGACAGTTTTTTTTTTTTTTTAAGGATTCCATTAATCCAGAACCTTCTGTCCCACTCCTATGAATTTAGAATAGATATAAAGCTTGTGGACATGAGGATTGTCTGAACTGGTGTGCACTGGGCTGACAGATATGTCCCTTTCCATGACATTGTGTGGTGAACCTCAGCCTTTTATTATCTTTACCTACATGGAAAGTAAAATGTCCATGACAGTTAATTTATATGATGGAGCAACACGACCAGAATCCCAGAGCACCGTGTCACTGCTCACAAGCTAAAATAACCTCTACTCAAACAGATCAACCACAATTTTCAGCCCAATTTAGTTTTCTCGGTGAAACTGGGTATCCAGATGAAACATAGTTTCCAGCATCACAAGTGAGTTGATTACTCAATCATGGCTATTATGTGGTTGAATCTTTACTTTACTGTTGCCTCTGCCCAGATCATTTTTTTTAATGATCTATTGCATTCAAAAAAATGCAACCGGTCAGTTAATTTGTTTTGTAAGCCCTAGTATTGATCTATTCATTTTTTGAACACACAAAAACCTAGAATGTTTGCCTGCAGTCATTTTTTATACATACTATTATTGTATAGATAAGTAAGATATTGAATAATAGTGATAAGTTATTGTCAGAGGGAATGAAACTCTAAAAGGTTACATGCTGAATTTATCTGATGACACTATTATATTGAAGAACATTGTTGACTGTACATTGCTACCTCATGTACATAAAGCAAGTTCTAACAGAACACCACTATAAACAATGCAAGTTTGTAGAATTAGAAAGCAGTTGATCCTAGGAACTGCTGTTCTACAGGTGGACCTTTATCTTCTGATTGAATTTTCAACTCTTTTCATAAAGTTTTTCTCTCCCTGGGAACTTAGACTACAAGTCAGGATTCACATTCAGACAAATGTACTGATTTTCTTCCTACTTAAAATTCACACATGGTGCTTTGGGAGGCTGAGGCGGTAGGAGTCCTTGAGCCCAAGAATTAGTGGCTGCAGTGAGCTATGACTGCACCATTGCACTGCAGCCTGGGCAACAGAGCCAGAACCTGTCTCCAAAAAAAAAAAAAAAAAAAGAGAAAGGAAAAAAATAGTCAGTGCATGGCTACATTTATTTGAGACCTTTCAAATGACTCTGACTGTGAAATAACCATTTATACTTTATTGTCGTATATGGAATTTACATTCTAAAAGCACCTGGGAATTGTTAACAGCTTGAGGTTGTCTCTTAGAGCCTTATTAAAAACTGAACATAAATGATTGATCAAAGATTTCTCCAAAAGCAAGTAGAAAATTACTTAAAATGTAAAATAAGTTATTCTTATAAGATTAATAGCATTTCATTCTTAATAGAAATTCTAATTTAAGTATTACAACTCAATCAGTCGATTACTTTGAACTTCATCTGAAGTATTTCAAACATTATTGACATGGATCCTGATAAATATTCAAAGGCGATGTACTAGGTTTCTGGAGGACTATGTTGTTTAAGAGGACGGAAAATGAAGAATAAACAGATCTGTCATAAGTAGAAGTATATCTTTGAACCCCAATTTCTATCTTTAAGCTATTATTTATACTAAAATGATTCAGGGATTTTAAAAATACATTTATTCAACAGGAATATAAGTTTTTTTGGTGCAACTTTTATAAAATAAATATTTTGCAATCTTCATTGAGCACTCTAAAATTCATTTCCAGGATTAATTCAATGTTTTTAACTTTGGTAGAACTCAAAGGTAGGCCATGGTGTTCACAATCCTTTAGATATGAGTGGCATTTTAATTAATTAACTCACAGGGAGAGAGTCTTTCACAAGTATCAAGTTGAAATGTTAATACTCTCAGTTGGATTGGTGGAAAGTGAAAATGGCTTTAGCTATGTTGGACAGTGAGTGAAACAATAAAAAAAACCTTATTGTGATGATGATGGACACGGGTAAAATAAAAAGTAGATGCTGAGTTGAGAAGATTTCATTAACAAAGGGTGGGGTATTTTCTGTGGGACGCAATGTGTAAATGAACCCATGGGAGGGAAGTTTATACAGAAAAATACAGGCTCACCAAGTATAGTTATCCTGATGTCACTGTGTCTTCAGTTTTTCACATCTTATGTGGAGCATTAGGATTGATTATTCACTCTTTTAATTTGTGTGTGTGTGTGTGTGTGTATGTGTAGGTGTATGAACTGAGATATCTATGAATATTTGTTAGGAGGAGTAACAAGTTTATTTTTCAACCTGCCGTATGGTAAACACTCAACAAATACACACGATTGTGTGGGCAACTTTATAACCACACTTACCATATGCACACATGCCAAATCCCAAATATTTTAATCCAAACAAGTCATTTTGCTTTTATATTGACTATTTTCTCTTCCTGATCCAGCAGATAAAGGTATCAGTTTTGAAATCTAATCATATAATTCATTTTTAAATTATTGGCTCTTTTTAAAAAAGAGAGATGAGATGGGTTATTAAACTCTAGAGCATAAAGCAGCAGATTTTGAAATTATTCCTAGTTATTATTTCTTATAGCCAGGCATAGGCTTTCATGTTTTGTAGAGCACTTAGGGAATTTTTTTCATAAAATGGTTTAAAATTGGATAGTCTATTTGGAGGTATTCAGCCTAAGGCTTGCTGAATTTCATATTCTGAAAAGATCTGTACAACATTTATAACACCTTTAGATATAAGTCTTTGTAAATGCTATATGGTTTGCATTTTCAAGTTTCCTTTTTTTAAAAAATTATTTTTACTTTTATTTTTATTTTTATTTTTTTTTTGAGACAGGTTCTCACTCTGTTGCCCAGGCTGGAGTGCAATGGCACGATCTCGGCTCACTGCAACCTCCTCCTCCTGGGTTCAAGCGATTCTTCTGCCTCAGCCTCCCAAGCAGCTGGGATTACAGGCACCTGCCACCATGCCCAGCTAATTTTTGTATTTTTAGAAGAGACGGGGTTTCACCACATTGGTCAAGCTGGTCTCGAAGTCCTGACCTCAGGTGATCCACCCACCTCGGCCTTCCAAAGTGCCGGGATTGCAGACGTGAGCCACTGCACCTGGTCACATTTTGAAGTTTTCTAAGGACCCAAGGAAAGAGTTATAAGTAGCTGTTCTAAGAATTACGTGTCACAGGGCTTTGTCTTGGTCGCTATATGATAAACACACATACCATGTTTCTATGTGTGCCAGTGGCTGTTCTGAGAATTTACTCGTAGTTACTGATTTACTTGTCACAGCAGCCTGACTGCCCACGTTTGACGTCTGTGGAAAGTGAGGTATGGAGAGTTGACGGGACTTATCTCAGGCTTGGTAACTAATAAATAGAGGGGCAGGGATTCAGATGCGGGCTGACTGGCTTCAGAGTTCCTATTCTTGGCCCCAGCACTACTTTTCTGCTCAAAGTGGAAGAGAAAAACTACTCTCATCAGGAGACTCATCACAACAGAAGCTGGTGACGGTGGAGCTACAGAGCGTCCTTCTTCAAGAGGTTTATACAAGTGATAGGTTTCAGGCTGAACCAATGTCTAGAGCAAGTTTAGGCAAAGGAGTCGGGGAGCGGGGGTGGTTCGTGGTCTCCCGCTACTTTATTTCAGCTCGGGATCCTTCGCTGACGCCAATGCTATGAGGGGACCTTCTCCCCTTCCTTCCTGTCTTCCTTCTAGGGGCTTGTGCACATCATGGAGTCACGTGAGGCAGGCTGTCCACACAGTGCCATGAGGGACAGGCACAATCAGGTAGCAGGTGTGAAGGCCTGGAGGGGAGGTGCTGGTTGCTGGTGAAGTCAAATCCACACCAGGAACAGATTAGGGGAACTTTAGGAGTAGCCTCTGCGCAAAGGAGACCTGGTGATGGCTCAGGTCTCATAGGCACAGCTTCTGGCCACTACAAAGCACCTGTTCTCATGGCCTCACCAGATCCACCCACTGGACGCTTCCTGTGTGGGAAAGTCCACTCCCTTGAACAGCTTTCCAGGAATCTGCTAAAAGTTCCCAAGCACGCCCTTCCTTCCTCCTTCTGAGGCTTCTCCCTTCTTCTCTTCCTGTCAAATCCTGCTCTCTTGCTCTTGTGCCCAGACCGTAATGGCTTCTTGAAACCAGAGCTGGAGTAATCAGAATACTAGTCCCTCCTTCCTTAGGGACAGTGAGGGCTTCACCTCTAAAATCTCCCTTCCAAAAACAAAAGTTTATTTTCCATATTAAAACATTCTGAACACTTATGTTCTCTCATGTTTATGTAGTTTATATTGTACAGCTAAATACATAATATATTTAAATGGTATGGTATGCCTATTGTGTGTCCTGTTGCAACCTGCAGACACCAGGTTGTTTATCTTGATTTCACTACAACATTTGAAAAATTTCCTATTTCCTGAGGATAAGCATAATGGTAGCACTGTAATGTAGAGTTATACCTGATTAAACAACAGTAATAATAAAAGTGTGCCGGAGAAATATAATTAGAAACAAAATCTCCTCCCTACCCAGAAAACTGCTCCACAAAGGTAGAAAACAAAATAATTTTGTTATTGAATAAGCACTAAATCAGAATGTAATGCATGTCACAGGCAACCTCCTAAGAGACTGCAAAGACAAAGAAATCTCACTCTCTCATACAGCCAAGTAGATACAACCCATTACATACATGCTCTAAAGATGAATGATAACTAGTCTTCAAGTAAGAGGGCTTGTCAGACATTTGTCACACATGCTTCATCCTAGATTCAACTGGTAATTGGGGATGACTGTGTGTGTTAGCTAATAATTGGCTTTATCCAAAGGAAAAACAAACTTCTCACATCTTTATGACAGGAGGTACTTTTGCACCTTGAGTGAGGTGCTTGTGGTAGTTTTCTACCCTCTCAGAAATTGGGAGGTAAGGGTGCTGTCTTCCTTGATGGTTACATTTCAAAGGGATGGCTCCCAGGTCCTCGAGAAAGACATTTCTCCATCAAAAGCTGACAAAAGACTTATCTGGCCGTTAAAAAGATGTGCATGTCTTTCAAAGAGACAGAGACAGAACTGCCAATTACAAGTTTTCTAAAGTCAATACCCTAAGAAAGGAGGGAGGAGAAATCCACTGGCAGACTGGGGCTCAGCAGCTGGAGCTCCCCTGGAAGGTGCTTTCTAGAGTAGAGCAGTGTTTCTCAATGCCATTCTGTGGAACACCAACATCAGGATCATCTGGTATGCTTGCTGAAAGACATGGATTCCTGGGACTTGTTCCCAGGCCTAGGAATCAGGGTGATATTCCACAAGGCTCCATGTGGTCATTTGTATTGTTTTGTTTTAGAGACAGGGTCTTGCTCTGTCATCCAGGCCTGGGACTACAGTCCTTAGGACGGCCTGCCTGCAAGGTTGGCTCTCTGTGGGCATGTGAGAACTTGGATTTTTGGAGGCTTTCAACAATTCTCTGACTGCTGGGGTGGCTTATTCTGTCTAAATGTTTATACAACCCATGTGGTTTATGCTAAACACCTGCTTTTCTTCAGGGACATCAGCCAGTCCTTCTGACTTTGCCCAGGCAGTTTATCCCTTTGCTGATTTGCTTTGGATCCTTCTGCTGTCATAAACCTGAGCTGTGACGTGGGTACAGGCTGAAAGCTGTGTGTCCTTCCAGCAAATCCCAGATCCTGGGGAGGGGGCACCCTGAACACAACCGTGAAATAGTGTGTTGGTTGCCTTTTAATACTGATGGCTCATTTTAAGATGATATTTCTATTGTTATAAGAACATATACATTCTCATACTAGTTTTATTTGAAACACAGTTTGCATATACAATAGGCCTTATTTCTGTAGGCAATAAGTAATGACATGTCTTATATACATACATCTTCTAAGTTTAGTAAAGCTTATTCCTTTTATGTACCAAGTTTTTAAATTATCATTTTTAGATGGAAAGAATTCGAAGCTGGATAGCATGTTTCTTTGCCTTACTAAACAGAGGACAATAGATATAACCATCCTGTGGCTGTCCTGGTGTCCTCTGAGCACCAAGTCTTGCGCTTTGCTCTATGTGGTGGGATATAATGAGAAGCAAGATGGTTAATCCCCGCTTTAAATTACCTTGTGCCATTATACTCTTGTATGTTTGTTTGTTTGAATTTGGTCCCCTCGCTCACTACAAAGCATCACCTACCTCGTTTGTTTTCCTCAATATTCCATAGTCTATTTTTTGCCATTTTTCTAGGTTTTTTTTATTGTTATAAAAAACAACGGTTTTAAAGTTAAAGTTAAAAAATAACTTCTGTTATGACAGGAAGCCAGATTCCCAAGAGACACTTTATGAGTCAAAGGTGACAGTATCTATGACAGTCTCACTGCTATGCTTATCCAAGCAGAGAACTTGTTGCATCTACTTCATCTTCTTTTTTATGGACTTGGCATTTAATTTCTAATTCCTGATTTCAATCAAGACATGTCTACAGACATGAACACAAAAGCACTAGAAATAAAGCTAAACAGAAACAGTCTTGGCTAGGCTTTGACTCAGAGTCAAGTGTCCATAATAATCCCTTGGAGCCAGGCGTGGTGGCTCCTGCCTGTAATCCCAATGCTTTGGGAGGCCATTTCAGTAGGACTGCTTGAGGTCTAGAGTTCAACCCCAGCCTGAGCAACATAGCGAGATCTTGTCTCTACAAACAATTTAAAAAAATGTTAGCTGGGCCTGGTGGCATGTGCCTGTGGTCCCAGCTACTTGGGAGGCTGAGGCAGGAGGATCACCCAGAATCCAAGCCTGCTACATGAACTCTTTTCTGCACACTAATTCACTAAGACAGTGAGAAAGGTATGTGCAGCTCTTGACATTCTGACTTTTGAAGCATCTATATAGTCTCTTTAAATAATATGTTCATAAAAATTGAGGTAAATGTGCAAGAAGTATAAGACTCAGAAATATTTGGGTAAAAATATGAGATATCTAATACAAAGGAGTCAGCCGTAACATTTTTCTCAATAAATGTGTCAATTTGAAGATGTTCCCATCTCTTTGTCCTCATGTGCTCACTTAAATATCCTTGCCATACACCAATCACTGTGGAGAACTTATGGCCCACAGTACTGAATGATGCTACATTATCGCACCAGAAGAAGTAGCTAATACAGTCATTCTATATTGTGTAGGTAAAACGTACACACAAGCTATCTTAGGGTATATGTTTCTCAACTGACATAAACCTTTAAAGTGTTTAAACTATTTGGGACAAGTATTTTCAACATAAAGAAAGTTTCCCACCTGATATACTAATTTTGCTATAATTTGCCATCAAGAGAGGCAAATTGTAGCAAAATTTCTACATCAGCTAGGAAGCTTGCTTCCCTCACTGGTTTGCTCTATAATGACAGAAAAATTATTTAGATTCTCTGGGCCTTATGTTTCTTAGTTAAAACCTGATAATACTTTTATTTTGAGGAAAAGTAGTTGCTATTTACTCAGAAGAAGGATTAGAGGTTGAAGCCATGGCCCTTTAATTCTCTGAAAATAATTTACACTCTAGGACCTTCTAGCTATAAAACACAGAAAGGTTTCTGAAATACAGAGTATAAAACTGATTTATCTGGACAAAGAAAGTTGACCTTTGAAAACTTGGAATAATATTACCATACCAATATCCACGTGATGCGTATTTCAGGCATACAGGAAAGTTCAACACACTTTGTGCTACTATTATTTCCGGTGGTCTGCCAAGGCAACAGTTATTGTATAGATGTTTACCAACAGTACCTGTGCCTTTCCCCAGGAAGGCGAGTCTAGCTGCAGGAGCAAGCATGCTCTGCTGTACACGACTACTTCAATGTGACATCTCAACATGAAAAAAATAGAAACAAGTTATCTGATTAACCCTCATTTGGAATGTGTCTACGTAAAATATAAATGCATATTAAATATGCATGATTAATAACCTAAATCGTTTGGCGCTTAAAATGTTGAAACCACCTCTGCATGCTTGATTTAAATCTCATAGCTACCCTTGTGGTTAATTTTATCATCATTATGCAGTTGCCAAAAAAAACTGTTTAAAACATTAAGTGTCCTATGTGAAGTCTTCCAGGGGAAAGAATTAGAAGACAGGACTAGGCCCCAAGGCTTTTCTCCTCAGTCTCTGTTTTCAATAAACCAATGTCTAAAGTGGGACAAAGGTTGAATATTTGTTTACATTATATAGAAGGTCAAAACTTTGTATGACCTGATAATGCAGAATCTGTCAGCTCACCCACATCTGCTCTGTGTGAACTCACTCATTATGGTCCATCTGTACACAAAACAAGGTCTAATATTTCAGTTTATTTTCTTAAAATCTAAAAAAAGTTAATTTTATTTTAGTTGACAAATAATATTTGTGCATATTTTGGGGGTACGCTGTGATATTTTGACATATGTATACAATGTAGAGTGATTAAATCAAGCCAATTAACATATCCACCACTTCATTTACCTATGATTTCTACTGTGAGATATTTGAAATTTACTCAGTCACTTTGAAGTATACATTATTATTGACTATAGAGACTCTGCTGTATGATAAATCTTAAAACTTGGCTGGGTGCTGTGGCTCACGCCTGTAATTCCAGCACTTTAGGAGACCGAGGCAGGTGGATCCCTCGAGGTCAGGAGTTCGAGACCAGCATGGCCAACATGGTGAAACCCCATCTCTACTAAAATATAAAAATTAGCTGGGCATTGTGGCGGGCGCCTGTAGTCCCAGCTACTCAGGGGGCTGAGGCAGGAGAATCGCTTGAACCCAGGAGGCGGAGGTTGCAGTGAGCCGAGATCGTGCCACTGCACTCCAGCCTGGGTGACAAAACGAGACTCTGTCTCAAAAAAAAAAAAAAAAGAAATCTTAAGACTTATTCCCCTCGTGTATCTGAAATTTTGTACTCTTTGACCAACAACTCCCATTATCTCCCTCCCCATTCTCTTGCACAGCCTCTGGTAACCATCATTCTACTTTCTACTTCTAAGACATTAATTTTTTTAGGTTCCATATTTAAGTGAGATTATGTGGTATTTGTCTTTCAACAGTGTGCGAGGGTTCTCTCTTCTCCATACCCTTGCCAACTCTTTCTTCTTTCTCCCCTTTCCTTCCCTCCTTCTTTCTTTCTTTCCCCTTCCTTCCTTCCTTCCTTCCTTTCTTTCTTTCTTTCTTTCTTTCTTTCTCTCTTTCTTTTTCTTTCTTTCTTTCTCTTCTCTTCCTTTCCCTTCCCTTCCCTTCCCTCCCCTTCCTTCTTTCCGCCTTCCTTACTTCCTTTCTCTTTCTTTCTCCTCCCTGCCTGCCTGCCTGCCTTCCTCCCCCGCTTTCCTTCCCTTCCATTCCTTTCCTCTTTCTCTCTCTCTCTCCTTTCTTTCTTTCTTCTTTTACTGAAACAAAAGTTCTCACATATTTATTACTGAACCTACCTACTAGTGCAGAGCATATAAACAAAGAGAAAAAACATATTCCCAATAAAACATGTTCGACTGTCCAGATAGTGGTGACATTCACAGATCGATATGGTGACATGATCATGACTTTGACACAGCGTAAACCTGTGTGCCATCTCACGTACAATTCCGTATAAACCCAGCTTGGTTCTTCTTCAGTGGCTCCGTTTTGGAGCTGTAACTGGTTGTATTACCAGCTGTCATCTGAATCCACTGGGAAATGGTGCTGTGGGAAGTCAGGGAACCTGAACGGAGGGACTGGCTGAAGCCATGGCAGAAGAATTTAAATTGTGAAGATTTCATGGACATTTATCACTTCCCCAGTCAATACTCTTGTGATTTCCTATGCTTGTCTTTACTTTAATCTCTTAATCCCGTCATCTTCGTAAGCTGAGGATGTATGTCACCTCAGGACCCTGTGATGGTTGTGTTAACTGCACAAATTGTTTGTAAAGCATGTATGTTTGAACAATATGAAATCTGGGCACCTTAAGAACAGGATAACTGTGATTTTCAGAGAACAAGGGAGATAACCTTAAAGTCTGGCTGCCTGTAGGCCAGTCAGGACAGAGCCATATTTCTCTTATTATCGAAAATGGGTAAGAGAAATATCGCTGAATTCCTTCCCCAGTAAGGAATATTAATAATTCACAGCCCTGGGAAAAGAATGCTTTCCTGGGGGGAGGAGAGCCCTCTATAATGGCCTCTCAGCGGGGGGTGTCTGCCTTATGCAGTTGCAGATAAGGGATGAAACATGCCCTGGCCTCCTGCAGCACCCCCAGGCTTGCTAGGATTAGGAAATTCCAGCCTGGCGAATTCTAGTCAGACTGGTTCTCTGCTCTTGAACCCTGTTAAGATGTTTATCAGTGACAGTGTGTTCCTGAAACTTCATTAGCAATTTTAATTTCACCCCATCCTGTGATCTCGCTCTGCCTCCATTTGCCTTGTGATCTTTTGTTGCCCTTGAAGCATGTGATCTCTGTGACCCACACCCTATTCATACACTCCCTCCCCTTTGAAAATTGCTAATAAAAACTTGCTGGTTTTACGGCTCAGGAGGCATCACGGAACCTGCCAACATGTGATGTCTCCCCTAGACACCCAGCTTTAAAATTTCTGTCTTTTGTACTCTTTCCCTTTATTTCTCAGACTGGCCAACACTTAGGGAAAATAGAAAAGAACCTACATTGAATTATCAGGGGCAGGTTCCCCCGATAAAATGGGATGATTTTGCTTTTGTTTCTTGACCAGGAATTGCTTGACCCTGAAAGTCTTGGGAGAAGACATGGTGAGGAATGGAGTCAACCACACACACCATGATGGCGGCGAAAACCACATGTTTTCTTTCATCTTTTTGAGAAAAGCCATTCAAAAAGGTGTGAGGTGGTCTCTCATTGTGGTTTTAATTTGCAGTTTCCAGCCTAACGCTTGATGTTAGAGAGTCAGGACCTGCGGGTTTTCCCTGGCATATTCTTTGGCCCAGTTATTTAGGTTCTAAGTGACTTGCTTTCTTCACTCCCTAACTCCACCCCCACCCTAATAGAGGATAAACTATAGACATTAATGGCCACTCTTGCCTGCCGAACTCTGAGGGAAGAAGGGACTGGCAATATTTCTATCATGAGCCTTTTCTAAGAGTGTATAACTCAGCCATAAATACTTGTCATTGCCAGAAACTTAGCCTAGAGGGTCACAATCCTGGAGTAAATTATTCTTTTATATATTTCACTGACTTGCTTTAAATTGTTTTAACTGTATTTATCTTCTGTGATGTAAGGTAATGGTTTTACAGTTCAAGACACTTCTCCTCCTATGAATCAACACAGCATTGGGATATAAGTGAAAAAAGTTAGCAAAAAAATGGCTTCTGGAAACAATTCTTCTTTTTTAAAGAAAAGGGCTTCCTTTTTAAAGAAAAGGGCTTCAGGGCTGACATTACTCAATCTGACATCTATTAGCAAAACTTAAAAAACTAAATGTTATGAACTGTTGATTAACTCCCAAAGCATCCGTACCCATTTGCTTTTCCTTTTTATTTTCCCCAGCCATACAGGGCCCAGCAAGGTGCAAGCCCTGTATAGGCCAGTGGTCATTCATGTGGAAGCTGCAGGCAAGGCAGGGAATGGACTGAGAAGCCATGTCAGCTACAGGCTGGGCCACTCTAGATTGAAATGTCTCTGGATTGAATCTCTACCTGACTCCATGCTTTATTTCACCTTTATTTCTTAAGAAAAAATCCTTTTTCCCTAACTATTTTTAAATTGTCTAGGACTTTTCAAAACAATATATGTTCCACTAAATCAGGTATTGTGGTATTAGGATATGCAGATCTATAGGTTTTCATCCACGGGTCCTGGCTCAAAATTCACATGGTCCTTGTTATAATGTTGGGGCACTTCAGGCCTCAGGAAACAGAAGTTCTCTCTGACCTTCTCCTGTCCTTTCTCCTGACCAAGGTAAGACTCTAATCTGAATGTGGGTCAAAAGACCCTCATTCCAGAGAGGATCCCACCCCATATCTAAAGTCTGGACAGGACTTGCTGGGTTTAGATGATATGCTTTTTGCCCAGTCCCATTTCTACAAGGTTGTCAGTCATACCTACGTAATGAAGCCTCCATAAAAATCCAAGAGGATGGGGTTTGGAGAGTTTCTGGACAGCTGAACATGTGGAGCCTCCTGGAGGGTGATGTGGACAGGGAGGGCATGGGAACTCTGTGCCCCTTTACACATGCCTCACCCTACCAATCTCTTCATCTGTATCCCTTGCAATATCCTTGATATTAAACTGACAAATGTGTTTTCTTGAGCTCTATAACTGGCTCCACCAGATTAACCAAACCTGAAAAAGGGGTCTTGGGAACCCCAGCTTGAGGCCCATTGGTCCGAAGTTCTAGAGGCCTGGGACTGGGCACGGTGGCTCACGCCTGCAATCCCAGCACTTTGGGAGGCCGAGGAGGGCGGATCACCTTAGGTGAGGAGTTCGAGACCAGCCTGACTAACATGGTGAAACCCCGTCTCTACTAAAAATACAAAAATTAGCTGGACGTAGTGGCGGGTGCCTGTAATCCCAGCTACTCAGGAGGCTGAGGCAGGAGAATCACTTGAACCTGGGAGGCGGAGATTGCAGCGAGCCGAGATCCTGCCATTGTACTCCAGCCTGGGTGACAGAGCGAGACTCCGTCTCAAAAAAAAAAAAAAAAAAAAAAAAAAGTTCTAGAGGCCTGGACTTGCAATTGGTGTCTGAAGGGCAGGGTTAGCAATGGAGGAGGGGGTGAGATGTCTTTGGGACTGAGCCCCCAGCCTGTGGGATCTGATACTGTCCTTGGGTAGATCATGTCAGAATTGAATTGGCGGACACTCAGCTGGTGCCTGTTACTGTGGGGGAAAACCACCCACACCTTTGGTCACAGAAGTCTGTTGACGATTGCTGTGGTAGTGTGAGAGCAGAGAAAAAACACAATTGGAGAGTTTTTTTTCTACACAGGTGTCAAACTTGTTTTTACCTACCACTTTGTCTGTAGTACCAGGCATACAGTACACCTTGAAATACTTTGTGTTTAAAGACTGAGTGAATAAATGGATCTGATCCAAGAGGCCAAACATTACTAAAAACGGGTTACAAATAGGTAACATATTTCCTATGAAACAATGCATCTGAAATTTGGATTTATAATTGAACAGTGTGTCACAAGTGGTCGTACTTTCAAGCAGGTTATACTGTTAAATTCATATAAATTAGACCTTCATAAAGAAAGCCATCTTAATTGTTAAGTATTCTATTTCTAAAGAAAAGATTTCTACATCCTGTACTTTAACCACTAAGATTTGATAAAATATTCTTTTTTAAGCCTGCAGATCTTTATTTTTTTGGTACTGTATTTGCCTGATCACAAAATGAACACATCGTCTAGAAAATTTGGAAAATATAAAAAAGCCCAAAGAAAACAATTGCTTTAAATTTTTTTTTAAATAATTAACTGTCAAATAAAGATTGAATATATTCAGGGCATACAGTGTGATTATTTGATGTATATAAACATGGTGTAGTAATCACCACAATTAATTAACTCATGTATCACCATCCATACTGTATAGTAGGTCCCCATTATAACCAAAAGTTGGTACCCTTTAGCCAGCGTCTCCCTATCTTCTGCCCTCCCACCTCCTGGCAACCACTGTTCTATTCCCTGCTTCTATAAGTTTGACTTTTTTAGATTCCACATACAGGTGAGATTATACAGTATTTGTCTTTCTATGTCTGGCTTATTTCACTTACATAATGTCCTCCAAATTCATCCATGCTGTCGCAAATGGCAGGATTTCACAGCAAAAGAGCAACCCAATTAAAAAGTGGGCAAAAACAGACATCTTTCCAAAGAAGACATAACACTGGCCAATAGGTATATGGAAAGCTGCTCAACATTACTGGTCATCAGGGAAATGCAAATCAAAACCCCAGTGAGCTCTCACCTCACACCTATTAGAATGGCTGTTATCAAAAAGGCAAGAGATAGCAAGTGTTGGTGAGGATGTGGAGAAAAGGCAACCCTTGTACACTGTTGGCGGGAATGTAAATGGGTACACTCGTTATTGGTACAGGTAGTAGGTTCCTCAAGAAATTAAAAATAGGCCAGGTGCGGTGGCTCATGCCTGTAATCCCAGCACTTTGGGAGGCCAAGGCAGATGGATCACCTGAGGTCAGGAGTTCGAGACCAGCCTGGCCAACAGGGTGAAACCCCATCTCTACTAAAAATACAAAAATTAGCTGGGTGTGGTGGCAGGTGCCTGTAATCCCAGCTACTTGGAGGCTGAGGCAGGAGAATTGCTTGAACCTGGGAAGTGGAGCTTGCAGCGAGCTGAGATTGTGCCACTGCACTCCAGCCTGGGTGACAAGAGTGAAACTCTGTCCCAAAAATAAAATAAAATTAAAATAAAATAAATAAAGCTATCATATGAACCAGCAATCTGATGGGTATTATATACAAAGGAAATGAGGTCAGTATCTTGAAGAAATACCTGCACCGTGTATGTATTGCATCATTGTCTACAGTAGTCAAGATGTGGATGCAACCTAGGTGTCCATCAACAGATGAATAGATAAAGAAAATGTGGTACATAGACACAATGTAGTACTATTAACCCTTTAAAAAAGAAGGAAATCATATCATGTGTGACAGGGTGGATAAACCTTGAGGACATTATGAAAAGTGAAATAAGCCAGACACAAAAAGAAAAAATTTTGTATGACTTCACTTATTTGTGGAATCTAGGTCTAAAACGTTTAAAAATAAAATGTTTGCTTATTTGTCTTAGTTTCTCTTTGCAGTAAAGTTTGTGAAAGAATAAGTGGGTCTATACTTTGAGTTCTTATGAAAAAAATGCAGCTACATAGTGGATAAAGTGAGAAGAAATTTTCTGAGGAAAAGATGGGGAAGAATTGGTTGAAAGTCATGGTTTTCAGGCTGCAATAGGATTCCAGACAGCCGGGGTGTCACAGTACAAACATTCAAGCTTTGATTTCAGGAGGAAGGGAAATTGTGCTGCCCTCTCAGAGCCTGGCATCATCCTAATGGTGGGGTGATTGACAGGTTCGCTTTCCCGAAGAGAGACAGCAATGAAGACCATTGGGTTTCATTTCAGTCCTATTCCCAGCAGCAGATGTTGATGGGATTCTTCCCTGTGGGAGGCACTCACAACATGCTCTGTGGGTTGAAGGGTGAGAGGTGTGTTGTGGGCAGGAGGATGTAACAAAAAGATAAAATGTTCTCTGACCTCACTGGGCTCACACTCCAGAGGGGACATTTCTCTAATCGCAGTTGATTGTTCTTGTGAATATTGACTCATGAGAGTCTCATCACAATTCTGTGATGTAATTAGGGCTGCTGCCATTGCCATCAGTTGACAAATGAAGAGACACATCCACAGTAAGGAATTTGCTGGAGTCGGTCAGTTGAATTGTGAAAGATTTAGGATGAGAATTTCAGATTACTGGACCATGGTAAACTTTCAGACATTGAGTTGGAGTAACATTTTTTTTTTCTGATTTTTTGTATCATTACCAAATTGAATAGAAAATATCTATTTTTCTTAAATTATACTTATAAACATCAGAGTTATATTCTGTTGTATGTTGAATGTACTTAATATATCAGGCATAAAAGATAATCTTTGTTTATTTACTATTTTATTTATTTTTACATAGAGTCTCTCTCTGTTGCCCAGGCTGGAGTGCAGTGGCAAGATCCGGGCTCACTGCAAGCTCCGCCTCTGGGGTTCAAATGAGTCTCGTGCCTCAGCCTAATGAGTAGCTGGGATTATAGGCATGCACCACCACACTGGGATCACTTTTTGTGTTTTTAGTAGAGACGGGGTTTCACCATGTTGCCCATGCTGGTCTTGAACTCCTGGCCTCAAGTGATCCCCTCTCCTAAACCTCTGTGATTACAGGCCTGAGCCACTACACCTGGCCTATTTCCTATTTTAATAGTTTTTTTTTTTCTACAAAAGGTTTTGTGTATATGATTGGCAGCTTATTTGAATGAGGTCTTTGGCAAACGCATGCTCTTTATATTTTTTTTTTTTGTAATGTGTAAAACTCAGCTTAATCAAAAAACAAATAAAAATCTATTAGGAGTTAGAAATATTTAGGAGACTCTAAAAGAAAAATTCTCTTTTTCCTGTAACTCATTCTATTTTTTTTGTTGGATTCTTTGTTTTTGTTACTCAATAATTAATGTATCTTTTCTTTATTTTCCTGCCTTACTTTTTACTGCCTTTGGCTGAATTCCTAATTCCTACAATATTTTTTTTCTCTCCTAGGTAAAACCGATAACCAATATACCCTCTTTGTGGCTGGAGGGACAGTTTTATTGTTGTTGTTTGTTATCTCAATTACCACCATCATTGTCATTTTCCTTAACAGGTGAGTAGTGCAACTTATGCTGAATCTTATTCACCATGTTAGAGGTTCTCTATTAATAACCCAGTAATTTGTCAAGCTGTCTCAGCATTCACATATATATTTTTGTGAGTACTGTTCTAACACAAAGGAGGAGAAGTAGCTGTGGTAATGTTACAGGGAGAGCTGGAATAGTTCATTTAAGAATTGGTAGAAGCTGGTGGTCTGCCCCTTTTATATTCTGCCTGATGCCTCTGCTCTTTATCCTGCCCTGTCTTCCTCCTCCAAGGAAAAAGCTGACAGCGAGGGGGTGGTGTGTGTGCGTGTATGACACAGCGCGAGATGGATACAGATTCTGAGAAGGGGAAGAACAAGGTTTAACAGTGATAAAGCCTTCATTTATTCATTCATCAAATATTTATTGTGCACAGCAGTGAACAAGACATAATGAAGCTCACATCCCAATAAGCAAACAGCATAATTTCAAATAGTTGTATATTCTCAGAACCAAGAAATCTAGGTGCTTAAAATTACTGAGAAGAAGGAATTGGAGGGTGCTGCCTTAGAGACAGCAGGGAGCCATTTGGCCTATACTAAATTTTTTTTAATCTTTTATTGGCTGGTCACAGTGATATGTGCCTGAAGTTCCAGCTACTCAGGAGGCTGAGGCTGGAGGATTGCTTGAGTCCAAGAGTTCGAGTCCAGCCTGGGCAACATAGCAAGACCCTGTCAATAACAAAAATTAAAAATTAAAAAAACCTTTTACTGTATTGTAGCACAGTTGGGAATTTTCTAGGATATTCTTGGCTGAGTTTTTCTTCCCCTTCTAGTTCTCCTGTGCTTATCAGCTCACTTGTGTAGGTATTTGTTACATATCTGCTGTAATCATAGCAGGTTGAAATTATTCCTTATAATGTATTACAGCTAAAGTGTTATCTTCTTAGGGGAGGAAGGGACCACACTTTTGATGTCTATATTTTTCATGTCTGGCATATCATAGATACTTAATATATGTTTGCTGGGTAGGTGAATATGTCCATCTGCACTCCTCTCCTTCAGTAATGTTACCAAATGCACCACACACACACACACACACACACACACACACACCCCTTGTTAATAGGATTTCCAGTGTCTCTCCATCTTGTCTCTTCATCCTTGACCTCTGGCTCTTTAGCAGCTGTCATCACTGCTCCCTGGTTTTGGTAACGTCTCCAGCCTGCTCTCAGCTGTAGCCTCTTTCTCTAACCCATCCAGTTTCCCTGGGTCTTCTTCTGAAGGCTGGGTTGGCATGTCATCTTCCTGTTCAATATCTTTGGTTATCTTCCCACTCCTACCAGAATAATGTTAAAACTCATTAACCCTGTCATTAACCCTGACTGAAGCCTAATTTTTATTCATACTTTCTACTTTATTTAATCTCCCGGATGTTGATAAATTTTGTGGAAACTGAAGCACACCCATTGCTCTCCCCATCTGGTTTGCTACCAAAGTGCTGTTTCCCCACATTTGGCTGCATTCCTATGTATCATTCAAGGTGTGAAACACCTGTCCCCTCTGTGAGCTCTGTACTGTTCTCTGTCCCTGCAAATAGACATGATGTCACCATCTGGAATCATTGTGTACGTCTCTGCTACTCCTCACATCCTGCTTTGTATTTTAATCACTTTCATGCTTGCCATCCCTTCTATTCATAATGGCAGAGTTTGTGTTTCATTCATTTTTTAGCATTTGGTAGCATTTAGCACTAATCTGTCCAAATAATGAATGCTCAATAAACATTTGTCTAATTAAACTAAAACAGGAGGTCAGGTCATTTCACCTTTTTCCCCATCACGGACTGCCCTTAAGTCTTTCCCTGAACAGAAATTAGCAAATTGAAGTAAGGAACCGAGGTGTTAGTAGCACCACGGACTCTTCCACTTTTTCACCTTGGCAATGGGAAACATCCTGGGGGCAGAGATGGCAGAGGGAGCACATGGGAACCGGGCAAATGTGACTAAGAGACAGCGAGTGGTGACAAACCTCCACAGGGTCACAGATGTTGGACATGATAGATTTTGCTTCATGAAAAATTTTGCTTCATGAAAATGCATTATGCATTACTTTTACATGAATAGCTAAATTGAACGGTAGAATACATTGTCCCACTTGGTTAAATGTGATAAAAGGAGATTAGTGGACTTGAATTTGTAATCATGGATGCACACCACAAGGGAAAAGCACTTGTTCCTTCTGCCTCGTCACTAGTATCAGTTTGTGGTTGTTACTTCCAATAGAAATGCTTCGAAAGATGACCCAAGGGCTCCAACAATGACCTTCTGAACTCCGTTTTACTGACTGTTTAAAATAATCCTGCAGCTTCAGATGTATTGACTTGGATAGAAGCCAACATAAATCAGACAGTGTCCCTGAACAAAACTGAATACTTCACACTCAGTGCCTGGTAGCCTGTGTGTTGGAGGGATTGGCGGCAGCTTCTCTGCTCCTGGTTTGTGCTGTTTTCATGCAGAGATAGCAACAGTAACACGACTAAGTGACCATGGCTAGGGAAACAGCCTCACATTGGCAAGTGTGAAAGGAGCCAAAATATGGCCAGGCATGGTGGCTCACGCCTGTAATCCCAGCACTTTGGGAGGATGAGGTGGGTGGATCATTTGAGGTCAGGAGTTCGAGACCAGCCTGGCCAACATGGTGAAACCCCATCTCTACTAAAACTGCAAAAATTGGCTGGGCGTGGTGGTGGGTGCCTGTAGTCTCAGCTACTCAGGAGGCTGAGACAGGAGAATCACTTGAACCCGGGAGATGGAGGTTGCAGTGAGCCAAGATTGCACCACTGTACTCCAGCCTGGGTAACAGAGTAAGACTCTGTCTCAAAAAAAAAAAAAAAAAAAAGGGGGAGCCAAACTGTGTTCTATAGATGTGCACCTGAGTGTAGGAAGAAATTTAATATTTAGGGAGAAAAATGTTAGATATATATTTTTACATTCCTTGTGAACACTGGCATTAATGGATAGGGAACCTTGGTTTTCGGGGCTCTCTGGGTTTTGGCATTGAAAATCTCTTGGCTGGGTGCGATGGCTCACGCCTGTAATCCCAGCACTTTGGGAGGCCGAGGTGGGCAGATCATGAGGTCAGGAGTTCAAGACCAGCCTGACCAACATGGTGAAACCCCATCTCTACTAAAAATAAAAAAAAAATTAGCCAGGCATGGTGGCGGGCGCCTGTAATCCCAGCTACTCAGGAGGCTGAGGCAGGAGAATCACTTGAACCCGGGAGGCGGAGGTTGCAGTGAGCTGAGATTGCAGCATTGCATCCCAGCCTGGGTGACAGAGCGAGACTCCATCTCAAAAAAAAAAAAAAAAAAAGAAAAAAAAGAAAATCTCTCATCCTGGGAAACTCCTTAGTCCCAGGCAAACCAGAATGGCTGGTCAACGTAAATCCAATTGTGATATGTTTACTCTCTTTATTTTTTTATTTTCATTTTTATTTTCTTAACATTTATTTTAAGTTCAGGGATACATGTGCAGGATGTGCAGGTTTGTTACATAGGCAAACATGTGTCATGGGGTTTGTTGTATAGCATATTGCATCACCCAGGTATTAAGCCTTATACCCAATAGTTATTTTTCCTGATCCTCTCCCTTCTCCCACCCTCTGCCCTCCAGTAGGCTCCAGTGTGTGTTGTTCCCGTCTATGTGTCCATGTGTTCTCATCATTTAGCTCCCACTTATAGGTGAGAACATGTGGTATTTGGTTTTCTGTTCCTGCATGAGTTTGCTAAGGATAATGGCCTCCAGCTCTATCCGTGTCCCTGCAAAGGACATGATCTCATTTCTTTCTGTGGCTGTATAGTGTTCTATGGTATATGTGTACCACATTTTCTTTATCCAGTCTATCATTGACGGGTATTGAGGTTGATTCCATGTCTTTGCTATCATGAATAGTGCTGCAATGAACACATGCTTGCATGTGTCTTATAGTAGAATGATTTATATTCCTTTGGGCATATACCCAGTAATGGCGCTGCTGGGTCAAATGGTATTTCTGTCTGTAAGTTTTTGAGGAATCACCACACTGTCTTCCACAATGCCTGAACTAATTTACATTCCCACCAACAGCGTAAAAGTGTTCTTTTTCCTCCACAACCTTGCCAGCATCTAATATTTTTTGACTTTTTAATAATACAGATGAGAGGACTGAACTTTAAAGACATAAATAACTCAGCTAGTAAATTGCAGAGTGCAAGTTAAACATAGATCATTTGACTCTAAGTTCCATGTTCTCTTTTGTTTCATCACATTGTATGCTCCAGGCTTATTTAAATGTGTATGTGTGTGTCTGTGTGTGTGTGTGTGTGTGTGCGTGCACGCGCACGTGTGCGCATGTGCATGTGCGTGCATTTGGGCCTGGTTGGGAACGTTAACTGCACGTTGTGAGATAGCAAGCCTTGTGAACCACAATTTAATAAAAGGTCAAAGATCATAGATCTTTTCCTTATCTTTAAAATGAGGATAATAATAGCATCTATATCATAGATTTATTTTGAGGAGTAAATGATCTAATTTATATAAAACACCTAGCCATATGCCTTGTGTATAGTAAATTTACACATAGAATAAACAAATAAATGAATAATTGGTCAAAATAATAATAAATAAGAAAATAAATGCACATAGAATAAGGTAAGATTATATTGACATGATAGGAGGATTTCAAAGCAACTAGAAGAGACAATTGGAGTCAATATCCATTTCCTGCATAACCTTTCCCTGGAGAAAGACCATCTTATTTTCAAGATATTCACAAAGGAATTACAACCTCACCTTAAAGAGAACTCCCAAAACATTACATTTCTGTATCTTCTGTATCTAACAGAGGAGTCTGTTGTTCAATAAGAATCTTTTCCTTAGGGAGATAAAAAGAGTCACCATCTCCCTATAATAACTATTTTATATAGTTGGATACAGTTATATCAGCTCTTGCATTCAGTTACAGTAGCCTCTTTTCTTCTTCTCTGGTATTTTCTCTTCTATGATTCCCCTGGTTAGGTTTTTATGGGTTTCATTGGAACTGTGGAGCGTTTATTGAATACTGTGGTTGCAGATGGTCCTTTCAGTCACGGCGAAGTGATTCCAGAAGTTGGAGAGCTTAATAGTCAAGAGGGAGGGCGATGGATTTAAATTCCAGCACTACACCAACCGATCATGTGATTTGGGACAAGTTACTCTTCCTCTTCACACCTTAGTTTCTAAACCTGTTTATATGAAATCTTAATAAAATAATCTACATAAGTGATTTAATAAAATAATCCATACGAGTGATTTAGAATAACACCCAAAAGATTTTATAAAGCTTCATTATATTGTCATCCAAGAAGTTACACTGCTGGCATTTAAAATAAATTTTAATTGTGGAAAATGTCTTAAATGTGAGGTTATTTGGAGAAAGCTATAAGTCATTTATGTAATAAGTCACTATAAATCATTCTTTAGTAAAATCACTGAGATTAATTACTAATGCACAGTGGTTAGATATCCATTTAGTTGCCCTCACCATCTGGGAGCAATTTGGAGAAGACAGGGAAAATGAAAAAAACTGTAGGGTAACAGAATTTTGGATAAATGTGCATAAAGCTACTTCAACATATTAGAAGGTGCATGTGGGCTAGGGGTACAGTGAGGTATAGAGTCTTCGAAATAATATTAGTACTGGAATATCATATCTTTATATCCTTTATTGAATATGCATTCCAGAAGGAGAAGGAGAGAGAGAAGAGATCTATTTACAGAGTCCTGGGATACACAGAAGGTAAGTTTATACGGAACTGTCATTTTTTTCTTTTGTAATTTACAGATGCAAAGTCAGTCTCTTTTGCAGTTAGCAATCTTATATTTTATTGTCCTTTCAGTAACCTGACCATGCAGTTGCCTGTAATTTAAATATCAGCTATTTGGAGAAAGTTATTTTCTGAACTATTCTATTTTTAATACCCTTTGAAACTAAGTTTTTTATATGAATATAAATAAAGGAGCAATTACCCTGGCGTAATAACAATCAACACTATGCCTTCCCTAAATCTTTGTTCCTTTTCTAGGGCTGCTGTGACAAATTACCAAAACGGGGTGGCTTAAAACAACAGAAATCTATTCTTCCATAATTCTGGAGGGTTGAAGTACAAGAAACAGTGTCAGAAGTACTGGTTTCTTCGTGGGATGAGAATCCATCCCATGCTTCTATCCAGCTTCTAGTGGAGCTGTCGATCCTTGGCTGGTAGACACATCGCTCCAATCTCTGCCCCTCTCATCACTGTTCTCAGCTGTGTGTGTGTGTCTGCCTTCCTTCTTTTCTTATGGAGACCCCAGTTATCTTGGACTTAAAGGCCCACCCCTCTCCAGCACAGCGTTGTTTGAGCTTAGCTAATTACAAGGATCCTATTTTCAAATGAGGTCACATTATGAGGTTCTGAGGAGGACATGAATTTGCAGGGGACAGTATCCAACCCAGGAGAGGACATAATATTTTTATGTCATAAGGTTATTGTGATGGTTAAATTGCATAAAAGAACCAGAAGCGTAGCAAGCACATAGAAGAACGTAATGATATTCATTATTATTATTATCTTTGGAGGTAAGTTATTAGTGTATACTTATACAACCAAAGAACTTTTTTATTTCCTTATGGGCTGCAGGAGTTTGATGAGCTGTAAAAGTTTCTTCCTTATTCTGCCTTGCTGCTGCCCCTTAGTGTTTAACTAAAAGACTAGAAACTTCCTTCTGGGTTTGCAGATAAGAGGGATATGTATTTTCATGCTCGTTATCCCCACTATACTTCAAATCTCTTCCTTTAATGCATAGCATCCTGTTTATGAAATTTCACAAAAAAAGTTGCTATGGATTGAACATTTATGTCTTCCCAACATTCATATGTTGAAATCCTAATGCCTAATGCGATGATATTAGGAGGTGGAGACTTTGGGATGTAATTAGATCATGAGGGTGGCGTCTTCGTGAATGGGATCAGTGCCTTTTTAAGGACAGAAGAGCTTGCTTCCTCTTTCTGCTCTTTGCAATGTGAGGATACTGAGAAGACAGTTGTCTGCAAACCAAGAAACAGGCCCGCAGGCCCTCACTGGACTCTTTTTTTTTTCTCAAGTTAGGAAAATATTTTCTTAATCTTGGACTTCCCAGCCTCCAGAACTGTGAGGAATAAGTGTTTGTGGTTTAAGCAACCCAGTCTACAGTATTTTGTTACAGCAGCCCAAACTAAGACAAAAAATTCCCCAATTCCTAGCCAAAAGTATATAAATTTCTTTTCATTTTAACTATTCGCAGTGGAATTCTACATGGCCACAAGCCAAGTACTAAAAAGGTTCTGACAATCCAACATGTGTTCATCAGATGCCTTCATAATTTATCAGTTTAACTTTTTATTTATTAAGTAGTTACTTTTGCAAAAAATATTTTTTTTGTTTGTTGGCAAAAAACATGGATTGCTTCTTGATGCCAACTGTAGAATCAAGAAACCTTGCTTTATTTCATCAGCCACTTCAGCAAGAAATAAATTGGTGCTCTGTCATACACAATTTTGGGATTCCCTTCTTCATCCTTAGCCTTTGTCTACTCATGCCAGTCTAGTCACATTTATTGTTGTGAATTTGGGGAATGAAAGGGAGCTTTGCAACGGTCTATATTAGGTATCCAACTTTTTCAGGTTTTTGTAGAATAATATTTTGAAGGATTATTAAAGAGTTAATAGGTTGGACTGTCAAAAAAAGACATTAGAACTACTTCATTCTCTTTTTTAAAAGATAACCTCTATAAGTAATCATGGCACTTGAATTTTCATTTTGCTTTCTTCTTAAAAACACTAACATCTGGCTGGTCATGGTGGCTCACGCTTGTAATCCCAACACTTTGGGAGGCTGAGGTGGGCGGATCGTCTGAGGTCAGGAGTTTGAGACCAGCCTGGCCAACATGGCGAAACTCCATCTCTACTAAAAATACAAAAATTAGCTGGGCGTGATGGTGCTTGCCTGTAATCCCAGCTACTCGTGAGGCTGAGGCAGAATTGCTTGAACCTGGGAGGTGGGGGTTGCAGTGAGCCTAGATTGCGCCACTGCACTCCAGCTTGGGCAACAGAGCGAGACTCTGACTCAAAAAAACCAACAACACTAAGGTCAATCTAAATTTTTAAATTACTCATCAAAAGACCTTTCTCTAGTTTCTTTTGTCTCTTAATTTGTCTTTCTTTTTTCACACCTGCATATTTTCTGTTACATACATACATATGTGGTCAAAGTGACTTGATTACGGTAGAGAAGATTAATGATTATACAATATCATCTTGATGTCAGTTTTGTTAACTTTTTATATGTTAAGTTGCTTATTTTTTAAAGTTCAGACACTGTGTTAGAATTTCCATATAAAAATGATAGTAATTGTTCTTATCAAAATAGCTTAACATTGGGAGAGGGAGTTCTACATTGAAACAGGTAATTCATAGCACAATACAGCAAGTATTAATCTAGACTAGATTTCTGTTGCATCTCAGTCAAGAATATGATTTCCAACAGAAGTTCAATACAATGAGAATGTTTTATCAAATTAATTATAATGGAAACTTGTCCCATATCATGCCTGCATTTATGAGAGGTATGTTTTGAATGTCTTCATTAGTTGTTGAAATGCAGTGAATTATTGACACTCTCTGCTGTTTGTCTTTCTAGGCACCCAATAACTATAGAAGTCCCATCTCTACCAGTCAACCTACCAATCAATCCATGGATGATACAAGAGAGGATATTTATGTCAACTATCCAACCTTCTCTCGCAGACCAAAGACTAGAGTTTAAGCTTATTCTTGACATGAGTGCATTAGTAATGACTCTTATGTACTCATGCATGGATCTTTATGCAATTTTTTTCCACTACCCAAGGTCTACCTTAGATACTAGTTGTCTGAATTGAGTTACTTTGATAGGAAAAATACTTCATTACCTAAAATCATTTTTCATAGAACTGTTTCAGAAAACCTGACTCTAACTGGTTTATATACAAAAGAAAACTTACTGTATCATATAACAGAATGATCCAGGGGAGATTAAGCTTTGGGCAAGGGCTATTTACCAGGGCTTAAATGTTGTGTCTAGAATTAAGTATGGGCATAAACTGGCTTCTGAATCCCTTTCCAGAGTGTTGGATCCATTTCCCTGGTCTTGGCCTCACTCTCATGCAGGCTTTCCTCTTGTGTTGGCAAGATGGCTGCCAACTCTTGGCAATTCATACATCCTTGTTTCTGTCTGGTAGAGAGTTTGCTTCTCAAATGGAGCAAACAAATTTGATTATTTTTTCATTGTTAAATAGGCAACATGACCAGAAAGGATGGAATGGCTTAAGTAAACTAAGGGTTCACTTCTAGAGCTGAGAAGCAGGGTCAAAGCACAATACTGGGCAATTCAGAGCATGGTTAGAAGAGGAAAGGGGAGTCTCAAAGCTGGAGAGTTTACCAACAAATATTGACTGCAGTGATTAACCAAGACATTTTTGTTAACTAAAAAGTGAAATATGGGATGGATTCTAGAAATGGGGTATCTCTGTCCATACTTCTAGAATCCACTCTATCAGCATAGTCCAGAAGAATACCTGGCAGTAGAAGAAATGAATATTCAAGAGGAAGATAAATGCGAGAGGGCAATCCTTTACTATTCTCATATTTATTTATCTCTCATTCTGTATAGAATTCTTGCCGCCATCCCAGGTCTAGCCTTAGGAGCAAATGTAGTAGATAGTCGAATAATAAATAACTTAATGTTTTGGACATATTTTGTCTACTTTTGAGAATTATTTTTAATATGTAAATTCTCTCAAAAGGGTCAGGCACCTAGTTATTATTTTTTAATGATTATGTGAAAGTTGAATATAATATACCACTAAAAGTGACAGTTGAAAGTGGTGGCATAGGACGGTAGGGTAGAAATTTGGGAGGGAAAAAAGAAATTGGGAGGGTACAGGCAACAGGAGAAAGGAATCAAACCACAGAAAAATACAAAGGGAAACTTCTGCTTCACTATTCAGACAAAGACAGCCCTAATGACATCACCAACAGTCAAAGCAATTAGAGACCATACCTAATATTGTTTAAATTCTAGATGTAGGCTAACAATGAAAAGTATTTGCCAAACTGAATAAAACTGTCATGGTTACCTTGAAAGGACAATGGTTATTGTTAAATATAGTGATCATTCATGTCTAAAAGATTCATTATTTATCTCTAAAGATTTCTAAAGACCACCATCTAGAAAAGATTCATTATGAAGGCTGTATTTAAATATCAAAGTTGTGGACTTCATGATAATCTTAAATAAAGCAAATCCAAATTCTCCTGTTGCCTAGACAGATTCTAAGATGTAATTTACACTTTTAAGCTAATTAGTGAGTATTTTATGATTTTAGCCTTAAACACCATGTATGCCAAATAATGCACTTGTTTTGTGAATTACAGAAATGGTAAGTGCCCACATTTCTGTGAATTATAAAATTTGTGAGTTTCTTTTAACCCTTTTCAGGAGTGAAAAAATAAAAACGACCATTTCCTGGTTGTGCTTAAGTATATGCAAGAAGGGTAAACTCTCATTTTTATTATGTTTGCTTAAAGATCTTTTTATACCTGGATTCATGAAATGTTTCCACAAATATATTAGTGTAACAAACTTGAAAGGCAGTTTACAAGAAAGCACTCTACTATCAGATCAATCAAAGATTCTGTGAGTGAATTTATTGGTTTGCATGGTGAAGCAAGCTTAGCATCAATTAAAAGGTAAATAATTTCTTTTCTGAATGGTAAAGACAATCAAAATATTACTTTCTGGAAAACTCCAATAACCAAATTCTCAATGATTAGTGTATGTGAGCAGGAAAACATTTTTACAGTTGTAGTATGGGGAAATATAAATCCAATTTTAAGAGAGAAAATTATGACTGGGTGTGGAAGGGACAGTATAGTCAGATACCATTGTCATGGTGGTTTTTACTGGGAACTTCATGAAAGACTTTTGTAGCAAACCACTGCAGTATTGCAAAGCCTCCAGAACATTTGGAACTTGTCTCTTTTTCCTTGTGTGTGTTTGTGTTTTTGGTCTCTCATTCAAAATATTGATGAGAACTATTTACTCTGTCCTTTCTTCTCTATATATTCTTCCTCTACAGAGTGTAGGGTTTTTTCAGGAATTTGGAGCCATCTGAAGTCCTCCCAAAAATTCTCTGACGTCTTCTGATGCTCCTGTTATACCCTCAGGGGTAATGCTTGTGAAATTCCATTCATTCATTTTCTTTCTCTGGACATCTTTACTTACCAAAGCACTTTCATTGTCATCTTTTTAACATCATTCTTAATTCGTGATAGTTTTGGGACTCTCCCTAGTGTATGTTTCTCCCCCTCTACTCTTTTGCACCTATGATTCTGATTGTTACTAAGAAAGCAGATGAAAAACAGATCCACAGAATAAACGATCAGAATTCCAGTAAATTCTATTTTAAATACAGATACTTTTTACAAGTTGCTGCTTTGGAAGCAAAATGCTTCTTAAGTTTTACATATATATATATATATATACATATATATATACACATATAATTTATATCGATGGATAATACATTAAGAATCTATGCTTCCTTTGAATGCCATTAATATTTATGTTAAAGTAACCAATGAAAGGAAATTACTTTGTTATAATAAGATAGGAAGACTTGTTAATGGAGTACACAGTTTTGTCAGGGAAAGAACACATCTTATTGAACTATGATGACTATGCATTGACTATATTATTATAAGAGATACCTTCAAACTTTATTTAAAGAACTTTAGGTATAATATGTTGAGAAAATAAAATAGAAATTTCATTTACTTGTAATCATGCTTAAAATGGGAGGCAGGTAGGTGAAGATATAATTTTTAGTAAAAACTCCAATTTATGTTTTAAGTAATTCAGTGTATTACTAAAATACTATATATATAAACTTAAAATACATGGGTTATCAATTTAAAAGACAAAGTAAGTAAAAATACTTTTAGTAGGCATTCGTGGATTGTGAACATCCAAGTTATATTGGTTTGTATAGAATGGCATTAAGTAAAAATTACAGCTGTATAACAGTAGTTTTCTAAATTGAGAGAGTCCACATTGTAATTAGAGATCACTGTGACCAAAATGCTTCTCCTTGATTTATAATGATGTACTGTATTTTGTACTGCTTATATGAAATTTCAGCAAGATTGACGATATTATAAAGATGCTTATAAAGTGTAAGTGGAGACGCTAAATTGTGAGTACAAAGTTTCTTTTTCACAACAGTGATAAGAAAATATCTTTAAAAAATATAAGACAATATAAACATGTCATCATTAGTTTAGCTACTATTAAAATGTAACATCTAGAAAGTACTGATCTCCACCTTCAGACTTCTGTATAAGTATATTTTTTCACTGATCTGTTCATTAGAGTTCTTCCAGCCAAGACTCTGGGCTCTTAAAACATGTATCTGAAAACTAAAAACAAGTTAATTTTTTTAAAAGCTTCTCTATTTCTAGTGATTCAATAGGTAGAAAAATAGCTTCTAGAATTAACTGCAATGCTTTCTAAGGAAATTTTATAAATCCTCAAGGTCGGTTTACACATATTTTTCCAGATTCAGAGCACTAACTATCTTGTAAGATGTAAGAAAAGGTCCATTTGGAAGTATGAGTAATAAATGTCTGGGATAATTCTGGTTTATTTCGTATTATCCTTGTTAGAATAAGTTATATGGTCAACCTGTTCAGAACACTTTTTCTAGTGTTAGTGTGTACTTTTGGATTTTTGGTTCTTGTAGGGTATAGAAATATTTTCCTTTGTCTTGTATTCTGTTGTTTTGAATGAATAAAACACAATGTTTCACGATCACTACTTTCATTTGCCATGGAGAAATAGCAGGGAAAAATTTCTACAGAATAAAATTAACTGATGAATTACATGCAGAAAAAATTCAAATCAATGATACATTGTAATTTTTATCTCAATGCAATGTTCTTTGTATTTTATTTTATTATTATTTTTTTGAGACGGAGTTTCACTTTTGTTGCCCGGGCTGGAGTGCAATGGCACAATCTCGGCTCACCACAACCTCTGCCTCCCGGATTCAAGTGATTCTCCTGCCTCAGCCTCCTGAATAGCTGGGATTACAGGCATATGCCAACATGCCTGGCTAATTTTGTATTTTTAGTGGAGACGGGGTTTCTCCACGTTGGTCAGACTTGTCTTGAACTCTGGACCTCAGGTGATCCACCTGCCTCAGCCTCCTAAATTGCTGGGATTACAGGCATGAGCGACCACTCCTGGCCTTGTTCTTTGTATTTTATAAGTGCATGTAGTGCAAAGGGTCAAAGGGCTTTACAGGTTTTTTGTTTGTTTGTTTTTGTTTTTCCCGAAACATAGTAGTCCCTTGCCCTTCCTCATTTTTGTTACCTTGAGACAACAAATTTTACTACTTCTAACTCATTATTTTATTTATGTTCACTTTTCTGAATAGCATGCTTATGACACTAATACTTTTTTTTTCAATTTTAGACATTCATTATTCATTTAGATGTCTTTCTCTCCCCAAACTCACCACATAAAATACTCTTCTCATGTCTCTTTCAGAAATATTTGTATTAAAATATGATTATATCAATATTTGGCATTTATTTCTTATGACCTTGCCAGTACTCTTAGTTAAACTACATGGTAAAAATGATTTTGCTTTCCCTCCTACATAACTTTTTTTCCACCTAGAGCTAATAATTGTCATTCTGGGGACTGACTTTTTCTGTATTTACCATAAATTGACCTGAAACTCCCCTGTGATGCAGCAGGAATTCTACCAACGTCAACTTCCTTAGAAAGACTCCATTAGAAGCTTGACTTGGGGCTAGAAGGAGAGGCACACAACTGCCATCCTGGTGTCTCCCTTCATCCAGAAAAAGGGGGAGGAATACATGAAACCTAGAATCCACTCTAAAACATTTTCCAGAACAAAAGGACATGTGTTTCCGTGTTGTAAATGTTTAACGAGTGCCCATAACAAGGAATAATAAGTCTATTATGTTTGCTTTTGTGTCTGTAAAAGTTGGGGGTATTGGTTGTAAGCACGAAAACAGATACTGACTGTTGAAGAAAAAAAAAAATACGAGGTCAGGAGTTTGAGACCAACTTGGCCAATATGGTGAAACCCTGTCTTAGTAAAAATAGAAAAATTAGCCAGGCCTGGTGGCACGCACCTGTAGTCCCAGCTACTTGGGAGGCTGAGGCAGAAGAATCGCTTGAACCCGGGAGGCAGAGGTTGCAGTGAGCCAAGATCGCACCACTGCACTCCACCCTGGGCAACAGAGCGAGACTCCGTCTCAAAAAAAAAAAAAAAAAAAAAAAAAAAAAGTTAAGTATTTGAACATAGGGGTGGCTCATAGAATTCCCAGGACACCCGATGGAGTAGGCTTGCAAAACACAACATGTGGCAACTCCAGTGGGAAACGAGGCAGGAAACACTCGTTTCCTGCAGAAAGCAACAATTTGGGCTTCGATACCCTCCCTAGAACACAGGGCAGTGAATCTGAGCAGCATCAGTACCCCACGTTCGGATGAGTCCTGAGCCCCTATTTTTATTCACTGACTTATTCCAAAATCAGTGTCTCTTAAATATATCTGGAAGGCAGCAGCTTGTATCTCCCCCTTCAGCTTCCATAGTGGCAGTCAGGGTACAACTTACTTTCCAAACAGAACACACTGCGACATTCCCTCCAGGCTCGTTGAAGAACTTCAACTGACAAATGTCCCTCCTCGACCAGATGATAGTTTTCTTAAAGGCAGGGTTTAATATACCCTTTTATAAATGTTTCAAGGCCCTGTGTAATACCTGAGTTTATTCCAGATGTAACTAAATATATCCAAGATTGTTTTAAAATAAATTGCTGAAAAAACAAATAAATACAGTTAGTATCTATATCAATATTCTCAGTTGGCAGTTTTGCAATAATGGCCGATAGTTCATTTTTAGTAACACTATTGACATTGCATTTGGATATTAGGGTTTACTAATCATCCGCATGTATACATTGCATATTTTTCTAGACTTTAACTTTATTCAAATCTATTGATTTTTAAACCTGCAACTTATGTCTAGACACAGGTATACCTTTACAAGAACTACCATTTTTTTTGGTAACATACTACCTCCAAAATTTCAAGTAAGAAGTTGATTTTTGTCCATTTTTAAATGGAAAACTTGTAATCAAAATGCCACAAAATTATACTGTGTATCATTTGACCTATAGAAACCAATATTATTACAGGAAGAAAGCAGAGCCAATCTTCTACCTGTGGTCAAATAAGTGGAGGCCCTTTCTAGACTAAGTTCTCATGAGTTTAAAATACCAAGCATAAGTTCTCCAAATTCCTGAAAAGGAAGCCTTGTGTTGTATTGCCCAGCCATATTTGTAAGACATAAAAATAAAACTTGAGAAGAAGCTATGATAACTTACTTTCTTCATTCTTCAAAATTTACATAATCTCAACTGATTTTATGTTTTTATGAAAATGCATTCTTAAGATATATCCTTATTCAATCATGTATTCATTACATCCTTTATGCCAGGTATCCAAAAGTACTTACAGTGACTAAGACCATTATTCTTTGATCAGCTGCCTGAGTAAGACTTTGAGCTCTCCAATATACTCTCAGTGATACTAAGTTTTCTGAGTAACAGCTTTGGATGTGGCTTCAGTTGAGCTGATTTATCCCACACTTTATTTTTATCGTATAATGGTCCTCAGAAGCAAATTTTGATTTTAGCTCACATAAAAAATGTACAAAGAAATGTAATGGCTCAGTAGCTTCTAGAGATAGAGATTACTCTTCTAACCTTTCTGTAATTTTGTATGTCTATTTTATAATTCTTTCAATGTCTAATGAATAGCTATCTTTTTTTGAGACGGAGTCTCGCTCTGTCGCCCAGGCTGGAGTGCAGTGGTGCGACCTCGGCTCACCGCAAGCTGCGTCTTCCAGGTTCACGCCATTCTCCTGCCTCAGCCTCCCGAGTAGCTGGGACTTCAGGCGCCCACCACCATGCCCAGCTAATTTTTTTGTATTTTTAGTAGAGACGGGGTTTCACCGTGTTAGCCAGGGTGGTCTCGATCTCCTGACCTCGTGATCCGCCCGCCTCGGCCTCCCAACGTGCTGGGATTACAGGAGTGAGCCACCGCGCCCGGCCTCCTTAGTTTCTTAAGGTGGAAGCCTAGATTATTGATTTTATATGTTGTTTTCTTTTCCAATAGTGGCACTTAATGCTATAAATTTCACTTTGTTCCACAAGTTTTGGTAAGCTCTATTTTTATTTTCATTTAGTCCAAAATATTTTAAAATTTCTTTTGATATTTCTTCTTTGAGCCATGAATTATTTACAATGTGTTGTTTAATCTCTATATATTTTGGGATTTTTCTACTTTATATCTCTTACAGATTTCTAACTTAATTTCATCATGTTTTAAAAACATTCTTTGTATAATTTCTATTCTTTTAAATTTTTCAGGTGTATTTTATGGCCCAGAATATGGTCTATCTTGTAGAATGTTTCATGTGATCTTAAGAAGAATGTTCATTCTGCTGTTGAGTGTAATATTCTACAAATGTCCATTAGATTAAACTGATTGATACCACCGTTCAGATTATCTATATCCTTTCTGATTTTCCCTCTTCTTGATCTATCACATACTGACAGATCAAGTGATCAAGTCTCGTTAAAGACTGCAAGTAAAATAGTGGATTTTTCTATTTCTCCTTGCAGTTTTGTTAGTTTTTGTCTCATGTATCTTGATACTCTTGTTAGTACATATACTTTCAGAATCGTTAGGTTTTCTTGGAGAATTGACCCCTTTACCACATGTAATGTCCCTTTTATTCTTGATAATCTTTCTTGTTCTGTCTGCTTTTTCTGATATTAACATAACTTTCAGTTTTTTAAAAAATTAACATTAGCATCTCACATCTTTATCCTTTTAATTTTAAATTATCTAAATATTTATATTTAATGTGCCTTTCTTATAGACAATGTATAGTTGCGTCTATTTGTAATTTCCCCACTTTTCTTACTTAAAAATGTTGTAGATATATAGGAGTTGTATATATTTGGGGGGTACATGTGATGTTTTGATACCTGTATACAATATGTAATGATCATATTGGGTAATCGTGATATCTGTCACCTCTAACATTCATCTTTTTTGTGTGTTTAAACCCACCACTTCTAATTGGTACATTTAGATTATTCAAATTTAAGTGATTATTGATATAGTTGGATTAATATCTACTATGTTTGTAACTTTTCTATCCTTGCACTCGTTCTTTCTTTTTTATCCTCCTTTTTCTGTGTTCTCTGATTTTAACTGGGGTTTTTACATGATTTAATTTTCTCTCGTGGCATATCTTTCATTGATCAACCTAGGTTTTTCTCCTTTTCCCCTCTTTTTTTTGGTATTTATTCTATTTAGTGTTATCTGAGCTACCTGAGTTGGTGTCTATCACTAATTTTGGCAAGTTCCCAGACGTTATTACTTCTAACATTCTTTTGCTCCATTCTTTCTTCTTCTTCAATTATTCCATAGTCTTGAATATTCTGGGTTTTTCCCACTCTTTGAATTTTAGTTTGAAAAGTTTCTATTGGCCTAGCTTCAAAGTCATTCATTCTTCCTTCGGGGTTCCAAGTCAACTGATAATTGCATCAAAGATATCCTTCCTTTCTATTACTATGTTTTTTATTGCTACCATTTCTTTTTTATTCCTTCTTAGTGTTTCCATCTTTCTTCTTACATTATCCATCTGTTGTCTATTTTTTTCATGAGAGCTCTTAACATATTAATGATAAGTTCCATGTCTGATAATTCTGACACGTGTCATGTCTCTATCTGGTTCCAATGATTGCTTTATCTCTTCAGACCATGACTTTTCTTGCCTTTTGACGTTCTTTGACATTTTTTTTGAATTTTTTGTTGCAAGCCAGATCTGGTGTGTTATGTAATAGGAACAGGTAAATAAGTCTTTAGCTTGCAGACTTATCTTAATCTGACTAACTATTAGACTGTGTTTAAAGTCTGTTATAACCATAGGTGCTAAATTTCTTCAAATTCCTCTAGTGTCTTTGTTTTGTTTGTTCATGTGTTTTTCCCCTTCTTGAGTTCAGGCTTCCCTAAGTGCTCCTCTTCAGAGAGACTTTCTGTCTTTCAGCTCTTTCCTCTGCAATTCACTGTTACTATACTGGAGCCCTGTTGGTGTAGTACTAAGCTGTGGGAAAGGAGAGTGCTCTGTAATCTTACAGTGAAATCTCAGTCTTTTAGTGGGTCTGTGTCTGGGACATTCACAGAGCTTCTCCAGTGGTATTGCTTCCTCATCCTCAACTCTCTTTCCTGGCTGCAGCATTCCCAATGTATTTCTTTGAAGGCCTGCCCCCTGTTGACTGTTATTTTCCCTCTTTCCTTAAGTGGGACAGGGAGACTTCAGGGGCTGGGATGAGGTTTGGGAATTGTGCTTGGCAGAGTCCTTTCCATCTTTGTTACCAAGAAGGTTCATGGCTTATTTCTCAATGGATGTCCCTCTCTATCTGTTGCCAGAGCCACGAGGAAATTTTTCTTGGATCCTCATAATGAGAACCTTGGAGTTTCCTACTGGAAAAGCCCTTGAATGTGTGGAGTGCCTCAAGAGCACAGCCCCCATGGGTTTCTTGCTCACACCAGTCCACAAACAGATGCCAGCAATTCACCCAACTTACCATATAAAGGCTCATACTAGTTTATGGCTCCAGTGCTTTGACTCCAGATAAATGGCTATTGGTTGCGTATCTCTCTGGATGTATCTGTATCTCCAGATTTTGGGGTGGCAGTTTGCTCAGGACCTTGGTTCTCTAATAGGTCTAATAAGAAAAGTCATTGATTTTCAGCTTTCCAACTTTCCAGCTTTGTCTTGTTATAAGCATGGCAGCAACATCTTCCATGCCTTAACATGATGACACTAAAGGCAGAAGTCGATCTCCATGTATAAACATTTTAACACATATGTTTTTTGTTATCGTGGTTTCTGACCTGTCTCTTTGCCCTGACTTTCTGATACTGCACTAGGGTTCCTGTTGCTGGACTCCATTCCATATGACTTGCTCTCGTCTAGGCTGCTCTTTGGCTCATCTTTATAAATCATGATCCAAAATGAAGCACATATTTATTTTTTAAATAAATATGAAATGAAGTATAGACATCAAACTGAAGATGAGTAGATCATACTGAGTTTCACTGTCTGTGCTTGGATCAACATCAGGCCTTATACAAATATTCAAGTCCAGAGGCAAAAGGTAATAAGGAAAATTTGTAGCACAAGCCACAAGGAGATAACATGTCAAGTCTATGCGATTGGAAATAAACTAAAGATGAACTGCTGGGGATGCTCACTCATCACAGAGCTCAGTCTAAAGCACCAGATTTCACAAGCATTTTTTGGGGGAAATTCTGTTAAAATGAAATATGAGTCACATGGTGGTGTTTCACTCATCATATGTGTTCAATATTAATTCATTTTAAGGTTTAGTTGCACAAAAGGTAAATGAGAATTAGAAGACTCCATGGGTAAGAGGAGCCACAGAAGTAAAGCATTGTCAAGGGTTCTATGTCTATATATTTAGATATTAGGCTTCTGAGAAAAAAACACAATAGGAAGGAAGATGAACACAACAGAGGGCAGAAGGTCTATACGTCCTGAGGCCTTTTATGCAACGTTTGTTTGTGGAATGTTTTTTAAGAATGTGTGAGAGTCATTTTAATGTGAAATAAAGACCTACGTCTACAGACTTGCCTCATAGTTTGTTCACTCCATATGGTCATATGTAAATAGTGCAAAGCTTTTATAAACAGATCATTTAATAATTTCTTAAAGCTGAACCCCTTTTCTCTCTACAGTTTAGTGGAAGTAGTGTTGAATATTTTCTGTCAGTATAGATAAACAAATGAACAAACGAACCCAATACTGCCCAAAACATGTTACTATCTTTTCCAGGTTAAGAAAAAGCTTAAATAATAACTGACCAGTAAGAATCACATGGCATTTTAGCTTCAGGAAGAATATTGTGTCTAGATAGAAACAAAAAAAGTCAAATGCGATCTCTTTTACTAAATAGTCAACGGTAATGATCTGAACTACATGAGAGATCACAGTGTTCTTATATATTAAAAATAATGTCCCAAACCCCACCCATAAGCTTAAGTTAAACACATGGTTAAACATACCATCAACATGTTATCATTTACAAGGTAAAACACCATCATGTAACATCTCTTGGCGTATAGTGTCTCTTAGATACCTATGTGTTTAACATCTCCATTAAAGAGTTGGACACTACAAATGTCACATGAAGGATGGAGTTATGTTTTGTTCATGAATTTAGAGAACATTTTGTACTATATGTAATGTTGGTTTTACCTGAGATACCAATTGTCACCCCAAATCAGTCTAAGTTGTGCATAATCTTAAAAATGCAATGGACATTATCTCCCATTAAATGCCTACTCATCCCACTTACAAATTCTAAACTTATAACAATTCCATTTTAGTTACATTTCCTAGTCAGATCTCTTGATGATCCATGCATTTTAGAATTTAGAATGCCAGGCCGGGCGCGGTGGCTCACGCCTGTAATCCCAGCACTTTGGGAGGCCGAGGCGGGCGGATCACGAGGTCAGGAGATCGAGACCATCCCGGCTAAAACGGTGAAACCCCGTCTCTACTAAAAATACAAAAAATTAGCTGGGCATAGTGGTGGGCGCCTGTAGTCCCAGCTACTTGGGAGGCTGAGGCAGGAGAATGGCGTGAACCCGGGAGGCGGAGCTTGCAGTGAGCCGAGATCCCGCCACTGCACTCCAGCCTGGGCGACAGAGCGAGACTCCGTCTCAAAAAAATAAAATAAAATAAAAAAGAATTTAGAATGCCATCCCTTTTCACTATTGAGAAAAAGGGTCAGATATGAGGAGGGAGAGGAAGGGAGGGAGGAGAGGAGAGCTGAGTAGAACATTTTAAATCTATTTCTTGTAACATTTTTCTTTAGATTGTTCTGATGAGAGTAAAGTGACTAGTTACAGTAAGTAAAATGGGTTATTGCTGAGTAGTGGTCTTTATTTTTTTGGGGGTAGCATGAATTTCTAGCTCTGTATTTGGCTCTTTGAAGTGTACTTGGATTTGTTAAAAACCGTAAGCCTCAAAAACAGCAGGTTACCTAAAAACAGCAGGTTATCTGTAACTTTTAATAGATATTGGAACAAGAAAGGAATTTCTTAAGTCAAATGGTACTCAAAGGACAGTCATTAAGCAAGATTAGACTAAGTATACCTGCCTCATGGCTTGAGGAATACGCTTCCTCTCCGGATGGTGAGCCAAATCTTACAGAAGGGACCAAATCTTACCCATTTTTGAATTCCCAGTAATTAGAACATTCAGCTCATGCTTTTAAAATTGAATTTCTGAATAATATTTTCCCCCTTTGGCTTTCTCATAACCAAAGTTTGCAAATATTCAGGGAGTATTGAATATTTAGAATGGATCTCTGTAATTCACACATGAATAGAAAGTAACAATGAGGCCAGGAGTGGTGGCTCGTGCCTGTAATCCCAGCACTTTGGGAGGCTGAGGCGGGTGGATCACTTGAGGCCAGGAGTTCAAGACCAGCCTGGCTAACATGGTGAAACCCCGTCTCTTCTAAAAATACAAAAATATTAGCTGGTTGTGGTGGCACTCGCCTGTAGTCCTAGCTACTTGGGAGGCAGAGGCAGGAGAATCGCTTGAACCTGGGAGATGGAAGTTGCAGTAAGCCAAGATCGTGCCCCTGCACTCTAGCCTGGGAGACTGCATCTCAAAAAAAAAAAAAAAAAAAAAAAAAGACAATGAGTGTATGTTTGTCTTATATGCAAGTTTGTGTCAAGAGAGGAAGAAATAGAGGATTTTTTTAAAATGAGGTTTTAAAAATGTATAGAGCTCAAGTAGCAACAGATACATTTGGAGTTCTGTTAGATTATGGCATCTAATAAATTTTTTCTTTTTTTAAAAAAGAGGCTTTAAAACATTTATACAATTCAAATAACAAGAGACAATTTTGGAGTTAGGTTAGACTGTGTGTCTAATAATTTTTTTGTGATTAAAATGCAGCCTATTTGTTGGGTGGGGTGGCCGGGGCGGGGAAGAGAAAGAGGAGAAGGAGGAGGAGGAAGAAGGAAAGAGAAGTTCAGACATAGCTTTGAGAAAGGAATTTAGGGAGCTAGTGAGGATGGTCTCTCTTGTCTTCCTTCCTTCCTTCTATCCATTTTCATGTCTCCTACAGAAAGCCATGTACATATTTGCTGCCACAGCTCCATACTGTCATTGATGCATATCAAATGGAATTAAAAGGAGGCAAGAAGAAAGATCAGGAGATATTGTTTGTCCTCCACTCATGTTTTGGAGGTAGCAGTTACGCAAAAAGTAGTGATTGACTGGCCTTTGAGATCAGATGAAATCAGCAGGCTAATACCCTAGAGATACCTACATATTAGTGTAATTCATACTTCCATGAATGTTTTGATATTCTATGCAGCTCTTACTCAAATATTTATTTTAATAATTCACCATATGGATGCTAATATTAGATAAATCTTTTAAAAATATATTTCTTGACTAAACTGGAAGTAGAAAGAGTTGATGTTCTTTGTACATTACGAAAATAGCAGCATAATTGCTATTGAGCTGTGCCTCGTGACGTATATTTATTAAATACCTTCTTTGATGTTAGCTCTAAGCTTATATAAACCTTTACATTATTTCTAAATACATTTTCCCAAGTAAATATAGTCTCCATGATTTTAATAGTGACAAAAAGGGAAAGAAAATTCATCAAGTTCATACAACCAATTTGTTACGAAAATGTATCACTAAAAATTCATATTCAGAATAAGCTGTATTTCATTCAATATTGACAAAGAATGGGTGATTTCATCATCATTGCCACCCCTGAACATTTTTCAAACTTCTATTGGCTGCATAAAATGGAAAGGTCTCATACATTTTTCATTGTTTTCTTCAATTCATGAATTTGGCCCAGACTTACCCATTGAAGGGCATTTTTAACAGTACTGACTGCTTGATTCCTTTTCTCTCACCTAGTTTGATTTCTCTGATATTATTGGAGCTTCACACTCTCTTTAAAAGCATTATTCTCTAAAAGGAAAAATACTCATAACAAATTAATCTAGTAAGCCCATAAGAAATGCCCAGCTAATATTTAAAGGTTAAGTTTGAAAAACAGATTCTGTAAGTGTATTTCTAGACAGGTCTAAATCTGAGTGGCAAAGGCTACTTAATCATGGGCTGAAAAATAAAAGAAGCCATTGATAACAGCATGATAGTCACAGCTGCATGCATTTCACTTTTGAAGTTAAATCTTTATCTACCAAATGATGTTTATTTTCAATTTTTTTTTTTTTTTTTTGTCTATTAGCAGAGTTCTGTAGGAAAAGCCATTGTCTAGCTGTGCAACATTATGCAAGCCAGTTAAGCTCTCTGAATATCTTTTTTTTTCTTTGAGGGCGAGTCCCACTCTGTCACCCAGGCTGGAGTACAGTGGCACGATCTCAGCTCACTGCAACCTCCGCCTCCCAGGTTCAAGCGATTCTCGTGCCTCAGCCTCCTGAGTAGCTGGGATTACAGGTGCCTGCCACCACGCCCAGCTAATTTTTGTATTTTTAGTAGAGACGGGGTTTCACCATGTTAGCCAGGCTGGTCTTGAACTCCTGGCCTCAAGTGATCCACCCGCCTCAGCCTCCCAAAGTGTTGGGATTACAGGTGTGAGCCACCGCGCCCGGCCTGGATATCCGAAAGTGTTAATCTCTAGTGTCATTTTCCATATTAAATTCTATAATTCCTTCAGACCAGAGTCAACCTAATAAAAATTCAATTATATTAAAAGATGGAGTTAGGAAAACGTTGGAAATACATAATAAATTATCGGTAACCTTTCATTTAATAAAGGGCCTTCTTTCACTTTATTTTCAAAATAGCAAGCTAATAAGTGAAGGAATAAGTAACATTTTAAACATTAGCAGAATATGATTGTCAGAATTTTGTTTAATTACATAGTTACATTTCATCACATGATAACAAAAGTATAAGAAAACCAAGTAATATTACAGTGTTAGCTTTATGAAATAACTTGTGGGTAAAACCATCAATTTAGTTGTTCAAAATCTCAGCCATGCAAAGTTGTGATGTAAAGTAGTATTTTTGAACTGCTTTACCTTTAAGTGATGGAGCAAACTTTAATAGTGCACAACCTCATAGCAATATCATTTGTAAATTTTTTAGAATTATGAATAAGACATTGTTAACAATAGGTTTATTTATTGATGGTTAAGATTAAAAACTACGACTTCAGAAGAAGGTAATTTTTCAATTATGTATTTCATGTATTTTTACCAAGGGGAAAAATCACACAGACAGATTTAAAAATAATTTAATTTCCTAATTTTATTATTGCCTCATTATTATAATATTTTCTGTTCTGCTAGAAATTCACATTTCAGTTCCAGGGACAGCTGTTGCTTTGCATCTCATCCCAAAACGTAGTTCAGCTAGTTTTTAAGTACAGATGTCCCCAAATTATCATTTATCTAGAATAGATTGTTACTAAAAATGAAGTATGCCAAATCATGTATTTTCCAACAGAAGCAAATTTATAATGGGTGTTTTATTTCTTAACAAGGGCCTAATGTCCAAAGTTATTTCTTATCAAAATGATCATAAACATTATATTGAACCAACTACAGATGACATCGCTTTATGATGTACAGTATAAGACTTCACAAAGTATATATAAATTAATTAAATAAAGATTTACAAAAAGCAAATATATAACACATTATTTAATATATTTTAGAGATTCATAGGGATAAGGATTTTGCAGGATGGGGTAATTCTGTGTGAATCTATTAAGGAAAAGATAACTTCAGTGGAACACACAGAGTGGGTCAAAAGCCAAAAATGTGTGTGTGTGTGTGTGTGTGTGTGTGTGTGTGTGTGTGTGTGAGCATGCACTAAGGTTGGGGTGGAGGGGGCCTCTGCAGGTCTTGGAAAGTCTCCTGTCATCTGCAGTAAAGATGGAACTGGCTTTTATGTCAGGGAGCAGCCTGAGTTGTTGATGTCATTTATGTACTGCTTGCTATAACTAAAGTAATACAGTATTTTGTAACTGGAAAGAATCATACTCTGTTATCAGCTTTCACAACAAAGTTGGAGCTCCCACACTCTACCTGCTGATACATATATATATATTTTTTTTTTTTACAAGAGTAAGCATTATTTCTTGAACTATGCACTATACATGTGAATCTGAATTTGATTTCAAATTATTTCATATTGACATATTTTGCTCATTTCTGATGCAAATTTAATATCAAGATACTACTATCATTCTGTTCTTTATTTTCCCTGGCTTTCAGTCCCTCTGTAAAATAGTTAATGATCTGGAACTACTTTCTCAACCATTTTCAGATGTTTTCTTTGAGAGAAATCCTGCAGTGACTTAAAAAAATTAAATCATTATCTCAGTTTCCTTCTTTGCCTGACTTTGGGTTTCTGAATTTCGGACATCTGATAATAAGCAACTCTTTTGAGGCTGTGGGTCTCTTGAGGGAATTAATAGAACAATTCAATCCTAACATTAGCACAGCTACAGGCTGAGAGTGTAGACCTTGCTCCATTCGATGTTCAATTCTGTGCTGACAGAAAGGGTTGATTTTATGCTCACAGTCTAAAATCATCCTAAAAGCAGGAAAGAGTGAGGAACTTAATTGTTTCAACTGCTAACATGGGCCCAAAATAATGATTAGAAAATTTAAATCCATTCATTCTTCTGACAACTGGAATGTGGAGTTCAGACTAGGGAAGCAGGCATGGAAGATAACTTAAAAAAAACTTACTAGTTAAACAGAATTGTTAGAGGGAATATTTCTACTACAAATGTATTTTTCCTCTCCCCTTCAAATATTAATATTTACAAGATGTTAAAATCTTAAGGTAGGAGAAAAGTGTCTGAAAATTACAAGTATAATGTGGTTTTCATATTATTTAGTAATTTTAACATATTTCTTATTTAAACTTCAGTTAATTTAAATCATTGTCTACTGAAGATTATCAGGAAAAACCTAATATATAAGGTATTATAATGTAAAAAAGTCATTTCCCCAATTCTTGTTGATAATGGAAGCTTCTTGAGGCTCACATGAAAAAAATGTAGCCCTGATGTTATCAATTATGCAACAAAGTTGTTAAAAATGCCATAAATAATGACACCGTAAAGTGCTAGAAAGTGATAAAGATTCCAAAAATTATAATCACAATTACTATGTGATTGTGATGAATTAGTAGGACTGCTAAACACAAACACCTACTTAATGTGTTTTACTTTGACTACCACTTTAGGATAAGATTGAATTTCAAAGAACTGGATGACAATATATGAGTAAATAAAGCTTATACCAACCATTCATGACCTACCAGAAATCTAATGAATTGCCCCATAACACCTCTCTACTGATACAGCTGGTGATGAGTTCAGCAAGAGTAGAGGCATCTGAAAATCTGGGAAAACACTTAAATGTACAAGGGTTTATTTATTTTGAGGCCATATGGCATTTCTCAGCTCCCACTATGTCAAACTGGGAGATGCCATGGAGCCAAGGAAACATTCCTAGATCAGGACCCTGGAACTACGAGAAACAATTCTTGGCTCTTTCTTTGCCGTTAAACAAATTACAGCATCCATGGGTTTCAGTTTTCTCCCAAGGGAAACATAAAGTGGGACCTTGATTCTACATGACCTTTAAGGGTGCTTCTAGATCTAGCTAGCATTCCACCTGCCTGGGAAATGTGCCCAACTTCCATAAGAGTCTATAAACTGTCTAGTGCCTCCTCTGCTGGCATAATTGCACGAATGCTACAATAGTCACATTCTTCAGTAAGAAGGTAAGGATTTGTGGCAGGTCTGCAGAGAAAATGTGGGCAATCTTCCAAATATGTTAATAGAGAATGCACACATGAGAGTGTGAGCTTGTCTCACAGATCCAGCCCCGCACACCAGTCTCACCGATAATTTATGTTCATGATAAAATTCAAATGAGGTTGGCTATATAAAAGTGATTCTCATGTTTCTGAAGACACATTTTACTGTGGGGACTTGGTTACACATTGTTTCTTGTTAAATGTTTTTCACTAAGCCGAAAGACACATCTTTGTTGGGAATGTAGTGACTTCCTCTAGTGGCCTTAAGACATAAAGCAACAGATGTCCTCTGTAAATTGCATACTCAGTATGAGGCGACAGGGAAGAAAGCCAAGCCCATGACACTGGCCTTGGGTTAGAATGTTAGAAAGGTAGAGACCAAGTGTTACTCTGGACATTTCATTGTATTCTTTATCATTTAACCTAAATTGTTGCGTTCATGACTAGTTGCCATCCTGCCTCTCTATTCTCTCCATGGGAGACTGCACTTCATACATTTCATAGTCTGCAAACACACACCCCATAAATTGCATAAGCTAAATTTGTGTGGCATGTCACCCATTGTTATAGCTATTAATGCATATTCAGTGGCAAATTTTTATCGATTTTGAGAAGGCTGTGTTTGGGAGATCATATAGTTAATGACGGATGAAGTAATTTGAAATTGCAAGGTATTTACAGACATGATCACAGGATTGGAGAAACATGTATAATTTTCTCTTTGTGCAGTCTTCAATATAATATTTTAAAACACGAATTGTTAAAGCCTTAAATCTCAGTTCCATTAGACGTATACTGCCCATTTATTGTGCTGTGTTATAATAATCAAAACTGGAATATAACTTTTTAGGAGAATATCATTTCCTTAGCTTGTTTTCACTGTATCACTAATGGCCAATTTTAGTAAATGGCTCAAATAATCTAGGGAGTAGGGTCCCCATGCTTTTTTACAAAGTTTTCTGTGATACTGGCCAAACAAGGAGGGGCACACATCAATTTTTATCATGTGTTTTTAATATCTACAATAAAGATACGACATGCAATAAACTGGATCTGTAGAAACTACTACCAACAATGTAAAGTTATTTATCAGTCCACTCTTTCTACACTGAATAGAAAGTACAAGAGGCTCACCATTTTATAGGTGATGAAAGATTTTCAAACATAATTTCCCAATGAAGACAGAGAAGAATTACGCAAGATACTAGGACTAGTTCTCTAGTTACTATTTGGTGAAAAAGGTGAGGTTTACTTTTAATAAATATGTTTCCATTGATTTCACATGCTCTATCAAACAGCATCTTCCCTCATATATAAATATATATTTCTTATTTTATTGATTTCAAATTGTGGCAGTGGCCAGAACCTATTGCTTCATACATATTTGCAACCTGCATAAATAAATTAGTTCTGAGTGCTTATTGTTTGTTCAATAAGTAAGTGAAAGATGTGTTTTCTTTTCCGCCTCTGCCCCCACCCCCCAGAATAGGAAACTATTGGATCAAGGTTGTTTTGTACTCTCCTGCATTTTAAGTGTAATATCATGCATCAATCATGTGTACATTGATTAATATTATCAGAAGAAAAAATTGGGAACATAAAAAATAAGTCCCCTCGTGTAATCTCTCAGTGAAATAGATACCTCCTCTAGGCTTTGTCTATTTTCAGAACTGCTATTCCTTACGTTGGGTTCCTTTATCATTGGTCTCTTCCAACCTGATGCAGAAATGGTGACCATCTATTTATCTGTACAAATCTGAATGGAATTCAAACTGAGTCACTTTCAGAAGGAGCCAAAAGATATCTTTGGTTCATAGTAATTCCTCCCTCGCATTGAAAAATACACATATATTAAAGATATAATACAATTTTTGAAGGGAGAAATGACTTACAAAGTGTAGAGGCATCCCCAGTCAAAAACCTACGAGCCCAAGCGAGTGGTATACATCTCCATGACCCTTCTGGTTGCTCCAGTGAAATTGATTTTATGAAGTTCCAGGAGACTGGTGCAGTGACTTTCCATCTTTGGTTTTGGTAGAAGATTTATCTGTTTGCCGTTTTTATTACAATGAACCCTGCTTCGTGTCAAGGATATTAGTCTAATATAAGTTCTCCTATCTGTTCATTTAGCAGTCTTGACTCAGCTACAATTGTGAGTGTACTTGGAGGAGTATGCTAGAATTAAGCTCCAAAAATGTACCATGAGATAGATTATAGCATTCTCCTCATTGTGACGAGATCTGGTTAAAAACTTGGGAAGGAGATTTCTCTCACACATACTCTTTTTACGACATCATTTTCAGAATGAACTGGCCCGAGGTTATGCCTGATCTTTGGTGCTCCTTCAGTTATATTCATTGGTAATGATCAGAACCAAATGGAGTTCTTGAAGCAATTACATACAGGTATTTGTCTCCTAAGAAAGAGACACAAGAGCAGACTCATCTGATTAGCAGAATCCCTCCCTGGACTCGCTGTTTGTGCTTCCAGCACATGAATAAAGCTGAGATGTGAACCAGGACCCCTGAGGGCCGTTCCCCATAAGTCCCTTGTAGAAACTTGTGGTGTCTAAGCAACAGCTCAACTGAGTGAGCCGGCGAGAGGCTTGCTCTGAATGTGGCCCCACTAGGAACTGTGCTCAAATGGTCTCAGCTGGGAGTTGCTCTGGTGTATTTGACTAAAGGCATTTCAAAAGCAAATGCCATGTGCAAAAGAAATTCACAAGTGTTTAACCCCAAAAGCTATGATTTCAAGGAAGGCTGTACAGTTGTAGGAACCAGTCATCTGCTCCTCCGCTGTGTCAGCAAAATTCACAGTGCAGAGAACCTGGGTAATTTTCTTTTTATCCCTGAAAGCTTAGGATAATTATTTTTTGCAGCCACATTAACTCTTACGATTAGTATCTTGATGGGGTTTTCATACCGAGTGGAGTGATTTGGAGAGCCTAGGTAGTTGCTGTAAGTGCACATTTATCTAGGAGGGATCCGGAACCACTTTTATTCGGTAGTAATTCACTGAAATGAATTGTCAATCTGCACTCAAGCTACAGATAGGGATGAAAAGACAACTCATCAGAGATCAGCAAAAAAGGTACCCTTTCAACAGACTAATTTGGATAGTTTAAAAAATTTTCCTATTAAGAAAAAAAAAACCTGGGTTTTCATCTTGCGTGACCTGAGCTCACTGTTCTTTAAACCCACCCTAGAGTATTTGAGAGATAACCATCTTAGGCACAAAGCATCAGATGATTCAGGCAGGATAATTTTTATTTTTACTTAACTCCAGAATTAAGGGCAAATATATCTTTGTTGACCTGAATTAGCCAAACTCAGTTTCCGTGGAATTCACTACCTCCCTTTAAACACTGTAGGTTTGTAATCAGTGTCAGGGATGATGAAAATTATTGATCTATTTTATTTCTTATAATCTCAGACAACCTGTGTCCAGTAAAAGAAAAAATAAAGCCCTGCAAGTTCTGGTTACACAGTAAATTACAAGCCCCCAGTGGTTGTGTGAGAACAGCATCTATGATATCCACAATCCTGTACCCATTTTGTTCTTCTCTTTACTGCAAAATAGCTGAGTTCTTTATGGGTGTATTCTTTCTTTCTTAAAGAGTTCTTCATTTAGAACCTCTCTTTTCTCTCAAGGTTAAATGGAAGCTGATCGGCGTTCACATGGAATCCTCCTCACGTAGCTCAGATGGATGGCCACAGGGAGCAACATTGTCAGCAACAAGGAAACGCTCACCAGAAAGACAGGGTATGACATGATGTGTAGGACAGCTAGACTGGTTCTTTTGCTTCTGAATGTTCCCCTTCTCACATTTTTGCTTACACTTGTTAGGAACAGACTGGATTACATATACTTTTGCTAATAAGAAGCCTTTTTTTTTTTTTTTTTTACAGCACTATTTTAAAAATAGCTATTCAACATAACAATCTTAACTTTAATGCACCAAATTATGGTTTTCAACAATTTAAGTGAGCATATCCTGTCACCCTCAGCACATGTTTGATATATACTTGTTATATATAGATGGATATAGCAATATCCATTTGTCTACACACACACACACACACGCACACACACACACGAGTAGAGCTACAGGGCCCTGCTTAATAGTGTGTTCTGAATTTCATGTTCCTTTAATTGTCACTGGGTTTATTTATATGCAGCTACGATGTCATTTGCAGAGCTTACTGTATTTATCCCTGTCAGAACTTTAAAAGCCACAGAGCTTGTGGAGGGTCACCATTATGTCTAAGGACAGACCCTGTGCTCAGATGGGCGGACTGCGCTGTGAGGTCAGTGAGAGGTGCCCATCACCCAGGCATACCCCAGTGTGGGCAACTTTTCCCAGTGCTGAGGTTTCTGTTACTGTCAGACCCAAAGAATTTTGTTTATTTAAATAACTGTTCATACGATTTGGATTCTATTTATGTAAAACATAGATTCCCCCAAAGAAATTCAATAAATAAAGGACTTAGCCACTGAATCAAGGAAGCAGAACTCCAGTTTTTAACCTTCCAATGGGACTGGGGCTAGAGCCGACCCATTTCAATTTGTACTGCAATTGGTCTTCCAGGAGGCAGAGGGTAATGACCCCACAGACGGGTCCAGGACAGACTGTCTCTCTAGTCAACAGCGGCTCTCTGTGTGTCATTGGATGAGGCTGGAGCTGTAGCTGAATCCATAGCTGCTGGACCGCGACAACGGCTGCTGGGCCTCTTCACTCTGTTCTGGGGCGTAGCTGGGAAATGTCTGTGCACGAGACATCTTTGACGAACCAAACCCATGACCTAGAGAGGAAGAAAGGAGAGCTCTACTGAGAAACAGATTCAGAAGCACAAAAGATACACTATCTATCATCTATCTATTATCTATCTATCTATATTTTTAAGAACAATAAACAAGGCAGCAGCTTTCACATCCTCAATATTGAGCTCAAGATAAGTTGGTAAAAATTGAGCAATCTTGTTGCCTTGATCCTTGATGAATTAAAATGTATTCAGAGCTCAATATTTCCTCCAAATGTACTTTGCCAAAAATTCTGGATGCCAGAGAGCTAGGTAGATTTTCTAGGGAATCTGAAACTTCTGCTGTTCTTCAACTTTTGAAATAAAAGCAGAAAAGCTTTTCCCCAGAAAAAGCTGTTTTTAATGGAGAGCCTGTAAGCTGCTTTCTTTTCCTTTATGCTCAATTTCAGCATATAAAAGCAAATTACACACTTTCTTAAAATCTCTGGGAACAGGCAAGCTGTGCTTTACCCTAACCAGTAACCATGAATTATCAGAAAGAAAGCTTTTACAATGATAGAGATTCTGACTTATCCTAGCCGGTGTGTGAGTCACCGTCACTGAACTCACTTCATGATATGGTTAACCCAAACAATTAAGCTCGATGGCTACCAAAATGGCCAAAAGTTAAATTCCATACAAAATACATTTAAAGAAAATTCTGTCTATGCTTTTGGTTGTTCAGCTGCACCCCTGCATGAGAAATAGTCTATCGCAAACCGAAAACAGAAGTGATTACCGAAAACTTTTCAGAATGCTAACAATGTACAGAGAAACGCATGCATGCTAACTAAAGCTTCTGATGAACTTTCCAGTCGTTTCCTCATCTTTATTTGTTTTTTCCCCCTCATCCTTTTTAAGCCAGCAATTATTCTTCATACTTGAGAATGACTTGTATCTAATGGATGAGCTTAGAGGGAGAAGAAAAATAGATGTAGTAAGTCATGCTCTTTCAGAGTTTCTATTTTACCCAAAGGAGGGACTGTGCTGAGTCTGATTTGTGTGTCATCTGATCGCCTGGGCGAGGAACACAGAGAAGACAATCTGTTAACGCCGAGCACCGACCATCTCTGTGTCAGGCTCCGCAGGTGGCTCTGTCCTTGGCAATGTCACTCGCTTTCAGCCTGTTCTATTGCCAGGTGTGTTTGGCGACGTGGAAAATACTCTCTCACTGTGGGAAGCTTGGGATGCAGGGAGGAAACTCGGATGAACTGGGTGGTAAAAGGCTAATTAGAACGGAACCACTTAACCACTTAGCGGTAGAACCATTTAAATGTCAAAATACTGAGAGAAAAATCTTGCATTAAAAAAAAAGTTGTTTTAGATTCACTATGTCCTGGATTCTGTTGCTGTCCACGTCAAGGAAAGTGCACCAGGCTCAGCAAGAGGGGATCAAAGAGAAGAGGGGCTTTTCCCTCGCACCTCCTGCCCCACGCCCCTGGCTCTGCCACCGCCAGTCCTCTGAGCTTCCAGAACTTTCTGCCCCACGGCGCCTGGAGGCTCTACTAGTCCCTCCTTCCCCTCTCTCCCAGGGTCCTGCCCCGCACTCCTCCTCGCCTGGCCCGCAGGCCTGAGGGTGGTGATGCTTCCTGCTGTTGCGCATGTCTGCATTTTCTCATCGGTTCCCCCAGCTCTTGAAGCAGCCTCCTCATCAAATTCTTTTAATCTCAGCTGAGTGCATCTTCTTTCCTGCAAGACCCTGATGATATAGTGAAGGAAAAATGAAGCAGGGCAGAGGAGGGGAGGAGTTAAGAGAGTTAAAGGATGGGTTAAGGTAGTGATTACCAAAGAAGCTAGGAGAGGAGTTAGGGGCGGAACCAGGGGAGGGGCTAGGGAAGGAGTTAGGGGAGGGGCTAGGGAGAGACTAGGGAAGGAGTCATGGGATAGACCAGGGGAGGGGCTAGGGGAGGAGTTATGGGAGGAGCTAGGGAGAGACTAGGGGCAGGACCAGGGGAAGTGCTAGGGAGGAGTTAGGGGAGGGGTTAGGGAGAGACTAGGGGAGGGACTAGGGGATGAGTTAGGGAGAGACTGGGAGAGGAGCTAAGGAGATGAGGCTCGGGGAGAAGCTAGGGGAGGAGTTAGGGAGAGTGGGGAAGAGCTAGGGGGAGTCTAGGTGAGGGACAAGGGGAGCGACACAGGAGGGGATGGGGAGGAGCTAGAGGAGGAGTTAGGGAGAGACTAGGAGTGGAGCTAGGGAGAGACTAGGAGTGGAGCTAGGGGAGGAGTTAGGAGAACATCTAGGGGAGGAGTTAGGGGAGAATCTAGGGGTGAGGCTTGGGGAGGAGTTCGAGGGACTAGGGAAGGAACTAAGGTAGGGGCTAGGGAAAGAGGAGCTAATGGAGGGGCTAGGGAAAGAAGCAGTCATGAACTAGGGGAGGAGCTGCAGGAAGAATTAGGGGAGGAACTAGGGGAGGAGTTAGGGGAGCAGCTAGGGAAGGGATTAGGGAAGGGGGAGGAGCTGGGGAGGCTCTAGGGGAGGGGCTAGGGGAGATTTTAAGGGAGTAGTTAGAGGTTAGAAGTAGGATCTCTGGAGCTAGAACACCAGGTATATATGTTGCCTCTGCTACTTCCTAGCTTGTAACCCATCTTAAGGGAATTACTTCATCTCTGGGTTTGTTTCCCTATCTAAAAATTCTGGATGGTATAGTGGCACTTAGCTTATATGATCCTTTTGAGTATTAAATCAATGAGTTAATCCATGCTAAGTGCTGCCACCATGTCATGGTAATCGCCAAATAGGATTGGTAACTAGGGAGGTCAGCAAAGGCCTCCCTAAGGAGGTGGCATTTTGGCATGATGAAATGACAAAGTTCTGATACACTAAGCTGATATGGGAAAAAGCACTTAAAAGTTTTGATGATTTTGTCTCATCTTACCATTGACTCTAGATGACAATTCATAGTTTCTGTAATTGGGGATACTGGCATTTATCAGCATAAGATAGCTGGAAAGTATAATATTAAGATAATGCTCCTGGCCTTGGTTTTATCCTGTTTTTTTTTTTTTTTTAAAGTTTTAGACATATCTGAAAGAGAACAAATGCTGAGGCAGCTTTAATTCACACTACTTGTGGGCTGAGAAGTGAAGCTTAAGTTATAATAAAAAAATATAAAAAAAGAAAATTCAAATTAGACTTTGCTTATTAACACTTTTTTTAAATCCTAGAATCTTAGATGTAAAAAGTCAATCATGCGATTAATATTAACCATCATCTATTAAAAAATTCCAGGCTCCACAGGAAAGGCAAAGTGTGGAAGTATGACTTTTAGAGTCCACATGCTGTTTTGAATGATGGTCAAAGACAGACAACAATAAACATCAAATCAAGAGTCCATACAGCCAGTGCTATACAGGGTCACAGAGGAAAGCCAATGGGGCTTAGAAGAGCATGTTATAAAACTGTACATGTCACTTCAATAATCACAAATAACTTCCTCTGCACAGTGTGCAAACTCCCCCACTACCATGGGCTTTTGAAACAGACAGACATGAGTTCTTCCATGCCTTTTGGAGCCTCATTTTTTTCTGCATGGGGAGAATATAGTTTCCCAAGGTATTTTCAGGATTTAAATGAAACAACATATAGGAGACACCTAGTATGACAGATAGGCAATAAATGTTAATTTTCTTTTTTCTGCACTAAAGGGGTGATATTCTTGCACTTTTTTTTTTTTTTGCTGAACACCTGCGCTTTCTCCACCATCTCAACATGCTGTCTCTCACTGGTAATTGGTTCACATTTGTCCTCCAAAGTTTGTGTGTTGATAGCTTAATTTTCAATGCAACAGTGTTGGGCAGTGGGGCCTAATAAGAGGTTATTAGGTCATGAGGGCTCTGTCATCATGAATAGGTTAATTTCATTGCCACCGAAGTGGGTTAATTATGACAGAAGTGGCTTTGCTATAAAAGTGAGTTCTGCTCCTTCTTGCTGTCTCATCCTGTCTTGCCCCTCAGCCTTCCACCACAGGATAATGCAAGAAGAAGGACCTCACTAGATGTGGGCCCCTCAATATTGGACTTCCCGGTCTCCAGAACTGTAACAAATACATTTCTTTTCTTATTAATTACCTAGTCTGTGGTATTCTGTTATAGCAACACAAAAAAGACTAAGACATTCACTATGACATACTTAGAATATTCTCCCCCTCAAGGTCAGCATCGCTTTCTTCACCTCCTCTGTGAAGAATTTCTAGTCTAATTAGAAATTAAATTATGATTTTTCTTACTGCAACCGTTTCTTTACAGATAATTCACAAATGATGCTATTTAATACATATTACAAAAATAGCATACCTCAGTCAGTACTCTATATATGAAGGTTTTGTAAATGCTGTCTGATTTTGGCAACAATGAGTATGAGAATAAAAAAGAAATAATTAAGCATTTTTTCAATGTTCATTTGAATTATGCCCCTAGACAGTGTTGATGGAAGCAAAACAAAATAAAAATCAACTCTGTGGCTTCAATTAAAAACCTGATGCAACAGCCTTGCTCATCACACTATACAAGGACTCTAGTTAAATGCTTCCTAAACTTTTCCTCCAGATCACCCACTAAAGACAAATAAGGCAAATATGTAACTTTGGAATCTAAGGGATGCTACAATTTAAAAGCAATAAAATTGTTAATGGTTATTGGTTTATTTTAAAAGTCCTCTTACCTTTTCTAATCTATTGTGCATTCATGTTTGTTTTAATAGAAAATACTATTTTCTACCCATATATCTAGGTAATGTTGACAATCTGGGGAAAAAAAAAACATATCACATTTATCTCATAGTTCAAGTATACTCTGAAATGACATTCATACTACCACTACCTGCCAGCTTCTCACTAAGGTATGTATACATGCCCTAGAAATGTAGTCCCATTCCATAAATAAGAAAATATATTGGCTACAGAGACATTTAAAACATTTGCTTTATTCTGCCAAAATTATATGACCCTCTCTCTAATTCCAGGAACTCAAGAGTATCACACAATAAAAGCAAAACCACTCTAGCCTTAAAAAGAAGCTTCCCTGCTGTATCATAAAAAATCCAAACCAGTAATGAACTAGAAGGAGCACAAATTCAGTAGAAAATAACAATCAAATTGAAATGCAAGACCAGAGATTCACATTATGAATGGAAGAAAAAATGGAGACTGACAACACATTGTGAATATCCTCTCCTTCCCGAGGAATTAAGAAATGCATTGTTGCTGACACAGAATGACCAACAAGGGTTCCCTTTTGGCTAGTCTCTGAATTTTTATCTTAATAACACTGATTTTATTCTTGATATATACTATGAAGGAAATTGTTTTTGTAGAAAGTCAGAAAGATCCCAAAGCATAAAACTTGCAGTATTAATTGGTAAAAGACAATGGGCCTGGTAAAGCTATTTAATAGTTTGAATTTATGTGTTTTATTACTTTGTTAGAATCTGGGGGAGATAAAAGGGTACTGTCCCTATAAATAACAAAGAAAACAACAAACAATGTGATAAATAAATAACAAAGTCATCTGATGAGGACACAAGCAGCCCAGAGTCAAAGCATTAACAGTTGGGCCTAGATAGACACAGAGGAGACGCTGTCATCCTTTAACAAGTAAGCTTCTAGCCATTAGAGAAAAAAGGAGCGGGCAGGCTGCAGATGTAAGCATGGATGGATGGTGGAGACAGAATGGAAGGAACGACTTGGGTACAGAAGAGAGCCCTTTTATTTATTTCACAGGCTCTTACTGCAATGAATTGGGGGCCAGAAGCTGTTTTTTTTTTTGTTGTTGTTGTTGTTTTTTTGAGACGGAGTCTCGTTCTGTCGCCCAGGCTGGAGTGCAGTGGTGCGATTTTGGCTCACTGCAAGCTCCACCTCCCGGGTTCACGCCATTCTCCTGCCTCAGCCTCCCCAGTAGCTGGGACTACAGGCGCCCACCACCATACCCAACTAATTTTTTTTGTATTTTTAAATAGAGACGGGGTTTCACCGTGTTAGCCAAGATGGTCTTGATCTCCTGACCTCGTGATCCACCCACCTCGGCCTCCCAAAGTGCTGGAATTACAGGCGTGAGCCACCGCGCCCGGCCCAGAAGCTTCTTATGGTGATATGGTTAGGCTTTATGTCCTCACCCAAATCTCCTCTTGAATTGTAATCCCCAGATGTTGAGGGAGAGACTTGACGGGAGGTGACTGGATTATGGGGTTGGTTCCCCCATGCTGTTCTTGCGATAGTGGGTGAGTTCTCACGAGATCTAATGGTTTTATAAGTGTTTGGCAAGGTCCTGTTTTGATCATTTGCTCTCTTGCCTGAGGCCAAGGAAGATGTGACTCTTCCCCTTTCGCCATGATTGTAACTTTCCTGAGGCCTCCCCAGCCATGCAAAACTGTGAGTCAATTAAATGTCTTCTCTCTATAACTTACCCAGTCTTGGGTATGTCTTTATAGCAGTGTGAAAATGGACTAATACATACAGAGTATCTAATAATTGGGCAGTTAAGTAAATGTGAAAACCAGATGTAAGTAGAAGCAACCCAGGGCTCTCTACGACATCTTGTAATAAATAAACTTACTATTTAAATGTATGTTTGTATATTTTTTATTAATATATTACAGTTGCATATATTTTGAGAGAACACATGATGTTCTGAAACATGTATAGAATGTGTAATGATCAAGTCAGGGTAAGTGGGATATTCATCATCTCAAGCATTTATCTCTTTTTGTGTGTTGGACATATTGGAGTTCTTTACTAGCTAATTTGAAAAATACAATAAATTATTGTTAACTATAATTTATCTACTATACTATGGAATACTGAAACTTATTCCTTCTATCTAACTGTATTTTTGTTTCCATTAACCAACGTCACTTATCTCCTTCTTCCACTTTCCCTTCCAAGCCTCTGGAAACCACCGTTCTACTCTCTATCTCCAGGAGATCCACATTTTCAGCTCTCACATATGAGTGAGAACGTGTAATATTTGTCTTTTTGTGCCTGGCTTATTTCACTTAACATAATGACCCTAGTTCCATCCATGTCACTGCAAATGACAGGATCTCATTCTTTCTTATGGATGAATAGCATTGCATTGTGTATATGTACCACATTTTCTTTATCCATTCATCTGTTTATGGACATAGGTTGATTCTCTATCTTGGCTATTGTAAATGATGCTGCAATAAACATGGGAATGCAAATACCTCCTTGACATACTAATTTCCTTTCTTTTGGATGTGTACCTAGAAGTGGGATTGCTAGTTTTTTTGAGAAATCTCCATTTTATTTTCCATAATAGCTGTACTACTTAATATTCCCACAACACTTGAGCATTCCCATTTTCCACATCCTTGACAGCATTTGTTATTTTTTGTCTTTTTGATAATAACAGTTTAAGTGGGGTGAGATGATATCCCATTGTAGTTGTGATCTGCATTTCTCTAATGATTAGTTATGTTGAGCTTTTATATCTACATATCTGTTTGCCACTTGTATATCTTATTTTGAGAAATGTCTATTCAGGAGTTTGCTTATTTTTACATTTTGCTTTTTTTTGCTACTGAGTTGTTTGAGTTATTTATATATTCTGGTTATTAATACCTAGTCAAATCAATAGTTTAGGAATATCTTCTCCCATTCTTTAGGTCGTCTCATTTATTTGTTAGCTTTTTTTCCTTTGCTGTGCAGAAGCTTTTTAGCATGATGTAATACCATTTGTCTATTTTGCTTTTGTTTCCTGTGCTTTTGTGGTCTTACTCCCCAAAATCTTTGTCCAGACCAATGTCCTGTAGCATTTCCCCAATATTTTCTTTTAATAGTCTGAAGTTTTAGGTATTACATTTAAATCTTTACTCCATTTTGAGTTTATTTTTATATGTGGTGAAAGATGGGACTCTAGTTTAATTCTGTGTATAAATAACCAGTTTTCTCAGCACCATTTATTAAGCAGACTGTCCTTTCTTTAAGGTATGTTCTCAGCATCTTTGTTAAAAATGAGTTGGCTGTAAGCACGTGGATTTATGTCTGGGTCCTCAACTCTTTCCATTGTTCTGTGTTTCTGTTTTTTGCCAGTACCATGCTGTTTTTGTTACTATACCATTGTAGTTTAATTTGAATTGGGATACTGTGATGTCTCCAGCTTTGTTCTTTTTGCTCAGGATAGCTTTCGTTATTTGGGGTCTTTTGTGGTACCGTGTGAATTTTAGAATTGTCTTTTCTACTTCTGTGAAGAATGTTATTGGTATTTTGATAGGGATTGCATCGAATCTGTAGATTGCTTTGGGTAGTATGGACATTTTAACAATGTTTATTCTTCCAATCCATGAACATGGAATATCTTTCCATTTTTTTGTACTCTTCAATTTCTTTCATCAGTATTTTATATTGTCCCTTGTTGTAAAGATGTTCACTTCTCTGGTTAAATTTATTCTTAGGTATTATATTTGTATTAATAGCTATTGTAAATGAAATTGTTTTCTTTATATTTTGTAGCCATTGTAAATGAAATTGCTGTCTTTATTTTTTTTTCAGATTGTTCGCTGTTAGTGTATAGAAACACTACTGACAGGCCATAATGAATAATGAGATTGAAGGAGTAATAAAAGTCTTCCACCAAAGAAAAGCCCAGGACCTAGTGGAATCACTGCCAACCTTTGCCTATCAGTAATACCAGTTTCACTTAAACTATTTCAAAAAATTGAAGAGGAGATAATACTTCCAAACCTACTCTATGAGGCAAGTATGACTCTGATACTAAAACCAGAAAAATATAGAAAAAAAGAGAAAACTACAGGCCAATATCTCTGATGAACATAGATTCAAAAATTCTCAACAAAATAGTAGCAAATAGAATTAAACAACACATTAAAGAGATCATTCACCTTAATCAAGTGGGATTCATCCTCAGGATACAAGGATGGTTTAACAATCAATAAACATGATACATTACATCAACAAAATCAAGGACTAAAACTAAAACTAGATCATTTTAATAGATGCTATAGAAGCACTTGATAAAGTTCTACATTGCTTCATTATGAAAACCCTCAAAGAATTGGGTATAGAGGGAACATATCTCAACCAAATAAGGGCTATTTTTTACAAACCCACAGCTAGTATCATACTGAATGGGGAAAAATTGAAAGCCTTTCCACTAAGAACTGGAACAAAACAAGAATGCCCACTTTTACCACTTTTATTCAACATAGTACCAGAAGCCCTAGTCAGAGCAATTACGCAAAAGAAAGAAAGGGCATCCAAATTGTAAAAGAAGTCAAATTATCCTTGTTTGAAGTTGTTATGATCTCATATTTAGAAAAATCTAGAGACTCCACTAAAAAACTCTTAGAGGTGGTACATAAATTTACTAAAGTTGCAGGATACAAAATCAATATACCATATATTAATTATGCTTAGCAATACTAGGACTTATTGCCAACATCTTTTCTATAAACTGTATCTGAATTTTACTCAATTTGTTTTAATTATAAGTCAAACCAGACTAGTATGGTTATGATTTGATCACTGTGCTCTCCTAGAGTGCTTCTGAAATTCCTTTGGAGATCTCAGGGTCTCAGTAGCTTCATGACCTTAAGTAGATTTGTTGGGGGTGTCCAGGCTCATATTCAGCACATTTGAGAAATGGGGAATGAAGATCAATGGTTTCAATCCATAAAGACAGTGATGTAGAAAAGCCATAATATAATAACCACTGTTCATTGAGCATGTATTTCATGTAGATCCAGTGCTAAGTACCTTAGAAATCATATTTTAAAAATCCTCATATCAACTCTGTACAGTGAGATTGCATATTGTGATGGCTTTTATGTGTCAGCAGGAATGGGTTAAAGAATGCCCAGATAGCTGGTGAAACATTATTTCTGAGTGTGTCTGTGTAGGTATTTGAGGGCAGGTTAGCATCTGAATCAGTAGACTAAGAAAAGAAAATCTGCCCTCACCAATATGGGCGGGCATCATCCAGTCCATTTGGATAGAACAGAAAGAGGAGGAATGGCACATTTTCTCACTGTTTGAGCTGGAACATCCATCTTCTTCTGCCCTCAGACATCAGAGCTCCAGGCCTTTGGACTATGGGACCTACACCATTGGCTTTCCTGGTTCTCAGGCCTTCAGACTTGGACTGTGTCTCACTTCTGGCTCTTTTGGGTCTCCAGCTTGCAGATGGCAGATCATGGAACTTCCTGGCCTCCATAATAAGGTGAGCCAATTCCCATAATAGATCTCCTCTTATATATCTATATGTATCCTACTGGTTCTATTTCTCTGGAAAACCCTTACTCATACACATATCTTCATTTTACATGTGGAAAAAAAATAAATTAGAAGCTCAGAGGTATTTAACAACTTGCCAAGCTGGATAGTGCAGAAGAAGTCAGACCTAGGTTTCCTGGAAACAGAAGCCAAAGCATTGCCCTGAACATGTTCTCCTTTTCCTTATAGAAGTTCTTTAAACACATGGGTCACTTTAGGATACAGTACAGCTTCAGAGAAGAAGTAATGTCAATTTTCACAACTCAATGCCTTAAGACTTGATTCACGTTCCTTCAAAATTGTGAAGTGTGTTGCTGAATAACAAAAAACAATTCAAACAGGTAAAGCTATGTCTTAGTCTGCTGGGGCTGCCATAATAAAATGCCACAGACTGGGTAGCTTCAGCCACATTTATTTTCTCAAAGTTTTATAGGCTGGAAGTCCAAGATCAAGGTGTTGGCAGGGTTGCTTTCTTCTGAGGCCTCTTTCCTTGGTTTGCAGATGGCCATCTTTGTGCTGTGTCCTCACACGGCCTTTCCTCTGTGTGTGAGCATGTCAGTTGTCCTAATCTCCTTTTCTTATAAGAACACCAGTTGTATCAGATGAGGTTCTACCCATATGATCTCATTTTACCTTACTTATCTCTTCAAAGATCTTATCTTTAAATACAGTTGTATGTGGGTTTAGGGAGTCAACCTATGTATTTTTGGGGGGATAAAGTCAGTCTATAACAAGCTATAAAAATCAAAATGAATCAGGAGACATTAATTCATAACATCTTTTCTTTTTCTAGGGACTTTTTTTCTTCCAGCTTCATTGAGGTATAATTGGTAACAAAAACTGAACATAATTAATGTACATAATTTAGTGGGTTTGGACGTTGGAACAATTATTTTCTTGGCCTTTTTTCTGGAAGGTATTTGCACTTGTTTGTGAAATTATATAATTTGGCTTAAAATTACATACAATGATTAAATATGGCATGTAATTTCTGATTCTTCAAATTGTCAAAAAAATTAGTTTTAATTTAATGGCTGTTATATGTCACTAGGTTTCTGACATAAACTGTCAAATTGCATTGCACTAATTTACATTCCCACCTAACGGATATAAAAGTACTTTCTTTCTTAACATTAGATATGAATATTATTAGATTTTTAAAAATCTTTTTTCCAAGTTGAATACAAAAAACTACATCTCATTGTTTTGTTAATTTCTTTTTTTTTTTCCTATAGAAAGTATTTCATTTCTCGTGGTCAAATCTGTCTTTGTGTTTTCTGGGTTTTGTGTCTTGATAACAAGTCTTTCTTCATTGCAGTAATATTAAAATATTTTCTCCTACTTTCTTCTTAATACTTTCATAAATTTCTTCTAACTTTAGCTCTTTAATTCATTGGGAATTTATCTTGGCTCTCACTCTAAATTAAGGACTCCTATATTGTGTAATGGTTAATAGTATAAACTCTAAAAGAAGACTACTTGGTTTGACTTCCAGCTCCACTACTTACCAGCTGGGTGACATCCAGAAAGTTCTTTACTCTTTCCCTCAAGTTCCTCAGCTGTACAATGGCAATCATAATAGTTTCTACTAATAGAATCATGTATTAAATGAGTTAGTACATAATGGTGCAGGATAATATTAGATAACAATAGTGTTAGTTTTTGTCTGGTTTAGAATTTTTAGAAACTTCTCTTTGTTTCCAGTGTTTTAAGCTTCAGGATGAAAAGCTGTATTTTTTTTTTTTAATTAAGGAACCAAAGTCTCTCATTTCCAAGAAATATTTAGAATTATTAAAATAATTTCCTGTTAATTATTTCCTTCCATTTCTCTGTTTTCTCTCCCTCTTTTCCACCTCTGTTCTCTTTTTCTGGATCATTTCTTAATTATATGTTCAAGTGGTGTACTGATCTGGTACTTTTCTAATCTTGTCTATTTTCACTCTCCTTTTTGCTGCTTTACTATGTGGGAGATTTGTGATTTCCTTAACCTCATCTTTGAGATTTACAGAATTAAAAAACATTCTATTACCCAAATGTTAATTTATAAAGGCTTTTATTCCCCTTCTCCCTTCACTCTCTCCTTTCTCTAACATACATACTATATATATATATATACACATAAATGTATTGCTATTAATAATGGGACTTTCATCTCAAAGCTTGGTTCTTTTTTGTTTATCTCATAAGTGGATATGCAACTATTCTTTACTTATATCTTTAAACCTTAGATAGAAATATTTGAGTGGGAAAACTGCCTATCATTTAATTTTATGTAGTGCTCAGCCCACAGTTATAAAAAGACTGGTAGGTTAACAGCAATATCCAAACACTAAAATATAGTGAATATAATGTAGTTTATAATAATTTGATTTGTCTTGAAGATGGTTTAATTTGATTCAAATAGAATTATATTTTCATAGCTATTTTATAAATTCTCCATAATAAAAATAGTCTTATGTCTCTTATTTTAGTCAATGTAGCATTCATTTGTTTCTGTTGCTTGCATTTAATTTCTCTTGTATTTTAATTATTGTAATTACCTAGTGAGATATTAATTTTCTACAACTGCGATCTCTTTGCAAAGCTTAGATGAATTCTTTACCATTAGCAAATAGATAATTCATTTGAATAATTATGAAGTTTATAAGCAATCTGTGACAGCCAGTAAAATGGTAAATGTTAAAATGGCATAATCTAAGTGAAAACATTATATAAAGACTGGAGAATACATGAAATAAAAATTCACTAATGTTGATTAACAAGAGGAATGGGAAAATATAATGAAAAATTCAGGTATTTAGTTTTTAAACTATAAATATTTCATTGCTATCTTCAAAGTCTCAGTCATAAAGAATATTATATTAAAGTATCTTTGTTTTAATTTCTGAACATATTATTAGAGAGTTTTAATAATCAAGGAACTACTTAGGATGATGAAGTACAGTATTCCCGGTTTAGATAGAGATCTGAACCATAAAGTGAGCTATTTAAAGAAATTTACTGAAACACCATATTAATGTCCTACAAATCAATAACAAGAATAATACATGTAAGTTTATAGTTCTTAAAACGATATATTAAGAAAAAACTTGAAAATTTTGCTACATTTCTTTTCTAAAAATTTAAATGAATGCAAGAAAACACATTTTCATGAGAATGAGACTTCTCTGCGCAATATATACTTAAAGATTTGTTACAAAAGAAATAGTATAGACAAAATTATTGAATGTTACGTACATTTACAGAGGAGTCAGTATGCAGAAAGCTCAGGCTACATATAAGAAACATCATGAAATTATTTAAAATTTACTATCTGGCATTCATATAATGTAGCACAATTTTATTCTGTGGTGGATACAGGGTTAAGCTTGCATTTAGTCCAAGGGCTTTTGAAATGACTTCGACGATATGTGTTAAAAAAATTTGCTTAACTTGATAAAGATCTGAATTTTCATCTTACTTTCTAGAAGTTTGATATGTAATTATCAAAATGAATTACCAAAGAAGAAGTTTGCCTAGGGCTTTTCTTTCTGATAACTGATTAGATTAATTTTTCAGAGATCTGGGAAGCATTCTGATCATCAGGAACAAAATTTTGACTTTCATATTTGTAAATATTCCCTTTGTCACTCTTATAAGGCTACAATGTCCAAATGGTCATGGCTTTAAAACTTTTTATGTTTCATCATTATGAATTATACCCAAATCCAAATGGCAAGTAGTAGCAGATGAGATTGGGAATGGAGAGGGAATCAGTCATGGAAAGTTTGTTATACTCTACCAAACAGATTGGATAATTTTTTCTAATAGGTGATAGGAAGCTTTGAATGATTTTAAGAAAGTGAGTGATTGGATCAGATTTATGGTTTGGAAGCTCATTCAATGGGACTACCAAGTAGCTGCTTTCAACTCTGTTTCCACTATACTATATCTGATGAGTAACAATTTATCCCTAGATCAAACAATTGTTTTTATGCAAGACTAGTACAGAGATTAAAAAGAAGCTTCTGGTTTTATTTGCATTTCCCAAGGTTTAGTAACAATTCCCCATTTTCTGCAGCAAATTATAATCCTCTAGCATCCAATAGGAGAGTTGAGAATTGTGGATACAGATCTATATAAGAATGGGACCAGAAGGGGTGGGTATGATAGGGAATTGAGAAAGTTTATTCTTACTGAGAAAAATCTATAATTATTTATTACAGTTAAGTTCATGATTCTAAGGTCTGCATTATACAATGAATAAACCATGCAATAATTTCAGAGCCTAGAAATCTGAAATCTAAATAACTTTCTAGTTAGTAACACCTACTGGACTGGATATTGCAATATGTTTCTACTAGTATTGTAACCATCCCAATAGAAAGTAAGAGATCAGAGATTCATGAAAATGGAGTCAAGATTGTAGGAGAAAGAAGGAATTTTCTTGACATTCCTCATGTTTTAGGAGAACACTTTTCTAGGTGGGTTTAGCAACCCTTATTAGCCATAGTACCACTCTGCCAGTGGGCAGCAATAAAAATTGTCATCTTAACCCCTTATTAGTCTTTAATGTATTAATTGGAAGAATATATTTGAGATATATTTTTATGAATTATTTTTCATATTAAATACTAATGTTTTTGGCTAAAGAAATGTACGTTCAGAGTAACTGCTACTTTACAATATTCTGGTCCATGTTCTGATGGAACTGAAAACCTGCAGGATATGGAAAAGGCTGAGAGTACAGATGCCAAGGCCAGTCCTAGCACTTACCAGCTTACTTTGGGTCAAATATAATCACATATCAAGTAGCAGAGTGTTAGGCTCATGATAATACTGAAAGCTTAGTGAGCACTAGCAGTGTCAGACATCCCATTTATGTCAATTTACTTAATAGACCTGATAGGCCTACAGGAGAGGTGCTCTTATCCTCATTCTTAGATGAGGACACTGAAGTACACAGACAGTAATGGTGGAACTCAGGCTACCAGCTCAAAACTCTTCACTGACCTCCAAAATGTTAACACTGCCATACAGCACAGTGATTGGGGAAAAGGACAATATTTTGCAAATAAAAGCATATTTTACAGGCAAAGGTGCAAGGCAAGCATCATGCTTTTTTTTTTTAATGCCACACTGTTACAAGATTTTCAAAAGAGCACAGCATAATCTGAATTATTTGTATTTTGTATGTACTTGACTATGAGAATATTTTTTCCCAAACATTTGTTATCTCTTTACGTTTTACTTTCGTTTCATAATTGTGAAAGTCAGAAACATTAGTGTTTCTGTTTTATTTTATGAGTAATAATCATTTAATAGAATAGAAAGTTAAATCTTGAATAGAAGTTATGATTGATCGAGACCATCCTGGCTAACACGGTGAAACCCCGTCTCTACTAAAAAATACAAAAAAATTAGCCGGGCGTGGTGGTGGGCACCTGTAGTCCCAGCTACTCGGGAGACTGAGGCAGGAGAATAGCATGCCCAGGAGGCAGAGGTTGCAGTGAGCCGAGATCGTGCCACTGCATTCCAGTCTGGGTGACAGAGCAAGACTCCGTCTCAAAAAAAAAAAAAAAAAAAAAAAAAAGAAGTTATGATTGATAAACCGTTTGCAATGTTCTTGGATTCTTGGATTACATTGGTGACAATGGGTTGGCTAATGTTCCTAAATTCACTCTGTGCTCTCACTACTGCAGTAGAAGATAAGAGTATTTTAATGTAAACCATTTATGTTTCCATAATTAATAACATTGACTTAATGCAAATTGGTAAGTCACATAAATTAAGTTTTTCTAAATCTTACTAAATCAAAGACAGAAACAGTTTATGTTTGTTCGAGTCTTTTTGTCTCTAAGCCTGCACACAAGTCTCTATACCTCTATCAAATTTGAAAAAAACTTCCTGTACTGGGAAATTTGGGTAGCTCTTTGGAGAAACATATTAGTTTATGTTCTCTCTCTACATTATAGATGAAAAGAAATTACAAAGACCTTGAGAAATAAGGAAGTAGATAAGCATTAAGTAACACTAGAAAGAAATTTAGAAAAATAGTTTGAATTGTGAGATTTTTCTAAGTACAAAAGCAGTTGAAGTTGAAATGAATGATCATTTGTAATTTTTCAAGACTAAGACTAAAAGAATCATACCCTGGATATGACTCCTCTCAGTCTTCACTTCATTCAGTCCTGCGGAGCCGCAATTTAAAGTGGCTTTCTCAGGACAGGGCGGTACCAATCTCCTTTAATAAATACCATTTGGGTGTTCATTAACACTTCAGCCTGGATTCACAAGGGGTCATGACAGTGAATGGGTTTGAAGTGGTTTGTAAACGATTTTTGTTAAAAATTTGAAGGACACTGGGTGCAGTGGCTAACACTTGTAATCCTAGCACTTTGGGAGGCCAAGGTGGGAGGATCACTTGAGCTTAGGAGTTTGAAACCAGCCTGGGCAACATGGTGAGACCTCATCTCTACAAAAAATACAGGAATTAGTTGGCATGGTGGCACGTGCCTTGGTTTCAGCTACTTGGGAAGCTCAGGCAGGAGGATTGCTTGAGCGCAGGAGGATTGCTTGAGCCCAGGAGGAGGTTGAGGCTGCAGTGAGCTGAGACACCACTGCACTCCAGCCTGGGCAACAGAGTGAGACCCTGTCTCAAAAAATTTTTTTTTTTTGTAAAAACCATCATTCTTAGCAAACTATCGCAAGGACAAAAAACCAAACACCGCATGTTCTCATCCATAGGTGGGAATTAAACAATGAGAACACATGGACACAGGAAGGGGAACATCACACACCGGGGCCTGTTGTGGGGTGGGGGGAGGGGGGAGGGATAGCATTAGGAGATATACCTAATGTTAAATGACGAGTTAATGGGTGCAGCACACCAACATGGCACATGTATACATATGTAACTAACCTGCACGTTGTGCACATGTACCCTAAAACTTAAAGTATAATTTTTAAAAAAAAAGAAAAATAACTACTATAACAAGGCTGTCTGATGTAAGTTTCTGTTTGCTTTTTTTGGAACACATACCACACACAGGTCAGGTTGGTAGCACTATCATCTAATGATTATAACTTTTGATCTTCAAACACGTAAGTTTCTGACTTGTGCAAATGAAATACAAATTGTATTTTTAGAGTAAATGCTATTTTTTTTGTAGACAGTTCTTTCCAAATATAAATCCTATGAAATGATCATAGAAGAACCTTGATAGAGATGAGAGAAGCAACTCAAACGGGTCTCAGGGGAGCTAAAAGTACAGAGTCATAGAAGGAAGGCACCAGGAAGATGCTGATATAAGAGAATGGAGAATACCCCTGCTTCACAATTAATTCCTTTGTCTTTAAAATACACACACACACACACACACACACACACACACAAACACACACACTTCTCCTTCTCCTAAGGACTCTTTGTGGTTTGAAATGTGCTTCTCCAGCCTCAGCTTTCCAGTACCATCCTGACACCCTCTGCTCTAATGGCCCTCTTAGAAACTACACATAGTTTCCAGAGAAAGCAGGCTCTCTGAGCTGTGGCATGGGCTTCTTTCTTTACTAGGAATGCTCGCCCTCACACTCATCTGAACTTCAACTCCTACCATGCTAATTACCATTTTTTCTTTAAGAATTTATCTAGGAAGGCTTACACGCTCTTCCCCACCATCCTGCCCAACCTGAGTTGGAAGCCACTTCACTCTGTCTGTTAGCATCCTCTGCATACCTCTATTTCATCTCTCATCTCCTTGCTTTTGTCTCTCCTCTATAAGATTATACTGAGTTGAGAAGAGGAAGCTTATTTACTTTTGTGTCTTTGGAGCCTTGTGAAATGCCAGGCACACAGCAGGCACTCAATAAATATTAATGAGTAAAATTATGAAAAATGGATGCAGCAGCTCACTCCTGTGTACACAGATAGAGTGGAACACAAAATGAAGTACAGATGTCTCATCTTGCCCTGCACATTTTTGATTGTTAATCATTACCTGTTGAATCAAAGTATTTTAATTATTTAGCCTGGTCCTGACATGGGGAAATGACAATCCTTTATAAAATAAAAATGTAAAAATACTATAAAGCTAAATGTGATTGTCAATGTATGCTATAGGTATGAGAATAAGGAAATTACTATTTCTTTTTTAAAAAAACTTTTATAACTTCATTATAACACACTGGTCCCAACAAGTATAACAATTTAAAGTATTTTTAAAAAATGTAAACAGATGCAGATTTAGTGAGAAAATGAACGTTTTTTGATAGACTGTTCTCCGTGAGTCTTTTGCATTTCTGCATGTTTTGTGAGCAAAGGCAATGACTGCCTTGTTCTGGATTATCTTTTTGAGGATATGTCAAGAAACATACGCCTGCAAAGGTCTTCCTCTGAAGCCAAAGGAAGATTTGTTTTTTCCAGTACAAAAAAGATAATGTCTCTTTCTGGGGGAAATGTCAGGCTGGATTATTGCCTATTTTAAAACACTGGGGTTCCCCAAACTTGTAGTTTCCCTCCTGTGATACAAGCTACTTCATGTGCAGGTGCCACCTGAACTTTTTACATCATCTTTTGGGAATTGGGATTCAATTAGCCATCAAAAAGGCTAATACTCTTGTTAATGCAATTGCTATGAGTAATAAACTGCCCATTGTCTCTGACCCAGCAGTCTCATGTCTTCTGCCAACATCCATGAAACTGTGGCAGGCTAATTTGTTAGCTTATAAGTAGGGTAAAATTTCAGGCCCTTCATAGTTCTTGACAATGTCAATAAGGAGTGATATTTAACAATTCCCACGCTAAAGGTGGAGGCTTCAAAATTTTGCTGGATCTGACATTTACCCATTATTCAGTAAGACTCTGCTAAGTTTCAGTGCCATCATTCCTTTATATGAAATGCATTATCAAGTCTTAATGAGATAATTTATGTAATAGTGACCAACTGGATAGTTTCATAGGGAGAGTTGAATAACCTCGTGATATATGAGAAAGAAAGAGTGAATACAGACAATGTTTTTTTCACTAGAGAAAAGAAAATTAGGTAAGTGGCCCTCTTACCAATAAAATTCAGAGAACTGAATTAAACTATTAATCACAATTAATTTCTGGTAAGGATAGTTCAGTTACCTGAGAAGTGTTGTTTAAATTATTTCTCATAAGACCCATAGAGTTTTGTTGTTGCTATTGTTTTGATGGCAAGAGTCTTCAAAGGATTTTTTTTAAAAAAAAAAACAATAGCATGCTATCAACAAATATGAAATGGAAAAAAATCAGAGAGCTCATGTGATTTTCACAGGGGAAAAATTATTTTAGGACCGACACAAAGAAGAGAAAATGAATGACTCCTGTGGTTTTGGAATCAAGCTTTTATCCTGTTAGAGCCATTGTTAAAAAGAGTGAAGCGTGTTTTAATTCTGAATATAGAAAATTGTTCTCAAAGATTTGCTGCCCCATAAAATTGCTCTACGAGACTACTGCTATACCACAATAGGGTACTTTTAAAGATGGAAAATAAAGAGATTACGGGGTAAATATCCTATAAACTGTGATGGTTAACATTCAGAGGATGATTCACTAGAGAATATATCTCTTATCAGAATTCTTTTGTTAAGAGAGCTTCTTTTTATTCCCTTCACTGCCACCCCCGTAACAGACAGTTGAACTGAACCTAAAAGATGCAGACATAATGTATTTTAGGGAAATCTGGTACTGGCTGTTAGAATGTGCAATAGAAAGCAGAGAAATATGGGCCCACATAGGAAGTGTGATGCAGGGAGTATGAGCAGCAAGTCGAGACTCAGACATGTATGTCCTATCGGTAACTTTCAATTATTGACTTTTCTCAGGATTCTAGACCATTTTAACCAATATATATACAATTTTCATAGCATGGTTCACATGATTGTATTAACAAAAATATGATAATGTAATCAAGGAATGGACAATGAATATTTTTTAAAAATTTAATTTTTATTTTAAGTTCAGGGGTTCATGTGCAGGTTTGTTATATAGGTAAACTTTTGTCATGGGGAGTTTTGTTGTACAGATTATTTCATCACCCAGGTATAAAGCCTAGTACCCATTAGTTATTCTTCCCGATCCCCTCCCTTCTCCCACCCTCTATCCTTCTATAGGTCCCAGTGTCTGTTGTTCCCCTCTATGCGTCCATGTGTTCCCATCATTTAGCTCCCACTTATAAGTGAGAATATGCAGTATTTGGTTTTCTGTTCCTGCCTAAGTTTGCTAAGGATAATGGCCTCCAGCTCCATCCATGTTCCTGCAGAGGATATAATCTCACTCTTTTTGATGGCTGCATAGTATTCCATGGTGTATAGAGTATGTTATTTTGGTATTTAGAAACTGTTGAGTGAATTAGCTTTTTTAGTTTAATAACAATACATTCTGATGATATTTTCTTATTGCTTCTGTATGTTTAAATTTATATGTTAATACTGCGTTAAGTTTCCGGATGGGAAGATACATGATTTAAAAATAGCAAGTTTAAGGCCAAATGTCTCTGTTACTTTTCATTCTTAGTAGTAATCTACGCACCCTATGGAGATGATCCCATGCACAGAGGCAGCTTGATTCTTGCTTGAAGTCCACTGGTGTGTATTACTAGGAAAAATTATTTGGGATTCTGCTTTTTGCTTTCTTCTGACACTTGCTATTTTACAGAGATTGAGTAAGTTTGCATGTATAAAAATCTATGTAGCAGAAAATGCAAGCATAATAATTTTTGTTCATTAAAGTATTTGTGATTGGGGTATTAGTGTTAAGTATTAGTATAGGATACTAGGTAGTGGTAAGATCATGGCCTAAACATTATTCACAATAGCTAAGATATGGAAACAACCTAATTGTCTGTTGACTGATGAATGAATAAAGAAAATATAGTAAACATACACACTATATGTCTATATACACAAAATGGAATATTACTCAGCCTTAAAAAAGGAGGAAATCTTGCCATTTGCTAAAACAAGCCTGTCTAACCTGCAGCCCAGGACAGCTACGAATGTGGCCCAACACAAATCCATAAACTTTCTTAAACATTATGAGATTTTTTTTTGCAATTTTTGTAAACCTCATCAGTTATCGTTAGTGTTAGTGTATTTTATGTGTCACCCAAAACAATTATTCTTCTTCCAATGTGGCCTAGGGAAGCCAAAACATTGGACACCCCTGTGCTACAACACAAATGAATCTGGAGGACATTATAATAAGTGAAATAAACCTGACACAGAAGGACAAATACAGCATCATTTCACTTATATGAGGTATCTAAAATCATCAAACTCATAGAAACAGGGTAAAATGATGCTTTTCAAGGTCTACGGGCAGGAGGAAGTGGGAAGTTGCTGTTCAACAGGTCTAAAGTTTCAGTTATGCAAGATGAATAAGTTCTACAGGTTTGTCGTATAACATTGTCATTTTAGCACTGTATTGTTCACTTAAAAATTTCTCAAGAAGGTGGATCTCATGTTAAGTGTTCTTACCACAGTTAGAAAGCAAAAAGATGGCCTGAAATCCTATTAAATTTCTGGGATTGTACATGCTGGAATGAAAATGAATCCTGGGCAAGTTGCATGAGTTCCCCCAGGAGAGATATTCACATATTCTTGCAGCCAGGATAGCAGAATTGTGAGGAGCTGCTTGCTTGTTTGATGAGCAGCAAAACATTTTGGGTTTAAAAATGTGCATTAATGACATTTTACTCGGGATTTTTTTTCTTGATTGTATGCATACTCTTCATCCATTGAGAGAAATACATGCTAAAAGAGATGGCTACTATCCTATGATTAAGATACTGATATGGATTAGATTGAGTGATACTGGTTAAAAGTAAGAAATATATGGAACTCCACAATAGAAAAAGAGTTTACTCTTATGGAGATGATACTGCCTAATACCCTTGTGTACTTGTGAGGATATTCCTAGGTTCTAGATGAAAAGTGAACATTCTCTGATAGCAAAAAATAATAACAGTAAAAACAGCACTCCTTTATATGTATGTAAAACTTTGATTTTCACCGTATTTTAAAAAATTTCTTCCACTTAACCCTTACAATAGCCTGCTGAGGGCAAGCCCAATGGGAAGTATCCTTCAGGTTTTGCTGGTGATGGTGGGAGGCTTGTGTGACTATTGGTGGTTGTGCCAAATCCCAGGGCTATGACTGTGGCTTTTCTCGTTGCTTCTCAGGATCTAACTAGGGGGCCTTTATCATCTCTACGTGGCTCCAGTTTTTGGCCTGGGGCCTGGTAGCCTTCAGCAGTGTCACGGGACTGTATACAGGCTGTGGTGGTCTTTGGATGTGTAAACATAGCTAGGCTACAGCCCCAGTTATTCAATCAAATGCTCATGTAGGTGTTGTTCTGAAGGTATTTTGTAGGTGATTAAGGTCCGTTATGAGGAAGATTATCCTAGGTCATTTGGGCGAGCCTGATTCTATCAGTTGAAAGTCCTGAAAAGTAGGCTGAGGATTTCCTGGTGAAGGAGAAATCCTTCAGGTGGACAGCAACTTCAGGCCATATCCAGCTTACACCTGCTGGAGGCCTGGTCCCTGGACTTCAGATTTGCCTAGTGTTACCCCACAATCACATACTCCAGTTCTTCGAAATAAGCCTCTTAATATTTATCTTCCATTGGTTCTGCTTCTTTGCCTGAACCATGCCTGGTGCACAGGGGTGTCCACGGAGAACAAACTCAGCCATCTCAGAGCACATTCCTCTCATCACTCCCTCCTGGTTGAGATGTCTCAAGATGTGAAGGAACTGCATTGGAATGGGACGTGCAAAGGAGAATGATTCTGGGAGAGCCCCTGCTGCCAAAATGCCCCCTGTTCGCAGGCCAGGGATGCTTTGTATCTTGGGCAAGTGTCAGGAGTCTGGTGGTTTTATAAGGTACTCAAAGTTCCTGGGTTCTAAACTTGAAGGGGATCCTTCCTTCCATAGGTATTTGTAGGAGAAGGAGGTGTATGGTGTATGTTTTGTTTGGAGTCCCAAGGAATCTTCCTGAGTTTCTCAGTTCTCTAAGAAAGTCCAAACCTCAGAATTTTGATTTTTGGCAAGCTTTCTTAGTTTAAATGGGCCTTTGCTTTAGTCTAGAAATAAAATCCATAATTGGATTAAGTGTAGCCAGGCAGTTTCTCTGAGATGTTGCAGCTGGTGGTGAACTGGTCTCTGGATGCTCATGTTGCATCTAGCGTGTGACTACTGGCATCTTGGACTACACTCCGTTGTTAGAGGATGACTCAGGACCGGATCACATTCCTTCCAAAATGCATATGTTGAAGCCTTCACTCACAATGTGACTGTACTTGAAGACAGGACTTTTAGGAAGTAATTAAGGTTAAATGAGGTCACAAGGGTGGGTCCTAAGGCTATAGAAGTGATGGCTTTATAAGAAGCAGAGAAAGAGAGAGAGAGAATGCAGTTCTCTCTCTCCTCTCTCTCTCCATGACACACACAAAGGAATGGCCCTGTAGGACACAGTGAGAAGGCGGCTGTCTGCAAGCCACGAAGAGAGCCCTCAGACTTTCAGCTTTCAGAACTGTGAGAAAATAAATCTCTGTTGTTTACACCACCCAGTCTGTGGTATTTTGTTATGACAATCTGAGTAGAGCAAGACAAAGACTGACTTTGGTAAATGTTGGAGATACCTCTTTTAGGGTCAAATAACCTTAAGGATTATTTTTATTATTTTCATTTTTTTTAAGTAAGAAGAAAAATGGACTTCTTTCACTAAATAAAGTTGAAACATATCTGAAATGATCAACGGTACTGATCACAAATGAAGAGTCAGTTCAAGACGTAAACATTTACTGAACAGCTGCCATAGTTGTATAAAAATGTTTTATGAAAGAATAAGAAAGAAATGGATGAATTGGGCTCCATACTCGAGGAACTAAAGCTTACTCTTCAAGAATAGTCAAAAGATAACACCTCTAGCAGTTTAATATGCACATCCTTTGGTGTTTATTGAAGGTATGTGTCTACTTACTACTTACATGGGCAAAAAGAAATGTGTGAGAATGCTGCTGTCCTCTTCACATGAAGCACCAAATACAGACTGTTTTCCTTTTGGGGTTTTCTTCAAGTTCCTACTGGTAGATATTGCTGCAATTTTTGCTAAGACCCTGTTGAAGTTTTTGCTGTTAAAATTTGCTATGGTTTTGACCTTCTCTTCTCCTCCTATGTCCTATTTGCTTTCATTCAATGGTCACGAACAGTTCCGCCACCAGCGGCTCTGAAGTTAACCTCCAAGTCAAAGTCTAAGATAGAGTACAGGGTTCCCATGTAGACTGATCTGGTTTAAACCCTAATTTGCCTTTAATGAGAAGTCACTGAAAGGCTCCAGGTTTTGTGTTTTTAAAACAGGGGATAATAATACCTACTTCATGGCTTAGGCTAAGTAAAAAGTATAGTATTTATTTACTCCTGTAAATGCTCCATACATAATATTTATGTTTATCGTGGAGGAAGATATAATACTCCAAAGTAACAAGTCTCCAAACTTTGGTCTGAAAACATAGTCTCTTTACTGCTAATCTGTTTTAAGGTTGTATGGTGAATTCACTAATTTGCTCATAGGGACTGTGGTCTATGTATAATGAGATGTGTGGTCACGACTGTCATTATGCATAGTTCCTATTATTTCGAAGAGGAACATATAGCACAAGAGACATAAAAGGGTAAAGTCTATTGGCAGAGAAAAATATAGGAGCAGCTGCTGTCGTTTCAATGTCCAGTAGATCAGGAGATTTGGAAAGGGGCCTGGCAATGCCGTAGGCCTTTCGTGTCTGGAATTTGATTCTTCAATAACCCAAAATAGGAGCAGTGGGAGCGGAGAGGGCCTCCTAATGGAGTCATGAGCCTATTTTATGTTTTGAAAATATCACTACATAGAGGATGAATTGCTATGTTTGGTCTTTTTCTAACATTGTCATTATTATCAATATATTTGGCTCTCCTCCATTTCTCCTCTTAAGTCACAGTGTGTTATTTCTGGAAAACATAATCATGTCCACAGAAACTTGTGTTTTCCATAAATCCTAGAAGACATAAAATGTAGGATAGACAGTGCAAGTGGATAAGCATATAACTGGCAGGATGATCTTTATGTAAATATACTTAATGAAACAGAAAGTAGGACCAAAACAAACAATTTTAAGCAAATATTAAAAGCCTCAAATGACACATATATGTTTGTATATATACATATATATGTGCATGTATGTATGTATCTACTATCTATATCTACCCATCGGTCTGTCTAGATAAAAAGATAAAATTGAATCCTATGAAATTACAGTAGATCACACCTCTACTGTAAAATATAAGTAATTTCACACAGTTCAACTTAAAATACATAGATGGAATGAAGAATTAGGTGGTTATCATAAGATTTTCTCTTACTTGTCATTTCATTTGCTTTTATTTAAATTATTTTTTCCTGCAGCTTCATTCTTATGTGAAAGCATGATCGTAATATAAACAGAGTTGCAGCACTAATCACGTTGACACTGCAGATGGGTCTAACCTTATTCGTAGTCCCAAGTAATTGCCACAATGCAAATTTTAGCACCTATCTCTATCGTATATTACTGCTTTGTAGTTAACGTTTTTCCTCTGATGAGTTCCAAATCACAGAAGGAATGCACATTTGTCACAACAAGTGAGATAATACAATATAAAGGTGAACAAAGGCAAAGTGAATCTTCCCTCCTTGCCCTCCCTTCCTTCTATGTCAGCCCTGAAGTATCTCTACATCTCTATTTAGTTTTCCCTTAGGGGAATCTTATCTCACAGGAGGATGTGTGGCCCGCCTCCCTCCCTTCTTTCTTCCTTGTGCTGTCTTTCATTTCCCATTAACCCTTGCCTTGCTTTTCTTGATGCAGTGTGTTGACTCCCCTGATCTACTGCATTGCAAGTTATTGTTCTGGGGGTAGGAATTAAAGGGAACAGAGCACGCAGCTCCTTCCCCTTTCATTCCTATGGGTGTCAGGTTTGATCACAATGACCTCAGAAAAAAAATATCAGAGAAGAGGGATTACCTCGCCACCTCTCCATCTTACCTTTTTTTTTCTTATCTGGACACTCAAACTCTGCTAGTCGCATGACACCTGATATGGTTTGGCTCTGTGTACTCACCCAAATCTCATCTTGAATTGTAATCTCCATGTGTTGGGGGAGGGTCCTGGTGGAAAGTGCCCGAACCATGGGGGTGGACTTTCCCCTTGCTGTTCTCATAATAGTGAGTTCTCATGAGACCTGGTGGTTTAAAAGTGCGTGACACTTTCCCCTTGCACTCTCTCTCCTTCATGCTACCATGAGAAGACATGCCTTGCTTCCTCCTCACCTTCCACCATGATTGTAAATTTCCTGAGGCCTCCCAGTCATGCTTCCTGTTAATCCTGTGGAACTGTGAGTCAACTAAACCTCTTTTCTTCATAAATTATCCAGTCTCGGATAGTTCTTTATAGCAGTGTGAGAATGGACTAATATAAGCATGAACCCGACTGTGAACTATGCAGGGGAGGGATCTAGATTGTGTGTTCCTTATGAGAATCTAATGCCTGATGATCTGTCACTGTCTCCCATCACCTCCAGATGGGACCATCTATCCACCTGAAGGGGCCTTTGCCTCAAATGACATGGCAACACACTTTGCCTCCCTCACCTCACTCAGGGCCAACATAGCCTGAAAAGTGCACATACACTTTGGTTGCACTGCAGATTTCTGATCAGGAGTATCTGGTCTAGGCTACCTTTTTCATTTCTCTTTCCAGTTGGCTCTTGCTGCTGACTACTGGCCTCTGTATTTTTCCTTGGATTTTCTTTTATTGATTTTCTCAAGGTCACACACTCCAGGCCATGGGCTTTCTCTGACTTCCTCCCTGGGTGTCTCTCCCATCCCTACTCTGCTACCAGAGCCCTCCCTGGGTCAGACACCTGCCACTCCTGGCCTTCTTCTGCTGGTGTCTCCTCCCTTTGGCACTACATCCTCTTGGTGGCAGGTCACATGCTTAATCGAGGTAGTAACATGTATGTATATTGCTTTTAAGTTTCATAATATTTTCACATATAATTACTTCATTTAATTCTGAAAATAGCATTGAGAAATGAGAATAAGCCTTGTTCCTACTTAGCACTCGGAAAAACTGAACCTGGAGGAGTTTGCATGATTTTGCTAATGCCTTTGCTAGGATTGTTAGGTTACAGTAAGGTCTAAAACCCAGATTGCCCAATTCCTAGTTTGTGTATTTGCTCCTGTGTACCATGCTCTAGATGTCCTCTGTGCTGTGCTTTGTAGCTTCTGAAACACCATGATCCTTTTAAAGACAAAGCTTTCCTTAGGTTCCCCTATCCCATCACTTAACCCCCAAGATGAAACCCAGCTTGCTTATTAAAAAAATGCAATCTCTAGAAATTCTTTAATTTCCACCTAAAGAAAATGCCCATCAAGGTTAGAGGGTTTCCTTTTCTCCTAATTTATTTATTTCTTGTTTTTTGCATAAACCGTGCTTCTATTTGGGCCTCCCCAATCATACTTCACTAGATCAGTAAGCATAGAAACATTAGGGACAACATTTTTATACTCCCAGGGCACTGCAGGACAACAATCTAGCCTTCTCACAGCCTTTCATTAAATACTATTTTGAACATCCCCATAAGGACATACGTTCAACCTGGAAACTCCCACACAGTGACAACTTTCAATTAATTACATGTATATTTTTCCCTTGGTATGATCCTTTTTCATTACTACGTAAAACAATGGCAGATAAGGGCACCTCAAATTTTGGAACTTCAAAAGTCACTTAATATCTCTTGGGCTTGAGTTTCCTCATCTGTAAAATAAAGTAGTGCCCTTGTCAGGTGCAAGTTTGGAAGTCAGGTAGGCATGAAGTAGAGTCTTGACACTGTCTATCTGCATAAGATGAAGCTACTGTGTTCTAGTAATCAGGTGAAACGTGCTTGATGCTATACTGGTATCTTGCAATTTATTTTTTTATGTGTCACGTTCATATGGTTAGGCTTTGTGTCCCCACCCAAATCTCATCTTGAATTGTAATCCCCATAATCCCCACCTAGGAGAGACCAGATGTAGGTAATTGAATCGTGGGGGCATTCTCCCCCATGCTGTTCTCATGAAATCTGAAGGTTTTGTCAGGGTCTCCTCCCACTTTGCTCAGCACTTCTCCTTCCTGCTGCCCTTGTGAAGAAGGTGCCTTGATTCCCCTTCACCTTCCACCATAATTTTAAGTCTCCTGAGGCCTCTCTAGCCATGCAGAACTGTGGGTCAATTAAACTTCTTTTTTAAAATAAATTACCCAATCTCAGGTTTTTAGCAGTGTGAGAATGAAGAATGTAGGATGCTTTGACTCATTAAGTCAGGATCATTCATGCTGATTATTCAAACCAGGTAGCGTTGTCCTTCAACTGTGCATCCCCTCAAGAGGTAGGTTCTGGTAAGGAGCTGTCCATCACAGGACATCTGCAATTTGCCTTCAGATCCTTGGGAGCTGACAGCAGCCCGTTTGTTGCCATTGACAACTGTCCGATCTAGGAGATGTACCATTCCTCAGTTTTGCATGGCAATTTGTTCTTAAAGATTTTTCAAAAATATATGAAAAATGATATAATTTATTATCACAGAAAAGGGTGTTGGATGGTGGAGACAGTACAGTATTATCACTATATTCCCTATTAACTGGAACACACAGTACAGGGTAAAAGTATCTTGCAATTGAATTGAGTTAACCAAGATACAGGCTGAGAGTATGTAACTCTGGAACAACAAACATGAAATTACTTTTACAGAGAGGGTCTCTCTGACAACGCTAAGATTCCACCCTCTGTGGTTAATTTTCCCTTCACTGTGCTTTATTTGTCTTTATGGCATGAGCACTCTTTAACATTCTATTAAATATATTCTTGTGTATATATAATTTATTAAATTTATTCGAGTATGTATGTATTTGTTAAATATATTGTAGTCTTCATAGTTTTTGTTTGTTGCCTGCCTCCTCTTTGCAAATATATCTCCATGAAGGCAGACTTTGTATATCATATATATCACAGAGAAGATGTTCACTAAACATTTATTTTGTCTTGAGGCATAACAAAGTCAAGTCAAGGTAACTTAAATGGCAGTGGGATATTCTTAGGGAAATCAGGAGATCTGAGGTTCCTTCTGACTTTGCTGTCCAGTACCTCTGCATTTTTCTCACAAAACTGGAAGAAGTGAACAGTGTTGCCTGGAATTTAAGCATATATCAGAATCACCCAAAGGGTTTGCAAAACACAGATTCTTGGGATTTACCCATAGAATTTCTGGCTCAGGAGGTCTGGATGGCACTTACATATCTTTTTAAAAGTTAATTCACTTTTAGTTAACCAAAATTGTATATATTGATTGTGTACAACGTAGTGTTTTGATATATATATATATATATATATATATATATATATATATATATATATATATATAATGGAATGGTTAAATCAAGCTAATTAGTATATGCATTACCTCACATACTTAACATTTTTTTATAGAGACAGAACTTAAAATCCACTCTCAGCAATTTTCAAGAATAGATTTTTATTAACTATAGTTATCATGTTGTACAATAGATCTCTTGAACTTGTTCCTCCTATGTAACTGAAATTTTGTGTCTTTTGACCAACCTCTCCCCAATCCATCAGCTCCCCACCAGCCTCTAGTAACCACCACTGGACTCTATGCTTCTGTGGGTTCAACTTTTTAAGATTCCATACGTAAGTGAGATCACATGGTATTTTTTTCCGCTCTGTGTCTGGCTTATTTCACTTAACATAATATTGTCCAGGTTCATCCATGTTGTAATACATGGTGGATTTCCTTCTAAAGCCTGAATACTACTCTACTTGTTTGTGTGTATGTACCACATTTTCTTTATCCATTCGTCATCTCTTGATGGACACTTAGGTTGATTCCTTATCTTAGCTACTGTGAATAATGCTATGGTAAGCATGACAGTATGGATATATCTTTGATGTACTGATTTCATTTCCTTTGGCTAAATAACCAATACTGGGATTGCTGGACCCTATGGTAGTTTTATTTTTAATTTTTTGAATGACCTCCATACTGTTTTCCATAATGGCTTTACTAATTTACATTCCCATTAGCAGTTGTGCAAGGGGTTCCTTTTCTACATATCCTCACTAACACTTATTCTTTTTTGTCTGTTTGACAATAACCATTGTGATATCTCATTGAGGCTTTTATTTGTTTTTCCTTGATAATTAGTGATGTTGAGCATTTTTCATGTACCTGTTGGCCATTCTTCTTTTGAGAAGTGTCTATTCAGGACCTTTGCCCATTAAAAAAAAATCAGGTTATTTGTTTTCTTGCTTTTTAGTTGTTTGAGTTCCTTATATACTTTGGATATTAACTCCTTATCAGATGGATGGTTGCAAATATCTTCTACCATTCTGTAGGTTGTCTCTCCACACTGTTGATTGTTTCCTTTGCTGTACAGAAGCTTATTAGTTTGATGTAATCCCATTTGTCTATTTTCATTTTCATTTCCTGTGGTTTTTGGGTCATATAATATCAAAAAAATCATTGCATAGGCCAATATCATGGAGCTCCTCCTCTATGTGTTCTTCTAGTAGTTTTACAGTTCTAGGTCTTACATTTCATTCTTTAATCCATTGTTAGTTGATTTTTGTATATTATGTGAGATGTGTCTGAATTCATTCTTCTGCATGTGGATATACAGTTTTCCCAATACCATTTATTGAAGAAACTGTTCTCGGCACTTTTGTCAAAAATCAATTGACCATAAATGTGTGGATTTATTTCTGAGCTCTCTATTCTATTCCATTGGTCTATGTGTCTGCTTTTACAATAGTGCCATGTTGTTTTGATTACTTAGCTTTGTAGTATATTTTGAAGTCAGGCAGTGTGATGCCTCCAGCTTTGTTCCTTTTGTTCAACATTACTTTGGCTATTCAGGATCTTTTGTGATTCCATCAGAATTTTAGAATTGTTTTTTCAATTTTATAAAAAATGTCATTGGAATTTTGATAGATATGGCATTGAGTCTGTAGATAGCTTTGAATGGTACTGACACTTTAATAATATTAATTCCTCCAATCCATAAACACAGGATATCTTTTCATTTATTTGTGTCTTCTTCAATTTCTTTCATCAATGTTATGTGGTTTTCTGTGTACAGGTCTTTCACCTCCTTGGTTGAATTTATTTCTAAGTATTTGATTTATTTAATTTTCTGTAGCCATTATAAATAGGATTATTTTGTTGATTTTTTTTGTTAGTGTATAAAAACACTACTGACTTTTGATTTTGTATCCTGCAACTTTACCAAATTCATTATTTTTAACAGTTTTGTCTGTTTTTTTTCTTTCTTTTGTGTGTGTGTGTGTGTGTGTGTGTGTGTGTCTGTGTGTGTGAAGTCTTAGGGTTTTCTATATATAAGATCATGTTGTCTGCAAATAGGGACAATTTAACTTCTTCCTTTTCAATTCAATGCCCTTTATTTCTTTTTTCTTCCTGCTTATTTTGGCTAGGCTTTTCCAGTACTATGTTACAGAGAAGTGGGGCATCCTTGTCTTGTTCTGTATCTTAGAGAAAAATTTTCAACTTTTCACTCTTGAGTATGATGTTAACTGTGGGTTTGTCATAGATGGCCTTTCTTGTGTTGAGGTATATTCTTTCTATACCTAATTTATTGAGGTTTTTCTTATTATGAAAGGACGTTGAATTTTGTCCAATGCTTTTTCTGCATTCTGAGATGATTATATAATTTTTGTCCTTCGTTCTGTTAATGTGGTATGTTACATTTGCATATGTTGTGAGTATAAGATTTGCCTATGTTGAATGACCCTTGAATCCCTGGGATAAATCCCACTTGATCATGGTGAATGATCCTTTTAGTGTCCTGTTGAATTCTGTTTGCTAGTTTTCTGTTGAGGATTTTTGTATCTATGTTTATCAAAGATAAGGGCTTGTGATTTACTTGTAGGTCTTTGATTTTGATATCATGGTAATGCTGGCCTTGTAAAATAAGTTTGCAAGTATTTTCTCTTCTTCTATGTTTTGGAAGAGTGACAGGAGTTTGGGAATGATTAATGTTCCCTATTTTTTAAATGTTTGGCTGAGTTCAGTTGTGAAGGCATCAGGTCCTAGGGTTTTCACTGATGGGAGACTTTTATTACTGATTCAATCTTTGTACTTGTTATTGTTCTGTTCACATTTTCTATTTCTTCATGATTCAGTCTGGATAGATTGTATATGTTTAGGAATTTTTCCATTTCTTCTAGGTTATCCAATTTGTTGGTGTATAATTGTTCTAGCAGTGTCTTACGATCCTTTGCATTACTGTAGTGGTAATGTCATCAGTTGTGATGTCTCCTCTTTCAGTTCTCATTTTATTTACTTGAGTCTCTTCTCTGTTTCTCTTAGTCTAGGTAAAAGTTTGTTGATTTTGTTTATCTTTCAAAAACAACCAACTTTTAGTTCTGTTGCTCTTTTCTATTGTTTTTCTTGTCTCTAACTCGTTTACTTTGAGTCTGATCTTTATTATTCCTTCCTTCTGCTAACTTTAGGGTTATTTTGTTGTTCTTTTTGTAGTTTTTTGAGGTGTGACATTAGGTTGTTTGAAACATTTCTTCTTTTTTGGTGTAGGCATTTATTGGTATTAGCTAACCTTTGAACTGCTTTTGCTGGCCCTCATAAATTTTGGTATGCTGTGTCCCTTATTTGTCTCAAGGTATATTTAAATTTCTCTTTTAATTTCTTCACTGGTCCATTTGTTTTTCAAAAGCATGCTGCTTAATTTCCATGTATTTGTGAATTTTCTAAAATTCCTCTTGTTATTAATTTATAGTTTTATACCATTGTGGTCAGAAAAGAGACTTGACAGGATTTCAGTCCTCTTAAATTTGTTCAGACTTGTATTGTGGCCTAACATGTGATCTAACATGGAATAGTCCATGTGTGCTTAGAAAAATGTATATTCTGCTGCTATTGTATGGAATGCTTTGTATATGTCTGTTAGATCCATTTGGTCTAAGGTATAGTTTAAGTCCAATGTTTCCTTATTGATTTTTTTTCTCTGGATGATCTATCCATTGCTAAAAGTAAGATATTGCAGTCTCTTATTATTATTGTTTTAGAGTCTATCTCTCCCTTCAATAATTTATTAATATTTGCTTTATTTATTTAGGTGCTCCAATTTGGGGTGCACATATGTTTACAATTGTATTCTCTTGATGAATTTACACCATTGTCATTATATAATGATCTTATTTGTTTCATTTTACAGTTTTTGACTTAAAGTCTATTTTATATGATACATGTATAGCTACCCCTGCTCTCTTTTGGTTTCTATTTGCATGGAATATGTTTTTCTATCATTTTACTTTCAGTCTATATGTGTCCTTAAAAATGAAGTGAGTCTCTTATAAGCAGCATATGGTTGTGTCTTTCTTTTTAATACCTTCAGCCATTCCATGTTTTTGATTGACAATTTTAATCTATTTTCATTCAAAGTAATTATTGATAAGCAAGGATTTACTACTGCTATTTTGCTAATTGTTTTTTGGTTGTTTTGTAGATCATTTGCTGCGTTCTTCATCTCTTGTTGTCTTCCTTTGTGATTAAACGATTCTCTCCAGTGACATACTTTGATTTCTTACTTTCTGTTTTCTGTGTATCTACTATAGGAGTTTTTGCTTTATGGTTACTGTGAGGCTTATAGGAAACATCTTATAGTTATAACAGGTTATTTTAAGCTGATAACAGCTTAACTTTGATTGCATTAAAAAAAACCTCCACACTGAGGACTTGCAGTTCTAACAAGGTCCCAGGTGATGCTGATGATGCTAATTTGGGGCCCACACGCTAAGAACTACTGACCTAGAACATCTCTAAGTTTCTATAGGCTTTGACATTTTGTGATTGAGAGTAACAAATAGTGGTCATTATCAATAAACTGACAATAAAACTATGTAACCTGACATTTTAGATAATAAGCAACTAAGATATAGTTTGCCCATAATATATTCATCAGCATCTCCTGACAAGGTCTGTATAAAACTTGATGTAAGTCCAATATTGATTCTACTTTCCATATGAATACATGATGTACTTGATTGGATCGTGTTTACATTTTAGAAATTTGTAGACGTAACAGTCAATTTGCATGCAATCTGATTACTAAGTGAGCTTGTCATTTAACATAATGATATTATATTATAACCTGCCCAGTGGTGTGAGTCTCTGATTACCTAATCTTCCTTGTAAAATATTGATCCCTAAGGCTGATGATAATGGAACTATAGTGATGGATAAATGAGATTTATACTGTACTTCTGAATCTTAGAAAATTAAATCAAAATGCATTTATGGACCATCTAGTTTGTTTCTAGTCAGGACAGAAGCTGCAAAATTTATTTTTCTAATCTGTTATTCTGCTAGGTTCATGAGTTCTGAGGGAAATAATCCTAGTTTCCTGCTTAATACATACAGGGTAAGCTCATTAATTACACTGAGATTAATGTGGCATTTAGTGTAGATACTCTAAAATACATTTGCATTGAGTGTTTAACCTTTTACATTATTAAAAGTTAGAAAGTGCCAAAATTTAACATACAGCACAAATCCAGAAATAGAATTAGCATGCTTCTGAACATTTTTATATTTTGTTCAACTATCTTCCAATAAGAATTTCTTGGCAGCAAAACCATCTAAGAAAACATAAGTAAAACTAATTTTCTTAGCTATGTGGATACCATTAATGACATCATTTATTATACTAATTATAATAGAACAAGTACTTCTCTATGGCTGGGGCTATACAAGGCTAGAAGAATAAAAATGATCCCAGAAAAGAAAGGGATTTAAATGGGTACAATAAAAATTTCGGTTTAAAACTTCAAAATGTGTCCAAGAAACTTTGAAGAAAAAACAAGAAAGCAAAAAACCTATACTTTTTCAAGCAGAAATTTAAATACACACATGTACTTCCCATATGCATACATAATCTTAGTTCCAAAAACCATATAATTAATAATTAAGATAAATTATTATAATAGACTTTACTGTCATAATAAAGTAAAAAACGGGTTTGAAAGGATAGGCACCATTCATATTACTTTTCTTAACAGCTTATTTGTATACTCGTACCACAAGAAGTTTCAGTTAAGCTTATAAACTTTCAGCCAGTATTTCAAGAAAATGTGTATTGCTTGTTAATTGACAGTTCTCAAACATTATCATATATATGCTTTACATTAGATCAGGATTTTTTGGTGAGAAATCTATTTGGAAATACTATGGTCTGTTTGGTTTATTTTGTTTGTTTCCCCACATATTCATGAGATGGCTCTTAACAGTGTTATGGTTTTATGGAATATCAAGTGAAGAACATCAAACTGTAGAAACAGGTTCAAGCAAAATTATAGCACCACCTACTTTGCAGTGTAATTGTTTTATTTTTTATTACTTTGAACACATCCAGAATACAGAAATATGTATTTTAAAAAGGATTACATGTATTTTATTTTGCATAGACTAGTTAATATATCTCAGGCCATTATTTCTCATTACTCACTTCTTTCATAAAACCTCACAAGGGCCTTCAAGAGCACCTTCACACCCTGTCCCCCATCTCCACCCTCTATAAAAGGACACAACCTATGAAATAAAACCAACCTATACATGCTCATGAACTTTTACCCTTTGAGATAAAAAAACTTTCTTCATGATGAGTTTACTGTCTCAACAGTATGTTTGCCTCTGTTACAGAATAAACCATAAATGCAGGAGCTTATCTCTTTTTGTGCTGTGCAGTTCCTGATTTATTGATAGCTCTTAATCATACTAATCACTAAGTGAGTGGGTTTCGAATCTCTCCTTTGTAAGCCTCCGTTTTAGCCATGAAATTTTTTAAGTGTAGCTTGCTGGGAATTACTGCCTTTGCTTCCACAGTACAAGGACTCCACCTTACTCTCTGAGCAGAAATGTATTTTGACCTTTCCCCTGTTCATATTCCTTCGTACGTTATTTATCCAACAGGGCATATACTCCCTTTGGTAGATACTCGTCACCAAAGTCAAAGTCAGAGAAAATTTGACTACACAACACCAATACCAATTGGAAGTCTGTGTCCATAACTGAGGCTGCAGAACAAGCATATGTGTCAATATAAAAACATTTGACTTAAGATTTTCTGAGGAAGCTTAAGTAGTTTCGTTGAAGGCTGAACTGGTTTGGTCCTGAATCTCATCCTCTATGGCATAATTCTGGCCATAGAATGAAGATAGAAATAACAGTCACAAAAATCATTGTCCTAAATGTGTTAATGTGTTCATCCATAAACACAGATAAATAACAATTTTGTTAATACATGCCACTGATTTTCTAGCCTACAGACTTAGAAAACATGGACAGTTCATATAATGTGTATAATTTATCATAGTATCTCCTTAGAAAGTATCTCTGTTTCTAATTGAAATCAGAGTTAAAAGGAATAATTGATGATTGTATATATGTATATATTCTATTCTTACAGATTATGAAAACTCTGTCATCACATAGTAAATTGAAGAATTAAACCATTTGTCAATATAATTGAAAGGAGATTTTCTAAACCTCAACAGCACAAAATGTCTTCATTTTTCTGAGCAACTGACCTTCTTAGACATCATAAGTCTACTTTGTGATAATGAATTATAAAGTTAAAAGTCTTGTTTTTTCGTTGTCTCAGTGAAAACAACTTTTCAATGAGAGTCCTCAAGTCATCTGAACCTAAATATTTATTCACCAAGTTAAAACAACAGACAAACATGCTCTCCCCCAGGTCATTTTTCTCTTTGTATTGCTCTCTTCTGGGAACCCAGACATTAACCTCAAAAATTTTGTTTAGGGAAAATCAATCCTCTTTCTGACATTTCTAGTTTGAATTACCTCTGTTTTCATTTGGCTGAATTGTTTTTGGTTTATATTTAACCAAAACTCATGTGAAATAGAGAAATAAGGTAGAGTTTTTGGTAATTTAAACCAAAGTGACTTTCTATTTCTTCCTGCAACTTTTCTGCACTATACTTCTTCTACAGTGTGGGTCATAGCTATATATATATTTTTTTGAGACGGAGCCTTGCTCTGTGCCCAGGCTGGAGTGCAGTGGTGTGATCTTGGCTCACTGCAACCTCTGCCTCCCGGGTTCAAGTGATTCTTCTGCCTCAGCCTCCCGAGTAGCTGGGACTACAGGCGTCCACCACCACACTCGGCTTTTTTGTATTTTTAGTAGAGACGGGGTTTCACCATATTGGCCAGGATGGTCTCGATCTCTGACCTCGTGATCCACCTGCCTCGGCCTCCCAAAGTGCTGGGATTATAGGCGTGAGCCACCTGGTCATAGCTATTTTTTAAAAATAAATCTCTGTTACTCACTAAATCTTCCCTTTGGAATTTCTTTCATTAGATTTATCAAGAGTAAATGAATTCTATAAAATTGTGAGTCATCTTATTTCCTGCTTGGTGCATTTTTATACAGTTTTCTTGCATTTGACATATTAACCTCTTATTGAAGGTGGTTTTGCATCTTATTTAAGAAGAATTTTCTGAATGTTGTACAAAATGGATTTTCCTTTTTTCTTGCCTTACTATGTAGTGATTGGGAAACCATTATCAAATGTCTGTGATATTGCTAGGAATTAATATTAACAAAAGAGCATTTCATAAAATTGTTATTATAATTACCAGATTTACGTTTAGAAATTTTAATTCAACAACATAATTACTTTTAAATTCAATAATTATTTAATAATATGGTAAAATGCTTCTGCAAAGTGTTAGGTGAAAATGGAGGCTTTATAATCAGATAAATCAATACAAAAATAGTATATATAACATCATAAAATCAAACAAATTTTTAATAATGGACTTTCAATCTATCTTTCATATATCATTTAATAGCTACTAATTATCATTTCTTCCATTTTTAAAGTTATTAAAAATAAGAGCTAAAGGAGATAGTTTCTTATATCAATTCCTACTTTCTTTGGCTTAAATTTTATAGAAAAATATTGTAATTTATCTTCTGTGTTGGTCAGTTTTCTGTTGCTATAAAGAATACCTAGGACTAGGGTAATTTATTTAAAAAAAAGAAGAGGTTTAGTTGGCTCACATTTCTGCAGGCTGTACAAGCATGGTGCCAGCATCTGTTTGACTTCTGTTGAGGCCTCAGGAAGCTTTTAATCATAGCAGAAGGCCAAGAGAGAGCCAGCATATCACATGGTGAGAAAGAGAGAGCAAGACAGGGAGGCCATGACAGACTCTTAAATAACCTGATTTCGTGTGAACTCAGAGTGAGAACTCACTCATTACGGTGATGACAGCACTAGGACACTCATGAAGGATCCACCCCCATGATCCAAATATCTCCCACTAGACCCTCCTTCAACATTGGAGCTTGCATTTCAATACGAGATTTGGAGGTGACAAAACATCCAAACCATAACATCTTGCATTTTAATTTTAATAAGAAAGACATAATTCTTTTTAGAAATTTGAGATAAGATTTATTTCTGTAACAAGTACTGATGCTCCATGACTTACTATGGGGTAACTTCTGGAAAAGTTTGAGGATGTAGCTCCATTATCAGTCAAGGAGCGTACCGAATGCATGTGGCTTTCTTGCCATCATGAAGTTGAAAAATCTTCAAGTTGAACCATGGTAAATCAGACACTATGTATATTTATTTGTTGTGGGCACTCTTTACCAGGAGAAAAAACACACCATTTCTGTTCTCAGGGGCCTTGTGATCTACTGTAGAAAGAGATGATTGCACCGTTAAACATATATTCATATAAAACATTATGTGCCTTATCATGGGAGGGTGGGGTTCAGATGATATGAAAGAACCCTTGGCATGGGTGGGCCATGGAGTGCATAGGATGGAGGAAAAAGGGTTCCCAGAACTAGAGCATCATAAAAGGCCTCTGAAAGTGATGGTGTTAAAGAAGAAGACTGAAATTTGAATTTTTCCTTCTTCCTTTGCCAATGTTATTTATAATATGTATTGACAATAGCTAACAGAAATTGTTTCCTATATAAGCCCTACTTTCTTTTACTCAACACTCTGCAAGAACAATTCTGATCATTTTTACCTACAGCAGAGATAAGGAGCCTGGGTTAGGTTGCCCAGGCAAGGGAAAAGCACATAAGATGGTTTTAATCTGAGAGAAAGAACAGTAACTTTTGGTAATTAAAACATCAGTGTGGCTGACTTGGCAGCCCAGAGGGACCGTGTGAAGAGGTGGGACAAAGGGGTTGGAGAGAAAATACAGCCCCCAGTGTAAAGGGCCTTAAAAGTCCTGGAAAGCAGTTTAGACTTTAACACAATGACCAAAGGGAGTCATTACAATGGGACCACAGCAGTCATTTCTACTGAGATCATGCTTGCTGCAAAGCAACAGATGGATTGAAGCAGGCTGTAGAGGAGGAGACGAGTTTGGGAAACTACTTACGTGGCTGTTTTAATAGTTTACATAATCTTCCGATATTTGGTGGCCTTGAAATTATCATTTAAAACTAGAACTATTCATTAAAAATTAATTAATGATTTTTAATTTTGGCACTTAATAGCAGAAGCAAGCAAACAAACAAAAGATCAGGAAACAACCTAGATGCCTGACAATGAGTGTTGGTTATATTAATTATGCTACAGACATATGGACTAGAATACTATATAGCCATTATAAATGATGTTGTTTAAGAACATTCATGATTGGGGAAAATGCCCAAGGCATGTTGCTGAGGAAAAGGCTGATTAAAAAGTAGTCTTAAAGCCATGAGTCACTAAAACAAAACAAAACAAAACAAAACAAAACAAAACAAAACAAAACAAAACAAAATCAAAGTAAAGAAAAAGGCTGGGCATATGTTTATACCCAAATACCAATACAATTGTCTCTGGGAGATATGAATCAATTTTAAAATAAAAAAATTCATTTTATCCTTGGTGCTCTTTTCTTTCTCCAAATTTTCTTTGGTGGCTATGCATTATTTTACTCAGAAGAACATGTACTTTAAAATAAACTTGTTTGTTATAACAAGAAAAATCATTAAAGAAATATTTCAAAAGTCATGTATCACATTATCTGAAAAGAATGTAATGTAAAGTCACACATTTCTTGAAGAATAAAATTCATCAAAATGATAGTGATAACATTTCTAATCTGTGCAGTGTCCAAACTGCTCAGTGGTTGATTCAGAGAGGCCAGGTTAAATAAGGGCATGTGATATGAACCACTGTAAAAATGATGTCCCATGCTTTTCAGAGGTCACTTTCATAAATAAGAAAAACAATCTATCTTTCTGAAACTATTATAGAACTGAAATAGAAAAAGTCTGAAGAAGACAAAATATTCACATGAACCCTTTTCCCCCCAAATAACCAGTTCTGACAAAATAAACTAACAAAGTTTTTTGTGTTAAAGCAATTGTATTACACATGTATACAGATAAAGTACATTGGATGAATCATGTTTAATAATAGCACTTAATATCTTTTCCAGAGGCATAATGGGTAATTTCTCTAGCATAAGTGATTTATGAAAAGAAGAACTAAAAAGAAACAAAATAAGCGCAGGATGATTTAGCTTCTTTGTTATAAGCAATTTGAAAATATAATGGGGAAGAGAAGAAACTAATTGTAAGACAGGAAAATTTTAAAATCCCACTTAATGAGAAGCCATTTGGTAAGCAGAGTATCTAAAGGAAAATATTAAAATACTCTGAAATTAGGTAAATCCATAGATTAGTGGCTTTATATTTCATTTACTGTTTCAATGCAATAGAAAAAATAAGCCAAACTGAATGGCTCCATTTTTGTGTGTTTTTTTTTAATAGAACGTAGAGAAATAAAGAAAAACTAAAAATAGTAAAAATAACTCCATAAAAATAAGCTGAACTGCAAATGTTTCTTTCCTGCTGATTTCAATTTGTTGCCTTAAAATTGTATATGCTGGGAACCGATTCCCACCCCTTGAAAGACAGCTATTATAATTAATTTTATTTGCTTTTATATTAAAGTCAAATGGCTTGGAGAATCAAGTTGTGCGGTTAAGTTTAGAGGTTGCTCAGCTGATATCTGAGACTGGAGACACTGAAGTGTGAGATAAGCGTAATAAAATGCCTCGGTCACTGAGGGCACCCTAAAACTGATTGATTCTCAGAATAGAACCACACCTCAGATTTATTATGCTGTATCTTCCACAAATGGCTGAAACAGTCTGATTACTTAAGACATTGATTCTGCTTGATAAAGCTATCACATTTATAACCCATGGCCAAAACTTGTTGTGGAAGTAGTTTTCTTTATAGAGTTTACTGACTTGCTAGGGGCATTTTGTGATCTTGAATGCTTGTCAGGAAAATATTGGAGATAAGCAATGCTGAAGAACTACATGCACCTTTCTTTTTACACGGAGTTAATGAAGAAACATTTTATGCTTTTTTTCACTTTTTTCCGAGAATGGACAATTTTAGTGATTTCAGAATGATAGGTGCTTTTCATAGTTGATTCTGTTAGTTTTTAGGTTAAAGACGAGTCAAGATTAATAATCTCATTTACAAAATGAGGTTAGGTGTTCCTAAATTTCAAATATTTAATCTTTTTTAGCTAGTCTTCAGCATATTGCTGCTGACGATAAACTTCTTAAAGAATAGGAATTTCTAATTTTGAAACATCTTAATGGATTATAGAAAATCTGAAAACATTTAAAATGTCAAATGAAGAAGTATTTCCTTTTAGCTCACGACTCCATTTTTTTTCTTATAGGTCAGTATACTAGTAATAATAGTAATGCTTGGTAATAATAATAGCAAAAATGATGACAGTTAATGCTGAATGTAAGTTTTTTATGTACTAGGGTCCATGTTTTCAATAATTATATTAAATTCTGTTTACAATCCAGTGACTTGCTAAAACGATTTTTAGTTCTATTTTGTACATTAAGAAACAGAGACAATACAGTTGTTAAGTGTCCTGCCTGCAGTTGTATTGCTAGTACTTGACAGAGGATTCCAATGAAGTTGGTCTCATCTCAAAACCGTCCTCTCTGCTATGAAGGATAACAGTAGGAATAAGTTGAAGCTAAAGAACAGATCATGAAGTGAAAATGCTTGTCTCTATAACATAAAAACTTGTAAATGGTAATATGCAGAACATTTATTTCTAAATATATAATAATAATAATTTTAAAATAACATATGATACAATTGATTTAGTTTATTTAAGAGATTCTAAAAATAACATAAAACAGAAAACAAAAACCTTTTTTATTTCTCCCCAAATCTGGTAAGATTAACTTCTGGCATTTCAGATAACCTAAACTTTCACAGAGATTTGAAAACATGATCTAATGCACAAATGCTATACAATAAATACAGCTGATTAAAATTAAAAAAATTTAACAGTAGATAAACTGTTGTATGTATAATTTGGTACTACACATACAAGAGTTTAACCATTTTATTTAAAATACACACAGATACAGAAAACCACATTAAATGATAGCTTAATGAATTATCTTCAGCGTTTGTAACTCTTACAATCCTTTAGCCTGTATAACCATCGTTCACAATAAGTCATGGAACTTTGCCCTCCTACCCAGAAGCCCTTCAATAGGTCCATCTTTATCATAGACTTCTTCCCTCCAAAATAACTATTGTCTTGACCTTTATGGTAATCACTTCCTTGCAATTCTCCATTGTTTTACCACCTAAGTGTGCATCCCTAGACCCATTTATATGTCTTGTATGTCTCTTTTAATCTACAGGTTCCCTCTTCATCCCTTTATTTTCCTTGCAATTTATCTGTCAAAGATCCCAGACTGACTGACCTGCGGATATGTCCACAGACTAGATTTGCTGTTGCACACTTTTGCTGCCTATATTCCTTTCTCCTCTCTATATTCCTGAAAATTAGTAGCAGATATAGAGTCTTGATTAGATTCGGCTTTGAATCTTTGTCAAGGCTATTGGTAGTTCTAGATTCTTTCACCTGGGGCACAGTCTGGTTTTCACTCCTTTTCTTTGATATTAACAACTGCTATTTAGAGAACATTACAAGGAGGCAATAATCACTTTTTTTAGTGCACTACTGCCTGCCTTAATATTTGATGAAAGAATGAATAGTAAGAAGAAATGAATACAATATAAGGCTTAGTGATAGCACTGTGAGGAAGTAAGAAAATATTACAACCTAAGAGCTCTATGCAATGTTATCTGTAACATCAAATAGAAAACAGTAAGTGCCAAATAAGAAAAGAAGGAAAAAAATGTTATGGCAATTCAAAAGAGGAAAAATTACATCTCATTGGGAAAACAGTGATAAAGTCTTAATAAAATAAGTAGAAGACATCTGATTTGCAATAATACTTATGTCAAATTTATTCTGTATATTATTTTAAAAATTAGTAGACTAAAAACTGGGCTATTATTTTTCCTGTGTTAGCAAAATAGAGGATTACTGCCTCTGCTTTTGTTTATATTCTGCCTTAATGTATGAGGGTATTTTGTAAAGGTTAATATAATCTCAAGATGTTAACTTCCTGAGGCAACACTCTAACAACTTTACAACTTTATATTTTTCACATTTAATATGCATTTTCAGTGGGTAAAATTATCCGACTACAGTGATGGTGGCATTTCATTACCATAAAAAAGATGTAACTCTTCTCAAAGAATCTTAGACGAGTTATATCTGAGCAATGCCAACACATAATTAAATTTAAAATCATTTATATTCTTCCTTTCGGTTGGTGAGAAGCCCTATCATTTGGGGCAGGTTTTGTGCAGGTGTAAAGTATTGCTTTCTAATTATTTCCTGATAAATACAGGCAATTTCATCTATCAGGAGGTAAGTTAGTAATTGGAAATAATCGATTAACTTCAAAGAAATTAGTAGATTGACAGATACAATTTCCAGAAAGAGTTATCACTACAGTCCAGCTTAGTCAGTTCATCAAATATAAGCTCTTTTCAAGAATCTTACTAAAGAAAAACATTGAATCAGACTCAGGATTTATTTCATCTAAACTTTACCCTCTTTTCAAGACATCAGCCTTAGGAGGAGTTATGTAACATCAAATAACTTCAATATTCTAGCCTACTCAAGAAACAAGCATATGAGAATTACAAGCCAATGCCTCACAGAGTCCTGCAGCTGGCTTCACAGTTGTGGAGATTGACTGTGCCTCTTTTCTGGACATGTGTGCTTTGTCTAGTATTTGTACACACGAGCTAATTTGACAGGTACACTTTTTAAATTCATTCATGATGGGGCATTGCCAGTGACTTTAATCTTTCCATAAACTTTATTTCATGAGAAAGACTGGTCTTTTTTTGAAATTGATGTGTGCTATGTTTTGTGCACAGCACACTCTATTTTTAAGGATAGGTTTGTTAATACCTATCAGAACTCTTACTGACAAAGTACCATCAAAGATGCTGCTGTCTCATGTTCTTAGAAGGCTGGCAAAGAGGTGAAAGTGAATAGAAATTGCTCTCTTGTGGCCAGCATGTATTAGGCTTATGTATATTAATAAGAAGTTAATTAGAATGGAAGGAATGGGCAAGGAGGGCACTCTGCTATTATCGTTGCAGACAGACCTTTGGTAACAGTTTCTCATTATGTGGAATGGCAGAACTGGGGATTAGAGAAATTGTTTGTAAATGTGGATCCCAAAGCCTTCTCACAAAAGCAAGTCAGCCTCGTTTGTGAGTTTCCAGGACCCTTCTTTGGAATTTTCATCCTTTCCATCACGCTGTTACTGAGCTCACCTTGAAGCAACAGGAGTTGCTGAGATCCGTCTCTGCCTAATCCAGTAATTGGGACTCTGGCCACAGCCAGCTTTCCCTGCACTGCCGCTGCCCAGATAATTGCTGTGACATTTCATTTCTCTCTTCTCTGAAAGAAACACTCAGGCAGAAAACTCATTCTTCTAGAAAGTGCCTCAGGCCCTCTGTTACAGGATGAGCTCGGATCACAGTTCAGTGGCTGGCTCTTTCCCTACGTGGTCAAAGCTGCTTTCCACAGTTTGATTACTCAGAGGAAAAATAAACCTGAACAGACACATAGAGTTGTTTCTCTCTTCTTTCCCACTTGTTAGGAGGTGGTTAAAAGCAGATAAAACTTCTCCTTAAAGACCTTTACTTTGAGTGCTGCAAGACATTCCATTTATCCTGCCAGCCAAATGGAGAAAATTCCCAAACGGGCTGTCATTAAATCAATCAGTGTGTATCATGAACGAACTTTATTAAAAAGAGGGCCTGGCCTTTTGCCTAGCACACAGTTGGTGCTTAGTAAACATTTGTTAAATGAATACAGGCGTCAGAGAACTGGAACCTTGTTCTCACATTAAACAATGTTGTTCCAAGATCTTTGTCTTGATTTCTGCTTTCTCTGGCAACTGGGTTATGCTGTCTTTCAATATATTACTATTAAGTTTTGTAAGATGTTCCTACACACTGTTTCATAATTCAAAATATAAATATATTTTTAGCTCTATAGAAATAGTCTCATATCCTTCATCACGTTTTTAAAGACTGAAAGATTTCTATGCCCATTGTAAAACATATTCTGAATGAAAAAAATGGAAGGGCTAAGCATTTTAAAGCTTAAACAGCCTTTGCCATCGTCTGGTGTCTATCTTGTATGAGAACTGTACAGCTCAGAGATGATCATCCGCTTGTCTTGGTTGTTTAAGAGGTTAGTGACCAAACTGGGTTGAAAACCCAGGTGTCCGAACTCCAAGAATAATGGAGTTATTGTAAATGAAACTATATCAGACGCCCACAACCTTTTAGCACCAGGGACCAGTTTCATGGAAGACAATTTTTCCATGGATCAGGGTGGGGGATGGTTTCAGGATGATTCCAGTGCATTACATTTATTTTGCACTTTATCTCTATTATTACATTGTAATATATAATGAAATTATTATACAACCCACCATAATGTGGAATCAGTGGGAGCCCTAAGCTTGTTTTCCTGCAGCTAGACAGTCCTATATGGGGGTGATGGGAGACAGTGACAGATCATCAGGCATTAGGTTCTCATAAGGAGCACGGAGCCTAAATCCCTCGCATGCGCAGTTCACAATAGGGTTCATGCTTCATGCTCCTTTGAGAATCTCATGCCGCTGATCTGACAGGAGGTAGAGCTCAGGTAGGAATGTGAGTGATGGGGAGCGGCTGCAAATACAAATGAAGCTTCACTAGCTTGCCCGCTGCTCACCTGCTCTGTGGCCTGGTTTCTAACAGGCCATAAACCAGTATTGGTCTTTGGCCTGGTGATTGGGACCCCTGCTTTGCATCCTATCTGGAAGTAGAATATGATGAGTATGGTGATGGAGTGGAATCTTACTCAACTTACTTGGCATATCTGTTCTGAAATCCCATTCTGTGAAATAAGAGACATTGTCAATGTTCCCACTGCCAGTATTCCTAAGGGAAAGTACTACCTCATTTAACGAAACAGAAACAATGGATATTATAGCTGAAAAATCATAATGGTTAAAAAAACATATTTTGGTGGAATTGAAAATAGGCATTCATTTTCCATTTAATTACTTTCTCCTTTTGCTAATGACATCAATGCAGACCTCTGGCAGGGTGCTTACCCTAGAACAGTGCAAAAGGCAGATACTTCTGTAGAAAGCTAGCTAAAAGGAATTTGAGTATTTGATAGAATTATGTATAACTGAACAGTACTGGGGATGCTTGGGAGGGAAGACGTGAAAATGGGGCCCCAATGACATGGAAAGTAGGCAGGATCCAAGTGATGACCACCATAAGACACATAACAGGATTATTTCATAAATGTACTGAGCAAAATGAAAAATTTCCATTCAGGGTGTTGGGAGAGCAGTCTGTCGTTTATCACTCTGAGTATTCATCTGAAGCTTCATAATTCTGTCAGGGATGTTAAATAAAAATAAATAGGAAGAGGAGTATTTGGCTAAACTTAATGTCTATATCACAGCATCTCAACAAAACAAGAAAAGAGTCCTCAGTTTCGTTGAGTGTGGCTTTTACTTTAATATCCCATTGGGCTTTTGTCCTATAATTCTTGGTGTAGGGTTATTTTTTTCAAGGAACAATGAAAATACCATTTGTTTTTCCCATAGTGCTTATTTCTTTCTCTCTAGATGTGCAAAAGATGTTGGGAAAGTGCTATCTCTTCTAAGAAATCTTTTCTCTCTGGTAGTGAAAAGAACTCTGAAAACTTGGGTTTAAATTCTGGCTCTGTCACGTTCCAGTTATATGATTTAATTCAATGTTTCCTAAAAGTAAGAAAATTTTTACATTGAACCCTTTCCTCAGATCCCTAGGAGTCTTAAGTTCCCCTTTTAAAAAAGATTGTATTTAAAATAAAACATTATTTTGTGATTGTGATATAGGTGTCAATGCAACCATAATTACACATGTAAAGTGGCACTGGAGTTGTGTGGAACTAAAGCATTGTCACTTTATGAAACTCTGGTGCGGTAATCAACTAGCTGGCCTTTCTGTCAACACCTTGATCTCACCATTAGCCAACACTTTCTTTATGTTTGGATCATCAGTTGGACACAAGTTCCTTGGAGATAGGTAAAAACAGTATATGCCTAGGACAGTGCCTTGTATTTGTAGATAACTATTTGTGGATGCTATTCTAAATTAAATGGATATGTCTGTTTTTGTTACTGTTTCAAAAATTCTATAAACTGAAAATCATGGTCAAAGTCCGAAAACTCACCAGAAAACTATAAGTCAATCTATTGAGTTACTGGTCTCAGCTTTCAGGCTGTGAAGCAGTATACAAATGATACAGTTTATTGATCCTCTGGTACTATTTATTAAAACTAGGAGATTTTAATACAATAAAAGTAAAATTCTGCTGCAAATAATTGTTTCTAATATGGATATTTATCTATTTCTTAGAAGATGACTGGCTATAAATTTGAATGCATTTTGTCACTAAGTTATTCTTCATTTTCAATGTCAGTCTTTGTTTCAATAGATCATTACTAATTTTCAATGGAGACTATTATTTCTTGTTTTTCTATAATTTGCATCACTTTTTATTATCTCCTGAAGGACGATTTAGCAAATTGATCAAGGACAGCAAAACCTGGAAAAGCATGTAATATGTTGCAATTACAAGGTTCAAAGGACTTATTGTTCTTATTTTTGATGGGTGAGATTCTCTTACATACTGGAATTTGGGTCACAGTAGCAATGCACCTAGTTAGAGCAATCAGACAACAGAAAGAAATAAAGAGCAGCCAAATTCAAAAGGAATAAGTTAAATTATCCTTGTTTGCAGATGATATAATCTAATATTTGGAAAAAACTAAGGACTCCACCAAAAAACTATTAAAATTGATTTAAAATGTAATAAAGTTGCAGGATACAAAATCAACATATGAAAAGCAGTAGCATTTCTATTTGTCAGCAGCAAACAATCTGAAAAAGGAATTAAACAAGTAGTGATAAGATCTCTACAAAAAAAACCGTAAAACACCGATGCAAGAAATAGAAGAGGACACCAAAAAATGGAAAGATATTCCATGTTCATGGATTGGAATAATCCATATTGTTAAAATTTCCATATTACCTAGCAATCTATAGATTCAGTGCAATTCCTATCAAAAATACCGATAACATTCTTCACGGAAACAGAAAAGACAATTCTATTAAAACTACAAAAGATACAGAATAGCCAAAGCTATCCTGAGCAAAAAGAACAAAACTGGAAGAATCACATTACTCGACTTCACATTATAGTGCAGAGCTATAGTAACTAAAACAGCATGGTAATGGCATAAAAACAGACACATAGACCAATGGGAGAGTATAGGGGACCCATAAATAAATTCATACATCTACAGTGAATTCATTTTTGACAAAGTCACCAGGAACATGCATTAGGGAAATGACCATCTCTTCAATAAATGGTGCTGGGAAAACCGAGTATCTATAGGTAGAAGAATGAAACTAGATCCTTATCTCTCACCATATACAAAAACCAAATGAAAATGGATTAAAGACTTAAATCTAAGACCTGAAACTATGCAACTATTAAAAGAAAACATTGGAGACACAATCCAGGACATTGGACTGGGCAAATATTTCTTGAGTAATACCCCACAAACACAGACAACCCAAGCAAAAATGGACAAATGGGATCACATCAAGTTAAAAAGCTTCTACAGCAAAGGAAACAATCAACAAAGTAAAGAGACAATTCATAGAATGAGAGAAAATATCTGCAAACTCCCCATCCAATAAGGGATAATAACCAGAATATATCAGGAGCTCAAAGAACTCTATAGAAAAAAATCTAGTAATCTGATTTTAAAATGGGCAAAAGATCCGGATAGACATTTCTCGAAAGAAGACATACGAATGGCAAACAGGTGTATGAAAAGCTGCTCAGCATCACTGATCATCAGAGAAATGCAGATTAAAACTACATTGAGGTATCATCCCACTCCAGTTAAAATGGCTTTTATTCAAAGGACAGGCAATAACAAATGCTGGTGAGAATGTGGAGAGAAGGGAATCCTCACACACTGTTGGTGGGAATGTAAGTTAGTATAACCACTATGGGGAATAGTTTGGAGGTTCCTCAAAGAACCAAAAGTAGAGCTACCACATGATCCAGCAATCCCACCACTAGGTATATTCCCAAAAGAAAAGAAATAAGTGTATTGAAGAGATAGCTGAACTTCCATGTTTATTGCAGCCCTATTGACAATAACCCAGATTTAGAAGCAACCTAAGTATCCATTAACAGGCAAATGGATAAAGACATATTCAGCTATAAAAAAGAATGAGATCCTGTCATTGGTAACAACATGGATAGAATTTGAGGTCATCATTTAAACTGAAATAAACCAGGCACAGAAAAACAAGCTTTGCATGATCTTACTTAGTTGTGGGAGCTAAAAATTAAAATAATTGACCTCATGGAGATAGAGAGTAGAATGGTGGTTACTAGAGGATGGGAAGGGTGGGGGAGGGGTGGGATGGTTAATGGGTACAGAAATATAGTTAGATGGAATAAATAAGATCTAGTATTTGATAGCACAACAGGATGGCCACAGTCAACAAAAATTTATTGAACATTTAAAAATAACTAGAAGAGTATATTTGGATTGTTTGTAACATGAAGAAAAGATAAATGTTTCAGGTGATAAATACTCCCCTGATGTGATTGTTATGCATTGTATGCCCATATCAAAATAGCTCATGTATCCCATAAATATATATACCTATGTACTTACAAAAATAAAATAAAATTTCTAAAAAGAAAAAAGCCCAATAGCAATGCAACCCTGCATTACTGCACATATTACTAAATATAGAAAACCAAGATCTTAATATTGTCCATATACTATTTTAAGAATATAAAAATTCTTACTTAGCGCATGCTTCAGATTGTATAATTAATTATAAACACATTCTAGACTTTATAATTTAGTGGTTCTCAGAAACACAGCAATTTTTTAAAAATTATACTTTAAGTTCTGGGATACATGTGCAGAACCTGCAGGTCTGTTACAAAGGTATACACGTGCCATGGTGGTTTGCTGCACCCAACAACCCATCATAGGTTTTAAGCCCTGCATGCATTAGGTATTTCTCCTAATGTTATCCCTCCCCTTGCCCCCCACCCCCCGACAGGCCCCAGTGTGTGATGTTCCCCTCCCTGTGTCCATGTGTTCTTATTGTTCAACTCCCACTTATGAGTGAAACGTGGTGAAACACAGCAATTTTTAAAATTGCACAGGTGCCTGGTGCTTCTCCTGATGGATTAAGAGACATCCTCTCCTTTGACAAAATCTCTGGTCACAGATAATAGAGGACTTGGGGTTTAGTCTGTACCTCTTGTTCAACTCTGAGGACTTTGATCTTGTTACTCCATTGTAGCAACAAAGGGAAGTCAATAATGCCTTTTCAGTAACATGCATGTGAAGTCATAGGGGATCAAAAGTGTCTTTGTGTTTCAGAAATAGTGGAATATCACCACAGACTTACACTGCAGCCTCCCCTAATGTGCTTACTGTTGTGTGGAGGGCTTAGTGGCAGAAAACTTGCTGGATAATCAAGTAAAGAAGAAAAAGTGTTTACAAATTTATTCTGAAGATGATATTCAAATAGTTCTAGCTGGTATCTTAATGGTTAGCCATGGACAGGTTTGGAAAAAACTAGGTTTAATATATTTAATCTGTTTCATGTAGTTAATAAATTGATACAAATTTTGGCAAAAGAAATACTGCCAAGAATGTTTGTAAAAAGTTTCTTTTTAATGTCATCTTTGGGAACATAAACAATCTCAGGTTCTCAGTTGCTTACCACCCCACTATAAAAAGGAGTACAGTGACCAGCAGTTTCTTGTGGTATTATAAAATATAGAGATAATTTTAGTTTTATTTGTTGAATTTCTTTTTTATTTTACTTACACACACACACAAACACACACGCATACACACACCTGACCCAATATAATGGGTCATCCACTTTATTTATAGTTGAGTTGGGAACATTTAGGGAGATTTACCAACATAATGCAAGCATTAATTTTTGGTTTGGAAAGAACAAACTGAATGAAATAAGAGTAAAAGGTCCTATAAAAGGTATTTAGTTTACTCATAAAGCCAGATTTTATATGCGTATATACCATATATTATTTTATTTAACAAATATTTAATAATTTCCATTAAGCCTATGAATAAATACTAATCACTGTGGAAGAAGAAACTCGGAATTAGGGAGACAAAATTGTACTAGCATCATTTTCACAATTGTTGCTTTGAATCATGGTCATGTTTGTAACTCAAATACATGGTCTTGGTTATTATTGGAAAGGATTTCTTAAAAAGTAATAACAAAACATCATTTATCTTTAAAGAACTTCCATAAATGCCCACTAATTTTCTGTTTTAAGGAACTGTTTATTGGGAATACCAACCTTGTTAAGACGAGTTGAAGTCATATACACTATTGTATTTTAATGAGTTGCATTATTTCTGTTCTTTGGTTATTTACGGGAAAACATTTCCATTATTTCATGAGATAGCGTTGCTGAAAGTGAAAACACAGGGCAGCTGGACCAATTTTTTGTGCTCCTAATTTACAGATTGGGACATAATAAAAAGTAAATGAGATAGCTCTTTCTCACCAAGTAGTCTGTCTTCATTACCTGGCAGCGATTCTGTTACTGACATGGGTACATTTAAGAGGCATTATGATTACAATTTACACATTCTGATTACACTAATGCATATTGTTTTATGCCGAACACTTTTGCCAGTCTTCCAAATGATCAGTTAGGACGCCTTGGATAGCTTTACTCTCTGTTCGTTAAGTGCCAAGTTTAAATAGATCATATGCTTAACATTACCTTAATGTTGGAATCTCCACCTACTCCTTAATTTTTATGTGTTACATATCATTGAAAACTTCCATTCTGCATAATAAAAATGGAACAGAACCCTCTAATTTCTTCTCATTACAAAGAGCCCATTTATGCTTACAAATTGTGGCTGCATTCTTCAGGAAGTTAGTCATCCCTCCGTGTTTGTGAACTACACAATTGTTTAAGTGAGTGAGAAGATGACTTAGGAGATTTCTAGATTCCTAAAGACATTAACACACACAACTAGTAACGTGCCAGTTCTAGTACCTTGTTGGGTGTGTATCCTGCTTTGTGAGGAGAACTTTAGGGCACTGAGTTTAATCCAGAAGAGACCTAGATTACCCCTGGTTATTTAATAATCCTTTAGGCACTTGGGAGTTGACTTCTAGACAAAGTACAGATGTTTGGAGACTTGAGGATTCCACGCAAGAGTTCTCTACCATTTAAAACCCTTGTCCCCCAAGTGGCTCCAGAAGGGCACTGGAGGATTTCATAATATCTTAGAGCTGCTGGTGACTCAGCAACTTCTGCAGAAATACACTTATAAGTGGTAGCACCTGTTGGGTATGGACACCCTCAAAAGTAAGCTAATTGCCGAGGCTGAATATATTTAGTCTAAAGTGCATATATATTTAGTCTAAAGGTAGAGCATGGAGGAGAAAGCAGATTAATTGCAACCTTTTAAGTATGACAATAAAGATAGTTTGTCTTTTTCGGAACTCATTTGGGTCTTCTCCCAGGCTCTAGAGAAGCACATATTCCTTCCCTTCATGTATCTGTCTTAGCTAAAAAGTTTGAAAACAGGTACTGTATCATACTAGAACCACTTTTAACTTTGAGGTTGTTTAGCAGCGTGCCCTAGATTTCTGTTTCTGGTCATAATGGAATATCTAGGAATGAGCTGGCTTTCCCTTTTGGTTGTAAACAATTAAAAAAACTGTATCAACATATAAAACAATTGATTTCACACACTGGACAACAGGCAGCACAAGACTGTGACCCTTGACAGAAGAAAAACAAATAAAATGACTTTCATGATTCTTCCTTATAATGTATTGATTCCATTTTCTCTTCCACTGTCAGAGAGGTGGACCCAAGGTGAGAATCTGAATGGACATGCCACCTGTCTAAATACGTATGTTACAAATAAAGTTAACACACTGTAAAAGGAAATATGTTATATTGTCCTATTTTGACAAAGACACATAATTATGACCAAAAAAAGTATATTGGATCTTGATGCTAGTTATAAAAATATTTTCAGTATGAGAAAATTCATCAAGTTTTGTTTTGTTTTGTCTTGTTTTTTGAGACCAAGTCTCACTCTGTTGCCCAGCCTGGAATGCAGTGGCGTGATCTCAGTTCACTGCAACCTCTGCCTCCCAGGTTCAAGCGATTCTCCTGCCTCAGCCTCCCAACTAGCTGGGTTTACAGGCATGCACCACCACGCCTGGCTAATTTTTGTATTTTTGATAGAGATGGGTTTTCACCATGTTGGCCAGGCTGGTCTCAAACTCCTGACCTCAAGTGATCTGCCTGCCTCAACCACCCAAAGTGCTGGGATTACAGGCGTGAGCCACCAAGCCCGGCCATCAGATTGTACACTTGGGATCTGTGCATTTTTGAATTAGGTCAAACAATCTGAAATTGCTGGTACTTAATCACTTTTGACCTACAAAATTAGGAATCACGTGGTTCAACATAATGTACCCATATGTATGAATTTTATATAACAAAATGTCTGCAAAATGTCAAAGTTTACTGTATTTAATTATTGTGCATGTCTCAGTGTTTTACTGATCACAGTGCAAAATGTTCCTTAGGTGCCTTTTGCAACTGTTGCAAGCTTTGTGCTAAGGCACTAACTTCTGAGTATTTTTGAAACTATACATTGTATGTCAAAGCCAGAAAATGAACACTTGCTACTAGTAGGAAATAACACTTCATTGTGCAAGATTCTCTTGTGTTTAAGTTCTGAGGAAAATTAATTGATCTCACCACTCAAATTTCCCCCAACACTTTCTGTGATATAACATTACCGTTATTTCAACTCTACATCAATCTCTTTTTTCCATAAGGCTGACTCTTTATATTAAAGATTATGTTCAGAATAGGAATTAGGTTAAGCCACAAGTGACTCATTCATTGAAAGCTCAGACTTGTAAAATAAAGGGAAGCAGTCTAACATATGAAATATGCTTGTATCAAAATATAATTTTTAAGATCAACACATATTTCAAAAATCAAATATAGGATTTTTTTGCTAGATTATTATCATGTGCTTTGGTTGTTTTCTGAGAATATAGGCCTCAGATTTTATATTAAGCGTAAGTCAATGAATTTTTAGATGGTCTCCATGTCAAGTTTTGATTTATTTTTTCAAGCATGTGGAAACCATTAAGAAATAAATATAGGTGTTTTTTCCCCTTCCTCATAAGAGCATTTTAAATATCAAACGCATACAACAGGAAAGCACAATTGATAAACAAACCAAATATGCAAAAGTCTTTTACTTAGTATAACTTCCCCAATTCTATAATCCTGAAGATATTTTAATGGCATTAAGACTAGCTGAGTACGTATGACTTAATTTGAAGGTCTAACTCTGAGAGAGCATTACCTTTCTAACAAAGAGAGCTAGAAGAGCATTTTAATCATATTTGATTAGCATTCACATTTAATAACTATATACCAAGACTTTCCACAAAGTATTATGGTAACTTATAGCATAAATCATAAGAAAGGAAGCAACTGAGAAATGAATAATATAATGGACAACGTAATGTCAGGAATGAGGAAAGAAACATCAGAAATATGGCAACAAAGCACATTGAGATAAAAAGGCAGTGACTGAGTTTCAAATCTGGCAACGGAACAAAAAGAATTCTTGAGGTTTCTAGATCTGCATACCCATGAACTAATGGAAAATCTATTCCTAAAAGAAGATTCCCAATAACTGGTACAATTTAGGGGAAAAAAAACCTGCCTTGATTTAATGTCTTGATGCTCTTCGATATTTTTCATGTTAATATCCCTTTTTATTGTTAAACCACCATGGCCTTGGCTGCAGAACGAGGGTCATAGGTTTTTATTAGAATTGAAACGGAGACCACCATAGTTATATAGTTTGAGGACATAATTACAGATGTCTGGGCAAAACAGGACGAACAGAATTTCAAGACCCAGTATATAAAAATGTTTTGCTGAACCAAATGCGTAATTGCAAACCTACATCTTAGAATTAAATTCTAGATTTGATGAATAAGATGCTCAGTAAGACATCATCCAAATAATCTGTTTAGTGTCCAGCTCCAAACAGGCAATCTTATCTTCTTTACTATATTAACAGAACATTGCTGATGTTGGGCTGTCATTACACACATAAAAGTTCTGAGAAATGGAAGCATTTGCTGAATTATGTGTCCTATATGACAGCAATAATGGGAAAAGCAAGTCATCACAGACCGTCATTTGCCATCCCATCAAAAGGACACTGAGTGTACTTTAATTATAGCATATAGCATGAGATTATGCTTCTCAGTCTAAAGTGTTGCCGTAGTGTTTATGGAATCAGGTTATGAACTGCATTTTCAGCACCAGCATGGGTGACAAACAGTCTCTATGACTTTGAGATTTATAATGATAAAAAACATAGTAAAGTCAATTTTACCTGCATTTCTATAAGGTTAATGATCCATGACCAAGAAAATGGAAAATCTGATGAATCTCTCATTAACTTTTGAAAAACACAGTGTGAAAATCTTATATAAAAACAAGAATTATCTATCTTGTGGAAATAGATTTTTTTCTCCCTATGGAATAACTACATTGCCATATTTGATAAGTGCTTAGGAATATCTTAGGAATTAAATTAAACTAATGAATTTTTTTGGATGGAATAAAATGTAATCCAACATAAAGTGATGACGGATAGCCATTTTCACTTAATCTTATGCAATTTTTAAAGAAATTAATCACAATTTTACTTGCAATAATAAATTACAAGTGCATCATAATATTTTATATTACATTTTATATTTTTATATTAAATTATAAAATAAAGTGTGCTCTTTTGATACTGTAATATTATGAGAATAATTTATTTATATATAAAAACTCCATATAAAACCATGATGTTTTGTCTAGGGCAAGGCTAACAATTTAATTAAAGATAAGTCCATATTTCCTGCCTAAGAATTATGGGATTGTTACTTTAGAATACAAATATTATTATGCCCACATACATTTATCATTTTTATATCAAAAATTAACTTGTAATCCGTTATGATGGTAATGATATTAACAAAAGGGTGGAAAATTTTTATTATTTTATTTTTTTTGAGGCAGAATCTTGCTCTGTCACCCAGGCTGAAGTGCAGTGGCATAATGACAATTCACTGTGGCCTCTACTGGGCTTAAGTGATCCTCCCACCACTCAGCTTCCCGAGTAGCTGAGACTACAGGTGCATGCTGCCACACTTGGCTAATTTTTTGTATTTTTTGGTAGAGATGGGGTTTACCCAGGTTGGTTCGAAACTCATGGGCTGAAGTGATCAACACGCCTCTGCCTCCCAAAGTGCTGGGATTACAGGCATAAACCACCACGCCCAGCCAAGGGCAGAAAATCGTTAAATATCACTTGCGGAACATTTAGTATTTTAAATATAAATTTAGAAACATGAATGCACTAAAATTTTATACTTTTTGAAAAATTAAATGATATTCATTGAAAATTATAAGAATTTTAAAGAAAAATTGAGTATAGGCCTTCATATTTTTCAAATAACTGTACAGATAAATCAAGTGCTTAAATATAAAACCAGAGCGTTGATTTGGATGTTTTTAATTATAAATAATTAAAAATACAAATCCAAAGTGATTTTAGAAAATAAAGAAATATCTTGAATTGTCTCTAGAAAATCCAGAGGTCATGTGGAACTCACAATTGGTTGATCTGGCCACTCAAGAATGCCATCAGCACCTGGATCATACCAGAACAATGCTGCCCAATGCACGTAGTATATAAAACACCAATGTAACGTTAAATTTACTAGTAGCTACATTAAAAATCCAAAAAGGAAGAGGTGGAATTAATTTTGGTAACATCTTTTAACCCAATGTATCCAAAATATTATCAGTTCAACATGTAATCAATATAAAAATTATGAGATACATTTATTTCATGCTAAATCTTCACATCTGGTGTGTGTATCTCTCTTATAGTATATCTCAATTCGGACTAATCATATCTCAAGTGTTCAACAGCCATGTGTGGCAATGGTTATTGTACTGGATGCACAGTGCTAGTGTTGGCTTCGCTGTCGTGTGGCCACTCCTTTGGAAAGAGGTTGGCCACAGCCACAGTAGGAGCTGTCTGCTCTCTCAGGTAAGCCTGGTGGGTGAGAGTACTTTTGAACAAAAGGCTGAGATGCAAGTCTCTTTCATTGCCTGGGTCATGTCTATCCCTGAATCAATGGCTCTGATCAAGCAAACGAAATATACCAACTAAGCTCACCAGTGTGGCCACACCTGGAATTGAGTTGCTGTCAATTTCTTCCAAAGTTCGTGGGCTACAGGGCACACACATGCTGGCTACTGAAATGAGAATCTGGAACCCACAGAGAGGGAAAAAGAGGATGGGTCACACTTCAGGGAGGATAGTAGGAGTGAATAGCAAGCTTGTGTTTTAAATCACATGTGACCTGTTTTGATATGTTTTTAAAATAGGAATTTTCTTGCAAGTTTTTAATTTTTATTTTTTGAGACGGAGTCTCGCTCTGTTGCCCAGGCTGGAGTGCAGTGGTGCGATCTCAGCTCACTGCAACCTCCACTTCCTGGGTTCAAGCGATTCTCCTGCCTCAGCCTCCCAAAGTGCTGGGATTACAGGTGTGAGCCACTGCACCTGTCTTGCAAGAGTTTAATGAAACACAACTTGTTCTATTGTCTTTGTGGAACTAACTTCTAAGATAGTTTCTTCAGGAAGATGCATGAAGCTTTAGAAGATCTTAGAACACGGCCGAGTGCGGTGGCTCACGCCTGTAATCCCAGCACTTTGGGAGGCCGAGGCGGGGGGATCACGAGGTCAGGAGATCGAGACCATCCTGGCTAACACAGTGAAACCCAGTCTCTACTAAAAATATAAAAAATTAGCCGGGCATGGTGGCAGGTGCCTGTAGTCCCAGCTACTCAGGAGGCTGAGGGAGGAGAATGGCGTGAACCTGGGAGGTGGAGCTTGCAGTGAGCTGAGATCTCGCCGCTGCACTCCAGCCTGGGTGACAGAGCGAGACACCATCTCAAAAAAAAAAAAAAAAAAATCTTAGAACACATAAAATTTCCAGTTAGTTCTGGATTTAAAAAACTCTGGTCACTGACAGAAAAAAAAGGAACTTACTTTTCAAAACATCCACTCTTTCTGTAGTCTCTATAGCTAATCTTCCTATAATCTTTCCATTTTTTTCACAGTAATTATTTTATTAACCATGGGCTGTAATAGAACTGCTATATTTTTCATTCTTATTTCTTAGTTGCCCTAAGCTAATTCTATATTACAAATGTGAATTATAAACTGCCCAATTCCAGAAGTAATTATTTTTCTTTAATGAAATCTCTCTTTTGCTAGAAAATATATAATTTTACTTGTTTATAACCATAACAAAGTTTTCTTTCAAAGGTAAATATGAAGTCAAGGTAGTCATCTGGATGAAAAGATCACTTTTACCCTGATAAATTTTTATTTAACAGGAAAAACTTCACAATTTTAGAAATTAAACTTCCAAATGATGTCATTTGCATAAAATGGTAAATGATTTCAATATATGAAAATGTTAATTAAAATAACGAATATTATATAATCCTGCATAACACTATTTTAAATCTACTTTGAAACCTAGCTTTTCCATCTGTAGCTGAGACAATTACTCCTAGAATATACAAATTTCCATGCAGAAACGGTTAGTAATAGAGTACTTTTCATAAGCTTTACCCACTATAATTTCACTTACTTGGCATATTCATACGTTTAGGTGGTAAGTCATGTCATAAATAAATCATGGTATCACTAACATTTATTTCTGATTACAGATAATGTATTTACAATTAACACTGATGATAAAACTAGAGCTGGTTTATTCCAAGTCATGTACAACTTTGCATGTAGAAGTATCCATGAACAGATGGTGAGTGATGCCATACATAACCAAGGGTGCATTTTCTTCAAGAAATCTAGGAATGTCATGGGAGAAAACATCAGTCAGGCTTACCAACTAGACAATCTTCACTCTTCCTTTGGCAAAACCTTCTTATTTTTATAGCACTATAGAAAAAAATCCTCTTTAAGAGTGCAGATGAAGTCTAGAAAAAACTGTCTTCTGACAGTTTCCTCTGAAAAATTTAAAGGGAGACAAGCAGATGAGCAGTTGAATTTTGGAATCTATTTTCAGAGTGTTTTCTCTTGGTAGCTGAAATTGTTTGTGGGGATTGCAAAGACACAGTGTGCACCATAATATTTCTGACAAATGGCCGTCTGTCATCCAGTGAACAGAGAAATCGGTGGAGATCTACAGGCTAAACTAAGAAATCCCATAGCTACTACACATGGCTCTACCATAGACAGCCCATAAATATCCACATCTTGGTGTCCATTGAAAAACAAAGAGAACGGAAACACAGAGCTTTCTTCATCCTGTGTACCTTCAGACACATATAACATGGTCACATGATTTTCACTTAAAATCTCAGCTCAGTTTTGTAACTTGCCAATACCAAGGTTTCAATTGAATAATGAATATACTCGCATACATAGCAGAAGATAATTGATTGTTTAATGTTGTATTCCGTATAGAAAGAGAGATTGTGTCCATGAAAGCTTTATATACTATATTACTGAAACATAATGTTCAATGTTTCAATGTTTCTTTTTGTTTGTTTGGTTTCTGAGACGGAGTCTTGGTCTGTTGCCCAGGCTGGAGTGCAGTGGCACAATCTCTGCTCACTACAACCTCCATCTCCTGGGTTCAAGTGACTCTCCTGCCTCAGCATCCAGAGTAGCTGGGACTACAGGCACACATCACCATGCACGGCTAATTTTTGTATTTTCAGTAGAGACAGGGTTTCACCATGTTGGCCAGGCTGGTCTTGAACTCCTGACCTCAAGTGATCTTCCCACCTCAACCTCCCAAAGTGCTGGGATTACAGGCATGAGCCACCGTGCCTAGCCAATGTTTCAAATAGGAAAATATATGGCTATTTGGGGCAGGTAAATCCTGGGCATCAGATTTACTGAGGGTGACAATGCTGGAAAGAGCCTTTTCAACAGCACAAAAATGAGGTCAGAATAAGAAGCACCAAAAATACGAAGAAAAATCCGAAATTATCTTGATGGCAGTGAGTATCTAATGCTTTTATTCTTTTGTATTTTAGAATATTTTAAACAATTATATTTTCAGAAATTTTTGTTTTCTCAAATGTGAAGGTAGGACCATATTTTCATGCTCTATTATTTATATAATTATAGTTATTTGTACAATTCTAAATAAAATATTTTCTTTTTCCAGTAATAACACAATAAATAGGATACTATGATTGAATTTGAGTTATTTTTTTCATGAAACTGTGAAAACATGAAAAATATGGCAAATATTTATTCACAGGATAGAAAAGGGTAAGTCCAGGTTTGAAGGGCATCAGAGGTGTTGCATGATCAATAGTATCTTCTGTCAAGAAGACCAATTACAAGTCCCCTGCATATGAAGTTGAATGGACTATGATACAGTGGCAGATTAAGAACACACAAATACACACACATGCACACACACACACACACACACACACACACACGGGGCAGAGAGACCTCTCCTATTGTTACAGCTAAATTATCTTTTAAGCACTCATAATATTTTTTATTTTTTTCCTTACAAATCAAAAGAGTAGTAACTTGGGATACATATTCTCTCTATTTACAATTTCTATTACAAGTCAACATAATTACAAGAATTTAATAAATAGCAAGCATAACAACACTGACATTTCTTGCCAGAAACATACTGTTTGTGTGTGTGTGTGTGTGTGTGTGTAGACTGTGTGTGTGCCATAAAGCTGTGTAGGGCACTATGCTCAGTAGGTACTGGAGGAGGTGGAGATAGTCTCTGCTTTGATATCTAGTGAGCGTGCAGGGACATATATGCAGTAGGGTAAAATTAATCCACTGTTATCCGGACATCTAAGTACGTTTAGCCACATCACAAGTAGGGATTGTGAAAAAGGCATTGAGTGAAAGCAATGGTATAAAAGGAGGGTAAAAATGGGAAAGTACATGACCATTTGGGACAGTTAAGTCCTGGGCAACAGATTTATTGAGGGAGACAGTGCTGGAAAGAGCCCTTTCAACAGCACGAAGATGAGGTCAGAATATGAAGCACCGTAAATATCAAGAAAAATCTAGAAATTATCTTGATGGCAATAAGCATCTAATGCTTTTTTTGTATTTTGTATATTAAAATCATTTTCTAAATTACAAATGATAACTTGATTTTTGTAAAAGATTCAAATAGAGCAGAAGTGAGCCGGTAAAATTCTTCTAACCACTCTGCTCCTTCCATCCCCATTCCACTCATTAGGGGGCTGGAGTTTAAAGTTCCATGTCTAAAAACAAACAAGGGAAACATACTAACAATGGCAGTACTATGCTATATTTTCAGAAGTTAGCAGTCACAATCCTTTAGGCTATCTCTTCAGATATTGACCTTCATATTCTTAAATGAAAATGGTTTTAAAAGCTGGGTTTTGATTTTTCATTTTTAGATGTTATAGATTTTCTTCCTACTATGGAATATGATGATTTAGTGGTCTGAACCACTCCTTTCCTTCCTCACACACACCTTCCCTCCTTTCATGCTCAGAATAAGTACATTTCAAAAGCAGTATTTAGCATTTGCATTAGTATCACCAATCCAATTATGATTTATAAGCCAGCCATGTAGTTTACAGTGGTTTCATGTCTGTTTTTCTCAAACATCTGAGTTAACTTCTGAGTGAAGTGTTTATTGCCTTGTTTGTAAGCCTGCTTGTGTGCATGGTTTTATTCTGCTTTCTGCACTGCCTCGGTCTCTTCGAGGTTCCTTTTGACGCAATTTTATTTGCTATGGCCTCTGTTTTTTGTTTCATACTTTCCTCAAATATCTGGTGACCCCTAACTGGCTAACTCTCGTGCATCTCAACCCATCTCGGCATCTGCTTCTAGGAGGACCTGAGTTAAGCCATAGGTCTTCCTTTATTTCAGGAAAGACTTTATATACATCTTGTATTTATTCTCTATTTCAGGAAAACCTGTATGTTCAATTCCATTATTTGACTTGTGCGCATACCCATGTATTTTCCGTCTCTCTGACTGAATTTCTTTCTTTGTTACTTTATTAATGCCTATTATTTTCTGAAGCTACTATAGTCTCTTTTCAGCTACAGTTATTGGATTTCTAAGTGCTTATAAAAATTGTTTTATTTGTGTGAAGCATTTATCATTATTTTCAATTTACTTTGATGAGCACTTTAGTCTGCTTTATATCCTTCCCATTGTCTTACCTGTTCTCGGATTTCTTGCAACTCTTTCCTGTTAAATCGGAGTGCCGATTTTCATGATTTCCTGGATGTACAGATAAATATTTTTTAAATTTTGTTTCTTCTTCATGTTTCCCTTTGTTGATTTTCTCTTTAAAAATTTTTTTTATCATCCACAAACAGATATCATGTTGAATCCTTTCTGCTTTTTTTTTTTTTTTTGTCAGTGAAGGGGACAGTCCTGTCTAGACCTAATACTTGTTGTGAAGTGTAGGGGCTGAGGAGAGAGAAGAGGTGGGAGATTGGGAAGGAGGCCATTTTGAATTAAATATATCATCTCAGAACTCTCTGGCCAAACTGGGTAGTCCTTTGTGATAGGTCTGTTAATGTGTATTAATAGAACTGAGTCAATTGCTGGGGTAAGAAAAAAACTAAGGATGGCTGTCATTTTGCAGGCCTGGATAAAAGAGAGGTTGGTGGTGATGTCAGGAACATTGTTAAGGAGTTACAAGTGAAAGTGAAAAACTGCTTTGCTAAGCACTTTATGTATAAACCCAAAGGGTATTTTTAGCATAAATAATAGGACTTACTGAGAATATCATACCTCTAATATAATTCATCAAAATTTTATTTCTATTAAACAAATCTGAAACTTTAAGAATAATTTATTTAAAGAAATCTCCATTAATACAGTAAGACATTTTTCTTAATATTAATGAAAATAATTATCTTAAGGAAAATTTGTTTACAAAAAAATTGATATGTAAGTGATGGAATACTGAGGCTTTGAAAAAGTTAGTTTTACTTTTTTATCCTGTCTTTTTTTTTTTTATTATACTTTAAGTTTTAGGGTACATGTGCACAATGTGCAGGTTAGTTATATACGTATACATGTGCCATGCTGGTGTGCTGCACCCATTAACTCGTCATTTAGCATTAGGTATACCTCCTAATGCTATCCCTCCCCCCACCCAACAACAGTCCCCAGAGTGTGATGTTCCCCTTCCTGTGTCCGTGTGTTCTCATTGTTCAATTCCCACCTGAGTGAGAACATGCAGTCTTTTTAAAGAACTATGATAATTAAAGTAGAAGTGAAGCAAACTGATGTCATGTCTAATACAGATTTCACATGCCTACATTTCTTTAGAATATATTGATACCTCTTGATGAATACTGAATTTTATCAAATATTTTTCTGTACCTATAGAGATCATCTCAGAATTTTAGCTTCCATTTCCTAACATAAAATCATTTATTGATATTTTATTGTTAAAGTAGCCTTACTTTCTGGACTGTATACAATTAGGTTGTGATGATGTCTTTAGTATTGATGTTTCTGAGATTAGTTGATTTTATCCTATTTTTGTATTGTCCTCATCTAACCTACAAGGTTGAGTGCTTAGCTGATTAATTTTCCATCCCTATTTTCTTCTAAATACGTGTATGTAAGTCTATAAAATTTTCTCTACCAACTTAGCCACATCTCATAAATTTTGATGTAGTGTTTTCATTATCGTGTAGTTCCAATATGTAATAAGTTCCCTTATTGTGTTGTCTTTTATTAAAGATCTTACAGACGTGTTCTTAATTTTAAAAGTATAGGCTTTTTGGCTTTTATTTGTATTGCATTATGATCTGAAAACATGAGCCCATGTTCTATAGGCTCTTGATTATTTTATACACGTTAAGATGTGTTTGTGGCATCTTATGTTGTCAAATTTTGTTAATGTTCCAAGAATGTTTAAAAGCAATGTATAGTCTCTGATTTTTGTTTTTGCTTAAGCTTGTTTTATGCTGTTTAATTTTCTATTTCCTTAGAAACTTTTTTCATGCAGTCTAATATTTATAAGATGTACCTTTTTAAAAGTCTCATTATAATTGTCATGTTTTCAATTTTTTTGGTTGAATCACATGAAATGGTTGTTATTTAACAGTACTGACCTACAATTATGGCAGTTTCAATAGGTTCCATCTAATAATTGTGTCCATTTTTGTGTGTGTACAAACTTAAAATACACTCAAGGGAATATTTTATCAAGAGTTCAGATATATTGCATCTTGCTGATGAATCATTTTTTTCTAATGATAACATGTAATGACCCTCTTTTCCCAAAACTTTGTGTTTTGCCTTGCCTTCAGTTTACTTTCAACATTCCTGTATCTTAAACTTTAGATGTTTTCTGTTAGAAACGCACAAAGTTGGGCTTTTAAAACTCAATCTAAGGTTTTCTTCCTTCTCTTTTATAACAGGCAAATGTAATCATTTTTGTTTCTTTTGATTCTACATATTTATATTTTCTCTCTCTCTTATTTTATAGTGTCTGTTATAATATTTATTTACTCTTTTTTCTTTCTATATTTTCTCTACTTCTAATTACATTAATTTAAAAATTTCCCCTTTTCTCCTATTTACTTGTTTAGATGTATTTATAATCTTTTAGTAGTTTACTTAATGTGCCCACTTGACCAAAAAGTAAAATCAAATGTAAAATATAAACGTATCCATACTTCTCTTTTTATTACCTTCCATTTCTTGTTACTGCTATCAACTATTTTAATTCTACCTTTCTTTTAAACATCTAAAACTTACTCTTTATTACCATCACTGTTATTAAAGTTAATGTATATTAGGTTTGGTCACGTTTAACAGTATCTTTACTTCTTGTACTCCAGTTCTTCTTTGTGAGTTCAAATTTATTTTCCATTACGTACATCCATTATTTATTTTCTTTAGGGAATTTTTGTTTGGTAAACTCAGCATTTTCCAAAGATGAATCAATTTAGTATTTATTCTTGCATATTTCAGTTGGTGATAGAGTTTTTAGTTATTTGAAGATGGTTTTCATTATTTTCTGGCTTTTATTGCATCTGGCCTCATTTCTTGAATGGTTATAAAATTCTTGGCCAACGAGGGATTTCATTTCATCACTTCCTGTTCTATCTCGTTGCTATTGAGATATCTGATGTCAATCTGGTTTGCTGTTCTTTTGTGGGTTATCTGTCTTATCTCTCTGATTTTAAAACTTCCTTTTGCATTTAGAATTGGGCAATTTTACCCTCGTGTTTCAAAGTATGAATTGCTTTTTATTTTTTTCATGCTGGAACTCAATGTACTTCTTCAATCTGACAAGTCATACCATTTGTCTAGTCTGTAGAATTACCAGTTATTGTATATTTACCTCATCCCCATTTGCTGTATCATCTCCTTTAGGAATGATTATTAAATCTGTGTTCAATATTCATACTCTATTCTGTATGTCTAAAGATATTTTATATTTCCCATCTCCTTAACATCTCTCTGTTGCACGCTGAATGATTTCCTCCTATCCTACAACTCTCTCATTTTCTCTGCACTTGTGACTAAGTTACCACTTTCACAATTCAGTTTTTAATGTTAAATTAATTTAACTGTGGTAAGAACACTTAACATGAGATCTACCCTCTTAACACATGTTTTAAAAAAATTTTATTTCCGTAGGTTATTGGGGAATGAGTGTTTGGTTACATGAGTAAGTTTTTTAGTGGTGATTTGTGAGATTTTGATGCACACATCACCTGAGCAGTATACACTGAACCCAATTTGTAGTCCTTTATCCCTCACCCCCTTCCCGCCCTTTTCCCCTGAGTCCCCAAAGTCCATTGTGTCATTCTTAGGCCTTTGCATCCTCATAGCTTAGCTCCCGCTTATGAGTGAGAACATATGATGTTTGGTTTTCCATTCCTGAGTCACTTCACTTAGAATAATAGTCTCCAATCTTATCCGGGTTGCTGCAAATGCCACTAATTCATTCCTTTTTATGACTGAGTAGTATTACATTATATATATATATATATATATATCTCATATATATATCTATATAAATCTATCTCATATATATATCTATATAAATCTATCTCATATATATATATCTATATATATATATCTCACAAATTCTTTATCCACTCATTGACTGATGGGCATTTGTGTTAGTTCCACATTCAATTATAAATTGTGCTGCTATAAACATACATGTGCAAGTATCTTTTTTTTGTATAATGACTTCTTTTCCTCTGGGTAGGTACCCAATGGTAGGATTGCTGGATCAAATGGTATTCTATTTTTGGTTCTTTAAGGAGTCTCCAGACTGTTTTCCATAGTGGTTGTATTAGTTTACATTCCCACCAAGAGTCTTAACACATTTTTAAGTGTACAACACAGTACTGTTAACTAAGCACAGATCTGTAAAATGTGTGCATCTTGCATAACTGAAACTTTATACCTGTTGCACAGCAACTCCTCATTTCTCCCTCTTCCAGCTCCTGGTAAGCACATTCTGTTCCCTGCTTCTGTGAATTTGACCATTTCATATACTCCACATAAATTGAATTATGTAATATTTGTCCTTCTGTGAATGGCATATTTTACTTAGCATAACATCCTCAAGGCTCATCCATGATGTAGCATATGGCAGGATTTCTATCTTTTTTGAGGCTGAATAATATTCAATTGTATGTTTATACCACATTTTCCTTCTTCATTAATCCATCAACAAACATTTGTTTCCATATCTTGGCTATTGTGAATACTACTGCAATGAACATGAAAGTGCTAATATCGCTTCGAGATCCTACTTTCATATTTTTTTTGATAAATACCCGTAGGTGGAGCTGTGGATTTTATGTATTTCTATTTTTAATTGTTTTGGGAATCTTCATACTGTTTTCCATGGCAGCTGTACCATTTTGCATTCCCATCAATGGTGTACAAGAGTTCCAGTTTCTCCATATCCTCATCAATACTTTGTTTTTTGTTTTTTAGATAATTAGCCATCCTAGCAAGTGTGAAGGTATGTCTCATTGTGATTTTGATTTGCATTTCCCTGCTGATCAGTGATGCTGAGTATCTTTTCATGTACTTATTGGCCATTTGTATATCTTTGGAGAAATGTTTGTTCAAGTCCTTTGCTGTTTTAAAAATTAAATTAGTGTAGGTGTTTTTTGCTATTGAGTTGTAGGAGTTCCTTATGTATTTTAGAAATTAGTTCCTTATCAGATATACAGTTTGCAAATATTTTCTTCCATTCCACAGGTTGACTGCTTCCTCTGTTTATTGTTTTCTTTACTGTGCAGTTGATTTTTAGTTTGATATAATGCCACTTACCTACTTATGCTTTTGTTACCTGTGCTTTTGGTGTCAGATTCATGAAACCATTGCCAGAACCACTGCCTGAAGCTTATCCTTCTAGGAGTTTTATGGTTTCAGGCCTTAACCTTTGTCTTTAAACCATTTTGAGTTGACTTTTGTGCATGGTGTAAGATAGGGGTCCAATTTCATTCTTTTGCATGTGGATATCCAGTTTTCCCAGCAAGAGACTATCCTTTCCCCATTGTGTATTTTTGGCACTCTTGCTGAAGATCAGTTGGCTTTATAATGTTGCGATTTGTTTCTGGGCTATTATGTTCCATTACTCTATATGTCTAACTTTATGTTTTATTGTTTTAAGCATATTGCTTTAATTATTGGAGCTTTGTAATATACTTTGAAATCAGTGAGTGTGATCCTTTTAGCTCTGTTCTTTCTCAAGATTGTTGAGGCTATTTGAGGTCTTTTGTGGTGATACATGAATTTGCTAATTGTTTCCATTCCTGTGAAAAATACCTTGGGATTTTTTTGGGGATTGCATTGACTCTATGGATGCTTTAGAGTAGTATAGACATGTTAACAATATTAACTCTTTCAACTCGTGAATACAAGATGTCTTTCCACTTATTTGTATCTATTTTACTTTCTTTCCTCAATATTTGTTTTATTTATTTATTTTTTAGAGATGGAGTCTCATTCTGTCACCCAGACTCGAGTGCAATGGCACAATCATAGCTCATTGTAGTATGGAACTCCAGTGCTCATGTGATCCTCCACCTCAGCCTCCCGAGTATCTGGGACTAAAGGTGTTCACCTAAAAGCCATTTTTTTTTTTTTTTTTTTACTGAGGTCTCAGTGTGTTGCCTAGAATGTTCTATGTTTTCAGTGTACCAATCTTTCATATCCTTAAATTTATTCCTAAGTGTTCCTTTATCTTTGTCATCATTTTGATGTATTTTCTTTATAACATTCATCAAGGTCTGAAATTATCCCATATATTATTTTCTTCACTTAATTTTTTTGGTATTTACTTTCATGGAAAATACCTAATTTCTTTTCTTCATCTCTCTGTCTTCAGCTATCTAGAAATAGGACATAAAGCAATTCAATGCATAGGTGGTAAATGGATAAATAAATGAACAAATTAATAAATCTGCTGTAGTTAGCTATGTGCCTTTTTAAAAAATAAGATGCTAATGTACATAGAGATGGTGACCACAGTGATTTTGCGCTCTGTAAATGAGATACATCCCCAGGATCTGACACAGCCCCATAAATTCTGATTGAAAAAAAATCAATTCCACTCCTAGAAATGTTATTATAAACATTATACACATATAATATGTATAATGTATAAAGTATTATATACACATGTGCTTACTGAAACATTGTTTATAATAGTAAAAAGCAAAGGATAAGGTACAGCATGCTAAACAATAGAGCAATGGTTAAATAAACTAGAGTTTGCAGTAGAATATTATGCAGCCCTTAATTGCCACTTAGACTTTGTTTCAATTCTACCAGAATACAAAAACATAGCAAGTAAGTGCATATGTAGTATGATCTTAATTTTATAAATACATATATGAATTTTATCTTGACCTATACTTTTATCTATGTATTTATACCCATATTTAAAAATGTTAATATATGGTAGTGATGATTTTTACCTTTTTATTCACATATTTCTTCATGTCTTGAGTTTTCTCAACTAGGCTATATTTATTTTGCAATTTATAAATTTGACTATTAATTTCAGTTAAACTTAATGTATTTATACCTTGGAATTCCATCAGATTTTCAGATATCATACTGCCTTCACTTAAAAAGTTACTTTTCAATGGAAGGTACAGAAATTGTTTAAGGGAAATAAAGCTTGTCTAAGAAGACATTTACACTTTTGTTATGGAAGTCATATGAACTAACAACAGGGAATAACAACAGGGAGGCTCCATATGTCAGCATTAATGCCTAAAGAAAAGAAAAGGAAATATTTAGGAGAGTGGAAAGTGTAAGAAATAGAAGGGGTTTGCAACAGGAAAAGTGATTCTGAAATCTCCAAAATAAGACACTTCTAAAGAAGTTGAAATGAGGGAGGAACACATTTGAATGTGCTATAAAGCTTAGTTAAAAAGCTGGAAAAGCAATAATGAAAAGTAATGGCAACCCTCACGAGTTAAACCCATTAATTTACATATACGGTGTGCTTTAAATTGTTCCACAAAAAGAGCAAGGCTGTTATACGAGATTTTTAAAAGCAGTGACCAAACTGTATACAAGTCATCTTTGGACACCACGGACTTTACACAAATTGCTTAGATGGCTTCCATCTGGGTTGTCTCATTTAAAGCACATTTGAGAAGAGCTGTTGCTTGCTTTTCAGAAGAATCATTCTTGTAAACCTTGATTATAGTTCAAAGAGAATGTCCTTGGGCAGAAGGGTAGAGATTATACATGTTTTCTTTCTCTCTGCTTAAACTCTGTTGCCTCAAGGTAGTTATGTAACTTTCCTATCCAAGTGACAATCTAGCTAGCAAATCAAGACTGCCTGCGTTGATAATCCCACTCTGTGTCCTTTGGCAAGTTATTTTATCTTTGTGTGCCACGGTTTTCTTATTTGTAAAATGGGGACAATAATAGCCCCTACCTTGGAGAGTTGTTGGGAAGATTAAATATCATGAAACTGTCAAGTGCTGAGTAAATATCAGCCAAGCTGAAAATGACACCACCTCTCTCCATTTATAAAAACGCCACTCCTAACGATCTACCCTTTCAGGGGTTTTTGTGGTTTACATGAAATTATATTTGTGATAACACCTAGCATAATATCTTGTTCATAGAAGGTTGCTCAATAAAATACCCTTCTTCTTCCTACAAAAATTTTCAAACATGTTACACCTCCTCTCTTGCTATTCAGACCATGCAATCTGTTTGAAATCTGGTAAGTGGTTCACTCCCACCCACTTACCGATTGGAAAAGTTAAATGAACATTGAATGGCTGTTAAATTCTGAACTGGGGTGAGATCTCTGGCTTCCTGACTCTTAGTGTCTCACTGCTTTCAGAAGGATGAATTCAGTGCTGAGATCCAGGAAATAAGTAGTAGATTAGGAAATTAATTATTGGGATTTTTAATTTTATATACAGCAGTTTATTAGACATGCCTCTAAAGAAGCTGGGACATTAATGTAGAGATATCCTCAAACAGTAAAACTGATTATGCTCTATAATTTGCTTTTTATGTTGTTGTTTTTGCACAAAATGTGGGTTTTTGGTAAATGTAAGAACAATGCTAAATTATACTATCAGAAGTTTGGACAATTTTTAAAATATTTTAAAAAGAAATTTATAAATGGTAAATCAATCTCAAAGAAAAGTTTCAACTCATCATATTAGAGTTACAGATACAAGCACAGGATGTTTCTTAGACAACATCTTTTTTGAGCACATACAGAATCCTAAACTGGAAATGATAGAGCCACAGACAATGGCTATTCTTCAAATATACACTAGAGAGGAAACTTTCCATGTTTATCTGGAAGAATGAACTTTCCTGATGAATAAAAAACTAAGTGCAGCTTTTGTCTTAGAGTTGTAATTGTCAGTAAGAAATTTTGTACTAAAATAATTTTACATATATGTAAAAGACATTGATAATGTTTATCATTAATCATATATATAAATGACATACTATGTCACTGAGAGTTTCATATCAAACTCCTCTTTCTAATATTATGAATAGTAAAACAAAAAATAACACAAAAGTTTTAAACTTCTTACCAAACCAACATAATATAGCAATGGCAACCAAAAATTTCTAAGAGCACTCCCAAACTACATTCTTCTTCCTGAATTAAATACAGGCATTCAACACACACACACACACACACACACACACGCACACCCTTCAAATCTTAGCATAAATTCCTCTTATATAAACATATAACCATGCTCCTGAGTTTCAAAATATTGGGTGGTTCGAAGTTCGAAGCAACAAATTTCCAGTTAGTGTCTATTAATTGTTGGACAGCTGGCAGGTGCTAGAACTTTCAAAGAGGTTCTTCACACCTGCCCACCACTGTGCTAGATGTGAAGGACATATCCAGGCTTAAATCAACATCAACTCTGCAGTTTATTCTCTGGCAAGTGTAATTTTAAGGATGTTAATTTCCTGATGTTTCTCATCTTTTATTATCTTTCAATCATTATCAAGTCTCTGCCGTATTCTGCTTGGCCCGCAGAGGAAAATAAAGGAAAACTTGTTCAAAATACATGTATTGAACCTATAATTAGGGATGGGGAACATTTAGTTGAAGGGCCAGAGACAGAGATGAGATTAAGAAAAATCAAACAAGAAATAGAGACCAAGGAGAAAAAAGGTAATTGAACATTTTTCCCTCTAGGTTCTTCTTTGTAGTTTACAATTTGTGAAGCTTAGCCTAATACATACATGTTTGAGGGAAGTATATGAGAAGCCATATATGGTGAACCAGATGCTCCTCTCTTTCTCTGTGTATATATGTGTTTGTGTGTGTATATACATATACATGACAAAGACAGTTGAGCATCCATTTGTGTTAAAATCTGTCTGTATTAACATTTGTCTGTATTAATTAATCTGGTTGTATTGACATTTCCCTGAACTAATATTATGTACTGTTTATTCCCTTCTGAATAAAATCGAATATATATGTATAATTTATTTGACATGCCTTTAATATATATTCCCCACAAAATTTGATTAATAGAGAACTCAGTATGTTACTTCTTTTATTTAAAAAATTCAGTAGGGGAAGCTTGATGGAGAAAAATATAGAGACTGAACAGAGATTTTAATTTCCACCAAATTTGAATTAAAGAGAGTGAAGCAATTCATTTTAATAAAACCATTGGTGGATTATACTAATCCAGTGTAACATCTGGAAACTCTTCATCTTTTATCTTTTAGTAATTACTTGTACATATCTGGTAAAAAGTGATTAAATGGCTGATTTGGTATATTTTGCACTGTGAGTCCTCTTCGGATTTTAATTTGGGTGATGCAGAAGAATTCAATTAGTAATGTAAATCTTGTTGCTCGCCTCTAGTCCAGCCAGTAGAATGCACTGTGAGAGAGAATCAGTGTAGTATTAACTGGCTCGAGAAAGCTAGTCCACATTAGGAAAGAGGCTGGGGCCTCATGGAGGAAGAAAGGTCTCTGAAAGGCTTCTGGGCAGTTAGGGTAAGCTAATTAGTAAGAACTGATTTGGGGTGGGAGGGTAAGTGGTAGGGTGGGTGTGGATGAGTATGTTTGGGTGGGGGCATTCTCCTCTGCACTGGGCTGAGCTAAACACAGTCCTTCCATGAGTTCTGCAAACCTTGGGTTGGAAAAGAGGCTATAGTTTGCCTTAGGCTACCTGGACTGAGCAATATAAGGCATGGGAGAGGTGGTTTATCTGTTTAAGGTGCCATGTCTTGTTTATACTCACTGATGAGAAGAAAAAACTTAAATGAAGACTTCAGACTGAATTTTTTTTCCTTGTATTAAAAACTTAGAGTGAGAGTTAAGCTTAGATTTAGTTTTTCTAAAACCTTAAAAACTAGAAACCATTTATTAAAGCTAGATTTTTTTTTTCTTTTGAGATAGACTTTCTCACTCTGTCGCCCAGGCTGGAGTGCAGTGGTGCAATCTTGGCTCACTGCAACCTCCGCCTCCCGGGTTCAAACTATTCTTGTGCCTCAGCCTCCTGAGTAGCTGGAATTACAGGTGTGAGCCACCATGCCTGGCTAATTTTTTTTTGGTATTTTTAGTAGAGACAGGGTTTTGCCATGTTGGCCAGGCTGGTCTCGAACTCTAGGCCTCAAGTGATCTGCCTGCCTCAGCCTCCCAAAGTGTGGGAATTACAGGAGTGAGCCACCACACCTGGCCTAAAGCCAGATTTTCATAGTCCTTAGAACCAAACAAATTTCCCCAAGCACAGTAAGAACTCTGTAATAATATTTCCAAGTCAACACTGGAATAAATAGGAGTAGGACAGCCTATCTGCCTCTGCCAGAAAAAAGAAACGTCATAGTGAGAGTTTGGTTTACAGCAGACTCTTAAACAACACAGTATGGACCGCATGGGTTCATTTATGTGTGGATTTTCTTCCATCTCTGCCACTCCTGAGACAGCAAGACCAGCCTCTCCTCTTCCTCCTCCTCCTCAACCTACTCAATTTAATGATCTACCTCCACTTAATGAATACTAAATATATATTCTCCTCTTTATGATTTTCTTAATAACATTTTCTTTTCTCTAGCTTACTTCTTTATTGTAAGAATACAGTATATAATACGTGTAAACCCAAATATGCATTAATTGATTATTTATATTATTGGAAAGGTTTCTGGTCAACAGCAGACTACTAGTAGTTAAGTTTGGGGGTGTCAAAAGTTGTACATTGATTTTCTTTTTTAAATAAACAATTTCGACTTTTCTTTTAGATTCAGTGGGTACATGTGCAGGGTTGTTAGCTGGGTATACTGCATGATGCTGAGGTTATGGTTACGACTGATCCCATCACCCGGGTGGTGAGCATAGTACCCAATAGTTAGTTTTCAACCCTTGCCCTCCTCCTTCTTCAGTGTCTACTATGGCCATACTTATGTCCATGTGTAACCAATGTTTAGCTCCCACTTATGAGTGAGAATGTGCGGTATTTGGTTTTCTGTTCAATTTGCTTAGGCTAATAGCCTCCAGCTACATCCATGTTGCTACAAAGGACCTGATTTCATTCTTTTTTATGGCTGGGTAGTATTCCATGGTGTATATGTACCACAATTTCTTGATCCAATCCACTGTTGATGGGCGCCTAGGTTGATTTCATGTCTTTGCTATTGTATACACTGGTTTTAGCTGTGCAGGGGTGGGGTAGGCACCTCAACCCCCATGTTGTTCAAGGGTCAACTGTACTTTAATATATTAATAATAGTTAATAATTATTGAATATTGACATCTTATGTTGATGATCTCTTTTAATGAGATCATGGGAGATAATACTATCTTCTTTTAGATATCAAGCAATAAGCTTAGAAAGGTTGAGTAAATTGCCCAAAAATCACATCAGTCAGTAGTGGTAAAGTTAATATTCAAACTCCGGTATATTTGACTCCAGAACTCAAGATTTTAACCTCTAGGGGTAACATCTTCAAGATAATTGAGCCCCAAAATTTGTTTGATAAAATCTTTCACAAAATTACTGCCTCATAATCCAGTGGAATAAGCAGGTTTGTAAATAAACACATTCATTTAATAAAGTTAAACACAAATGTCTATGGGAGCACGGAAAAGCAGGTGATTAATTAAGACTGCAGGATGTGAGGATCATTTCACAGTGGGAATGTTTTGTGCATTTTTATGATGTCTGCTTTAGGGAATAACCAATTCATTTATCTCTAAAAATTGACATCCAGGGATACATTTCCTGCCTTTGACATACCTTTCTTAAGGTATGGGCATACAATAAATGTTTATAAATAAGGTTTAATAGACAGAAGTGTTGCTTCTAGAAAGTGGCTCATGTTTTAATGGCTGTTGCCAAATGGCTATCAGGCTTCATTTTACTTCTGTTGCAAATTTCTATATTTTTTAAAATTGGCTATCAGAGGCTTTTATTAGCTTTGAACTTGAAAAACAAAATAGAAAATCTCAATAGAAGCAATTTATATACAATGCAGTTTGGACAGTAGAGAAGGACAGAAGGTCATTGCTGAGCAAAGAGGAAACAAAGTCTTTGATTTACCTCCTTAATCTATGGCAGAACTCTATTTACCATTTTCTGAAGGTTATCTCTAATTCTAATTGCCTATTTCCATCCTGTCCTTCTGAGAAAATGAAGCCACAGACACCCTTTCCGTGAGCGTCAAATGCCTTCTGGTGATTAGGTATGTGTCCGTGCTGACATTGGTGGTCTGTAGCTTAATTACAGATATACAGAGGCAAAGCTGGCCTGTGGATATTAATCAGTGTTACTGAAAGCAGAACTCCTAAAGCTACGACCTTTACAAATGGTATATACAATCATTCTTGATTCAAAGAGTGTAGTTGTTCAAGCTGTTTAAAAAAAAGGAGTCAAAGTATATTCCACGTTATTTTGTGTGAAAATAAGGGATTATCATATGTATTAGTCTGTTCTCAAGCTGCTATTATGAAACACCTGAAACTGAGTAATTTATAAAGAAAAGAGGTTTAATTGGCTCACAGTTCTGCATGGCTGGGAAGGCCTCAGGAAACTTACAATCCCGGCGGAAGGGGAAGCAAACACATCCTTCTTCACGTGGTGGCAGGAGAGAGAATTGGAGCATGAAGGGGAAAAAGCTCCTTATGAAACCATCAGATCTCATGAGAACTCACTCACTATCACAAGGAGAGCATGGAGGAACTGCCCCCGTTACCTAATGACCGCCCATGAGGTCCCTCCCCCAACATGTGGGGATTACAATTCAGATTACAATTCAAGATGAGATTTGGGTGGGGACACAGAGCCAGACCATATCATCATACATCAGAGAAAGTTTAGTCATCACGTGCAGTCCCATAAACCTGCTCATTGGGCACTGTGTTCAGCTCATATTCTTGGCCCTCGTTCTCACCATTAGTTTATAAAAGAAGAACGTGAACTAACCGGAGAGAAGGCAGCAGGTGTAGAGAGACGGATTTTGAGCCATCATGTTAAAGGGGCAGATCTAGCATTTCACAGTCCTTCCTGTGTTCATGAAAATAAAGACTAGTAGTAGCAAGTATCTGTGCTCAGTCAAAATGATCCTAAAGCAAAAAGCAGAAATGCCAACAAACACCTCACCTTGCGCAAGAGCATGGGGCTCACATGTGGGACTAGACATGATTCCTTGATATAGAAGAGAATTTTTCTCAGGTCCACCCTCATGGAGGAGGATGTGGTCCTGATGTCACATATCTCCATGTATGCTTTATAATGCATTGCTAATTCACTTTAGAATTCAATAGGCTTTACTGAGTGCCTGCAGTACACCTGGTACCGTCAATGGCTTTTACTGGTTTGATTTGTCATTTTCAATAAATGCTTTTGTCATCTTCACAAATCCTGACTTAAAAACCCTGCTGTATAGCCTGTCATCTAAATATGTCTAATGGTGATTAAAAGTCAAGGTGAGAGCCCTAAAGTAAGAAAAACTCAGTAATCTGATTTCCTTGTTTTTTGTTTTCTTTTTCTTTCTTTTTACCCTTTCCTGTGCTCCCCTCCTCAACTTCTCTGTATTTCTTTCTTTCTCTTTTTTAAATGATTGTTCCTCAGGGCTTTCAAAACATTACTACTACATTTCCCAACGCCTTGGAAATACAATTGTATGAATATTAAAACAAATAGTATGTATTCACTTCAGAGTTGCGAGTTTAAAATCATGTTCATCCCTTTACGGTTTAGGTTTCCCTCAGTCTAGAGACAACATCTCTAGTATGAGCGTGATATAAACATTTTTCATAAGCACAGAGGAAGTTAGAGAAGTATAAATAAGAAATTACTTTCAAATACAAATCAACTATCCTTATGATACTCTGGCAAAAAAGAAAAGTAATGTCTGTTTGCCACTTCTGCAAGAAGAGGTGGCATAACTCAACCTGCTACAAACCACTTACGGACAGAGATTTTTAAACAGTGGCTGCCAAGTACTTCGTACAACATGTGCTTGTTAGAAGCTAATTATTCCCTTTTTCACTCTTTTGATTCCAGACTACTAGAATACAATGGGGAAATCACATTAACTTATTCTTTGAGAGCACCCTTCTGGGCGTAGCATGGAAAGATGAGGCAGATTGTATTGGAGATTCTTATTCTCCAATTGAGGAGGGGAGCACAGGAAAGGGTAAAAAGAAAGAAAAAGAAAACAAAAAACAAGGAAATCAGATTACTGACTTTTTCTTACTTTAAGGCTCTCACCTTGACTTTTAATCACCATTAGACATTCTCCAAAGATGAAGGTAGATGCAGGATCTCTGTCCTGCTATGTCAATCTTTACGTGTGTATCTAGCAATGGATGAGAGAAATGAATACAGCAAAACTGAGCTAAGTCAAAGCTTTGAGGCTGACAGACAACTGAAGTTATAGGTGTCTTACTATAGAATGAATTTGTTACCACGCCATGCATTTAAAAAACTTTGAGTACATGTGCTGCTTATTAATGAATCTTAATCTCTTAAACTTTAAATATATGAAAGTTTTCTGCTTTTGTTTTCTGAATGTAGTCTGCTAAATTTAATTCATATTGATCTCAGCTTCACCTAAAAAATATTTGAAAATTCTAAAGATATATTTGTATTCCTCAGTGCTACCTGCAGTTTACTTGACAATGATATATTCCCACATTGCCAGACTTTTACTTTGATTTGGCAAAATCAGTGATGACAGTTGGCTGACGATATTCTCCTTTTTGTAAAGAAGAGGTAATGCCACTTCAAGGAGCACAGCTGAAAAAGCGAGATTCAAAATAACTAGACTTTAAAAAAATATTTTTTTAAGACAGGGTCTTACTGTTTAGCCCAGGCTACAGTGCAGTGGTGTGATCATGGCTCACTGCAGCCTCAACTTCCCAGGCTCAGTGACCCTCCCATCTCAACCTCCAGAGTAGCTAGGACTACAGGCGTGTGCCATCATACCCTGCAATATGTATGTATGTATGTATGTATGTATGTATGTATGTATGTATGCATGCAGAGATGGAGTCTCACTATATTGCCCAGACTGGTCTTAACTCCTGGGCTCAAGCAATCCTTCTGCCAAGTTGCCGGCTTGGCCCTCTTCCAAGTTGAACTTTCCTTCTTTTCTTTTCTTCCTTTCCTTACTGTTCTAAAGCTTTTTAATACATGCTCACTTCTGCTTTGCAACTTGCCTAGGTCTCTCCTTCTGCCTTATGCCCCTCAGTAGAATTCTTTCTTCTGAAGAGACAAGGACTGAGGTTGCTGTGGACCCATATGGATTCGCTGCCGGTAACTTGCGTAACTCGGATATCTGCCACTGCTAACATATTTGGTCCACATGACTCAGATACCTTCCTAGTGGCCATTGAGCTCCAGACAATCCTCAGTGAGGAAAACCATCCTCTCAATATTCAAGAGTCACCCTTCTAGAGAGGACCTCTGCACTTCCCATCAGTGGGACAAGACAGTGGTGAAATCCTGCCCCTGTCTCCCTTGGACTTGGCTGGATACCACTTTCACCAACTGATGCAGCCAACTCAGCCCTGACGGGTAGCAAGGAGCCAAGATCCACCCGACCACGACCACCCCTCTGTCAGCAGGAAGCAGTTACAGAAAACAGAAGTCATCCATTTTGGATGACAGACCTTCATCCAAAGATTTGAGGTCCTGGACTCTTGAGGTGAGAAATGTTACAGCAGGTAGCTAGTCATGTATGAGCAGAGCAAGAGAGAGAAGCCCCACTCCCAACACACACCAGCAGTGTTGGGCAACAATCAGCTGATGGTCAGGCGGTTGTTAACTGTTTTGGTAAAGTAATAATTGGTCGCAGCCGGCCCCAGGGAAAGGCAGCCTCTTAATAGATAGAAAACACCTGAAACTGATCAGCAGCTTCCCAGTAAGATTTCAGGAGTAGTAATAATTGGTCGCAGCCGGCCCCAGGGAAAGGCAGGCTCTTAATAGATAGAAAACACCTGAAACTGATCAGCAGCTTCCCAGTAAGATTTCAGGAGTAGTAATAATTGGTCACAACCGGCCCCCGGGAAAGGCAGGCTCCTACTAGACAGAAAACACCTGAAACTGATCAGCAGCTTCCCAATAAGATTTCAGGAGTAGTAATAATTGGTCACAGCCAGCCCCCGGGAAAGGCAGGCTCCTACTAGATAGAAAACACCTGAAACTGATCAGCAGCTTCCCAGTAAGATTTCAGGAGTAGTAATAATTGGTCACAACCGGCCCCCGGGAAAGGCAGGCTCCTACTAGACAGAAAACACCTGAAACTGATCAGCAGCTTCCCAATAAGATTTCAGGAGTAGTAATAATTGGTCACAGCCAGCCCCCGGGAAAGGCAGGCTCCTACTAGATAGAAAACACCTGAAACTGATCAGCAGCTTCCCAATAAGATTTCAGGAGTAGTAATAATTGGTCACAACCGGCCCCCGGGAAAGGCAGGCTCCTACTAGATAGAAAACACCTGAAACTGATCAGCAGCTTCCCAATAAGATTTCAGGAGTAGGGAGAAGTAATACAAGATCCCGGAAGTAAGCCAACCCGAAGTATAAAACCCGAATTCAAGAGGTCAAGCTGCGCACTTGGTTTCTCAGGGCGCCTGCTTTGCTTTCTCCCAAGGTGAACTTTCCTTCTCTTGGTTTCTCAAGGCGCCTGCTTTGCTCTCTCCCAAGGTGAACTTTCCTTCTTTTCTTTCCCTTGCTGTTCTAAAGCTTTTTAATAAACTCTCGCTTCTGCTCTGGGGGAAAAAAAAATCAAACTCTCAAAGTGCTGGGATTACAGGGATGAGCCACCGCACTCAGTGGATAACTAGGCTTCTAAATGTAGTTTTGTGAAAAACGTACGTGTTCGTGGAAGGGTGCTGAGGTTCTGAATTTCTCTTTTTATTTCTTCCTTATTTTCAATAGTTTTATTCTACCCTGATTCCATTAGGGACTAGCACCTAGTAAAAAAACTACTGAGGCTCCTTGCTCTCTACTTGTTTTGACTATCACAACCGAACGAAGGAAGAATAAAATACGTGACCATTATCAAAGTATAACTAACAACTTTATCTATTTATTCATCTCTATATTATATGCCTGCCTACTATCAACCATCTATCCCCTTATCTGGATACTTAAATTTTTATATCTATAACACTGAGGGGTATACAGGGTGGTAAAACGTATTGCTCTAAGAAGCACACAGTACAAAAAGTAAACCCACAGTATAGTGAAACGTAACTTCCGTTGAATACATTTTATAAATATTTGACTTAAGTAATTACCTTAGTCAATACATATTTTTCACTCTGTAATCATCACCAACCAACCAGAGAAACATGAAATACTGAGATTAAGTAAATTGTAATTGAAAAGGCATGTCAAGCCTTTAACTTTGCTGCAAGTTAACATCAGTGAGAGTATTTCAATCAGTTATTATATCTATACAACATATAAATCAACATCTTCCTTCAAGAAGTCTCTGGCAATGTTTTAGGATATTCCAGTGCATTTTAATTTTTATCAGATGCAAAGCCATTGCAGAAATTGTGTATCAGTCTAAATCTTAGCTCTGTCTTCAGAAAACGTTTCCTTCATACTACCATGAAAACAAGAGTTTTTATTTTCTGGAATTATAGGCCAAACCCTTGACAAAAACTAGAGTTATTATACTACTTCTGACCTATTCCCACGTTTTTTGTATTAAGAGCACTAATATCTCACTTTTATTGCTTAGAAATCTGATAGTTTTTTTCATTTAAACATTTTATAGTTTGTTTTCAAGTGAATATCAATATTTAAACATATGTTTAAATAAAAATCTTATATTACAAGCATACTTTCAAATTATTTTTCATCCCAGAAATAGGCAAGGTTAATTTTGCATGATCATGACTCAGGCAATTTGAGTGTGTGGCTGCTGGCATTTGAACAGGGAAATAAAAGCATAAGATACTCGTCTTCTCTTTCCGATTCTTGAAATTGCCAAACCAGTCTCCACTCCTCACTTTTCTTAACCCTCTAATCCTTATTCTGTTAAATATTTTATCATACAAATAACAAAGATAATAACTCTTAAATACAGGCAGTCAGGTTGGCCATAAGAGAGTCCCTTTACAATATAAAATGTAATTGCCTTCAGTAATTGACTAAAACCATTCCAACTGCTTTGCCTTGTAGAACATATCTTTAACCATTAATTTCCATGATCGAACTCCATTAGTCTAGTTTGGAAACCCTGGCAAGCAAATATTGCTATAAAAAACACATTACTTCAGTTTGCTTGCAACGGAAATATTTCTTTTTGTCAAAACTTACAGCATTGTTAATAGTGAGCAAAAGCTAATGTGTGAAAGAAAAACACAGTCTGAATGTCTAACTACCAGAGGGTCATACTTGGTCATACTTTCCCCAGATATTTTATTGGATGCTTATTACATTCAAGCCTATGGTGCTCAATAAATGTTTGTTGGATGAGTAAATGCTCTTGGCTGTGTGTGTTTCAGCCTTATTTTCTTAGTTTCTAGTTTCTTGCTTCCTCCAGTGTTGGCTAGCTGTTAGTCAGTTGCTTGTAGCCAATCAAATATTTTATTTGAAGGGTAAGATTATTCAGTTTAAAACAAAAGGGAAGGAACAGGAAGACAACTGCTGAAGCTGGGTTGTTTGCTGCTGTTAGTAAAAAAAAAAAATCTGCTAGCTATTAATTTGATTCATCTGGCAAGCTATTCCTATGCTAGCTAATTGACCGTTTATCATTAGAAAAAGTACAAAGGCAAAGTATCTACATGTGGCCCCTTCTACCCTGCACCCTTTCCGAATGGTTTCTGTATTAAGGCTTTGACTAAACTTTAAGACTTTCATGGGTAGGTTTATATACCAGTTTATGGCAGAGCCTTAAAGCCTGAAGTCAGCCTCCTGAACTGATATTGAATCCTTTCAAGGAAAAAAAGATGCGAAAAAAGAAATCCTTCATAAAACAACAGCATGAAGCAGATCTCAGCATTAGCTTTTAGCTTCTGATAATGTGCTTGGTATAATGTTTTAGTCAAGTTCTCGTGCCAAATGGGGTCCTTAGCCCTCACAGTAATTTTTGAAATATTTTTTACCATGAGTATATGAAATGATAGCTTTTAAAAAGCCACTGTAAATCTCAGAGCTCCCACTGTGGCCAGTGACAGCTGATAAATGGGAATGGGAGGAAAAGCAAGCAATGCAAATACAAAGCAATTTGCATGACTCAGTCCACCTGGAGGAAGCTTATGGAGGCACTGCTTTCTTACATTAAAGTGACTTGCCTTGCAAACTGTAGATTTCACCAACGCTGTTCTGACGAGTGATGTGATGCCAGTACGCGCTGCGAGGAAGAGATATTGATTTGGATAATGTCATTGGTTCAGTCAAGCTTGTCTGAAGCTAAAAGAGAAAAGAATGTGTTTTAGGCCTCGTTTTAAAATATTAAACTGAAATCTGCTCTTCTAAATATTCAGGGTTAAATGTGAGTGACAGATAGAATCTGCTATAGATACCTGCATGATCCCCGGTGTAAGGATAACTTTTAAAGTAAAATCATTACTCAAAAATATGAAAGGAATACTTGTAAACAATTTTACTCATTAATTAAGAAGAGAACATTAAGATGGTACGAATGATTCCAATGACTTGTAGCAATGGGGAATGCTGGCAAACACTCAGGGCATGATCAATTGTACTCACTCCACCTGACAAAGTTATTTACATTTCTATGGACAAGAATTATTTGCATTACTCTCAGCTTTCCACAATTTACAGAGTTGTAAAATAACTAAAAAAGTAAAGGTGCCAGCTGCTTCAGAAGCAGAGACCCATGAAAGGTTTACAGAATACCCGTTATTATTTTTTTTTACCCATTTCAATCGCTAAACATTTTTCCTTACACTTCCTCCCAACCTTACACAATGGATATTTTCTCAAATAGACCTTTTTCCTTGCCCCTGTTATAGAATCTTGTACATATTAAAAAAGGTATTCTCTGAGAAACACTGTGATAAAACTGTGGCATGTTTGTTTATTCGAAACATACATTTTAAGGATTGCTGAGAAGATTCACACAATATCACGTGCTCCGGCACATGATTAGTTCAAAGAAAATAATAGTTTACATTGGACTTCCAAGAAATAGCTTTATTTTTATTAATGCAGAAATAATTTCAAGAAGCATGCAGAAATGGTTTTATTTAGTCTCGGCACACATGTCTCTGACCCAACCTGAGGAAATGTTTACTTTTTGACAGACAATGAGCAATCCTCTAATGAATAAAATCTCACATTTTCTCTTTATGTAATGCCTGACTCCTGGCAAAACTGAGTTGCAAAGATCATCTCTGTCAAATCTAGGCTTTGCGTGCCTTTCTGCTACTGTGGTGTGTACCTCCCACGGTGCACCTGCACACCCCGTGCCTGGTCCTCGATGCTTGGATGGGTCACATACTTCTGCATCCAGCATTGGATTTGACTCTTACCACCCTTCATAGAAGATGCTATCAGGAAAGTACCTGATATGACACACCAGGTCGTTCAAGGCCACATAAAACTAAGAGGTTCTTACATTTTAATAGAAAGTGGAATTATAGAGCTTGAACTTACTTATTTCATTTTACTTTCTTAGTAGTAAGGCATTTCTCGAGCTGCTACGTCTTGTCACAGAAGTGCCATACTCAGTCTATTTAAAAGTCTGGGACTGTTGAGGTATCTTTCTTTTTTTAAAGATGGCTCCCAATGGTAACTTTGCAGCCATTCTTTGTTTTTCAAAATTTGGTAGACTTCAAAGTTTTCCTGCTTATTACATAAACAGGTGAACTATCCACATCCACATCCTGTGGTTGGTGTTTACAGGGGTGGGGTTCTAAGGAGACAAGTTTCTGGGTTATCATAGAGTAGTGCTTTCAGAATCTTTGGGTGGTTTGGTAACAATAATAACGGCAGGAGACGGTGAAATGGCTAGGCAGATAAGGAAGGCTCCCCGGGGAACCTCTGACCCACCCAGGTCATTGCTCATATGGGACTTGTCTAAACAAGCCCACGTAAAAAATATTCTGTCCCTTAACACATGCGTAGTAAAGGAAATGAATTGGGGTGGCTCAGACCAAGGGCCCACATGTGCACTGGAAAAAATGGGGCGGAGCCACCAGGAAATCACACCTGATGCAGGGGAGGAGCCTGGCCCCTTCAGGTCCTGTGTGGTGGCCTTGTGTTCAATCTGTGAGGTGGGAGCTGGCTGGTGGGGGACCCCTCTCTTTGCTGAGAGCTCCCCTTTTGCTTAATAAATTCTGCTTTCCTCACCCTTCAATGTGTTCACATGCCTAATTTTTCCTGGTTGTGAGACAAGAACCTGGATTTAGCTGAACTAAGGAGCAAAAAAATCCTGCATCAACAATGGAGGTCTCCAGTTTTACCCCGGACCTAACAGTGGGGGACTCTGCAGGTAGAGCTATGCACGTTAAAAACGTGCATTACACCCTCATATGGATGGAAGTCCATCATCCACCACCATAAAGAACTAGAGGCCAGGCTCATTTTATGAAAGGATTATTAGGAGAAAAGATAGGACTTTCGTCTTTAAAGCCAATTTCCCATATGAGGCATAAACTTAATTAAACACATAAATCTTCAATTCATGTCAGCAATGCCCATTAATAACAACAATCCATAGATTCAGTCTCATATTAATCACCGTTCTGCCTACTGTCTACTCTTTATTCCTTTTTCTAATGTATTATAATTTGTTTATTACTCAGCATACAGTAGATCATTGATGGTAAATTAATCTTTCCAAAATGTGATGAAAGTGCTTTTTCTTCTCTTTTTTTTATTCTGGGAGACATTTTTCTTCCCAAATGTGGTCAGTTTTAAGCATCAGGGAAATAGAGTAAGCATTTTTTGTTTGCTGGAAATATAATTGGAAGCCACTGGATAATAACTCTTCCACATGATTTGCTTCTGAATCACCCTGTATTGTTTTACGCCTCATGTTTCTCTACTCTTCCCTCTTCATTGTTTTCGTGTTCTAGGATGCTTTTAATGATATTCTATTTCTTTAGGTTTCTCCTTATTCTACTTCCATAATTTATTGCTGAAAAATGGAAAATTTGTATTTAAAAAATTGATCATGGATTTTCTTGGGATCTTTGCCAGGGATACAAATCTAGTCCCCCATTTCTCAGATGTCTAAATGTTCCCCTGGACTTTTAAAATAGAGTCCATTCCCCATGTGTACCTATGTATTGAGTACTGCTGTAGACTGAACTGTGTTCCCCCACAAATTCATATGTTAAAACACTATCCCCCAAATGACTATATTTGAAGACAAGGCTTTTAAAGAGCTTAATGAAGGTTAAGGGAAGATATAAGTGTGGGGACCCTAATCAAATAGGACTTGTGCCCTTAGATGAAGAGGAAGAGACACAGGGATAAATATTCACAGAGAAAAGGCTATTAAGGACACAGCAAGGAAGTGCCCATCTAAAAGTCAAGAAGAGAGGCCTCAGGAGAAACCAACCCTGCAGGTATATTGGTTTTTGCACTTCCAGCCTCCAGAACTGAGAAAATAAATTTCTGTTGTTTAACCCATCCAGTTTGTGGTATTTTGTTATAGCAGGCTGAGCAAACTAATATGAGTACTCTCATGGGGAATCTAAGAAATGCAGAATCTGATTTAACCAGCAATTCTTAATTTTGTTATGAACTTTAAGCAATGTATTAGAAATTGACCTGTTTGATCTGTGCAGTGACTAAGACAGTATTTCAAGCACTCTTGATAACTTCTTTTTTTTTTTTTTTTTGGAGATAGGGTCTCACTCTGTTGCCCAGGCTGGAGTGTGGTGCAATCTTCGCTCACTGCAATCTCCGCCTCCCAAGCTCAAGCAATTCTGCCACCTCAGCCTCCCGAGTAGCCTGGATTACAGGTGTAAAACTTTTTTTGATGACAGGCTTCAACAAAGAGGACACACATCCTTAACTATTTAATTAAAACTCATCCTTAACTATTTTCATATTATAATGCTTCAATTAAAAGCATTAAGAAAAAACAAAACTTAAAATGCTATAGTAATGCCTTCATTGAAAAAGCAATGCATCAATTTGACCAGGAGGATTTTTAGGACCATAAAAGTATGTATATCAACAAAATATATAAGGCAACTTATATTGCAAATAAATATTTATATAAAAAATTATGTTATGAGATTATTTCTAAACAATGTATTTTAAGAAATTAAACAAGATGGATACATGTGTTTGAAGTTCTTTCATTCCTTCTCTGCAAGGGTCTGCTGTATTGATTCTTTCAGTGGACTTAGTAAAAAAAAAAGTCTCAAACAGCGATACAAAATTCTGCAATCTTTGTGCCAGAATTCCCTTGTTATTTATAAGACTATTTCCTGTAGGCGATGCTTCTCCTTTTTGCATAGGGTCAGGATTTAGAAACGATGCTCTGGCATACATACAGAAATCAACTAGATTAGGAGGCATTGATTCAGTTCTTGATATACTTGCCATCACTTTTTGTCATTTTTGGTTCTAACTCTCTCTTCCTTCTATTCTTTTGAAACAGCAGTCAGTTTTCTAGGATATGAGCAATGAATCAGGAGTTAGTTAGCATCTAGAAAGAGTAGAGATCACAGCTCAAATAAGCCTGGAGAGTAGTTAAAACATTTGTGTTTTATTTGAGAGGGACAACCGACACATCTCATCACAAAGCCAACAGTCTAAGAAAATAATTTAGCCCCTAAGTGCTGTATGGAGACTGCACTGATACCTTTGTTTGAATATAACACAAATGAGAGTTATGCTGTCCTCAAGTTGATGAGAATAGACCCTTCTCCCCAACCAGAAAAGAGGTTTAGATTTAGAGGGCTCTTGTAAAGATAGAAACAAGGGTGGGTTCCTTGTGTTTTTCCCATTTAGGCAATATATAAATACACTTATCTTTTATTTGTAAATATTTGAGATTCGTAGATGATATCAAAGAGATTCCAATCCTCATCTCTCTTTCCTCCCCTAAACTTCAGAAGATTCTTTTGAACACATTTCATTGAAAAGGTCATTTTTAGGAAACAATGAGTCCTGTGTCACTCTGGCTTTGCACTTTTGTTACTATCTTTTCAAGTATGTTTGTACAGCAAACAGCCTCCAGGCAGAGGGCAGATTTGTTTCCTGACCAGGACAGTACAGATCCTATTTTCCTCCAAGGCAAAGGCTGGGCAGGGTTGCTAGCAGCCCCCTGATAAGATGGGGAGTTGCTAACTCAGATCCCTTGGCTGTGGTAATATGCAGCACCATCCACCCTGGCTGCTCCACATGACCCCGTGGGACCAGGGGACCAGGGAAACCTATGGAAGCATGAAACTCATGATGCTCGCTGTGCCTCAGGAATCAAGTCCTCTGTCTCTGACTCAGGAGTTTTTTGTGTTTTCTGCCAACATCCATGAAACTAATAGGCAAGGGAAGCAGGGCTGGTAGCATCTTTCCTGCTTTTGCTAATCTTTGATTGTCTCTACTCTTCCTATCTCTTGAATCTAAATTACTGTATTAAAGTTCCTTCATTGAACTCTCTATCACAGGCTCCATTTACTTAAGTGGACCCTGAATAATACAAAGGACTACCTTGCTATGCCCCAAATGTATTCACTATATCCATACTGAAAGGCATTAACTTATTTCTGCTCTTTTGGAACTAAAAACTAAAAAATCTCAAAACTAAAAAATTTTGAGAAAAATTTTAAACATTTAGGTTAGTTATGCCATCTAGGGACTTTAGCTGATGTATGTATAAGTAGAATTATGACCGTTGTTCCCCTAAAAAGTCATCAATTCTCCTAAGGTTATTTGGTGTTCACATTTTAATACAAAACCATCAAATTCTTGTAGGATTTTTTAAAAAAATACATTTTTATAAGTCCTTTCATATGTTGAATTTATATATTTGGGTTTTACTTTGGATAATGTTTCTATATTTTTATATTTATCTTTTAGAGAGACTTGTGTTTTCATTTATGTAAATAACTCATATTTTTCAGTTCTTATATTTTGTGCTTGTGCTAATTAATTTCCACCTGCTGTTTTTCTTAGGTTATCTTCTTGATCTATTTTTTTTACCTTCTCAAGTTAAGTATTAATTAAAATTGTATTTGTTTAATAAAAGCATTTGCTTCTGAATGAAGTAGAATAGAAGGTATTCTCTCCTAAAATTATATAATTGTAAATTGTAGCTTTATTTCCTTTTTTACATAAAGTATTGCTTGTGTATATTTTCTTAAGGTAATGATTTTTTGTGCACTTTTTTTTTCCTTTTTGTAGAGACGAGATCTCATTATGTTGCCCAGGCTGCTCTGGAACCCTGGCCTCAAGTAATTCTCCCACCTCAGTCTCCCAAAGCACTGCCATTAGAGGTGTGAGCCACTGCACCCGGCCATTTGTGCAAATTTTATTATTTTTTATTTAATGTTTTGTAGTAGAGAACATGCACTGAGTAGTTTCCGTACATTAAAATTTATTTTTCATTTTTAACTAATATGGCCAATTTCTGTACATCTTGTAAGTACTTGAAAAGATGCACACACTGATGTAGAATCTCTCTACACACACTCAAATATACACATAATAAACACTATTCACTCTGCATTTCCTGCTCTATATATATTTGTTCAATTTTTAATCCACTGTATCAAGATATGAAAGTGTTAATTTCAAATGACTGATTAGCATGTTTCTGTCCATTTCCTCTTGTATCTTTTAAGTACTTTTTAACTGTACTATAAATTGACAATTTATAATTATATATATTTGTGGGGCACATATTATAATTTATGAATACAAGTGAAATAAATCAATCTAATTAACATAACCATTAATTCAAATACTTATCTTTTTTGTGATAAGAACCTTTGAAATTTACTTGGTAATTTTGAAATGTACAATACAGCATTACTAACTATATTTGCCACAATAGAACACTCAAAATCAAAATAAAACATACTCTTCCTGCCTGAGACTTTTACCCTTTGACCGTCATCTCCCTGTTGCCCCCGAGCCCCTAGCCTTTGTAGCCACATTTCTACTTTCTACTTTTATGAGTTGATTGATTTAGATTCCATTTATAAGTGAGAATACATGGTATTTGTCTTTTTGTGTCTGGTTTATTTAACTTAGCATAATGTTCTCCAATTCCATCTATGTTGCTGCAAATGTCAGTTTTCTTTTTTTTTAAGGCTATGTTGCTGCAAATGAGTTTTTCTTTTTAAGGCTCAATACTATTCCACTGCGTATGTGTTCCACATTTTTAATCCATTCATTTGTTGATAAACACTTATGCTGATTCCATAAACTTACTATTGTGAAACATGCTGCAGTGAATATAAGAGAATTGAATCTCTTTGACACTGATTCAAATCATTTGGGTACATACCTAGACGTAGAATTGCTGGCCTATGGGGTAGTTTTATTTTTAAATGTTTGAGGAACCTTCATGCTGTTTTCCCCAATGGTTGTACTAATTTGCATTCCCAGCAACAGTGTTCAGTGTCCTGGTCCCCTTTTCTCCATGTCGTCACCAGCACTTGTTACCTTTCATCTTTTTATAATAGCCATTCTGATGCGTATGAGAAGATATCTCATTGTGGTTTTATTTGCATTTCCCTAATGAATAGCAATGTACAGCATTTTTTATGAACCTTTGTAGCCATTTTTATGTCTTTTGAAAAATGTCTGCTCATGTTCCTTGCCCATTTTTCAAGTACTATTTTATACATGAAAGTGGTATTTTATTTAATTCACAAAGCTTTCTGACTGTTCTATGGTTCTATAACTTACATTTCCCCTCCTTAGCTATTTTATTAAACTCTCCTTTAAAAGTTCTGCCCAGGCCTAATGTTCAACCTCACCTCCATCTTCTAGCCCCTACCCTTCCAAATGAATAAGAATCTCTTCTGTGTTCTCCTAGGAAGTCTGGGCTTTCCTTTCAAGAAACAGTGTTGTTCATCATCCATTAATATCTTTGTTTCATCTGCACTTGTTCTAGTAGAAATTATTGAGCATTTTTAACACATACATGTTTTTATATATATTATATATATATAATATATATATATATAAAATGCCTTTTCCTTATTTTCAGCCAAATTCAAGTATTCTACACTTTTATATCCCTTTAGTCATTTTACCCGGTATTTGACCCAGAACTTTTTTTTTTTTTTTGATGGAGTCTCGCTCTGTCGCCAGGCAGGAGTGCAGTGGCGCAGTCTTGGTGGCTCACTGCAACCTTCGCCTCCCAGGTTCAAGCAATTCTCCTGCCTCAGCCTCCCAAGTAGCTGCACTACAGGTGCGCACCATCACGCCCAGCTAATTTTTTTTGTATTTTTAGAAGAGACAGGGTTTCACCATGTTGGCCAGGATGGTCTCGATCTCTTGACCTCATGATCTACCTGCCTCGGCCTCCTAGAGTGCTGGGATTACAGGCGTGAGCCACTGCACCCGGCCAACTCATTGATTTTTATCTACTTAAATCCTCATAAAATTCCTGTAAGATAGGAAAGGGATGAAGTATCCCTCTTTAAAATGAGAGGATGCTGAAGCTTTGATTGATTAATATCAATCGACATTCCTAAGAACATATATCCTGTGGAAGCAAAACTGGAATCATGATTCTGCTCTATGCTTTTGTCCTTTTTTTTCATCATCAAGAGATTCTGTATAATGTTTCCTCATAATCTTACATCATAAATAGTAATAAATATTGCATTATTTTGTGAAAGATTGAAGATGGCTGCAAATTCGTTTAAAAGCTGGCACTCAGAAACTGCCTATGTTCCTTCATTTTTTTAAATGTTCATTTTTAAGTTCTGGGGTACAGGTGCAGGATGTGCAGGATTGTTATATAGGTAAACTGTGTGCCATGGTGGTTTGCTGCAGCTATCAACCCATCACCTAGATATTAAGCCTAGCTATTTTTCCTAATGGTCTCCCTCTCCCCACCCCAACCCCCAACAGGCCCCAGTGTGTGTTGTCCCCATCCCTGTGTCCATGTGTTCTCATTGTTCAGTTCCCACTCGCAAGTGAGGACATGTGGTATTTGGTTTTCTGTTCCTGCATTAGTTTGCTGGGGATAATGGCTTTCCAGCTCATCCATGTCCATGAAAAGGACATAATCTTGTTCCCTTTTATGGCTGCATAGTATTTCATGGTATGTATATACCACATTTTCCTTATCCAGTCTATCATTGGTGGGCATTTGGGTTGATTCCATGTATTTGCTATTGTGAACAGTGCTTCAGTGAACATATGCATGCCTGTATCTTTGTAATAGAATGATTTCTATTCCTTTGGGGATACATCCAGTAATAGGATGACTGGTGAAATGATATTTCTGGTTCTAGATCTTTGAGGAATTGCCACACCATGTTCCACAATGGTTGAACTAATTTACATCCCACCAACAGTGTAAAAATGTTCCTATTACTCCACAACCTTGCCAGCATCTGTTGTTTGATTTCTGCCTTAATTTCATTATTTACCCAGAAATCATTCGGGAGCAGGTTGTTCAATTTCCATGTAGTTGTGTGGTTTTGAGTGAGTTTCTTAATCTTGAGTTCTAATTTGATTGCACTGTGGTCTGAGAGACTGTTATGATTTCAGTTCTTTTGCATCTGCTGAGGAGTGATTTACTTCCAATTATGGGATAAATTTTAGAGTAAGTGCCATGGTGCCAAGAAGAATGCATATTTTGTTGTTTTGGGGGTGGGTTTATCAGGTCCACTTGATCCAGAGCTGAGTTCAAGTCGTGAATATCTTAAGTTTCTGTCTCGGTGATCTGTCTAATATTGACAGCGGGGTGTTAAATTCTCCCACTATTATTGCATGGGAATCTAAGTCTCTTTATAGGTCTCTAAGAACTGGTTTTATGAATCTGGGTGCCCTGTATTGGGTGCGTACATATTTAGAATAGTTAGCTCTTCTTGTTAAATTGACCCCTTTACCATTATGTAATGCCCTTCTTTGTCTTTTTTGAACTTTGTTGGTTTAAAGTCTGTTTTGTCAGAAACCAGGATTGTAACCCCTGCTTTTTTGTTTTCAATTTGCTTGGTAAATTTTCCTCCACCCTTTTATTTTGAGTCTATGTGTGTCTTTGCATGTAAGATTGTTCTCTCCCTTTAATCTGGGCTTCTTGGTGATTGTTTTGACCAGTATAACATATGGTAGGTGTGACATTATGTCTGCTGTGGACATGACTTCTAAGACCCTTATGACAGCTCCTCTTCCTCTCACTTCTTCTGAGTCACCTTGTAAGGCTGCATACATGTAAGACTGCTACGGAGTGAGGAAGCTTCAAGTAACTATGTGGACAAGTCATGCAATTCAAGGTTTAAATCCTTCTTAGAAAGCCTAGCAATTTTCTTACAGATGGGAAATCAACATGCAGAAAAATTCAAGAATTTGCTCAAGGTAAATCTCAACTACAGAGCTCCCAATAGAAAACAGTTCTCTAGACTCTGAGCCCATTGCTCTTTAGACTTTGATGCTGATATCTTCTGTGGGGGGGAGGGGGCGGAGCGGAAAGAGCTTCCTCCCTAATATATTGCAATGTGGACATTCTACCCTTATCCCTTGAGAAGACCTAAGTTACTAGGAAGGTGGGGCTGACAAATGTTGGGAATTTTATGAAGGTATTGGCAACCCACACCTCTTCATGCTTTTGCCAAAAATATGACCTTAGGTAATCTTACTGTCTCTGAAATTTTTTCCTTTGTTGATTTGAGGCTTTTCTTCCCCCTGTGATGAACATTGATGCTAATTTGTGTTCATTTACATAAAATTCATTTGTATAAAAAAACTGTTAACTGACTTTCCTTTTGCTCTTTATCTCTCTAGTGATTGCCTAAAAATTAAAAATTGGATTAGCAGTTGAGACAAATCTATATACAACTGAGAGAGAAGAAATTCAGCATTTATAAATTGACATTTATGAGCCATTCTCTATGTGCCTGGCAATGTGCAAATTGGTTTCATATATTATACTACTGAATATTCACATAAATTGTCAACAAATATGCCATCTGAACTTTACAGACAAGGACAATGAGGTACAGAGGGATAATATAATTTGTTCATGGTGACACGGCTAATGAGAGATGGCTCTGAGGTTTCAGAGTCTTGATATTCTTCCCTCTTCCCCATGACTCACTGTAAAATACATTACTGGATCTCTCTTCTCCAGGATACAGATAAGATGAGAATTACACCAATTGGGTAAATTTCACAAAACCAGAGCAGGAATGCGAGTGCCTGTTTCTCATGTTCAAGACAGAACACCTTCTCATGTTCAAGAAGAACACCAATTGGCTTATCACAGACTTGGCTTAATTTTCAATAAGGGACACCTCACCCTTAATCTTCCATTTTATTCAAGATAAATGGAAAGGAATTAGAAGATACCATGCTAGGTCTGTACCAGAATGACAAATAAAAGGTAATATTTACATGGTCATTGAATGAAAGTTGCTAGATGTCATTTAATTGAACTTTGTAGGATATTTTCATTAAACCTGAAGAAATGAGTGTTATTGTATATTTCAAATCATGTATTGGCCAGGTGCGGTGGCTCATGCCTGTAATCCTAGCACTTTGGGAGGCCAAACTGGGCAGATTGCCTGAGCTCAGGAGTTTGAGACCAGCCTGGGAAACATGGCAAAATGCTCTCTACTAAAATACAAAAAATTAGCCAGGCGTGACGGCATGTGCCTGTAATTCTAGCTACTGGGGAGGCTGAGGCACGAGAATTGCTTGAAACTAGGAGGTAGAGAGCCAAGATCATGTCACTGCACTCCATCCTGGGCAACAGTGAGACTCTGTCTCTAAATGAATAAATAAATAAATAATTAAATAAATAAAATCATGTATGGACCAAAATACTTTCAGGAAGTCTGAAAATAAGCTGAGTTTGAGAATAACAGCAGAAACTGTCATTCACTTTCAACATCATTTCCGTCTGCAATCAGTAATGCATTTAACAACATGTATATTCTTAATCTCTCTATTATCTCTATTTCTGTTTATCTATTTGTAAGTAAGACACATTTACAGAGCTGCTCTTTGAATAAAAGGAACATGATAAATACACATAAAACGTTAAATTTCTTAGTGATTTAAAATCAAATTTTGGGCTCTTTCTAAATTAAAAAAATGTAAATATCTAGAGGCTATCGTTAAGTTCATAAAATTAATTTCCAATATCTGCACGTAATGAAAGCTGGGATGAATTTTTAGTGATGGTTAAAACAGTTTTTCCCACTTAAAGCTAAATTTTCTTGCTAGCCATCTTATGAATTAGCTCATAATTACTGAGCTTTTACTAAAGACCAGGTGGTGTTCTAACACTGTGAAGTACATATTATGATATCATTGTGCTTCACTCAACACCTTTTAAGTACAGGTAACTGAAGCACAGAGAACGTAACTTGCCCAAGGTCACATAGCTCTGTTGTAGTCTCCCTGGAATCAATCTCTGAAATCCTACTGTGTTTCTTCTACAATCTGCATCTGTGTTCACTGAACACATCCCAGGAACTGACACTTCCTATCACATTCACTGGATGTGGCCTTCATTATCCTCCCAGGCAATGCTTATATCAACTCCTTAGATTTTCGTGGCCTACATTTAAAAAATACTTCTGTTTTATAGCATTGTTCCAAAGAAAAGATAGTCTGAGCCATTGGGTTATATGTGTGTATGTTGTCATAATGTCTGTATGTTGGGTCATTTTGATGAACCTTTTGAAATCTGTTATTTTCATTTAAGAAAACTATCCTTGTGCAGCTTTCTTTATATTGTTCAGTTCCAGCAAAGCAAAGAATCAAAACTGTATTTTTTTAAACACAGAAATTGCAATATTTTGTGTTAGGCAATGATTTTTCTTACACAGAACCAACTCTGATCTATTTGATTTACATTTGAGAAGTACATACATGTACATACATACATACATGAAATGCATTTTCTGAAGTGACATCTAAAATATCAATTTTAAGGAAACAAGTTTTAAGAAAAAAGAACATGATAGTCTAATTTTTACTCACATCATGCAAGAACACCACTGGTTAGATAAATTACACATTGCTTTCTCACTATCTCTACCTCCTTCGTGTCCTTACGCAGAGATACATGTTTCTCCTTGGGCATGTGTATGTGTGGGTGTTTTTTTTTTTTTTTTTTTTTTAGATGGAGTGTTGCTACTGTTACCCAGGCTGGAGTACAATGATGTGATCTCTGCTCACCGCAACCTCTGCCTCCCAGGTTCAAGTGAGTCTCCTGCCTCAGCCTCCTAAGTAGCTGGGATTACAGGCACCCGTCACCACGCCCAGCTAACTTTTTGTATTTTTAGTAGAGACAGGGTTTCACCATGTTGGCCAGGCTGGTCTTGAACTCCTGACCTCAAGTGATCTGTCCGCCTCGGCCTCCCAAAGTGCAGGGGTTACAGGCGTGAGCCACCCCGCCCAGCCAAGTGAGGTTTTGTTGTTGTTGTTTAGACTAAATTTTCTTTAGTGTTCTGAAACTGAACAACAGTAAGTGAATTGATTAATTGGGATCACAGATCCATTTTCACATTTTCATTATCAACCATAATAATTTGTTCTAATTCAGCTTGTGTTGTTTCATCGCAATCCATGACTATCAGTAAAAAAAGAAAAAAAATCACAAATATGCAAATGTGATCACTCTCAGCAATCAAAAGCTCTAATCTTATGATTAACATTGGTAATATTGAGTGATAAAATCATGAATAGAACTCTGAATAATAACTGTATTTGCAGTTATTCTTTTTTTTTTTTTTTGATACGGAGTCCTGCTCTGTTGCCCAGGCTGGAATGCAATGGTGCGATCTCGGCTCACTGCAACCTCCGCCTCCCGGGTTCAAGCAATTCTCCTACCTCAGCCTCCTGAGTAGCTGGGATTACAGGCACCCACCACCACACCAGCTAATTTTTGTATTTTTAGTAGAGACGGGGTTTAACCATGTTGGCCAGGCTGGTCTTGAACTCCTGACCTCAGGTGATCCACCTGCCTTGGCCTCCCAATGTTCTTTCTTTTTCTGTCCACCAGAGCTTAGGAAAATCACAGGATTGACAGCTCTGGAGGGCAGCCCATTTGACAAGTCCCACTGATGATGTTTTTAAGGCATTAGACAAAGTCTTGATATCTTCCTGGCGTTTCAACAGCACTCATGCTATTTGTCCTTACACTGTATACAGAGCTTTTCTGGTGAGCAGGAGATGGGGATTACAGAACAGGAGCATCCTAAATGCTGTTTTTTTTTTTTTTTTAATACACTGAAATTCTCATTTTGTGAGGGTGTTTGTATACAAATGTTTTTAAATTACTTGCAATGTTAGAAGATTGGAAATTACTGACAATCCCCCCCACACTTCTTTTTGCTTACTTATTTTGGATATAGCAGAAAAAAAAAATCTTTTTTTTTCTCATTCTTGTCTTCTCAACTGCTCTTTACATGTGAGCATTTTATAATAAATTGCTTTAGAACATAAAAGGCACATTTTAAAAGAAAGCACCTTTCATTTAATGTGCATGTGTGTGCATGTAAAGCAGATCCATGAAAATCTAAAATTAAATTATTTCAATCCAGTTGAGGCCGTGTCCATGATGATTTCAGCCTGTACTCAACCTTAACAGGCTAAGTCACATGGGAGCATTTGTGATACAGTTTCTGATGAGTGGCTTCTATCACAGTGTCAAAACTTTTTTTGATAATGTTGCACATGCATGTCAAACCATCTACAGATACTTTTGGCAATGGAATCCAAAGAACTCTGCTAGCTCTGAGAACAAGAATGATCTCTGTGAAATGGAAACATTTCTAGAGATGAACATATCGTGTTCAAATATCTAGCTTTAATCATTTTCTCAAATATTTGAAACATATTCCTCAAAAATAGTTCCAGTTTAATATGTATTACCCTAGCTTAATTCTCCCATGTATCTTCAAACTCTTTTAAAATTAGACTGGTTTGTAGTTTGAAAATGAAGAAGGTATAGAGACTCCTTAAGATTGCTGTCTCCTTTTCTGCCAAGACCAGTTTCTGATTCTCACTTGGAGGCAGGAATGAGAAGCTGTTGCTGTACCTCTGAATGCAAAATGGCAAGCATGTCATCTTCTAATACAGAGATCATTCTATGGAGGGCCGACTCCAATAAGTTGATTATCCCAATAATCTGTCAGGCTCTTGCCATGACAATATGAACAAGCTCAAATGGTGTATTTATTATCATGTAGCAAAATTCAATGATGGTGATGTCTTACCCATACATACATTGAGGTATGGAAAACTTTTGATATTTCAAGGAGTCAAAGGACATGCAATAATCTTGTTCTGAGCAGTACAAATTATTTGATCCCACACAATTCTGGGCTACTTGAGAAGGAACTTTCTTGCTCTCCTCTTGTATTTCCCTGTACCACTGTGCAGGGTACTCAGCATAGTGCAAGCACTTTATAATCTTGTGAATGGTTAATAAACCAATAACCTCTCCTTAATATGTTGTCAGTTAATATTAATTTTTTATTCTTCTCAGTGAAGGAAATCAAGACATTCACTTCTAATTATCTTACCAATTTAGTGGTTCTTTTGTCCAGTTACTTTTGAGTGGCAAATGCAATGTTTTCTCACAATGTTGATAAATTTTTCTTTTTCTTTTTCTTTTTTTTTTTTTTGAGATGGAGTTTCACTCTTGTTGCCCAAGCTAGAGTGCAATGGCACGAACTCGGCTCACTGCAACCTCTGCCTCCTGGGTTCAAGCGATTCTCCTGCCTCAGCCTCCTGAGTAGCTGGGATTACAGGCATGTGCCACCATGCCTGGCTAATTTTGTATTTTTAGTAGAGACAGGGTTTCTCCATGTTGGTTGGGCTGGTCTCAAACTCCTGACCTCAGCTGATCTGCCTGCCTCGGCCTCCTAAAGTGCTGGGATTACAGGCATGAGCCACCGTGCCTGGCCAGTGCTGAGAAATTTTTCTAAACATCAAATTCTTCAAGCAAGAATAGAAATGTCCTAATTCAGACTATGGATATATGTCAAATATGTTTATTCATGTGGCCCCCCAAAGAAAGTGGGTTATAAACAAGGGCAAAATAAGGTCTTATATGGTGTGAAAAGATCATATTGAATTTTCTTTCATAGTAAGAAATGGTTGTTGAGACATTATTTCTCATTTGAGTTTTTTTATCCAACTTTCAAGTTACAATTTTGTTATTTTAAATAGTAAATGAAGAGTTAGAGAGTATTTAAACACTCTTTCATACTTGTTGGAAATTTTTGTATAAGAGTTTTCTGTGGCCAGGCATGGTGGTCATGCCTGTATTCCTAGCACTTTGGGAGACCAAGGAAGTTGGACTGCTTGAACCCAGGAGTTCAACACCAGCCTGGGCAACACAGTAAGACCCCGTCTCTATAAAAAATACAAAAATTGGCTAGGAATAGTGGTGCAGGCCTGTAGTACCAGCTAGTTGGGGGCTGAGGCTGGAGGACTGCTTGAGCCCAGGAGGTTGAGGCTGCAGTGAGCTGTGTTCACATCATTACACTCTGGCCCGGGTGACAGAGCGAGACCCTGTCTCAAAAAACAACAGCAACAAAGAAAAGTTTTGTGCATGTTGAGGTATCTATAAAAAAATTGTATCTGGAGAACTGGAAAACTTTGCTTTTGGTTGTAGTATTTTGGAAATTTAGGCATTTATCAACTTGAGGCAGCTTGCACTTGGAAAGGATTAGTTCAGTTTACTCTGAAGAACAAATTAGCCATGGAGTAGTTCTTACTAGCATTAACCTGCAGAGAAAAGCATAGTTGGAAATTATTTCTGAATTAAATCAAACACTCTATTGACATGTATGGGCCAAGTGATGGAGTCTCTGATTTTGTAATTTCTAGAAACATTTTGTTTCTCTGTTGAGCCTTGCTGAGCCTGCTGTTTAAACATTTGTTGCGCTCTCCCTTCTATCTCTGTCTCAGCACTGATATTGGCACCCACGCCTGTGGTGTACACCCTGGCTTTAGACTGCCTGTGGTTACATTGACTGGATCCATTATCTCATCTCTGAGCCATTAAAAGCAATTACTTGGCTCCATTCCTTTGACTTGCTTCTCAGTGGCACAGGACACGAGAAACATACAACAACATCAACAACAAAAGTGAATTAAGTTTTGTTTAGCAAATATTTTGGCACAACATTGTTAGAAATACTTGAAAGATTGTGAAGGATATTATGTAGCCATAATAGCAACTCTTATAACTATACAATGTCACTCCGACATCACCGTCATCCATAATGAACACTTTCATGGTACTTCTATGTGCTTGGTCTGATTCTCAGCACTTTATGTAGATGAATGCGCAGAAACCTCATAACAACCAAATGAGTAGAACTATTACATGCCCTTGTTACAGATAAAGGAAAACCAGAGTTAAATAATTTGCCCAAGATTATACAGCCAGTAAGTGGTGGTGTTGGGATGCAAGCCCAGAGCACCAACGGGGTACTCTTCTTTATGGCAGATAATTACAGTATGTGAAAGAGCTCTTGGAATTTCCATCATTAAAATATAATTTAAATCACTCTATGAGCTTTTGCTTGTTTAAAACAACTATAAGTAAAGAAGTACAGAGGTTAACTAATAGCAAGTGACATCATGGTTAGCCCCATGGTAAATCTTGGTTGAAAACAAGCACCAGCAGATTGAAAATATGGGCTGATGATCAATATGCATGACTCTGAAATAATTTGAAATTTGATAGTTATATTTTTCCACTTGATTTTAATCGCTAGAAAAACATCACGTTGATTAGATAATTGTTACAATGGTTTAAAGTTAACCCAAATCTTTCTAGAAGTTTGTTTTACCAGCCCTCTCTAATTGATGATTCTTCAGTCAACCCCACAGTCTCATCCTAATCATCCTACAAATGCTGAAGCTACTCTTTCATTTCCATGGGGAGTCCAATGCCCTGTGTTGCCCTTTCCCTCCTGAGGTGTTAGGAAGGCTCTTTTTTAACCGTACCCCAGATGGAGAGAGAAATATAGTATTGAGAAAGTTAAAAGTGCATTAAGAGTAAAATATGATCATTTAAGCTACTTCTGTTCTCTTTCTTTTAAAAATATTTATTTTATACTTCAAAATGTTTCATAGAATTTTAGAGATAAAAACTAAAATAATAGTAATATGAAACTTTCTTAAACTACAATAGACTTACTGATGTTTCACAAAGAGAATTATAGATGCTTCCCAAACACTACCTGTCCTTCTATAGATGAACTCTGATGCATCTTTATAAATCCTAGAGAAAAAACAATACTCATCTCTTAAGATCATAATCAATAGTCATTTCATTGTTTGCTTTTTCAAGCAAATTAGTAATAAAGCTTATAATTATTTTTCAGCTTGTCATATTAATAAAATTTACTACTTTAGATTCTTTACTAGATTATTTTTTAGCTTGATCCTAAAACTGGACTACAGTTCCAGGACAAGATGATAGACAAATTATTCTATTGTCAACCAGCATAACCTCCTTCTGTAAACATTTTATTATACATACAGGAAGAGCTAGAACTTTTAGAGCACCTAGGATAAACATAAAGGTTAAAAAATAAAGTGGAACCCTTCCTGGTGAGAACTTAATTTTCCTAGTTATTTTGAGCCCATATTTAAATCTGATTGTCCAACTGTATGTGGGGACATGCAGACAGCATTGCTTCTTATTTCATGCAATCTACTCTCTGACATCCAAGGCAACAGGTCTTACATAGGTAGATGCCAGAAGTGCAGGGCTCACAGTTGGTGGCCACAATAACTTCTTTTTTGACATATTGAATAGGATATTAGAGAGATGAGAGGGTAGGGTAAGCCCTCAGGATCAGGGCAGGGTGGACACCCAGGCGCTGACATGAATGGCCCCACACATACACAGTGTACATCAGATCCCAGTGACATTCATTTCCAAGCTGATAGGTTACCAAGGAAGGGGCCTTACCCGGGCCTTCTGTTCCATTTCTAGCATTAATCTTTCATGTTGCTCAGCTATGGCCAGTGTCGCAGAATGAACCTTCTGATAGATCATTTCTCCTTCCCTTGTTTGAAAAGTGAATAGTCCTTCTCCTGTGTCACACATTCTGTGAGAATAGAGATAGGGAAAGAGATGGGTCTCCATGTGTTCAAGTGCATAACAGTTTTCCACGTAGACAAAGCCCTTGCCCTTGTGCCTCCTCCTCCTGACCTCCACAGGAGTTAGTGAGGCTGATTCAGCCGTAACCAAACCAACCAAAAAGTGCATCTTTATATGGTACATGAAAATGGAAATAAAAATAAAAATCCATGTATATTTGGATGTTTAAAAAGGAAGCATTCACAACAGTGTAAAGGAACAGAAAAAAAAGGTGATTTAGGCAATGACAGTGGATGCTTTCCAATATTTAAATGAATTAGTGTTTTTATCTGCCATTATGACATAGACTATCATGATACAATATGGGCAAACTGTTATGCAGTTATCACCATGTCATTTCTGAGAGCATTAAAATTCTTATGTCAATTCAGGGAAAAATCAGAATGCAAATTCTTTTTTCAACTATCTAATTAGAATTACTTTTTAAAAACATTTTTTTTAATTAGGAAAACTCCACTGACAAGTTGTTATTCAATAGGATTATAGGTAAGTTTTATTAACAAAGGCTAACTCTAAAATGGAAAACATTTTAATATTTTAAGCTAGCTTTTAAGAAAGTCTTCAGAAAGACCCACCCAATATCAATATGTTAATATTTTGGATATTGGATATTAATTGGATTTCTGTGTTGCTGATTTTTCAGATTACAACATCAAGCGATTTTCAAGTTATAACATAAAAATATTCATGAGGATAACTATTTCTTTAAGCACCAAAAAGATTTTAGATTCTTCTCTATGATTCTCCAAAGAGTTTTCAATAGAAAAGAAATGTCTCAAGAGGCTTCCGACATTACAGAGGCTGCAACTGTGATCCCTTAGGGCCCTATAGAGCCAGCACTTAGCTTCTCTGAAAGAGATCTTAATAAAATTCACACAGCGTGAAATGGAAAGTCTGGGGGAAAAATGAAGAGTTTTCACAAAGTGAAACAAATGAGCTTTCTTTGTTGATTCAGAGGAGTAAGGAGCAGCAGCAACAAAACCATTGATAAGTAGCGAGTGCATCTTGTTTGAGGTTGAGCTTTGTTCATAGTCATCTGAAAAACAGTACTTATTAGCCTTTGGAAATGAGATAATGAAGACACAAATTGTTATGTCACACTCGGTCATTGAGATGTAAAGGTCGAGTGCTTGTCCACTTCCTGGGATTTGACTCTGCCCCGCGCAAGAGCTTGCATGCTTACAGGAGGGATTTTTGTCTCTGAAGTAAAAACTACTGTAAACTTCATCCTTTGATCATGAAATAAGGCATCTAAAACAGCATAAAAAGCAAAGAAACTTTAGGTAGAAGATGTTCTTTCTTCAGTGTTTGTACCTAAGCCTAGATGAAGGTCATATTTATGATTTTTTGTCAGCCATGTTGGAATAAATGGGCTAGGTGATAGGGTTTGGCTCTGTGTCCCCATCCAAATCTCATCCCAAATTGTAATCCCCATGTGTCCAGGGAGGGACCTGTAATCCCCACATGTGGAGGGAGGGAGGTGAATGGATCAGGGGGCAGTTTCTCCCATGCTGCTCTCCTGATATTGAACGAGTTCTCGCGAGATCTGATGGTTTTTAAGTGTTTGGAAGTTCTTCCTTTGCTCTTCTCTCTCCTGCCACCATGTGAAGAAGGTCCCTGCTTCCGTTTCACCTTCTGCCATGATGGTAAGTTTCCTGAGGCCTCCACAGCCATGTGCAACTAAGTCAATTAAACCTCTTTCCTTTGTAAATTATCCAGTCTTGGGTATTTCTTTGTAGGAGTGTGAAAATGCACTAATACTCTAGGTTTCCCTTATTATTTAAAATGTGTTCTTTTGGGGCTGTTAGGGAACAGATAGACTGTTTCATATCTGTCTAAACAGTCTTGTGGTAACAAGCCAATACTAGAGAATGTAATTAGGAGAAAGAGGAAATAATTTAGATGGCATTTGACTTGCTCCTCAAAGCATGGTCCACGGATCAGTAGCATCTGCCTCCCTGGGAGCTTGTCCAGACCATCAGATCTAAATCTGCATTTAACACACCCCAAGGTGACTCACATGCACATTATGTTTGTTGATGACTAGACTCCAGAACCTTCTCCACAGGTCACCATTTCATTGAAGATGAGTGGGAGATGACACATGAGACCCACAGGAGGACATATTAGAAGACGTATTTGCACAACTTTTTAAGACTGTGATATATAAAACTAATATTATAAATAAATATGTCAAAAAGGGCAAATGAACCCAAAGAATTATTTCCTTAACTTGGGAAAAGCTAAAACATAGGTGTTACAGTTGAACCCCCAATTCCCTTGCCAACAAGATGCATATTCCTCAATTGCATTTATTTTGTGAAACAGGGAAAATATGGATGACGTGTGTTTGTCCTGACTTCAAACTAGAATTCTATTGATGTTTGTAGACAATTGCAATTGTAATCTCTTTATATCTAACAATGTCTTTGTACAAAATGAATGTTTTTTTTCTTATCTAAAATAGGATGTTGGATAATATAATCTCTAAGGTTTCTTTCAGCTCTGAGGAATATTCTAGGGCCTCATAAAAATTCTAAGAGGTAAACAGAACTGGGACACTTGTTTCCAGAATTTTCTTTGTTTTTGTTTGTTTTCAACATTGTGATATAGGGAAATTATAACAATATAGGATTCAAAAGACTAGGGCACCGATTTCAACCACAATGCTCTAGCCTGTCATATAAATGTATCATATAATTTTCAAGTAGCTACTATAACCTAGGCACTGTTTTGGGCCTGGGAACTGAATAGGAGGGAAAAATATATATGGCCTATTGCTTCTGAGGCTTTTGAGTAGTCAGGAAAGGCCAGCAAGAATCACAAACTTACTGTGATATGTGCTACCAGGGAGAAGTACAGGGCCATGAGGAGGACAACTGGGGATCAATCTGAGCCAGTTATTTTACCTATTAACTTCTCACCTATAAAATTGGCAACAAGAATTTATCAGTTTGTTTTTAATTAAATGAAGTAATATATGTGATAGTGGGCAGGAAGGGGTTAACTTAGCAGGCACCAGTTGGTTATTCAAACCCTGCACATTCTCCATTCCTATTTTTAGGATAGGCCTATGGCTGGCTTCTGGGATTTGATTTCTGGGGCCTTTGGAATATTCTGCCTGTTTCTGTAAGTCTGAGACCTTGGGCCATGCTATACCCATTTGACCAGATACATTAATCCCAACAAGGGACAGCCTAGCGGGGATGCCTGTTTTTACTCTGATGCAGCCTGGAGCCTGAATAGCTGAGTCAGTCCTGGGGGTGCTGCATGCCTACATGACTGACCCCCAATAAAAACCTTGGACATCAAGGCTCAGGGGAGCTTCTCTGGTTTATGGCACTGCATGTGTTGTCACACGTCATTGCTGGGAGAATTAAGGGTGTCCCCATGCAACCCCACTGGGAGGGGCCTTGGAAGGTTTTGCCTGGTCTCTCCTGGCCTTTATCCCTTGTGACTTTTCCCTTTGCTGATTTTAATCTTATTTCTCACTGTGGTGATACAAACTGTGAGCATAATGTGTTTTTCTGAGTCTTGTGAGTCTTCTAGAGGAGTATTGAGCTGGAGGGTGGCCTTGGGAACCCTTCCATCTGACACTGACAGCATGTGCTAAGGAGTCAATAATGCAGTAAGAGTGTAAAATTCCTAGTCTTTTCCCTAAATGTCTGTTTGTCAAATTACATTCCTCTATGGAATCTAAGAGAATATCCTCTTTATCCAGCCTCACCACTTGCATCCAGAATCACTTGAGATAACAGTACTGTCAGACTTATCTGTTATGTTCTAACAAATAAAAAATAACCAGGGATCATGTGGATGTATATATTTGAAGGAAACCGAACTCCAGAGGAGGTGCTCCACTATTCATGGTTCTCTTAGTTGCCTTCAAGGGCAGAATCAGCCCTAACATGGTGCGTGGAGGAATTTTCTGGAGAAAATATTACTAGCATTGAACTACTAGACCACGCCCTCTTTTTCTTGTCTGTAACTCTCAAACTTGGCTCTCTATGAAGGCGTGACTTTGAAATGCCACTCTTTCTTCCCACATGATGTGTGAAAGAAATTTACCAAGTCAAAAATTATGGAGACATTTTACTTAAAGTAAGTGTAGATACTTTAAGATAATTTTTTGTGGGTCTATAGATAAAACTTTGCTACAGATGAATTAGTTGACATCTGGCAATTTTGTCCATCTTCACAGCTGTATAATTTCATTGTCACTGTAAGTTTTGCAATATTGTGTACATATTTAATAACCAAATATTTAGTCTCTGTGAACACAGAAATTTTAAACTCTCAGTAATGGGGTAGAGTAGGAGCATGTTCCTAAAAACCCAGTGGTATTTCTATTCAGTATTTAAAATTTAACGTTTAATTATAGAACATAATGAAATTCTTCAAAGCACAGCTTTTCCACAGAGCAGTTAAAACCAATTAACACTTATTCTGTTAACAGTTTAATCTTTATTGTCATTTAACGATGCTAGAATTTTCCTTTTTTTTTTTTTTTTTTTTTTTGCTGCTATGAAAAGATTGGTTACTCTGAGTCAGACTTTAATCTAAGAAACTCTAGGCAAAATGGACAGACAGCTTGTAAAAAACAACAGTACAGAAAAGTCAGTAAAGCAACAGTACAGAAAGTCAAGAAATAGACCCAGTTCATATAATAGTTAAACATATGGTCCAAGTAGAGTCTCAAGTCAGTTAGGGAAAGCTGACCTCTTCAATAAACTGTTGAATGGTAGTCATTTGGAAAAAAAAAAATTTGAATCCATGTATCTTCCTCCATTGATATAAATTTCAGAGAAAGCAAATGGGGAAAAAAAAGCACTACAAGAAAATATCGAAGAATTTCTACATAAACTCAGAAAGGAGAAGGGATTTCAAGCGAGGATTCAAATAAAGTCACAGAAGAAAAGATAGATGAATTTGCCGGTGAAAATATCTTTTGATATCTATTATTTTTAAAAAGTAACATAAGACAAAAACAAAAAGATTGAAACTCAAAACACTAATTCCTCTTGTTTCATCTAGCAACATATTTTAGAAATTCAACTACTGAAGACTACTCCTTTTCAGTAATAGTCGTAATAATAATAGTAGTATACAGTGAAGAATGATAAGTTACAGGGTTTTAGGGTTTACACACATTAATTTTTTAATGCTCAAAGAACTCTATGAAAAAATTATGAAAAGTATTTTTCAGGTGAAAGTAATATGTAGAGCATGCTAATGTTTGTGTAAAAAAGATGTGTGGGACAAAATTTCAGTTAAATAGGAGGAATAAGTTCAAGAGATCTATTGTCCAACATGGTGACTATAGTTAATAAAAATATATTGTATACTTAAAAATGTAAAGTGGGTGGATAAGTGTTCTCAGCATGGAAAATGATGACTATGTGAGGTGATGCATATGTTAACTAGCTAGATTTAATCATTCCACATGTTTGTATACTTCAAAATATCAGGTTGTACACAATAAATACAATTTTATGTCACTGTAAAAAATGTGCATGGGAAGAATTTATATGCATCTTTGCATGTATGTACATTAAACTCTGGAAGAATGTACAAAACCTACTAACTGTTATTTATTGGGCGTGAAGTGAAGCAGATGGGGTTTAAGTATAGAAGGAACATTTTCACTAATAAATCTTTACATAAATAATAAGGAAAGTTATAGATTTATTTAATGTAAATTAAATGAATTTTTTTTTTTTCATAGAGACAAGGTCTCACTCTATCACCCAGGCTGGAGCGCAGAGGCATAGCTCAATGCAGCCTTGAACTCCTGCGCTCAAGTAATCTGCCCACCTCAGCCTCCTGAGTAGCTGTTTGTACAGGCGTACACTGCCATGCCTCTCTCCCTCTCTCCTGCTCCACCATGGTAAGACATGCTTACTTCCCCTTCTGCCATGATTGTAAGTTTCCAGAGGCCTCCCAGCTATGTTTCCTGTTAAGCCTGTTAAAAATTGTGGGTCAAGTAAACCTGTTTTCATAAATTACCCGGTCTCGGATAATTCTTCTTAGCGGTGTGAGAATGGACTAATACACATGCCTACAAGGAAATCTTGGTTTTAGTCTGGGCTCTGCTGCCAACTAGCTTTGTGAAATGCCATTTAACCCTCTCTAAAATTCAGCTTTTAAATGAAAGAGTGAACATAAACCATATCTAAGGTACACATTTGTACTCAAACTCTACAATTCTTCCACCTGTGTACTCAGTGATGGCACAATTACAATCACATTAGTTAAAATCTATCTTTTCACATCTTTCCAAAGTTTTCATTTTACCCTATTCTGTTTATTTTTTCTTTTCTTTCTTTTACTTTAACTCAATAAGACGACTAGTTGAGTCTCCCTGAACACTCTGGAGTTTGGCTTTAGTAAATCTTTGAAAATATATACATATAAGATGCTCTTCTATTTATCTTTATGCCTCAAAAATTCAGAATCAAAAAAACCCACCATGTAAAGATGTGATGTAAGTCATAAGACTTGCATTACCTCAATATATGATCACAAATTACCATTATCCTTATTATATGGTTACATGTTAATGAGGGTTTAATGGGAAAAAAATTTTAAAAGATTGACAGATGATTTTATATTCGCCCTATATACATAGCTCCTGGAGGCTTTATTGTAAACATATCAGATATTCCCTGACAATCAGGAATTTTAACATTTTTAACTCCCAATGTTAATCACAAAAAGCACCTCGTGTACTCCTTAAATGTTGACCCAAGCAAATGAAAATTATCAATATAATGGCTAAATAAAAAGTATTGATTTTCTAGTTTCTGATAGGAAAAAAAAGCAAAACAAATTATAAAAGAAACATTGTTTTGAAGAATGGTGCCTTGGTGCTAGTGTGCTCTTCCAAATGGGGTAGATAAAACAGTTAAATACAGAGAAGTGATACGTTCTTATCCTGGGTGGAAGACTTGTTCTACTTTAAACTTGTTTGAGGGCATCTGTGTGTATCACATGGAACAGCTACTGATCTATACTCACACCTATTTTTGTGGTGAAGAGCTAATAACAAAAGAAGACAAGCAGAAACTTGAATTCTGTCATTTATGAAGTATACTTTCCTTTTAACGTGAATTTAACTGCCATGTTACGATTGGGACAGTTTTTAGTTTGTCCCAAATTTTAATAGTATTTAGTCTCTGCATTAGAGAAGAGTTATGCTTTTTTTCAACATTTTGAGGAGAACCTAACAATAAGAATTATATTTCTTCAGAGCAAAAAGAACATGTGTAATCATGTGTAATCAGGGTTTACAATTATATTCGTATTCCTCTTTTGCTTTAAATGTAGTTAAGATAATTTTTTAATTATGTGAAAGATCCTTTCAGCATTTCAACTGACCATAGAAAAAAGACGAAGTATCATAGCCAAATAGAAAATAAATATAAGACTGGATTTGATTTGACTAAGGATTGACTTTTATTCTCAGGTTACAATTATTCATTTGTCAACATATTTTTGGGCACTACCCACTTGTCTACCTGTCAGGCACTGTATTAGATTTTAGATTTTCAGAGATAACCATATTACTTTTTTCAATGGAAGATGTAATATTTTTTAAAATCATATTTTTAAAAACATAAATAGTTACCATTATCTTATGAATTATATTTGTTCTCATATATATGCATTTAACTTTTTATTTAAAAACTCAGTGAGTAGATGATTACATAAATGTATATGGAGATTAAGAACTTTTGAATTTATTACCTTATTGTGTTAGTTTTCTCTAGAGATTTTCAGTTGACAGATCACTGATAAAGTACCACATTTTTTTTAGTTGGGATTATCAAAACAAGCTACCCAGTAAAACAACAAAATACAAATCATTCTAAGATACTCGGGGCAAATACTGACTGGTATTATAAAAGATGTAGGAATATGTTTGATCTACTGAATTTTTTTTAATTTTTAACATTTTATTTTCATATATTTATTTATTGTAGAGCTAGGGTTTCTCTTGCTCAGGCTGGCCTCAAACTCCTGGGCTCAGGAGATTCTCTCACCTCCCAAAGTGCTGAGATTACAGGTGTTAGCCATCACATCCTGCCTAAACTACCAATTTTTAATTCATTTTGAAACAGAAATTAAAATTTACTGAAATCATGAACAAAATGAATCTAAGTTTTAAACATTAAAGAATTTCAAATGCAATCACCTAGATGTTCTATAATTTCAAATGTCAAATGTTCATTTCAGCTTAGTGGATTTTCAACCTTAAAATTTTAACTTCATTTTAACACATTAGATTGTATTTCTTAAAACAATCTTCATCGAAAATGTTAGTGAATAGATAGCTTGAATCACCTTCAATGTAGAAGCTAAGAAGTGGAGTAAATATCTCCCTATCAAAAATAAAAGTATCAATCAGTTTGTATTGTTCCTTGATATCTTTGATCTTCTTAGCTATATACAGTATTAGTCTCATTATAGTTCATACTAACAAATTCTAGTTTAGGAATGGACCAACCACTTCTGTTTCTCCTGCTGAATTAAGTATAAATCTGTATTATAGTACTTCTAATATCTCATTATCTTTATTTTTACATGATGTTTTCCCAACTAGACTTATCCCCTGAAAATACAAGTAGATAGGGAGGAAAATAAAACTTAGAATAAAACCTATAGAGGCTGGCAACTCAGTCCATGAAAGGGGATGTTGGTGTTTGAGACAGGGTGGTGGGTTTCCACCCAGGATCCTGCAGATGTCAGAGCAGGCTGCTTTGTGGCTGGAAAAACAGGAGCATTCCTAATTGTTGTTTTGACTCCAGTTGTTTTAGCTTTTTACTTGGCTGTATCTCTTATGTAGTGTATCTTCCCTATTCATTATCTTCCTCTTTTCCTTCCGTATTGATTTATCCTTTCTCTAAGCTTTCTGAAAAACCTTGTCATATTTGTCCTTCCCATCATCTTAACATATGTTTCTTTTGTTCTTATTTCTTCCTATGGCTTCCTTCTTTGACCTTTAAAGATTCTTCTTTTTGAAAGCCTTTATTAGATTTTACAATAAAACTTTTAGAGCCACTCCATTTTCTTAAATTTGAGAATGATGTCTTTTTTACCTATCTGATTTGTTTGCTTCCTAGATCCCATTTTTACATTTTTATCTGCCCTCACATTTGGGGGCATATATCCAGATTTGGTATTTGAACAGATTGTGTGTGGGAATTTCCCTTGGCGGGTGTATTTTTCACTTCGGTGACAGCCAATTCCTATTCTTTGGTTGGTTGGAGTCTCAACCAACATGCACAGAGTTGCTCCGAATCCTCATTTCTTACTGGTGCCCATCTACCTCATTTTGGGAATGGAATTGAGATAGTTTCCCACCTCCTGTTGTTAGACTTCATGATTCTAACTGTAAAAGAAAAAAAAATACTAAAGTCTGGTCAAGCTGATTTCAGTTAATATTTTGAAAATAAAACCTTCACTTCTTGCTAAAAAGACAAACATGTTGGTAGGAAAGAACAATTGGGAAAGATATAATGAAGGAAAAATAATTTCTTAATTGATGCTAATTCAGGTAATGATGAAAAAGCAGAAACAATACAAAACTTGAGTCCTCTAATAGAATAAAGAAAAAAATGAAATAACAAAGCGAGGTTTAACTCACAGAATACAGAATCTTTGGTTGAAGGGAATTGACCTGTATTTAGTATTTGTATGTTGTATGTATGTGTATGTATGTCTGTATATATATGAATGTGTACATGTATATATGTGCATGTATATATTATATATATGTGTTTATGTGTGTATATGTATAACATATGATATGCATATTATTTTGGTCTGCTTCTCTAGAGGCTTCCTAATTAACAGAGCTTGTAGATCTTTGTCTTCTGACTTCTCAGCCCTCTGCTGACCCCATGGAAATCTGATCCTGGCCCTGGTCAGGTGAGGGGTGAGTAGGATGAGTGGGATGCACTGCAGGGGCTGTCCTTGATGTCACAAAAATCATGGTGGTTCTTGAGAGATCAAAGATTAAATAAAAATTGTATTTTAAATGAAGAAGTTTCTTCTGTTTTTGTGTTTGCATCACTATAGACATTACTCTTCAAGTTGTCTTTCTCCTGAGATCCAGGTAGACTTTCACTCTCTGAACCAGCTTGTAGTTGAGAAGGTAAGAAAAATGCTGCCCAGCAGATCCAAGGAGACCTTTTCTCTTCCACAAACAGCTGCAGACACAGCAGAACTCGGGTAAAGGGGGGCAGGAAGTTACTGTAGTGCAATGGCTTTACTTTTTTTTTTTTCAGTATACTAAGGAATTTTCTCCACTGAGAAATTATTGTGGACATTTTCCCCTAATCTACCAAGGACTTTGATTTGCTATGGAAAGTATTATTACAGCAAAAGAAATAGGAAGTCAACATTTCACTTCTGAGATTTGGAGTAAGATTTGAGTCACTAGCCAGGCAGACTTTGATGAATTTGTAAAAGCCAAATCTAGATGATTAAGTCAGCTTTGCTATAAATCAGAGCTAGAGGGAGATTAGAACATGATTTAAGAGGCAACCTTGTTCCATCTGGACCTGGGTGACTGTGGGGAAAAAAATTAGAAAGCATTGGGTGAGACTTGTATATCCCGATGTCTCTTAGCTGAGTGAAAATTCTGGAGAATGCAGGAATGTGAAATAAATTGGTCTCTAGATAGGTGAGCTAAAGGTTACACTCCTGACTCCCCAGTGCCTACATCTGGCTGCAGGCCATCCAAAAATTCCAATGTGGAGGACTGGAGTCAAAGAGCAGGGTGTGAGAAATCTAGGATCGAGGAAACTGGTCAGGATCAGGGGTTTCAGTGGAGCGTGACAGCGCATCCCTGCAAAGCCCAAATCAGTTCAGTTATATTTACTACAGCAGATGCCAGCCTGGAACAGACCAGACCAGACGAGGCTTGAATCTGGGGTTCCTTTTATTCCATAAGGTCATGTAAGATTTTTGTGTGTTTAAACATCAAACTACATAAAACTGGGAAGAAGGGGCAGAAAATAGTATCACACCAAGGTGAGTCATTTGAAAGGGGTGATTTGAAATGGCAAGCTATAATTATCCCCTTCCCAGTGAGAAGGGGTTCCTGAGAAATATTCAATAAGAAACAAAGAATTTACAGTTTCTTAACTGAATCAGGTTGTGTTAAATTCTTGAATCTGCTACAGTTGTAAAGCATCTGCAATTTCAAATAGCAAAACTTTTACTCCCTTGTCTGTGAAAATTAATTGGCAAAGGTTTTCTTTTACCGTGGTCTCACATTTATATAGTCATCAGGCCAGATCTACAGTCTCTCCCTAAATTTGGGGAAAAATATTTTTTCTAAGTTTCTGCCCACACATCTTTCTAATTCTTCCACTACTTCATTCCTGCCTTCTACAATCACTTGGGGGTATGGAGTGAACTGAATATATTTTATTTTGATTCACATTATCACTAAAGAGGCTCTTTTCATTGTCAGAAAGCCACACACAAAAAGCCAAAATTAAAAATGTATTCTTAAATGTTGAGCATGTAGAATGATACGTGCTAGAACAGGCTCCAATGACTTAGATTTCAGCCACTTCACAAAACAGTCTGCTATGGTCTGAATGTTTGTGTTCCCCCAAACTCACGTGTTGAAACCCTATTCTTGGTGTGATGGTAGTGAGAGGTGTGGCCTTTGGGAGGTAAGTAGGTCATGAGGGCAGAGCTCTCATGAATGGGATTAGTGCCCTTATAAAAGAGACCTAGGCCTGGTGCAGTGGCTCATGCCTGTTAACCAAGCACTCTGGGAGGCCAAAGAAGGAGGATTGCTTGAGCCCAGTAGTTCGAGATCAGTCTGGACAATGTAGTGTAGGACCCTGTTGCTATAAAGAAATAAAAAAACTTAGCCAGGCATGGCAGCATCCACCTGTAGCCCCAGCTACTTGGGAGGCTGAAGTGGGAGGATCGCTTGAGGCCAAGAGGTCAAGGCTGCAGTGAGCTATGATGGTGCCACTGCACTCCAGCCTGGGTGACAGAGTGAGGCTCTGTCTCAATTTTTTTTTTTTTTTTTTAAAAAGGATCACAAAACAAAAAGGCCCAAAGGAGCTTGTTTGCCCATCTACCATGTGAGGACACAGCATGAAACCACCACCTAAGAGGAGTGGGCTCCCATCAGACACCAAATCTGGTGGCATCTTGCTCTTAGGCCTCTCAGCCACGAGAACTGTGAGAAAAAAAATATATGTATATATACACACACACACATATACATACATGTACATATATGTGTGTGTGTTTATATATATATACAATTTGTTGTTTATAGGCCACCCCGTTTATGGTATTTTATTATAGCAGTCCAAATGGACTAAGAGTCCAACAACAAAGTGAGGTCACCAGGGCAAGGCATACTTAGGCACTGGGCTCCTTTCTGCTGTGGTCATTCACACGCGACATTAAGATAGTTTGAATTTGGAGGCTAACAATATTCTCCCCGGTGAGATTAATGCTTAGCCGGAAACTGGAGGAACGGTATGAGTTGAGAGAGTAGCAAATAAACAAAAGATTAAAGAACAAAAAGATGAATGGGAAAAGTCAGTAGTCAAATGGTGATAAAAATCAACAAGGATTGAGTCCAGAGTGATGACTCAAACAAGAGCGTTATTCAGTGAACTAGCTAGTTATAATCTGAAGACAGAAAAAGGCCAAAGAAGCGAGAAAGAGGGGAGTGAAGATCTGAACTAGCAGAGGAAGCGAAGTTAAATTTATAAAAATGATTTTCAAAGTCTCATCCTCATGGAATATTCTTGACAACCCTCTCTCCATGCTGCCCACACTTCTGGCTGGGTGTACCGACTGCATTTTCCTGATAACTTAAGCTGCTGGCTGGTGAGACAATCAAATTCTCCCCACTGAGTGACTTCATCTACAAGACACAGGAGTAACCACCAGCGAGAGAAGTTCAGTTGTGAAAGGGAAGCAAAGGAAGATGCTGGGTCCTTAGCGAGGGTGCACAGCCCCTTCCTCCATTGTTAGCTCTCCATTCCGTTTTGCCTGATGCAAGGCACACTTTGTTCCATATATTTAGATTCCATAGTTTTCTGATAATGGGGACTGAGTATTTTAAATACACTTCAGGGGTGGGCGGGGTGGCTCATGCGTGTAATCCCGGCACTTTGGGAGGCCAAGGTGGGCGATTACCTGAGGTCAGGAGTTCGAGACCAGCTTGGCCAACATGGTGAAACTCTGTCTCTACTAAAAATACAAAAATTGGCTGGATGTGGTGGCTCACACCTGTAGTCCCACCTCCTCGGGAGGCTGAGGCAGGAGAATTGCTTGAACCCAGGAGGCGGAGGCTGCAGTGAGCCGAGATCGTGCCACTGCACTCCAGCCAGGGTGACAGAGTGAGACACTGTCTCAATAAATACATATTTAAAAATTAATAAAAATAAAAATGAACACACTTTTTAGGTGACTTCTGCATATTTAAGTTTCAAACTACTTTTAGAGCAAGCCCAGGAGAGTTTCCTGTTCTTTTGAACATGAAGAAAGAACCAAGGGCTACAGAAAGCCTCCTTACAGAACCCGAGTCTCATTAGCTTGTTCTCATTCAACAAACGCTTATCCATCCCTCGTTGCATGCAAGGCGCTCTGCCCAGCCAAGTATGTGACTGCAGGCTGACGGGTGGTGATCGGGAAAGCTGCCCGAATGAGTAAGATTCTGACGCTTGTTTGGAGTAGTTTATCCTCTGTCTACCACCTCCAGATCACCACATCTCCATGACTGGACCCAAATGAAGTTATTTCATATTTCCAAAAATAGTTTCAGTTATTAACACCTTCAGGAGAATTCAGGGGCTCATGGTAGAAATGAATGAATCATGTACATAACTGAGAAGTATTTATACAGAAAGAGTTTTGGTTTTCTGGAAAGGGTAATTTCAGATATTTAGAAGTAAGAGCCATTACAATGTTGGTTTTACAAGCCACTGGGCTTTATAGCAACATCAGAGTCCTGGTGGGTCAGGAGAAAAGGAGACAGCACTCGTCAGTAGCAGACAAGAGCAACTTAGCATTCCATATAATCTTGGAGAGAGCTGGTCTAAGTGCCTCAGGTAAGTGTTTTAACAACTGGATCCTCTCTGGACTCCACACACCCGCTTCTTGAGCAGTGACGTAAGATGGGGGAGAAGACAGAATGAGCTGGCTGTCTCACTCCCTCTCTAGCTCCTGTCCCAGCTTGAGATGAAACTCTATGGAAGAGTAAAGAAGGTAGGAGCTTACTGGAATCTCTTCTACTTTTCTCAACCCAGCACCAACTATTATAAAGAATGGGATAAAAATGTCATAAGGAAAGTTGTTGAGAGAAATTTACTCTTTTACCCTTGAGACCTAATGGGAATTCAAGCACTATATATTTTATTTTATTTTTGTTAATGGTCAAAGCCCTTGGCTGCATATTGTAAATACCTATCATGGATCAAAGCAATCTTAGTGAAAAATATTTCTTTCAGCTTTGCTAGTTGTTAAAGCTCCATGAAATGTTCATTTTCAATGCTATCTTCTCTATGAACAAAAGATTGTCTGCTCCTAAGCAATATCTAAAGTAATATCTATAGGGTTTCATTTCTTATTGTATGTAAGGATGAATTATAGAAACTCCATCATAAAAAGTTTTGTATTGCTCTGTTGTCTGATTTTAAGTACTTGAGCTATAAAATTATCTTATTTATATAATTCCCACTATTTTTTTCTATTCAGGGATTGATTACACATTTCAGTTCCCAATGATAATCTCTCTTGCTGCTTTCATTAAGCATTCCTACAAATTGAAGGGGAGATGGAATTAGCAAGGTAGAAAATGAGAGAATTAAAAAGCAAATCTCCTGTGTTTCTTTTCAATTAATATTATGCCAAGAAAGAAGTAAAGGTTTTGAGACCAGATTACAAGGTTGCGGTGCACTAGGATGCACAGAGCAGTGGACAGGATACCCTGCAAAGTTCAAACACTGCCTTCTGAAGGCAGGTGACATCCTGGGGAAACACACTGAGTGGAATCGAAGGCCCTGGGCTCAGCTTGGATGCCTTGGAAAAGTCACCTGACCTCCAAGTCTGTGGCTGCCCATCTCTAAAACTGCTTGCCTTTCACACCTTAGAGGGTTGCTATGAGGATCAAAATATGAACACATTTTGAACATCGTCAGGCACTGTGAAATAAAAGATACTATCAGTGTGATTATGAGCAATGGTTTCACAGGAGCACTACACTGCCTAGAGAGCTAAAACATGCTCCTTTGCAAATATTTTCCTGCTGTGCTTTAGAATATCATTGGCCTCTGCCACCTTCCCCAATGGTGTTGCATTTTCTATGTTTAGAGATGGTGTTTCCTGTTCTTAGACTGTGACCCACAATACCCCTGACAGGCCCAATCACACCCGAGCGTGTGTTCTATCAAACTAGCAATTGTCCCCATCAGAGAGTTTGCCTGTGAAAAACTGCTTCCCCTGGTAAAGTGGCAGCTTTCCATGGAGGAAATCTGCCTGTGCTTTCACCAACACAGACAACAATGGAGAAGGGAACAAAAAACACTTTGCTATTTCACTAGCTCATGTAAAGGTCATTTCTCAACCTGTTTCTTGTGCAGTGGAAGGTGTTGATTATATAGCTCCAGTAATGTTGCCTTCTTGAATTCATTCTTGTTCTCAGGGGCTGTGCTATCTTCCACCTAGACCAAGTTTCATTACATTTAGTGCAGCAGAGCATGCAGATGATGTAGTTAGCATTGCAGGCAAAATAACCCATTCCTATACCTATTGTCAGCTTTCGGCATATTTAATATAAATGCAATATAAAAATACTTATAGTTGATTAGGATTGGAATAAATAAAAAAGACTTAGTTTCTGATTTTGCATTTGGCTGACTTTATGGATTTTTCTCTGGGGCTCTTTTTAAAACATGAATTTTCCTTAGCACAAAGAGTAAGAAAACATAATTTCTTTTAGAGAATATTTCTAATTTCTTTAGTATTTTTGAGTTATTGCAGGGTTCATTTTAAACCAGTCTTACTAGTAGCTAAAGGAATGCTATCTATTCCCTCAGGATCCTGGGCTGTTATTTTTGATTTTGGTGCTGATTATTTGTTAATATTTTAAATTAACATAAATGTGACTGAATTTAACTTTAGAGATATGAAGTATTTTGCTGTTAATGCAAACACATGACAAAGAAAATCTAATTTACAATTTAAATTTCAGAGTTGAACAAAAGCATACTGGATTCAGTTTCCACAGATAGAGGTTTATATTCAGGGTTGCGTGAATAATGACTTACGTGACCTTGACTGACCTTGACTGTGCCCTGATATCTACTCTCTGTCCTTCCTTGTCTTGTCTATCTGGTGCTTTGCCCTGGGAAGCTGACTTCTACAAGCCTCTCTGAGACAGGCACCAAAGCGATGGGCATTTTGGGGAGAGGATATAGTAGCTGTCTCTAAAACTTGGTCATTAATGTCCTTCTAGTTCTAGATCAAAGGAAAAACATGTCCAGGCTGAAACAGTAGGCTTACACTTAATGAGGATGTCCCCCACACTAATGAGGAGTTGCTAGGCTGTTCGAAAGCACTCATTTGGAGATAAGAATAATAACTTACTGGGATAATACCCTCTCTTATAAATATGAACTAAAAGTTCAAAGGTGTAAATGCGAATAGTATTAGCATCCTTTTCCTCCCTGAAGAATGTATTAAGAATATCAAAGCTCTTCAAACAGTGATCAAAAGTGACACATAGACCCAAACATATGATTTCATTTTATAATATGGAATTAAGATTTCCATTGAAAAGAGGTTGGAAATAACACCACGTCTTTTTTGAGGGAGGTTTCGGTTTCCCACGAGTTATCATAATATTCCAAATCCATACAAACTCTGGAAGTGACACTTTGCAGTCTAAATTTTCTCTTATTAATTAAGGCTTTTCGTTAAAGACAGAGCAAACAGGTTTTATATGGTATATTCACAGTTTGCCTTACGGAGAATAAACTTTCAATGATCCTTTAGCTTCATTCTATTTAAAAAGACAGCACTGTTTAAATTATTTATTTTTTTAGGTTGTCTTTTGTAACTGGAAGAAAAATAATTCTTCAGTAAGTTTCTATAATTTTTATTCTCATTAATGTATGAAATATTATACTTTTAAGTAAATTCATAATAGTGCTTCTACTGCATTTTAAAAATTCCTTCCAAGGGAGACAGCTTATGAAAGAACTAATATAATTAGCATTTTCTGATGGATGACTAGTGTCAAGACACAGAGAGGAAAATGCTTATTGCAGTTAAAGAATGCACCTGAATGTGTACTGCAAACAATAGCACAATGTGATTGAAGAAAATAAATTAAACTTATAATTTTGTTTTTGACAACCAAAACATGATTGTTCCTATTTTTATAATTTATATTGTCATAAGCATATTTTTATGGAAATTTTGATGTTTATTTTTTGTTAAAGATCTATAGCCAGTTGCCTTGGAATCTCTGCTGAGTACTTCATCAAGCACCTGCTGTTTGAAGAGGGAATAAGCCAGAATAAAATTCTCGCTCTTCAGGTAAATAGTTAGCTTAGGCTATGCATGTCTTCAAATAATTAAGCATATATTTCTTGGGGCCTATTATGTGCCAGGAACACATATGTTAGTAGGAGAAAAGAACTTTCAGAGAAGGACATTAGGTATATATTCTATAACATTTTATCGCAGGGAGCTCCTGACAATAATACAAAAGGGAACCTTTCATCTAACATTTGTATATAATCATGGGTATGTGAGGATAGCTACTTCTTTTTTATGAACTGAAGAAGGCAAGACTTGGAATTTTTATGTAAGCTTTATGTTAGTGAACACAAACAACATTAATAATAAAAATGATAAAGTCAAGATTTAACCTACAAATATCCTTTTTGGGTGGGCTGTATATAAGGCATTTTAGTAGGAAAGTAAAAAATTCCCTCCGTTCTGGTTGTATTTAGTCTTCTATGTAGGAATCCATATATTTCATCTCTTTAGATTTTAAAGTAGCTACATTTGATGAAAATGATCACTTTTGAACTGCCTTACAGAGAATTTTTTCGTTTTATTTTGATAAAAATAAAACTTGTCTATCTGGCACTGTGCCCTGGGAAGCTGACTTACTAAAAGAAATAAGTATTTTAAGGGGACAAAATTATACAATCACTATGCTAAGCATATTGCAAAACCAAAATAAAATAACCGAACTTTTGTGACTATTTGATTAGATAAAAGGATTGAGTCAGCATTATATCCATGTAAATCGTGGCAAAAAATTTGATGAAGACTTTCAACTATATGAATTCATATCTGAGTAGCCCTTTAGGAAATTGGTCGACTTTGAAGCTTTGTGCCAATAACAACTTAAACTTAAATGATCTGCATTTTGGATTAAGATTCTATTCATCACCTGAGCAATTTTTTGAAAATTTCTTCATTGTCTTAAGCATATTTAAATATGGAATTAGCATATAGGATCAAAAGGGGAATGCAAACATAAATGAAAACATACATTCCCTGATGGTGATCACTTGCTATAATTTTATTGCCTAGCAAATTTTCCTTTTAGACATTGGGAGGTAAAGGTAATGAGTTGAAAGTTGGCCTAAACATCAACGCAAGTCTTGTGTTGGTTAGATCATGGTTTCATGCTTTAAAAAAAAAATTTTTTTTTTGAGTCAGTCTCCCTCTGTTGCCCAGGCTGGAGTGCAGTGGCACAATCTGGGCTCACTGCAACCTCTGCCTCCCAGGTTCAAGCGATTCTCATGCCTCAGCCTCCTGAGTGGCTGGGACTACAAGGGTGTGCCACCACACCTGGCTAATTTTTGTATTTTTAGTAGAGATGGGTTTCACCATGTAGCCCAGGGTGGTCTCGAACTCTTGACCTCAGGTGATCTGCCTGCCTTGGCTTCCCAAAGTGCATGATTCGGTGATTTCAATGCCTGTTGTGTTGGTGAGAATTAATGGTAATATAAGTGAATCCTCAACCACATGGGGCCTGGGACTTTCAGGTACTGATTATGAAACTGCCTTTGCAAAATTGAGTCAGAAAAATCTAACATAGCTGACACCATATTTGCTTCTAACCTCATAAGATAACTGTCCTTGCTCATGCCTGAGAATAGGCCAAAATAACTATGGGAGCAATTTAGTTTATAGTTTAACTTTAAAGCAAGGATGATAACAGTCCCTTCCCCAAACTGACCCCTTCTTTGTTTGAGGACTAAAAGTACCTTTTCAAAATGAATGAAAGGCCCAAGGTTAGAATTATGGTAGGGGCCTGAAATCTGCTAAGATGCAGGCATAGTTAAGTGATAACCAGCCATTGTTCCTTAGTTTGCCTTTCTATAATTGCTTACTGCTCAGGAGTCATGTAGCCAAAGGTCACAAGATCTGTAACTTCCCCAGTTGCTCCAACAGATAATATCACTATTGTAAAACCTAAGTCTTTGATGTATTTTTCAGACTTTGCATTAGGACAGACCAACTGATTCCACTTGACCTGTGACTCATACCAAGGAACTTGCTCAACCAGTCCTGTTGACCCCTCACCCAGAAACTGACTCAGTGCATGAAGACAGTTTCAATACTCCTATGATTTTTATCCCCAACCAATCAGCAGCACCTATTCCCTAGCCCCCTGCCCTCCAAATTTTCTTTAAAAACCCTAGCTTCGGAACTCTTGGAGAGGCAGGTTTGAGAAACATCTCCTGTCCTTCCATTTGGCTGATTTGCAATAATTAAACTTTCTCTGTTGCAACACCACTGTCTCAGTGTATTGGCATTTCTGTGCCAAGAGCAAGAACCCATTGGGCTATAATAATTACATTTTTTTCCAACAATTTCAGCTCTATTCTTCTTCTAAGATCATAGACTTATTGAGATCTAGAATATATTAAACTGTGATATTATACTACCAAATTCTTAGCTTTTATTTAGATTTAGAGCAGAGATTCCAGTTTTCCTTTTGTTAGAATCTAGTATACTCATATATTAATTTGCATGGTCATCTTGATTCTCTTTTCCAGTATTTATCCAGGTCAATGGTTTTGTGGGTTCCATTAAAAAAACTAGGGGCAAATAGAGATCCAACATATTGGGATGAAGTAGGTGCTCACAGTGAATGTTGTTAGGCTTATTTTAGTAGTAGAATTCATGACTAGTATGAAACATGAAGCAAGTTGTCCTCTATTCATGAGAGGTAAAGCTATGAACATAATAGAAAGTGATTACTCACTCTTTGAGAATGGCATAATATCCTTTCTTTTTTAAGCTAAATAGGGGCCTCATAATGGTAGAGAAACAATTTCTCTGTTTTATTAACTTGTTATTTCCAATCCCTGCCTCATAATTCCTTTCATGATAAAATGTGCCCTATTTTTATTTTCAACTCACATAAGAGTTTACTGTTTTCTGAATCAAGAATTAAATTTCTCAATGTTACTTCTTGTTGCATGGAAACTGTATGTTTCCCTCATCTTTCAGTCAACTGCTGTGTGCTCTCACCCCAACTCTCAGCTTCTTTTGGGGGGTTGGGGACTTAGGATCCGAGTTTAATAGGCAACAGAAAGAGAAAGGAGAATAGCTCTCTCTCCTGTGAGAGAGGGAGGTTCCTGAATGGGTCTTCCCAACTCTCCCCTTCTACCCATTCAAAATTACTTTGGTTGCTTAGGGAATTTCAAATGCAAGAATAGGCGAATCCACCCCTTAATTGTCTCTAAGACTCAATGTGGATTCCACAGATTCTCTGTTGCTGTCCTCATCAGCTGTTGGATATGGAATCCTGCCACAGAAGATTAAACAAGGCAACTTTCTAACTTATATTAAAAGGGCATTAACCCAATTTAAGAGTTAAGCTCCTTAAAGGAACATACTTAGAAAACACATTACTCTATTAATATTTTTTTATTTTCTATATTCCGATTCTTTGACATCTAAGGCCTCGATGCCACTGGAAGGACTGCCCCTACCATGGTTAGTCAAGTCCTAGAGATAGTAAATAACTTCCCTGAAGGGGCTTTTCAAATGCAAACCAACCAATATACAGCCCACACTCACAACCACCTCCTTCATCAGACTCTTTAACTCTAAGATACTATCTCTCTGCCCTGATCACCCCAGGGCCAAGGATCAGATCAGGAGGCACAGCTTCTATGCTCCAGAGCATGCTGAAATTTTCAAACTAAGGAATCCTAACCTGCTTACTTTGGCTTGCCAGTTACACAATGAAGGCTCTTAGCCAGTTTCCCTCTCTCTCTGCCTGTGACTAAACCCAGTACTTCTCTTTGTGGCCCCCTGGAGCCATGGCATGCTCCCTCCTCTTGGGAACAGAGTCACAAACTATATTTTCAAAGAAAATGATGTCCTTATCTATTGACCTCATCATGCTTAAATAATAATAAAACCCATTAAAACAATCACCCATGCGCTCTAAGCAACTTTTTGTTTATAAGCACTTATTAAGTACCATATGAAATATATTTCCTCATATATTCTATCATTTTCATATTTTTAAGTTTTTCAAAGCTTGTGTTTTACCCACTGAGAAATATAAATAGGCTTAATGAATACTTTTACACATTAATGTTTATATTACAAAAACTTTTGTCATAAAAATAACATGTATAGATATTAAAACCCAGAAATATATCTACATTGGGTTTTAGGAGTTTATGGAATAAAACGAGTCAATCTCTCCACCTGTGCTGCAGGAAGGGTGTGACAGAATTATTCTTTAGACCAGAATTCACAAGTTTATATAAAGCAATCGACTAAAATATGTTTAAAATTCTCAACTGGTGAGTGGGTAAAGGAATTATAGTATATTCATATGACAATAAAAAAGAATAAACTCCTATATGTGAAATACCATGGAAGAATCTAAAAAGCATTACACTGGGTGAAAGTAGCCAGACATGCATTTAAATGACATTCTAGTACAAAGCAAGACTATAGGGATAGAAATGAAGTCAGTGTTACTCAGGTGCTGGGTGGAGTCGATGGCTTTGATCACTTGGGTACCCATTTGGAAATCAGAAATAATTAAGAAATTACTCCTAGGAAAAGGAGCAGAATTTGAAACACCACTTTAGGGCGCAAGAACAATTTTTTTAAAAAGCCAGTTCCTGGTTATAGGTAACCAGAAGACTTTTTTTTTTTTTTTTTTTTTGTCAATTCTGCAGAGAATCTGTTATCCAAAACAACTATGAGCAACTGCAGACACAGTCTGAGAATTTTCTTTAAATGGCAATAAGGGTTCTGAAACAAAGGGACATTTTGAGGCAGATTAGCACAGGAAAAGCAGTGTGTACACGGTATAGAATTAAGAGAACCTGTACAAATGAAGACACAAGACAAAATAAAACCCGAGCTATTTCAGGGGTTAAGGTTTTCATCATTTCCAAAGTGAAGAGGAAATTGAAACACTCGTATTAGAACATCATTGCAACATATTTATAGTTTGCCACTTTTAATTATGCTTAAAATAATTGCATATTAAATTGCCTCATAGTTCGCATTGCATGGTGACATTTTCAACTAAATATTTCCTGTTGACCCCTCAAAGTATGGCTTTACAGAATAACATGGATTAAATGAGCCTCAAATTACAAATTCCCTCAATAAATCCAGTAGGTAGAAAAGAATACTGTCTCACTGTGGCCCTGCTTTATCTGGGAGGGTTTGATGCTGCTCTCTGACCTCCATAGGAGATATGTATCAGTATCTTAGCCTGCTTAGCACGATTGGAGAAAATATCAATGACTTGATTTGAATAGATCTGGGACGCAGCTGCTAAAATGATGTTGCTAAAGCATTCCTTTTTCTTTTGATTAGACTTCATGTTTACAAAAAAATTAATTCTAGCAGAATAACGAATGGTTTTGTTTTCTAGTTCTCTGCTGAATGAACAGTTTTGCCAATTATCTTCATAGAGTAGTGATATAATGAATGCAACCTCAAATGCAAACCAACCAATTCACAGTCCATACCCCAATCACTTCCTTCATCAGCCTCAAAAATCGCTAAGTGAACCAGTAGAATGGTTTTGGAGCAGTAATAGGAAAGCAAATAGAAAGTCAAGGGGGACTTTCAACGCCAACAAGACCAATTCAGATCCTGATCTGACTGGTTTCTAATACAATCTCTTTCCAGAGTAATGGAGCATGAGTCTGCCACACAGAACTTTAGAGAGAGTCCTTTATTTCAAAGACTGTAAAGTTGGAAGAATTCATTCATCTGCAAAGTCAAATGTCAAAAGTTGTGCTTCCCACTCCTCATCAGGCCTGTGGTTAACAATGCACTCGACTGACAGCTCTGTCATGCAACAGGGTGCGTGAGATCGCGAGAGCTGATTGATGCCTCTGCCTCTACAGTCTGAAAAGTTGCCAGACCATATGCTACTTAGTTTAGCCTGTGTGCATCCTGCCCTGGGACCTGATTTCTACTTTATCTTTAAAAATATAAAACCTTGGTGCCCTTTAAGTTCTGCTACTGTCTTAAAGTTTTAAAGAAGACATCAATGGGTCCAATTAATAATAAATGTGGCTTCCATTTATGGTGTGCTTACATTTTGCCAGGACGTCATCATCACTTAATTCTAAATTAAGTGTCATCTCACTTAATTCTAAAAACAACTGCGTGGCCTGGGCAAAATTAATCTCCAGTTTTTAGATTAGGAAACTAATCCCCAAAGGAGAGAAGTATCTTGCAGAATCTAGACCGATTTGTCTTGTAGATTTTATATTCTTGTTCAAAGCACTTCCTTACATGGCCTTAATGGGAGACATGTATAACGTAATAGTGCCACATTTAGTCATATATAAAGGATTTTTCATTCTAGAGCTTTTCCCTAGGTAATGAGTGTCTCATATTGTATTTATTACAAAAAAACACATTAAATAAATATACAAAGTAATTTTCTACGGTATGATTTGATTTCTGCATATACATATTGTTCATACCAAGTCTTTCTTGATTCGTGTATTATTGGAGTAATTCTGAGTCAATGAAAGTATAATCCAACTTACCTAAATTTATATAAATACACTCATCACATTTTGCACTGCATAGATGAAAAATACTTTTATGAAAATATTGCTAAATATTTAATGATCAAGGTGAATTGCCTTGCAAAATTTCCTTCTAAATTCTTTTTATACCAATTGGTATATTGGTATTTAAAACAATCTCTTTGCAACGTTTATTAGTTTTTTTCTTCTGAGGCAGATATATTGCTAAAAAATATTTATTTTTATGGCTTACTCATTTATAAAAGAACATTAACAGAGCATAATTTCTGTTCTAAGTTTATTTTACTTATTCCACATAAACTATTTTTGAGCATATTGGTGCATGAGCCAATAAAAAGGATGAAATTATCAAGAGAATTTACTAAACATCAAGTTACTGATATTTAGAAACAATCTAAGTATAGAAACACCGACAGAAAGAATCAGGAGGCCCAGGACAAAGCAGGAGAGGTCTAGTCTGTCCAGGCAGCTCCCAGGGCCCCGCTTCTGCCTTCGGGTGTGCATTGTCTGGCTCAGACTACACCAGGTCTGCACTAGTGCCCCCAGCAAGGAGTGTGTGAGTTAGGAAATCTATTTAATATCCCAACTGTAGTTTGTTATTCTCCAGAAAGCTCTGCCTCCTAAATCCAGAAGCTGTACGTCTGTTTACCATAGGTAATCCTAAACTAGAAGCAATGCTGCTAAGAGCAGTCTGTATATAGGGAGTCTCTTTTTGGTAAAGATCAGTAGTCTATTTACCAGGAGTTTTCTCACCAGCACGTTTACAAGGAGATGAGACTGCATCACCTCCTGTCCCGCTGGAGGTCCCTTTAGTGGTACTCGAGACAGAAATGATCATAGATTAGGTGTGTACCTTCCTCCACCATAGTGGGACACATCCTTGAATCTATAATTTATTTTCACCACTTTGCTGGGAGTACTGATGAGCTTAGAGCCAAGACTGGGAGCTTAATCCTATGTGATTCAGTAGCATCACGTTTCATGGTGATATACCACAACACCAATGCAGATCTACCATCCTGGGAGTTTCACGGGTTCCACTTGAAAAGGAGGAGGTGTAAAAAAGGTATGATATAGTTCTAGAAATCCAGCACCCCTTTGAGTAAGATAATTAAACAGATATAAGAGTAAGAAGGTACAGATGCAAGTTTTGTGAGGCTGAAAACTTATACAATTTTAGAGGCCGTTTTACTTAAATATAAAGAACAGAAAAATAATTGTCATGTGCAAAATGACAAAAAATATATGATCACATGTGAACAGGGTGCAAGGTCACCTTTAACAGAGGGGTCCTGAAGCCATAGCTCATTAGTATCTCAGCAAATTCTGCCTGTACATAAGTATATTTGTGTTAAGAGAGTTGCATTCAGTTGTTAGGAACCTCTGGAATACACATAAATAAAAGAGATTTGGTATGCAGGAAGCTTATTCCACAATCCATGCTACCTCCCACAGTATTAGTTCTTTAATGCTATTTTGGTATAATGATGACAGAAATAAACATATCTGACTTTTTAGCTACCTGCATACTTCTAAATCTTTTCTTCCCCAATTCAGCAAAAATCTTCATGAATTTGAGATCTCGTTGAATAATTGTCACAAGTTCTACCTTTCATTTCTTTGTGCTTTTCCCACAACTGGATTAATCATGATTTTAAAACGATAAATAATAGCTTTCTCATTCAACTGGCTAGGGATAGATTGTGATCTGGGCGTCCTGAATATCTCTGAAATAATAGAAACTCAGTGATCATTTGTGAGAGAGTAACGGATACCCTTTAGATAATCTGGCATGCAAAAAATCTCCGAGTTTCTAAATTGTAGCTGTAATTTCAAGGTCAGTCTCGTGTATCTTGAAAGCAATATTTTCAAGCATCTTTTCCACCTATGTAATCAAATCAGGAAAGATATAATTTTATATTTAGCACTTCATTTACTGGGGATTTTGGAGACGTGAGCTTCCAATGCACATTTTTGTTGTTGTTGAAACAGAGTCTCACTCTGTCGCCCAGGCTGGAATGCAGTAGCGTGATCTCGGCTCACTGCAACCTCAGCCTCCCGGCTTCAAGAGATTCTCCTGCCGCAGCCTCCTGAGTAGCTGGGACTACAGGTGCACACCCCCACTCCTGGCTAACTTATGTATTTTTAGTAGAGATGGGGGGTTTCGCCATGTTGGCCAGGCTGGTCTCAAATTCCTGGCCTCAAGTGATCTGCCTGCCTCAGCCTCCCAAAGTGCTGGGATTACAGGCATGAGCCACCTTGCCAGGTCCCAATGTACATTTATAGAAAGATAATTGGCATGCCCAGAGAGTTTGGTGGATTATATACATTTATACACTATCTGTCTAGGTGTTCTTTCACCTGAAAATTAGTATTTTCCTATTTTATTCTGAGTTGTAAATTGCACCCTTCAAAATAAACACAATAATATCCATTGCCTCTTTCATAAAAGTGTTCCTTCACAGAATTGATTTTCTACACAAATGTGATTCGGAAAAGGTTAAATTTTTTTTTTTTTTTTTTTTTTTTTTTTTTTTTTTTTTTTTTTTTTGAGACGGAGTCTCGCTCTGTCGCCCAGGCTGGAGTGCAGTGGCGGGATCTCGGCTCACTGCAAGCTCTGCCTCCCGGATTCACGCCATTCTCCTGCCTCAGCCTCCCAAGTAGCTGGGACTACAGGCGCCCGCCACTACGCCCGGCTAATTTTTTGTATTTTTAGTAGAGACGGGGTTTCACCGTTTTAGCCGGGATGGTCTCGATCTCCTGACCTCGTGATCCGCCCGCCTCGGCCTCCCAAAGTGCTGGGATTACAGGCGTGAGCCACCGCGCCCGGCCGAAAAGGTTCATTTTTTATGCCAGTATAGAGAATGATTAATCATCAATTGTCTGGTTATTTTGAGTTTTTTAGGGTGACTATAAGGAAAAAGACAAGTACCTAAAACTAACAGAAAACAAGTATGGGGCCTGCCACGAATGGTTTCGCCTACAGAATTCACAAAGTATTAAAAGTCAGGAAAGATTTTTTCTTCTGATACAAAGTGGTATTGTTTATTTTCCTAACTGACTTGACATCAGCCCTACAAAGTAGGATAAAATTAACTATTTGGCACTTTTCATGTATTATACAATTAAATAATTGAAACACATCAGGCAATAGATGAGCAAATAAATATGTGATGCCCTGAGGAGTATTTGGACAAACAAATGTCAAAGGAAAATGGATTGTTCAGAATTTCAAGGAGCAAATATATTTTCATATTAAAGAATAGAGTAGCATTATTTTTTCATGTATACTAATTGTAATCCAAGTAGATGCTGATTTTCCAAAGAAATGATTCAGAGAATATACCAACTAATTGCTTTGTTTTTAATCAACATGAAAAGTAAAATTTAGTAAAAGTTCTACAAGTAACATAATTTTTAACAACGGTATGAAAATTGCAGTGGTTTTTAATCACAGCTTCATTAAGGATGATTTTATTTGAATATGTTACCTCGTTCGTCATTAAAAGATTCCACTATCATCGGGATTGTATTTCCAAAGGTAATGAATTCCATAGGTGCTAATTGCCTACTAATTTTACTTGTAAATGAAAATATTTATTTGGAAATAGGTCTGAGGGAAAGCATATCATGGACTCAGGATCTCTGTGCATTTGTTTTCTTTGCTCCTCTAATGATATGAATTGGAGGTGTCTTATAAAGCCGGTGTTCCAGGTGCCATATATGGAAAACAAATTTGAAAGCTTTTTCTCACCTCTATTTGAAGGGTTGATTAACTCTAAAATATTTCTCTGGAACTGTAGACCTAGCCTGAAGAGTAACAGCAGACAAACCAAAGCTAGAGGGCAGATCTAAGATCAGCAGCAAATGTTGAGCCTTATGCTCCCATCACCTCTAGTGTCTCTGTATCTTCTATTAAGACACAGCCTTGCTTGGGTCAGGTGAAAGTAGAACTTGTTTTGAATAAACCAAGCTACCTATTTCATCTAAGTCAACTCTTCATGGTAAAATAAGCAAACAAAAAATACCCAATTTTATTTGTAGTTTAATCGGTTTTTGTTCTCATGGCAGAATATCTTATGATGGACTACATTATCTTTTAAGACAATTATGAATCCATGATCTACTTAGAAATATTAACAAAAGAAATCTAGTGTCTGGAAGTTCTACACTTAACACTAATTTTGCTCTACATTAGCACTAATTTTGCTTTTTGTAATCTAATATCTCCTCGGGTCAAAAGATAATATGTTTTCCCATCTATTAGTAATTGCTGTTGGAACCTCTACCACACAAATTAAGTTCTTTGACCTCCAAACACAAAACCTGAGACGTATTAGCAAAGCTATGTTATCATGAGAAGAACATGTGTTTTTGCAGCACTGTGAGGTTTGGATTGGTTTTACTATGTGTGTGCAAATTGATTTTGATTCTTGAGTTGTATTCCTTTCATTTGTGAGAAGCATGAGAATACCTATTTTGTAGGACTTTTGTGCTATAATGTATGTGAAAATTAGAAAAATGTTTAGAATATATTCAGTGTCCAAAAAGTCAGTTTTTTCCCCTTTAAGTTTTGTTAAACCTCTTCTGATCTGCTTCATTTACAGTAATGAAAATTATTAAAAATAGTAAGTTTATAATTTTCTTTTTTCTGAGACAGGGTCTCACTCTGTTGACCAGGCTAGAGTGCAGTGGCATGAACATGGCTCAGTGCAGTTTCAAACTCCCGGGTTCAGGTGATTCTCTCACCTCAGCCTCCCCAGTAGCTGGGACTAAAGGTGCACACCACCACACCCAGCCAATTTTTTGTATTTTTAGTAGAGAAGCAGTCTCACTATGTTGCCAAGTCTGCTCTTGAACTCCTAGAGCTCAAGCGATCTGGCAGCCTTGGCCTCTGAAAGTGCTGGGAATGTAGGCTTGAGCAGTGGTGCCTAGCCAGTAAGTTTATAATTTTTTAAAAAATCAAGTGGCCAAGAAGTTATAATCAGATGGTGAAAAATCTAAGCAAGTAAAGATATTAGAAGAAATAAAAGACCAAAAAATAGTTTTGAAAGAACAGATTTTATCACAATTTGAATTTTATTTATAACAAGAAAAATATCTTTTTTCTTTACCCTTTTGCTAATGCTAAATAACCCAGATAATTTTAAATTCTTTAATTTTAGTAAAACATAAGACATTGTGAGTTAATTACCATGATCAAGTACATATAATATGATATGTGTATGTAAAAGATAAAGATAATAATGAATTTATAATCTTTGTCTAGAATTTATTTAACACCAAGAAAAAAATCTTGTAAATACAAGGGCAACTATAATTTTGACCCTCCTCCTAGACTTTTGTTGTGAGAGTTTTAACATTTTCCCAACAAAAGTAGATGACTTGAATCCACATCTATCAACATATTTTTTTAAAAAATATTGCAATAAAAAATGGGAAAAAAATTAACATTTGTGTCAAGGATAAGTTAATCTATTTGACTAAGAATGAAACATATTTTCATTTATAAGGAATTTTGACAAGACTTTGGCTATTTAATTTAAAAATAATAGTTTCAGGACTCCATTCCTAGCACTCATTAGATTTCAAGCCTCACAAGTTGTGAGGCTAATGCATGTGGTTATTACCACCATTAAAGTAAGTGACACCAGAGTCATACGATGGATGTTCTTGAAGGGCACATGAACTTGCTTTGAAAAGTCCCCTTAAAGAAGATTTCACGAAATGTTCTAAATAAGGACAAAGCAGTGATATTGGCATCGCTCTCCCACAGAGAGAGCCCCACTGTGAGTTCACACTCGGTTCACTGTTTGCAATCACTCTCCTGCAGCTCAAGCTACAAAATCATGCTCTGGTGTTTTAGCATTTTTCGTGAAAGAATGTTGATTTCTTCAAAGGAAAGGCTCGTTTTTGATTCCCTATATTGCCCTGTCCAGTGCTGTGCAGGTAAAAATAGGTGTTTGCCGAATTTAATCATCTCTTATACCTGTGTTACAGCTTTCAAAGCCCTTGTTTCAAAGCACTTTTTTTTTTTTTTTTTTTTTTGAGACGGATTTTTGCCCTGTCACCCAGGCTAGAGTGCAATGGCGTGATCTCGGCTCACTGCAACATCTGCCTTCTGGGTTCAAATGATTCTTCTGCCTCAGCCTCCCGAGTAGGTGGGACACTGGCGTCCGCCACCATGCCCAGCTGTTTTTTGTATTTTTAGTAAAGACAGCATTTCACCATGTTGGTCAGGCTGGTCTCGAACTCCTGACATCATGATCCCCCTGCCTCGGCCTCCCAAAGAGCTGGGATTACGGGCGTGAGCCACCACACCCGGCCTCAAAGCACATTATTTCATTTGATCCTCATATCAGCACTGAAGGTGGACATAGCAGAGTATATTTTTATCAGGTTCTCACAGATGAGGAAATCAAGCCTTGGAAAGGTTAACAGAATATAACTGAAGGCACAGGGAAAGTGCTGGCTCATGCAGAAGCGGAGTCGGAGCGGTCTGATTCATTCTCCCATGTCATTTCAAACCACGATTGCTCAGACAATATTGCCCTAGGCACATTGCGTATTATAAATTATTAACCTAAAGGATTATTATTAAAATATCCTCCACAGAGTCACCAGATAGACATATCTAAAATTTAAATCTGTTTACTTGCTACATTAAAAAACAACTCCTTGCTGCCTGTAAGATAAAGTCCAATTTATTTTTTGACATGACATAGAAAACACTCCTGGTTTTGAGCTTTATCTGACTTTTAACAAACTCTCTGCCCACTTTATTCTTACTCTAATCTCCAGCAGCTAAAATCCGCTAAGAAGGAACCATCCGTGCTCTGCCTGTGCTGTGCGTCGTGGAGAGTAACCTGACCCCTCTATCCTCATGCCAACCTCACACTCTACCTTAAAGAAGTCCAACTCATATTTTATGATTCGCCGTGCAAATCATCTTCTTCAGGAAGCTTTTCCTGAGTCCCTACAATTAAACTTGGTGCCCGTTTGCCTAGATAGGACTGTTCTCCAAATGTCTCATGCTCCCCTTCATTTCCTGCACCCAGCACAATCTGGAAACCTTATCACTAGTTCCCAAGAAAGGGCTATGAACAGAAGGGACACCTGCTGAAGCCAAAGCATCTATTTTTTGATGTGAGTGTTGTCCTAATTGCCTAGGATAGTTGCCCAGAATCAGAGTGGACTAGCATGAGTGAGAGATCAGTTCCAGTTGCATAAACCACGGAGACTTTGTTCATCACTTAAGGATAAGTGATGATCCTAATACTTGATCCTAATAGTGGTACAGTGATAAATGAATAAATAGCCCTAAGATACAGGGCACTGAAATAGTGGCTGGGCCAGGGATGAAGGAAACTAGTAAGCAAGCTGGGAGAATGATATTTAGCAGTGAGATATTCGGTAAAGCTCTTGCCTCTTAGTAGAACTTGTGATAACTTGGTAGGCCGATTTCATGTCTTAAGAGTTTCTATAAGAACTTTAAAGTAGTTTTTTCCAATTCTGTGAAGAAAGTCATTGGTAGCTTGATGGGGATGGCATTGAATCTATAAATTACCTTGGGCAGTGTGGCCATTTTCAAGATATTGATTCTTCCTACCCATGAGCATGGAATGTTCTTCCATTTCTTTGTATCCTCTTTTATTTCATTGAGCAGTGGTTTGTAGTTGTCCTTGAAGAGGTCCTTCACGTCCCTTGTAAGTTGGATTCCTAGGTATTTTATTCTGTTTGAAGCAATTGTGAATGGGAGTTCACTCATGCCATCCCATTACTGGGTATATACCCAAAGGACTATAAATCATGCTGCTATAAAGACACATGCACACGTATGTTTATTGCAGCACTATTCACAATAGCAAAGACTTGGAACCAATCCAAATGTCCAACAATGATAGACTGGATTAAGAAAATGTGGCACATATACACCATGGAATACTATGCAGCCATAAAAAATGATGAGTTCATGTCCTTTGTAGGGACATGGATGAAATTGGAAATCATCATTCTCAGTAAAGTATCACAAGGACAAAAAAACCAAACACCGCATGTTCTCACTCATAGGTGGGAATTGAACAATGAGAACACATGGACACAGGAAGGGGAACATCACACTCTGGGGACTGTTGTGGGGTGGGGGGAGGGGGGAGGGGGGGAGGGATAGCATTAGGAGATATACCTAATGCTAAATGATGAGTTAATGGGTGCAGCATAGCAGCATGGCACATGTATACATATGTAACTAACCTGCACATTGTGCACATGTACCCTAAAACTTAAAGTATAATAATAATAAAATTAAAAAAAAAAAGAGTTTCTTGATTGTATGGACAAATGTGAAATTTAAAAATAAGAGGCTCTATTCTCCCTGTTGAAAATGGGCAATTGTCCTTCCTGTTTTTTAGGGCATATAACTTTAGAAAACTTTCGGTTGTAAGCACTTCCTCCTCTCTTTGAAATGTAAATAATTCTTCTGAAAACCAGATAGGTCTTTTGTCAGCTTTAAGACCCTAAAATGCCTTTCTCAAGGACTCATGAACCGTGCCTTTGACATGTAAATCTGAAGGGAGATGCACCCCCATCTCCTAGTTTCTGTAACAGAGAGGGTGCCTAACTTCAGGTGCTACTTCTCTCCAACTTGCAAAACTGTCTCTTGTCATAAAGATACAAGAAGTTTGTTTTTCCTCTGCATAAAGCCAATTAGCCAACACAAATGGTTACCCCAGTTACAAGGATGAGGCATGTGTGACAAACAGTGCTGTCAAGTTCTCTCGCTTGAGACCAGTAATTGTTTACCTTGAGAACCTGCATGTATTGAGTTGTACCTGGATGGCTATATCAAAGGGTGGTATTCTCCCTCTGTCTGCAGTTTCTTAGCAGAAATAATGGAGTGTTTTTTTTTTTTTTAATCACATTTATGGAGAAGATTTCTGCATTGGGAGATTTTGTTTTTAATTTTATTCCTCCAACAACATCTAGGGAAAGCGGTTAGATAACAAAACGTTAACAGTGTTTGTTGACTGATATGGTACTAAAAAGAAAGAGGCTCTTAGAAAGAAATTGAGAATTTTCAAGCAAAAATGAAAGGCATTTGAAAAATTCAAAACCTTGTAAAATTGGAAAAGAGAACTCTGAGACAGACACTTAATGTTTTTAAGTGACAAAACCAAGCTAAAGCAGTCTCAAGGAAAAGAGCAGATTAAGTGTAATCTCCACAATTATTGCTAAAACCTTTCAATTAAGGTATGTCAAGGTAAAAAGCAGCTCAAGGGTAGGATACCCATTATAATCTGTTAATTCTTTGCCCTGGGTCATTTTTATCTAATTAAGTGAGTGCTGCTCCTACAAAAACCTGACAAAGTCAAGGCACCTTTCAAATCAAAAGACAGTTTTGAGGGAAGAAATAAACAATCAGAGCATATCTGAGAAATAGAGCTCAAAAAACAAAACAAAACAAAACAAAAACAAACCAAGAAAACACTTCCTTGGTACAAGTGATTGGCACTAAATACACAAGAAATCTTGTAATATTTTGACAAAGTTTTACAGGGAAAACAGGCTGTAAATAAAAAATATTTATAACTTGTTAAGATTCAGTAACCTTCAGATCTCTACTACAACTTCTCAGGGTAGAATGTGGACTGAGAAACGTGCAACGCTTCAAAGAGAACATTTTCCCAACGTCCAGTTCGAATATGGACAAGGAGGATAATGATAAAGGAAAATCCTCCTGGAGGGCCGAGGGCAGAACCAAGTGGAATAGAGGATTGGCACGTTCTTCCCAAAGAGCAGAATGAGGGCCCAGCCACATATCCTTGTTAATTCTGGATAAAGACCCTGAAGATATCTGGCAAGCAGCAATTCAGAATTACCAGGACCAGTGACTGTTGCCTGCTTGCCTCCCAAACTTTCCCTTGAATGGGAGTGTTTGCAGGGGCAGGCATCCCACCTCTCTTAAGCCACTGTTCCTTGGGCCAGGGTGGGTAGAGGGGGGAAAAAAAGCATCTTTTTCTGGATCATTCTTTTGGAACTATAAGAAGTCATATCGGCCTAGCATGGTGGCTCACGCCTGTAATCCCAGCACTTTGGGAGGCCGAGGCAAGTGGATCACGAAGTCAGGAGATGGAGACCATCTTGGCTAACACGGTGAAACCCCGTCTCTAGTAAAAATACAAAAAAATTAGCTGGGCATGGTGGCGGGCGCCTGTAGTCCCAGCTACTCAGGAGTCTGAGGCAGGAGAATGGAGTGAACCCAGGAGGCGGAGCTTGCAGTGAGCCGAGATTGCGCCACTGCACTCCAGCCTGGGCGACAGAGCAAGGCTCCGTCTCCAAAAAAAAAAAAAAAAAAAAGTCATATCTGGACCTGATGTACACACTGCTACAAATCGCCTGCAGACTCTGGACTTTGAGCTATAATCAGTGGCTTGCTGGATTGCTTTTTGGATTGTTTCCCTTAAGGAACAATTGAGTGTGTAGGAAGAAGAGAGAAAAGGGATCTTCGCTCATCAGAAGATATGACTGTGGCAGAGACAATATACTTTCCAAATATTCCACATACTCCCTACTTGTCCCCTCGCAGATGTGGGGTGGGGGGGCTGTGGAGGCCACCTTCTGGGTGGTGGGCTATTAATAGAAATAACATGCATTACCACTGTACTAAAGTATTTAAATGTTTTGTATTAGCGCAGGCTGCCATAAGAAAAACATGACACAGAGTGGGTGACTTAAACAACGGAAATTAATTTTCTCACTCTGGAGGCTGGAGTCTGAGATCAGGGTGCCAGCATGGTTGGGTTCTGGTGAGGGCTTTCTTCCTGGTTTGGAAATGGTCACCTTCTTGAGGTCTTTCCTCCGCATGGCAGAGAAGAGGGACTGAGAGGTTTCTTTCTCCTTCTTATAAAGCCACCGATCCTATCAATCAGATTAGGACCCCACCCTTATTACTTCATTTAACTTTAATTCCATCTATAAAGGACCTATCATCTCTGGCTCTTGTCATAAAGATATAAGAAGTTTGGGGTTTAGGGTTTCAACATATGAATTTTGGGGAGAAACAATTGAGTCCATAGTATGCTTGTTGGAGAATGTTCCCACCTTCTTCCCCTGCTATGCATGGCAATGAGGTAGGTTAGCATGAAGATGTCTGAGTCACAAGATTGCAGCATCCTAGGTTTCTGAATCCAGGTGCCCTGGTGATCTGTCCAAGCCTGCATCAGGCATAGCTTGAGTGGGAAATAAATCTTTGTTGTATTGAGCTATTGAGAATGGGGGTTGACATCATTAATGTTTTTAAAATGATACAACTTAACCTATGTTCCTAATACACAACCCTCCTGGGATGTATTTTATTACAATTCCTATATTATATTGAAATCATTAGTTGATCTATCTTACCAAGTACACTATGTGCTCATTAAGGGAAGGGACTATGTGTTACCTATTTTTGTTTCTTTAGTTCTTACCATAGTGTTCGATAAATGAAATAAAGTAGCCCAGAGAATAAATGAGGTTTCTGGTGCCACAAAAAGATTTAAATCATAATATCTAATTGGGTTTTAATTACAAAGTATAGAGTAGCAAAGGCCTCCATGAAAAAAATTTGCATCAGGGATGTTTTCAATGTTTTAAAATCATAGGTCTATATAAACCCTTGCTTTAATTCCAAAGAGATAATGCCAAGACAAAGTGTTTAGGAACCTAGTGCCTTTTCCTTCTGTGTATCTAATCTGGTAAATCTCTTGCTATGATAATACCAGGTCTGCTTTTTTTTTTTCCCCCTCGGAGAGAGCATTAATTAAATGACTTAGGAAACTGTTTTTATTGAGAAATGGAGACTCTGATCTTAGTTATTGCTCAATTAAGTTTAAAGTTCAATACATTTTTATTGAACCCACACATACTTTAACGTGAATTGCTTTTTACTAATTGGTCTGTAGTAATCACAATGACAGTTTTGGTCGCCTTTTAGGCTTCTTTTATTCTCATTCAGAAAGTTCCTAAACTTCATTCATAGTCATTAAATCAAGAATGATTTCTGGAATCAAGAAGATAAAGTCAAGAGAGCTGTGAAGTTCTGGTTTGATCTCCTCCCATGATTTGTGAAACGTCACCACATTCACTCATAGGTTTCTGTATCCCAGGATATACCACCCCCAGCTGGCTTTATTCAAACAATGAAGCCATTCATTGATTAATTCCTTCATTCAACAGAAGCACATGTTTTTACATTTTAGTATTTCTGAAATTGGGGTATATTTTGTTATGACATCGTCTATGGAACAGCAGCCTCCAAATGATGGCTGCCAAGTGGTGGTAGTGATGTGGCTGCTGTTGCCTGTGTGTACAGGCTCAGGATTTCCTCACTTCAATTGAAGCTCTGTGCAATGTTGGCACTTCATGTCTTGTGTTTGACTATATTTTAGTTAATTGCAACTCTTCAATGTTTCAGTCAAGAAATGTTTTAGGACCATTTGAAAGAGAAACACGAGACCTTGTTGTCTAAAAACCTACTGTGTACACCTTCTGGTAGATAAACTTTGCACCAACAAGCATAAAAAACTTGCAGGACAGATATCAGTAGTTCAGAAGAAAATCTTAGAGTCCCAGCAGTACACTCTTTTATGAAGATATGTGTACCACTAACACTCTTGATGGCAAATCAAATGATATTTAAAAAAAAAAAAAAAAAAAACCAACCCAGAAGGGCATTGATAACTCTGGGTTAGTACAGAAATGTTGGAGTCCATATGTGAGAAATTCCTTAACTAACTTAGACCTTATAGTGTATATAACATAATTCATATTTATTATGTATTAATTATATTTTTATGCTTTTGTATCATATTTAAGAACTTTCTGTTTTATCTTTCCTCTTAACCACTTGGTTATGCATTAGAGAAAAGATTCTTTCTCTTTGCATCCCTGACCAACGAAGGTTTAGGAATAAATTAAGCCTACCTATGACATCACAGAATCCTTAATTGTATGACATATAACATTTGCTACCACTAACCACCTTTTCATAATAACTATATTGCAATATTTAAGTATTATTTTGCATTTCTAATTGTTAAAAATTAGTAACTGGGTTTTTCCCAGGTTTCTAAATGGAAGCAATATTATCAAAGTTAGTGAGACACATATTTTAAGCACCAATTTTCTACTAGTAAGCATCATGCTGAATATGGGTGCTTAGTTTTTGAAAAATAATTCATACAAAAGATCAGGGGTTCGCCTGAATTTTGGCCATGCAGGCATTTTCACTCATCTTGATTTTTGCTTACAATATTTATGAGGTAACATGAAGTAAAAATGTCAAGTCAGCAGTTAAATAAAGGAGTTTTGTCTTTCACAGGATAAAATTGTACATAATCATGAATCTTATCACTTCCTCTGAAGGTCTGGTATTTTTTTGTGATTATCTTGAGAAAATATGCTTGCATGGCAAATTGGTTGTTTCTACCTTTAAAATGCAAAGTTATGATCCTTATGGTAAAAGAGCAATTGCTCCGAGCTGATGTGAGACTATGAATACATCTCCTGGGCGCCATGCTGCGCTGAGGATGATTACCATGGAGAGTTTCCTGGTCCTTGTTCTCCTTCTGCCCCACACTAGGTGAGTGCTCCTTGAGACTTATGGCATATAATTATAATTACAAGGGTGACTGAAGGATGCTTCTCCAGAATAAACGATGTATATCCATTCCTACTGTTCATGTCTACATGTCAGTTTTACAGCAGAATTTAACAATGCATTTGAAAAAGTGTGTCAATGAAAAAAGTATTTTGACATATCCAATTGTATTATTTTCATATGTATTATTTGTACTAATACTACTATTAGTGCATATAGTAGTATAAATAAATAGCTAAAATTTATACCAAGTGATATGCCTTGGGCAATGAGCTAATAAAACCTAGAAAGTGTTGGCCTTTGGCTTTGGTTTGCTAGCATGACTGGCCATGCCTTACCTGCCAATCTGCCCTCTAAATTGTCCCCAGTCTCATCACCAGTGACCCCATCAGTCCAGACCCAGGGAACACAATGTCCCACTTTTATTTCTCTAGATCAAGTATGGACAAGACCTTCCCCCACTGGCTCATTTTAACAACAGTGAAGTCATCTGGAATTTACAAAACAGATGCACAAAATTATGGACAATTTCTCAGTCACTAAAGAGCAAATGACACCCAAAATTCAGAGAAGGAGAAACACACAAATGAACTGTGTCCAAAGGACAGATCTCTAATCTCAAAGACAAGGAAATAAACAGAGGGAAAAAAATAGATACCAAATTCCTCTATGAAATAGAAAGATCTTAAAAAACTAATGTGGACAGGTATAAATGGAGTGAAAATTCTGAATAACCATTCTTCATGAAAGAAAATGACTTGTTATTTAAAATTTTGAGTGGAAGTCTATTGAAACGTTGTAACAGACAAAATAGTTAAATTGTTTTCCATAGAAAGAGGAAGATAGGTATATCTAGAAGGATCCAAGGGAAGGGATCCTGGAGGTAGTGCTGGTAAATGATGCAAAAACGAAAACAAAACCCCAACCCCGACAAAACCTTAACAACAACATTCAATTCATATATATATATATATATGTATATATATGTAAAACTAACTGATATGGTTTGACTCTGTCCCCACCCAAATCTCATCTTGAATTGTAGCTCCCAAAATTCCCACGTGTTGTTGGAGTGACCCAGTGGGAGATAACTGAATCATGGGGGCAGTTCCTCCCATGCTGTTCTGATGGTAGTTAATAAGTCTCACGAGATCTGATGTTTTGATAAGGGGAAACCCCTTTCACTTGGCTTCATTCTCTTCTCTCGTCTGCTGCCATGTGAGATGTGTCTTTCTCCTTCTGCCATGACTGTGAGGCCTCCTTAGCCACGTGGGACTGTGAGTCCATTAAACCTCTTCCTTTGGTGAATTGCCCAGTCTTGGGTATGTCTTTATCAGCGTGTGAAAATGGATTAATATACTACCTTTTTAAAGCCAGTAAAAAAATAAGGTGCATCATAGATTTTAGGTCAGTGAATCTCTAAAACATGTCAACTCATTTTCATAGTCATAATTTTTAAAATAGTAAACATATCTTAAAAATATTCATTTTCTTATTAGAATTTGTATTTCCCAATGGCTATCGGAATGTGATTACACTATTGCACTCTCAATATCTAGGTAGACAGAAATAGTTGAACAAGCTCATAACTACTAAGTAAACACAGGATCTAATGCTTTTCAGAGAAATCAGTGTGGTAGAGACTTTAATATTACTGTAGTGCAAAAGGGCCCCAGACTGGTAAAATTACTCCAGCTCAGGTTTTTTGTTTGTTTTTTCCCTCCTTAAAATTTTAAGAGACATGGGACCTACCCTAGCTGGCTAGATAGATATTATTAGAATGTGACATTGAGTAAATATTTAGCAGTTTTTAAGAAGAAAGTTATAAACTTAAAAATATTATATCAAATGCAATAAAACTTCACTATAATTGCCTTATAAGGCCATGAATTCATTTTAAGAATGTGATAAATCATGTACCCTGGGTGAAGATGGAAGCATTAAACATCTCCTCATATAAAATCCCCAAACCTAAGTCTTATCTTGGATGTGTGACAATACTACAATGGGGTCATAGCATAAAGACAATGATTTGGTTGGTTGTAGTTTATGTCTAAATCCGTGTTTATTAATAATGATTGTGAATCAAGGATTCATTTCAGACCCTTATGGATTCCAACCATATGCTGTGATCAAGAAAGCAGTATATTTGCCTAAAAGCAATATTTAAATTTATTTAAAACTTTAAAAAAAGATTGTTTGCTTATTAAAAAACACTCACAAAAACAATGCAAGCAAGGACATGCTGCCTTTAATTTTATGGAGGTCCTTTTGCATACAGGCACACCGAAAATATAGTATTGTAATAATCTTGCAAAACATATTACATTATTAAAATAATTACAAAACCAGTTTGAGTTTGATGGTAGTGTAAGAAACTGAAATTATTTTGAATGGGGTAATTAGCCTGCCAAAAAACTAACAGAATTGTATTCATGTTATTAAGAATCTGAAGAAATTATGTATTTGGTAACTTTTACCCTGAATGAAAACAGTGCTCACTGGGGGCAATGATGGACAGCACTCTCTTTCAGGACTCTGTTATACAGACTCTGTTATACAGACAACTCCTGCACTTGGCTGCTGCACTAGATCTTACCTTCCTGACTCAAACGTGAACCACGTTGAGTCCCGACCGTATCTCCTCAGTGAGCTGAGAGGCCACATCACCAGTTTGACCTTGGCATTGTGGATATCCCAGAGATAGATATTTTCATGAGTGATCTGCATTGTGCATTCACCATAAATATCCAGGTTTGGTGTAGGCATAAGATACACGTTGAATCTCTCTGTGAAGAGACGAAGAATGGAGAAGGTTAAGTGAAAAGAGGTGTGAGTGTCTATGGCCATACGATATTAATTTGTTTATCTACAGACTGCAGGAAACATGACCACATCCTCCCTAGGTGATATGGATAAACATTGTAGAACATGACATATTTCAAAATTTGTATGAGAAAAGGAGTTCATTAAAGTGTTCTGAATCATTAATTCATTCATTCACTCAACGACTTTTCATTGCATGTATTGTCTATGGTGAGGATTAAGTAGTTAAATTGTACAATGGAAAAATAAGGGCAAAAGTTAAGGGAGTCTCTGCCCAAATTGTGCTTATGGTCTGTTCCTTCACACAATCTAAGTGGATATCACAGATACGATTCCAGCGAGGGATGTCTTATTTGCTCTCCTTAGGCAAGATCTTATTTGATTTTTACCTTTGTTGATGTGAAGTATTTAATGCACCCTCAGACTGACTCACTAACTACTTAAGCACTGGAAAAATCATTTAGTTTGTATCTCAAAACAAATTGTAGTCATGGTCAAATTTAGCATATGATAATTGCAGATATTCATTACAGCCTTCCGCAGAACTTAAGACATTGCTTTGGTAAGCAAAATAAAAATACTTAACTTTTTTCATTCCTGGATATCCTATGGCTGAAAATATTATTAGGCAATGATTCCAAACCTTACTTTGTAACTGTCTGTCTGTGTTTCTTAAAGGCTATTGCAAAGTTATGCTGCCTTTGATTCCCATTTAGATGCATTAAATAGATTTTTTTTTTTGAAAAATAAGATTAGTTTGCAAGTTCCAGGAAGTAAAAAGAACTTGGTATGCCTTACAACATACTCTATAAAGTATCCCTAGTTCCTAGCACCATATCTTTGATTTACATTGTGTCCAATAAATATTTGATAACTGTATGAATAAAATACATCTATGCCATGATGAATTATGAGATGCAAGAATTGAAGAATTACAAAAAAAGTCATAAGAAAAACTTTAAGAATTACTGGCAGATATACCTCTGTGGGTTAGGATTTAATTGTGAATAGTGCTTTAAAGTCAGTGCTGTTGAATTAATTAGTTTGAGAGATGAAATAGTGCAGCTGCAGATGGAAAATGATTGATATGTTTAGGAATGTACTATTATACATCATAACAGCATAATCTTAAATGCTACATGTTTGCTGGTACTGAGCTGAAATTGTATAATAGAAAGATTCTTCTCTCTGGCAGATATTTTACTTAGTAAGGATTCTCTGATGCCAAAAAAAATATTTGAATTACAAATTAACATAACCATGATAGCTTAACATTAACTAGCCATAAAAACAATATTTATACTCATGTGTCTTGATATTTTGGACAATAGCTTATCTAATAATTCAGTCTTTTAGATTATTGACCCATGAAACTAATATGTGTATGGATTTCACATTCATTTCCTAAGAAACGACAAATTGCAATCAATTCTATGGCTAAAAGCTGAAGAAAGAACATTGCCTCATTAATTATCTGCAGTGAAAAGCCCAAATATATACATATTCCCAATAGCTTAAAATTCTTATGTGCAACCAACTGAAGTATTAACATTTAGTATTAAACACATCAGTCACATTCCCATCATAATTCACACTCCAATGGGATTAGTAGTAAATTAAAGGGGGCATGATCTCATATAAAACAATAAATGAAACTTGGACCCAAAGGTTTTACACAGGAATATACACAAGGCCCGAACATCAATCTTCTCTTCTTTGGCCAAGAAGCTTTTGATAAATTTCAGCTCCTATATTTGGAATTAATCATATGTCAGTGGTACCTGTTGTGCATAGAGAAAATATTGTTATAGAAACGGAAAGTAAAACATTTCTTTACATTTTTTCCTTTCCATCAATTTCAGAGTCAGAATTAGCAACCGAAAAAATAATTGCCAAAATGCCACTAAATAACATTTCTTCCAAAATATTGAAGTAAACATCATTAACCAGTATTATTGTTGCTTATGGCTGTATTGACCCTTGATGTTCATGCCCATAGTTTGATAGTTAAAAACATAGAATGTTTAAAAAAAGATCTTGACATTGAGTGTCCTTCCAGTGGATGGTACATGAAACATGACCTGTAACAGTGGACCCAGAAGGACCATCACATTTTCACTGAAATGTTTGTGTGCTCAAATGTTAGCAGATAGAGCTTAGGAAAAATAAGCAAGGAGAGAGTACAAGCATCACACTGGACACTGGAGAAAGCTGAAAAAAATCAAGTAAGTAAATTTAATAAGATTCACATGATATAGGGCTCTATGTATCTCTATCTCTGTCTCCGTCTCTGTCTCTATCGCTATGTATATCATCAAGGCCCATTTAAAAAAAAGCAACTGGACAACTTGCCCTAAGGGAGTTTTTCCAGGGCCATCTCTAGTCAATACCAGCAGGTGAAATTTACCCGTGGTGCCTCTACCCTCTTGCCTGTCTTCTGTTTTCCCTGTCCTCACATACTTTTTTACCCAGCAACTCAAGTCAACCCTTCTTGTTGTGGTTTAGAACTCTCCAGTCTTCCTTTGGATGCTATTTCTTGCAACTTTAGAAAGACATTATGCTAAGATTATATTTATATTTTCAATTTTCAAATATTCAAAATCTATTCTCTCCTAACAGCTAATTTCTAAGAATTTCAGATTCAATTAAAAAGTGAACAAATTTAATCCAGCAGAAAACTAGGCACAAAAAGATGAAGGCAGCACATTATGTTACCTAACTATACTTAACCGAATTCCGTTATAATGACGAAGGAAGCTTTCTGCCTTTTCAGTGACTGTATCAGTGTATTCTCTTAGTAGCATAATACACTTTGTTTTACTGAAAAATTTGTTAAGGCTTTGCTAGAAAGACCATTTCAAAATGGAGTGGTTAAAATTGGCTCCATTAAAATGATTTTTAAAAAATGTTTATCTTTGTGAAACAATTCTATCAAGCAGGCGTTTTAAATCACTCTCTAATTATGCTGCTTTTTAAATTTAAGAACCCATGTTCGGTTTTTATTTCCTATACCACTGGTTTTTCAGACTTCAGTGTGCTAAAATTACCTGGAGGCTTTGTTGAAACACAGAATGCTGGGCCCCCTCCAATCTTATCATTTCTGGTACAATAGGGCTGGGCTGGAGCCAGATAATTTACATTTTCTGTTTATTCCTAAGAGATGTTGACACTGCTTCTCTGCGGACCACACTTTGAGAACTGTTGATTTGTGAAACTCACTTTAAAATATTGCCAGGGAAGTAGCAGTATTAGAGAAATCATGAGGAATGACTTTGGAAAATGATGCCATGTACCAGCAGAACAAAAGAACACTTGCTTTTTTCAAAAGTGTTATCTAATATCTGCCCAAATAAATTAATCCCATCTCAACTGATTCATGTCTGATTTTGTAAGAAAGAGTTCTTAGGCTAATTGGAACAAAACAAGAGACAGGAGCATAGAAAGAAAGATACATGGAAGATGGTTTACAATTTATCAAGATATGTGTATTCCAACTATTTTCCTTATCAGATGATTGACAACAACAAGAAAACATTATTAAAGAAAACTAAACCCATTCCCAAATACCCAAAAGTACTGAAAAGGAAACTAATTGTTTAAATAATGATAATAATATCCTAAAACATAAATATTCTGCTAATCTGTGAAGGCTGCTGAACGTATGGAAAAACAAATTTTTGAAAAGGTTATGTAGAAACAAATACCAAATCAAAATGTATTCATTCATATAAGATTTAAAACTACAGAGTTAAAAAGTCCCAAACACATTGCCTGTGAATTTGTATGTTGGTAAAATTTAGAGTCCCATATTAGCTAATATGTGAGAAAATATAATTTTATTTTAAATGGTTGAAACAAAAACCAAGGGTGGAATATTTATTAAATATTATAAATATATAATTATGCTATAATAAAGTGTATAATTTTATTATAATATAAATATTGCATCCAACAAAGATGCTAGTATTGAATCTGCAATTATGTTTACAAGGGCATCTTTTTCACTAGGGCTGAATGATGAGGTCCAAAGGAATAGACCATGCCCAGGGAAGGCCTGAGATACAGGGGTAAGGCTGCAACTACGAGAGTCTAGACAGGGCTACAAAACAAGGCTTAGACGAATTGAATAGATCAAGGTCTGGCAAGACAGGGTGACTGTACTCAGGGAAAAGGGGCAGCAAGGCTCCAGGTGGAACGAGAGGGGACTGAATGGGTCATCAGTGCCGAGAAGAACTGAAATCTTCCCTGTCAGCCAGTGAGTTTTTAAATAGATCAATTTTTTTTTTTTTTTTTTTTTTTTTTTTTTTTGACACGGAGTCTCGCTCTGTCGCCCAGGCTGGAGTGCGGTGGCGGGATCTCGGCTCGCTGCAAGCTCCGCCTCCCGGGTTCACGCCATTCTCCTGCCTCAGCCTCCCGAGTAGCTGGGACTACAGGCGCCCGCCACCACGCCCGGCTAATTTTTTTGTATTTTTAGTAGAGGCGGGGTTTCACTGTGTTAGCCAGGATGGTCTCGATCTCCTGACCTCATGATCCGCCCGCCTCTGCCTCCTAAATTGCTGGGATTACAGGCGTGAACCACCGCGCCCGGCCTAAATAGATCTATTTTATGCAGGAACAAATCCAAGTATAGCTGTGAGTCTGAGACTGGCAGGTGGAGGTAAGTGGATCTCGCAGTTGCCTGGAGAAGCAAAGGATCAGAGATGGGGATTTCTGACAAGAAGTAACACACAGAAAACAAACGGGTGAGAAGTCCTTCAAACAACCCCTTGATAATTTCCCTTTTGTAAGAATACAGATGGAAAACTATGTTTAATGGAGAACCGTACAGGAAAACAGACGTCTGTTCAGCTAAATTTCCCTTATACTAAGTAGAAATATATATATAAAAAGAGGCTTTTGGAATTTATGTATTAAATAAGTGTGCATCTAGCACATGGTGAACATTCAGTGCATTGTGACTGCATACACATAAAATGCATTTTTGTATGTTAGTTAGAAGAAATTTGAAAAATGTCTACTGGAAGCCAATAGATTCTTTTTTTTTTTTTTTTTTTCTTCAAAGAAGACTTTTTTCCACTGTATTCTATTTCTTCCTCTGCTTCAGAAGTCATGGGTTTGAAGGTTGGGTCAAAAGAAAACAATGGAACATGGAACAAAGTATTATACCTAAATATTCAGAAACCAAGAGATGTATAAATATTAACTCATTAGGTTTTCCACAGATAGGAGTTAAATCTAACAATATCTTCAGCTAAGTAAGTACATGTGAACTCCTTATACTTTTAGCTTGTCTTCCTCTTAAAAGCCAAAAATGGCTCAAAAGAAGAAACTGTACAAAAGGAAAGGCATTCTTGATTTAGATCATTGGTGACATAATGATTTAGGCTGTAAACAATTCCTTGTGTAAAATTGAACCTTTATCCCTCATGAGGCTTAAATATTTGTTAAAATTTATTAATTAAAATATCTAGGCATTATTAAGTTAACATAAATAAAATTAATACTTACATAAATGTATACAGTAGCTGTAAACTGGTTATATAATGATTTAAAATAGCTGTAAGTATTGGATAATTTGTTTACATATTTTTTCATTCTGCTGTAGTTTATATCCATCTATTGTTTTTCCCATAAATGTACATAACTAGAGTCACAGGCAAAACTTGGATGGCCTGGGCCTATCTGAGCATAAATGGCAAATGTCAACTCTAAATAGGAGAATTTCACTTCATTGTTTTTATTAACGAGTGATTCCATAAAGTTAAGACTCACTTCTATATACAATCAACTGGTCAAAATAACTTTAAAGATTTAACTGAGATTCTCTGATGGCAGGAGGCTTCAAATTTGTTTCAAAATATCACGTGATAAAAACCCCAGTATTTATGGAAGACATTGTTTAGGTTAAATCTGTTACTGTAGCTAATTCATTAAAAGACCCAGATTTAGTAGGATGTAATTTAGGAAAATGGTTTTTCTTCCAACCCTGCTCTCACACAACTATGAAATTTCCACTTCTTGCCCCTGGCGGTATCTCAGGCAGAGATTAGTGTTTAATTCACTATTGCCCATAAGGATATTGTCAACTTTATGTCTCAGATGAGATGACTGGTGTAATTGATAATTTTAAAGTCTCAAATAAATGGAAGTTTCTCCTCTTCTTTCAGGTCAAGTCCATTACTGAGAGTCCAGCAATGAGAATGAGAAAGATAGAATATGCTCTTTCCTGCTTGTTCCATCACCGTCTTTCCACGGTGACTCCCCACCGCCCCACTTTCTTTTGCTTTTGACTTTTCCAGGGTAAGAATAATGAAAAGAAAAGGGGGTAAATTCCTTCTAAATAGTTACTATTGAAAATTCTTCTTTACTTTTGAATTCTTAATGACAAGATGTATTCAAATGCTACCGCTCTCTTTGAGGCATATGGTATGTTCCTAAGAACCATCCCAACACCTCAGAAAAACCATCCCAACACCTCAGATATCTCCCCTGCTCCCTGAAGGGGAGGTGCCTTGATTAGACATGGAGCCTATTACCCTTAGCTTCTATTTTCTGCATTCCACCTTTATCATCTTTCAGCTGGAGCTCCTTCTCACAGGCAAGAGTTGTCCTGGTGTGGGTGTTTTCAAGATGAATCAAGCTCAGCTAACTATAAAGTGTGCACTTGTCCCACTGAATGTGGCAGTGTATCTTGTCCAGTTGCTGATCCATTCTCCTTGTTTGGCTATCACAAACAGCTTCAGACCCATCTTGCATCCTAACCTCAGGTTCACCATGGTGAAAACTGAAACCACTACTTCCCCAAACTCAGGTTCTTCCCCAAACTCTCTTGAACACTGCCCAGGTACCAGCTTGGGTAGCACTACTTGATTCTACAGTTCTACCAGCATGGGTGAGGTGAGAAGCCAGTCTGTCCTCCTGACAAACAACCCAAATTCTACAAGTAGTTCTCTTGCCCTTCCTCTTTCATGGGGCTTGAGAGGGGTGAATATTCTCTCCTTTCTGCCCTTCTCCTATAAAAGACTTTCAATGAATTATCTTTATGTCTCTCTTAACACTTCTTGGTTCTTTTCACCCACTATCCACAGCTCTGTGGCCACAATACAGAGACAACAAGAAAGTCCAATTCTATATTTTTATTTATTTATTTATTTATTTATTTATTTATTTATTTATTTATTTTGAGACAGAGTTTCGCTCTTGTCGCCCGGGCTGGAGTGCAATGGTACGATCTTGGCTCACTGCAACCTCCGCCTCCTGAGGCAGTGATTCTCCTCCCTCAGACTCCAGAGTAGCTGGGATTACAGTCACCTGTCACTATGCCCAGCTAATGTTTGAATTTTTAGTAGAGACAGGGTGAGTTTCTCCATGTTGGACAGGCTGGTCTTGAACTCCTGGCCTCAGATGATCTTCCTGTCTCGGCCTCCCAAAGTGCTGGGATTACAGGTGTGAGCCACCATGCCCAGCCCAATTCTATATTCTTTAACACTTTTTACATACCAATTAAAACATGAAATTTTAGTAAGAATCCAAAACTACTAAATGGTATTTAGGCAAAAGACCAGAGACATTAGTCTAATATTAAGTGTTGATGAGTAAGTCCTCAAGAATCTGGTATTAGAAAAACTGGACTAATGCTTGGGATTTATTATTGAGTTTCATATGAATTTGGAATCTAGATTCATCCCATTGTTTAAACAGTCTGCTTTGTTTTTTTCTTAATAGTTACTTGAAATGCTAAAGGAACTAAATAGAGCCAGATATTACACAGAAGATGAGACATTTCAAGATCATTCTGTTCTTTATAATCTTATCTCCAAAATTTCTATAATAGACGATTATTGCAGTGGTCACTCTTCAATTCTAGCAGCTTTAGAAGCTGAAACCACACTGAAAAAGCGGATGTTTACACATTTAGACCCATCCTTAGATCTGTATAATACAATTAAACCACGAATAAACAAAACATGATTTATGCTTGTCAAAATTTGTAGAACTCTTCAGAAATTGTGACTCCATCTCCACCACAGAACTAAAACTCATCAAAATTTATTTTATTATTATGTGTAAATAGCAATAGATTTAGTTGCTAGGTGCCATCTGCTCAGTGTCGAAGATCACTGTGAATTGGAATGCTTACATTTCTTGAACAATCAGCAGTACTTAAAAAAAAAAAATTCCACAGTATCTTTTTAAAATTCCCCAGAAATTTCTTTTTTGCTTTACAAAAATTGACTATTGCATGGATTTTATCTGCATTTCCAAGTAAAGCATGTTCATGGCAGCAAATATGGAAAATTATTTTTAAAAATTAAAAATTTAACTGTTAAACCTTAGAGATTTCTGTTATACTGTATCATAATATACAAAAATATTCACACACAATTATTATACTGAAAGTATTTAACCTATATATTCCACTTACAAGCATTTTCAGACACTATTAAATATTTTAAGGTGCTACAATTTTTAAGAAATGCATAATATTACACTATATAGCTGTGCTATAATTTATTTAAATTATCTGTTTAACGAATATTAAAAGTAAGCCAATTTTAATCTAATGTAAATTAAGATGCAATAAAATAACCAATTTTTAGCTCAATTTGCTGAATAATTCAGTCCTTTTATATTGGTTCATAGAGTTTACTGTACTATATTCTCCTATATAAATTTTAGATAATTTTTAATATCTTTGATTATAAACTTACATTGAGTACTAAAATCTGAATCACTGGAGCAAATACTATAAACTCTTATAAGAATCACACATTGCCAAATTGCTTTCCAGAAATCCCTTACCAATAAATATTCAAAATACATATAGAGCGAGTCATTATAAGTGTCTTTTGCCAGATTTATCAAAAATTACATCTACTGTTTGTTTTCCTGATTGTGAGAATTCTGTATATTGGAAACTTTTCTTTAGATGTTTATGACAAATACTTCATCTCAGATTTTCATTGGTTTTGTTTACATTATTTAGAAAACAATTTTCTTTAACTTTTGTAATAAGTCCTTCATTCTTGAAAGAGTGAACTATATTGTGAAATATAATGGAATGTTCATATCTTACGTATAATGTTCTGTTAGTTTTGACAAAGGCACAGCAAGACATGTAATGCTTCTGTCCCCACAGAGAGTTATCTTACACCACTTTTCAGTTGTCCAGGCCCTCAGAACCACCACTGATCTGATTTCTAACACTCTTAGGTTAGTTTTGCTTATTCTCTACAAGGTTCTTGTGGACTGATACCCGCACATCATGACTTGATTCCATCTGTCACTTCCCTTTTTATTTTTAATTTTTTGATGGCACTTTCTTGATGAGCAATAGTTTGAGTTTTGATGAAGTTCAACATTTCTTTTTATAGTTTGTGTTTCCAGCGTTTTATATAAGAAATCTTTATATATCTCTAAGTTGCATCCATCTTAAATTGATGTTTAACTGTGGTGTGCATAGGGGTTCAGGTTCATCATTTCACACAGATATCCAGTCATTCTAGAATAACTTATTTTCAGATGTTTTACTATTCTCATTAAAATGGCTAATAAGCTTATGAAAAGGAGTATTGTCCTTGCTTTGGGAGGTTGAGGTGGGTGGATCATTTGAGGTCAAGAGTTCGAGACCAGCCTGGCCAACATGGCGAAACCCCATCTCTACTAAAAATACAAAAATAGCCGGGTGTGATGGGGGGTGCCTGCAATCCCAGCTGCTCGGGAGACTGAGGCAAGAGAATCACTTGAACCCAGGAGGCGGAGGTTGCAGTGAGCCGAGATTGCACCACTGCACTCCAGCCTGGGCAATAGAGCGAGACTCTGACTCAAACAGCAGCAACAACCTATTTGTCTACATATGTGTGTGTCTATTTCTTCTGTCTGTTCTGTTCCCTGGATCTCTGTAGCCTTTGTCCTAATTGTTATCACTTATAATAAGTGCTATAATTAGGAAAGACACCGGTTTCAACTTGGCTTTTCCTTTTCAAGATTATTTGGCTCGTGTTGGTCTTTTGCCTTCTAAATTCATCTAAAATTGACTTGTCAAGTTCTAGAAAGAAACATGTCTGGTTTACTGGGATTATGTTGGATTTACAGATCAATCTCTGAAGACTGATATCTTAATGATATTGAGTGTTCCAATCATAAAAGTGGTTTATCATTTCATTTACCTAGATCTTTTAAAACTTCTCTCAGAAACATTTAGTTTCCAGTGTGGGGGCTTGGTGTATCCTTTGCTAGTTTATCCCTCAGTATGTGATGGTTTTTCATGGGTTTATAAAAGGTATTTTAATATTTAATTTTATAATATTAATTGCATTATATGAAATAGAAGTATATATTTAAAAATTTGAATACCAACTTGTTATCCTGCAACATCATTGAATTCACTTGTTAGCTATAGTTACTTTCTGGTAGAATTTTAGGGTTTTCCGAGTACACAATCTAGATTATACTTCTTTATCATTTTTTATAATTTTAGTTTATTTTCTTGTCATATTACATAAAGACTTTCAGTAAAAAGTTTGATTAGAAGTAATGAGAAAGATATCTTTGCCTTTTTCCCAACCTTAGGAGAAAAACATTGAGTACTTTACTCTCAAGAATGATGTTTACTGAGGGCTTTCCAATGATGTTCTTCAGTCTGTTAGTGTCTCATTTTAGTCCTAGGTTTTGTGGGTGTGTGTTTGAGAAAGAATCTAGCTTTCACCCAGGCTGCAGTGCAGTGGCGTGATTGTGGCTCGCTGCAACCTCTGCCTCTTGGGCTCAAGCAATTCTCCTGCCTCAGCCTCCTGAGTAGCTGGGACTTCAGGCGCCCGCCACCACACCTGGCTAATTTTTGTGTTGTTAGTAAAGATGGGGTTTCACCATATTGGCCAGGCTGGTCTCGAACTCCTGACTTAAAATTATGCACCTGCCTCAGCCTCCCAAAATGCTGAGATCACAGGTGTGAGCCACCGTCATGCCTGGCCTCTATTCCTAGGTTTTTGAGAGTTGATTTCATAAATGAATTTTGAATTTTATCAAATGCTTTTTACAGATGAATTATAATAATCACATAATTTTTCACCCTTCATGGATTAACATAAGGAAATATTTTGATGGATTTCTGGGATTCTTTGCATTATTGGGCTACGCCAACATTGGTCAGGGTGTATTATCTTTTTTGTATAATATTGGATTCAATTTCTTAATATTTTAAAAGTAATTTTAGGCTTAGATTCATGAAAGATATTTGTCTGAAATTTCCTTTACTTGTATAAACTTGGTCTGGTTTCAAGTATCTGGGTTATAGTGACCTCATAAAATGAGTTGTGAAATGATATTTCCTCCTCTGTTTTTTCTGAATAGTTTTGCATAGCATTAGTATTATTTCTTATTTAAGTGTCTGATATAACTTAACAACTATTTGGAACTAAAGTTTATGTATTGGAAGTTGCATAATAACATATTATTTTTTTAAATGATTATAGGGCTTTTTGGATTTTCTGTTTCTCCTTGAGTATGACTGTGTAATTTGAAACCACTGAATGATATGAAATTAGATTATTTTAACTCAATCTAAGAAAAACTATGTTTAAATAAAAATAATTTATTCAGATTTGTTATTAAAGCTAGTGTCTTATATTATCTTGTTTTATTATATGTGGTTCCTGTTTCCTTTTTTATATTTTAATTATCTTCATCCAGTGAACTTTGAGGTATAAATGATATATTGCTTTATTTTCCAGAGCTATAAGATACTATTTTGATGTTTCCATTACAGCAGATGGGAAATTTAGGGCATTTCTTCCTCCCCTAGATCCCCCCTCAGATTTAATATTTATTGTAGTAGCATCTGGGATTTGGGAATAATATTGTTGCTATTAAGGTCTTAATCCATGCTCAAAGAAAAATGTGGAGCTTTATAGAATATATTAAAGTGAAAAGTTACAAATTAGTTATTGAAATATCTATCTCAAGAAATTTGAAAAATAACCAGCAATTAAGCCCAAAACTGTAGAGCAACTGAATTATTAGTAATAGTGAATGAGAGCAAATATTAATAAAATTAAAAAATATATATACAAAGTTTGCCAGGGCTGTTATAACAAAGTACCACAGACTGGGTGGCTTAAAGAAAGATAATTATTTTCTCCCTGTTCTGGAGGCTGGAAGTCCAAGATCAGCGTGCCAGCAGGGTTGATTTTTTTCTGAGGCCTCTCTCTTCAGCTTGTACTGGGCCATTTTCTTCCTATATCTTTATATGGTTTTCCCTCTGTCTCTGCCTGTGTTCAAATTTCCTCTTCTTACAAGGACACCAGTCATATTGGATTAGGGCTCACCTCTGCCTCAGTTACCTCTTTAAAGGTACTACCTACAAGTACTATCACATTCTGAGGTACCAGGGGTTAGGACTTCAACATATACATTTTGCGTGAAACAAAATTCAGCCCACAAAATACAGAAAAGAGGTTTAACACATAGGCACGTGTCTAGTGATGCCGACTAAGAAAAGAAGCCACACATGACCAAAAGGAATGAATGCAAAGGTTGCCACCGTACTACAAAAAGATGTTAAAATTATAACGCAAAGATACTCTGATGAAATTTTTGCCAGTAATTTTGAAACTTTTCAAGCAATGGGCAAATTCCTAAAATCAATGGTAGATTTTTTTTAAGCCAATTATAATTGACAGTACATTACCCCCAAATTTCAAGCTTTAATGTATATATGAGCATCACTAGAATTGTTAAAATAGAAATGTCTAGGCTCCACCTCCAGATATTTACTTTGTAGGTGTGGGTGAGCCCAGAATTCCCTTGTTTAATGTGCACCCAATGTGAATGTGATGGAGATGTTCACGCACATCCCAGAGAAACTGACTTTCCTGCCAGGCATTGTACTGCCTGTTTTCCAAGTCATATCTTATTTAGTCCTCACAACAATCCTCTGAAATAAGGACTATCATTATCCTCAATGTGCAGAGTAGGAAGCAGAGATTAAGAGAATTTCACTAATCTGACCAAGGCCCCATAGCATGTAAAAACTAGAATAGAACTTGATGACATACTAACTTTGTCAACTTTTTTCTGACAGGCTACGTATTTGACTTTCCAGCTTCATACAATATTTTGTTTTAGTACAGCAGGAAAAAAAAATGGATAATCGAAACTTACGTATACCAAAAAATGAAATCCCAATATTATATATTGAATTTAGAAAGATTATATTGTTTCTTTTTGTGTTAAATTGCGTTAATTTTCTGTCAAATGAGGACTCACTTAACCCATTTTTTTGTTGTTGTTATTCAAAGTTCAATCCCTGAGCACCCTTGCCTTTTCCTCTAGGCTGAATTGAAAGCTGGCAGAAGTGATTTAGTCACAGGAGCTGGCAGAGGAAAAGGGGTCATCTTATCTCATTTGTATGCGCCTGTATGCCAATAAAGTTCCTTGTCCCTGCTTTCCTGTGCCATGTCAGTTTCTGCTTCCAGATAATATCTGGGGTCCAGCCTGTAACTAAGGAAAAGTTGAGCACCCTCTCCATGCCACACTCAGTTTTGAGAAAATTGAGGCTCTTTACTTTCTTAAATCTCTCTGGCTTCCAATAACATTGTCTGCTACTTGTCCTATGCCTTTCGTTAAACCCAACAGGGAAAATCACATTCTAGTCTTCTTTTGAAGAAACCTCCAATTTATACAGGATGATATAAGCACGTGTCACTACCCACTTGACCTCCCATGAAAAGAGGAAAGGCAAGGAAGGGATCTATTTCTTATTTTCCATAAAACTCTTCTTTTCAAGCCACTCTTTTCATCTTGTTGCACATACCTGGGAGCAGTAATTCTGGATTCAGTATTCTCCCCCATAAGCTTTTCTCCTTACATAGCTGTGAATACTTTCAAAATCTGCATCTTTATTCTTACTGTACAGAGGGCATGTTCCCAGGGCAAAAGAACCAGGATCGGTCCTTTGGTGCTTCAAGGTATTTCTTCACATATACATCTCCTTTATAACAGTACAGTTAGACATGAACAAATGGATCATTTAGATTTGACATTGTGAGAAGAGAAGCACTACAAAACATCTTTTGCTTTCCTGAAGCATCTGTGGCAAAGTATAGGGAGAAATAAATATAGCTTTGACCTTTTTCTGGTGTAGTGTGTATTGAAGACCAAGTGAGAAAAGTGGTGGTTATAATTTGTATTTTTCAAATTTATAGGTGGTGTCTATATAAATCAAATAATAAAAGTAAAATGGTACAACACAATGGCAGGCAAAATTGCTACGGTCCATTCAAGACTTTGTGTTTCATCCATTAGTGTCATCTTATTTCTTCTAGAGGGGCTGCTTCCATAATCATTGCCTTTCAGCTTTCCCTGTAGATAATAACCTTTGCTGATTATATCAGCATTTGTAAATATGTGTTTCGTGGAACACAAGTCCCACAGGATATGAATACATGTTAGGTGCAGAAGGAGGCACCTAGGTCACGTGAGTTTGGGAAATGTTGGGTTATACAAAGTTAAACAGATTATTATAGGACTTCTCAACAGCTTTACTAATGTATATTGTGACTATCATACAGGGCTGGTATTTGTTTCCTAGGGCTATCATAACAAAGTACCAACAATTGGTTGGCTTAAAATAACAGTAATATATCATCTCATAGTTCTGGAGGCTAGAAGTTTGTAATCAGAGTACTGGCAGGGCCATCCCCTCTCTGGCTGCTCAACGGAAGAATCCTTTCTTGCTTTTTCTAGCTTCTGGTGTTAATGGGCAATGCTTGATGTTCCTTGGCTTGTGGACGTGTCATCACTCCAGCCACATGGCCATCTTCTTGTGCATCTTCACATCATCTTCACTTGTCCATATCTATCTCTGAGTCCAAACCTTCCCACTTTACAGTGACATATTAGATGTCATTGGATTATGGCCAACCCTAATTACCTCATTTTAACTTGATTGCCTTTACAAAGAAACTATTTCCAAATAAATTCACATTCTAAGTTATGGAGGGTTTGGATTTCAACATATCTTCTTGGAAGGGACACAATTGTGATACAGTGTTAAGTTCAACAGATTGATTCCCTCACTGCAGAGAGCAGGTCGTCATTATTGTCAGAGTAGCATTTCCAGGAACTCACTTTGGGCAAGACTAGAGCATATGAATGGCGTTTTAGAAACTCAGATGTGAGTGTGCTTGTTTTTTTTTTTTTCCTGATGCAAAAGTTGGTTTTGTTCAGGGTCATCCCATAGATAAAATTATTGCCCTGGAAAACTCTTTTGTTTGGTTATAAAGAATATGTATATAAGTGAATATGGTTTACCCCAGATCCTTAGTAAGATATTGGGGGAAAATCCTCAAAACAGAGAGAGGCCTATTGTTACTGTGGCCGTTGTTTTGTCATTAACTGGTTATTTTCCACATGAGTAAGGTGCTGCTAATATTGGCTTTAATCATTGATGGACATCAAGAGTTTCAGACTTGCCTGATTGAGAAAGCTAATTTAGAGGAATAAGAAATAATTATAAAAAGGAAAGTGTAAGCTACTTTGATTAGAATTAATCTCACCTCTACCACAGTACTTTCCTTTTGTTTTTATTTTGGCATATTTTTTATTATACCTGAGATGGTAGATTGTATCATTTTTTATATCAGCTTTTCACTTCCTTTCCGTATGTCATACATTCTAACTGCTATTGTGGCCTCATAGATGGGGTGTACTGTGCTTCTGGACTTTGGGCTTGGCAATAGGACTTGCCTTGGCCAATGGAATGTTAGTGGACATGAAATATTCAAAGGCTCAAATTGTGTTGCAAATCTGGGCATACTATCATGCATTACTGTTATCTTTTGTTTGAGAAGTGTGCTTTGGGAAGTTGCAAGTGTAAGGAGGTTGAGAGACAGATGAAATAGACACTGGCATTGTCTGCAGCTTGGAGCCAGTCTCAGCACAACCCAGTCTAACTCAGCCCAACTTTAGCCTTTTTACCTGTGCCTGAACAACGAAGATCTGCTTATAGGTCTGTACTACTGAGATTTTTGTTGACTGGTAACACAACATTATTTTACAAAACATGAATTGATGCACTTTGTTTATGTTTGTCTCCTTTACTACTTTGTGAGCTTCTAAGCATTTTGTTCAATTTTACATTTCTTGTTTAGTTCTTACATATCATAGGTCCTCACAATGTTTGAGTCCAGAATGAATGAATGACATTCAAGGGTGTCTGAGTTGAATGTAGGAAGCATGTTTACCATAGCAACCAGGTAATAATTTAGAAACAACACTAGCATATTGCTTTGGTTCTGAGACAAGTTATACAGATCTTTAGGCTAAAAGAAGAAATGTATGTAGCCCACTCATGAGCAGAGACACTGGGTCCCAGAGAAAGGCAAACCCTTCAGTCTGACTCTGAATAAACCAGATGGCAGTCTGAGGTTCCATTATTTTTGTTCCAGATGGAGATCTCTTGCATCAGTAGCAAATTGGACCTATCCTTTGTGTCCATTTCCAACTGCATTTGCAGGAATTTCCTACAAGTGAATTGCTTCTTGGTTACGACGTTCACTTTTGCTATTCATGATGAATAAGCAACATTTGTTTTCCACAATTGCTATTATGTGTTGTGAATCCTTTATAAATAACTGTAATGCCATATATTAATATTTTTTATGGTCAGTATAGGCTATCTTAAATACTACTGAAAGACCTGGAGATCCTGGAAATTTTAAGAATTTAAACTTTGAAATGTCTACCAAGTATGCACTTTCCTGTGGCAGTGTCATCTGAAATCAGAACACATTTTCCTCTGTGTGTGTGTGTGTGTCTGTTTATGCACATGTGCATGTGAACTTGTGTTCATGTAACTTTCCCCATACCATGTGGGATTCTGGGTCGATATGAAAACAAGCTGACAGCAGTAGATAAAGATGATTACAGCAAAGGATTTAATCAATAACCACTTTTATCTCAGCAACACACATTATCTTTCACCTTTAAAAATTATTTGTATAAATGTCTCTTCTTAGCTAGTCTCAGGCTGTCTGAAGAGGCAGGAAAACACAAGAAGAGAAGTAGCATTTTTGAATGTCAAAAAATTGCTGTGGTAAAGACTAAGCGGTGTGACTTGATACTGATAGAATACTACAAGATCACCACAAACCATGTTAATGTAGTTAATTACAGTAATTCTGCACACATATCTCTTAGTAGAAAAAGTTCAAACTATCCAAGCACATTATTGGCAAAATAATAAAATCATGTTCCTGATGAAGATTCAGCTATATAATTTAATACTAAAATGTCTTAATAAACAATCTATCGTGCTAATTCTTTGATAAAAGATTATTCAATCTATATATATTAGTGACTTCAACCATGTATTAGTAAGTTAATGATTTTATTTTAAAAGGTGTTATGCTTGAAGAGTCTGGAAGAGTGATTGAGAGTCAGTGAAATGACAGCTTTAAAAGTCAATTTTATTTTTAAAGACTTCAGTTAGCTAAAATGCTTTCCCTACACATTTAAGTAAAATAAGTGAGTATATTGTCTAAGAAATAGCTACCTACTCCAAGGACTGGGTGGGAGGGTCCAAGTTGACGGATGAGATATCTTAGTCTTTACCATGAGGTTTTATAGCCTACTGGTAATTGTTTGAGAGAGCATTCTAAATTGGAATTATCATAAGTATGGGGGAAGCCTGTTGAATAGAAAGTGAGAACACTGGGGTATACACCTAAGAAATTGTGCCAATCTCTGTGTGTGTATAGTTGTCTCTGTGTATACACACTAGATTATTGAGCTAGCAAGAATAGAGTCTGAAATCTTGATATTGCCTCAATGTTTATTCCTTTTATTATTCTCCTAACGTGTTGATGCAAATTTTAAAAAGTTCTAGCTGGCTCTGAATGGGCCAAGAGGAACACAGAAAAGGGATATCATCAAAAGTTATGGAAGTTCTTTAAAGAGGGGGGTGCAGACTTGACGAACCCTGAGCAATGGCTGTATCCGTGGCCTTGGCAGTCAAATAAGGAACTTCCTTTAAGGGGAGGGAGATTCCCAGGGACAGGAAATCCTCCCCATCCAGGAATTTTCTTTTAATGCTAAACATTGAAGAGTCTTAGTGAGTACGTGTCTGTCTCCCAGCATGTGTACTAAAGTTGCAAATTTCCTTATAGGATATCATGTATCTTTGTGGGCCATTTAAATAAACCCAGTATTACCTTTTCCAGCTAAATTACTCATAGATTTGTTAACTATATTTTTAAAGCACATATATCCTTTTGTTTGAAGTTAGGATTATTAAACATAATTAATCTAAGAAAAGCATTTATAGCACTGGTGATATAATTTTAGGTCCACTGTAAAGTATACACAGGAATTATTTTTTCTTTCTTTATTTTGACTTGTGTGTGTATGTGTGTTGTGTGTGTGTGTGTATGTGTTTTAAAGTCACCTTCTGCTTTTTATGTAGCTTTGGCACTTTATTCTGTTTGTCCTATTCTAAAATAAACCTATATTAAAAATTTCTCTTTATATTCTAGACAAATTACTTTGACCTTATTATCAAATTAGAAATAAAATTATGATAAACCAAAGAAGTACATTATACATTTGGATGGAAACCATATATATCTCCAAATCTTCAAAGTAAAAAGCATACAGTCCATGCTACAAGAGGCACAGTATTTCTATTTACAAGCTTAATTTATTCACTTTTTCATATTTGCTTTATGTAGTACTTGACAAATTTTTATCAGTAAGAGGTGTTTCCTTTTCTTAAACTGTGAATGGAGAGCATACATTTTAAACAGCATGATTATGGACTCTGCTTAGCACTGCTCTCAGAAAACAAATCAGAGATGAAATTTGAGAGAGTGTGGGAGAGGAACTGGAATATAAACCAGAAGCTAGATAAAGAGCTACAGAAATACTTTTGTGACTTTCTAAAAACTCAAATGGAAGCAATATTTGGAACTTATTATATATGTTCATGATCCACGAGCAGAAAAAAACTTTTTTCATTTTAGCAACAAATAAAAAATAGTGCTACAATGGGCCATGAGCTAGCAATGGCTGTTGACAGTATTGTTATTAGTAATAATGAGAATATAATCATCATGTGCTATCATGTGCTCTTTTACCTATGCTATTTAGTTTATGACCCACAGATAATTCAAGAATTGCTTTCTTTTTTCTTTTTTTGAGATATGGCCTCACTCTGTCACCCAGGCTGGACTACAGTGGCCCAATATTGGCTCACTGTAACCTCTGCCTCCCAGGCTCAAGCGAGCCTCCCACCTCAGCCTCCCGAGTAGCTGGAACTATAGGCACATGCCACCACAGCCTGCTAATTTTTGTAATTTGTAGAGACAGGGTTTCACTATGTTGTGCAAGCTGGTCTTGAACTTCTGAGCTCAAGCAATCCACCCACCACTGCCTCCTAAAGTGCTGGGATTACAGGTGTGAGCCACCACGCCTGGCCCAGAATTTCTTCTTAATAAATAATGTCAAGTTTCCTCAATATCCTTCAACCTTTCAAAACACCGATCATCAAAACTTAGCAACACTAAAAAGTTTCTATTTTCACACTATTCAATCATCTGGTGGTGGTGATCATATTTTTATAAATGAGCTCACAATCAATGAATATTGACAGGCTGAATAATATTACTCCAATTCTGTTATTTAGAGTTGCTAGTCAAGAACATGCAGCATAAATTGTTATGAGACATTAGAAATGCTTGTTAAACTAGAGAACAGTGTAGTAAGTCAACACCATTAGAAACAAAAACCTCAGTTTTGTGAAACCCTGAGATTTTACTCATTACTTTCTTCCTTGTAATATTAGCCAAATGTCCTAAAAGCTACCGATAACCTGATAAGCCAAATCTGTTAATATAGACTCTAAATCTATAATAAGTCTCCAAGAAGAAACTGGAGGGATGCTAGCCATTCAAAAGCCTTCTGAAGAACAAGTTAACCTATTAGTTATTAGGATAAAAGGCAATGCCACAGACAAGAAGCCAGGAGACCCGGGTTGTACCTTAGCATTTTCTCCAGTTGTTACACCATTGTGGGAAAGTCCCTTAATAACTTGAACTGTTCAGTTTATTTTATATATATGTTTCTGAGACAGGGTCTTACTCTGTTGTCCAGGCTGGAGTGCAGTGGCGTGATCTTGGCTCATTGCAACCTCTGCCTCCCAGGTTCAAGCAATTCTCATGCTCCAGCCTCCCAAGAAGCTGGGACTACAGGTGCGGGCCACCACACCCAGCTAATTTTTGTATTTTTAGTAGAGATGAGGTTTTACCATGTTGCCCAGGCTGGTCTCGAACTCCTAGCCTCAAGGGATGGGTCACCCTCGGGCTCCCAAAATGCAGGGATTACAGGTTTGCGCCACTGCACTCGGCCTTTTTGATTTAAAAAATATGATTGGTCTGAAACATTTCTGAGATCCTTTCCAGTTTCAAAGTTCTACAATTACAAGGGTATTCTGAAGTGATGGAAGGCAATCTCACACCTACCATTCTGTTCCCGCTGCACTCCTGCGGCCAGAAGGTCGGGCTCCCCAAGGCTGATATCATTGAGCCTGGTCCCCAGACACTCCATGCAGAGGTGCTTGCACCACTCCTCGGCCTCCAGCTCTGAAAGTAACCACAACATCACCAGTCAAGCAATGCTCCCTAGGAATGATGGAAGAAGAATATTTCCTTAACTGTTTTCCCAGGTAACTGGCAAGAGTTAAGAACCTGCCTTTAAAAAAACAACAAAAAACTGTATTTAGGAAGTGAAAATAAGTCCCAAAAATTATTTCCTACTCTTTGACATTATATTTTTAAGTGGTTTATCTTATTTGTAGTACTTTACCTTATTTACAAATAATAGTCTGAGAATATTTGTTTCTTATATAGCATAGTTTAGATTGATTTTACTTGGGGAGGAAAATTTACTTAAAATAATAAATTAGCCATCATGCTTTACATTTTATATACATATATATATATATACACACACATATATAATATATATATAGACACATATATATACTTCAAAACATGCTTTGCATAATAAATACATTTAATTTTATGTCAATGTAAATTAAGTAAATATAAAATAGAAAATAAATATATAAGTGTAATAGTTGAAAAAATGTCAGGTTAGATTAAACAAATGAATGTTTTCCTGAAAGTGACTTAGATTTGTATGAGTTGAAGACCTGATCCCCAAGTCATTCTGAATTGTAATGGATCATAAATCAGCTCTAGAATGTGATCATTTTTCTTTGTAAACAATACAAATTAGGCTATTCTTATTTTTTAAAAAAATTGGGGTAGAATTTAAAAGTATCTCTTCTCTTTGGAAAATTCCAATTACCTAAGACGTTGATTAGATCATTGCTTTTTTTTTCTATGATTACCTCCCAATTTCTTTATAATCACATTTTCCTCTTGCTTAAAACATTAGAATGTGTTACATCAACACAAAATCCTGTCATATCTAAAGTTTTCACAGGCTTTCATAAACATAAGTGAATTTGACTTTGGTGTAAGCCCTGTGCGAGTGAGGTAGCCAAGGGTTAGGATCATATCTGTGCCTCAAATCATTGGTCAGCATCAAAACAGAATTGGAAATCAACCAAGTCTTCCAGCTATTTTACTATGCAGAAATTTGAAAAGGGGTCTCAGGTTTAATATTTTAGGCCAAGCTCCAATATCACTGTACAGAAATTGGATAAGAACTTTCCATTGACGTCTGCCCAGAGAAGTTTCTGACTTTTCCATACAGCATAAATCTGTACTAGAATAGTGTAATATGGATTCTCTGTAAATCTCTTGTTGCTCTCTGTGGATGACACCTCACCCTTTGTCTTGGCATTTTAAATGCCCCATGAAAAGTTATCTGTGACAGGTTTTCTTGACTTTTGGGATCTAAATACCAACACTGGGCTCTCCTTGATGGTCAACACCATCAAATTTGGGTAATGTTTTCTTTCTGAGCTTAGTCATGCTGCAGCAAAAATAAGTTTCATCAATGAGATGTGAAGACAAATTTATCATTTATTTTTACTTTTCTCAAGACCATGACATACTTTTAAAAATAACAAAAGAAAGAACATGCAGTTCCCCATGGGATCCTGTTCTAATAAAAATAATAGTTCCAATGTTCCTATCATGAGAAGCACTTTTATTTACGAAAGTACAGTTTGCATGTGTCAGGGACCATCCCCTCACTGATGTAAGGCATACTATCAAACTATGTCAAGGATCAGGAAGATTTTCAAGAGGGCCTGGTTCCCTCACTTGAGTGGAGTCAGAGGCCTGGGATTAGCTGCTCAGGCATTTCCTTAGGAACCCAGAAAATAATCCTTTCCAACCACAAGGCTACCAATATAATAAATGCACCATTTGTGGAGGCTACTAAAAATAACAAAAACAAAAAACAAAAAACAAAAAACAAAACTTTTTTCTTTTAGGAAGTAAATGCCAGACTTCATAGAAAAAATTTATAGGAGCAACAAAAGCATATATTGAACGTACTTTTATTAGATATATAAGTATTTATAAAATGTATACAAGATTTAAAATATTTTCTAACAGTCAACCAAAATATTATAGGTTAAACCAATTTACATGCTATGTATCAAGAAATGTTTGAAATTTCTGTCAAGGGAGACACTATGATTATTGTTTTTCTTTTTTTCTTTTTTTTATTATTATACTTTAAGTTTTAGGGTACATGTGCACAACGTGCAGGTTTGTTACATATGTATACATGTGCCATATTGGTGTGCTGCACCCATTAATTCGTCATTTAACATTAGGTATGTTTTTCTTTTAAATTTTTAATGTTTTAAAATTTTCAGAAGACTCCACGATGTAAAAATAATGTAAAGTCACACGCAATTAAAATCTTTTTTGCATTATTCTTTGTAATAGTATTTCCAGTTCTCTACAGATAAGGATGAAAATATCTAATGTGCTATTTGGGAGTAAAAATCAGAACGTTAAATATGTCAAAGCACCTTGGTGCCAATATTCTCTTTAAGCAGTAAGTCGGTGCATGCCCAGACATTTAAGAAATATATAATTCACTCCTTCTTTGTGTTAAGTCTTTTGTCCCAGGGTTTAATGAGACGAAGAAAGCAATCATACAGTAAAAGGCTTCTATGAAACTGGAGTGGACTCTTTCAAGCAGAACTAAATGCAGAATTTCTGTAAGTGCTGGAACAAAGAAGTCTCCCATCACAGCAATGAGAGGTATTCATGGGCTCCTACCAGCAGATAAAGATGTCTCTTGCAGACAGTGCTTCAGCATTTTAGTAGTGTAGTAGCATATAAGAATAGGAATAGCAAGAATAATAAAAGTAGAGTACATATTGTCACACTAAAGACTGAACTGTAAACTATTTCAAAGAGAGAGAGAGAGGAAGAGAGATTCTTACAATTCAGGACTCATTCCTTTAACAAATATTTATTGTGAACTCTCCATATGCCAGGCACTGTGCTAGGAGGTTATATGAAAAACACACCATTTCTGCTCTCAATAATCATAGAGTCTAGTGGGATGGGCAGGTGGGTTTAGTATATGGTGCTCTGGAAGGCTGTTAGCCTAGCTAGGCAGAAACTGAGGAGCTATGCCAAAGGCTCAGCAGAGTGAAAGTATCAGGGCAAGCAGAGAGAAAATGATGATGTGTGTGTTAGTGAGCGTGCGTGTATATCAGTGTGTGTGAGTATGTGGGTGTGAGTGTGCATAGCACTGTATGTGTAATGTGTGGGTGTGTGTGCACACAGCAGTTTTGATGAGTGTGTGTGAGTGTGCATTTGTAGTCATATTTTGTGAGTGTATGAGTGTGTGTTGGAGGAGTCTGGGAGGAGTGAGGGAGATGCCTGGGGTGGAGAGGGAAAGACATTTGCAGGGTAGCAAGAGTGACATCCTGTAACAGCTGGAGATAGCTCTGAGTTCATGTAGAAAAATGTGAGAAACAGTATCAGTTCATTCTTTTCATGATTTTCTAGTATTTGGCTCAATAAGATCAGTCCTAAAACTTCACCTCAAAAGTATTAACCTTTGTAGTCTGTATACTTGGAGCTAACAGTTTTGCTGCACATAAGCTGAATTTCTTTGACTTTTAGACAAAGCTTTGGTTTTATAAATCTGTTTTTGACAGTCACCACCTTTCAAATATTACAACTATGCTTTTTAATTCTTCTTTCTTAGGCAAGCTCTATGTATTGAAGTCTTTTAATCTTTCATTGCATGTTAATTTTTTTCTATCACTATTTAATTGGTGTTTTTCTCTAAATTATCTTTCACCTTTCATTTTTATATTTTTTTACAGAACAGAGATTCAATACAAATGCAATAATCTGAACCCACCCACTGCATTTTAAAATGTTTATTTTCCCATAGACCGAGTGCCTTTGTAATTTGCTTTATCTTTCAAACTTTTTAGTCTACACATAATGTGTAAATAATTAAATTTCATTATGGGAGAATAAAGACATTAAAGGGTTCTATAAAGTTTTTTATTTTTCTCTTCATGATGAAGTGCTTTTTCATGAAGATGCCTTTTTCAGATAGCTTGCAGCTATGTTCAAATTTTTAATTGAGTAAATAACTTTTTCTCTGGACTAGAAACACAAATAATGTTTTCATTATATAGAGGATTAGTTAAATGAAGAAATTTGGTAATTTCCAAAAGGAAAATTGAAAGTCATTTGGGAATAATAAGACAAATGGAGACTAGAGATTAAATTAAATGGTGAATTATGTGACAAATGGGTTGACTGACTGCAGAGAAAATGATGGGAGTCCAAAGCCAATTCAGTCAAAGATGGTGGCTCCTCCCTGTGTTGTTTCAGTGTCTTTCCATTTCTCCACAGAATTCTGGGGAAAGTATGGTGTCTTACAATACAGTGACATGGGACTGATGCAGTGCTATTTTTAATTCTGATTTGAAGGGGATCAGAGAAGAGGTATTTAAATAGAAGACCTTTAATAAATGCCTATTGACTAAGTAATTAGATTCAAGCTTTATTGCTTTTACTAAATTTAGCCCTTAAGATAATGACATTAAAGTTAAATGATCCAAAATGAGCTACATTTGAAAACAGAGTGAAAAAGTTTTCATCATATATATATATATACACACAGAAAATATGCTATCAGCCCAAAATTATGTAGCAGAATTAAAAACAGCACTGCATCAGTTTCATGTTATTTTATTAGAAGATGCAAGTAAGACTTTTTTGTGTGAAAATAATAAATCATTGTATCTAGTTCCCACTGGAGTTAGCTTTTATTAATAATCTTTGGAAAATGTAGACAAAATAATCCTGTTTTGTCTTCAGCATAAGCAGAAATTCTTAATTCTATCTAATTCTTATGTTCTGTGCAGATTTGCTATGATTTGATGATAAAGGTTGTTTTCATATTTATTAACGTCTTAAATACATGCTTTGCTGTGAAGTGAAGAAAAATGTTTCCCTTACAGGCTATTGCTTAGAGAATATAAAACTCTCCCTTATTGTCATTTAAAATTTATAGAACTATTAAAATATAAGACATTTTGATGATGCTTTCATTCTTGAAAACTGGCGTGACTTTCTACTTAACTGGCCTTGCTGATGTTTCATGGACTTTTGTTTCCCCACCGCCCCCACCCCCCCCTTTTTTTTTTTAATAGTGGGAAGACAAGAAACCAGTTAAAACACAAACACTGCCGGGCGCAGTGGCTCACGCCTGTAATCCCAGCACTTTGGCAGGCTGAGGTGGGCGGATCACTTGAGATCAGGAGTTTGAGACCAGCCCGGCCAACATGGCGAAACCCCGAATCTACTAAAAATACAAAATTAGCCGGGCGCGGTGCTGCGCGCCTGTAATCCCAGCTACTCGGGAGTCTGAGACAGGAGAATCCCTTGAACACAGGAGGCGGAGCTTGCGGTGAGCTGAGATCGCGCCATTGCACTCCAGCCTGGGCAACAAGAGCAAAACTCCATCAAAACAAAACAAAACAAACAAACAAACTAACAAACAAAACCACCTAAATGCTTGTTTCAGCAAAGATCAAAAGCATGGATCTCTGGTTAGCCTACAGGAACAAGCTTTTTCTGTTGAAGTCAGATTTGTAGAGTTGACCAGTGTAGAGATGGGGGTACGATTAGTTTTCTAAGTAGGAAGTGCATTTATTTCCTTTCTGTGGAGTTCCCCTCATTTCCTCCCTTCCACAAAGTTCACTGATACCTAATAGTCCTTTAAAATGTGGTTCAAATATGGCCTTCTTAGTTTAGCTCTTCAGACCCATGTTTAGATGTGACACCTTTCCTCTACATTTCCATAACAGTGTAGAGAATTTTATCATAGCCCCTAAATATCAGATGAGATTGGTTCATTCAGGGTGGTATGGCCGTAGACGCCCCTAAGTATCAATGAGCGATTGTTCTGCCTTTCCCAGTCAACTTTAAGAAATTGGAGTGCAGGAAACTTACTTGATCTAGTCACCCTTTACCCTAGAACTGCACCTGGATATGGAAATGAATACATAAATATGGAACAATTAGGTCTATATCATTTGCAGTTTATTCCCAGAAATTCAAAACAAATTCTAAAGCCAAATGCAAATAATTTGGTGAGTAGTCTCTTGGAGGATATTTTGAGGTCTCTATTGTCTCAATTTAAGTAGAGTTTATAAGTCTTGCTTAGCTAGATAAAATAGATCTTTAGAAAAAGAAACAGAGCACTACCTGACATGGTTCCCTACTGAACTTAGGTAATGATAAAATATCATCTATTCAAAAAAGGTTTCTTATTTTATTGGCTATTTTTTCTTTCAACCTCATTAGGAATATTTATGCAACCTGAAGGTTTTGCATAAACTCTTCTAATTTTATTTGTGATCAGCACTTGATTAAATTTTTATTTTCTATATAGATATGACAGTGGAATCTTAGAAAAAGTCAACTTAGAGCCAAGGAAATGTGTTACCACCTAAATGCATCTTTGATGCAGATAATCATGACTTGTTTTCCTTGATTTAACAGCAGGTTGATACATCAACTTTCTGGACTCAATAGAGAAAACCTTATTCTGCTACTTCTTTTATGAATTGAAGGAGTGAGATTAGGCTTTCAAACATGGCCAAAGAGAAAATTGCCCCTACCTATTTTCCAAAGTAACAAATGACAAATAGCTGCAATTGATAGAACAATCAAATGTGCTGCTTTTTTGCCTGACAATAATTCATTGTAAAATTCTTTAATACGGAGGTTAGTGAATGACACAAGAGCTTAAAACAATCCAGAGAAAACAAGAAAGAACAGAAATGGACACCAGTAAATGATCTGAAAAGAATGGTGTAGTGTGTGTGTATGTGTGCGCGTGTGTGCGTGTGTGTGTGTGTTGGGGGAGGGAGGCAAAGATGGGAATTGGATATTTTTTAAAAATTACAAGCTTAAAAAGGATCCTTTCCGACAACTTGGAAGCTCACCTTGAGAATGAATGCATTTCTGTGATGGAAAGCCAGCATTGGGGGAGAATTCTTAATAGATGCCAATAGAAAATGTGATGCACAGGCCAGGCACGGTGGCTCATGCCCACAATCACAGCACTTTGGGAGGCCGGGGTGGGAGGATCACGAGGTCAAGAGATTGAGACCATCCTAGCCAACAGGGTGAAACCCTGTCTCTACTAAAAACACAAAAATTAGCTGGGCATGGTGGCTTGTGCCTGTAATCCCAGCTACTTGGGAGGCTGAGGCAGGAGAATCACTTGAACCTGGGAGGCAGAGGTTGCAGTGAGCCAAGATCATGCCACTGTACTCCAGCCTGGTGACAGAGTGAGACTCTGACTCAAAAAAAAAAAAAAAAAATTGATGCACAAGTTTTTTAGGTTTCTCAAGAATACAATAATCAAGCAGACAACTTTTTGAGGAAGAGGTGCTATCAAGACCCTTTATCTTAGTCATACTTTCCTAAGACCCCAAAAGCAATTGCTTTCTGTGCAACTCTTCTGAGGTGGTTGGCAGTTGAGAGAGAAAGAGACAGGAAGAGCTGTGTGCAGGAATATGAAAACATAGCCAACGATATGGGTATCTAAACTGGAAGTCTGAAATCATACAGAGCTCTAAAACTGTTTCTCTGTACCAAATCTGTTACAAAAACATTTTGACGTTAGTCCCCATTGAACATGGAACTGAATTTGGCCAAACGACACCAACAAATCTGAAAGTGTATTTATTCCAGAGCCTCCTGAAAGGAAGGAAAATCAAATTGATAACAATAAATAAATAAATAAATAAATATGTTCAAAAAAATCAAATTGATAACAGCTTGATTTTCTTCCGAGGAGGACCAGTGTTGGACTTTTGTCCTTCGGAACTATAAGATAATAAATTTGTGGTGCTTTCTGCTACTGTGTGTGGCAATTTGTTATGTCAGTAATAAAACACCAAAACAAATATAAAGGCCAAATATTTTATTCCTTTCTAATAGGAAAGCTTCCAAGCACGCTAATTAATGGGATGTGATGTATGAAAGCAATGAGAAATATATATAAGGAATATGGTGTGATTAAATCTACTTGAAGCTTAATAAATTAAATAGGAATTTCCGGATTATTAACATGAAGTGGAAAAGAAAATCTCAAGGCAGAGAATGCTGATCTGCCAAAAGCCAACCAAGAACAAGAGCCAGGAGGGTCGGCGGGGGGGTGCGGGAAGGGGTCCGAGGGAGAGTTGGAGCAACCACCAGAAAGATTAGATCCACCAGTAACCTGAAAGTACTGAAAATGTTCGAAGGAAGAGATTTCGAAGGACATCTGGTATAAAGGACAGGTGTCATATAAAAGGCCAAGCATGTGATTTAAAAAACACATTGGGTTTAGAGGAGCAAGTCTTCCAGTTGTATAGCTTACATCATGAAATACTGCGCAGCCATAAAAAAGAACAAAATGATGTCCTTTGTAGCAGCATGGATGCAGCTGGAGGCTAGTATCCTACTAGAATTAATGCAGAAACAGAGAACCAAATATTGCATGTTCTCACTTTTAGGTGGGAGCTAAACACGAAGTACACATGGACACTGAAGAGGGAACAAGAGACGCCAGGGCCTACTTGAGGGTGGAGAGTGGGAGGAGGGAGAGGATCAAAAAATTACCTGTCGGGTACTTTGCTCATTTTCTGGGTGACAAAATAATCTGCAATTTACCCATGTAACAACCCTGCACATGCACTCCCCTGAACCTAAAATAAAAGTTGAAGGGAAAAGAATAAAAGCAAAGAGAGAGGAAGAAACACCCTTTAGCAATTGGGTGGTAGAGGGAAAAGAAGAAAAAGTAGAAGATTAGGGTCCTGTAAGTAACATGTTGCCACAGTATCAGGGAACTGACCATCCCTATCACAAAAGGCAAGCAAACAAAACCCTACCATACTTCCTGGGCCTTATTAAAATGACAGAAAAAGGGCAATATTAAACTAGGACTTTTTCATTGACAAAGTACTTTTAATTACAAACTCTGTTAACTATTGAGTAGTCAGATGCTGTGTTTTAACCTTTTTTGTTCAAATATGTAATTTTGTAAAGATTGAGATATAAATTTTATATATTTATCATGTACAACATGATGCTTTGAGTCACATACATTGCGGAATGATCAAATCCAGCCAAACAACAAACTAGGACTCTTATACATCATCCCGATATCACAAAAATCAGCAAAGAAAACAAAAGTCCATAGAGAACTACTGCAGAAATTCAAGACAAGAAAATTCACACAAATTCAAATAAATTAAGGAAAATAAACTCCTACCACACCTCAATCCCCAAAAGTAACATGAAGCAGAAGAAAACTATGAGTACACTCCAAAAATAGTTGAATGTGCTCAATCATTGAGGGTGTAAAATATAAACTTGAATCAAAAATTCATAAACTAAGAATGGAAATGAACAAAAACTATAGGAAAAATGAAAAGAATAGCATGAAAGAAGTGACAAAAGACATTCCTAGGTTTTTTTAAAGTACAAGGTATGTAAGGTAGAATAGCATCAAATGAACACGTATTAAGAGGCATTGAGTAAAATACAAAAATAAAGTTGCCACTAAAAAAGCAGTAAAAAGGGTTGAGGAGAAGCAGTGGAAATGGATAACAGGAGAAGAGGAATGGTAACTAGGATCAATATAGCAGTGGAGTGGGGAATGGTGGCGATGAGAATCATTCACATTTAGGATATATTCAGGAAAGCCTACAAGATTTGCAAGCAGAGTATGAGGGAAAGAGAAATTAAAGATGAATACAAAAGTTTGAGCCTTTACAACTGGAAAAATGGATTTATCATGTAGTGAGATGATGAAGACTATGAGAAAAGCAGATTTAGAGGAAAATAACAAGAGTTCAGTTTTAGAAATAATTCTCAGATTCTTATTAGTTATTGAAGTGGATGGATGAATAGGCAGTTCACTATATGAGCTTGGTATTCAGGAGAGAAATTCAGATCGGACTTATAAATGTGGGAGTCAACAGTATATTGATTCCTTTTAAAGTCACGGAACTAAATGAGATCACCAAGAAGTCTGAGTAGGTAGAAAAAAAGAAGACATTTAAGGGCTAAGACCTGAGATACTCCCACAGTTCGATATTTGGGAAACAAACAGGGAAGGCAACTAAGACATAACAGACATTTAAGGAAGAAGAAACCAGAAAAATGTGCAATATGCTGAAAGCCAAGAACAAAAAATATTTCAAGGAGGAGAGAGTAGCTGACTTTTTCATGCTAGCAAAGCTCAAGTCAAATGAAGTCCAAAAATTGATTGTAAGATTTTTCCAACCTGGAGAGCATAGCTACCTTAATAAGGAAAGTTTTGTTAGAAAGTTTTTGTTACCTTTTTCTTAAGGTAGCATTAGCTCCCTTAATAAGGAAAGTTTTTGTTAGGCTTCCCTTATTGTCTTTGTTGGAAGACAAAAGACAGCTTGAATAGGTGCAAGAGAAAGCAGGAGAGAAGAGAAACAGAAGTTGGAGTCAGTGCAGACAGTTAAATAATAGACAACTCAATCTAGAAGTTATTTATTTTGTAATTTTTTTTAGGTCAAGAAGAGAAATATCTGGCACAATAGCTGCTGAGGGAAGTGACATCAAGAATTTTGGTTGATGATGACTTCTAGTAGCATAAAAAGAATATCAGGATGTGTGCAGGGGCATGAGAAGGAGTTGGAAAGACCATCATAAAGCCCAAGATATGAGATTCTAGAGATGAAAGAGGCAGGAGAAAGAGCATGTAGCTGACATGGACAGAGATAAAGGGCACGTTGAGATTAATTCTGACAGCCCCATGCTGATGCTCTATGGAAAATTATGAGAACTAAAGGGAGGTTGGGATGGCGGGGAGGGGGGGTCCTTCTGGGAGCACAGTGTCCCTGGTGGCTCCTACTGACAGAGGTGGAGCCTGCAGATAGGCAGACTTATTTCCTTAAAACGAAGCTATTTCCTCATTGCTGCAGAGGAAAGCTCCCTTGAGTTGGTCTCATGCTGAGTACACAGCTTGTGAATCCCTGCTGATGGCAGCCTGCAGGCAACTTTTGCCAAAGGTGACCCAGGGTTGTCAGCAGATAGTTATTTCTTATTCAATCCATGTAACAAACCTTGGGGTCATTTTTGACATCTGTCATCTAACTCATTCCATTCCTTCATCTCACATCATCCATTCCATTCAATGAACATGTTTTTGAGTCCCACTATGTGGAAAACACCATAAATAGGCCAATATAATAGCAAATGGCAACATGGTGCCTGCATCAGTCTGAATATGTGATGTCGATGATTAACAGAGCCATTCTGCAGACTCACTGTGTAATTGAGAAAAAAAAAATTGGTTGGGTTAAGACACTGAAATTTTGGGATTGTTTGTTACAGGTGCGTGCCTAACATTTCCTGTCTAATTTAAAAAAAAATAAAAGAAATAAAGAATAGAAGTCAGCTGAGAAGGGTGATGCTATGTGTCACTGTCTTGGTGCTCAGTCAGCAAGGGAAAGGAAATGAACTGGGCGTTGGATAGAGGCTGATCCATGTTATGCAGCAGGGAAATATTTGGTTAAAACGTCACCTGTAGTAACTTGGTGAATGGATTAGAAAATATCCACCCTAGGAAAAGGAGTTGGAAGATAGAATATTAACAAACTTATCAGCATATGTTAGTTGCCATAGGCTGTATTTGGCAGGGTATTAAGAAAAAGAATTGCTCAGTTTGCACACAGGATCAAAAGGAGATAGAGTGTATTTAAAACTTGGAGCTTTTCGAGGTTGAAAAAGGCAACTGCTTCGCAACTCCAAGTCAATACCAATAAAATAAAAATGATAAGCCTTTGAGCTACATGCCCTTTCTTAAAGCCTGTGAATGGTTGAAAGCATCTCAGAGTCAAGGTCTGCTCAAAGGTGAAGCCCAATATGCTTGCTTAATAGAGAAATGGTTCAGGGAAAAGAGAGCAAAGGGGTGGTTCTCCCACCAAAACCTGAGGGCATAAGGTCTGAGAGAGAAACAGCAGGAGGCTTAGGATTGAAGAGAAGTACTTCTAGAAAAAAAAAAAATCAAAACTGTGGGTGTAACTACTGGCCCATGGAACCAAGTAAAATCAAATAGATCACAAAACTGCAAAGTTTTAAAGAGTTAAACTGCCAAAGAAATCCAAAACTTCTCTAAAAAAGTCAATCGCTTTTGGAGCTTATAAATCATCCTTGAGCTTCTAGGGCAGAAAGCATCTGAAGAAGTTTCTTAGCTCCTAAAGAAAGTGTATGCTCCCATGCTCGCTTCAGAGGTCGAGTTAAGGCAGACGATAGAAAATTGGAAAACTCCCAGAAAATGACATCACTTCAGATAACAATGGACTGGTGGCCCCCTCCCAGAGTGCAAAATTACTACCTAATCAAATAATTAGGTGCCTATAATTAGGTACAAATAATTAGGTACCTATAATTAGGTACAAATAATCAAATACCTCATTCCACATAGCAAGGAGGCTCTGAAACTGTCTATCCCATCTCATTTCACAAGTGTGCATTGGGTCATAGGTTTCTAGCTCATAAAGAGTCACATCTGGACTGGCTGTAGGGACAACCTTGCATTGCCCAGAATCCTGGAGTCATGACTGGATGAGACATTGAGTTAGTGTCTTTTGGGGAGGAGTTAATGCATTTTTTTTTTCTTTTTTTTGAGACGGAGTCTTGCTCTGTCACCCAGGCTGGAGTACAGTGGCACAATCTCGGCTCACTGCAACCTCCATCTCCCGTGTTCAAGCGATTCTTCTGTCTCAGCCTCTGGAGTAGCTGGGACTACAGGCATGTGCCACCATGCCTGGCTAATTTTTTTTGTATTTATAGTAGAGACGGAGGTTTCACCATATTGACCAGGCTGGTCTCAAACTCCTGACCTCGTGACCCACCCACCTTGGCCCCCCAAAGTGCTGGGATTACAGGCGTGAGCCATCGCACCTGGCCACATTTTGCTTTTAGGAAGAAAATGATGTTCAGTGAGCAGAAGCATGCTTGGTGGGATCCTTTGCACAGTTTCTTGTTCAGCTGGATTTAGAGCTGCTGCTTTTGGGCACATGGCAAGATGGCATTTTCTCCTCTTTGGATGCAGGTGCCTGGCACATTGTGGGTAGTCAGAGAGTGAATGAAAAGTAAGCGAAATATTTTCCATATGTTTCCCTTTAAATGCACACAGTCTGAGAAGCCCTGAGTGCCTACAGGGTGATATTGCTTGCAGTTAGTACGTGGGAGGAATGTGATGAGTATCTTTGTTTATTTCCAAGAAGAGGGCCGCTAGTGGTTTTGACCATTACACCACTAGGAATTATTTTTTTCCTTCTAGTCTTACCTCCATAAAAGAAGAAAGCACAAGGACCACTGATGTTGAAATACAAATAATTATTGAGGAGCATAAAAAGTATAATTATTCTGATAATTTGCATAAAGATGATCATTAAGATTTACATGTTCCATTTATATGAAGTATTGTACAGCTCATAAAGATGGCTTTTTAAAAGCCAGTATCAAATGAGAACCTATAATAAATATTCAGATTAATTTTCCATTCATTGGAAAGAAAGATCATATATATTTGCAGAAAAGCACTAACAGGTCTGAAAAATGATTTCTGAGTAATGATGAAATTCGTATGAAAACAACATACAGAAGTATGAAAATAAACCAGCTGGTTACTTTTTAAAACTACAAGAATTTCAAATATTCGATTCTGAAATTAATTAACACAAACATTTAATGCATTAGTACATTTAAAATTTCAACCTTTGTTTTCTATTAGCTTTGTACCCCAATCCAAACATCACACAGCATTTTATTTTAAAATGTATTTGTTGCCTAGTCACCCTTTAAAAAAAATTAACGGCTTATGAAATGAGATAAATTAGGAGTGTATTTTTATTATAAATCAGAAATTTTATTAAAGTAAACTTTATAATATTGTTGAATGGGATTTGTCCTCTTGTGTTTGGAGCCCTCTAAAGCTACCACTTGAGAACAATAGGCACTAAATAGCCGCACATTCCACAAACATTCTAAAGACAGCCACCAGAGTCACACAGTATCTAAAATTAGAGATTTGAGGATAGGCTTGTTGCCTTCACTGGTTGCCTTCAGTTGGTTCCAAAATATTGTTCAATTTTATTAAAAGCTCCACTGTAGTTAATGCCAAACACAATACTGTGCCTAGGGTGTGGGGAAAGGATAACAAAATTCCCCGATTCTTCTCAGAACCATGCATCTCCACAATTTCTTAGTTAACATTTTCCCAATTAACAGTGTTCTCCAATGTGTTTATTATCATAATCAACCATGGACCATTTAATTATTATCTGTCATTGGGGCCCATTTTCATATTCCAGGTGGAGTTTAGGCTGAAGGGATTTTCTGTGGTCAACTGACTTGTGATTTCTTTTTTTTTTTTCTACTTTTATTTGAAGTTCATGGGTACATGTGCAGGTTTATTACACAGGTGTCATGGGGGTTTGTCGTACAGATTATTTCACCATCCAGCTATTAAGCCTAGTATTCTCTCCGTCCTCCCACCCTTCATCCTCTGATTTCTAATCCCTTTTTAGAAGATCTTAAAATAAACCTTAGAAGTCAGGACCCTGAAGCAATGCAGAACTTGCAAAGAGGGGTGCCTGGAAAATTGCTTCAAAGTACAGTGTGGTTTAGGAATTTCTGTGAGACCAAAGGGACTGGCCAGATCCATTCCAGTTTTTAACTATATCCCTAAGGTTGACACATTGTTCAGCAGATTCTGCAGGCAGACTGCCTTTTAACTCCTTGACTTTGTTAATAACTGCAGTATGTTTTAAGGGACTTGAGATTCAAAACATTTTCCATGAGATAAAACAAATAATTTTGGAATGGCTTAGGATAGTTCAAAAAAAGGATCCTTTGGTTTACTTAATTGGCTTTGGAGCTAAGGTGAATACATGTCACCTTGAAGGCTGGATCCATCCTATTGCTTAAAGTCATTTGTCCCTATAACTATTTCTATGAAGGAAACAAGTTTAACTTGGCTTGAAGATCAGTTTCACAGGAGGAAGTTCAGTAAAGCTAAACATCATTGTGGAGTTGGCAATGGGACAGTGTTTCATTGGCATGGCACAAGAAATTAATCTTCAAAAGTGCAGATTTTAAAACTGACTTTAAAAGTCTCATTGGAAATCTATTACTGCACACTCATGCAAAACTTGCTTTGGTTCATTAAAATAGATCAATGTAAAACTGTGTTCAAATATTTTTATTTGTTCAAAGGCAATATTCATCTACTAACAGAGGTCTTTAGACAAAAGTCCAAAGTGAACAAAAGGGAAACAACCCAGATTTGGAGCAAGTAGTAATAAACTCCTGAGAATATAGTTAGAGTAAAAGAAAAACATTTTCAAAGTGCTTTCTTTATTAAAAATCGAGGTAAAGAGAGTAATAAATTACATCAGCAGCAATCCTTCCAAAAGTAGCTGTGATAAGTACACATCCTGAGTAAAGTGTGAAAGCCTCAAAACAGAACCACAGGAGAAACAAGACAGAAGAGAGAAGACTATAAAGAGTAGCTCCTGGAGGCGGGGTGTGGTGGCTCATGCCTGTAATCCCAGCACTGCGGGAGACCAGGGCAGGTGGATCAGCTGAGATTAGGAGTTTGAGACCAGCCTGGCTAACATGGCGAAACCCCATCTCTACTAAAAATACAAAAATTATCTGGGCATGGTGGCAGGCACCTGTAATCCCAGCTACTCAGGAGGCTAAGGCGGGAGAATCACTTGAACCTGGCAGGGGGAGGTTGCAGTGAGCCGAGATCTGCATCAATATATTGATGGTGAGATTAAATTCTGAGTTTATTCAGAAGAACCAAGGTGAGAAATAGGTTAGTAACCCCTTCTGATTACTGTTTGTTTCTGTGCTAGCCCAGAAGTACAGCTTTTCAGAGTGGACACACCTGGGTACAGTTCAGGGCTCCAACTCAGACAAGTAAGAAAACATCTGTAGCATGTATTTACAGTTAGGGGTGATTGGTGACAGTCCACATTACATATATTATGTAAGCTTTCTACTTTTCCTTCACATTGCAACTGTGTTTATATTCAGCTTAAAGAATTAATTCAGTAAATTAAAACTATATTTTAATGAAGAATTATTTTAGGTGGAAAGAACAAAATTGACCAGATTGAATCATGTTGCATTTTTATATTATCTGGTAAGAATGATCTAACATTTAGAGCTGCTATCCCGACAATTACACATACAGGAACCTTAAATTGTTCCTACAGAGTATAATAGGAAGGAGGCTCCACCATTTCTCACACCTGACTGAGTTACTTATGCTTTCTGAATTTCAATTTCCTATCTAGGAGATGCCCATAGTCTCTTCTTTTTGCTCTTTAGTTGCTTATGCATATGCTATAAACTGAATGTTTGTGTCCTCCTACAATTCATATGTGGAAACCTAACTCCCAAGGTGATGCTATTAAGATGTGAGGCCGTTGTTGATGTCATTAGGTCATGAGGGCTCTGCCAGCAGGAATGGAATTTAGCGTCCTTATAAAAGACCCAGAGAGATCCCTTGCCCTTTGCAGCATGTGAGGACACAGAGAAAAGAGAGACACCTATGAAACAAGAAGTAGTAGGTTGTCAACAGATGCTGCATGTGCTGGTGACTTGATCTTGGACATCCTAGCTTCGGGGACTGGGAGACATACATTTCTGTTGTTTATAAGCATCCAGGGTATGGTATTTTTGTTATAGCAGCCTGAATGAACAAAAACAGGATATAATTTGCTGAGTTTTGACATGTCCCTTCTACTTCTTCAGACTTTCAGCATCTGCTGTCTCCTCAGTTGAATTTGTAATCAAAGCATAAGAAATATCAGGTATAGGCCAGGTGTGGTGGCTCACGCCTGTAATCCCAGCACTTTGGGAGGCCGAGGCAGGTGGATCACGAGGTAAGGAATTCAAGACCAACCTGGTCAACATAGTGAAACCCCGTCTCTACTAAAAATACAAAAATTAGCCAGGAGTGGTGGTGGGTGCCTGTAGTCCCAGCCACTTGGGAGGCTGAGGCAGGAGAATTGCTTGAACCTGGGAGGCGGAGGTTGCAGTGAGTTGAGATTGAGCCACTGTACTCCAGCCTGGTGACAGAGCGAGACTCCATCTCAAAAAAAAAAAAAAAAAAATCAGATATAGATGTCTCATGTCTTCAAAAGTAATAGCAAAAGGAATGCATTGCTCCTTGAGGTCAGTGTGAAAACTCCAAAATCTATCCAGTTTTGGTTATGGAGGTATCCCTTATGAGATGTTAATCCTGCTAAATCTGTCATTTCAAGTAGAAAAATGAAATTATTTTAGTAATTGTGCTAAGACCAATCTGAAAAAAAAGTCAGTATCCTGCACTAGCGCATACCACGATAAAAGAAACAATGAGAGAAAGTGGTTAGCCTCATTGAGACTTGTATTGTGGAGTTGAAATTTATGTTATTGGAAATTTTTCATTCATTAGCTTTTATTTGAATATACAAAGACACTTGCATCCTATTTTTCTTCAAACAAAAGGTAACACATTTAGCAATTGATTAAAGTCAACGTTCTGAGTTATGAACAATCTATGCACATTGCAGGCCTCCATGCAGAGGGTTTGTTTCAGACGTACAGAAACTAGTTTGAAAAGCGTGAAAAGTGGCCTTCAGGAAGAAAGTCGGGGCCCTGTTTGCTTATGTCATGCATGGAAGCTGCTTCCAAAGAGACCAGATGTTGCCCTGAAACTGAGACAGAGGGTGCAGCAGAGGTCCCTCCTCTTATTGTAAAGCTAGGAAGACACCCCCAAATCATTTGCATCAGTAGAGTGACTAGGTTTGTGATTTTCTTTATATACATATATATATATAAAACATACATATATGTTATATATATAAAACATACATATATGTTATATATATAAAACATACATATATGTTATATATATAAAACATACATATATGTTTTATATATATATATATAACATACATATATGTTATATATATATATAACAAAAAAAAAGCAGAAAAAAAAACCACCAGGATTTCAGATGGCCATCTAATAATATTTAAAATCTGGCATTTATTCAATGTTCAGAGTGACACTGTCCCAGCAAATAATTACAGGCACAGTCAGATTAACGTCCTTTTTAGCCCCTTTCCAAGACATTCCAAAACAAATTAGGGCTGTAAAACACTGTGTGTCTTCTCTCCATCCTGATCCTCCACTCCAGTTACTGCATTTAACGACCTGTTTGCTCATGTCCCGAGTGCCCTTGACTTTATCTCAGCCTGTGTAATTAACCGGATTCAGCTGGCAAACGTGAGCAATGTTCAGTTTCTCAGGGGATTAATTCCTAAATACAAACAGAATGAAATACATTGTGCAGAAACACATAACCTATCATATTTGGATATCTTCTTAGTTTTGCAAAACCACAGCATGTAGCCTTCTTGTTGCTGCTTTGTCACTTTATCTTTTTCTAATGGACACCATTGTGTCAATACTTTGAACCATTTGGAGGCACACGTAGACGTGCACAGCAGTGACTTTTGAAATCATTTTATGTAATATGAAAGGCCAGAATGCTGCTTGTTTCTTCTGAACAGGCCAGAGAGCTAGGACAGCATCCTTTGACCATGAAGGTTAAATGCTGGAGCAGCAGAGAACATGCAGAGCTCAGGGTGCCAGAAGCCACTGTCACCTGAAAGATTCAGTGGCAGCAAAGTCAGATGTAATGATTAAATGTTTATATTGTTCTACTATTTGATTTCAGGGTGTTAAGGAAATTTTCAATTTGCCTGCATTTGATTTTAATGTGTTTTCAAATATTCGAAGTAGAAAAAATAGCCTTCTTAAGGGAACTAGACCAAAAATATTGTGTTGTAATTCTTAAGAGCTAGTCTTTACCATCTACAGGCTGAGAAGGGATTGTGTTTAATTATTATGTGCAGGCTTACTTTTATAGCTGTGCTAAGCTGCAGCCAGGAATATTGAGAGGAATGAATTATTGGAAAACCAGTTACCAATTAATCTTTTTCCTTGTTGAAAAAAGAGAGTTATATATGCAAAAATAAAGCATTTTGAGCTCTCTATATTAGCTTATACTGAGAAAAAGACAGCAGAAAAAGACTCATTTCCGTTTATGAAATAAATAGAGAAATACAGCGAACTGCTACTGGCAGATATAAGTAGCAGAACTAAGGAAGCAGAGAGACCCCTTATTTTTGATCATGAAAATGAGTGAATAAAAGCCTGTTCTTGGCTTTCATGTCTTTCCCATGCTGCTTTCAAATGGAATAAGCTTGTATAATAATAATAGCAATAGTAATAGTAGTAGTAATTATTGTCAACATACTAAATATTACAACAATACTTATTTTAAAAATATTTACTGTGTGCCAGGTACTAGTCTAAGAAATTTACATTACATATATTAACTCATGTGTGACTCCCAACAAGAAATAGACACTATTTCACAATTTTGCAGATGATGTCACCAAGACCAAAGAATTTAAAGTGCATGTGAAGATTCAGGAGTCAAACCCAGCAATCCAGCCCCAGTCTATGCTCTTAACCCAGGCTGGGCGTGGTGGCTTAACGCTTGTATTCCCAGCTCTCTGAGAGTCAGGGGTGGGAGGATCTCTTGAGGCCAGGAGTGTAAAACCAGCCTGGTCAATATAGCAAAACCCCATCTCAACAAATGACGAATTAAAAAATCAGCTGGGCGTGGTGGTGCCTCTAGTCCCAGCTCCTCAGTAGGCTGGGGTGGGAGGATCGCTTGAGCCCAGAAGATGGAGGCTACAGTGAGCCATGATCATGCCACTGCATTCCAGCCTGGGCAATAGAGGGAGACCCCTCTCAAAAGCAAACAAACAAACAAACAAAAACAACAACAGCAACAACAACAAAAACCCACCCAAAACCAAACAACCACCCAAACAAACAAAAAACCCACCCACTCACCTACACACCAACCAACCAACAGAAAGGTTCCAGTTAATTTGTGTCTTAGGTCTGGTAGAACGCAGACCTAATTCCAGAATTTATGAAACAGGTGAAAATCTCCTATCAAGTTCACGAATTTACTATTTCCTTCTTGTGTTGGGCCAGTTTTCCCCTTGTAAAAGTTATCAGCACTTAATTTTTATTTTGAGACTATTTTGTTAGGTGTATAAGGGTGAAGAATTATTAGCCTCTGTTTCTAATACATGATTTAACATCAAAAATCTCATTACATCAACTTTCTTTGGTAGCTTTCGCCTGTTATATTTTTCTGTATCAATCAACTTTTACTTAGATTATGCTGTAGTAAGAAATAGCCCTGCAATCTCAGAGGATTCCTATAACAAAATGCTTATTTCCTACTCCTGACCTTGTGGTCAGCTTCAACTCTGCTCAGCTTCTCTCATTCTGGGACCAGGCTGAAGGGGTAGCTTCCATCCCAGTCTCAGGGCAAAGGGGATAAAAGCTAAGGCAGAGCCATGTCATGCAGTTAAAATTCATATGTGGCACGTGTCACTGTTGCAGGTTCCACTGACAGACGCAAGTTAATGGAAAGGGAGGTTTAATATTCTAACAGAGAAAGGCAGGCAGGCATGAGGAACAATAATCCAACCCAACACATCGCAGTCATCCTTCCCATCCTTTCACTTTCTATCACTGTGGATCCTGTCTTTTATGTGCATTTATCTTGTAAAAAGTATATAACTAGGTTTTCAATTCAATTGGAGATATCTTAGAAAAACCTACGTATTTGCATTTACTTGGATTATTATCGATCATTTCAGTTTGTGTTTTCCACTTGTCATGAATTTTCTTTTTTTCTGTCCTCCTTTCCTATCTTCTCTAACAGAGCACCTCAGACTTTATTATGCATTAGAAATACCTGGAGGGTTGTTAGAGTGGATTCTTGGACTCCAACCCTGGAATTTCTGATTCAGAAGATCTGGAGTGCAACCTGAGAAGTTGCATTCTAACAAGCTCCCAGGTATATTGATGCTGGTGGTCTGGAGCCCACACTCACTCTTCTGCAGTTATCAATTGCATTGTCTTTATTTTCTCCCTTTTTCATGTATAAGAAAAAAATACAATGATCTTAGAATACTTTAATCAAATTTCCTCTTTTTTACCATATCAGTGTCCAACATTACACTTATATTTTGTTTTAAGTCTGTTGTTTTTAAATTCTTAAAATAGTTATCTTAGCATTTTACATCAATATTACTTTAAATTTAGCAACTTTTTGACTTATTTTTAATCAACATTTATTGAACTTATACTATGTGCCGGTGACAAACCTATGATATAAGTGCTACTATTATTTATATTTCCACTGAACATATGTGGAAATGGAGGCACAGAGAGGTGGAGTAATTTACTCTTTGTCACACAGCACGCTGACTAGAACATCTATACTCTAAACCACTTTGTGATATCGTCTCATCATTGTGATTTGCATCTTCCTCCTTTCTGTTTTTACTTTCCTCTTCCTAAAGAATATGTTTTTGGTACTCCTTTCTGTAAAGATCTAGGTTAATCAATTTCCTTTGCTTTTATGTTTCTGAAAATATCTTTCTTGCTACCCTTACTATTCAGTGTTAATTTATCTTGACTGTTGCTTTTCTCCAGCATTACAAAATTTTTTAGAGTATTTTGTCTTATTGTTGCTAACATTGAGTCATCTATTCATTCTGTCATTCCATTCTAACAGCAGTCTGATTTTTCTCTGGGGTTGCTTTTAAGACTTTTTGTTTTATATTTAATTTTACATATAAACCATTATGTGTCTACTTGTTGACTTGATGTAACTCTCAACAATACAAGTCTTTCTTCAATTCTGGAATTTTTTTTCAGCAATTACCATTTTGACTTCTGCCTCTTTCCTATTCACCATTGTTTCTTTCATTGCAAATCCTGTCAGACATATGTTGGATGTATGGTGGACATTCTTACTCTTTCATATCTTATTTTTATCATATGTCATATTTTATTTTTCATATTTTAGATTAAGGTTTTTATATCTTCATATTTTATGCTTTGTTCTTTTGTTTTTTTTTTTTTTTTTTTTTTGAGGGGTGGGGGAAGGAGTCTCGCTCTGTCACCCAGGCTGGAGTGCAGTGGTGTGATCTTTGCTCACTGCCACCTCCACCTCCCGGGTTCAAGCAATTCTCCTGCCTCAGTCTCCTGAGTAGCTGGAATTACAGGCACCTGCCTCCACACCTGGCTAATTTTTGTATTTTTAGTAGAGACAGGGTTTCACCATGTTGCCCAGGGTGGTCTCAAACTCCTGAGCTCAGGCAATCCACCCACCTCGACCTCCCAACATGCTGGGATTACAGGCGTGAGCCACCGCGCCCAACCTTTGTGCTGCATTCTTGATGATTTCTCCAGATTCATCTTCTAAGCACTGAGAATCCTCTCAGATAGACTAATTTTATTTAATCCTTTCCATTTCAATGGCATTTTAAAATATCTTAAAGTTCTATTTGTTTCTTTTACATATATTCTGTCTTTTATATTATGCCCTTCCAATATAATGTCTATTTTTTCTTATATTTATTTTAAATAAAATTATTTTCTATTCTTGTAAAACTTTTCCCATTACTTGCAGTTCTTAAGATGCTAATTCGCTTTTTTGTCTTGTACCTGGTGAATTTCCCTCTTTGTGATTTATTTATGTGGTTGGTGCTATTTTATTAAAGTAAGCTCATCTTCAGAAGGTTTTTCTCTTCTGTAGAAAACTCATACACCTAGAATTCTTTTTGTCTTGTTTTGAGACAGAGTCTCACTCTGTTGTCCAGGCTGGGGTGCAGTGGTGCAGTCATGGCTCACTGTAGCCTCAACCTCCCAGACTTGGGTTATCCTCCTGCCTCAGCCTCCAGAGTAGCTGAGACTACAGGTGCACACCACCATACCCAGCTAATTTTCTGTATCTTTTGTAGAGATGGGGCTTTGCCATGTTGCTCAGACTGTTCTTGAACTCCTGGACTCAAGTGATCCACCATCTCCACCTCCCAAAGTACTGGGATTACAGGCGTGCACCACTGTGTCCAATGAGCCTAGAATTCTTTAAAGGGCCTCAACAAAACGGTTTAATCTTTTCCTCTGTCAAAGCCCTACAGCAGTCAGCAATTCTAAACAACTTTGAGTTTAATATTAGCTTGGAATTCTTTTATTATGCAAGTAGTTTATATTGGGATATGATATTCATAAGAGGGGCAAGCCTTCATTTGGATGACAATTCACCATTTTAATTGTGAGAGAGATGTGTCAGCCTTTCTCATTACTTTCTGAGGGTGAGTGAAATTTTGCTATTTCTTTTATAAAGAAGGGAAGAGCCAGATTTTATGCAAAAAATTCAAGTCCAGAGCCCTAACTTCATGCCGACTCAATGTCAATGTCAAATTTCCTGCCCCAGAGAAGTTTACAATTGTGTGTGTGTGTCTGTGTCTGCATGTGTGTGTCCCTGTTCAAGTACACAGCAACCCGGATTTGTTTCTTGATGTCTTTTGTCATATTGGAAAAATTCTCTGCCAATTTCCATTCAAATATTTCCTTGACACAATCTCTTTTTCTCTTAAACTTCTGCAACTCCAATTACAAGTATGTTAGACTTTTCCACTGCATCTTATCCATCATTTATATATTTTTTTGCTCTTTTCTTCTGTGTTTAGTCTGTATATTTCTAGTGACCCATTTCTGTTTACTAACACCCTCCTCAACTGTTTTTAATCAATATCAAATCTTCATTACATTTTACTTTCATTTGTAGGATTTCAGAATTTTTGTTTGATTCATTTTTTAGACGTCTCAATTCTCTGAAGTTTTCCATCTTGTCATTCATATTTTGAGCATGTTAATCACAGCTATTTTGACTCTCATATTGGATAATCTGTGGCCCCATTTCTATTAACCATTTTTTTTCTCCTGGAATGATTGGTGGTATTTAATTGAATGCTTGTTTGAAACATTATGTTTGAAACATTATAGGGATAATTTGTATGTTTGAAACATTATAGCGATAATTTGAGGATCTCAATGATGTTTATCTCTGCCCAGATGACAAAGGTCTGAATGATGTTATCTTTATCAGTTCACTTCACTGCATGTGGTTAGAGATATATCAATTTTATGCAGTCTGGGACTCAGCTCATTCAAATCTAAGTTTCAGTTTTTGTAAGGACTAGTTTTTGTTCAGTTTGTCTTCATTTCTGGGGTATAGCCCTTCAGAATCCCACTAGAAATGTGGGATATTTACAGAAGTCCCTCTTCCTTGGTGGATCCTGAAATCTGAATTTGACTCCCAATATCATGAGTCTATTGGAAGTTCTCTTAGCCACCACCTTCAGCTTGGCTTCTTCAGCCCCTTAGTGATTACCTACCAGACGGCAAGTACCTCGGGAAGCAACACAGAGTCAAATATCAGGCTCAGTTCTCTGTGTTTCCTTTTCTCCGGGACCTCAGCTCCCCAAGTCCTGGCTGCCTCGGAAGTTAGCCAAAATCTTCTTCTTTTTTTTTTTTTGTCCCAGTCTCAGTCTCATAAGACTGCCTAAAATTCTTCTCAGCTATCTGCCATAGCCTCTTCTTTCTGGGTGGGCTTGCAGCCTGTGTTACTTACGAATTGGCAAACGCTTCAAGGTATAGATGGTCTTAAAGGCTAGACTCACCCAAACATGGTGGCTTTCTATCTTGAATCTTGGCTTCTCTAAATCCAGTTGCTTTGATGTTTCTTAGATACTTTCAAATAGATGATTTTGAAAAATATCCACTATTTACCCATGTTTTTAACGAGAGTGTTGGTGTGATAAAAGTAAGTCCCCCATAGCCAGAAGTAGAATTCCATCGTGAATCTTTCAAACTACAGACATCATCCCCTCAGGGAATATACATGGGTCTGAAAATAACATAGACTGTCAGATAATCGTTTGTCCTTACTATTCGAAACTGATTTTCAATTTCTTGCAGCTAGAATCATCTCTATGCTTTTTTCAAGCTTGCCTATGTAGTAAAAATAATATGTTCCTTTGTAGGGTGATGTTTCTCCTACCAGTTTACTTAAGGCTGTATGTACGCTGCTTGAACCCTAAAAGCTGGGAAATGAGCCAAGGCCACGGTGCTCAGCTGAGGAGCAGGTGTCCCTGAGAACCCAAACATCCTAGAGTGTATCTGGGAACATACCAAGGAAAAGAGTCTCATCACATGCGGCAGCCAAAGAGCCACAAAATCAGCTTAAAAGCAGCTTAGAGGCGTGTGGTGGGTGGATCTCTAGAGTTCTCCTGATGCTGCCCGAAAATGTCCTGTTTGTGAATCCTAATAAACTCATCTACTCCTCAAGCTGGAATTGCCCAAGTCATTCTTTGGTCTCTCAGCTCCTTCCCAGTTTTTGAGGGATGTTCTCCTGTACAGTCCTGGGATTTTCCCATCACACTCTTTGTAAAAGGAAGGGAGCCTGTGTGAGTCAACATCTCGTATTTATGTGGAATATTCGTCTTTTAAAACCAGGAGTTAAAACAAGTGTGAACAAAATTAAAAATAGTTGATTCTAGATTTCAATAAATAGGTACTTTTTATATTATTTTTAGTGTATTGTATAAAAAACAACTTCTCTGAAAGTTATTTAATAATTCACTTGTCATCCTAATCCTCTCTGTTTCATGGATTGGCTTGAAAGCAAAATTACTCACACAATTGCTCCTTGGTAATGAAAGAAGGACACCCTTATTTTTCCACAAGCTGTGTGTAAATGCCTATGGGAGCCATTGCTGTCATAAGAGAAGCCAGCACACAGCAAGGTTAAAGCAGAGAGAAGCACAAGGACACTAGCTGACCAAAGGCCATTCTCCCATTGCTCTTTTGGTTATCAAATCAATTCACTTTTAAGGCTAACTTAAATTAGTTTCCTTTTTAAATTTTGTATCGAAAGGATTCTGAATAATCAAATGACTTAAAATATTAGTATTATTTAACCAATGGAGGTCAGAGAGATGTTTAACAGCCTGCTTTGCAAGGAGATAGTGCAGAAAAGAGATTAAAGGGGGCTGATGGGGCTGGGCGCGGTAGCTGACACCTGTAATCTCAACACTTTGGAGGCTGAGGAGGCAGATCACTTGAGGTCAGGAGTTTGAAATCAGCTTGGCCAACATGGTGAAACCCCGTCTTTACTCAAAATACAAAAATTAGCTGGGTGTGGTGGCACATGTCTGTAATCCTAGCTATTCCAGAGGCTAAGGCAGGAGATTCGCTTGAACCCGGGAGGCAGAGGTTGCAGCAAGCCAAGATCGCGCTGCTGCACTCCAGCCTGGGTGACAAGGCAAGACTCTGTCTTAAAAAAAAAAAAAAAAAAAAAAAAGGAGCGGGGGGCTGATGATGCAATGCAGGGCAAGGATTGGATTCCCTAAGGAGGAACCAAAAAGTCCAGCTGTGAAGGTGAGAAGGTAAAATATCTTAAGGGAAAGCAGGGACAAGTTTTGGAAAAAAGTGCATAAATTGGACTATATCTAAAATATCATGGGAAGGATCTAGTCTTGAGGGAGCCATTGGATTATGCATGGGATAAAAGGCAGAGAAGATTATTTGTGCTTCAAGGAGGTGGTAATGATCAAAACTATAGGTGGAGGTATTGACATTATTATGGTTCCCCTGTTATTACAGGAGGCTCAAGTGGGGAGGACGGGCACAGATGTCTGTATGCTTCGTACTGGGAAGCATGCTATGATGATGACTTCTATTTCCTCTGGGAAGTGGGAGAGAGAGTCCTTTTGCTTACCAACAATATGCCTTCTACATCTCTCCACATACAGTCTAAGACTGCTTTTTAAAATGTTTATGTATGAATGTATGGCTGCAGCATATTCCATATCAAGATTGTTCTTAAATTTTAACCACCGCCTTGATGAAGGGCATTTAGATGCTGCAATGAATAAAATATGGACAGGCTATTATACCAAAGAAAACAGTCAAAGGAAAAGTATGGGTATTTGGAAATTAGAAGCAGTAATAGCAGCATGAAAAAAATGATGGAGTTGGAAGACAAATTTTTTCTTGTCTTGGTTATATATTTTTAATGGTGGTAAGAACACTGAACATGAGATCACAGAGTTTGAGTGTATGACGCAGTACTGTTCAAGGTAAGCACAATATTGTGCAGAAGATCTCTAGAATTTATTCTTCTGGCATAACTGAAGCTTTACACCCGTTGAACAGCAAGGGTCACCTCCCTTCATTGGATATGATAGTTTTTAATCCATGTTAACCAAAATAGCTCCGAAAAGTTGGAAAATTAACATAATTAAACTTGAGGAAAAAGTTTCAGTTTTATTTCTTATGAAAGTATGCCAAGCAATATCTAGGCATTTCCTGCATATTCCTTCCTTTTTAGGACCCCGGGTCTGACATGGCTCATATGTGATAGGGAAGATGTCTAGGGCTTTGCTCACTCTTGGTAGCAGATCCTCTAGAACAGAACCTTATGCCCGACTCAAAGCAGGAGGCATCTAGAACCTTTGGATGACTTCCAGCTCAGAGACTGAAACTCCCACTTAAGATTACTTTATAAAGTCTTCAACCCACAGAGCAGTAGTATTCCCTGCATCCTCTTCACAAATACATAAAATCAACCAACCACGTTTTTTTTTAAAGATGATAATTTCATAGAAAATCCTAAAATTTTCACAAATTCTTGTTAGACATGCCACCTATCATACTGGCCTAAGAACAATAGACAGTAGGCACAAAGTGTTAATCTCACTGGGTGACAAGGCAAGAAAAGTCTTGCCTTGTCCTTTCCTTGGAAAGGAAAGTCGCTCTGTGGTGATTTTTGGCTGTCTAAGCCTTATGTAGAGGACTCTAGGAAGGGAGGGGATCCCATAAGAGATGTATTTTAGGATCAGTGGGTCAAGTTTTACTTTTTAAAAAATCATGATTATTGCAATTGCATAAGATTATTGCATAAGAGACATCATATCTTACCATCTCAATAATTATGCAATCTTATATTTCATAAAGATTTATATACTTGTTTTTATTTAGGTCTTGCACATTTCTCAAATATTTTACTATTAAAATCTTAGAATTTTGTCATTAAAAATAACGTTTCTATTGCCTTTTCTAAATATGCAATGTTTCTTTGTCCTTGATTTCCATGCATTGACCTTATATCAGGCCCTTTACTAATCTCATTAATTCAAATCCATTTTTAGTTGATTTTGTTTTGCATTTTCCAATTATAAAGTCTGTTAAGACTCCACTATCTTTAAGAAGGGGGATGCAGAAAAAGTTCTTCATAGTAATATGAATTCTAGGAACATCTATTGAGGCTGATAAATTACGTTCATTTATCCTAAAAGAAGCCGCAAATCCCTGGCAGTGAGTGGGAGGCAACCCTAGGATCCATCCCAAACTAAAATACCCCTATTTTCATCATTAGCATGGATTTGTGGAAGTCTAGTCCATGCAATGAAGGGTGTCATTTTTTAGATCTCTGACAAGGAGATTTCGTTTACATGGACATAAATTATTTCTTTGAGAAAGGAAGCTTTCATTGTAGAATAAATGACTTTGAGAAAAGCTTTATTGTAACCATTTTAAAAAATGAATAGAATATAGCCTTCCTCTTTTTCTGTAACTAGATGAGCCTTTTAAATTGGATTAGTGATAGGTATTGGAAAAAATACTAGTGTCCCTTTCCTGCCTCAGGTTTGCGTGTGTTCTTGGGAATGGACATATCCACAGACTTCTCCAGTGGGAAGCTGTGTGGATGGTAAGAGAAGTCAAGAACACTTCTTTGCTACAAAATGATCAGGATGCAAGAATATGCCATATGGATGCTATGCTCTAATAATATCGTATCTAGTGGGATTAAGTGCTTTGTAGTAGAAAACATGTCTCTCTTTTAGTGTAAGATTCAGCTCATGTTCTTGCTCTTAATTTATAGATGTTTAACATAATGTACATCTGAAAATGGCCAGGGATTTGACCTTCTGCATAGGAACTAGGAAATAAAAAAGAATTTACTACTGTTCCCAGTTGCATGAACAGCTATTTTATTGCTGATGGGAACAGGGGGCTGTTCTGATTATTTTCTACAAATTCCACCTAGGCATAACCAGAGCATGCATTGGCACGTAGCCAAAGCAAACTGGAGTGCTCAGAACTGCTGAGTCCAGGGCAATGATGTTCTACCTATCAATTAACAGACGATATTTAGTACACTTAGTTTCACATCGCCATGTCCTCTATTTCCTAGTCCTTATGCTAGAGATACTAATAAGCCATTTTATTATGATTTTAAAATTCTCAGTAAAGGTCATTTACATAAACTCTCATTAATAGGATGGTGAATACATCCTTTTCAATGGAAAAGAGAAAGAAAATGGGCTTTGAAAAATATTTTAGGTTCAGAGGTACCTAAAGCTAAAATACAATGTGCACATTTGTTATACAGGTAAATTCGTGACTCAGGGGTTTGGTGTACAGGTTAGAAAATGGGCTTTGGTTTTGTTTTGCTTTTGTTCAGACACAAATACACTGTAACCTTGGTTTGTACCCAACTTACCAATAATATTCTGAAATTCAGCACAATAACATTTTGAATTGATTTCTTTTTAATATTTTCTTCAACAATTATAGTAAATAACTATAGGGAGCTAAAATATTAATGAAGACCTGAATGTGGCCGTAGTTTCATTTTCTGGATGTGTAACGTAAAAAACAAAAAGTAAAATTTGAAAGTATTTTTCAGCGAGAAAAGGAGAAACAAGGATGTGCCAGGCTTCATGATGATTATATGATAGCTAAACAAGTATTTGATAGGCTTCTAGTCACTGTAATCCTGTCCTAAAATAAAGCAGTATGTAAACAAATGAATAAAGATAAATTCATTCTGGCTCTCCCTGGGCAGCTAAAACTGCAGCCTTCACTAGCAGGGTCCTGTTTAACATATCCCTGCCGGCGGGCAGAGAAAGGCATTTCTCTGCTTCTCATCCAATTTGCTACATCACCACTTCTTCTGTCCTCTGCCCCATCCTGATGACATGGAGTTGCTCTATGGGATTTCATTTTCAGAAAAGACTTTAAGTAGGAGACATAAGTTTCCAGATCACCAGCAGATTCTCTAGTGCCTTTCATTTCTCCTACTCCCACATTCTGCTCTAAAGTTTATGGGGAGTCCAGGGAGTGGGGAGTGCTTGGGCAGAGTGGGGAGTAGAGTGTTCAAGAAACAAGGGCACAGTACATCACACACGCTTACAACCCAAGGCCTGATCCCTCTTTAAGGACTGAGTACCTTGTTTAGCCTGATGAAATCCATTTACTTTCAGATCTCTTGGCTGTTTGTTTGCATCTTCATGGACTTAAGGGGTCACCTACTGGAAGTGACGTGCTTTCAACTAGCAGTTTAGAATTTGCAAGCTGTGGGACTTCCAGGGTCCTGTAGGATAATGATGACTGCCTTATTTCTCTACATACCCTCCAACATCATACCCTTCAACCAAGAGAGCCAGTGAAACCACCATAACCTGTACTTCTAGCATAACCAAGAAATAACAAACATATAAACTTCACTTTACAAGTACATAAGAAAAAAAAATGAAACTAGAAGACCAGCTTTGGAGTACATAATGAAGACAGGAGATAGATAGGTAGATGGATGGATAGATGGATAGGATAGATGGATAGGATAGATGGATAGGGTAGATAGATAGACAGGATAGACAGATAGGATAGATAGACAGATAGGATAGACAGATAGGATAGACAGATGGGATAGACAGATAGGATAGACAGATAGACAGGATAGACAGATGGATAGATGAGATAGAGTAGATAGATTAGATAGATAGATTAGATAGCTAGATAGATTATATAGCTAGATAGATAAATAGATAGACTATATGAAGAAAGGAGAGAGTGGAGGAGCATGCTTAGCAATGTGGGACAATTAATCAAGATATTGACCAGACACAAGGGGCCCCACCCTGATGGAGAAATAGAGGTAATACTGTTGAGACTTGATGGACAGATCCTCCTTGACTGGGGAATCAAAAGGAAGAGTCTTGGAAGTGCATAGACCAGGAGGGGCCTGGTCGTGAACACCCTGTCTCTAGAGCAGAGGGATGCATCCTTTAGACGTTTGGTGGTAAAGGAAAAGGAAGCAAGTGGTGAAAAGTAATGCTCCTAAACAAGTAAACAGAATTAAAATTAGCAGAAGTTTAGCTACCAGCCCTTCTCCACCAAATGGGCACCATGGAAGAAATCCTCAAGGATTAAACCCAGCGAGCCCCTCAAACTCTATATCCCTGAATTTACCTTTAAGATTTTGAAAAACACAGTATTTAAAAATGAATAAAAATCAATGTACTAACAAGAAATTTTAAAAAGAGAATACATAATAACTGGTAATTTTTTTCCCTAAAATAACCAGAAATCAGAGGCAAACTGTAACATCATACTCATGTCTGCATTAAATACTCTCAAACAAGCAACTGCAGACATAATGAAAGCAAACACCTTCTGTCAGAATGTCAAAAACTTAGAAAAGATATGGAAAAAATATACAGATATCCAAATAGGAAAAGTAACTAAAATATGCATAATTGGAATCCCTGAAGAAGAAAAAACAAAACTGTAAAACAAGACTAATATTTAAAACAATAACCCAAGAAAACTTGCTCAAAATCAAGGAACTCAAATCTACATTTTGAAGGGGTCTATTACATGCTGGGGAAATTTAAAAGAATCATTGATTCCTAGATATACTCTAGTAAAACTGCAGAGAATAAATACATATAATAAATACTAGAACAAATACATATTCCTTTTAGATCCCAGGTAAAAAGACTAAGTCACTTATAATGGAAGAAAAGGTTGAAATCAGACTCCTCGATCACAAAATACAAAATAAGACAGTAGTGGAACATTCCAGAAGAATCGACAAAAGAATTATTAAGGGTCTTTAAACTCTAAACATCATAGAAACACATTTAAAAAAGAAAAACTCAGGAAATGCTGTCTTTGTTTATCTCCTTGAGAAGTTTACGCACCTTCTGAGGAACAACTTGATTGTTTCAGTTTTAGGATATTACAAGTAAAGCTGCTATGAATAATTATGTACAAGGTTTTTTTTGTAGACCTAAGTATTCATTTTTTTTTCCTGGGATAAAGGCTCAGGCATGTCATTTTTGGGTTATATAGTAAGAATGCATTTTTTTAATATGAAGAAACTGCCAAGCTGTTTTTCACACTATGTCTACAATTTTACATTCCTACTAGCATGTATTTTGCCCAGTAAGCCAATGTGAAAATCTTTTTCTTTTAATAGATGAGCTTACTCCCTTAAAATCATGGCTATATCTGATACAATTGGTCCCAACTTTGTCATCTTATTTATGTTTTATTCACTGTGTGTATTATATTGAACATAGATGAATATTCAGAAGATTATGCTGAGTGAAAAACCTACTCTAAAAAGGACACATGATTCTATTTATATAATATTCCTAATAATGAAATTAGAGAGATGGAAAACAGGTTCGTGGTTGTCAGCAGTTGGGAAGATTGGAGGAGTGTGGTGCATGCACCTCTCACAGGGTAGCATAAGCCCATCTCTGTGGGGATGGGGCAGTTCTGTATCTAGACTGCAGCAGTGGTTGCACAGATCCACACACGTGATAAATGGCATGGAATTATACACACACATTGTATCATATTAAATTCCTGGTTTTAGCGGTGTTCTACACTTATGTAAGAGGCAACCACTGGGGGTTGATATACAACACAAAGATTGCGTATCTTTGAGAATCAAAGGTATGCAAGAGCTCTCTCTACCATGTTTGAAATTTCCCTATGAATCTGTAATTATTTCTAAATAAAAAGTTAAAACATCTATTTTAATATTGGTCCTTCCAAAGCATTCATTTAATATTTTCTAAGAAAAGGAAATATGCAGCAAGAATTGGGAAGGATCTGAGATTTGCTTTACTTAGAAGATAACAAGTCCACCTGTTACTCTTTCATAAATCCTGGCAGCTGACAAGACTCCTGGATCAGAGAAAAACTTTATTACTCAAGACACAGCAATTAGCATCAGTATCAGCAGGTCTTGAATAGCTAAAACACTCTTGACAAAGAGTAATAAAGTGGGAGGAATCACTCTACCTTATAAAAAGACTCACAATTTAGCTGCAGTAATCAAAATGGTGTGGTCTCGGCAGGGCACAGATACATAGATTAATGATTAGAATAGAGAACCCAGAATAGACCCACACAATTACGTCCTAATGATTTTTGACAAATGTGTCACAGCAGTTCAATGGAGGAATGGTAACCTTTTCATTAAATGGCACTGGTGCAATTGGACATCCATAGGCAGGATAATCTTGACTTAAACCTCACAACTTCTACAGTAACAAACTCAAAATGGATCATAAACTTAAGAGCAAAATGAAAAACTGTAAAATGTATTTAAAAGTGGAAGAAAAAACCTTTAGGAATTAAGAGTACGCAAAGAGTTCTTAGATTTGGCATTAAAAGAATGACTCATAAAAAGAAAAACTAATAAACTGGACCTCATACAAATTAAAAACTTTTGCTCTGTAAAAACCTATGTGAAAAGGATGAAAACAGAAAATACAGGCTATAGACTAAGGGAAAATATTTGCAAACCACATATCTGACAAAGAACAAATATCTAGAATTTATAAAGAACTCTCCAACATCAATAGTAAAAATGAAACCAATATCCACCTAGAAAATGGGCAAAATACGTGAACAGACATTTGAATGAAGAGGATATATGGATGGCAAATAAGCACTTGAAAATATGCTCAAAATCACTTATCACCAAGGAAAGATAAGCTAAGTCAAAAATGAAATGTCACTACGCACCTATCCGGATGGCCAAATTAAAAATAATACAATGGTGACAACACTAAATGCTGGCAAGGTTGTGAAAACTGGACTACTAATAGATATCTGGTGGGAATGTCAAATGATACATTTTGGAAAACATTTCGACACTTTCTTATAAAACTAAATGAGCTTTTACCTTAAGAATCAGCAATTAGCCCCTTGAGCATTTATCTTGGATAAATGAAAACATGTCCACATAAATCCTGCACATGAATATCTATAGCAGTTTTATTTCTAAAGGCTCCCAAATGGCCCCAGATGTCCTTCAGTAGGTGAATGGTTAAATACATTGTGATGTAACCACAACATGGAATGTTTAGCAATAAAATGGAATAAATTACTGATACATGTGTGGATCTGTCAGAAGGGAATCAGGCTGAGAGAAAAAAGCCAATCCCCAAAAGTTACATCCTACCTGAGTCAATTTACATAACATTTAAAATGACAAATTTGAGAAATGGAAGATACAAGCCAAAGGTTAGGGATGGGGTGGGATGGCATGAAGGTGAATGTGGTTCTAAAAGGCAACAAAAGGACTCCCTGTGGAGTTGGAATTGTTCAGTATCTTGGCTGTGTTGTTTATACACAAACGGACCAGGTGATAAAAATGTATAGAACATACACACACACAAATGAATAAAAGCAAAACTAGGAAAATCTGAATCAGATCAGTGGATTGCATCAATGTCAATACCCTGTTTAGGAGGATATTATACTATAGTTTTGCAAAACATTACCGTTGGGCTCTCTGTTATTTCCTACAACTTCATATGAATGTACAGCTACTTCAGTAAAACCAGCAATAACAAAAGAAGAATAGTAATGGTTTATTACAGTGAATATAAAAAGAATCCATAGGGCCATAATGATACAAAGATTGGGAAACAAAGTATGTAAAGAGCTTTTCCTCAACATGTATGTACTTTTTTCTAAGACCATCTAAAAATAGGAAAGTAATGATAGAGTCTCTATTTTGCAATCATCAGTGTGCTATTTGATCTATGCAAGGTTCATTAATAGGTACTTAATCTATAGGGTTTAAGTTTGTGAGGAACAAAATATTAATTACAAAAAGAAAGTTATGTTTACAATAAGGAAATGTGGCAACATCTACCATATCCAAGTAGCTAAAACTATCATTGCCCATAAGGGGACAAATTGGCATCGTGTACCTTCTCGTGTCAGGCTGTGAGAAACAGATACATGTAGACATTCTTGGAAAGATGTTTAACTTGAGGAAAAATTACAACAAATTCAGGTTGGAGGGTATTATAAGAGACAAGTTTCTAAACTCTTCCAGAATGTCAATATTTTGAAATAAAAAAAGAATAAAAATGAAAAAAAGGCAGGTAGATAAATTAATCTAAATCAAAGGAGACTAAAGAGATTATGATAACCAAATGCAATAAGTGTTTAAGTGTTTGTTTTGTTTTAAGAGATGAAGTCTCATTATATTATGTTGCCTAGGTTGGCCCTGAACTTCTGGCCTCAGCCTCCAAAGTAGCTGGGACTACAGGCATGTACCACTACCATGCCTAGCAAACAAGTGGTTCTTGACTGAAATCTGGAGCAAAAAATAAAATAAAATAAAATAAAATAAAAATCGCTATAGGTCAGTTGTGGAAGAAGAAAACATCAAATGTACCTGTATTCTTTTATCAGTATTAAATATGTTGGTTGTGATCATGGTATTGCATTTATGTAAGTGAAGGTTTTTTAATTAGAAGAGATGCTGAAATATATAGGGTAGGTATCATCATGTCTGCGACTCACTTTCAAAGACCCAGTAAAAAAGTACAGTTAGGTAGACAGAGACATGGAGAGGAAAGAGAAATAAGTAAACAAGATAAATATTAACTGCTGAGTTAGAGTGTAAATGGGTTTTTACTACTTCTATTTCTTCGAGTTTTCTGTATTTGTAATTCTTCAAAATTAAAACAAATCCAGTGGTTATAAATGCCCCTAATGAAATAAAAATGCACTGGCATCGTTGCTTTAAACAGTCTAAATGAGGGTGGCTGGAGAGAGAGGGGGAAAGAACATGCAGTTTCACATCTCAGATAATTATTCTGCAGAATCTTTTTTTGTGTGTGTGTTTTCCACACTGCTGCTTGTGCACAGCAAGATGGCTGTGGTAGCAGTTGGATGTTTGGGAAATGTAGATCCTATATCACTAGACACTGTTATCACTAAGGAGCTAGTTGAAAATTCAAGTCAGGAGACCACATTCTAAAATAATAGTAATTTTGAGGCAGCATTCTCATTGCAGAGATTCTCAAGCAATGCAATTAGTATGGGCAGCTGATATCTAGCTTATAAGTCAAATAATGATTATGTTAGGTGCAGGAAGAAACCGCAATGAAAACAAGCTTAAATTATTGTCACAGTTTAAGCATCTGCTTCTTTAAAAATGTAAATTCCTGGGCCCTGTTCCAGATTTAATGAATTAAAAATCTGTGGGTGGCTCCAGAGTCTAAATTTTTATCCAATTTTTCCAATAACATTAATTAGCTAAGGTTTTGTAAGCAACTGGCATAAGGTGTTATTGCTATTGTTCAAATATAAAAAATAAATCTGATTAAATTTTCCCATGAAATATTTTTGTAAACAGTTTAGTTAATGATTAAGTGGAAGTTTTTTGTGGAACAGCATTAGCACTACTTCATATTTATTTTATCATTAGGTTGAGTTCTTTTTTTTTTTCTTTTTTTTTGAGACGGAGTCTTGCTCTGTCACCAGGCTGGAGTGCAGTAGCATGATCTCGGCTCACTGCAACATCCGCCTCCCAGGTTCAAACGATACCCTGCCTCAGCCTCCCGAGTAACTGGGACTACAGGCACGTGTCACCACGCTCAGCTAATTTTTTGTATTTTAGTAGAGACGTGGTTTTACTATGTTGGCCAGGATGGTCTCGATCGATCTCCTGATCTCGTGATCCCGCCCACCTCAGCCTCCCAAAGTGCTGGGATTACAGGCGTGAGCCACCATGCCTGGCCTATTTTTTATGACAGTAATCAGAAAGCACGTTTTGAAGCAAGTGGAAGAGCATACTGTTATACTAATTTGTTACTGGGGGATGCTGGCATTGAAGAGTCCACTATTAAGCAATAAATACTCATATCATTTAATGAAAAGCATTCTGAAGAGAGATCAGATTGCTAAATAGTTTTATTTCCTTATATGGTCTTGGAAAAAGGAAATATTTTTTAATGTCTTGCTGGTCATACTAACAAGTAAAGAAGGGATCATGATCGTACAAAAACAGAAGCCCATCTGGATCCAACTGCCCTGTCCCTTACTCTTCTCAGTCCCTGTCTCTCTGTGCCCCCAGGGTTAGATGCTGTTGCTTCTGTCATTCATCACAGGAGTTTAAGCTTCTGCTACAAGCAGGGTAGTTTTTCACTTGTTGCCAGCATGCAAAAAGGGACTAAGACACTTTTCTGAAGATTTGGAAACACAGATTCCTAATGGCTAAGCAAATTACCTAAGGGCATAGAACTGAATGTGGCAAAGGGTACATCTTTCAGGCTTGCAAGCACTTTTTTTATACAATTGTACCTCTCATGAAATAAGAATGAGAGGAATACCACATATCAGGGAAACAGGAAATTTTAAGAGATTTTGAGGACTGTGAGATTCTCTTTGAGATGTATTTTCAGAATGTATTTTGAAAGACAGAATTAACAAAGAGTGAGGAATACCAGATTGAGGCAATATTTTGCACATCATTGTGAATTGCAAAGGGCTAGTAGATCAGCTCAAGTATGCAGGCCATCCTGGGCAGTGTGGAGACATCGCAAGCCTTTGTCTGTTTACTACAACTGTGCTGCAGGTTAACCTGACATTTGTGTATGCAATAAAATGAGCAGAAAGGCTGGAGTCAGGGGAACTGGTTAAAATGGTATCTAAGAAAGGGGACTTAGCTCAAGGTGCTCATGGTTACCTGGGGAAACAGGCAAGTGACCCTCATCATCAATTAATAGGACCCTGATCCAGCTGTAACAATCAGAGGAGGACAAGGGACTTTGGGGAGATAATTCCACTCTTGCTTAGCTTTGGGACAGGAAAGAAATAGGAAAATAATAGGGTAGAGATACTAACTTTGATATTCCTCAGCCAATTAGTAATGCTATGTCTCATGCTCTGTTGACTTTTTCTCTCCTTTCTCTTTCTTTCTGTCTTCCTTTCCCCTTATTTCCTCCCCACTCTTTCTTCTTTCCTTCTTGTATTTATCAGTCACCTCTACACAATTCGATGCCATGCTTTTGTTAGGCCCTAACTAGTATGGAATACAACAATACAGAAGGCATTCATTAGGATCCTGTAACACCTTACAAGAGGGCAGTGTATGAAAAGTATTAAAAGAACCATGAAAAGGCTGCACGAGGACTCAAAGAAGAGTTGACCAGGTTTTCAGAAAGCTATGAAAAGGAAAACTGGGAAAGACTTTATAGAGAAGGCAGGTGAGGACCCAGCTCTGCCAAATCCTCAGGAGCCCTCCCTTCCTCATCGGCCGAGTCCTCCTCTCTACAGAATCCCTCCATGGCCTTATCAAGTGTGGACTCTTGATTTGGATTTTTCAAGCTGCAGAAGGTCCTTCAGTGCTGTAAAAGGTTTTCTCTAAGAGAGCAGAGGATGGGAGGACACTTAGAGATATTTTTTCAAGCTTTGTTTTAAGACAGTGTAGAAGTAGCTCTTAAGAGTCTAGGATTCTGTTTGGATCAGGGATCACTGGAGCGATGGACACTCATAAAAAGCTTTTCCTTGGTTCATCTGTTTTTCCTAACTTCTGCTATTATGCCTCTTTTATTTGCATCTTCTAGACTGCAGGAGAAAGAACACATAATTTGAGATTTAAAGTCTTCAGTTTCTGTCCCAATTCCATTTACCAGCTTTGTGATTTCAGCCTGAATTTCTTCAGCTATAAAAAAAGAAAAAACAAAAAGACCTCCCAGGATTATAAATATCAAATGAGAAAAATGTACTTTTTCAACTGTACAACATCATGTTAATATTGATTACTTTTAATTCCTTTATAAATCCCCACTTCTAACTAGCCATAATTTCTCTTGTGAGGTTATACTGTATGTATATATAAAAACAAGTATATTATATACAGTGTACATTAACATATTTTCTTAAACAGGCATCAAATCCTTTAGAGAATGATTCTGGATCCTTCTTCAAGCTATTCCCATTGAAGAACCGCAAATGAACCAGGAATAAATCATTTAAGGGTTCATATAAGAAGCAGTACCATAAACTAAACTACAAGCACCACAAGCCAATGATTTGATTCAAATTAATCTGTTAAACCAAACTGAAGCCAAATATTCAGTTTCTTTGACTCAAACTTGATCTGGTACAAATTGGAAAATACTAAATACTTCAGCCTGGAAATAAATACATGTGGTTTTCTAATATTACAAAAAAAAAAAGAATAAGTATACCCAAATCAATGTTTGACAAACTTGTTCCTCCAAAAATAAAAATCACCTGATGTGTTTGAAAAGGACACAGATTTATAGGCCTTATCCTCAATCAGAATCAGAAGAGATAGTGGAATCCATATTTTACTTCATAGGCCAGATAATTCTTATAATCAGGCAAGTGTATGGCAAAGTGCTCTACAGGAAGGGTTGGCAAACTGTGGCTCACAGCCTGTGGCCTGTTTCTGTAAATAAAGTTTTATTAGAACACAGTCATACCCATTTGTTACATATTGTCTATCACTGCTTCCGCACTACAACAATGAGGTTGAATGGTTTCAACAGAGACTTTATGACACACATGCTAAAATGTTTACTATCTGACTTACAGAAAAAGTTTGCCAACTTCTGCTCTAAAGAAACATCAAAGGCAATAGGAAGAATATTGATCAGGGAATTAGGAGCTCTGAGTTCTATCAAACAGCAGTGGGCCTAGAGTACGACGCTCAACTTTTTGAAACCAAGGTATGTTATCAATAAATAGTTGAGGACGGGCATAATATAGATCTCCTATCCTTATGAGATCATAGAAATAAGAAGTCATTAAAAAAAAAAACTTAAAAGTTTGCCAACCGAAATGTCAAGGTCCTTTGATTTTTTTGCTCAAAGTATTATTAAAGTGCCAGAATAAATATATAACTCAATGTTAATAAAAGGCTTTGGAAGGCAGCTCTCTACCCCTTTGCTGGTTTAAAAAAAAAGAGAGAGAATATTATAATTTTCTAAGTGGTAGAAGTTGTCTTTTAAAACTTGTATATATGTGGAGAGATTTAAGTAAAATGGTTTTTGGTGATAAAATGTTTGTGACCCAATAGATTAGATATTCTCTAAGGTCCTTTTCAACTCCAAAATTCTTTGAACACTAATGTACCACAGGAATACTTCAAAGTTATTATGATGACTTTTCTTTCTCCCTGAATGATGAGAGAGGGATGAAACATTTGCGGGGGAAGGAGTGGAGATGGTATTTAAAACAAAGATAAAATGGAATTATGTAGGCTTATACATTTGGTAATCACTGAATTAAATAAGGATAAAAGTATCTTTTTATTTCCTTTTACTCTCTTTTTAAGGCCTTTTAATATGTAAATGTGCCTGACAAATTTTCAAAAAAGGGAGACATGTTACATTGCATTTCCTAAACTCACGTGACCGTGAAAATTTATTTTCCTGAACATCTCTTGTGAACTCTTTGTCAATGAAAACACTGCTTTAAATAAGCTTTAAATAATAACGATCAGTGGGTTGTCATTTAGGTAGGTTTATGACAAGTGGAAGACAAGAATAACCTGGTTAAGACAGATCACAGGGTGCACAGAGCGGAGGCCAAGCTTGGGGAGCTCCCTGCTGACTGCTCTGGGTAATGACCCAGGGTCCCAGAGTGAGGAGAGGGGTATGGCGGTGGGGAGATGGTGCTGCCATTCAGAACTAAAACAAAGTTCCTTTAAGGCATCTATGTACACAATCATCCTATAAACACACCATCTACTCCACCAAAGTCAACTCACCTCATTTACTTAGACCCTCACTTCCCAGTCTGCATTTTGCCTTTGCATCCTTTTTTTTGGCCTTTCAGCTGACTTTGAACTTCATTGAACCAGACTTCCTTTGCATAAATGAATGTACTCTACAGTACTGGAACCGAAAATGTGGCTTATAATCATTGTATTTCTGGTAGCCCTGATCATAAGTTTAAGGCAAATACTGACAGTTGCAAGGAGTGATACAGTAACTGCAAGAAGAGCAGCTAGCAGAAGTGAGAGGGAACATAAGCAGATCTTTGAAGACAGCAAACCAATGTTGCCCCAGAAAGCAGAGCCCAAGGCAAACAACTCTGGTCACTAAGACAACTCTTCTTTGCTATTGTCCTCCTGGGACATTCATGAGTGGAGTTAAATGCAGCAAAAATCAACTTTTCGCCAGCATAGACTACCTTGTTAACTATTTGTGAGCCATGCCTGGATGTGCCTGGATGGCTTCCTTTTTCTTCAGTAGTTCACAGGGAATCCTCTATGAGGCCATATACATAGACAGAAGAAAGGTGCCAGGGCATTAATTAAGGACGTGTGACAAGGGGGTCTGTGCCACTTGTCCTCATAATATCTTGTGTCATCTGTACTAGTTAGGGCTTGATCCCGAATATTCCATTATAAAGTGGACTGCTGCTATGTCCACCTCATTTTAAGATTTGGTCAGTTTTTCAACTTACAAAGGGTGGCTTCTGTCACATAAGTACTTGGTACCCCATGGTCCAATAATCAGTCCCCACTAGTGCCAGAATCATGCTACAGACAATTTTACAATGGAGGACAGTTCTCCATAAAAGGCATGAACTCATTCCAAATCTCTAGGTGTCTGCATTACAGAATTCCTATTGGGGCTTGCTGGAGACCTCTACTCACCATTCTTCCATACCGCAGACATCAGCAGCACTATCTCTACTGTGTCACAGACTTCCAGGGACAGAAAGCTTGCAGCAGAGCCAGCACATGCTGAAGAGCCCTTTCTTGCTCTGGACTCCACTGAAAACGGGCAACCTTCTAAGTAAAGCAATAAATGCATTGAAAAAATATTCTGAAATATTATGATATATGTTGTTTCCAAAATCCAAAGAAACCCCCAACATTGCACCTCTTTCTTAGGGTTGGAGATGCTGAGTGTAACACTGAGTCCTCTGTCTGGGTAGGGAAGTCTAGGTATGCGGCTACTGAGGATCCCAACACATCTTCTTCCACCTGCACCACATCTCAGTTAACCACAAGAGGAAGTGTTGGTAATTGTGATGCTACCACATGCCTAGAGTTATCACCATGTGTTTACAACCAGAAATCAGATCCTCGTTGCTGTCACATAGGGGAGTAATCCAACTCCTAAAATCTGTCCTGAGGGTGTGTTGTCTAAAGCCATTCCTGGTTCCATGGAAGCACAAATAGTTAGAAAATGCAAAGCCTGAAGCAAAGGCATAAGTGGTACTACTTTATTAGATAGGACAATTACGGAAGGAGCACTAAGGGACAGGTAAGAAAGGGAAAGCCAATATAATGATGAATTATTACGCTTATACACATCTCAGAGCAAAACATTTCTACGTCCTGCACAGTTGTCTTGTAAAATGCCACAAAACTGTGCCTCAAGCCAATCCATATGAGGAGAAAAAAAGAGAAAAATATCGAATCTCTGGTTTCCACCTCGCATTAGAGAAAGGTTTATACTATGGCTCGTTAACATCCCTACACTTTCTAGTTGTCCATGCATAAGTACCCATCAGGGTCACATGGAATTCTAAGCCCCGGTGTCAACAGGAAAGCCATGGAGCAGAACTAAGAGCCACAGAGTGTGTGCACTGCATGTTTGCACCTGGATTGTGTCAACTGGAGCCCACCTGGGGCTGGCAGATGTGGCAGTAAATAGCATAAGAAACAGGTGTGCCTGGCTGTCTGCGGCAGGAAGAAGTCAGTGAACATGGAGAAAATTAAGAAGGAGATTACTTGGGGAGGAAATTAAGCACATAGGTCGAAAGAGTTTACTGAGAAGGAAAGACATTTTAAGAAAGGGGAAAAAATTACAAAATACCAAGGATGTTTAATTTTACCAGTAATATGGTAAAGGAATCTGCTAATAAAAAAACTCTTACCCTGTCTTGTTTTTGTTCATTGTGCTTATTATTTTCTGAAATTACCTATTTATTTGTTTACTTGTCTGTTGTCTGTCTCCCCATCTAGAAAGTTCTCTCAGGGTCTGGGCTTTATTTCTCTTGTTCATTTCTCTAAGTCCAAGCAAAGAGTCAGCAGCCAATAAATAGTTATTGAATAAATAAATACTATCAAATACATTATTTCTGGTGAATGAAAATTTCCTCCTCTCCTTACACAGTATTCAATTCACAGAAAAGAAATGAGTATTAAAGATCATCTTATCTAATTCACTTGTTTGGCTTGTGAACTGGAAAACTTAAATGACATGCTGAAGTCACAACTTAGATTGTGAAATTACCGGGACTAAAATTCAAGTATCTTGACAACTCTTATTTTTTTAACATGGCAAAAAGCATGATCAGTTTTTAAATGTCTTTGCTGGGGAGTAGGGTTACTTTAAAATGGTGTACAAAAGTACACTAAAGTTTTAAAGTGTTCTAGAACTGTGCAAAGAGAAAATTTCATGTGACCTTCATGATATGTAAGTGAAGAGGTATTATTATTTCCACACTGAGAGATAATCCTAGGTATCTAACTGGCTTACTCAAGACCATACTACCATTGTACTAGACACGGTGCTGAACTCAAGTCAATTAATTTCATTTTCAGAGATTTTATGTTTGGACTAATTTTTTAGAGGAGAGGATATGAAACCATTTTGTACTTTTTTTTTTTTGATTTGGGAGATAACTTTCTTATATTCCTCTAGTTATGATTAGATCAAAGTCACTGCTAAATTAATAGTCTCTTTTCATTTATGTTTTCTTATAAGACTTTCAATATTACTTTTCCATATTTATACTCTCTTGTTCCTCTAAATCCTAAAACCATTGGTGAGCCAGGGAAAGGTCACTTCAAATTCTGTTTCCCTTACTCGGTACTTAGTACAGGACTTTTTTGTTTAGAGTTGAAATATTTGTTAAATGGTCTCACAATCATTTCTTCAACATATACTCCTTATTGTCTCCACTAAGCATATATTTTGCCAGAATTTGAGAGTGAAAAGGGCACCCTGACCATCACTGAGTAATTAGACGTTTTCCTCTCATTCAATAAGTAAACTTCTGTTTCATAAGTTAAAATGTATTTAGATAGGTTCTGCTTTGTGTAAAATAGGCTTTAAAGGAAAACAAAATAGGAAATTTTTGATTAGTTTTACTAAATTTGAAATCCCCCTTCAATAAAAATATGGTAAATAATTTTAAACTACGGCAAAAATAACTTATAAGCTAGACCTTGGTTGCAAGATATGTATACTAAGAAGATACATGGAAACCCATAGGCAGAATATGTTCTGCAGGATAAAACCAGCTACATTTTCAGAAAGCTTAGCTTTCTGGTTAACAGTATAGACTTTGCATAGGCGTTTTGACATTTGAATTCTTGCTCTGTCACTAATGAGATGTATGAGCTTCGACAATTTCTTAAACTATCTTACCATGATTTTCTCATTTGTAAAATCGGTGTGAATACTATTTGCTGCATCTGATTATTGTGAAGAAAAATAAATTAATTCAAGTCTTACAGGCATACTGACAAGTAGAATATACTTAATAATTATTAGCTATTGTTATTCTTACAAGGACATTACATGTACTCTGGGAAGAAAACCATTAATTAAAACAATAGTTCTTGACAAATCAATGAAAGCCATAGATACATAAATGAGAAAAGAAGTCAGGGAATACACGGGTTCCATAAAGTCCATGCATGGACCAGACATGGAGAATCTATGATTCACAGCTGTGAGCTTAAACCATGATGTTCCCCATACAAACTGAGGACTCAGGGGAGGCCACAGAGGATGGTGTCTGATCACAGTGGTTTCTATGAGTACTTGTGTCTTACAAGTGATGGCAACACAAAGTGCCATCAGAAAGAAAATATTAGATTACTGTTGCTTCCTGAATTGGCTGGATTCTAATGCTTATTTTGTCTTGCTCCAAATGATGCTTCTTTTTATATTTATTGCATGGGCATTTGTAGGATGTATGCAGATATAAATCAATATATGTTTTTGAACAAAATATTGAAAAGTGGCTACTGAAATTGTGTACTTCTAAATATAGAAATATACCTCGGGAGACTTTACTTTTAATCATCTTGCTACCAGTCAAGAGGACAGTACCTTCTGCTACAATCATCTTGGTTGTCAAAGGCCACCAGGTGACTTAAATATTTAAAATTTGTACCCGTGTGGGGAGGTGGACCCAGGTTCCTTCCTATATACAGTATTCTGATACACCGATGTTATCTTCAAGATAACAGAATCCCTTAATCCTAGAATTTAGAAGTCTGTTCTAATATTTTAGAGGGAAAAAAATACTGGACCTCAAGCCTTTTGGAAAATTGTAAATAATAAGTTTCAAATGGAAAACTCAGAACAAAATGGGAGAGCTACATATATTAAAAACTAGAAAATGCATGAAACTGTTCTTCAGATCCACACAGCAAGAAAACCTAAGTGTTGATTACACTATATGTTACACTCAATTTCCCACTGTCAAAGGCTCTACCGTCTATTTGCTGAGCCAATATGTCTCCTAAGACAAATGAAGAAAATCTGGTTTGTTAGTGATAAAGTATGTACCAAGTTTTTATACTGTTTTTGCATGGTCATCAAGGGAAATACAAATGCATTTTATTAAATTACCAAATAGTGGTAAATATTTCTTAAATTTTAAGGAGAAATATTTAAGGTTTTTGACAATGGCATTTATTCAATAGTCATGTAGTCAAGAAAATATATGAATATTTGAACGCTTAAGGCATACAATGAATCAAAATTTAGTCACATAACCAACATAAAGATTTTCAGATAGAGTCAATGTGACTTATGATAAAAAGAATTGGAGATGAAAGTAAGCAGGCTTACATAAACAAATGTATTTTCAGGAAACAGGTTTGTGAAATCTAGAGGATAGCGCTTGGATTTTCGGACACTTTGTCTAATGGATGTACACATGTCCATTTGTTAGCAGTAGTTTTCAAGTCAGATGGTTTTATACGTGAACAATTTCTTTTTCCTGTGCATGTATTCACGGTATCAAACGTCTAATATTGTGGAGAACATCTGAACAGTCTGTGACATGTTCTAGCTACAGTAACGTGTTCATACTGATCATTCCTTTGGCAGGGTGAGTTTTTCACCCAGTAATGATGAAAGAGCCCTGAAAGAGGGGAGGTTAGATCGATTAGTCTGTTTGCAGGATAATGTACTGTACATGACTCAGCTGACCAAACTGAGGTTGAACAGTGACAGATGGGTAAAGTTGGAGTTTCATGTTAGGTGCCATGAATTACCATGCTATTCACTGAAGGTCTCCTGGGCCAGCTGGTCACACGTTATCTGATGGTATTTCAAATTCCACTTTCAAATTACTGTCTGGATTTTGTTGGCTGGCAATACTCTAAGGAATCCAGCAGCCTCAAAAGACACTGGGCTTATATATTATCAATTACATCATCTCCAAATCCCTAATGGAGTTGTGAGAACTTTCCCATATGAAGAGACAATTAGCAAATATGTCTTCTCATATTGTCTACATTTTGTATATATTTCCTTGATGTTTGATCCGGGAGGAATACTGTAAAATATGCTGAAATGCAAAAATGAGAACCGCTTTTTTTTTTAAGAAGACATAGCTAAAAATACCTTATCTTTAGCTATGAATAGGAATAATATCCTGGCAAATAAGTATCTCCTAATTCAACAAGAAATATAACACCTTGAATGCAAATTATTTAATAATTTGAGTGAACTCCTTTAGTTTGCCAAGCTACTTTTCAGTTACTTGCATTTCTAAACTTGGCAAGTTACTTGGGGCATCTACTTTTTATAGCCTGAAGTAGCTATCTTAAGAAAATGCCTATAAATTTATACTTTTCTGAGTAAGACAAAAAATGTTCAGCAATACCAGAAGTATTTTACAGAAGCATTTCATGGGAATTCAGTAATGATTTGTATTATACAGTGCAATACATGCAGTCACAGTATAATTTGACCATTCAACAAAGAACAAATAAATCCAAACTAATGCCTGGGGCTTTGAAAATAGAAATGAATATAATGACTAATGCTTTGTGAAACTTGGCACATTTTTCTCAAGAAGAATTATATATCTATCCGCCATTATTGTTTCGACTTTTTATAGCACTTTATATGGTAACAGCAACCTTCTTACTCTACACTCAGCCCTTTGGCTGTATTCTGACAGTCTATTTGTGTTCTGATTTCATGAATAATGAATGAATGAAAGTGAAGAAATATATAGCTTTCCTCACTCATGCAAAAAATTTTAAAGTGAAACACATTTTAACATAAATGCTACTAAATGTTAAAAAATCCAAGGGAACTAAAATGTGACAAGGTGGGACATTCCTTTTTTTTAATTCCAAGGAAGCATAGTATAATAAAAGGAACAATGGAATCAGAAAACCCATAATCAATTTTCCAGTTGGCTTTTGAAACATCACATGTAAAATGGTCAAGTGTTAGGTCTTTCTAGCCTTTCTTGGTTACTTGTTATTGGCATGTAGAGACACATGCCAGGTGACTATGTGTACAGGGTGGGCTTATATAACCTAATAGGTTTTCATTATGAATTAACACATTGTTAAAAAAAACTACCATCAAATGCAGAGTCATCTGTATATTACAGTTTCTGCTGGAAGTGTGCTGAAGTGCTGAGGGTATGTTAAAGACCATAGGCACATTGGGAGGCTGAGGCAGGTGGATCACCCGAGGCCAGGAGTTCGACATCAGCCTGGCCAACGCGGTGAAACCCCATCTCTACTACAAATTAGCACCTGTAATCCCAGATACATGGGAGGCTGAGGCAGGAGAATCACTTGAACCTGGGAGGCAGAAATTTCAGTGAGCTGAGATCGCATCACTGCACTCCAGCCTGGACAGCCAGACTCTATCTCAAAACAAACAAACAAACAAACAAACAAAAACAAACAAACAAAAACCCATAGGGCTGAAGGAGGGTTTGTGTTGGGAAGCAGAATCCTGATGACTTGCCCACCACTCTTGAAATGGGGGAGGAGTCAGTCCTTCAGGGTGGAAATGATCAGCCTGTTAAGATAAAAACAGTCCTTTGAGTTGTGATTGGAGATATAACATTATTTTCATTCTATTAACTAGTTCCTCAGTGCCAAGTCTCAATAATGCTTTTATTCCACTTCTAAAGAAATTAACATTAGAAAACATTTATATTGCAAATTTCTCTTTCAATAAAAGTGCCAGATGCAGGAAGAGAGGAAGATGTCGGAGCAAAAGAGCCTGTCAGAATGCCGCTCTTTTAATTAGACACCATATGTGGGATGTGCAACATGTCAGTCATAAGCATAATTCATGGCCATTGAGTATGATTGAAAAAAAATAAGCAGCTATAATATTTGATATCTTATTCAAAACTTCGGCAACTGAACTCTCATATACTGAGCAAATTCCTGAAACATTGCCACTTGCTGTGTCACTAAAGGTCACAACAGTCTTCTGGATTGCTCCAGGGGTGCCAGGCTATCAACACCATACAAATGAACCTCTGCATAGATATGAAGCTGCCTGAACTCTCTCAGAACAGCTGCCAGGTTAATTTGGCAGCAACCGTGATCCTCAAACTGGCAAACCCCCAACATTCCCTCTGATGGGCTAGGAGACCTTAGAACATTTCAGCCTTTGTGACTAAATTGACACTTTTTGCTACTATGTGATCATCTCTCCAGCCAGGAGCTAGGTGCTCTCTGTAACTTGGATAAGCTGGGCTCTTTTGCTGAGCACTTAAGCCTTGATATTTGTGGCTTGCATATTGTTCCATCACCAGCTCCAGCTTACACAGCCTTCAGTTAACTCTTAAATGTACATGCATCCTACTCCAATCCATCAACAAGCCTTTCCCACATGAAGGTGTGAATTACTCTCATACTTGGATCTAGTTTTAAGGCATTCCCAAGCCAACAAATGTAACAATTGTTTCTAGATGCCTCTTCAGAACTCCAGTTTAGAGATACGCTCAGAGATGTTTACAAAGGTATTCATAAATCAAAATATGTTAGGCAAATATGTTCATAAAATTCAAAAATCAAAATATGTTTAGGAAAAGTTTAGGAAAAGTTTCATACCATATCCCTCCTGGAGGAACATAGCTTATCAAAACATTAACTGCTCTGAGGAGCTCTAGAGTAGATAAAATTGTCCTACTCTGTTTATTCTAACATTTCCCAAATATATATATATATATATTTTGAGACAGAGTCTTACTCTGTCACCCAGGCTGAAGTGCAGTGGCGTGATCTTGGCTCACTGCAAGTTCTGCCTCCCAGTTTCAAGAGATTCTTGTGCTTCAGCCCCCCAAGTAGCTGGGATTACAGGCATGGGCCATGAAACCTGGATAAGTTTTATATTTTAGTAAACATGGGGTTTCACCAAGTTTGCCAGGCTGGTCTCAAACTCCTGGCCTCAAGTGATCCACCTGCCTCAGCCTCCCAAAAAATGCTGAGATTACAGGTGTGAGCCACCACACCAAGCCTCCCCAAACATTTGATGACACAGCAACCCTTTCTTCAATCCAGCTATTTACCTTGCAAAAAATGAATGGTTTACAGAAGACAATTTGGGGAAACACTGTATGATAAAACAAATTTATTCAAATTTTATTTATAAAGAAGTAAAAGGTAAAAATTGACTCCATAGGAATCATTTTAAGGAACATTGTTTTGTACATTATGCATAAAATTCATTTAAAGGAGAAAATGAGGATTTTATCTTTTCTATTTTATGCAGTTTTATGAAGTGACATCTCTGTATTTTACACACAAAGGTAAGTTGTGGATAATGATATTGAAAAAGAGTGCTGTCCCAAAAGATTCATTTCATTAAGTTATTAAGATTCCTACTTTTTCAAAGTCTCTTCATCCTCATACTTGATTGATTTTGACATCCAGGACATTAGTGCTTTGAAGACCATAGAAAAGTTTAGGAAGGTGAGGCCAGGCATGGTGGTCACGCCTGTAAATCCCAGCACTTTGGGAGGCCGAGGCGGGCGGATCACAAGGTCAGGAGATCGAGACCATCCTGGCTAACACGGTGAAACCCCGTCTCTACTAAAAATACAAAAAAACTAGCTGGGTGTGGTGGCGGGCGCCTGCAGTCCCAGCTACTTGGGAGGCCGAAGCAGGAGAATGGCGTGAACCCGGGAGGCAGAGGTTGCAGTGAGCCGAGATGGCTCCATTGCCCTCCAGCCTGGGGGACAAAGCGAGACTCCGTCACAAAATAAATAAATAAATAAAATAAAAATAAGAAAGTTTAGGAAGGTGAATTATTTATAAATTATTACACCAGTATCATACTGAGCAGCAGAAACATCCCCCTAAAGCACCATGGACACTGCTACAACTTTTGGGTTAAATCCATCTGCAAACAACCAACTGAAATGTCTTTCCTTGGCTGCCACTCAATCAGCACTCTCTGACTCTCTGCACCTGAAGAAGGCATTTCTCTTCTCTGAGTCTTTTTTGTTTGTTTGTTTGTTTTTGTTTTCTTTTGCTTCTTGGCACTGCTGTTTTTCTAAAATGTTGTGAATGCTGGATTAAACAGGGTACTACAAATATGAATCAGGCCATGACTCGGCAGGACTCCATGCCCTTCAATGACTGCCCGTCTCACTGCGTGAGAGTATTTACCCAGGTCTATAAGGCCAGCAAGAGTCTTAACTTCCCCTCAGCTTGACTATACTTTAGAAAAACTTCCTAGGTACCTCTAGGCCTGACCCCTCTCACCAGTCCTTGCAGATCCAGGCAGTCTAACCACAGAGGCCCCATCCCTTCCTTTCCTTGGAGCATTTACTTTAGAAAACTGGTAACTATAACTGCCTCTTTGAGACAGAAATCTTTTAAAAACCTCTTGCCAGTTTTGCATGCCAGGAATGTCTTTCTCAAGGACCTGGGAACCATTCCTTTGAAATACAGTAATCCAAGAAGACAGTGCCACTATTTCTCAGTCTCTGTGAGAGGGTGAGGGTCTAACTTTGATGAGCACCTCGATCTCCTGTCATGAAGCTATGAGAAAGTTTATTTTTCCTTTGGTTAAGACCAGTTTTTCCTGCCTCGATTTTCTTGGAAGCATTTATCAGGAAGTTATTAAACATTTTACTCATTTGTTGTGTATATTTTAGCCTCTTCCCATTAGGTTATAGGCATTCAGCTTATAGCTTTTTGCCAGCATGGATTTTTCTTTGCTTGTTTGCAGCTGTATTCCTAATGTCTTGAATGAAAACTTTACAAGGTTGACTTTTAGTATGTATTTTCTGACTTGATGAATAAAGAAATGAAGAAAGGTGAATATATTCTTTTCTCTGGTAATCATTAACAGGAGCAAATGTGAATGGACCGAGAGGCGGTTTGAAGTGGTCAGGGGAATGTGGGAATATTCTCATGAAATACAACTCTGGCTTAGCTTTTGTTCAGCGAATTGTGTCATTTAGAGATCAAATGGGATGGCCAAATGATTAAAGTGACAGATTTTATATTTGTGAAAAATGTCACTAAACAATTTTTAGCAGTGAGACTATAATTATTTTTTCCTTTACCTGATTACAGAAAAATACAATGGATTACTAGCTTGTTTTAAATTACAGGCAGTGTTAAGTTTCTCTGCTTGGGAATTGGCAGTGCTATCAGTCATTGTCAAAAGTCAGGGTGTCAGATGCATCTTGGATGTGAATTTTAATACAGAGTTCATCTTTACTTTGTCCAGAAATATAGGGATCAGACCATATTTTTTCTATCTATTCCATATGTCAGAATTCCCCTGGTTCTACTCATGAAAACACAGACTCATCAACTGCCTTTTAGTAACTTTATTTTCACTGAGATAATATTTATGCATTAAACCGTTGAGACAAACAAACAAACAAAAAACTGGTTTCAGAATGATCAAGCCTGAGTTTACGAACATCTTCTCTTAGTCTTCCAATATTTTATGTGAATATTGAGTCCTGGGCCTGGCCCAAAGAGTTCATACAATAAATAGTAAGAACATTGCTGCTGCTGACATGGGAAATACTTAAATGATTTGTGTATTTTCTGAAGCAATTAAGATACCTGCTTTTACAAACAGACTTCATAAGACTTGAACGCTTCTTGATTTGAACTTACACACATGAACCTTACGATGTGAGCATCTGACCTTATATACCTTCAGAGCAAAGACAAATATTTATTACCAATAATAGACATGATGTATCTGACTGCAATGCTAGCTAGGTATAGGTGGTCCCTTATTATGTGTATGGGCTACAGTAAAACATATCTTTAAAAGCAGAAGTCTCAACCAAGGTGATTTCAGGGAAGTTACCCTCCCAAGGTGCATCACCAGAGAACCTAAGCAAACCATAGATTTACTTCCCTGACAAATTCTATAACAAATTACTCTCTGGCCATAAAACATGCTCCTCTTAGGGTGTTAACTCATGAAAATGTAATAAAACAACTCCAACTTATCACCTTAAATGAATTTTAATTTGGTCTTGACACTAATAAAGAGTTTACAGCATTCTTAGGTCACCTACTGCATTGCTTTCTAGCCTTTTAAATGGCATTTTGAACACTTACTACATATGTATTAAGGACACGGAAGATGCCAGAAAACAGTAAGAGAACTAGTTTTCAGATCTTCACTAGAGTTGCCAAGTCAAGTTGTTCTAGAATGTGTTTCAACTTTCAATATATTTTCATAAATACTTTCATAGTGATACTTAATAAAAATTTTTAGGTGATATTTAGTAGAGTGGGATGTACAGGAACTTTAAAATAATGTTAATCTTCAAAATGTTTGGGAAAACATGTAAAGAAGAAAAGACGATGTTTAATAGGTTTAGGTGTAACTCCTGCAGCGTAAAGTAAAAGAATATACAAAACACTATCCTATACTTAAAATTAGGAAAGAATTGGCTTCTAATATGTATGATAAAATGATTGCAAAGCCAGGATTCATTATAAATTGAATAGTAAATAAAAATGATATTGTTAACTTAGAAAATAACCCCACACATGTAAGAATTCATTAATTAATTCAAAAATCTGGCTCCTAAAAGGAACCAGTAAGTAATACTCTCATGATACATCTCTGGCTTAGCTTTTGTTCAGCTAATTGTATGTCATTTAGAGATCAAATGGGATGGCCAAGTGATTAAAGTGACAGATTTTATATTTGTGAAAAATGCCACTAAACAATTTTTAGCAGTGAGACTACAATTATTTTTTCCTTTACCTGATTACAGAAAAATACAATGGATTACTAGCTGGTTTTAAATTACAGAGGAACACAATTTGAAACATAAACATACTGCTAGCAGGTTTTATAGAAGTGGCTGCAAAATTTTGCTATATCTTAAAAATACTTCAGATATTTGCCATTTTTAACCGATAGGATGAAAATGATTATGATTTACTAAATCTATTTGGCACAATCAGATGATAAGGTTGATTGATAATGACGATGATGATGGTGATGATGAAATGTTTTAAAACTAATCTCTTTATGGATGGGTTTTGGAAAGAAGAAGATAATTATAGGGTCCAATAAATTAAATAAATCATTTCTGAATTGCTTTTAGATTTATTAAACACTAGAACTCCTCAAATAATGAAATATTGTTCATTGTTCCCTACTCTATGTCAAAAATCAATAGAAGAGGAAGTTGTGTAGAGCCATAATACTGGCAGTTACCATTCACTAAGGTTTCACTCAGTGCCAAAGGCTCTATGTCTATCATGTCTAATTGTTACCAGCACTATAAATTACTCCTTTCTGCACAGGAAAACATGAAAGCTGAAATGTATGCAGTATACCAGCTAGAAGTAGAGGTTCTGGGTAATACTCCCTCAATTCACATCCTGACTCTAGCACTTACTAATTATGTCATTATAACCTTTCTGTGTCTTTGTTTCATCTCCCCTAAAATGAAAATAATGACATTATAAGAGTGTTGTGAGAATGATTATGAGATTCAAATGAGTTCAAAGTGTAGGACACTGTAAGAGAAGCACAGTAGCATTCAATAAATATTAGTAATAATCATTAGAGGAATTTAGAAGTTTGCCCAGCGTCTTAGAGCTAACAGTTGGCTGGGTTAGATCCCTCTGTTTCCAGTGCCCTACATTGCCTTACTTTCATAGAAGACAAATAATTTTTCTTGAAAAGGTGATTATGCACATTATGAGCCAGTTTCATCCAGACAATATAGATGTTCAATAATTATTTAGACTGAAGTTGAATTTTACCTTCTTTGTTAATTTTTAGGTAGATTTTTATCTTTTTTTTATGCTGGAAAATGTTATTGAATGTAATGGATGAAGTATCCACAAACAATTAACATAGTGTAAAAACAAAGTGTGGTGTATTAGTCTGTTCTTGCAATGCTGTAAAGAACTACCTGAGACTGGGTAATCTGTAAAGAAAAGAGGTTTAATCAGCTCATGGTTCTGTGAGCTACACAAGCTTCTGCTTCTGGGGAGGCCTCATGAAACTTACAATAATGACAGAAAGTGAAGGGGAAGCTGGCATATATTCAGATGGCCAGCAGGAGAAAGAGACAGAGCAAAGGGGTAAGGCCTACACACTTTCAAACCAGATCTCCTGAGAACTCTGTCATGAGAACAGTAAGGGAGAAGTCCACCCCCCATAATTCAATCACGTCCCACCAGGCCTCCAACACTGAGGATGACAACTCTACATGAGATTTGGGTGGGGACCCAGAGCCAAACCATATCACATGGAAATAGTGAAATGGCAATTCCGACTCAAATGGGTTTATTTCACTTCCGTGTGATTCAGGAATGGTATTGGTAAACACAAGCAATTTTCTTTTTTTCTTCCTAGTCAGGTACATTCCTATAAATCCTTATCTTTCTGAAATTTTCAAGAGGATCAATAATTGTTTTAAAGTTTCACATTTATATGCCTTAGACAATAATAATATTGTTGCACCTGCCAGTTGTTCAGAACTCTGAATCTCAATTTTCTTTGTGTCATTCTGCAATTTCCATTCAATACCTTCAAGTTCTTTATCTAAGGAGGCCATGGTGACCTGCATTAAATCTAATTTTCTGCTGACATCTGCCTCACTATTTATAAACAAAGTCAGTACAATTTAGCAAACCACAGCTATGTTCTTAGAAGTAGTACATTTAAAGACAGAAAAATATAGCTTGAAGCAAATGGCAACAGTATACTTAAACAAAAAATCCTGTTGCTTATTTCACAGAATTTCTAGTGTCACACTAAAGAAAAATGCTTTTGGCTGCATTGTGACATAAGAGGCAGCTTTGTGACATATTCTGCCCAAGAAATAATAGTTATCAAAACAAACGAATACTGCAGATGTCAATGTGATGTGTTTCCACAATACGAAGCTTGAATTCACAGGAGACAAAGGTTATCAAACTGTGAACTTACATATAATTCTCTAGTTTCTATTTTCTCTCTTTATGGGGCTGGAGAAAGTAATACAGATAAGGCAATGAGCTTATAAGCTAATAAGATGTGCGCCTGGAAAACACAATAAGCAGAAAGGATTTCTTTGGAAAATTAAACAGGATTTCCTATGTGGTCTTTCTTAGCACAGCATCAGATACTTTGGGTATTACATATTTCTGGCATTTGAATCTGTAGAAACTGAAATTCAAAAGGGAAATTAACATAAAATCTGTTACTATATGTACAGTATTTTTAAGTCACAAAATTAGATTACTATATTTCTTTCCAAAAATTAAGTTCTCCCAAGAAGCAAGTACAATAAATATATCAGAATGAACTTTTAATTACATTATTTTAAAAACACTGTAAGATCATTTTTTATTTTTCAAAACACTGTGATCAGCAACAATAAATGTGTGTCTTTTATTTGTAAGGCACCGTCTTTTATTATTGAGGAATTAACTATGTTCCAAAAGAAAGGTATCCAAATAATCAAAGTTCACATCTCTCATTAAAGCTGTTTTCATAAAGTCCCATTGAAATGCCTCCTGTCATTCCAGTTTACTCCATTGAGTGTCTGTTTCAGCACTCTTTTAACTCCATCAAGATCACCAACCATTGTGAATCCCATGATCTTTTCAATTCAATCACCACCATGGCCTCACTCCCCAGCTTATCCAGCTTAAACTCCTTAGTCAGCCATTAGAATCACTTCCTTGCAAAGTCAACTTCCTCAGTCATCCCTCTTGTTTCCTCATATACATTTGGCAAAACAAAACAGCAAAATATATACATTCCTACAGATCCTATATAATTTTAAAAGAGAAGGAGAAGGAAATACATGATACAAGTAATGAGATGAGAAAGGGTATATGAATAGAAGGAAATTAAAATAATAAGGTATATAGTAATAATAGCTGACACTGATAGAGCACTTACTGAGTCTCAGTCAGTAACAATTTTAGTACATTCTATAATTACCCTTTAAAAAATATCAAGGCAAAGCCTTACGGAAATAGTCACTTTCTCCCAACCTTATCACTAGGACATGGAGAGCCAGGATTTAAACCTAGGCAGTTGGTGCTAGGTGTATGATCTTGTCCAGTTCACTATACAAAGGAACCCTAAATTCAGGATGAAACAGTGTTCCAGAAAAATCAGAATGCATTCAACCAGAATGCATTCAAGTAGATGTAGATAACCAGAATGCATTCAAGTAGATATAGATAACCAGAATGCATTCAAGTAGATGTAGAATGCCTGAGTGACCATGAACTTTGTAAAAAACACCCCTCAAAAATGCACTAGGCTAAGATGGTTTCAAAGCAACATGAAAATAATATTTCACTTGTTATTTAAACAGCTATTGTGCTTAAAAACATTTTGAAGTTTCTTGTACATAAAACACAACGTCCTGATGCCGAAACCTGACTAGGAAAGTACACAAGGTTTACAGGCGTGCCTCAATTATGAATAGGATTGTGAAAAACCTACGAGTTTCAGAAATTTGAATTTACAAGTACGTTAATAATGCTTACGATTATTCATTATTGACATATAATCATATTTATTATTAACTATTGTTTATCAAATGCCAGACATTGTACTTTTGATATTAAATCTTCCTTTCAAACCCATGAGGTGGGATTGCTATGGCCCCATTCACGTAAGGGGAATCAGAGGTGTAGAGAGGGGTAATTAGAACTCAGTCTGGCTGCAGGGTATGCTCTTACCCTTGATCCGTCCTCTCAAATGGTTCAATATCAGGAAATGTGTTCATATTGATATAATTCATCATACTAAATGCTTAAAGGAAAAGAACCATGTAATTATACTGATGGATGCAAGCTTTGAGTGAATTGACATATTTTAGCTATCAAAAATATAGCCTTGTGTAATTGTGAAATGATATAAAATAAATGAAGTAGGTGATATTTATCAAAGTGGAAGATGTTCACAAATACAATCTGGAGGAAGAAAATGACAACTTGGCAAATAATGGAGTATAATACTTGTTTATATAAATTTCAGAAAATGCAAAGCAATTTAAAAATACATATTACTATGTGAGTATAGTAATCACAAGTGTCTACTAAAGAAAGTATGCAAAGCATTATAATATAATTTTAGGGATTGATATAATTGTATTAAAAGCATACGTCACATATTTATATTATATTATATTAAGGTGGTTGGTAAGTTCACAAGTGTTTGTAATATTATTATTTGTTTATGTATGTTTTAATAATACATAAAATCAAAACATACTAATTTAACAACCTTTAGAATATAAAAATATAAAGGAAACATCACTTATTATTACTTGATATTTTCTTACCAAGACACAATCATGAATATAAATTTTCGGTACCTCGTGTTTTATGACAAACATATATACTTGTGTGTATATGTATACATATGTGTGCGTGTGTATGTTTACACACATGTTCACAACACCACGATAAGTTTATGGTGCACACTACCAACTGCATTTTTCACTTAATTTACAATGTACATCTTCTCAAGCCAAGAAATACAATTTACATCATCAGTTTTAATTGATGCAAATTATTTTGTATTTTACGCCAATAACAAACTGGTGGACAATTAGTTCATTCATTTTCCTGTTTTATGTAAAGCGCTGCCACGAATTTGTCTGTTTTCTAACTTTTACCCAAGGTGCTTGTTTACTCACGATTTTGGTCATCATTCTGGCAGATCCACATTTTAGAAGCTGCACATGGGAATTCCAAGAGGCATGTAGTGCCGAAGGTGAATTAACAATCCTGGGTCACTTTAGAGAAATTCCTTAACATGGTTCTGGACACCCACGATCATGAAGGTGGTATGACGGCACAAAAATGTCAGCCAGGGCAGGTGTGGGATTAACCTATTCACAGAGCCTATCTTGGAAATGGCAGTCTGGTTATTTTGCTCTGCTGGCATTTGGATTTGTTTTCTTCAATCAGTTCTTACTGAAAGCTTTCAGTTCTGTGTCCTCAAGCTATAGAAGCCCCAGGCACTGTCTCCTGGTCCACAGTCACAGCCGTGAAAATGCATGAGTATTGCGTTCCACGTTCTTCTGGGGTGAGCCCAGGCTCCCAGGTCCAACTTACTCCTCTTTGGCTTTACTTGCTTTCTCTCCAGTCTACTCCTCTTGAAAATGTTCTCTGCATTTAGTTTTTTTGTGGCATCTCTTTTCTTTCTTGTAAGTGGAACTATGCATTTAAATGTTTGTTATATTTTACTTAGGACTTGTTTTTAGGCATTTTGTGTTGTGTGGGTGTGTTTTTTTAGTACATAATGTTGACCTTATTTTTGGAGATAGAAGTTCTGTATCACTTTGACAATCAGAAAAAAAAATCGTTATTTTTATTTAAAAAGAAATAATTTTCATTTGGACCACTTGTGTTCAAAACAAAGTCCTAACTTGATAGGGTTTAGCTGTGTCCCCACCCACATCTCATCTTGAATTGTAGCTCCCATAATTCCCATGTGTTGTGGGAGGGAGCTGGTGGGAGATAATTGAATCACGAGGGCAGTTTCCCCCATACTGTTGTACTCTTCTTATGGTAGTGAATAACTCTCATGAGACCTGATGGTTTTATAAGGGGAAACCCGTTTCGCTTGGCCCTCATTCTCTCGTCTGCTGCCATGTAAAATGTGCCTTTCGCTGTCTGCCATGATTTTGAGGCCTCTCCAGCCACGTGGAACCGTGAGTCCATTAAACCTCTTTTTCTTTATAATTTACCCAGTCTCAGGTATGTCTTTATCAGCAGCGTGAAAACGGACTAATACAAAACTCTTAAACCCTTCTTAGCTGTTTCCACTCTTCTGCCCCTGCCTCTAAAACTGCTTCTTTAAAAACACAGAGGAATTTCATCATTTCTTGTTTGCCTTCATACACACCTTGCCTTTTTTCCATGCACCTACCTGTTGGAAGCCATTTAGTCCTCCACAAGGAACAATTGATTCGGAAGAGCTCTATATTAGTTTCCTAGGACTGACGTAAAAATGATCACAAACTGCGTGGTTTAAAGCAGCAGAAATGTATTCTGTCACAGTTCTCTAGGATGGAATTTCTAAGTGCATGGTTGGCTTCTTCTGGAGGGCTGAGGGAGAATCTTTCCCATGCCTCTCTCCTAGCTCATAGTGGTTGTTGGCAAGGCTTCACATTCCTTGGTTGTAGCTGCCTCTTTGCATCTCCACGTGGCTCTCTTCTTTCCATGTCTCCTCTGTGTTTCTGTATCCAAATCTTTCTCTCTTTTGTCTCAAAGATATCAGTCCTTGTATTTAGGGCTGACACTAAACTGGTATAAACTCATCTTGACTTGATTACATCTAAAACACTTTACTTCTGCATAATGTCACATTCACAGGTACTGGAGGTTAGGACCTGAACATGCGTTTTGTGGGGACACAAATCAACCCACTACAAATTCTTTTTATCCTATCACTCTGTCTTTTCTCTCCCTCCCTCCCTCCGTTCCTTCCTTCCTTCTTTCCTTCCTTCCTTCCCTCCTTCCCCCTTTTTTCTTTCTTTCTTTCTTTTCTCTTTCCGTCTTTTCTTTCTTTCTTTTTCTTCTTTTCTCTTATCGCTCTTTTCCCCTCCTTCCTTCCTTCCTCCCTCCCTCTTTCTTTCTTTTCTCCTATCGCTCAGTCTTTTCTGTCTCTCTCTCTTTCTTTCTTTTTCTCCTATCACTCAGTCTTTTCCTTTCTTTTCTTTCTTTCCTTTCTTTCTTTTCTTTCTTTCTCTTTCTTTCTTTCTTCTTTTCTCCTATTGCTGTCTTTTTCCTTCCTTCCTTCCTCCCTCTCTCCCTCCCTCTTTCTTTCTTTTTCTTTTCTCCTATCGCTCAGTCTTTTCTCTCTCTCTCTTTTTCTCCTATCGCTCAGTCTTTTCCTTTCTTTCTCTTTCTTTCTTTCTTTCTTTTCTTTCTCTCTCTTTTCTTTTCTTTGTCTCTGTCAGGCTGGAGTGCAGTGGTACAATCACAGCTCACAGCAGCCTCAACCTCTTGGGCTCACTCTATCCTCCCACCTTGACCTCCTAAAGTGTTGAAATTACAGGCGTGAGCCACCACTCCCAGCCTAAGGCTCTGTTTTGTGATACCAGAGTACATTGCATTTTAAAAACCTCTTCCTAATCTGTTTGTAGTGAATTTTTTTTTTAACAAATATATGGATATACAAGGGACAAGTTGGCAAAAAGTAAACTCAGTCCTGAGATCTATTGTACTACTGGATATTAATTGTTTAGAACATTTTCTAGAAAGTTTAAATTTAAAAGTCTCAGATATTCTTGTTAGCTTATTAAGAGATTGCTACTGTAAGAAAGATATTTTTAAGTCCTCATTCAACATTTCAAATGAAAGATTTTGTTTATATATGCATAAAAATATTCAAACCATTTTTTTTGCTACAAAGATTTCAAAAAGTCTGGCACCCAATTATCGAGGGCTTAGTTTCTTAAAAAAGCACAATTCTGTGTAACAGGGTATCATATGGTAAAACTTGGAAGTGAGACAGCAAGGTAATATGCTTTATGTAAATTCTGCAAATAAAGCAGAAGTATATTTTCTTAATGTACAAAAATAAGGAATTACAATGACAACTCTTCAACAACCATTTTCCAGCTGATACTGTATGTTAATTGCTTATAAAACGTTTTTAAAAAAGTAGTTTCTAAATTCTTGCACATCTAGTAGTTAGTTCTAAAGTTGCTTTCTGGAGCTTGGTTGACCTTTGGAAAAATCTGCTTGGTTGACTTAGAGAAGCACATCTAGTAGTTAGTTCTAAAGTTGCTTTCTGGAGCTTGGTTGACCTTAGGAAAAATCTGCTTGGTTGACTTAGAGAAGGAGCACAGGGCCAGCTAGGGCTTCGTTGTGTAAAGTGATGGGAAGGCCAGGCCTGGGCAGCCCAGCAATGAGCATGGCATGGTGGAGGTGAGGGGTGCTGGGATGACACACGGACACCGACGCAGAGCAGACAGTCATGAGTGGTAGCTCTTTCTACTCTTCATCAAGTTCAAAGACAGGGAAACAAAGCAGCACCAGTGTGATAGTAACACTCCACTGAAGCTGGGAACAGGAAGAGAAGCCTCTCAGGATATGTACTGGATTTCTGGATTTTATTCTTATGCCATTAATTTCTAGAGTTCATCAGTGTTTAGTGAGTGATGACACCAGGATACATCAGTATTTTGCATGTCACACTTAACTGTATTGTCTATCCTTAAATTAGTTGTTTAGCAGCCAATATGTTTTTCTCCCACTGGGAACTCATTTCTTTCTTATTTCCAATGTCCCAAATACAAGCACCTCTTTTAGAAAAAATGCATTAGCCACACTCATCCTAAATGAAATCAGTTCACCGTGCTTATGATTTTGGTGTCAAAGAGAAACTACTTTCAACTGAACACATCAATTTCTCTGATACCCCATGCACGGTAGAGGCTGGTCACTACAGGGCAGTTTAGTTTCATCAAACTTTGCTCAAATCAGTTCTGTCTCTGGTTTGTTATGCCAGTCTGACAACGGCATACCCAAATTTCACCAAAATAATGTAAACTTTTGGTGGAGGTGTGTGCAGCTTAAGGTTTGGTATTTTTCTTCAATGTGAAATTGTGAAGAGTATTAAAAATTTAAAGTCTCATTACATTGACATTGCTATATAGCTTTCCACATTCTCTAAAGAATTAACTTCAAAATCTCAATACATTTCAGATAACATAAGGCCACTATATTCTGTTTTTAATGATTTCTTCCACATCTCTTAGCAGGATGGCTGAGAAGCAGATGGTTATAAACCAGAAATTTTATTCCACAGTGACTTGAGTCAGCTAGAAATATAAGTTGTTCCAGCTTTATTCAAGTTGTCTTTTGTATTGAACAATCAGCAAACAGAAATGTTTCCCATTATCCCCAAAGTAATGGAATGTTCATAAAAGTGCTGGACTGACATCACTTGAAACTGAAGTACTATGTTTGCCCACAGACCATGTAACTCTAAGCAGCATTAGTGAATAATTTTTCTAATGTCATACCCTAAGTTGGCTTCTTAAATGCAATAAAATTGATTTTCTCCTTTGTCCTGGATACATACCAGCTATTATTTGGGGTTATATATACTATATTTGCAACAACTTAAAGTCATATTTGACTATAACACTGATCTAACATCGATAAAATCTATTAGTTGTTTTACTATCTTACATTTATTAAATCAGCTTTGTGGCCATAAAGATGAAAAGTTCTATAATCTGGGATGAGTACCTGAACTATACAACCTTTATATGAGGGACCCTTCTTCTATTCTTAAGCAGAAAGTGAGCCCCTCCAATCTTTAATAATCTACATGCTTCAAAAGGATTTCCGAATAAGGTAATAGAAATGCTTTCTTAAAAAATCAAGTAAAAATATTTTTGGTGAAATAACACACACACACACATATGTGTGTGTGTATATACATATATATTATTTATTATAATGTTAATGAATAGTAATTGGACTTTACAGTAGGCTCCATTCACCTATGTCTAAGTATGGATTATTTGTTTAGTGTCTACAGCTGTAACACGGATGCAAAACAAATTAATTTCTATTTACAGTTTCTACGCCACATATTGAAACCAATACAGGTTTTGTGATAGCATCTATTTGCTAACAGGGTAGATTTTAAGTGTTCTTAACACACACACACACACACACACACACACACAAAGAAAAAATAAAGTGATAATTACGTGAAGTGACAGATATTTTAATTAGCTTGATTGTGGTGACCATTTTATGAAGTATACATATATTGAAACATCAAGTTGCATACCTTAAATAAGCAGAATTTTTACTTGCTAACTATGCCGCAGTAAAACTGAAAAATGCTAATGAAAATAAAGGTTGAAATGTATGCCTACTGCCTGTCATTTTGAATTCAAGGATGATTTTTTTTGAATTCAAGGATGATTTTGGACAGCATCTTTTCTAGATGACTTGTGGTAGGAAAGATTATGCCAAGTCTGAGAAGCAGAAAACTACAGAGATTCCTCTGGAAAAAAATTCTTAGAAAAATTAGTGATAATATTGTAAGATACAAATATATCACCTAACACAAATCGTTATGGGGAAAAGGTGTTACTTTAGTAAATGATGTTCTCTTTGAAATAAAGATATAGAATTTGATAAATAAAATTTGAATAAACTGCAATGTGATAAGCTGATAACCAGGTATTTCAGGTATGAGGTAATAATACTCAGAAAACTTAAAAATATTCTAAAACTTAAAAGTATAATAATAATAAAATAAAAAATAAAAGATTAATTATAAATATATAAATATATTGAGATCTGGGATTTACCCAAATTCATTTTTACAATTTTTCATGTGGAAGAATTTATTCAATTGATACATATTCCATTACATATTTTGGAGGGAAGAACCTATAAAAATATCCTCATTATATTATGGAATACATTCAATGCTTCATGTAATTATTTAGGAAATTAAACAGGTAATTCAGACTTAAAAATTTACTTGTCCAAAATCATTTGAAGATAAGTTTTTAGGTTTCATATGCTGACACAGTTATACTCTTTTTTCCTCTTTTTCTTAATGAAGGTAAGAATAATCTATTTTTTTTATAAGAGAAATTTTTCTTCATCTATTTTTTTGGATCCTCAATAGAACCGCTCATAGGAAAGGAATGACAAAGTATTAATTTTATTTCCCTTTATTTCTCTTCATTTATTAATTTTAAAAATAATTAGTGGTTTATTTCTCCAGTGGCAGAGTCTATTAACCAAACTTTGGGTTTCTCTACGTCATCTCCTTTTTCATTTACTAGCCATTGCCTTGAGACTGGGACATACTCAGTAAAAGAAAGAAGGGCTCTCCTTTTAATGAACAGGCAAAATGTTGAATTTCTCATTGTATACAGCAATGTTTTACTTGCAGAGTTACTGCCACAGGCCTGGTTTGCCATAACCAATTTTACACACACATGCACACACACACATACGCAGCACGCTGGTTGTTCACTCTCACATCACAAGCACAAAGCACATAGTCTTTAAAATTTGTTTTGAAAAAAGCAATAGGCAAGCCACGGTGGCTCCCGCCTGTAATCCCAGCACTTTGAGAGGCCGAGACGGGTGGATGGCTTGAGCCCAGGAGTTCGAGACCAGCCTGAGCAACATAACGAAACCCCATCTATACAAAAAGTACAAAAATTAGCCGGGCATGGTGGCACACAGCTGTAGTCCCAGCTTCAGGTGGGAGGATTGACTGAGCCAGGGAGGTGGAGGCTGCAGTGAGCCATGATCATGCCACTGCACTTAAGCCTGGGCAACAGAGCAAGACCCTGTCTCAAAAGGCAAAAAAAAAGAAAGAAAGAAAAGCAAAAAAGAAAAAAATAATTATCCAAAAAATATAAATATATCATTAAGATAAAACAAGTATAAATTTTACTAATTCAGGTATTAATTAATAATTCAACACACTTTTATTAGCATGTGGTGCTAGGAATACAGGGGTAAGCAAGCCAATATGTGCATGTCCTCACTGAGTTCAAATCTGCCAGAGTAGAGAGACCGTGAACAGAGTGTGAAGCCCCGCTTTAGGGTACTATGGGAGTGGGGAGCAAAGACACTAAGCAGCGTGAGGGGGAACAAAGCAGGAGAACCTTACGCTGAAAATGGAAGGAAATGTAGGAGTCGGTTGGGTGAGGTGTTGGTGCCAGGCTGGGGTAGGCAGACGAGCAGCTCATGCACGGCCTCTATGTTAGAAAAGAGCAAGAAATACATATGCACGCTCGCACACATGCGCCCTCGCACACATGCGCCCTCGCACACATGCGCCCTCGCACACAAAGTCTCTTCGTGCTCATAAACATGCACAAGCCACACAGGCACAGGTTGAGGATTGTTTTTGGTTTTGTAGTTAGTTTCTTTTTAGCATATTAGAATTATATGAAATAGCAATTGCCAGTTTTCTTGAAAACCTAAGGAAAACAATTTTTTCCGCAACTGTCTTCCCACCCTGGTTTTTTTTAACTTAAATATACACTATAGACAACCTTAAGATCACAGACATATACCTAATTTACTTTTTGTTGAAAATTTTACTGAGACGATTGTAGACTCACATGTAGTTATGAGAAATGATAGAGACATCCTGTGTACATTTTGTCCAGTTTCCCCCAGTGGTAACATTTTGCAAAAGAGCAGTATAATATGACAACTAGGGTGTTGACATTGATAGTCCACTGATCTTATTCTGGTTTCCCCAGTTTTACTTATACGTGTGTGTGTGTGTGTGTAAGTTTTATATAATTAATCACTTGTGGAGGTTTGTGTACGCACCACCACAATCAATGCTGCACAGTTCCAATACAAGCTCTGTTACTTTTTAGTGACCATACAGCCCTCCTGTCCCCAAGGTTCCAGCCCCATTCCTAACTTTTGGCAACTACTAATCTGTCCTCCATTTCTAAAATTTGTCATTGAAAGGATATGTAAACAGAATCACATGGTATCTAAAACCTTTTGGGATGTGCTTTCTGTCACTTAGTGTAATTCCTTCAAGATTCATCCAGGCTGCTGCATATATTGAGTCTGTTCTTTTTTGTACTGGTGAAGAGTATTTATTTCATGGTGTGAAGATACCACAGTTTGTTGAAGGACATCTGAGTTCTTTCCAGTTTGGGGCTCTTACAAATAAAGCTAGTATAAACATTCAGGTGTGTGTGTGTGTGTGTGTGTGTGTGTGTGTGTACGTGTACTTGTTTCTTTTTCCTTTTTTGGGATAAATGCCTAAGAGTGTAATTTCTAGGTTGTATGGTAATTTCATGTTTAATTTTATGAGAAGCTGCCAAACAGTTTTCCAAACTGACTGTACCATTTTACATTTCCCATCAGCAACATACGAGAGATCTAGTTCTTCTGCATCCTCACGAGCACTTGGTGGTGTGGCTAATTTTAAAAACTGTCAGTCATGCTGACAGGTGTGTCACTATGCACCTCACTGCAGTTTTAATTTGCATTTCCTGATGATTAACTTACTTAAAAATACTGAACACATTCATGCACAAATTCACATAGGCAAAATTTCATGTGAATGCGATAAATTGTATACTTGATGTTTTCTTTTGCTCATTTTATCTTCTTTCTTTTTTGTAATTTTAATTTTTATGGGTACATAAAAATTAAAATTCTTTTTTTGGTTGCCTTTTTTGTCCCTTTTCCTTTTCCATCCACCTCACCATCATCCTCCCTTACCTCAGGTAGCAGTTGTTAAAACTCTCTCTCTCTCTCTGTTTCCTTTAAATATGTGATGACAGTTGCTCCTAAATATCCATACGTAGGGGATTGGTTTAAGGAACCCCTTCTCTGACCCTCAAATACCAAAATCAATGAATGCTCAAATCTCTTACATAAAATCCTGCAGTGATTGCATATAACCTCCCCAATACTTTAAAGTGCATCCTGATTACTTATAATATGTAATACAATTTAAATGCTATGTTAATCATTGTTATACTGTATTTCCTAATTTGTATTGTTTTTTATTGGTGTATTGTTATTTTTCTTCTGAAATATTTTCAATTCACCGTTGGTTGACTCCACAGATGCAGTGTCCGCAGATATGGAGGGCGGACTGTGTTCATTGTATATACTTCTTGGGTGGTTGCTTTGCCTGAAGAACTAAGTTTGATTGAAATCTTCTCAAAGGATTTAATTAGAATTCTTTCTAGTGATTGCAAAATACTTCATGGAATAAGGATACACCATAAATGCTCAACTGTTTTCTTGATAGGCATATATTTCTAATTTTTTTGCCGTTATACATAATGTACTTAATGTTCTTGTACCTGTATCCTCATGTATTAGTGTATATGCTTATATGAGATATATTCCCAAGGAGGTTCATAGAATCAAGGGTACGCATGTTTATTTAATAGCAATAGACAGTTTTCTTGAAAACCTAAGGAAAACAATTCATATTCCTATTAGCCATTATGAGAATATACTTTTACCTACATTTTCATGGGAAATAAACGTGAGAACTCATTTTTCCCCTTTCTTAAAATTTTATTTTATTGTTATAAGAACACTTAACATGAGCTCTACCTTCTTAACAGATTTTTAAAAAGGCAATACATTATTGATGAATAGAGGTGCCATGTTGTACAGAAGATCTCTAGAACTTATTTACTTTGCTTAACTGAAACTTTATGCCCATTGGTTAGCCCCTACCTTCTGGTAACTACTATTTCATTCTTTGGGTTTACAAATTTGACTATTTTAGATACCTGACATAAGTGAAATGCAGCATTTGTTTTTTTGTGACTGGCTTATTTCACTTAATATAATGCTCTCAAGATTCATCCATGTTGTTGCATATTGCAGAATTTCCTTCTTTTTAAAGATTGAATAATACTCTATTGTATGTATATTCCACATTTTCTTAATCCATTCATCAGCTGATCAACATTCAGGTTGTTTCCATATCTTGGCTGTTGTGAATAGTGCTGCAATAAACATAGGAGTGTTAACATCTCTTCAAGATCCAAGTTTTAATTCTTTTGGATAAATACTCAGAAATGGGATTGCCAGATCATATGGTAATTCTCCTTTTAATGTTTTGAGGAACTTCCATATTGTTTTCCATAAAAGCTGCATCAATTTACATTTCCGTTACTAATACACTAGGGTTCCAATTTCTCCACATCTTTGCCGACACTTGTTGTCATTTTATTATTTATTTATTTATTTATTTATTTCTTGTAATAGCCATCCTGGCAGGTTTGATTTACATTTTCATAATACTCATTGTGATTTTGATCTACATTTTTATAATGATTTGTTATGTTCAGAGCACCTTTCATACACCTGTTGACCATCTGCATGTCTTCTTTGGAAAGATGTTTATTCTGTTTTGGAATTGGATAATTTATGTATTTGCTATTGAGATGTACACATGCCTAATATATTCTGGAAATTAACTGCTGATCAGGTAGATAGTTTGCAAGTATTTTTCCCATTCTGTAGATTGCCTTTTCATCCTGTTGATGTCTTTCTTCACTGTTTAGAAGCTTTTTAGTTTGACACAATTTCCATTCGCCAAGTTTTGCTTTTGTTATCTGAGCTTTCTGTTGTAGCCATGAAATCATTTTTCTAGGCCAAGGAGACAAAAGTTTTCCCCTAAGTTTTCTTCTTGGAGTTTTACAACAGCACCAAAAAGAATAAAATAGTTAAGAAAATAGTTAAGAAAAAATCTTAAATAAATAAAAGTTAAGTGAAAGTTTTTTTTTTTTTTTGAGACAGAGTCTTGCTCTGTTGCTCAGGATAGAAGGCAGTGGCGCCATCTCGGCTCACTGCAACCTCCACCTCCCGGGTTGAAGCGATTCACCTGCCTCAGCCTCCCGAGTAGCTGGGATTATAGGCGCCTGCCACCACGCCCACCTAATTTTTGTATTTTTAGTAGAGACGGGGTTTCACCATGTTGGCCAGGCTGGTCTCGAATTCCTGACTTCATGATCCACCCGCCTCGGCCTCCCAAATTTCTATGCTTTAAAATACAAACATTTATGAAAGAAATTCAAAAAGATACAAACAAATGGAAAAACATCTATTGCTCATGGATTTGAAAAATTAATATTGTTAAAATATCATCCTACCCAAAACAATCCACAGATTCAGTGCAATCCCTCTCAAAATTTCAATGACTTTTTTTACAAAAATAAAAAAAATTCTACAATTCATATGGAGCCACAAAAGACTATGAATATCCAAATCAATCTTGAGAAACAGGAATAAAGCTGGAGGTATCACACTTCCTGATTTCAAATATACTACAAGTTTACCATAATCAAAACAGTTTAATACTGGCGTGAAGGCAGACATATAGACTGATGGAACAGAATAGCCCAGACATGAATCCACACGTATATAGTCAACTCATCTTTAACAGGGGTGCCAAGAACACATAGTGGTCAAAGAATAAGCTATTCAACAAATAGTGTTGGAAAACTGGAAATCCACATAGAAAATAATGAAATTGGACCCTTATCTTATACTACATCCAAACATCAAATCAAAATAGATTAAAGGCTGTTATAAGATTTTAAATAAATTTATAACTTGAACTGAGGGTTCCTTTTAATCTTGGTTTTATTCTCATTATCATTTTGATTTTTTATATCTCTAACAATTTTATAATTTAAGTCTTCTTAAAAAAACAATTTTGCCATTTGTATTTATAAAAATGTGAATTGCCTAGTCATAATCTTTGCATAACTGTAATTGTTAACATTTCCTCCTTGTCACTTTATAAGGGTTTTTTCACATTATAGTTTTTAACATTTTATCTGTTACCTGCATTTCCAATATTATTCTAAAACTCTAATTTGTGTAGTGACTCTGCTTGTGAATCCTTTGCTGTAGGAGAGCTGTTTGATTTTTTAGGCTCAGATGTATCAGTTGTCGTGTTTTATAGTTTTGGAGCTCTGTCTTTATAAAGAAGGTCTCTCCCTAGATTATGCACACAGTTTTCCAAATTTTCTTTGAAAATTTTTTAGACTTTAACATATTGTCTTTGGTTAGTCATAGATATTATTCCATATAAATTTTAAATAATTTTCCCTACTCCAAAAGTAAAATTTTGTTGACATCCAAGTAGGAACTATATTAAAATGCAGTATTAACATGGGAGAGGTTTATATTTTAATATTGTGTTTTGGAAGAAGTTTATTATTTTAATTTTTTTTATATCCAAGGAAATGATCTATTTTGTTTATAAATAAGACTTGTTATTTTCCTTTATATAGTAATTAAATCGCTCTCGAATATTTACCTTTTTCCTGCTATGGTATATTGCTGTAGCTTTTTGTTAATTTTTAAACTTAAAGTTAAAAATATGTTAAAACAAAATAATATCAGATGTTACTATGCTGGCTTCATAAAATAAATTAGATCATATTCCTTCTTTATGAGTTTTAATGTTTCAAAGGCAACAAAGTAGATCAAGTGCGACTACCAGGAAACTGCTCACTCCCCCTGGGGGTAAGGGGGTTGGCTTGTTTGCTGCTTGTTGCAATATGTGCTGGTTGTTCAAAAAGGGCCTAGTTTCTGGTTCTGGGTTCTGCAACTGTGACACAAACCCATTGCATGTGCAGGCATCCATCTGGGCTAATCACATTGCCTCTTTGGGACTTGGGAAAAAAAAATTATTGTATCTGACCCAGGAATCTTTTGTCATGTGCTGGGATCCATGAAAGAGTAACACATAAAACCATCTTTGGTTAAATTTACTCATAAGTATTTTGTTATTTTTAACACAATTTAGATAGATAGGCTTATTTTTTAAAATTTCCTTGTTGAGGTAGGCTAAGGCAGAGAGTTGCTTGAACCTGGGAGGCGGAGGTTGCAGTGGGCCGAGATTGCGCCACTGCACTCCAGCAGCCTGGGCGACAGAAAGAGACTCTGTCTCCAAAAAAAAAAAAAAAAAAAATCCTTTTTGAATCTTTTGTTATCAGTATAAATAAATGCTACTGATTTTTGTACGTTGATCTCGTATCCTGCATCTTCACTGAATTCGTTTGTCCTAACAGTTTTTAAATGGAGTCTTAGGGTTTCTACATGTAGGATCATGTCATCTGCAAACAGAGGTAATTCTAATTTGGACGTCTTTTGTTTCTTTTTCTTGTCTAATTTCTCTGGGTAGGACTTACAGTGCTATGTTCAATAGAAGTGGCAAGGGTGAACATCCTTGCCTTGTACCACATCTTTAAGAAAAAGCTTTCAGTTTTTATTCATGGATTATGATGTTAGCTGTGGGCTTTTCATAAGTGGCCATTATTCTGTTGAAGTTTGTTCCTTTTATACGTATTTTATTGAGAGTTGTCTTTCTTTCCATATAATTTTAGAATTCCTTGGGAATTTTATTTATTTATTTATTTATTTATTTATTTATTTATTTATTTATTTATTTATTTTGAGATGGAGTTTCGCTCTTGTTGCCCAGGCTGGAGTGCAGTGGCGTGATCTCAGCTTACTGCAACCTCTGCCTTCCGGGTTCAAGCAATTATCCTGCCTCAGCCTCCCAAGTAGCTGGGACTACGGGCATGCACCACCACGCCCGGCTAATTTTTTGTATTTTAGTAGAGACAGGGTTTCACCATGTTGCCTGGGATGATCCTGAACTCCTGACCTGAGGTAATTTGCCTGCCTCGGCCTCCCAAAGTGCTGGGATTATAGGTGTGAGCCACCGCACCTGGCCGGGATTTTTTAAATATAGACAATCATGTCGCCTTCAAAAAATGGGCAGTTATATTCATTGCTTTCCAATCTGTATGTCTTTTATTTCTCTTTCTTGCCTTACTGTGGCAACAGAGCTTCCAGAACTGTCTTGCACAGCACAGAGGAGAGCAGGAAAGCTTTCCGTCTTCCCAGTCTATGGAGAAAGCATCAGTTTTTATCTTAAGTGTGATGTAGCGGTAGGTTTCTGCAGATGTTCTTTATCAAGTTGAGGAAGTTCCCATCTATTTTTTATTTTCTCATAGTTTTTATCATGAATGTCTTTGAATATTGTGAAATACTTTTTCTGTGACAATATAATAATATAATTTTTATTCTTTAGATTATGAGTGGGATTATTTCCTGAATATTGAAAATTATACTACCTTTTATTGTTGTTACATTTCATTTCTCAAGTCATCCACCAGAAAAAAGTGATGTTTTAACTTTTATCCTAGACTTAGTAATAATTTGTGCTTAAGGAGAGACCTCAAGGAAAAGACAGCATATGACTGTCATCTATGTTAAGTGAATATACGTTTGGTAATTAGCATCAGGACTTAGGTGAAAACTTGTACAGGTGACCTAGTTGTTAAGAGCATGTGCTGAGGTTCAAAGTACCTCTGTTTCTTCTTTGGTTAAACGGACAGGTCAGTTCGCATGGGGCTGCAGGGAGGACATTTTGGATTAATACATTTCCTACTCTTATTAATACATTTCCTAACCTTATAGAAAGGTTTCAGTAAAATTACTGTTACTTTTTATCATTTTGTATGTTTAAGCTTTTAAAAATGACCAATACTTCTTGAATGCTGCAAAATGATTTGGTCTCAGCTGATTCTGAAACACACACACACACACACACACACACACACACACACACACACACACACACAAAGGGATCTCTCCTAACAGGGGTCTCAAAAAACTACAAGGATTTTTTGAAATTTTCTATCCAGAGGCCATGGTGCAGATACTCTCTCTGACAAGGAGAAGCGACACTCATTAAACTTTAGAAAGTGGGTTTCTTCAGACTTCACCACTGCACAATGTACCCACATAACAAAACTGCACCTGTACCCTCAAATTTATACAAATAAAATGAAAGTGGATTTCTTGTTATTGCTTGGCAATTCCTTTGAGTATTTAATAATCTATACAATATCTACTTGACACAGCATTTTCTTGGAGGATGAAATTTTATTAACAGATATAAACTACTGTAGCTTAACATTTATCTAAAAATAATTTGCATTACAAAGTAATAAAATTTCTTGATTATGATTTTCAAGTTCTTTTTTATCCCGATCAGCATGTGTCATGAAGGTTGAGACAATTAAAAAAAATCTTGCCTTTATTTCTCAAACACTTTAACTACTAGCTTCAAGCAGACTTAGATCTATACATAAAAAGTAGTTTTAAAAAAGAAATAATACTTTCAAGTAGGTCATATTTAAAGTAGTTGAAAACCATTTGCTAGAAATTCAAATAAAAGCATTCTTCTATATTAACATTTGTATCTAACTTCAGCCACGTTGTCAGGAAATTCTTCTCTGGGAAGTTAAGACCATTTTATCCTAATGAAGAGCCCTTCATTTCCCAAAAATCTTACACGAACCATAAAACCAACATTAAGAAACCTTCACATTTCAGACTTGTGCGTGTGAAATTCAGACATGAGAAGAAACAGTCTTTGTTAGCAAGAGGTTTCTGTGTGTTCGAAAATTTTTAAAAAACAGAACCTTGTCTTTTGTGGTTATACTAATCCTAAATTCCTTAATTAGTATACTAAATAAGCCATTTTTCCCCACTGGTAATTGATAATGGGAAAGTTCAAAGTCAGATATAGAAATTATCTGTTTATATTAAAAATAATTGCAGGGTTCAGTTTAAATTATGGATTCAAATTATCACTGTGATTTATTGAGACCACTACTTGTCATTTTCAATGAAGAATGCTATTAATGACCCTAATTTGATGCTTATATTTTGAAATTATCCTAGTTAAAATAAAATTATGATCCTATTTCTTTATAAATGTTTTTCACTGAGAATAAATCGTATAATAACTTAATATCCAAAATAGTTTCCCTAAACTTATGCTTCACAAATACATGCATTTTAATGTCAACTTTTTGGCTCAACAAGAACTGAGTAAAGTTTTCCACAGATGTCCTTTTTTTTTTTTTTTTTTTTTTTTTTGAGACGGAGTCTCGCTCTGTCGCCCAGGCTGGAGTGCAGTGGCGCGATCTCGGCTCACTGCAAGCTCCGCCTCCCGGGTTCACGCCATTCTCCTGCCTCATCCTCTCACGTATGTGGGACTACAGGCGCCCGCCACCACACCCGGCTAATTTTTTGTATTTTTAGTAGAGACGGGGTTTCACCGTGCTAGCCAGGATGCTCTCGATCTCCTGACCTCGTGATCCACCCGCCTCGGCCTCCCGAAGTGCTGGGATTACAGGTGTGAGCCACAGCGCCCGGCAGATGTCCATATTTTAGGGTATCTAGAAATCTTTGGAAGAGACTAACATGGTAGCAATAACTGTGATGAGCAGATTCTGGTATAGGTTTTACATGATCTATAGACTGGTAACAAATGTCTACAGGGCACTCTGTAAGGTAGGCCGGCTGAATTGTAGGATTAGGGGCTACAAGGGTAGGTTTTTGCGCTATGAAATCAGTGTCAAAAGGTAAGCCATCTTGTAACCTTTCCATTTGTCCTACAGATGTGTGGTAAGCTCACACAGCAGCATTTCAGAGAAAACCAAGCAGGGCCTCGATAATTATTTCAAAGTTAGCAATAAAACAGTATTCTAAAATGACCCTGAAGGGAGTGCTCAGTTCGCTAAAAGAACATGTGGTAGGCTCAGCCTTCTGCTGAATCACCTACATTGAAAAATGGGACTCTCACAATACAACTTTAAGTCTGGTTCTTCATTATTGTTCATGACACTAGGTAAACATCTAACATTTCCTATCAAGCCACTGAACAGTGGCAATGATTTTAGTATTGTCATTTCCATTGTTGAGAAATAATGAATATCACTTCATCATTCTGAAAGCATTCTATAATAGGATGGTGTAAGAATTTAGTTTTTCAAACACCAGTTATTTGTAAGATATAATTTTCTTTACTAATTTTTAATATATCCTTGATAATGCACTATATTTCTATTATACTTGAGTCTACTGTAGGTCATCGATATATTTTTATTCACTTCCACATTATTTTTAAACAAAAAAATCTCATTTTGGTATAGTTTTAGATTGAAAGAATTATTGCAAAAATAATACTGAGTTCCTATATAGCCTATATCTATCTTCTATTAGTAACATCTTACATTAGTATGGTACATTTGTTAAAATTAATGAACTAGTATTGATAAATTTTTACTAACTAATCACCACATTTTATTAAGTTTTCCTTAGTGTTTACTTATTGTCCTCTTTTGGTTTCAAGATCCCATCAATATACCACATTACATTTATTCATCAGGCCTTCTTAGCTCCCTCTTGGTTGGGACAGTTTTCCAGGCTTTCCTTCTTTGTAATGACCTTGAAAGTTTTGAGGAATACTGGGCAGGTATTTGTAGAATGTCCCTTCATTGGGATGTGTCTGATGTTATTCTCATGGGTTTATAGGTTGTTAGGATGAAGACCACAGAGGTAAAGTGCTATTTTTGATCACGTCATATCAAGGGTAGAGTCTATCAACATGATTTATCATTGTTGATCTTCACCTTGGTCACCTGGCTGAGGCAGTGTCTGTCAGTTTTCTCCACCACAAAGCTGTTTTCTCCCATCCCTTTCTATCCTATTCTCCTAGGGAGGAAGTAACTATGAACAGCCCCCACTTAAGGCACAGGGAGTCATGCTCCACCTCCTCTGGACAGAGCATCTACATAAATTATTTGCAATTTTCTGCATGGGATATTTTTCTATACTCTCCTATGTATTTATTCATCAAGCATTGCTAAAGCATGGACTCATAAATATTCATTTATAATTTGGGTTATAATCCTTAGCTACTTTATTTTAGTATTCAAATTGTTCCATCTTTGGCCATTGGGAACTCCTGTGTCCCTCTGACATACAGAAGCATTCGTGTGGTACTTCCTTACTTTCTGGCACTACAAGATGCTCTGGGCTCGTCTTGTGTATTTCATGCCCCGGTCCTAGAATCTACCATTTCTCCAAGAAGCCCTGGTTCCTGTTACTAAAAACCAAGAAAGATCTGGATGCTAGGTGTACTTGGGAGTTTTATTTTAAAATTCTAAATCTTGATGGCCTTTAAATTAAAATTTAAATGCTTTTGTTAAGCCAACGCACCAGGGAGAATGTTTTGTTTGCACAGAACCTTGTGTAACGATAAGGTGCTCTGACTCCAGCCCCTGGTTGGGAGTTGGGCGCTGCTCTGTTATCACACTTCCCGTCTGAACACCCTGGTCCTCTGTTGGGCATAGACCAACAAAATTCAACAAACCATACTTCAGAATTTCCATATAGTATATAAACACAAGTACTGCTGAATTTCAACTATGTTTATATGAGTTTCTGAATTAATAGATCAATATCGATATATTATAGAGACTGACATTTATAAACTAAGAACTTGAGATGATGGGAGCACAGAACTCAAATGTACTATTCAAATAATACACCTTTTCTATTAAAATGCTCTAAGTATCAGGATGTAAATCAGAGCTTTGCTTTCAATTGGGCCATTGGTATGTATTCTGTGATCTATGAGGGCAAGGACATTCAGGCGATACCAGGATAAATGAGGCAGAAAAGAGTCATGGAGCAGCAAAGATATTTAGACAAAATTTTAGGAATATGTATTTTCTCTAACTTCCAAGAATATAGAAATTTGAAAAGGCAGAATCTTGTAAGCTTTATAATATTCTCAAGCGTAGTTTATTCTACAACCAATAGAAAGTTAAATGGAGAGTAGATTATAATGATGTAAATCAAAAAACATCTGTATAAATACATAAAATTGCATTAAATGACTTTCTACTGTAATATCGGATTCAAGATTGTAGTCAGATTGAAAGCAGCAATATATTGAATGATTAAGTTATTAACTAAACATGAATTTTAGGTCAATACCTTTCCAAACACAACATAAATAAGATTTTCACATAAAGAAATATAACCAAATATCATTCTTTAACAAATTAATAGGCTCCAGTATTTCCTATACATTCAAAATATTGCTCACTACAATTTGAAAATGTACAGTAATTGGGAAAATTAGAAATTTAAATATTAAACATTACCTTTTAGTTTTTTTTTAAATACTAGTTTTAATATGAGAGATTAAGAGCCCAGAGAAAAATAAAGTGGTTTACCAGTTTTAAGACAGCTGACAGGAAGGCAGAAAAATCATTGGATGATATTATATTACACCAGCAAGGTTGGGACAGGGGGTATTACAAAATGGGAATTTATATCATTTAACAGGCTTCTGTGCAACTCCAAAATGTCGATTTTAAATGATGCAAGGAGGTCAGATGGCAAGTGAAGAGAAATATGCCGGGACAGATGGATAAAGGCACGCAAGAAAAGAGGAACACGGAGATAAATTCCAGTTCAGTTTAGCCATACTAAGATAAGGTCGGTGAGAGGTGTGAGCAATTTCAGTTAGGCAAAGGGATATTATCAGTTTTAGAATAATATAACCTGACATTAATGACATCCATAAACAAAGTATACAAAACTAGAAGGACCATTTTACTTTTTTAAAATGCTGAATAAAATTTCTCCTAAAGACCTAATCATTAGTTTAAGTTCACATCTTGCAAACCCTTGGTACTTTCTGCTAACATCCATTATAAAATGAATGCACCATTGCATTGAGCAAAATCTTTAAAAAGTGACAAGCCAACTAATATATTACACACCACAGGGATTCCAACATGAAAAATACTGCAAGTTCAAACTATAAACTGCCTTGTGTCTCAATAATGTCAGAGTGCTTTACGAACTGAGATGCTAAAATTCAATCTGAAATGTATTTACTTGTAGTACTGAGAATCCATGAAAACAATACATTCCTCAAAGTTCTGTTTTGTGGTGTCTGCGGACTGGGGCTGTGCTCTGCCATGCTTTTGCACAGCACCCTGATTCCTGCCCTACAAAATGCCTAGAGACACAATGAGCAAGAACCAGAATATTGGTCATGCACTCACCCGAACAACACCTGCCAGGTATTGTTTACTTAATTCTCAAAGCTTGAACGGAAACCTCAACAGGCAGACCACCTGGGAGCCAAATCCAGACACAGACATGTAACAACAGGCACAAAAACATCTGTAGAAATCAATACGTTGAGCTTCTGAACGAAGTCTTCTACAGCACATTCTCATGACAGTAGGCCATCCTGTTCAATAGTGTACCTTAATCCGCCTGGGCCATTGTCTCACAAGCAGCTCAATTTCCTCAAGGGGTAGATGGCCAATAATAGCTTACCTGACTCACAGGCAAATGTCTTCGATGTTTCATCGTGAAAGATGATTGCCACCGCATGCTTCTTTGTCTCTCGGGGCAGTCTGGTTATATTTTTGATATTGTGCAGTTCAGTTACCTTGAAAGAAAAAATATATTTAACTTAGTGTACAGTATGTATGCTGTATGTTGGAGTGCTGAAACAAAATGATAAGTTATCACAGTCTTACATGAATTTCCACGGGATATTTGTACTCATTCTGAATTGACTTTAGCCAAAAACAGTAAAGAAAAAAACAAAATGTCTTCTATTATGCCCTTAACTTTGGTCACAGACTATATTGTTTGCTGCATTTTGAAATGACCTACACATTATGTAGAAGGGTTCTATGGACTTTGTGCTTTTATTAAAAGCATATACCTGGCAAATAATAGCAGTTGTGGTATAACAGAGGATTTTCATTAAATATCTGCTGAATATTGATTGTATTTAATATCTCCTCTCTCTTAATTTTCACCTGTCATGCAAATTTCCTGTAGGCCTATGGTCCTGAGGCAACTGACACATATCTGTCAGAAAAGTGACTGGAAAGCAAGTCCATTGCTCCAAAAGGTACATTTTAGAGCAATAGACTTGCTCTCCAGAAAAATGCTCATAGTGTTCACAGACCCATACACCACTTCTCCCACCAAAGCCCATCCAAGATTTATGCACCCAGGTTAACAACAATTTATTTATTGGGCAATTAATAAATATCTAGTAGCCTTATGTATTTTGGATGTTGACTCCTTATTGGTACAAGATCTTCTGCTACAATTTGTGCATCTTTAATTTCCCCCGCAGTCAACAGAAACAAACAAATGTATATTTCCTCAACAACTCTGCAAACACAACATTGCAATAATAATATTCAATGAGTTAATTTTTTAAAATCTGCTTATCAAGGTGCGAATTTTTTCTTCTAATTTATAAGATTTCTTATTTCTAGATCCATACTGTTAACAGAAAGAAGACAGGATTAACTAGCATAGTAAACAGCAAGTTAATATCCTCTTTTATGACAACCTATGATATTATATCTATAATTATATGATCTTATAATAAATTCATTACCTTTTGACTATGCTTTAATTTCTCTTCTCCAAATGTAGAATTTTTACAGGATATAACTAGCTTTTTCAAGGCTATTTTGCTGATTAATATTTTTATAAACACAATAATTAACCACATGCATATTTATATACACATTTGCATATTATAGTTATATAATCTAATATATAATACAAATATAATCAATATTTAAGTAATATTCCTTAGGATCTATTTTCCTAAGGAAATAATATTTTATTATCTTTAATATTAAGTGTGGTTAGTTTAGCAAGCATTTATATCTGTATTTAACATTACACTATGTAGACTAGACTAAGATCCCCAATAAGAACACAAAAAAACCTAAAAATCACAGGCGAGTAATCTATAATGTGGATGGAAATGAGCAATTGGATATGTTGGAATGGAGACTACAGAGAGTGGCTGAAAGTTACTTGTCAAGGAAAATCACCCAAGTCATCAGGTATTTTTTAAAGTTACAGTTGATCATCTTTATTTGTGGTTTCTGAATCTGTGAATTCACCTACTTGCAAAAATGTATTTACAACCCCAACATAAATACACATGGCACATCTGTGGTCATTTGTAGACATGTGCATGTGCAGAGGGGTGAAAACTTTGAGTCTCCAGATATGCACGCTTCCAGCTGAGGTTGAGCAGGCGTTTGAGTCTCCAGATGTGCACGCTTCCAGCTGAGGTTGAGCAGGCGATGCTGTGTCTTATTGTGTTTGTGGTCATACTGTAGACACATGTCCTTTTCATGCTCTGCGTAGAGCCATGGCTTTTGCATTTTTGTGATTTTTCTTGTTGACTACACTTTTAAAAATGGCTCCCCAAGTGCAGCCCTAAACTGCTGTCTAGTGTCCCTAAGTTAAAGAGACTGTGATACCCCTTATGGAGAAAATACATGTGTTAGATAAGCTTTATTCAGCATGAGGTACAGTGCTGTTTGCCCTAAGTTCATTATTAGCAATCAGATATCTTTAAAGAGCAACAATAAAACGAGGTAATATAATGATCAGTTAACAAAAGCATTGTGACTAGAGGTCATTCATTAATTCATTCATGATTTGCAACTGAATGTTTGCAGAGGCTTTATAGACCATAACTACAATGAATAATGAAAATCAACTACATGCCTTAGAGATTGTTCTAGGGTTTACCATAAATATTTTAACATATCAGAATTAGCTTTAGATTGATATTGTGTTCCAGTGAAATATAGAAATCTCATATCTACATAGCTTTTTCCCTTACTGTGATATTATTTTTATACATATTGCATCTATTAATATAAATGTTACAAACCCAACATTACATCATATTTATAATTTTAATTAATTTATATAATTTTATATCTTTTAAAGAAGCTGAGAGGAGATCAAGTGTATATTTATTGCTTTTTACATTAACATTTTCTTTATAATTTCTGTATCTTTTCTTTTGTTCCTATTGACTTGAGTTACTATCTGAAGTCATTTCCATAGTCGATACAACTTTGCTGCCACCACCTCCTTTGTGTTGTTATTGGTAAATATATTAGAACTCTATATGTTATAGGCCTAAAAGTACATTATATACGTATTGTTTTATGTAATTGCCTTTTAAGTCAGTTCAGAGGAAAAAAATAAATATGCATTTATACTGTCTTTTATAATTACCTTACTGATACTGTTTTTTGTTACGGTTGGACTGGGATCACTTACTATTTCTTGTAAGGCATGTCTGTGAGTTTTAGTCTGTCTCACGATGCCTTTATTTCATCGTATTTTTTGAAGAATACAAGATTCTTTGTGGGCGTGTTTTTTTTCCCCCTTTAAGCACTTTGAATATACTTTCCACTGCCTTCCAGTCTACAGTGTTTTTAGTGAGAAGTCAGATGTTAATCTTATTGGGGTTCCTTTGTAAGTGAAGAGCAGTTTTTCTTTTGCTGCTTTCAAGATATTCCATTTGTCTTTGTCTTTCAGTATTTTTACTATGACATTCCTGATGGTATATCACTTTGCATTTATCCTACTTTGAGTTAATTGAGCTTCTGGATCTGGAATGACAGTAGTTTAATCAGGACTACCTTTCACTCTTTCTTTCCATGACCACACCCAATTATTTAGCTCCACTATTTGCAGGCTGATTTCTTTATTTTTTAAAAAAATATCCTGGGGGCATATATTACTTCACATATGGGGCCAATCCAATTTGGGATCTTTTAAAGTGATAGTTCCTGAGGTCATTGTTTTACATTGGTTCTAAATCCAGATGGGCTCCTCCCAGGTGTCTATGTTCCAGGTCCTGTCCAGCAAACTTGCTGACCTAAAGTTTAGCTTATATCTCTCATATACCTATCATTTTCTCTCAATTGCTTTTCATCACAACCTCTGTGCTTTTGTATAGTGTCCTTATGCTTAAACTTTTCCACACCCGGTTGAAAATGAAGTCAGGTGTTTTTGGAAAGAGACTGAGAACTCTGTTTTATGGTCAGCTTTATTCTTCTAGGGCAAAAATCTCTAAGCCGTGTGTCTTAGTTAGGCTTCTCTGGAGAAACAGAATGAATAGTATATATGAGGGGTCTTTGAAAGGTTCATAGAAAATGCTTATAGTGAAAAAACTACGCATGGATTAAAAATTTTTTGCACCAAAATAAATTATTAATCTCATAACTCATAAATTCACATAAACTCATCAACTTTTGTTGTAACATATCTAAATAGACTCTAGTTTGAGGCACTAAGAAGGATAAGACATCAGTTTGAAAAGAACTCCTATCAGAGAAACATGAATTCTGCTAAAATTGAAGCAAAGACAAACATCAAACTTAGGGCAAAGCTTGGGTGGAAGAACGATGAAATTATTGATGCTTCACAAAAAGTTTATGGGAAACAATGTCCAAAGAAATCAGCAGCTTACAAATAAATAAGTCTATTTAAGAAGAGACAAGATGATGTTCAAGATGAAGCCCTCAGTGGCAGATCATCCACATCAATTTTTGAGGGAAAAAAATCATCTTGTTCTTGCCTTAAGAAAGACCAACAATTAATGGCAGAACAATAGCCAAACCCACAGTCATCTCAATTGGTTCAGCTTATACAAGTCTGACAGAAAAATTAAAGTTGAACAAATTTTCCACTCAGTGAGTGCCAAAACTGTTGTGCTTAGATTAGCCACACAATTGTTTTTCTAATTCTGTAAAAAAAGACATTGGTAACTTGATAGGGATTGCATTGAATCTGTAGATTGCTTTGAGTAGTATGGTCATTTTAACAACTAAGTTTTCCAGTCCATTAACATGGCATGTCTTTGCATTTGTTCAATTCTTTCATCAGTGTTTTGCAGTTTTCCTTGTAGAGGTCTTTCACCTCCTTGGTTAAATTTGTTCCTAGATATTTTATTTTATTTTTTGAGGTATTGTAAATGAGACTGCCTTCTTGATCTCTTTTTTAACTAGTTCATTATTGGTGTATAGAAATGCCACTTCTTTTTGTATGTTGATTTTGTATGCTGCAACTTTACTGAATTTATCATATCTAAATCCACTTTGGCAGAGTCTTTAGGTGCTCCTTTTTCTTTTTTCTTTTCTTTTTTTTTCACGTAAGAGACAGAGTATCACTATATTACCCAGGCTGTTCTTGAACTTCTGATGTCAAGTGATCCTCCTGCCTCCACCTCCCAAAGTGTTAGCATTGCAGGTGTGATCCACTGTGTGAGGCCAAAATATACATTTTTCAAAATATAAGATCATCTCATCTGCAAAGAGGGACAATTTGACAATTTGACTTCTTTTCCAATCTGGATGCCTTTTATTTCTTCTTTCTTTTTTTTTTTTTTGCCTGTTTGCTCTGGCTAGGACTTCTAGTGCTATGTAGAATAGGAGGGGTGAAAGTAGGTTTTCTTTTTTTATGTCAGTTCTTAAAGGAAAGGCTTTAGCTTAGAAAATTAGTTTTAATATATCTGTTATTTATATTTGTTTTCTCCCTATTTGTAATTATCTCATTTAAAATTATCTTGAAAAATTAAAATATGTAATATGGGTGATTTTAAGTAAAATACTTAAAGAGGTTTGCTTATATATAAAAATACATATATTTGTATATGCATGTATCTGTATGTATGTATGTGTGTATATATGTGCATGTGTGTGTATGTGTGTACATGTATGTGTATACAATTTGCTATCTATCTGTCCATCCATCTATCTGAAAACATTCATTTTCCCTTTCAGTAAAAAAAAAAAATAAACATCAATGTCTTACAGTTCCTGAGAATTAATACCCTGGAGAGAAATATGAAGTTTTTTAGGAAGAGTGATTCACGGGTTGTATTTTAAGCACATTAAATCGTGTTCTGAAATAAAGCTTAACTTTGTAATTTTTAAATGATTAATGGAATCAAGTGATATTTACAACAAATTTTATTACAACAAAATAAATTGAAGTTATGTTTGAAAAGATATACCATTTTCAAATGCTACTAATTTTACCTGAACAAAGGATCTTAATGAAAATTATGTGTGGCTTAAGAATTTACATAAAAAGATAAACACAAGAATGATATACTGTTAAACTACATTACATATAATAGCTAGATGTACCATATAATAAAAACATTTATAAATCTATTTGAGAACCTTTTCCAAAGGTTTTTACTTGCAAATATAAAAGAATATTAGAACAGATATTGTGATTTCTATTTTTTTGTCCTCTTATAATAAAAATTGACAAAATAAGCTAATGGATAGCCTAGCAAAATGCAGCAAACCCCAGGGATTTTCTAATTTCAGAGCCTTAGGATATCTGACAGATGATGTAGGTCAAACACAGTGTTTGCTCTTCTGTAAAATTTACATTTAGAAATGCAGACAGCTTCTTCAAGCCCACATTGTTACAGTAGTTTTTAGAATAATGCAAGGTTTTTCATTGTTGATCAACAGTGTGATGTTATCCACTTCAGCATGTACCCTAAGAAATTAAACAGATACCAGAAAAGAAAAATATAATGAAGAGTATCAAATTCTACTTTTTTCTTTCTTTTTTTTTTTTCTTTTAAGAGACAGGGCCTTGTTCTGTGGCCCAGGCTGGCGTGAAGTGGTGAGATCACAGCTCACTGCAGCCTCAAACTCCTGGGTTCAAGCAATCCTCTTGCTTCAGCCTTCCAAGTAGCTGGGACTACAGGTGTGTGCCACCATGCCCAACTAATTTTTTTAATTTAATTTTTTTGTAGAAATGGGCTCTCTCTATGTTATACAGTCTGGTCTTAAACTCTTGGCCTCAAGCTACCTTCCAGCCTTGGCCTCCCAGAGTGTTGGGATTACAAGCATGAAATCCATCATGCCACTGTGCCTAACCAAATTCCACTTAAAAAAAAATTTTAACCATGAAAATTTAGGACAAGATCTAATGTATTTGAATATCCTATCTTCATTTCTTTTTTTACTGTCAATACTATATGGATTGACTATCATGGGAAACTCTGTATTTACTTACATAAAGAAAGCTTTTAAAATTTCTAAAATGTTTTAAAATTATGTTTTTATTAGTCTAAAACCTGTCAATGTAACATAAAAAATTATCAACATGTATTAAAATTGTGAAATCCTTGAGCTTTTCAATATCGGTAAATTATTGCATCATTAAAAATAATATGTACTTTTAAATTATTGATTTTTCACATGGTTGTAAAAGCATAAAGTACTGATTAAAGTTTAATAAAAGCATTAAACTTAATTATTTTAAGTAAATATGAAGTTGACTGAATTGAATTGAAGGAAAAATTACTTGAAAATAATTCAGGTTGTTCACATCCAAATCAATACGTTCCATGATGAAAAATTTAAAATATTAAGGTCTGATAAATGACAAGACTAATGCCTAAGTATAAATTTACCTAAATGACAACACTGCTAACAGATGTTATTTAATTGTCATTTTAAAGAGAAATCCCTAAGCAATTCACGGTGCTAGTAGAGACAAAGATGAAACACATGATCTTGTTTTTGTAGGATTTCATAATTGATTTGGAGTGGGAAAATAAAAAATAACTCTAGTAAACCCTATGAAAGAAGGAAAAATCAGAATTAAGGGAGCAGAGAGGAAGAAAGATCTTTATTTTAATTTGTGGGTTCTGCCACTTCTTTGTAGACATGACACTTGGATTTTAAAGGGTAAGTTTAAAAAAAAAAAAGAAAAAAGAAAAACAAAAGCCACCAACTCCCAAACCTTACTCTTACCCAACTTTATTCATGTGGGTTATATCTGTTAGTGATTTCTATAAGAGATATTAGAACTTATACATTCTTAAATATTTTTATTATGTGTTTAAAAAATAATAAATGAATTAATACCAACACAAACAGCATTTTAAAATGAAAATAATTCCCAAATAGTACGAAGAGGAGTGTCAACGTTTTTGCATTTTTCCAAAACTCAAATACCTGGCTTAATACAACACAGCTTAATACTCATATCTGCTTCTGAGTTTAATCTGTTTAATATATTCTTTTGATTAAGAACATATGAAGAAAATAAGGCCTTATACAGATATGAACTTGTCAACTAACCTATATTAGTCTCCTTTGATTCTTTCTCTAAGCTCAGCAAATGTTTTATTGAAGGTTATTGCAACAGGGAGTCTGATACCATGTCACATGCTTTTCCTACTCCTAGAATTCATAGGTCTAGTTTCAACTTTTAATGAGTCTTTTATCCATTATGGTTTTGTATCATCTTGGAATGATCTTTGGGAAAATACTGATTTACTCAGTTATGCAAACCTTCCCAATATTGACATTATTTTATTATACATATTTTTAAAAAAATATTTAATATCGACCTTAGTCTCTTCAGAAAAGTCCAGTTTTGAGAAGTTGTCAAGTTGAAAAATGCAGATACAAGATTCCCAAATTTTAATTTTTACTTGCAAGCTTAAATTTTCAAATTTTCAGTAAGCACTCAGTTGTTTTCCTTGATAAGACTCCCTTAGTTCATTTTTGAGAACATACGTGACAAATACCAAAGTCTGAATGACCACGGTTGTCTGTCAGTCATTCATTCATTAAAATAGCTGTTTTTTTCTTTAAGTAACTGTTAGGCTTGTGACTTCAACCATCACACATGTGCTCTCCTCAAGACAGCCATCCCATATCAGTATACAGCAGAAGTGACCTATGAGTTCTATTTATTTTGTCAAGTAGAATATTAAAAAGACACACTTGGAAGTCTAGATGTAAAATTAGTATTTCTTACTACTTCATCAAGGAGATTCTTAAGTAAAATGAGAATAAAATTGGCATGTTTATTTGTGTGTTTACTTATTTAGGTAACTGCATGATTGTAAAAAATATAACTGCTACTATTGTTTGGAGCCACGGCCTTGATGGATGTTATAGTTTTAATTACTGTTGCAAATGCACCAAAACAGTGAAAATGAAAACCAGTAGAAAAGACAAGTAACACAGAAGCATTGTGATGAAAGGGTGTTGTTTTCACGGACCACTCTGAGATCCACTTTTCCATGTATAACCTCCTCCTGGACCCACAACATCTGTTCTGTCATGAAATTTTGTCAGTTCTACTTCTTGAACATTCTCCTACCTATTCCTTCCTCTTCACATTAGTGACTCATTTAAGCCCTCACTCTTTCTCTTCCGAAATATTTTCATTATGTTCCCATCAGCCTCCATGGTCCTCACCTTTCATTATCTTGATCACACTGTTTTCAGACTAATATTTCTTAACCATACATTTAATCATGCCCTTCAAGGACCTAAGCCTATTTGATAACATCTTAAAAATGAAATTTTCAGTCTTTAGCAAGAACTAGAAGGCTTTCCATGATTTAGTTGCTACCTGCACATCTAATCTCATCTTTTTCCAACTCTCAACACAAGCTAAGTTCCAGCCGTATACAAAGTCTTTCAATTTTCCTGAATAAAAAGCATGGTATTTAAAGGTTAGGAAGGTTTTCACAAAATAATCCACTTGGAGTATGCTGATCTCGCATATTTCTATCAAACTAACAATCATTCTTCAAGACCAATGGGCAGGTCTTCCCTGAGTGACTCATACAGAGTTCATAATTCATTCCTGGACAGACCTTTTCTCTAGAACTTGGCAATTTGATCTAAACTCAGATGCTTCTGGCTCATTATGAAATCCGTTTGTGTTCTTATGCAGGACACAGTAAGTAAAAATAGTTAATTTTCATTCATTAATGTCATTTACTTAGTTCTTTGCATATCTAGACTTCAACATAGGATTTATTTACTTATTCATTTGTGAGTTTTGACAGTGTGCTGTTCACTGTGAAGACCACTAGGCATTTATTAAGTGATTATTCCTTTCATAGCCTATGGGAGAAGCAAAGACTGAAGAATAGGATTTATTCTCTTAGGGTATATGCTGTGAGAGGGAGGGCATATTTAGATATTTTAGGAGTTATAAATAGAAGAACAAACATCAGAGAGAAACTTTGCTTCAATTTTAGTTCAAAAAGGTTAATAAGATTTTACCTGTTCCACCATTACTACCATTTAAGTGGAGGTATATGATATGGGCTTAAGGACATAGCGATATTTTCTCCAGTTAAGCCCAAGTTTTTCAGTTATTTTATTTGCATGCTCGGTAAAATTTGGAATATATAATTTATATTTAACTGTGCATTTTAAAAACATCATGCTATTTATTTTATGCATCTTTTCTTTTAGCCTAACTGGGCAAATTAAGTGGAATATTACCACTCAATGCAGATCTTACTCACTACAATTGCATTTACACTATTTACTACATACATAAATAGGCAAAACCACATATTTACTATAATTATTAGCTTTAATGTGCCTCTTTTCAGTTTGCATCATGATAATTGAGATTAGATTATCTGACCATTAAAGCACTAATATTCTTTCTTTAAACCTATCTTTTGAAAAGTGAAATTACTTTCTAGATTTTTTCAAGTAGAGTCAAATGAATTAGAACATAAATTTTACTATTCTTTCATACTAATCTTACTAATAATTCTTATTAATCTGGGTATTTTACTAATCTCCTATGGTTGTTTTAATTAAGTCAAAGATTTTACTTTTGAGAGTAAAATAGTACCTTCTAGGAGCAAGTTTAATACAACTTTATTAGGATGGAAAATATTTATTTTCTACTAAGAAAAGAAAATGAAAATTTTACTGCATTTTCGTTATTACAATAAATATAGGTTAATCTCTCTATGCTTGAATCCTAAGCTTTCATAACAATAATTTAAATATTTGTATTACCTCATACATTATATGCTTCAATATCTGGATCATGAAATTTGCATAGAAATTTTACTATTGCTTTTTTCCAACTAAATTTATATCAATTTTCCAGTAGCTGCTTCCTTATATTTGCCTCCTGTTGCTGATAAAAATGAATGTGTACAAAAAAAGAAATCAATTTAATTCATTCTTAAAGCTACCTGTGACAGACATGTGCTCTGACACAATTCTCCCATGGCTCACCACTTGACTATCCCAATACGTTTATTATTAATAATTACAAGCTTAATCTTTTACATCTTTGACATAAACCACATTATAAAATGCCTCATCTAAAATGAATTATATCAATATAATTATAATATAATTATATGCATAATGATATTAGAATTAAAATTAACTATAATACTCTCTCCATTGGCTGTCTACTCAACATCCAGCTCCAATTCCTTCACTCTTACCAGAACCTGATTTTGTTCCGTTATCTGCCCCTCCAACAAGCAGCCAGTGTGTGTCCTGGTGGGAATCTCTCAGCCCTAGTATCTCAGTACAACTCATTATTCCAAGGGTAAAGTTTCCTTGCCTGTGATTAGTTTAGAAAAGGGAATATGAGCCACACATGGCTAATGTGATGTGACTAGAAGTCTCCTAGTGGTAGCTTCATGATAAAACCAGCCTTCCTCTCTAGTGCTGCTGCCCTATCGGAATGTCATAACTAAGAAATGCTACAGCTGCCACTCTACTAGATTGAAGAGGATGAGGCAATCCTAAGGATGGAAGAACACAGAGAGAGGAAAAACACACATGTTTTAACTGTTTAGCAAGAGTTACCGAATCAAGCAACCTTGAAGCCAGTTTCTTTTTCTGCTATAATATGTAATAATGTACATTTGAAACTTGTTTGTGTTGGGTTTCTGTTATTCACAGTCCCTAAAATTTCTAACTGATAAAGCAAGCTTAGAGTGGAGCTTGCCTCATTTTACAAATGGCAAAATGGCTATCCTGATTTTGGTCTCTATCATACAGTTAATGTCATAGAGAGAATAAGGGCCAAATTTCTTAGTTCTCAGGCTAGTACACTTTTTCCACCAATTCATGCAATAGCCATTATTCTGAAAGTCATGTGATTTATCAATGGTAAATACCAGCTAAAACAAGAAGTTATTACAGAGAAGAATTCAACTATAAAAGAGACTCAAATTGCAGGGATGATGAAAAGAAGCCCAGAAAAACCTCATTACCTTATTATGCCTAAATTATTATGAGACTGTCTATGATAAAACAGAAAGACAATCTATATTCAAGTCTGGGAAATACAGAAAATCAGTATATAGAAATATAGGCGCCGAAGTAGAAAATCTTGGCACTTACTTCTCGTGTGTGTGTGTGTGTGTGTGTGTTTAAATTTACATCTAATAACATGCTCCACTGACTCCAAAAACAAAAATTCACAAAACAACTCAGTCAGTTACAACATCGCTCTTACTTTGAGAGCTGCAATTTTACCACACGGATATTATCAGATACTATACAGCTACTATGGCTTTACCTAGCAGATGGACAAACTTAAATCTCTTCATTATTGTAATGGGTTGCACAGCGGGTCCTGGGAAGGTATGTCCAAGTCCTAGTCCCTAGAACCTGCGTATGTGCCCTTATTTGGAAAAGGGGTCTTTGTAGATGTAATTGAGGACCTTGAGAGGACATCATTCTAAATTTAGTGTAGGCCTTAAATCTAATGGCAAGTGTCTTTACAAGAGACGAGGAGAGGGAGATTTGAGACAAAGACACAGGGAGATGGCCCTGAGAAGATGGAGGCAGAGATAGAAGTTATGTTGCGCTAACCAAGGAAGACCTGGAACCACTGGATGCTGAAAAATGCAAGCAAGGAGACCCCCTTGGAAGCTTTGGGAGAGTGTGGCCCCGCAGACACCTTGATTTCTGACTTTTGGCATCCAGAACTGTAAGAGAATAAATTTCTGTGTTTTTAAGCCACCAAGTTTTTGGTAATTTGTGAGGCCAGCCCCAATTACTACAATGACACAGATTATGAGAAGATAAGCAGTGCCGTCTGTATTAGAGTTAGTTATTACATGAACGTAAAATAGAAAGACAACCACGAAAATTTTCTATATAGCCCCATTTCTCCAGTAAGATATTTGTTTCTTTAAAAGCAAGGGATACATCCCTGCTTATTCAGTGTCACCTGAAGGCATTAAATATGCTTTTCTTTTTTTATTCTTTATTTATTATTTATTTTTGATTGCTAGGAAGTCCACACAGCTCTCTAATGTGCCTCCCCCAGAGGCTGGGCAGGTGATTGATGGGCAGCCTGTGGGAGGTGAAGTTCCATTCGGGCAAGAGCTCCTTGTCAACGAGCCCTGTCAGTATCGGGGCCCCAGGAGGAAATGCAGGGAAAACGCAGCTAAGCACAAAGCCTCTCTTTGGAAAAATAATTTACTGCTATCTGATGGGGGCCGCAGCAAGCAGCACAGCTGACCTGTTACTGAGCTGGTGAGCTCTTCATCTGCCCTCTGGGGCTACCTCCTCTCCACTGGGAAACTAGCCAGTAGGGTCCGGGGACATCCACCTGCAGAAGAGGTCATTCAAACGTTCAGATGGGAAGTCCTGAATTTTTCAGAGGGAATGGCTTGCTCTGTTCTTTGTAACCAATCATAGTTTATTTTATTTATTTATTTACTTTTTTCTGGCTTGGGCACATTAACAGGGAACAAAAGAGTAGCACGGCAGAGGGCCTGCTGTCAACCTGAGATGCTAGGCTGAATGACCCTGGAGAAGACAGCCAGTAGGTCCACTCTTGCCCATAATAAAATTATGAGGAGTCTCCGGGTCACCCTCTTCAAACAGATAAAACATTTCTTTGTCAAAAAGCTCCTTTATACTCCTGTGGTCTATCATCATAAACTTGGGATTTTCACAAAGATCTTGAGAAAATACGTGGCTAATATTTAAGCAAGTCATTCTGCTAGTTGTGGTTTCGGTAACTGCTTCTCGTTGGCATTTCTGGAATCAAAACAGGATTGTTTACTCGTTTAATAAAGAAGTTCCCTGTTTACTGCACACATCTGACAGCTGGGAAGAACTACCATGAGTTGGCCAGGATTGCTGACCTACCATTATATATAAGACAGAAAATATAGAGAGATCAAGTTCTGGTGGCATGAAAAACACTGACAACAGCTTGAGAGATCATTGCCTTAAAAATGTTGTTGCAGCTGTTCAAAAGATACAAGGCTATGATTAGGGACAGATTGCTGACATACATCAACTTTTAAAAGTGTCACAAGCTGGGTTCTAAGTGGAAATAAAAATGGAAAAGCTTAGGAGAAACTGCTTGCATGTGATGACATTGTATCAGTCTATGAATGTTATTCAAGTTCAAATCATGGACAACCCATTCAACTTAGTTCTCAGGCAAGATTACATAGACGCTAAAAGCAGTACAGTGTATCCCTACACACAACCCTAACTGGTTTTGGAAGCACATGACTTTTGTCCAGTAAATTATACTGTCCAGTGAAAAAAAAGACACATTATATTTAATCACAGGTGACAAAATTATCCGACAAGGAAGTTAAGCAGTAAACCTATCACTCTCATAAGCAAAGATATGGAAGTTATATGAAATTAAAAAACGGTTAAGCTATTTTATATTATCTATGTGGCCCTATATACACACATCCACTATCAACAGCAAACAAAATAGACACTTTCCTTCTAGCACATTTGGAATATTTGTGAAAACTGAAAAGATGGTGATAAAAAAGTCTTAGTAAGTTCAAAAGAACAAAATTATACAAATTATATCCTATTGCCATAATACAATTAAAATTTATAATAAGATAATTAAATATTCTACATATATAAAAATAAATAGCAGATTTCTAAAAAACATGAGTTAAAAGGAAATTATAAGTTAAATTACAAAACATGTAGAGTTTAACAAAAATTGAACAGTATATATTACAATTTAAGAAAACATGTAGCTTTAAAAATATTTTTAATGAACAAAACAGGTTGACAGCAAAGAATTTAGACATTCAACTGAAAATGTGATTTAAAATAAAGCAACAGAGCATTTCCATAAAGAAAGACATAATAATGATAAGGGCAGAAATCAATGAAATGAAAAAAAAATCTAAACAAAAGCTCCATTTGAAATGATTAATAAGAGACCTCTGGCAAGCTAGATGAAAGAAGGTAGGAATAAATCAAGTACAGGATGAAAAGGGGAAAACTGAACAAAGAAAAATCCAAATAGTAATAAACAGCTTCTAAACAACTATATATTAATTAACTTAAAAACATCAATTAAAAGACTGTATATCTAGGAAAATATAAAATATCAAAATTGTCAGCAGAAAAAAAAACAGAAAACTTGAGTAAAACAATATATTCATTTTCCAAGAGCCCATTTCCAGATGGTTTCATAATTGAATTTACCAAACATTTAGGGGACAGTGAATTAATCTCTTCTCTAAGATAGTCCAGAAAAAAAAAAGCAAAAGCTGCTTAGCTATTTGAGTCTGGTTTAATATTGATGCAAAAACCAGATATGGTCTGGGCGCGGTGGCTCACTCCTGTAATCCCAGCACTTTGGGAGGCCGAAGTGAGCGGACTGCTTGAGGTCAGGAGTTCAAGACCAGCCTGGCCAACATGGTGAAAACCCGTCACTATTGAAAAATACAAAAGTTAGCCGGGCTGGTGGCCACAGCTGTAATCTCAGCTACTCGAGTGGCTGAGGCAGGAGAATCAGGAATCGCTTGAACCCAGAGGTGGAGGTTGCAGTGGGTGGAGGTTGTGCCACTGCACTCCAGCTTGGGTGACAGCGTGAGACTCTATCTCATACGAAAAAACAACAGCAACAACAAAAAACCCTGATTTTAAAAAAGTGAAAGGAAAAGAAAAAACCCAGATATGAAAAATGTTTAAAAATTATATGGTGATAACTTTACTAAATTCGTTTGATACTGTTTTAACAGTGTTTTGATGGAGTCTTTAGAATTTTATTTTTTTCTTTTCTTTTTTTTTTTTTTTTTTTTGAGACGGAGTCTCACTGTGTTGCCCAGGCTGGAGTGCAGTGGCGCGATCTCGGCTCACTGCAAGCTCCGCCTCCCGGGTTCACGCCATTCTCCTGCCTCAGCCTCCTGAGTAGCTGGGACTACAGGCGCCCGCCACCACGCCTGGCTAATTTTTTGTATTTTTAGTAGGGACGGGGTTTCACCGTGTTAGCCAGGATGGTCTCGATCTCCTGACTTCATGATCCTCCCGCCTTGGTCTCCCAAAGTGCTGGGATTATAGGCGTGAGCCACCTCGCCCAGCCCAAATATTAAAGCCAAAACTTTAAGGTCAATTGAATAATATTTAAGATAACGCTTTTTTTTTTTTTTTTTTTTTGTATGGATGGAATCTCACTATGTTGCCTGGCTGGTCTTGATTTCCTGGCCTCAAGCGATCCTGCTGCCTCAGCCTCTTACAGGGCTGGGATTACAGAGGTGCTTCACCATGCCTGGCCTATGATGAAATCTTTGCCGTGTATGGGATGGGGAAGTATTTCTTAAAGTAAACTACAGCAGCTCAACCCGTGAAAAATTTGAGCATATCAAATTTTCAGATTTCTGTTTAATGCAGGACTCCATACACAAAGTTAATGACAGATAATACAAGTGAGACGTTATTTCCAATGTGTAAAACTAAAGTGAGTCTAGTGCTTAAAACAGACAAGTAAACCTTATAAAGCAGTAAGGAAAATGTAGAAACTCCAGTAAAAAAACAAAACAGATGATATCAGGCAATTAATTCCTGGATTAATAAAACCTGAAAGCAACCATGCACCTGAAGAATATCTCAAACTCATTAAGAATTACAAATGTGTGTTAAAACACTGTTGACCATGACTTTACACCCATCAGATTTGGAAAAGTTAATGAATGAGGGTAGGCATCAATGAGAATGTGAGAATACAGAGATCCTCACATACCAGGTGAATACGTAGAATGAACTGCCATTCTGGAAAACCATCTGTAGTACATATGTAAGTTATCTACATATATTTAACAGAATTATTTCATTCCTTATATGTATTCCCCAAAGTTTCTCACACTGGGTCACAAGGAGAGGATACAAAATCTTAATTACAGCACTGTTTGAGATAATGAGAAGTTGCAAACAATCTAGTTTCTATCACTAGGAGAAATGGAAAAGTAAAATATGGTGAAGGTAAACCATGGAATATCAAGTAACAGTTAGAAGCAACTGGCAAAATGGACACATAGAAATGCGAATGGATCTTAAAAGCCATAATGCAAGCTGAGTAAAAATAAGAAACAGAATAAGGGTTATATCATAATAGCAGGTACATGAGTTAACAATGCAGTAAGTGTACAAGAAATCAATAGTACAAATGTGTAAGAATTATATAAAATACAAAGTTTCCATCAAACTCACTGTAATGATTGTTTACAGAGATGGAAAGATGAATGGGATTAAGGAATAGGAATAAAACAGATTAATCAAATATTATAGAAACCACTGATGATAGCTAAGTAATATGATTAACTCAACTTGTGCAGCTGAGCTTTACTACACTAGAAAAAGAAAGAAAGAAAGATGGAAGGAAGGAAGGAAGATGAAAAAGAGTATTTGTACAGTCATTAATATATATCAACTCTTTGTTACAAAAAGGCTAGGAAATTTTACTTTCCTAAACCTGAGACCAACCCTAGGTGAGATCTACAAGTTAACTGCCAATCATGTTTGGCTGACGTTCACCTATACACTTATTGCATTTAGGCATATTTCATAATATTCAGGTTTCTTTATACTTTCACGAACTCAGCTAGAAATTTGTATAGCTTTAAATCATAGAAAACCCAAGCAAACTATAGCCTATGGACCAATTAGGTCTACCTTCTGTTTTTGTAAATAAAGTTATATCAGAACACAGCCAGGCCCATTTCTTTACATGTTGTCTGTGGCTGCTTCAGGCATTACAAAGGCAGACTTTAAGCTCCAACAAAGACCTATGGTCTGCAAAGCATACATTTTTTACTAGCTGACCCTTTACATTAAAAAAAGTTTCCTCTGAGGACTAATTTCAACAAACAGGATCTTTTTTGTTCCACATTAGAACTTTGAAGTAGGTAGTTACTGGTGTTGGTTCAGCAGTTTGATGCTGTTAAGAGGCAGCATGTCAGGCCCATCTGGCTATCCTTTTCTTAGCATTTCTCACAGGCTTGTTTCCTCGTGGCCACAAAATGACTGCTGCATGTCCAGCCATCATGATTTCAATTTAGAAAAAGAATAAGGGGGCATTATTGGCCATATCAGAAAACATAAAGCCCTATTGATAGCTTCTATCAGGCTTTAATTTATATCTCATTTGCCAGAAATGTACCTCCCTATCTGTAGGAAGTATAGAAAAGTGATCATTCTGCTTTTTCAGTCCCTTTAGTAGAGATGGGAGAGGAAGTAATGTGTCACAAATGGGAGTTGAGTTAGCAACTAATTAAATTATATCCCATGCCTGAATTGCCAAAGTTGTATCATGTTTCACTTCAAATATGATGCCTATAGGTGTATACTTCCTACAGTCCATGAGGGAAATGTGGATCTCTTAATTTTGTCAGCCTAAAAAATTCCCTCCCATTAGAAAGCTAAAGTAAAATTGTAATAGTAGCTACTAGAGTTAGATCACAATGCAGAACTTTAAAGGTTTACTCCTTTCTTCCTTTAACAAATAGCCTAAAATGACAGTGTAAGCACGTCCATATGTTTTGAGCTTTTTTGAGTAAAGTTGTACTGTTACCAGTACCTTTCCATAAATTAGAGAAAGTATTGTCACAAGGCTGGGAAGGCATGAGTGATGAGCCACAGCAAACAAGTTATCAACCACTGGGCCCTGCAAGGATGTCAAATGGGTATTGGTGGTGGGCAGAATTCTAAAACGTCCTCCAAGATGCCCCAACCCCTGCTATGCATGCCTTAAGTTAGGTCATGTCATATGACACTGTTTACTTTAAGAAAGAGCGGTTCCCAGGTCCATCAACAAATGAATGGATAAAGAAAGTGTGCCGTATATACACGATGGAATACTATTCAGCCATAAACAAGAAATTAAGAAAATAATTCTGAATTTATTAAGAATGAACATCTGTCATGTGTGGCAACATGGATGAGTTTGGAGGAGATTAAGTGAAATAAGATAGGTACAGAAAGATTAATACCACACGTTCTCACTGCATGTAGAAACTAAAAAGTTGAGCTCATAACGAAGAGTAGAATTGTGGTTATTAGAGGCTGGGAAGGGTTGAGGGGATGGGGAATATTGAGAAGTTGTTTTTTAAATGGTATAAGATTACAGCTAGATAGGAGGAATAAGTTCTAGTGTTCTGGCACCATAAGGTGACTATAATTAACAATATATTATATATTTTCAAATAGCTAGAAGGACAGATGATTAACATTCTCAACACAAAGAAAAATAAATGTTTGAGGTGATGAATATGTGAATTATCCTGATTTGAACATTATACTTTGTACACATGTATCAAAATATCACACTGTATCCCATAAATATGTACAATTATTATGTGTCAATTGAAAATAATAATAATAAAACCGAAAACAGAAAAAGGAAAATGAAAGAAAGATTCCCCAGGCATGCCTGGCTTCATCATGGAAGCTTTCTAAAAGCAAGCAGAGTATTCTCCAGTTGGTCACTGAAACGGAAGTCAGAGATCCAAAGCACGAGAAGGATTTGATGTGCCGTGCTGGCTTGGAGAGGGAGAGAATTACAGATTGCAACAGCCTCTAGTTGCTGAGAGCAGCTTGTTATTGACAGCCAGCAAGGAAACAGGAAGTCAGCTCTACAGCTACAAGGAACTGAATCCTGTCAACAACAGAAGGAGCTTTGAAGCAGATTTTTCTCTACAGCCACTAGATGAAAACCCAGTCCACCTGACACCTTGACATCTGCCTTCTGAAACCCTGAAACAGTCTGAATCAGGCTTTTGACCCCAGAACTGTGAACTAAAAAATGGGTATTTTTGAGCCCCTGAGTTTGTGGTGATTTATTATGTAGCAAAAGAAAACTAAAGCTGTACTTCAATTATTGTTAGTATTTGAACTGCATAAAAAATTCAATTATTTGGGATAATGGTGAGACTGACCAGATCAGTTTGCTTGGAAGATGGAACTGCAATGAAACATTAAAAAAATTGACTTCTGGCCGGGCAGAGTGGTTCACGCCTGTAATCCCAGCAATTTGGGGGGTTGAGGCGGGCGGATCGACCGCTCCACGAGGATCTCTCCTCGTGAGAGAATCTCTCCATGAGGTTAGGAGATCGAGACCATCCTGGCCAACATGCTGAAAATCCCGTCTCCACTAAAACAAACAAACAAACAAAAATATACAAAAATTAGCTGGGCGTGGTGGTGGGTGCCTGTAATTCCAGCTACTCGGGAGGCTGAGGCAGGAGAATCATTTGAACGAGGGAGCTGGAGGTTGCAGTGAGCCAACATCGTGCCACTACACTCCAGCCTGGTGACAGAGCAAGACTCCGTCTCAAAAAAAAAAAGAAAAGTTGGCTTCTTTTGGCCCACCTTCGGAGAGTTGGACAAACCAGCTTTAGGACTAGGAGATTAACATGATAGCTTCCAGCATGAGAGAATATCAAATAGGAAGACAGTTTCCATTATACCCAGGAAAACCTTTTATGAAAGAATAAAAACAATTAGAGAATTCCAGGCTATTGAAAATCCAGTTACATTTTAATATTATAGTATACTTGATATCCAAATATGATTAACTTGATTCTAAAAAGTAGAAAAGGAGAACTATGGGGAAATAGTTGCATTTAAAAGCAAAAATTTATAATCTTTCTTTCTCTTCCTCTCTCCACTTCCAAATAAGTCAGGGAACAAAAACTTGTTTGCCTTCATATTGTGTGGGAGAAATTGAACCATTTCTTCAGGAGATCAGTTTATGTGTGACAATATTCTGAGTAGAGAAATTAAACAGTTATGATCAAAACAAGTAATTTCACTGTCTCAAAACCCCCAGTTCCCTAGGTTAAGGACCTGCTCTCAAATAAAACTAGTTTAGTGTTTTTTCTCAGTCTGCAAATTAAGATACTTCAAAGGTCAATTAAAAGTGTACTGTTGTTTTTTACTAAAGTAAATAAAGAGCTTAAAAATATTAAAATACTATATAAATTTGAAATAAATATGAAGCAACATTATTATTTATTTCAAAGGATGCTAGATATTTATAGTGAAGTGCAAAGTATTATTCAAGAATAATTTCTCACTGAAATATTGTTGAAATTGTAAGTTCTAAATAAATGTGCATTTATAACTTAAAGTGTAATATATAACTTTCCATTAATGGTAGGAAACAATTTATTCTCTTTGGACATTATGCAGTAAGCATTTCTCCTGTTGCATCTGTCATATATTATGCAATTAGGCAGAATTTGGTGATAGATTAAAAAGGGAGAGTTTTAAAATTCAAAAATGCACTGATGATACTCTGAAATAATGAAAAGCATTGGATCTAAATCTGTGAATTAAATGCAAAAATGCTCCAGAAATGATGGAAATAATGTCATAACAGTGTTGCAGTACCGAACATTCTTTCACACTATCTGATTTCCCATGTAGAATGACTTGTTTGAAATTATCATCCGAATTTCTCTCAAAAACTTTCTAAAGTTGATATGAATTATTTTCTTAATTTCAAAAATGCAAACTCTAAGGCAGAAATGACTTTTACACAACAATCATTTTACATTTTACATATTATGTTACTCGCGATCACCTCTTCACTTTGTGTGCCATGATGTTATTATTACTTGCATTTTACAAATAGGGAAATATGTTGTTTAAATTATACTATGATTTTTCCTATATAGTACCATTATAGACGGTTGCTTTACAAAAGAAAAAATGGATAAATTTAAAAAGTGGAATAAGGACAGTAATTTTGCTAACATAAATCATGCTGCTATATACTCTAAGTCAATCCCAGATCAGTGATACAGGTATTTTTCTTTTTAAATAATTTATTTATTTATTTATTTTACTTTACGTTCTGGGATACAGGTGCAGAACGTGCAGGTTTGTTACATAGGTATGTATGTGCCATGGTGGTTTCCTAGGAGTCTGAATCATAACTGCTGTGGAGAAATGGGTAATAAACAGAAATCCGAAGTACTGAGTGATCTGCTTTCCACGGCATTATTAAGCCACATAGAATAATTCTTATTGGCGATAGATATCTAAGATTTTGTAAAATTTTAATTGACTTTAATTCAACTATTACAAAAATCAAGTTTAGCTCTGGAAGGTTCCTAGAATTTAGACATCACAATGTTACAGATACCCTCCACCTGAAAGTCTTAACACCTAGTGCCTCTCGCTAATCTCTGGTTTCGAGTTTTCCATTCATAACCAGAACATCTCTCTAGAGATGCTCTACACAGATGGTGCTCAGTCTGTGGGCATATTCCCTGCTCTTCATCCAAAATAAAAATGAACTTTTCATTTTCCATTTCTTTGAGTCTTCCCTGAGACACCTGCATGTGGTAATATAAGTAAATCAATCAGTAAATGATTGTGAATTGAGGTGTCACTGTCCTAGAAACCGATGTGTATATTAGTAAGTGCTTAATGTTCAAGAAATTGAGACCTCTTCCAGATAAGAGATTGAAGATGGATGAATACATTAATGAATAGATAAGACACCTTAATCTAAACAAATCATGATCACTTTGGGAACTTCCAGCAGGTATTTCAAGAGACACCAAGCCCTTTAACAGCTTTCACATCGCATGACATATGTGCTCATCCAAGCATAGGGCCGTTTCTTCGTGGAATCAAAATGAGGGTAGAGTGTCCAACAGAACATTATGCCCATGTGCCATTTCTGCATTTACCAATGCCTTTTCTTCTAGTTTTGAAGAAATAGTGTATTTATAGGTGGCTGTTTTTCACAAGGATGCCTTTATTTTCCCCAACTTTCTGAGATGTTTGCTTTACCTAAGGATAAATACTGCCAAGGCCAAACAAAGAGAATAAAATGATGTTTTCAGTGTTGGGTTACAGGGAATTTAGAAGTGAGATTGGTCCCAATACAAGCATCGCTTTTCTGGCATCATGCAGTTTTCATGGAACTTCACGTTGTTTTATCTTCATTCATCCTTCTAAGGGATTTTATTTATATTTTCCTCCCTGTAGACAGAACTCATATTTATTTTATTAAAATGTCTATAAACTGCTACTTTTTCATCTGCTTAGAAAATTAAGGAAAATTTATTAGCTGATTCTATGTAAATTGCTCTAGTTCAGTTTTCATTGAGGATAAATTTGTTTTCAATATCTGTTATGACAATTATATACAGCTACATTTTCAACCCTAATGCATTTTTAATAACTTCCCTCAGCAGCTAGTGATTTGAATTTCAAATTTCTCTCTGCCAAGAAGTTTCTAAAAAGTATATACCATTTTATAGCAGTTTCATATAAAAATTGATTTATGCTGCAAGATCACTCTCACAGTAAACATATCAAATGTCTAAATGAGACCATTAATACTCATAAGCTTATAATATGTATGTTCCAGATAGGGCGTAACACAAAGTTAAAGTTGGTAAAGAAATAATTGTATCCTTGGCTTATTTTTTCAGAAATCTCTCATTTAGGTTGCAAACATTTCATTCATTTGATTATTTTAATTTATTGCTATTGAGTGTTACAGCATAAATATCTTAAACTTGTAACTAACCAGTTACTTTGATTTTAGGGTATATCAAAGTAACTGCTTAGTTACAAGTTCAAGATATTTAAACACTCACAAATAGAACAGTTTGAGAAATCCACACTAGTCTATTTCTCTAAGCCATCTTGATGATGAATATTTTTTCCCAATTCTGGAGATCCAATATTTGGACTGGCCATTAATTATCTAAGAGAAAACAAAGATTCCACATCTCGCCTTTCTCATAAAAGGAGCTTCCTTTATTTACCTGCACCTCAGAGGCAACTATGACCAAATTTACAACTTGGCCAATGTACACTTCTGAAGAAAAAGGGTTAATGATTCTAGAAATGGAGCAAGCCATGAGGAATTATGGTTTAGTCCATGATTTTGTAAGAGCAAGAGTATATTTGAGCATAAAAATATTTAAAAACTTCTGTGATTTTTTTTGCCTTGATGGCTGATTGTCTAGGTCTTGGACAAAATAACACCATCTGATCCCTATGGTGACATTGAAGTCACCCACAGCCACCTGTCCTGTCCCAAGGAAACACCCATGGCCTCCAATAATGTGCTTTCTCCTTCTCCTTTGTAAATATAAAAAATTTTAAACAATTTTCTCTTTGTTAAAATAAATATATTCTCTCTTTAGAATTATTACTATTTCCTTAGGAGTATAGTTACATAGTATTGATAATTACTATAACCTTTGCTGTTTAGTCTTTTAACATTTATTCCACTAACAGCTACTCATTTAAGTGGCACTCTTTGCAATTTTTAAAAGCATTTCTTAAATTAGCTTTTTTCCTGTCAGGGCTCAACTTTTTTTTATTTGTAGCTCTCAATAATCTCGGAATTGAAATACCTGTGAAATACCACGGATGTTACTCTAAGGCTGATACCAAACTCCATGTCATCTAGAGAAAAGGGCTTATTATAAAGTTTAATTTTGCATGGATCTGCTTTTGCACATGGGCTTTGATATACACCTACCTTAACTTTAATTCTATTCAGTAGGCTTCCTGGGCAATTTCACTACAATCTGCTGTACTTCTAATTGCTTAATGAAAATATATGCCTGAATATACCATAGATGCCTCATACCATGCCAAGGATGACATTTTTCTTTACCAGTGAAAACTGCTCCTCATATGGTAACTGTTTCTGTGAGTGCAAAATCATGCATCCACCACCCTGTCTTGAAAAGATCAGAACTTTCATTCCTCTCTCTTCCATTTCCCCTATACACAGTCAGTTACAAAGTCTTTTTAAAAAGTTTTATTTGTATAAATTTAGGAAATACCTGTGCAGTTTTGCTACATGAATATGCTGTGCAGTAGGGAAGCCTAGGCTTTTCACCATGGCCTGAAGGGTGTACACTGTATCCATTAAGTAATTAATTCTACTTGACTGTGCCTGGAGAACGTCACCTAAATCTATCTCCTCCTTTCCATTCACGTACCTTTCTCCATTCAGGACTCTGACATCTATTTTTGGGAAGTGGGAATATTATAATATTTAATTAACTAGTTTCTCTGTTACATAGTGTATTACCCTATCCATTGGCTATGACACCACAAAAATGGATTTTTTTCTGAAATACCTATTTGAGAATATGACAAAAAACATTTTAACCCTTTCACAACTTCGCTATTGCCTAAAGATAAAAACTAAACTCATAGTAAGGTATTTATACCCAATTATTGCCCCATGCAATTTTTTTGGGCTCATCTTTCCCACTCCAGGCCTCCTTTCAGAGCCTGCCAACACTAGATAACTCAAATTCTCTTCAAATCATTGTGCAATGTAGCTTTTCAGTACTTGTGGTCACATTTTTCTTCATATAGTGCATTCCCCCATTATTTTACTTTGTCAAAACTAAGTAAACCTAAGAAGTCCCTTAAGTGTCACGTCCTTGGTAAAGTCCTAGTTGCCAGAAGCAGAATTAACTGTTCCTGTGTACTTTTAACATTGCACTCTACATTTAATCATATTTCATTATAGTTAGCTATTTATAAACCTTACTTCATCAGATTGTAAAATTTCAAAACAATAATGATAATAACTCTTAGTGTTGATTGACTCCTCCAAACACTCTTAAAATTTTTATATGTAGAAACTTAGTCAAGTCTCCTCCTGGTCCTAGAAGATTAGGACAATTACGATCCCTAGTGTACAAACAAGAAGAGCATCTTCATTTTCTGAAACTTGGGGTCTGCATTGTCACTACACATAGTGTCTCACAAAGATTTATATTACATTATATGATTACATTCATAATCATACTGCATTCATCATATATGAATTGGGCTTAATAGCAATTCCCCAATAAAGAGGGCAGATCTCTTTTCCTTGGTAGCACAGAGGCAACAACTTCTAGAGATGGATGTGCCCGTATGTTACTTATCTCACTCAACAAGTGCATATATTCCTATTGATGGCTTTTACCTTAATTTGAGCAATTCAGACTTGCTTAATAGTAATGTAATTTTGATGACTAGGAAGAATAGATCACATTTGAATGATAAAGAGTGGCGTTATAGAATAACGAAAGGATGGTAAAAGAGAATTTGAAGAAAACCAGATGTACGTCCTAAGGGAAAAAAAGAAACAGAAATCAGAATCATTGAACTAGTTAAGACAGTGGAAAGAAGAGACATAGTAAGGTTGATACAAAGAAACAAGCCTTAGGTAATATTTACTAAAATAAAATCAAAATCAGAAAAGGGGCCTTGCATACACTCTTAAAAAAAAACCTTAAAATTTGTACTACTGATGAATCATGCCTATGTTATTTTTCCATATCAGGATTGGTTGAACTTTGCTGTTTCAGTTCACCATCCATCACAGAAAAAAATAATAATAAAATTCCCAAAGGGAAACTTAAGTCACCGGGAAAGTGAATTACCTTTCCAATGCTATGAAAGGAAAGTTGTAATAATAAAAACTTTCATCTTCATAGCATTGCCACAAAAAGGTAAATTTTAGCTGTCATATCTACTGAACACAGTTACAAAAGAGCTTCAGGGAGCTTTAATTTAAAAAGTCTGTGTAGTTTTTAATCACAAGATGATTCCCTTAACTGTTCCTGTTCTCATTGGGCTCTTCATGCTGTTTTGCCGCTTCATTTTCACACATTGGAGGGAAAAATCACACACATAGAGCATGTGTGTTTCTGAAATGTTGATCACAGTTTTCCAATATTAATTTTTATCCAACCTACTTATATCAATACTCATATTCTCTTCCAGCTTTTTTGTTAGAATGAATGAAGTATCCCAGGTTCTGTCAAGGCCAAAACCCTATAATTACACACATAAACTTTCTCCTCATCACATTTCCTGCTTACTAGATCATTCCCATAGGCCTACAGGTGTGTTACCTGTAGGTAACATATATGTCATATTTGAAAACATACCTGCTACATGTCGTGGCTCAAAACTTCTTGAAAACATTTTCTAAGTAGCTGTCTTTTTCTCATCTATCATTCTCTTATAGGCTCCTTCAAGTAAACTTAGTCCCCATATTTGAATGAAACAGCTTTTGTCAAAGTCATCAAGGACCTCTGTGTCATAAATGAAATGGTCTCTTTGCTTTCATATTACTTAATCTCTTGTTGGTGTTAGCCATAATACCATTTGCTCATCTTTATAAATAGTTTTCTCTTGGTTTCCAATGATCTACTCTTAATGTTATTTCTCACCTTTTACTGTTCTTTTCCCTAGATTTCTATGCTGTTCCTTTTTCCTTCACTAGTCTTCCAAACGTTGGATTGCTAATTATCTTCTTTTTCTTCTCTGTCTTTCCCAAGGACATTTTATCCAGAACTATAGAATAAGGTACTATCAATATGCCAAAGATAACCAAAGGAACAACTTTAGCAGTGACATTTCCCTCACCTCAGCCCATAACTATTTATCGAATTGACTACTTGACATTTCAGTTTGAATGCCTAATAGACATTTGAAATTTAACATATATGAAGTAAAAGCTTATGATTTTTACCCAAAGCCAGATCTTCTAGGCTTCCTCATCTCCATGAACTGCATCATCCTTGACATTGTTGCTCAAGCCCAAACCCACAGATCATGCATGAGTTCTACCTTTCATTCACACCCGACACTTAATTCATAAGTAAGTCCTGTCCGTTTTTACACACCATATCCAAAATTTGTCCTTTTAATCAAAAACAATGAAATAAGGCTTATTGCAATCTATTTTTGCTATCTTTCAGTTTAGAATATTTGCTTTTGTGATATCTATTTAGCCCTTTTGCATATTGCTCCTTGGCATATGCTAATTTTCAAATATTTAGAGCTTTCTAGATAATACATTGTTATTGATTTCACATTTAAAACATCTATGGTCAAAGAACACAATATTTTTCAATTTATTAGGACTTGTTAATATTCTTGAACGTGGTCTACTTTGTTGACCATGTCATGTGAACTTGAAAGTAACCTTTATTCTATAGTTGTTTTGTGTATTGGTATAAAAGTATCAAGTCAAAGTGGTTGATTGTGTTAAGTCTGATCTCATATCCTTGCTGATATATATATTTTTTCTAGCTAGTCTATCATTTGGTGAGAAAGGGAGGGGGTTAAAATCTTCAATATAGATTGTGAAATTGTTTCTTTCTTCCTTTAAATCTGTCAAATTTGCTTTATGTATTTTTAAGTTCTGTAATTAGTTCCATAAAATTTGTGATTTTTATTTGTCCTGATGAATTGATACTGTTGTCATCATGAAACAACCTGTTTATCTTTGGTAATACTCTTTGTCCGGAAGTCTATTTCTCTGATTTAATACAGCCACTCCAAATTTCTTATGATTACTATTTTCATGGCCAATCATTTTTTCCATCCATTTGCATTCAGGCTATTTGTATATTTAATGTGCATCTTTTGTAGACAGCCTATTGTTAGGTCTTGATTTATTTCCATTCAAATAATTTTTCCTTTTTAATTGGAATGTTTACTAACACAACGTAATTATTCATGGATTGGCTTTAAATAAACTATTTTCTTCTTTGTTTACATTTTTCATATTTTTGTTGTTGTTGTTTTACCTCTTTTCTCCTTTCTTATTTTCTTCTGGAATTTTTGAATATTATTTAAAATTCAATTTTAGTTTATTCACTTTTGAGCTACATATTTTTATGTTAACTTAAAAATGTTATTCTGGGGATTACAATAAACTCCTTAATTTTTCCAAGTCTACTTATACTTAATATTGTACCACTTTATGTAAGCCATGAAAATCTTACAATGGTATGAGTCCGTTTTACTCACCACCAACATCTTTACATTATATTTATCACATATATTAAATATTCATACATTATAAATCATGTATACATATATAATGACAAAGTTAGTATTTTATATTTACCTATATATTTATAATTCTTGATTCCCTTCATCTATTCCTGAAGATTCAAGTCCTCTGGTATAATCTGCCTGAAGAACTCACTTTCAACACTTTTGGAGTATAGATCTGAAGGAAATAAATACCTTTAGGTGTTTTTTCTTCTTAATCTGAAAGTGACTTTATCTCACCTTCATTTTAAAGGATATTTTTCACAGACATAGAATTTTTGGTTGAAGATACTTTTTTGTGTGTGTGTGTCATCCTAAAGATGTCCCACAGACTTTTCTGGTTTCCAAGATCACTGCCCTCCAAATCACTGACCCCCAGTATGTCATGTCTTTTTTCTCTGGGTGCTTTGAAGATTTTCTTTCTCTTTTATGAAAGACCTGGTAGGCATGATTCTTTTTCCAAACATCCTGCTTCAAATTCACTGAATTTATTAAATCTGTAAATTCATGTCTTTCAACAAATTTGGGAATTTTTCAGCCATTATCTTTTTCAAATTTTTTTCTTTCTCATTCTCTTCTTTCTTTGCAATGGGAATACTAACTAGGAAATTGTCCCTTAAGTCCCAGAAGCGGTTTTACTTCTTTGTTTTTTAAAAATTCTCTTTTTCATAGCCAGTGATTTTTTGTTGTTGCTGTTGTTCTATCTTTAAGTTCACTATTTCTTCTATTATTTTCTTCCTGCTATTAATCCTACCCAGTGAAATTTAAATTTTGGATGTCTTACTTGTAGTTCTAAAATTTCCATTTAAGATTTCTCTTTTTTCTCCTTTTTGCAGGTGAATTTTGTTTTTGCTTTTTTAAAAAATATATTGTTTAACTTTTATTTTAGGCTAGGGGTGTATGTGCAGGTTTGCTATATAGGTAAACTTGTGACTGGGGGTTTGGTGTACAGATTATTTCATCACTCAGGTACTAAGCATAGTACTCAACAGTTTTTTTTTTCCTGAAACCTCCTTCCATCCACCCTCCTCCCTCAAGTAGATCCCAGTGTTTGTTGTTCCTCTCATTCTGTCCATATGTTCTCATTATTTAGCTCTCACTTATAAGTGAGAACAGGTGGTATATGGTTTTTCTGTTCCTGCATTAGTTTGCTAAGGATAATGGCCTCCAGTTCCATCCATGTTATACATGATCTTGTTCTTTTTTCATGGCCACATAGTATCCATATGTACCATATGGTGTATACGTACAACATTTTCTTAGGTTGGTTCCATGTCCTTGGTATTGTGAATAGTGTTGCGATGTACATATATGTGCATGTGCCTTTATGGTAGAATGAGTTATATTAGGATTTCTAAAAAAAAATAATTTTTGTTTTTCTGCCAAAAATACTTTTTTTAAAATTAAAAGAGTAAGGATATTTTCATTCACTTCATCAAGCATAGGCATAATAGCTGGTTTTAAATCCCATTCTAATAATTCAGAATCTGAATCATATCAGGTTGAACATTTGCTGATTTTCTTTTCCTTTTAGATTGGACTCCATTTTCATAGTATTTTTTATCTTGAGGAATTTTGGATTTTATATTGGACATTGTAATTGTCACGTGTAGCCTCTGGATTCTGTTACATTTATCTGAGATGGTTAGTGTTTTGTTTCAGCCAGCAATTACCTTGCTTAGACTGAATTGCCAAATGCTACACCTGTGGTGGGGTGTGGCTCAAACTTCAGTGAGATGCTTAAGCTTTAGTTGTGAGTTGCTTTCAATTTGCCACTTCATAACTGGTTCAAGTGTCAGCCACACTCTCATTCTGAGTTTATGTACATATTTAAGAGCTCCCCTTCTCTAGCATTCTCTTTGGTGGAGTTTCTTCCTCCCTTTCTGGCAGCCTAGATTTCTCCTGGTTTCTGAACAATGATGCCGAATCTTTCTGTGGTTGTTTTAGTCAGCAGTTCCCAACCTGTTTGGCACCAGGGACAGGTTTCATGGAAGACAATTTTTCCATGGACCAGGGGGTTTGTGGGGGCTGGGGGACAGTTTCGGGATGATTCAAGCATATTGCATTTATTGTGCACTTCATTTCTACTATTATTACATTGTAGTACATAATGAAATAATTATACAACTCACCATAATGTAGAATCAGTGGGAGCCCTGAGATTGTTTTACAGCAACTAGATGGTCCCATCTGGGGGTGATGGGAGACAGTGACAGATCATCAGGCATTAGATTCTCATAAGGAGCGCACAGCCTGTATCCCTTTCATGCGTAGTTCACAATAGGGTTTGTGCTCCTATGAGAATGTAATGCTGCCACCGATCTGACAGGAGGTGGAGCTCAGGTGGTAATGCCAGCCATGGGGAGCAGCTGTAAATAAACACAGATGAAGCTTTGCTCCCTTGCCCACTGCTGCTCACCTCCTGCTATGCAGCCTGGTTTCTAACAGGCCACAGCCCAGCACTGGTTCATGCCCTGGTAGTTGGGAACTGCTGGTTTTAGTCATCCCATTGCCATGGCCAATATTGCTTTGGTGTGACTACATCTGCCCCCAGCCTAAAGCTGCACCCAGAGAAAGGGAGAAGCTGTCATTCCCTTGATTCCAGATCTGACTTTCCTCCAAAATGACTAGCTTTTTTCAGAGACCCAGGGACTTCTTTGTTTTTGTATTTTGTCCAGTGTAAGGTAAATGGATGTGCTTTGGTCAAGTACAGGCCGAGGTAAACATCCTGCATGACTCAGCAGGATCGGAGTGCAGGTGCACAATTCCATGCATTATGTAAACACAGCTATGTAGCCATAACACGGGAAGGCTCATTACCTGGCTTGGAGCCACTATTGTTTGTAAAAGGTCTAACTGCCCTGCTGACGCTGTGCATATGGCATGCCCAGAGAAAGAAAGAGAGCCAGAGTGGTCTCTGCAAATGTGTTAGTTTTGCAGTTGAACATGGGGGAGCCAGGGCACAGGTTGGGCTTGTGCCCAGAGAGACGGTGAAGTTGCTGACTCTGTAAGGGAGAGCCGGTTGCCTGAAGGCAGGCCGCGGGGAGCCAGAAACCAGCTTGGGCTGAGAGGGAGAGAGTGAAGCTGCTGACCCTGTAAGGGAGAGCTGGCCATGCAGCTGTGAGTGGGAGCGGCAGGAGCCACAGCAGCTGCTGAGAAGGGCACAGCTGGAGCAAGCGGCTGAGATAAAGGTGGACAATGTAAGTAAGCTGCTGATGAGACAGACAGTGTGAGAGAGCTGCTGAGTAAAGCCATGTGTCATCTACCTGTCGTTTCTTGAGTGTTCTTCCAGCTCCCTACCCCCAACCACTCACTCCCCTCGGACCTCAGCTGGGGCTTGAACCTGACATCCAGAGTTTCTATATGTCATCTGTGGGAGAATTATACTGTCAGAGGATCACTGTTATGTACTGGAAATGAAAATACAAAGTGGTATTTTAAGACTGTAATGCCAGACCCAGGCTTAAAACCCTGTCATTGACTCTCATCACTTGTAGTCTAATTCAGTTTTTATGACCTCTTTTCCTACACTCCAGTCACAACAGATCTCTTTCAGGTCCTTGATCACACCGAATTGTTCCTGCCTCATTTTTTTTTTGGTAATGGTTTTTAAAAATTTTTCTTTCTTCTTGGAATGATCTTTCTTTATATCACCGAATTTGTTAAGGATTGAGTCTTTTTCTTTTCAGTTGAGTCTTAGCCTACTCATATCTATAGCTGTTATCCATTAATTCTGTATTATCCTATTTTTTTAAAAAATAAAGACACATTTATTACATATTTACATTGTTTTATGTTATCAAGAAGTGAAGATCAGTGATAGACTAGAGGACCATCTTTCTAATACTGTATCCCCAGTGCATGGCCCAGTGCTACATTCATGGTAAGGGCTCCGTAAACATGTCTGATGATGTTAATGAGTTGGAGTTCCATGCCAGGCTAACGGATAGACCATGTTTTGACGATTCACAGAATAACTCAAGGAATGAAGTTTGCCTTGAAATTCACAGCTCACAGTGGAAGCTAAGTGATTTTTAAAGAGGCAATCTGTAAGATAAATAGGAGTTGGCATTTTCCTTAGCTCTGAGCACTGCCATGGAGTGCCTGTGATTGCCTCTGTGGGATAATGAGTGGGCAAGCTAGTAAAAATCAAGAGAATATAAAATAAGGAGGAAGGGCTGCTCCACATGCCTCCTAGAGATGACCCTTTCTCTTCATTTGGCTGACACATTACCACCACTAGTTTGGCCATTCAAATATCATCTTTGCAGAGAAGTTTTACCTGAGTTCCAAATTAGGTAAAATGCTCTTTCTTCAGCAATCTATAAATACTTCTCCATCTGTACTTGCTATATTGAATTGAAGTTATTTGTGTATTTGCGTCTTTTCCACTAGAATGCAAGCTTTTTCGGGGCAAGACTGTGTCTCACACATCTTTGAATTCCCAACCAGGAGTGGAATGCCTAGCGTAGAGCAGACACTCCACGCCCATCTGTGTCCAAATTACCAATCCTTATAGTGGGGTTAGAGTACTAGAGTGTGTCTATTTTTTTCAGATAAAAGATAGCTGAGTCCAGAGATAACATAATAATGCTTCTTGACAATTTTTCCTGTTTCATTTGTAAATAAAAATAAACTGGGCCGGGTGCGGTGGTTCGCGCCTGTAATCCCAGCACTTTGGGAGGCCGAGGCGGGCGGATCACAAGGTCAGAAGATCGAGACCATCCTGGCTAACACGGTGAAATCCCGTCTCTACTAAAAACACAAAAAATTAGCTGGGTGCAGTGGCGGGCGCCTGTAGTCCCAGCTACTCGGGAGGCTGAGGCAGGAGAATGGTGTGAACCCGAAGGCGGAGCTTACAGTGAGCCGAGATCGCGCCACTGCATTCCAGCCTGGGTGACAGAGCCAGACTCCGTCTATAAATAAGTAAATAAATAAATAAATAAATAAATAAATAAATAAACCGAGCTGTACTGGCTAGAGAGCTCCAACTAGTATATGTCACTAACCAGCAGGCAGGAACTCTGACCAGGCATCCAAATAAGATATAATATGCTCAGCCCATCAAAATTTTACTTACAAACTAAATATCATGGACTCACATTTTTACAAACTGGCAGTTCCTCATTAAGTTAGGTTTCACTTTATTGCCAAAGTCATAATCATAGTTATAACACAAACATATCAGCAAGACTTTAGAATTCAAATAATTGCATATAATGAGATTGAGAAGTATTATGCTGGCTGTTTATGACATCATATATCAAATAATCTTTAGAGATATATAACAATTTTAAAATTCGTCTACTCATGAGAAAACCAAACATACATGAGCTAGTAAGTGACTGGACAGAAAGTTGTATTCTCTGGCAGTAAATCTATATCAATGTATGGAATACTTGGCTGGGTATGGTAGCTCATGCCTGTAATCCCAGGACTTTGGGAAATCAAGGCAGGAGGATTGTTTGAGATCAGGAGTTTGAGACCAGCAACATAGCAAGACCAATGTCTATTTATATTTAAAATATTTTTAAAATTATGTATATATATATACACACACACACACACACACACACACACACACACACACACACACACACGTAGAGACAGAAGATGGTTCCTAGAGTTTTACAAGCTCAAATTTTAAATGATTACTAGTTAATATTCATAACTAATAATAATAAATACTAGTTATTGTCAAATAATCTATTTTTAAAAAAGAAATTAGAACAATATATTACATAAAATAAAATTCCACAAATTCATTACATTATCCAGGAAAACTTACTCCATGTATGACCAATGAGAAATTAAAATCTTTACTGAGCATTCTACCAATTAAGCAACACTGTTCTACAACTCTTGAGTTTTGATCATGAATCCTTTGTATTACTATAAAATACCTAGCTGTGTTTTGATGTTATCATGAAAGATATATTTAGCGTCATTTTGGGGTTATATTTTACATTCTTTTAATTCTTAGGAGATTGATATTTTATTCCAAGTATTTATGCCTTATCTCTACACATCAGCATATTCGATGATCATTTTCTTGTTAAGGAGCTTACAAAACAGCAAATGCCATATACGTTAACAATATCATTAGCACTGTTAAAGGCAGCCCCCTAATTTTTATCTAGTAAATATTGTTCACAGTTTACGCCAAGTAACAAATGCATAATTAACCTCAATAGAGAGAAAATACCTACTCAGCACCTTAGGAAAGGATTTGGTTGAGTTATGAGTCATCTCATTTTGCAAAGTAGCAATAAAAATGAGTCTTTGGTTTTGCACAGAGGTAGCACTGGCATTTACAACAGATAATTAAAGGAGAAAAATAACTTCTGCATTTTATCAGAAAAGGGCATTTTTCCCAAGCCATTAATTTTTGCCACTGAAGATTTCATTTATCAAAGAAATATCTCCACAAGTCTTCAAGGGCCCAGTTATTCCCCAGGGACTCCCAGGACTGTGACTTACCTTATGAAAGTTTCTGAAATAAGCTGCCTTTTCATCTGGAAATTTTTCTAACCTTCTGGGTCCTTTGCTAGAAGCCTTCTTGAAAACCAACCAGCATCGTCTGAAAATCTGAAAGCAAATAAAGGAATCCCATTATCCATATTTTTACATGAGTTTACGACATTAGGAGTTGATTCAATTAATCAATTTTTTAAGTGTACTTCAGAGAGGAACTGTTTTTGATTGACAAACATGTTCTTAATTAAGATTACAGTATTTTTAAATATGATATTTCATGTAAAATAATTTTTTGTGAAAAGATTTCGTTTTGAGGTTTTCACTGTACTGGCTGATTTTAGTAGTCTTTAATATAACTAAATCATCTGGATGTCAGTACCATATAAATTATTATCACCATCCTAGTGACAGACAATTCTCCATCTTCCATGCTAGTGCAGTGGCAGGTTAACAAAGTTAAGTGAAGCACTTACATAATAATTATCTATCTTTGAAAAAAATCACATTTGAAAATTTACTTATCTTGTAGAATTTTAGATTTTTAAAAACAGATGTTCATTAGTAATTTTGAAAGCAGCAAGAAATATATTTTTATTATGAACACATGTGTCTCACACTTTTGAACTTCTGTAATAGGAAGTATTTATTAAATACATGCAATAAATTAAAATTTATATACATATTTAATACTCATAGTGAAATGAGATTAATGTAAAATAGGCATTACTTTCATTTCAAGATGAAGTTTGTGCCAATGTCAGGATTTGAACACACACACCTGAATCTTTTTTTTTTTATTATACTTTAAGTTTTAGGTTATATGCGCACAATGGGCAGGTTTGTTACATATGTATACATGTGCCATGTTGGTGTGCTGCACCCATTAACTCGTCATTTAACATTAGGTATATCTCCTAATGCTATCCTTCCCCCCTCCCCCCACCCCGCAACAGGCCCCAGTGTGTGATGTTCCCCTTCCTGTGTCCATGTGTTCTCATTGTTCAATTCCCACCTATGAGTGAGAACATGCGGTGTTTGATTTTTTGTCCTTGTGATAGTTTGCTGAGAATGATGGTTTCCAGCTTCATCCATGTCCCTACAAAGGATATGAACTCATCATTTTTTATGGCTGCATAGTATTCCATGGTGTATATGTGCCATATTTTCTTCATGCAGTCTATCATTGTTGGACATTTGGGTTGGTTCCAAGTCTTTGCTATTGTGAATAGTGCTGCAATAAACATACGTGTGCATGTGTCTTTATAGCAGCATGATTTATAATCTTTTGGGTATATACCCAGCAATGGGATGGCTGGGTCAAATGGCAGTTCTAGTTCTAGATCCCTGAGGAATCGCCACACTGACTTCCACAATGGTTGAACTAGTTTACAGTCCCACCAACAGTGTAAAAGTGTTCCTATTTCTCCACATCCTCTCCAGCACCTGTTGTTTCCTGACTTTTTAATGATCGCCATTCTAAGTGGTGTGAGATGGTATCGCATTGTGGTTTTGATTTGCATTTTTCTGATGGCCAGTGATGATGAGCATCTTTTCATGTGTCTTTTGGCTGCATAAATATCTTCTTTTGAGAAGTGTCTGTTCATATCCTTCGCCCACTTTTTGATGGGGTGGTTTGTTTTTTTCTTGCAAATTTGTTGGAGTTCATTGTAGATTCTGGATATTAGCCCTTTGTCAGATAAGTAGATTTCAAAAATTTTCTCCTATTCTGTAGGTTGCCTGTTCACTCTGATGGTAGTTTCTTTTGCTGTGCAGAAGCTCTTTAGTTTAATTAGATCCCATTTGTCAATTTTGGCTTTTGTTGCCATTGCTTTTGGTGTTTTAGACATGAAGTCCTTGCCCATGCCTATGTCCTGAATGGTATTACCTAGGTTTTCTTCTAGGGTTTTTATGGTTTTAGGTCTGACATTTAAGTCTTTCATCCATCTTGAATTAATTTTTGTATAAGGTGTAAGGAAGGGATCCAGTTTCAGCTTTCTACATATGGCTAGCCAGTTTTCCCAGCACCATTTAGTAAATAGGGAATGCTTTCCTCGTTGCTTGTTTTTGTCAAGTAAAAAGAGTCTGCATTGCCAAGGCAATCCTAAGCCAAAAGAACAAAACTGGAGGCATCACACTACCTGACTTCAAACTATACTGCAAGGCTACAGTAACCAAAACAGCATGGTACTGGCACTAAAACAGAGATATAGACCAATGGAACAGAACAGAGCCCTCAGAAATAATGCCACATATCTACAACTATCTATCTTTGACAAACCTGACACGTCTGAATCTTAAGCTTTGATTGAAAAAAAAACCCAGACTACTAATTACACTGACACAAACCATAATTTCTGAACCTTGCCTTTATTTTATAGGACTGATTAATATTAGACCTGTAAATTGTTCATTATCTACTTTCCACCATATCACACTCCCTCAACAGATATGTTTAAAGACAAGGTAATAAAATGAATCTTTCTTTCCAATAATTGAAGAAGTCTAAAAATGCAAATTGGCCACAACTTTTAAATTTAAAAATCTAGTGTATTCTTTGCTGGTGGATAATTTCTTTATGCCCATGAGGAAATCAATAGAAGGAAACTTCTGAAATCTAGATCACAATATTTCTCTTCTATGTCTTCATTTAAATTGCAAAGTTGTCATATTGTTTTTTTACAAATATAGCCTAGATAATATAATTCCTTTGAAGTGTGCATTGCTTATTATTCACTAGAAGACAGTCTTTTCCATGTTAAAAGGCATTCTTGCAACAATCACATAAAGGCCTCTCATTATAAAAGTAGAACAACCAAGCATATCCGTAAGTTGATTTTACTCTTTCTTTCTTACATCCTTTTCAGGAGCCTTGAAAAGCATGTGCAGGATAACCCTGAACTTCCTACACACATGAACATGCCTCTCCTCTGCCTGATCAGATGCACCTTCCCTAACAAACACTTCCTAACCATTAACCTGAAAATTATGAACTATATTACTCCTTTAGAGCTCCTGGTGTTCTTTCTACATAAAGCTCCTGTATTTCACACATAATGTTGTAGTTATGTGCTTATTTGGCCCCTTACTTATCCACACTCCCAAAGTGAAATGTATTTAAAAAAACAGATGATTAGAATATGATCAGCATATGGTTTGTCTACCTTTAATTAACTTAATTCTACATAGATTTATTTAGTGCTGTAGAATTCTGCTTTTGAACTTAAATGAAGTAATTACATTTCAAGTGGTAACAGATTTTGGAAATGCAAACATCAAGAAGAGACAGTTTGATATAGTGGAAACTTAATAGAGCTCTGGAATCAGACAGACATAGGTTTACATTATGGCTATGCCACTTACTAGCTGTGCAACCTTACACAAATTACTTAGTGTCTTAGCTGATAAAGAAGGGTACCTCAAGAAACAGACGGAGGATTTACCAAGATGGGCTTATGTTCTAGTACACAGCATACTCTCCACAAGGCTCAGCCATTTCTCAAGCGCTTTTTTCTTATAGAGTAGGTACAATTTTCTGCACATGACAAAGCCATATGAAGGGACACTTTTTTCCTAGTGATATACAATTCTAATAAATATTCAGCTCCAGAATATTCAGATGCAAATATTTTGCAACCAGAAAAATTAGAGCACCATATAATTTTTTAAATAGAAAGCATATTAATGATCTCCCAAGTACAGACTATGAAACTACAAATATTGGACTTGGAATTCCAGCTCAGCCCTTGCTGGAGCCACATAACTTTGGGCAAGGCATTTATCTCTCTGAGCTTGTGTCCTTAAATTAGCTACGGACAATTAAGTGTTAAGTGTTAAAAAATTAAGTATGTAAAGCTCATGCCGCAGTGCATAGAAGGTAGTCAATAAACACAGGGTATTTTAATTCAAAATGGATAAAATGCTCTTGGCAACAGACCTTGTTCAGTGCATCTATAACCAATATGGGTATTTACATGTACTTTACAAATTATTGCTTGCATCAGTATAGTTTTAAAGTTTTCAAATGATTTTCATAATTACGAGAATTATATATAGTATCAATAAACAAAACCGTTTATTCCATTGAATACACATATGAGTTCCTACTATATTTCACAGTAGTTTGGAATATTTGTTAAGCAATATAACTATTTATATTGACATTCACTAATACATGACTGAAAAGAAAAGAAAAAAAATCGGCATCAAATTTGGTTTTCCTAAAATTACTCTCTTCACCATATAGCATGAAATTTTTGGGCAGGATAAATCACTTCACTCAGTCTTTAGTGAAATTCACACTTTTGTATTAGAATTCAGGATGTGATATTGTAATGCCTAAAAACAGTTTTTTAGTCACAACAATTTAATTTTTAGTGCAGGTTCTGCTATTCATTAAACACTTCCACTTGCAGAAGTTAAATTAAGATCAATATACCTCATGAAGATGCTCTTTGAGGATTACAAGACATAGCCTGAAGAAAGCATCTGGCATGTGAATTTGAAAAGTAATCCACAAACTCTTACCTGAAACTCTTGGGTTTCTGATACTGCCATGACTGAACTGCATCCCACAGAATTCATCTACTGATGCCCTAACTCCCAAGGTGCTAGTATTTGGAGATGGGGCCTTTGGGAAGTAAGTAGGGTTACATGGGGTCATGAGGGTTGAGCCTTGATAATGGGATTAGTGCTCTTACAAGAAGACATAGGAGACAACTTGCTTTCTCTCTCTCTTTCTCTGCTTACTCACAAGGAAGAGGTCACATGAGCACACAGTGAGAATGTGGCCATGTGCAAGCCAGGAAGTAATCCTTCACCAGAACCCAATGGGGCTGGCACCCTCATCTCAAACTTGCAAACTCCAGAACTGTGAAAAAATAAATTTCTGTGGTTCAAGCCACTAGCTATATGAAATTTTGTTACAGAAGCTGGAACTGACTAAGATACTTTTAGATATATTTTTTTAAAACTAGCAGTGATGGTAGGATAGTGCTGGTTGTGGTAGTTGTCAGAGTAATAATATTGGGGAAGTAAAAAACAGTTACATGAATCTAAGATTTGAGAGACTGCTAACAGAAAAAGATATCTGCAAAGTGGGATGTATAGAGATTATCAATATTTTATCTTTTAGCTATTCATTAATGGATTTGGAGTCTTAATTGAGGAGTAAAATTGAGACTCAAATCCCTAGTAATATAGTTGTTGTCTTTTTGTACAGAACAATGCTTTCCCCTGTACTGTCTGTCACTTTGTTACTCATAGCTTGGGAACAATCATGATGTTAAATGAAACCTTACAATATTCGTGGAAATATGTAAATACACATACTTGCTGACTGTAATTCCCCATCTGATGTTACTGTAGTTATTTTCTATTAAAGAGTGAGTTAAACATGAGCCAGAAGGCATATTTCTATGTAGGCACTCAATATTGTTTTAAAATAAACCTAATAATAGATAATAAGGAAAAAATAGATTTAATATTTTTGACAGCATCTTATCTCTTTGCTATTACATTAAGAAAGGCAATCACACAGAGATAAGACTGATTTTTAAAGATTCTATGTAATAGACTGTTTACCAAGTTGAAGCCCTTAAGTTATTATTTTTTTTCAATCTTGGAATAAGTTTAGGTTTATAAACAGTTGCAAAAATGGTGGAGTTCCTGTATACTCTATACAGCTTCCTCTGATAGCATCCTATATAACAATGGTACATTTTCAAAATGAATGCACTCATATTGGTCAAATACTATTAACTAAACTAAAGATTCTGCTCAGATTTTGTCAGATTTTTCTCGTCCTGTTCTGTTTCAAGATCTGACACAGGATATCAAGTTGCATGTAGTTGTTCTGTCTCCTTAGTCTCCTCTGATATGTGACACTTTGTTTTTCGTGACCTAAACAGTTTGGAAGTCTAATGGTTAGGTATATTGTACAATGTCCTTCATTTCTGTTTGTCTTAATTAAGTTATGTTTGATATTTTAAAAGTCTAATAAACATCTCATCAAATAATGAAAGCATATAATTTATTAGGAAATATGAATTCACCATGGCTATGGACTAGTCATATTTTGATCAGATCTCTGGCTGAATTTTAAACTTAAAGTAGCAAAAAAAAATCATTTAATAAATGCAGAGTTCCATCTTCTACCCCTCTTTGGACATGGTTTTTCAAAGTATTTTGCTTTTTAATAGGAGTAAAATAAAAAGGGCACTGGAGTGGAGAATTTGCAAGTGTCATTCTGTGTCAATGTAAAATCAAATTAAGCATGAGTCAGCACACTAAAAGCCACCTCCGTACCAGAAGTATAAAATAAGCAGAAGTACAAGGAGATCACCTTTTCTGTACTCTTCATCAAACCAGATTTTATTAGTGCATTAGGATCTGCTTTAGGCCCTATAACTGATGCCTTATGTGAGAGTGTTGGAGAAATTCCAGGACTGAACAGCAGAAATGACTGCCCGAGACCAGGAAATCACTCCTTGGAGAAAAAAGAATAATAAAGGAATAGGTTTTATTTTGCTTGTAAATGAAAGATACACATTCTTTGAGTACATGAAAGAGCACCACATGAATGAAATGCAGTACCTTATTTTTATTTGCCTCCCATGAGAATGGGACATAAATTAATGACCTCCATTAGCAGTAGGTGGGAAGAGATGGGGCAGTCTCTTCGGGTACTACTTGGCTTTCAAGGGCATCTCAAGGTACAGAGACCATTGGCTGGTTAACAACAGAACCTATTGCTTACAAGAAAATGTACCTTCCCAGTGTCTGTCTTACGGCAGATGACATTCCTTCCCCATCATTTCAGGATGCTGTACCACTTTATCCTGGGGGATTAACTGATTTCACTTTCTCATTCAAAACTATCTCCTAAACATGCCAGTTATTTCATCAAACAGGCTCCTAGGTGCCCCTCCGATTCCCATATAGAAAATTCCATGTTGTTGCTAGGACTCCAGGAATTCCCAGGATCACAGCTGGTTCACACCCTCAGCTTTCCACTGTGTTAACCAGCCAGCCAGCATGCCATCATTAAATACCTTCTTAATCCCCTTCCATCTGATGAAAACCATTTTACCGCATAGCAATCTCTTTTCCTTAGTTCTTTCTCCTTTTCAAGGTGATTTTACACAAAGGATATCCTGTTTCCATTTAAGACTCACTGTGAAGTAGGTGGCAGATTTCTTGGCTTCAGTTCATAGCCGTAATTACGTTATTTAGCTAGGACTCATTCACAAGCTCTGCCTTAACCAGAAGTTGGATTTAATGGGCCTGTTTTATCACAAGCTGTTGACCCAATGAACTCTGCACTTCAAGTAGGATTTTGGTTAGAAACTCGGAAGAATTTTCAGTTACAGAAGTTGTCAAACCTGAGAGTCAATTGCTCTAAAGGGGGTGTTAGAAAGTTTGTTCCTTGAGATTTAAAAAATTATAGAACGAAGTGTCGTAGCTGGAGTGGCTAAGTTTGTGTTCCGTTCTGAAAGCAAGATACCATGTGAATGACATCTTGGGGAATAAGATTTATTATTAATTTATAACTGTGTATCAGACAAACACATCAAGACAACAAATGAATAAACAAATCAGCAAAGCCCATCCAGAAGAGTTATTTACAGGTTTATGCTATGAGTAATTTCAGTTACTTGGTCTTAAGTGTTTGCCCTTTGACAAAACGTGTGTAGTACTATTGAAAGACACACTTGGTTTGTGTAAAAAAGTAGTCAGTGCACAGGATTCACTTTAACGCACTGATGAGTTTAGCTTTAGCTATCTTTTCAATAGAGAAATGAGTTTTGCTCTATCTTAATACTAGCTTATATTTAATGGCTGTTAAATAGATAGGTAGATCCATAGATAGGTACACAGATAAATATAATGCTACAATTCCTCTTATTCATTCATTCATTTATTCAAAAAGTACTTGAGAGTTTTACATTCTCTGGATAGAGTAATAAAAAAGAATTTAAACGAATAAAATAATAACAACAAAAACCAAGTTTCTGCCCTTATGGAAACAAAGTTCTGGCTGCATGAAACTACCATTTCAATATCGTAGATGGGTGGACAGCAAACAAAGAAGCACATTTGTAAATAGCTTTTTTTATTTTAATTTTTTTTTGCTATGTGCTATGGAGAGAATTATGCACAAGGATGGAGAAGGGAACATTGGGTGTGGTGAGGAAAGGCTCAACCCCCAGGGAGATTTTTAGGAGCAGCATTAGAGAACATGAAAGAATGAGTGATGCAGACATCTGAGGAAAGAGCATTTCAGCCAGAGAGAATTGCACAGGTAAATACCCTGATGTGGGAGCTTCTGAACTGCTTCAAGAGCTGCAAGGGGCCAGCGTGGAGGGCAGGGAATCAGAACAAGGTGGCTGGAGTTGAGAGAGACAGGGACAAGCCAGGTCAGGAAGGGATCTTGGCTTTTACTCTCTGATGCCATTAAAAGCTCTAAGCAGTGAGAGAACACAATAGAACTTAAATCTTAACAAAAAGAAACTGATGTAACTATATTAATATCAAAGTCTACTTCAAAGCAAAATGTATTATTAGAGATGGAGACACTTTGCAATGATCAGAGGTTAATTCAGCAGAATGTGTAAACTCTTCTGAATTTATATGCATTCATGAATGTAGCCTCAGAATTGTAAATCAGAGCTGACAAAAACCGACAAGGCCACAATAACGTGTTTTGTTTGTTTGTTTAAAATGTCAGTATCTGCTAACAAATCAGGAAGGATACACAGTATCTGAGCAAAAATATTTATCAAATTGATTAAATAGACCTCTGCAGAATGCAGTACCCAATGATTGCATAATATGAATTATTTTCAAGCTCACACGGAACATGAGAGAAACTGATTATATATTTGGTTACAAACCAGAAAATTCAAAGGATTCAAATAAGATTGAGTAACAAGATGGGAAGACTTGCTAAATAGAATGCCAAGACCAATTAGAAGACACCGTAATTAAGACACCGTAGAATCAGACAAATACAAATAGATCAGGAACAGAACCATCAATAAACACATATATGGATATTTGATTTATGACAAAAGGAGCACTTCAAAACAATGGAAAAAGACTTTTTAATAAATAGCTCTGGGATAGTTGGATAAATATATTGAAAACAAAGTGAAAATTGACCTTTTCCTGATATGATATCCCAAAATCAGGCAGATTCTTTTTCTTAACGGAAAAAAAGACTACACCTATTTCAAAAAACTGCTACAATGCCCACTCAACAAGATTTTTGCTCTTTAAAGCATGTTACTCTTTTCCAAAATGGCGACACTTAACATTTTCAGTCTTAGGAATCTGGTGGATCCTTAATATTCATGTAAAAGGTCCAGTAATTAAAGCTTTTTGAAGAAAATATAGCATGTTAATTAGTATGTCAGTGATTTCAAAGTAGAGAAAAATAAGACACAAAACATTATTGTAAGATAAAATAAGCGGAAATAAATAAGAATATAAATTTTTACATATTAGGAAAGAATTATCAGAGAATCAAAAACCAAGGAATTGATTAGAAGATACTTGCCACACACGTAACTGTTAAATGGGTACATATCCAGAATATGTAAATAATCCAAAAGAAGACAGACAATCCAGTTTTAAAGAGGGCAAGATACTTGAGCAGGCGCTTATAAAAAGGAGCTGTATAAATGGCCAATAGGCTTATACAAAATGCTCAACTACATTCGTACTCAGGGAAACCTGAAGTAAAAGCACAATAAGATATCAATTCATTTGCAACAAAATGGAGAAAAAAATAAAAATACTGATAATACCAAGTGTTGGTAAGGATATGGAGCAATGGAAGTCTCACACTCTACTGGAGAGAGTGTGCACCAGATGACTTTGGGAGATACACACCCAGAATCTAGCAATTCTGCTAACAATTTACACAGGCTCTAGCAATTCTACTCCTGGTTATGTACTCAACAGAAATATCTGTACATTGCACAAGAAGAATGGCCATTATAGCATTATTCACATAAGTCTCAAATGCAGAAGTTGTGATTGATGTATATAGTTGAATACTAGGCAGCAATCAAAGAAATACATGAACTATGGTTACATAGAACCTCACGTGCAAATCTCAAAAACGTTATGTTGAATAAAATAATCCAGACACAAAAGAAAGCATGATACAAGGATTATTTCTATAAATTCCTCAAATTGCCAAAACTCAACTACACTGTTCAAAGATGCATGCTTAGGTGACAAGTGTATAAAGAGTGAGAAAGTGGCTTCCATCGTAATCAGCACAGTGGTTCATTTAGTGGGAGGTCCTGGTGTGAATGGGAAGGAATGTATTGGGATTGGGGTTTCTTTTTGGCTACTAACAAAGTTCTGTTTCTTGATATAATTCGCATGTACACTAGTATTTGCTTTAAACTCTCCATTTAGTCATTTTAGTCTCCAGTTGTGTCATTTTCTCTACGGGTGCCTTAATTACAATTTTTTTAAGTTTAAAAATATCACATGTTGAAGTTTATGCAGATGTTATGCGACCCATTTTTGGTTTTCTCCTTATTATTGCTCCCTATTTGTAAGAAAAAGTGATATAGGAACAGATAGAGACAGAAGAATTGATCCTTTGCTAGGATTTTCAAGGATAGCAGAAGGCAGTCCCTGCTACATGTGTTACAAAAGGTATTACGACAAACCACTCATGAGACTGAAATTTGTAAAGGAGCAGGTGGACATCAAACAGCTTTTGGTTAAGATGCAGGCATCCCAGAAGTACTGACATCTAAGGTGCTCAAGTTTCTAAGGAGCCCCAACATCTTTAGTTTATCTGTTAAAAGAAATAAGTAAATGACTGGATTTTCAATTGGAGTCTGGAGTGAGTATGTAAGTGGTTGTACTGGGGCTTCTGAAGGGAGACAAGCTGGGATTCTACCTAGCAAAGGGTGTTAAATCCACACTTGTTGAGCAGGGAGACACCGTGCTGGGGGCTTCACATACAAGGTCAGACAATCCTGGCTACAGCACAGAAGGGTAAGTAAGTCTCATCCACTTAAGTCAAGTAATTTGGCAAAGATCACAAAACCAAGTGGTGCTATGAAAACTCTAATGCATTTGTCTGTCTCCAAAGCCTCTGTTTTCAGCCCATCTCTCTGGCCCACCTATTTCCACATCATAATATCTCTAATCTAAACTGTGTTGTACCAGAGGTGGTAATTAAACATACACTTCAACAATGAATGCATGGACAGAAGGCCATGATTTATGTCTCTTTATTCTTGTGTGAAATAATGAACTTATTTTCAATACTTAGTCTTTAGAATAGACTTACACTATGCACAACTGTTACGGATTTCATTACAATTTGACTTTGTTCTCCAGTCGATGTTTTATTATCTTTCCTGGTAAGCTATTAATTGACTTACGAACAGAAATAGCAATTATTTTCCCACCTGCAGCAACATAGGCATTCAAAATATGTTTGGGGTGAATAGAGATGAAGAAATTGATATTTTAAAATCACAATGTTAAATCTTAAAACATTATGGTTTCTAATCTTAATTTCTATCTCTTTTTGTTAAAATGACAAATAATACCAAAAAGCCAATTAAAGAATATTTTAAAATTCCACTACCATCCAGAGAAAAATATTGCTAGCATTTTGATAGACAGCCTTCTAAAATTAGCACATCATATCTCTGTGCGCACACGCGCATGTGCACACACACACATTTTCTCTATGAATACAGCTTTTCAAAGAGTTCCACTTTCATAATTCATTCATTCGGCAAACATCTTATGAATATTTGCTATTTGCCAGGTACACTTCCAGTTGCTTAGTGTCAAGCAGTGAATGAAACAAACAAGAACACCTGCCATCCTTGTCTTCATGGAGTTCACCTCTCAGTACAGACACAAAGACAAAATAAAAAATAACTGAATAACATGCAGATTATAATAAAGAACAACCAGTATGAAGAAAATTAAAAGAGAATGGGAAGTGGAAGTCCTGGAGGAAGTAATCCTCTTATTCACATAGCAAATGTTCTGAACTTCATGCCTTATCAATAAATACACATGTATAATATCATTTTAATGGTAACTTATGGATGTATTTATGTATTAAATATTTCCAAACAGGTTCCTATGGAAAAACATTTACAAATACAAATTTTATTGATATTGTCACTACAAAATATAGAGCAAACATAGATAATATAAATTTAATATAGAATATTTAGTATAATGCTTGCTATATTAAAATTCATCTTTAATATATGATTATATATTTAAGATGTTTATCTACTTATTAATATATTTCCAAATGTCCTAAACCAAGTTCTTAAAACATGGAGATTTATTTTTCCAAAACACTCTGAGCTCTGACATCTTGATTAATATATAAAAATCCCTAAGTATTTTTCTGCTTTATTTGTCCACAAGACAATGAGCTTCTAAAGTGTAGAAACAGTGTCCTTTCCATTTTTGTCCAGTAAGTCCTCACTATGTTCCAGGAAAGTGATTTTTTAAAATCCTCTCCTAATTTATATAACAATCATCCAAAATATAATTTGCTCAGCAAAATGTAGGTGAAACCTACTTGCCTTTCTTGAACATGATCGGGCTTGCCTGAATAGCCAAGTATGTGAACTGGGGTAATGCATTTTGCAATTATTTTTTATTATTTATGGAGATTTCAATACATTTTAGAAGTGATTTTCTAAACGTAAGAACATTAATAATCAATTTGGAAAATTCAAAATGTAAATACATCTTTGGAAAGAGTGAAACATTAAAAACAATACACATATATTAAAATCAGACAGTTTTGCTAAGAGTGAAATTTTGATGTTTGTTTCAATATATGAATTTCCTAAAAGCCACTGGAATAAGATGAAAAATAACAGTGATTTTCTTTACATAGCCACTGAAGACTTTCCATTACTTTGACTGTGTAGTGTTTCTAATCTATATATGTGTTTTACCTTTTTTATTGACATATCCTCCTGGATTTCCTGAGCAGAGGAACCTTAGTATTTTATACCATATGGGTCCATTCTTTTTCTAATTATTGTTTGTATTTCAAATATCTGATAGACAGTATAAATATTACCTGCCCTACTTTTAAGTCAATGATTTATGACTACATGATAATCAAGATATTTATTGAATAAAAGGTAGTTGTTGAAAATTAAAACCCCTATATCTTGTTGATTGCAGAACACCACATTTCAAAAATACACAGCACTGTTTTCTTCAAACTGTGGAATTCTAATACAAAAATATTAAGTCAGTGATTATTAGATAGCCCAGGCACAAGCTTCACGATGCCTAAAAAGTACTTGAAATGTTACACATATTTTTTAATGTAACTGTGTTATTTTCTCGGACAAATGAATTTATGATTTCAACTCATTCTCAAAGGAATCATTTGGTGTCCATACACTTATCACTATATCTTTATAAAAGAAGGAAAGCTTTCTTCAAAAATTCAACTTCATCCTTTCACTAATGTTTTTTTCCTTTCTACTGCTTTGATTAAATTAGTATATTTTTTAAAGTACAGTAAATGTTACTTCCTGTAAATAAGTTAAGATTAAAAAAAAACTCCAGCCTGGGCAACATGATGAAATCCTGTCTCTACTAAAAACACAAAAATTAGCCGGGCATGGTGGCACATGCCCATAATCCCAGCGACTCAGGAGGCTGAGGCAGAAGAATCGCTTGAACCCCAGAGGCAGCGGTTTCAGTGAGCCAAGATCGTGCCTCTGCACTCCAGACTGGGTGAGGGAGTAAGACCGTCTCAAAATAAAAAAAAAAAAAAAAAAAAAGAAAGAAACAACAACAACAAAACAAACAAATAAAAAAACTTAAGAAACTGTCAATATATATTAGGGAAAACAAAATGATGTAACTTGTTCTCATATACATGAAGTAAAATAACTCTTAGCTCTCCATACACTTCATAATTTTCCTCATATTTTTCTCAAGAAGCTTTCTCAAACTGTGCTTAACACCATCCGATACTGATGTATATGCTGAGCAAAGAAGCCAAGGTTCCATGTGTAAATGATTCTGCAAAATGCTGGATTAAACAAAGTTAAGTTGTTGTTTACCCAGGGAATCTCAAAGCATTTAAAATGCATTGAGAAGGAGGAAAAAAATATATTGTTTCTCAAATTAATTAATACAGCATCTTTGTTTTTATTCTGTTTTGTTTTAGTTTTGCTTTATTTTTTTTCCCATGGGTGCTTTTATCTTATCCAGAGTTGTTTGGTATTGGAAAGAATCAGAAAATTTCATCAGTGCTACTTTCCAGGAACATTTTCATACAGGCATTTTGTTGTGCCTGAAAATGTATGGAAGGTTGTTGTTTAGATATACCTAAAAATGATGGCTTTGCTTCTTAGTAATAGAATTTTGTAGACGCAGAAGAGGTTGAATTTTAAAACTTTATGTATTATTAAATAAATAAGTAATCTTAGGTAATCCATGATTATTTTTTGTCAAAAATGTTTGTAAAATTTTGGATTGGCTATGTTCTAATATTCTGAAAATGCAAGATGATTACACTTTATAAACTTAATAAAATTAACATTTCTAAAGTATCTTGGCATGTAGGAAGTATATTAAAACTGGATATAGCTATTGTTGTACTCTTATTTAATATATCTTTATCTAAGAAATAGTAGCTATTAGCATTAATTTCCTATCCTAGATAGGCAAAAAAAAAAAAAATTAAAAACTCTTCCCCACGTTTTCTTAGATAAATCTAATAAATTCTTTCAAATAAAAAATGTACTTTGTTTCATTAAGCTCTACAGACTATAAGTGCTTCCAGATCTGATTCCCTGAGGGTAAAATGAGTGTCTATCTTGCATAGGCATCAATTTTCCTTAAGGATCCTCAAGTAAAGATCTTTAACAAACTCTCACTTCATTAACAAACCACTTGATGAGTTGAGATACAAACTGCTTTATGGAAATTGCCACCAAAAAGTGTGTATACAACTACTATGCCCAAATTAAGCCATTCAATTTTTTTAAATTAAATGCCTAATCAAGAACTAGGAAAGGACTGGACAAATGGGGTAATGGATTATGAACTTTAAAATGTTAACTTTCACGATAAGAATTTGTAGAGGGAGCAGGGAATCTGCAACAACCCATCTCATGCATTTTCTCACTCTGATTGTATCATTATGATAGTAAGAATGCCTCATCCTACAACTACTAATTTAATAAAAAAAGCATGGTTAATTTGCATAGGCCTATCATACAACTTCCTTTAAATATGGCAGCTCCCATAAGAAGTACTGTGGCTACAATAATGATATTCCACATTAGACAGCATTTTTTCTAAAAAAAATTTCATGCATTTTGGCAAATAGCTAAATGCATCTAAGAAGCAAGTCATTCACTAACATTTAAATCAGATTCAGAACTCCAAGCAGCATCAACTTAACTTAAGGCACGTTAAGGTAGAAATTTTTTGTTGTTGTTTTTTTTTTTTTGAGACGGAGTCTCACTCTTTCACCCAGGCTGATGTGCAGTGGCGCGATCTTGGCTCACTGCAGGCTCCGTCACCCGGGGTTCACGCCATTCTCCTGCCTCAGCCTCCCGAGTAGCTGGAACTACAGGCGCCCGCCACCTCGCCCAGCTAATTTTTTTTGTATTTTTAGTAGAGACGGGGTTTCACCATGTTAGCCAGGATGGTCTTGATCTCCTGACCTCGTGATCCGCCCGCCTCGGCCTCCCAAAGTGCTGGGATTACAGGCGTGAGCCACCGCGCCCGGCCAAGGTAGAAATTCTTAAGTAAACTGAAGCTCTTACAATTAAAAATTCTTAAACAAAATGCTTAAGGTCATAAATAAAATCAAATTTTAAAAGCAGCCATATAGGTCCAGGAATATACCAGACTGGTTGAGTGACCGTGTATTTCAGGTCGACTTGTATTCAATGACTCGGTTTTTCAAGCTACAAGTCTCTAAGCTGTAAGATCTGCAGCTGTCATTAAAATATCTACAGTTCTGTAGCTTTTATATGCTTAGCCAAACAGACTGTATGCTGCTACAATACATACATCCATTATGGGCCGTCCTTTGTACAAAATTGTAAGTCAGGATATGGTTCACAGCCTGCTGAATTCTCTGAAATAAATGCAGTGGCTCTCTGATAATGTAAAGCCCAAAATGTTTTTCTCCACCTGTGAGTTTATTAGAAATACCTAAAAATATAAGAGCAACTGAAAAAGACAAGTCAACTATAAAAAGGTGCCCCCTGTTCACAATAGCAAGATGTAGAATCAACCTAAGTGTCCGTCAATGGACAACTGGATTAAAAAAATATATATATGAGGGCAGGCGCGGTGGCTCACGCCTGTAATCCCAGCACTTTGGGAGGCCAAGGCGGGTGGATCATGAGGTCAGGAGATCGAGACCATCCTGGCTAACACCGTGAAACCCCGTCTCTACTAAAAATACAAAAAATTAGCCGGGTGTGGTAGCAGGCACCTGTAGTCCCAGCTACTCGGGAGGCTGAGGCAGGAGAATGGAGTGAACCTGGGAGGTGGAGTTTGCAGTGAGCTGAGATTGCGCCACTGCACTCCAGCCTGGGTGACAGCGAGACTCTGTCTCAAAAATACATATATATATATTTTATATATATTATATATATATTATATATTATATATAGATACAATGGAATATTATTTAGCCATAAAAATAAAATCATGTCATTTACAGCAACAAGGATGCAACTGGAGGTTATCCTATTGAGTGAAATAAGCCAGGAACAGAAAGACAAATATTGCACATTCTCACTTCTATGTGGGAGCTAGAAAAGTGGATCTCATGGAGAGAGAGTAGAATGATGGTTACCAGAGGCTAAGAAGGGTGTATGGATGAGGGTGGATGAAGAGACATTGGTTGTAATGAGTACAAACATATAGTTAGATAGAAGGAATAAGTTCTAACGTTAGATAGCAGAGTAGGGTGACTGTAGTTAATAGCAATTAATATAGTTGGGATAACTGTCCACTCCAAATCTCATGTTAAAATGTAATCCGCACTGTTGGAGGTGAGGCCTGCTGGGAGGTGATTGGATCATGGGGGTGGATTTGTCATGAATGGTTTAGTAACATCCTCTTGGTGCTAGCCTTGTGATAGTGAATGAATTCTCCTGAGATCCTGTTGTTTAAAAGTGTGTGCCCGGCAGGGTGCAGTGGCTAATGCCTGTAATCCCAGCATTTTGGGAGGCCGAGACAGACAGATCACGAGGTCAGGAGTTCGAGACCAGTCTGGCCAACATGGTCAAACCCAGTCTCTACTAAAAATACAAAAATTAGCTGGGCGTGGTGGTGCGCGTCTGTAATCCCAGCTACTCAGGAGGCTGAAGCAAGAGAATTGCTTGAACACAGGAGGCAGAGGTTGCAGTGAGCCAAGATCACACCACTGCACTCCAGCCTGGCAACAGAGTGAGACTCCGTCTCAAAAAACTAACAAACAAACAAACAACAAAAAAGGGTACGTTCCCTGACCCAACTATCTCTCTTGTTCCTGCTTTTTCCACGTGAAAACATGTCTGCTCCCACTTCACCTTCCACCATGAATCAAAGCTCCCTGACACCTCCCCAGAAGCAGATGCTGTCATGCTTTCTGTACAGCCTGAAGAACCGTGAGCAAATTAAACCTCCTTCTTATGAATTACCCAGTCTCGGATATTTCTTTATAGTAATGTAAGAACAGCTTAACACAGCAACATATGATATAGTTCAAAACAGCTAGAAGAGAGGACTTAAAATGTTCCCAACAAATAGGAATGATAAATACTCAAGGTGATGGCTACTCCAAATACCCTGACTTGATCATTACTCATGCCATGCATGTAACAAAATATCACAGGTACCCCAAGAATATGCAAAATATTATGTACCAATAAAAAAGCAGCCTCTGTTTTAAGAGGCACCAAGCAGTCCATAGTGATAAAAGGCAAAGAGCATATAACTTGGACTGTGAAATACGATTGTATTTTCTTAAATATTTACAAATCTAAATATATTTATTTTATAGGTAGTACCCCACAAACTGTAAGAACTCATATCTCTGCTCGAAGGGTTGGTTTTATTTAAGTGTTTTAAAAAGTTAGCCATTCCTGGTTATGGAATCTATGACTGAAAACAGCAGAGGTAGAAAGTGAGAGGTTCAGGAAGAGAGGACGCAGACACATGCTATCATTGTATGTATATGGTGCTAGCCATTTATATTTATGCATACAGGTATATGTATGTATATCTATTTTTCTCAATTTTAGTTTACACTTTTTTTTTTTTTTGAGACGGAGTTTTGCTCTTGTTGTCCAAGCTGGAGTGCAATGGTGAGATCTCGGGTCACCGCAACCTCGACCTCCCAGGTTCAAGCGATTCTTCTGCCTCAGCCTCCCAAGTAGCTGGGATTACAGGCATGCGCCACCATGCCTGGCTAATTTTGTATTTTTATTAGAGATGGGTTTTCTCGATGTTGGCTAGCCTGGTCTCGAACTCCCAACCTTAAGTGATCCGCCCGCCTTGGCCTCCCAAAGTACTAGGATTACAGGCATAAGCCACCACGTAGTTTACATATTTATATAAATAATATACATGAATATATGCATCTATCCAGGTATAAAACACCTATTTAAATATAAATCATAGGACCAACACTTTTTAAAATTCTAGGTTTAGTTTCTTTTAGAGCATAAGCTCATTTTTATAAGAGAATGTACTTACCAACTTTGTAGCTTAAAAATTTCATCATTTGCAATTATATAATCCAAAATGTGAATACTGCCATCTATTTACAGTATACTGAAATACTAGAAAAAAATGCTTAAAGAGCAATATGTATATCTCAATTTATCTTATTTCGTATAGTGGAAAAGACCAAAATGAATGTAGTAGTCTTTTCCAGTTCTATTATTTAGCTTTCTCTTCATATTAATAATCCAGGAAAACAACTGTAAAATTCATAATGGGCAAATGATGGTTCTAAAATTCTAAGTAGTGGCAATTTTTGAGGAGGTCAAGTGTTTTTTCTTTTCTTTTTTTTTTTTTTTTTGGTATTTCACTGAAGAGAAATAGTGATCTCTGCTGATTTTGTTACCAGATCATCAATGAAATACCAGGAGAAAATACACACATGGCTTAAATTTACAGACAGAAATGAAGTTTCCTAAACAGCAGCAAGTTTTAGGTCAACAGTGTGAAACTGTCATCATTACAATAAGAATGAAAACTAGTTGTAGAGTACACCTGCCCAGCAGTACCCCAAGCAGAAGGAAATTTTTGGAAACAATCACAACACTGGAAGGATACTTAAAATTACACCCTTCAAGTTCCCAGCTTTCAGAGAGCTCAAAACTGAAATGATGCGGAATAAATAGTCCTTTGTTTTTGCTCAAGAACTCTAGGAAAAAGCCATGTTTTCTGATATCATGGGTTGTAATTTTTTTTTTTTTATGGTGTCTCGCTCTGTCACCCAGGCTGGAGTGCAGTGGCGCAATCTCGGCTCACTGCAACCTCCACCCCCGGGTTCAAGTGATTCTCCTGCCTCAGCCTCCTGAGTAGCTGGGATTACAGACGTGCACCACTACACCCAGCTAATTTTTTGTAGAGATGGGGTTTCACCATGTTAGCCAGGATGGTCTCGAGCTCCTGACCTAGTGATCCGCCCGCCTCAGCCTCCTAAAGTGCTAGGATTACAGGCGTGTGCCATCGCACCTGGCGGGTTGTAATTTTTTTTTAAATCAAAATATTTTTGCCTCTATATAAAGTTATGCTTCTGAAATTCATGTTTTATTTTAATCAATCAGCCATAGAGGTGAAAGTCAGTAATATATAAAAACCGTATTTCTATGTACGAGCAGTTCAGTTTGTTTTTATTTTATGGATCCAGTTAGCATAGGGTTTGATCATGCCAAGACCCAGTTCCTGAAGGTTCTAACTGTATGGTTTGAAACTGTGGCCTGAGCACAACTATATTCTCTTTAAAACTTCTCAATGCTTCTGATAGGCACTTCCTGCTAATTTTGGAACTTGTGACATTCATGACCACAGTATTTTTGTTTTACATTTGTTGAGTGTTTTCATTATGTGGTTCTCCTCCTTTACTGACTGCTTTCCCATTATTTTCTTCATTCACTCCTCTTTTTAACTTCGTTTTCCTAAATTTGATCATTCCTCATTACCTTTTATTCCTTGTGTACAGTTTCTCCCTTGAAAAATGTATGAAAGCATCACTAACGCATGGATAATATAACATTGATATCTACAGCACTGAGTTTCTGGACAAGTTTTTTTGTTTTGTTTTGTTTTTCTGAGATGGAGTCTTGCCCTGTCACCCAGGCTGGAGTGCAATGGCTCGATCTCAGCTCACTGCAACCTTTACCTCCAGGGTTCAAGTGATTCTCCTGCCTCAGCCTCCCACATAGCTGTGATTACAGATGCACGCCACCACACCTGGCTGATTTTTTTTTTTTTTAGTAGAGACAGGGTTTCACTATGTTGGCCAGGCTGGTCTCAAACTCCTGACCTCCTGATCCACCCACCTCAGCCCCGCAAGAACTGTCATGAACTAACCCCAAAATCATGTGGAACATTTGTCCCTTTCTCTATTAAATCCTTTCCTCAAATTGGACTGGTTTAGTCATCATTACCCCTTCAATATATTTGCTTCCATTTCTTTGCTTGCATTATTTCTTACCTGAAATTCCCTTATTTTAAAAATGTACATGCTTTATAATGTTTTCCCTTATCATTTGTTCTTTGTTGTCTTTGAAATTAATCTCATCCACAAAACAACATAATTAGGCTACATTATTATCATTTTGTTTCACATGAAGAAATCAAGGTGCAGAAATATTTTTTTAAAAGGTAGTAACGGAGATACAAAAATCAAGCCCTGAAAGTCTAGCTTCAGGGCTTGGATTTAGAATTACAAAATTATACTCCCTCATACATTATACACTTGAGCCTTAAGCAAGATATTAATGTATTGGTTTAAAAGTTGGGAAAACTTACACCACCAAGGAAAACAGGTTGGCTTTCTTCAAGAATGAGAACTTGGACTTGGGGGAAAAAAAGAATGGAGAAAATAGAGATGTAGTTGAAATGAGAGGTTGTATATGTTTGTCTGTTTCCTTCATCCTTGTTTCTTTGTGAAGTCACCTTTGTGTGGGAAAGGTCTTCTCTATCTTTCCTCATACTTATCGCTTCTCACTTGTTCTCTGTTCACCTGCCTGAGAGTGAAGTGTATCCAAACTCCCTAAAAGAAAGTCCTTGTTCTCAAACTGGAAACCAGTCATGAAGGAGAATCACCATTTATTCTGGCACACTGAAAATTTCAGCACAGTTGCAATTTTTCATGTCTGAAAGCCCAAGTGACAGCCGAAAATAAAAGTAAATTGAAAGGAGTGTAAAGAAAGAAAAAGGGTTTACAACTTACTTTCCTCCTTCTAAGACCTAAGGAATCTAAGGCCATTACGGGGTCTGCTTGGGATTAAACCAGTGAAGAACCCTCTACTTCATGTACTTAGTTATCAATAGATTTTTGTCCCAAAGCAGACTCCTTTGAAAATACCCCTTTGGACAATCTTTCTATCCTTTCATTAGAAGAAGACAAATCGACTGCAATAATAAGTATGTTTTAAAATCAAAAGTAAAAGAAATGTCAAGATCTCAACTAAATGATGTTTGAGACCATGGCACCTTGCAGCCTTAGGAACTAATCCACGCTCGGTGTATGAACAGAAGCTTTTCACCTCATTGCATGAACGAGTCATGAAAGCTTCAGAGGCTCGAAAGCCCATGGAAGAAATAACTTCAAGAATGACTGATTTCAAATGTACAAAGCTCCCTTGAAATGAAACGTCTTAAGCAAGCGTTTTTACTCAGAAAAAAAAATCAATCTCTGAAACTGCAAAAAGTACATGGTGTTTCTTTCCTACTTTATATTTTCATTTTTATTGTTCTCCTAAATTTAATGTTAGCTGCTGTGTAAAATGTACCAGCTTTTCGTGTAGCGCTACGTAACTGGACTTGGAGGGGTTCTAGATTTGTTTTAATATTATTTTAATTTTATGGCTTAACTTATCTTTTTCTCTTGGGTCAACATTTTGGTCATCACTTTCATAGGGTAGCAGCAACAATCTTGACTTTCAGTAATAATAACTAACATCTTAATTTCTTCTGTTTCCCACCATTGTAAAGTGACTTACAAACATTAACATAGTTTAAGCCACACCCAAATCCATCAAGGCAGGCAATATCATTATTCCTGCTTACAAAATGGGTCGGTCAGGCAGAAAAGCGAAGTAGCTTAAAGTTTGGCATAATACTAAATTATTGTTAAGTTTGCTAAGTTGGTTTCCTATTTAATCCTTCTCTTCTTCTCCAAACTGTTCTATAAACCACAATAAAAATAATCATACTAATGCTTTTGTAATTTCATGGCACCTTTGAGAGCATCCAGTTGTCTAGCAGGTAAATTCTAACTGCCTAAATCCCACACACAAGGCCATCCACACCATCTCCATTCTGCCTTTTCAGACTAACTTCCACTTCTTTTTACTCAAACTAAGCTCTAGGGACTCACAACTACTTGTCAACTCCCTTTCTTTTTAAAATTATTTATTTACTTATTTATGAGACAGAGTCTGTCACAGATAGCTCTCTTTCTTTGTGCTTTCCAGGTATCCTGACATCTGGCCAAATTGATTACTTTTTCCTATCAATACAGAGTTTTCAAGGAAGGAATTGTTTGGCAAATCAAGCTTTCCTGTTCATTGTAATGCCTACAGGTTCCATTCTCCTATGCTCTATTTGCCACAAACATGACCATTATCATACTCTTCTGTTTTTGTAAATCAGCATATAGAAGTTTCATTTCTCCTGTGAGAGTGCATGGTTGTGGAAGGTAAAACTTTGTATGTCAAACAGCTTCTGGCACAATGTATTCCCTTCATGGCTCAGTATATATTCATGGAAGGCATAAACTCATGCCTAAGATTAATAAAGGACCAGTATCGATTATTTCAAACCTAGATACATGCAATTATATACATTAATAACACTTTCATACCTATCTCCAATAAAATATCTCTCATAAATGATTGGAAATGGTTGGGTTTTTAAAATATATAATAATGCACTCAGTCTTTGTGGATAATATACATACATCATCAATGCACAGATCCCACCCACTGCTGCTTCCTTGCTTTAAGGCTTATATATTAAGCCATTATGAATAAGGCATCAATTTCCCCATCACAAGCAAGTACATATTTCTACTTAGGAATTATTCCAGAGCATGAGAGCAAATTACAGTAGTCTGCAATTTTAGTGGCTTAACTTACAATTCTAATTATACAGTAAGTACATGTTGACAATGGGGGAACATCATAGTTATATTTGGGTAAAATAAAACTCATAGTTGCCTTCAAGGAGCAAACAGTTTGGGGAAACAAAGGAACAATTAAACATACTAGTAAGTAGGTTCAGAAAAGTGTTATGATATGCATTTTATGTATTATAATATATGCTAGTAGGATAACATACACACTCTTTTCTTCCTCCCCCACTCAAATTAGTGCAAGAATTAGCATTAAACTTAATGGCGAATTTCTGCCAATGAGGAAAACAACAAAGATTCTTTAACAGAACTATGATTTGTGTGGTAGTAGAAATGTTAACCAATGCAATTACAAAAGAGAAAGAAATGAAAGAGAGAAATATTACAAAGTAAGAGCTAAAATAACTTTAGGTGAAATGCCTATATATTTAAAAGCCCAATAGAATCAACTTGAATCTATAACAAAGCATAAGGTAATTAATTTCACTAAGATAAGTGTTAATAAAATTAATTATCAAAAGTCTATAATTTTGAATATACATACCGTAATCATTGAAAAACTATGATGGAAGAAAAAACTTCATTTACAATGGCCACATAAATGTGAAGACGTCGAGAAATACACTTAAGAGAATGTTGAAACCCACCAAAGGGTCATTAGAAGGCATTTATGGAGGAAATAGATTATGACTTAATACAAGGATCCACCAAGATTGTGGACAAATGGTAAATTCTCCCATATTAGTTAAATTTTGATTGCAATGAATAGTAAATCAGTCCCTGGGAACTAGACACATTATTTAACTTGTGGTAAAATAAGAAATAGCCAGTAAAACTCAGAAAAATAAATACAATGGTGGGGGAGACCAAATATATATTAAAACATAATGCCTCAATAATTAAAACAGTATGGCAATGGCAGATGAGTAATCAGAATAGGAAAGCAAAGAAAATCTAGAAAGAGGATATGATGATAAAGGTGGCATCTCTAATCAATGCAGGAAGTATAACAAACATTGATATGGTTAGGTTCTGTGTTCCCACCCAAATCTCATCTTGAACTGTAATCCCCATAATCCCCACATGTTGATGGCAGGCCCTGGTGGGAGGTGATTGGATCCTGGGGGCAGTTTCCCCCATGCTGTTCTCAGGAGACATGATGGTTTTATAAGCATTTGACAGCATTTGACAGTTCCTCCAACACATGCATTCTTTCTCCCTCCTGCCGCCTTGTGAAAGATGCTGCCTCCTTCCCCTTCACCTACTGCCATGATTGTAAATTTCCTGAGGTCTCCCCAGCCATGCAGAATTGTGTCAATTATACCTCTTTCCCAGTCCCGGGTATTTATTTATAGTACTGAGAGAACAAACTAATACATATTTCATTTGAAAAATATATATATCAAAATTGCATACATGTGACTTTGAACCATCATTCCCACATTCTAAAATGTACATCTTAGATACATCTGCATCCATAACAATGTTACGTGCATAAGTTCTGTATTATAGAATTGTTCATATAGCAAAACCTGCAAAATAAAATTAGCCATTAATAATGAATTTATTAAATAAACAATGGTACATGCACTTACTGGAATAAGAAAGCTTTCTATATGCTGACATGACAATCTATCCAGGATACATATGTATCTCCTGGAGGATATATACGTATATCCTGGAGTCCCTGTGCCTGTAGTCCCAGCTACTTTGGAGGCTAAGGCAGGAGGATCACTATATGTGGAAAAAAAAAAAAAAAGCTGTTTTTGTATGAGAAAGAAAAATAATTAAAAATGTATGGTCACTTTTTTTTATCTTCACAAAAAAACTCTAGAACTACAAAAAAATGAATTTAAGAAAAATAAGTTTCCACTACAGAATTCAGGGGCAGAATCTACCAAAATGAAAGGAGACAAACTTCGCAATTCACGAATCATGTGCTAGTGATTTGCCTATCTGGTAATAAATACTAAATTTGATGAACGACAGATTAAATGCTTGACAGAGGTATGTGAGGTGTTGTTTTTTTAAATTTATATTGACAACCAATGAAGAATTCATGATCATGTTTGTATTTCAGGATGGTTAACTCTGGTGCTGTAGTGTAGTTTGATAAGAAAAAGCCTAAGGCAGGGATGTCTCTTAGTTGACCTTGCTTCTATTATAATAACAGCTGATACTCATTACACGACTTCTGTTTATGTTTGAAAGAGCATATCCAAGCACTCTGTCCCTCAATTCTCACATCTGCTCTGTGTGAAAGCTACTCCTATTATTTCCACGTTACAGATGAAGAAACAGAGAGCAACTGAGACTTAGATAAACCATCCAATAGCCTAGGAGGATCAAGGGCAGTATTTGCAGGGAAGGCTGGAGAGGAAAAAGGGATCCAAGAAGAAGGGAGGAGGAGGAAGGTTGACATTTAAAGGGAAATGAAGGGATGAGATTCTCAGGAAGACAATCAGAGAGGTGACCAGAGTAACTAGAGAGGAAATATCCTGGTGAGCAAGGCAGTGGGAATAGAAAGGTTGGTGTAGTAAAGAGAAATGGAGGCGGTAGCTCACAGCTGTGATAGTAGCACTTTGGGAGGCCTAGATGCTCAGATTGCTTGAGCCTAGGAGTTGGAGGCCAGCATGGGCAATATAGTGAGACTCCTATCTCTACCAAAAATGCAAAAGTTAGCTGGGCATGGTGGTGGATGCCTGTAGTCCCAGCTACTTTGGAGGCTGAGGTAGAGGATCGCTTGAGCCCAGGAGGTCAAGGCTGCAGGGAGTTGTGTTCACATCACTGCACTCCAGCCCGGGTAACAGAGCAAGACCCTGTCTCAGAGGGGAAAAAAAAAGGAGAAATGGATCATCTAAGGCACCCAAACTTTTAAATTATTCTTATTGGAAAAAAATATTAACAATGAATAGCATGCTTTAAAAAAAGACACTAAAATTTAGACCTCAAGCGGTCTCCCTAGTATTCAAAATACTACAGGGCTTGCTCTAAGACTTATTTTTCTTCTCACTCTTTTCATATTTACCTTTCATGTAAGTTCTCATATTTCAGCATAACATTTCTATTCTCAAAATGCAGTTGTTCTGAACAAGAAGATAGATACATGAGAAAAGAGCCTATTTACCTTAGATTTCAATAAAATAATGATAGCCCTGTAACTTTACAATATTTTTTGCATGTCACAATCATAAAGCATCAAATTGAACATGACAGTTTTATTTTAAATCTCTGCTTGGATACAAGTCCTTTTTAAAAATCCTTCAATCATTCTTCTAGAAAAGAACAGCAATACTAAAAGCTTTCTAAGGAGCTTATTTTTACTGGAAACCATATTTCTGATACATCTTAGACATGTTGGACTGTTATGTCAATATACTTTTAAGACATAGTGTTATAAAAATCATATAAAAACAGAAAGAATGTCCTCTGAAAAAGAGATTTTACTGGAATTTTGGCCAGGTACCTATTGATGATACCTTTGAAATATGTTTGCTAGGCAAAGATCATAAATGATTCCTTATTCAAAACCTTAAAATTGGAACTGAAGTAGAAGTTTGCATATTTGTGTAAAATTCACCAACTCGTCTAGAAACAAAGGAATAATCCAGCTCTCCTCAATATGTCTTTCTCATAATAAGTGCTCAATAATTAGTTGAGTGTATAGATTGCTAAATGCAATTCAATCAGTTAAATAA